>NC_000010.11:116620368-117870368 GCF_000001405.40 Homo sapiens | reverse complement strand
ATATCCTGCAGTTTTAAGAAAAGTAATTGGCAATAAAAATTTTTTAGTTAAATTAGCATTGGAGAGTCATTAAAGTTCTCATATATAGAATGCAACTAAGAATACTCATTTGCAGCTCAACTCTGCATTTCTAAAAAAAGTCATTATTTAGAAGACAGGTGACAGAATATAATTTCTATCATCATTTAAAAAAGGAGAGAGGAGAGGAAGGAGAGTTAGAGGAAGAGATGGAAGGAAGGGAGGGAGGGAGGAAGAAAAGAGCATTCGTGGTATTGTGGAAAATCAACTAAATGGGACCTGTTGTTCTTTTTGTAAAATGCCAAAACTTGCCACAAATATGTCTGATAAAATCTCTTTCAAAGAGGTAAGGCATTACTGTGAATTTCTTCAAACCGTTTTGCTGGTCTATATATTGATATATATAATCCTATGCCCCCAAAATACTTTCCAGTATGAACTGGTTAGAAAAGAATGTTTGTTTGCTTAAAAAAAAAAAAAAAAGACATAGCACCAAAGATGCATCCCTACAGTTTACCCTGGTCCACACTGAGTGGCCCATCTGCAAAGTCCCACGACAACTCATCTGCTGCCCGCACAAGACTAGGGAGGTGAAGAAGATGGTGGATGAGGGGACTAGCTGTGTCCGTCCTGCTCCCCTTTCTTCTTGCTTGCTCTTCTTTGCATCCCCTCTGCAGCAGCAGGAGAGTGGGATTGGATGAGCGGTTGACTAAGAGCTTGGGTAGCTGGTGTGATTGGGTAACCAGAGGCTTCTAGGGAAAGCTGGGGTTTCCACCCTTCCTTCTGAGGAGTTCACATCCTTGCTTAGTTGTAGGTTCCAGGTCAAAGAACAAGGAAATGTGTTGTTATGGGATAAATTGCTCAGAAATGGGGAGAAGTGGTTGGTGCACTGAAGGTCACATTTGTCTGCAGGCTCTGTGAAGTGGCGAGGACCCTTTCCTGGCTGCCAGCCAGAACAATGACTTTTCAAAGCCTTTAGAGAGAGTCATGTCTTCAATACTCGACATCCAAGTGCTGCATATGGGCCTCCTTACTGGTGCATCTAGGCCACAGATGTGTCTGTTGCAAAGCTTTGGGCAGAAATAGTACAGCACATGTGAAGAGTTCCCTTGGAGGGGAAAGTGGGTAGGGGAATCACTGTCAAGTCTCTGGGTACTCAGAACAAGCATAGTAAAACTGCCTTTAGATACAGTACCTGAGGACCTCAGGTCTCAGAGTCTGGGCTGCAAGAAGCCCTCTTAGGAAGGCCTTTTTGGTTATTCGAGAACTAAAACCCCTTTGGCTGGAGGGTCCCAACAGACCCACCAAATGAAGGACATTATACTGCTTTGACTAGTGAGTTAAAGGGCAGTTGCCTGGAAAAACGCAGAGCCTAGTTTTCCTAATTTGAAATATAAAAGATATTCTCTGGGCTATTACATCCTTTTAGCGAAGGCAATTCACATTCTTTTGGTGGTTTTTCCTCCTTATAATGATCAAATCCTAAAATCAGAACTTCTAATGTAAACCACTTTTACAGCTGTAATTGGATCTAAGGCAAATGCAACCACCAAGTGGCCTAAGACTCCCTGGCAATGTTCAATCAGGATATGATATCACTTGTGAAAGTCATATCTTACTATTGATACTTCTCCCAAGAGCAGCACAAATTAGAGACATACTCAAATGATTCCAAAGCCTCACAGACAGCAGGAGAGTATGCCACTGGTAAAGTGGGAGTTCTCAAGTAGAGTATGAGGCACATTTCATGTGGTCATTTAATGGAAACCCTATGAAAATGTTCTGCTGGGTCTGGGGGAAAAGAAGTCCTAACATTTAGAGAACCACATGAAATGTGGTTCTTAAAAAAATTCAAGAACTGATAATGCTAAAAGCATCTGAAAGCAGACTTTAGGGGACTGTGGGATACACGGTCTCAAAGTGAAAACACATGGACTTTCCCACTGTATCCACTTGGAGAGGACCCTGCTGTAAGCTCACGTGCACCCGTGCATAGGTGCGCACGTGCGCGCGCACACACACACACACACACAATTCAAGAGCTTGGAGATGGCCTCTGAAGGTGCAAAGGTATGAGCCCTATCAGAGGATGGCTTCAGCCCTCAGACATCTCAAATGCCAACATAATAAAAGCAGGTAAAAATCTCCGTCCACAAATTCAAGCATGTAGAAATACAATTGCTATGTTTATGTTTCATGTATTTTAAATATCCATTTTATATATAATTTCTGATTTTAGCATACCCCTATTTGACCTCTAGCCTCCCCCATTCCTGGGTTATGCTACAATTTCAGGATCTTATGCAGTGAGAGGGGAGATGTGGAGCATCTGGTCTACCTGTCATCAGTCTACAAAGATTATAGCTGAGATATCAACTGTTCCTCCCTGGGTGGTTTCCTCAGGCCTGAAATAT
Source organism: Homo sapiens (assembly GCF_000001405.40). Taxonomy (NCBI): domain Eukaryota; kingdom Metazoa; phylum Chordata; class Mammalia; order Primates; family Hominidae; genus Homo; species Homo sapiens. The sequence goes on along the minus strand of NC_000010.11, from coordinate 117,867,936 downwards.
CACACTTGGAATGTGGGAAGTTTTGCCAGGTTGACTTTGGTCCTCTATGCCTAGACACACCCTACAGCCCCTTCTCTCTGGGGTCTTGCTGTCTTCTAAGAGACATTGCCAGGAAGTGGGCCTCAGTCCCTGCTGCCACAGAAAGAAGCCCTGCCTGTTACGTAAACTCTAAATCTCAATTTCCCATGTGTACAATGGAAGAATAATAGCTATAGTAAGCACTCAATCAACATTAGCATTTAAGAATCATTATTAATAGATAAGTTTGAATGGCCATAAATGAAAGCAAAACATCCAGTCTCATAGGGCTTCCTGACTCATTAATGCTATAGGGTCACAACCTTTTAAATTCAATTACTTCACTGGCATTTCTAGAAACAATGTTGCCTGCTTACTATGCATTCCTGGATGCTCCTATGGTATTTCTTCATGACTCTTTAGTTTTTTTAACTTTCTGTTGAATTATATATTACATTGAAAAGTACGAGTAGTCATGCAGCTCAAACACACCCCTGTAACCAGCACTTAGAACAAGAAACAGACATAACCACCTTCCCAGAAATCCCCCTCATTCTCTGTCCCAATCAGTATGCATCCTGCAAGGAGAAACGCTCTCTTGACTTTGACAGTGTAGCTGTCTTCTGCATTGGGTTTAGCTGTCTTTCTACCTTATAGAAATGGAATAATTGACTATGTGTTTCGTTTTTTGCATCTGGCTTCTTTCATTCTATTACGTTTGTGAGAGTCAACCATATTTTACAAGTATTTGTAAACATTCGGTCTCATTGCAGTATAGTACTCTATTATACAGCTGATATGTCAGTTTACTTATTTTCATTTCAAGACATTTACAAATGACAGCCTTGGAGCTTAGTGTCCCCACCTGAATAAGTCTTGGGGCTACTAGGGGCCCCTGTATTTGAGACGCAGGAGCCTCTGCTTGCCTGGATGGCTCTGGGTACCTGTGCCCTGGTGAGTTGAACTATTTCCTGTTAAGGAACACCTAAAGAATTGGCCAGCCTGGCACCAGGGCGGCTTTGGCTTGCCCCTTCTCTGTGTGCCACCTAACTCTTGGAAAAGGTCATCCACTTCCAGCTTTTCCCAACCCATTAGCAGAGTATAGGGGCGGGACACATGGAGGAAAAAACAGTCCCAAGAGGAGAGAAAACAAAGGGCAAGTGACAAGAGGGAGCCGAAGGAAGAACTGACAACTCAGGGCTGAGCCCGAGGATTCACACGCCCCCTCCCTTCTCACCTTGAAAATCAGAAAGAGGCTGAGAATCCTAAAAGCCCATAAATGGAACTGAAGTTCCGTGGGATGCCACTTCAGATAAAATTGTAGAAACAGTAATGACAAATTCCTCGACATTATTTAGAACTAGAAATGGAAAAAGAGAAGGACGAGGTCTTGGGTTGGATCAGCCTACCCACATATACTCTTTATTGTTTTTAATCTTCTGACTTTAGAAATAATCATGCTGCTCATCAGAAAGTTGTCAAACAATGTAGTAATGTGAAGAAAGTAAAAGTCCTCTAGAATACACCTTCCACCCCAGAAATAACCACACTGTTAACAGTTTGGCATAGAGTCAGAGTCATCCAGATTCTTTTTCTCTTTCTCTCTTTCTCTCTCTCTCTCTCTGTCTCTCTCTCTCTCTCTCTCTTATAATATATATAATGTCTTGGTCAACAAAGCAGAAAACCTATCCCGTGTGTATTTCAAACCACTGCATCTGAATCACAGAAAGCATGGAACTGCCAGTGGTCTCAACCCCCACAGGTGATGTCATGGAGATGATAATCTCCAAATTGCCTCTAATCCTATAATGGCTTCCAAACCACATATTACACCACACGTGACAACCCAATTACTAATACCACCATTTTCATGTATGCAAAGGACAGCTAGCTTTTCAGCTCCGCGATTAGATGAAAGCACAGCTACAAATTAACTGGCAATTTCAGTGCAATATGAGGAAACAGCCATTCTTATCACATTCCAAAGAAAACTATAACCAAACAGCCATACTGAAAGCCGAGTGTCATCCAAGCATATTTGTCAATCAGCAAGGTAAATGTGTCTCCAGGGCCCCTGGCTGTGCCCTGAAGGAGGAAAACCCTCATGGTTCTTCATTTATTCAAGAAGCTAACAGGGACCCAAAGACATCAAAATTCCAAGACTGCAAAATTAGGGAAGTGCAGACTTTCTCAATCAAATTGCGCCAACTCTGGGAAGCTGGGGGGAAGAAAATCAACCATTTGTGTCATTTTCAGAGCCAGGACTACGTAGTAACTCTCTGATGGACCCTACAGGTCATCTAGTCTAGCCAAGACCCAGAGAGGCGAGAGTGCTCACATACGGCCAGGCAGCGCTCGGCCTCTGCCGTGGCTCTGGACTTAGAGCAACAACCTGGGGCTGCCAAGACAGGTTGAGAGCCAGTGAACAAATCTGGAAAAGAAAGGGAAGGGAATGATTCTCCCTAGAACAGCTCCTCCAAATCCTCCTCCGCCCATGAGTATCAGGAAGGTTCTCACCTGGCTTTTGCCAACCTCCCCTTTGCCTGCCTGTTGGAATCAAGAATTTGTCAATAGATGCTCCAACTTACTTCTCCTTAGGCTTCCACGGCCTTCGAACCACTTTTCACCTTTATTTGTTCTCACTTCTAAAGATTCCTCCATAAAATGTCCCCTTTGTCATCCTCAGGGAAGGCTGACCATTTCTTCTCCTATACCCCTGCCTGCCCCAATATGGCACCTCCCACATAGTACACTTTAAAGAGATGGCTATCTCCCCTACAAGATGCTCAGCTCCCTAAGGCTAGGGGCTCTCTTGTGTGTTCACACAACCCATGGCACATGGGAGGCACTTGATAAGTATTTGGTGGAAGGAAGGAAGAAAGGAAGGAAGGGAGGGAGGGAGGGAGGGAATGGGAAAAAAGGAAGGGGAAGAAAGGAATGAACTAATCTCACATTCCATTTATGCATGGCCTGGTATGATTCAGAATCAAGTGGAAATCACTATCTTTTCAAAATCATCTAATCTAGAACTTTCTTATTCTAGAAATAGAAGAAGTATATAGATTTTAGACTTAAACATGTTCTTCTTCTTTAGGAAAATATGATGGCTGTCTGGCTGCTGTGAGGAGCTGTGTTCTCTGCACAGTGGATATATACAAATAGATTTAAACTAGAGATGGATGGTCCCAGATGGATGTGGTTGGGGTGTGGAAGAACATCTTGAACTATTTTTCAAACATTTCAGTTTCAGCAAAAACCAAAACATGTTTTGCCAATCACTTTCCCTTAATTTTAAAAACTCATGGATTTCAAAGGAAATTTAATCTGAATGTTTCTACTTCATTTACTTCATCTCTTCAAAATGTTCTCCTTAAAAAGTGAACTGATGTCCTGGACACTTAAAGGACCTTTTGTAGTTTGCTGGTTGCTTTTAAGCAAGAAGCCACTTAAAATTTTGGCCAGGATAGGGGTGGGGGGAAGGTCAAAAAGCCCTAAATCTTGAAGTTAAAGAAAAAAAATAGTGCGCATTGATTTGAATTTGTAGCTAGGAAGTGAGTGATATGTTTCTCATGCTGAAACAAAGAAAAAATGGTTAAAGTTAAAAATAAAAAAATACAATTATTTAAAAAGTGAATAAATTTTACTTGATCAGTCAATAAAAATAAAGCTAGAAATTGTTACAGATTTTGGTTCATCTGCAGTACAAATTATTACAAGGATGATTACAGATATCAATTCATCTGTTCATTTAGGTTCATTTGTGATAGTCTGAACGTGTTTTGTCAATAACTCCTTAGCTGCAAGTACATATGACCATGATGCTGTGGCAGATGGATCATGACAAGGCTTTAAAGGGAAGGGAGATAGCAGAATGGTAGGTGCACAGCTCTCTCAAAACTCCTTATAATCTGCCAATTGTCCCTCTGTCCATTACTCCATAACCCAATCCTTAGTGACACTTGGGCGGGATTTGTTTACAATCTGCTGCTCCCCATAGACCTTGCCTGATATTCCTTTGTTCCACCAGATCCTTTCACTGTGTAAGTTACAAGCTGGGAACAGCTCAGGCCCCTGGGACATGTATCTAATTCATTGGAGTCACTAGGGGAAATTTAGTGCACAGCAGAAATCCAGTCAACACCCTCATTCCCAATAGTTAATATACTGTTTGACACCACTGTGACCAACAGAATAATTAGTCCATCTTTCGCAGACCACCCACGCTACTAATAGCTAATAACTAACACATGGGGAGACCATAGCTAATGATGTCCTTGGGTTCAGTGGTTCATTGTGTTTTTATTTCGTTTTTTCTCCCTCTTTATTAGCATTCACTCACTCAATTAACAATCGTGGAGTGTCCTCTGAATGTCAGGTGCTGTGCTGGGCATTTTGGAGGAGACACAAATGTGAAGGAACCATAGCCACTGCTCTCAAGGGTCCCGTGGGCTCATGTTACCATCTTGGTGCTGTCCTTCATGCACTGCTGTGGCCAATGCAACATACGTTATAGAGGGTGCATTTTAAATTCGGCACTTCTACAATTGGACAGAAGCCCAAATGGGGAGACACATTTTGTCTCTCAAATCGGTTGGTCTCCAAAAACCCATCAATACTGACATCTTCATGCGAGGAGAACTCAGCAACACATACATTACGTGGATTTACTTGGGAAAATATAAAATAAAATGAAAATAAAATGAAAGCTGGAGGCATCCTCGAGGTACCTTCTGAAACATCATAGGAGTGCCAAAACAATGAAAAAGGCCAATGTGAATAAGAAAAAGCATGCATCATGGATCTGCAACAAACTGATGAAGAATATCTCCAAATGAGAACTGACAATAGAATTTCACCCATCAGTCAAGGCATCTGTCCTTAGACCAGAAGTCACTGACTACTAAGAGCTTGCCAGTCCTAGTCCTGCCATGTTAACTTGCCTCACAAACAAAGATTCCAAGAACCACACGTTTTTAATTATGCAAAGTAAAGGTTGATGAATGATTCATACAACTAATCTAAACTTGGGCCAGGTTAAAATAATACTGTGTAATAACTTATATTTATACAGCTCATGAGAGCACTTTTCCTTTGAGCTTAAAGTAGATTTCAGATAGTATCTCGTCTCTTCTCATAACATCTTTGTGAAATAGGCATGGTGAAGGTGTCAGGGTGTCCTCTTTTCTTCCACAGACAGGGCAATAAAGGGCCAGAAAATTTCAGACCCAAGTCCAAGATCACACAGGATGGCAGACAGGAAGCCAGGACCATCTCTGCACTTAGGAGAGAAGTCATCTCAAGAATCTGGACACCATGGGACAGTGGCACTGGTCTTTGGAGCAGGCCTCCTTCCTGAAGGCAAGTGACCACAATAATGCTAGAGTTTGGAATCGTGACAGCTCCATGGCCATAACATTCCCTTTGTTTTGGTAGCTTCGGGGGATCAGAGGAAGATTTGAGGACCTAGGGACATAAGAAATGTCATTGTGAGTCAAACCTGTGGCTTGTCAGCTCCCAGATTCTTCTTCCCAACTAGGAAATGATGATTGAATCAGCCTGGCTGTTGGAGTAGACGCCATCTCTTTCCCTGACTCTCTCCGTTCTTCATCCTTCAGTCTGCCATTCTCTGTATCTTTGCCAGAGAGCTTTCTCTCCAGCCCTGGAAGTAAAGTGTCTTGCCCACTTCAAGCAGGCTAGGGTGCCTGAGCATTACATCCCCCCTACTGGAGTAGCGTGTGAATGTCTGTGCTTCTCAGTGGGTAGAATAGTAACTGGTAAAGAGGTGAAATGGTGGGCGGCCCTAATGCTTCTCGGGGTCTCCCCATGGGATTAAATTCCAGGCACCCAGTGGTCGCTGGCTGGATAACACACACTTTACAGTGGACTTCCCATGTCCATCTTATTTCCCAACAGACAGCCTGCCCAGAATTCTTGTCTCCAGTTCTGTTTCTGGGAGAACTCAAGCTATGACAACTGTCCTCTGATATAGTTTGCCTGTGTGTCCCTGCCCAAATCTCATGTTGAAATGTGATCTCTAGTGTCGGAGGCAAGGCCTGGTGGGAGGTGATTGGCTAATGGGTGCGGATTTCTCATGAGCGGTTTATCTCCATCCCTCTTGGTACTATCTTCGAGATAGTCAGGAAGTTCTTGGGAGGTCTGGTTGTTTAAAAGTGTGTGGCACCTCTCCCGACTCTCTCTCTTGCTCCTGCTCTGGCCATGTGATGTGCCTAGTTGCCCTTTGCCTTCTGCCATGATTGTCAGCTTCGCGAGGCCTCCTCAGAAGCTGAGCAGATACCAGCATCATGCTTCTTGTACAGCCTGCAGAACCGTGAACCAATTAACCCATTTTCTTCATAAATTACCCAGTCTCAGTATTTATTTATAGCAATGCAAGAACAGCCTAATACATCCTCTCTGACATCATCCTTGATGCCCTGATGACTCATTGCAGAGACACCATGCATGGACCAAGTCCCTAAAAAAACCTGTATTTATGCCGCTCTCAGGCTCAGTTTCCCCCCAAGTTCCCTGCACACCATGGGAAAAAGGAATATCATTAAGTCTGGGACAGAACCTGAGCAAAAAAGAATAAAAGTAGAACTGTGCTCTGAAAACCTGAAAATCCTCTCGGACTTCGTTTGGATTATTTTTTTCTTTTCAGTGTCTGGTGAGGGATGCATCAGGAAGTTAGAAATGAATGGACTTTTGCAATTCATATCCTCATTTTTTTAATGTAGTTGAGATGAGTTTTTTATTCTACCTATTGTATGGTCAATGGCACATATGAGAGCTGAAATGCTGTTTGAATTCATTTTCTTAGGTATGTCAACCATATGTGGTACACTGGAGAAATGTATGTCCATGTGATGAATATATTTGCCCTCTAGTGGCTTAGTGGTTATTTGCAGAATGTAAATCCACTTCATTCATTCAGTCAGTCAATCAAGGTAGTCTAGAGCCTTTATTTTGTTCCAGACACAGTGTTGAAGGCTAGTGAAATAAACAGTGATAGTCCCTGGCTTCATGGAGCTTACAGTTTTGTGAGGGAGATGGGTGTGAAAACAAGCTAACAGTAGGAATCAAAACACTGAAAAATGTGATTAGACCTATGAGGGAAGGCAGCATGGTGCTTTGAGAGAAAAGCAGAGCGTATTTAATTTGAAGTAAGACAAGAGTCCGTGAAGGCTGTCTAAGAAGTGATGTTTGAGCTAAAATCTGAAGGTGGAGTCATCGAGCAAAGGTTGTGGTGGGCGCAGGGGGACACTCTTAGCAGAGGGAACAGCATTTGCAAAGGTCCCAAGGATGGAAAGAGCTTGAAACACATTCTCAGAGGAAGGATCGCCTAGGGGTTAAAGGCATGTTGTGTAGATCCTGGCAGGGTGGGTCCAAAAGGTCCTATCTCTATTATTAGCTCTGTGACACTGGGTAGGACACTTAACTTCTCTGTGCCTCATCTGTAAAATAGGGTTTTCAATAATAATATCTCATAGTGTGAGACTCAAATAATAGCTCACAGTCTGAGGAGTCAAACATGTTTACACTGCTTGGATTACTCACCAGAGCAAGTGAGTTGAGTTGGCAAAGAATGGGCCACGCCTTAGGAGGCCATTGCCACCACATGCACACATGCACGCACACATGCACACACATGCACGTACACACACACTATTCCTAATGTCCCAGCGCTTCCCTATCTTGAATATCAATTCACTATTCTTCAGAGCATTGCTACTCAGAGTGCAGGCTGAGGACTGGCAGCATCGGTATCACCTGGGAGCTTGTTTGAATTGGTCCCATCTCAGACCATCCGAATTAGAATCTGCATTTCCCAAGCCCTGGGGGACTCTGTTACACATTCAAGCCTGAGACGCACTGCTTTAGAGGCCTCCAACGCCAGACGGCTCAGTGTCAAAACACCACCAACAACACACATCCTATGGAAAGTGCTACCAGGTGACATCTCTTCCCTATTTTGGCTCCAACACTGTCCCCTTTAGCACACAGCTGGAATCTAAGATCCGAAGGAGAAGTTTCTTCTGTGGCTTACGAAGAGATTGAGAGGCTGGAGACAGGTACGTAGTTGCAAGATTTAGGTAATGAATTGTAGACTGTGAGAGAGGAAAATAATGATGTGAGGGGAGATAATAATCCAGGAGTACAGCTTTTCTTTTTTTCACAGCCCCCAAATTTTACCCCATGTCTTTCTAAAAATGACTCTCTAAAAACTGACAGTTCTCCCTTCCCTGATAATGTTTGGGCACCACTAGAATGACCCACCCTCACCCATCCAAAACGTGTGAATGACACCGCTATGTTGAGATGTGATCACATGTTTAATGATGCTGCTGTGAACATATTTGTTCAAAGGTGGGGAGCATATGAAAAAGTCATGCTGCCTTATGGAAAAAGACTAAAAAGTTTAACTTTATGTTTTTTAAACTCATTGACTTTTGATCTGTGTTTTATAAATAATCCATGACTTTAGGATGCTCCTAATATTATTTACAATGCAGATAAGTAAAACACAAAGGCTTATAAGCTGCTTGTATTATCTGAACATCAAGCAAGAATTTTTAGCACCATTTTCCTCTTAAATGTACGATTTAGATTTTGTCATATTTGTACTTACTTTGAACATTTCACACACACAGCACAAAAGATTCTGATGCAACATTTCCTTTGATAGCTTATTATACTCAATGTGAATTCTAAATCAAATCTTGTTACCAAATAACACTGCACGTTAAAGGTTTTCAGAGTTCATTTGCAAAATAAATAATAAGCCCATAATCATCTCAAATGGAAACAAATCAAGGATGCATTCCTAATAAATTTGCGTTATGTTTGATCATTTTTGTGATAAAAGTACCCTTAGCAGGGAGAAATTGGCTGAAAAATAATTAATCAGCTGGACAGGCCAGTCTCTTCTTTAGTCTTTTAAACATGTCTTCTAAATAACATCCATTTGATGATACGTCTCTACCTGTGTTTAAAGTCCACTCACTGAGAGTGACTGAAGGATTTCTATTAGGAGCTCTTGAGAAAGGATCCCTCCATCTCACCAGGAAATAAATCTATGTCTCTATGGCAGAAGATATAGGGAGGTTCTAAATTGTTTAAATATTGAACATACTTGACACTTTTCTTCCCTGGCCTCATGCTGGAGTCTTTTGAGACAGTGAAGATGTATGCACATGGAGGGGGCTTGAAGTTTGAGAATTCATTCGTTCAAAAATGTGCATCATTCAATTCAGAGAGCTGAAGCAAAAGGTGGGGATTGTATTAAAATGTACCATATAACCTGTACAATTTTTTTTTATTTTATTATACTTTAAGTTTTACGGTACATGTGCACAACGTGTAGGTTTGTTACCTGTACAATATTTTAAGTAGCCTTAAATAATCAATACATGGAAATGTAGAGAAACTTCTCCCAAAGTCACACCATCCCATTTGTAAGGCTGCCCCTCTAACTGTACATTGCTATTGAATAGTAGCTGTTTTACCAGATTTGCAGTTTTGTGAATGTGCCTGCAGCTCTTTAAGGAAAAGATGCATTCTCACATTCATCTTTGTTCTTTTCACATCTGGTTCCAAGTGAGTGCTCAATAGATACTGGGTGGATACATGGATGGATAGATGGATGGATGGATGGATGGATGGATTGATGGATGGATGGATGGATGGATAATGGATAAAAGGCAGGAATGATCATGAATGGCTAGATAGCACGCTGTCTCTCCAATTAGGTTTGAATTGTTGAAGAGTAGAGGTGAAGGGAAATGAAGTAGGATATTATTTTAGATTGTATTCTTTTGATTTTGTATAAAATTCATTCAAACTGCCACAGCCAAAAATAAAAATGTATGGGTCATGTAACTGAAAGGTCCAAAAAATAGATCCTGCTTCAAGCAGGGCTGGATCAATATGCTAGGATGACATCCTTGGGGGGCTTGGTTGTTGCTCTTTTTTTTCTTTTTTGCCTCTGCATCCCTCCACACTGGCTTCACTCTCGAGCATTTTCAGGTTTACATGGTCATTCCAGTACTTGCTGCTGGTTTCTTTCTTCCTCCCTTTCCCTCCTCCACTCCTCACTTCCATCCTAAACACACCACAGTCCCCTCATCAGTATAACATGATGTTTGGAGACAAGTATGGCAGCATCAACTTATGAGCAAAAAACTGAAAAAATCATCTTAACATGTGTTCAACAATCAAAATATAGAATTTTCCCATGTAATCGAAGAGAAATTTCTATCTCAAGCATCTTTAACTATAATTTCACATTGTTTTTCCCATTTTAGAGAAATAACATTTTAGTGGTAATTGAAGCCCAGAGAGCCCAAGCAACTAGCCTAGGGGCACACAGCTATTACGTGGCAGAGCTGCAATGCAAACCTAGGGAGGCTGGTAAGCAAAGCTGAAGCTCCTATAACATTTCTTCCCCTCTGCTAAGAGTATTTCGTCCTGTGTAAAATGGAGATAATAATAGTAACTACCTCTAGGGTTGTTGGGAGAATTTTATGAATTAATACTTAGAAAACTCTTTTAATAGTGCTGAGCACATAGTAAGCACTCAATAAATGCCAAGCGTCTCATGCCCTCCTGTGCCTCCCTGGGCTGAGGATTGCAGAGAGGTGGGAGAGAAGATGTGTAACCAAAACTTAATTCTCTTAGAGTCTACTTAGTACATTTCTGGCTCACTGATATTAGACTGCACAGCCATACTCCATTTTATTGTGCTCTGTTTTTATTGTGTTTCACAGATTGTGTGTCTTTTACAAGTTGAAGGTTTGCAGCCACTCTGCAGTAAGCAAATCTATTGGCATCATTTTTCCAACAGTATATGCTCACTTTAGGTCTCTGTGTCACGTTTTGGTAATTCTCATAATATTTCAGACTTTGTCATTATTATTATGTCTGTTATGGTGATCTGTGATCAGTGACTTTTGATGTTGCTATTTTAATTGTTTTGGGGCACCATGAGCCATACCCATATAACACAGCAAACTTAATCCATAAATGTCAAATGCCTTCTAATTGCTCCACCAACCAGCCATGACCTCATCTTTCTCTCTCTCTCTTTGAGCCTCGCTACTCTTTGAGACATAATAATATTGAAATTAGGCCAATTAATAACCCTACAATGGCCTCTAAGTGTTTAAGTGAAAGGACGAGTCACATGTCTCTTACTTAATTAAAAACTGGAAATGATTAAGCTTGGTGAGGAAGGCATGTCAAAACCCAAGATAGGCTGAAAGCTAGGCCTCTTGTTCCAGTCAGCCAAAGTGTGAATGCAAAATAAAAGTCCTTGAAGGGAGTTAAAAGTGCTACTCCAGTGAACACAAGAATGATAAGAAAGCAAAACAGCCTTCTTGCTGATATGGAGAAAGTTTTAGTGGTCTGGATAGAAGATCAAACCAGCCAGAACATTCCTTTAAGCCAAAGCCTAATCCAGATCAAGACCCTAACTCTCTTCAATTTTATGAATGCTGAGAGAGGGTAGGAAATTGCTCAAGAAAAGTTTGAAGCTAGCAGACATTGGATTGTAAGGTTTAAGGAAATAAGCCATCTCCATAATATAAAAGTGCAAGGTGAAGCCACAAGTTATGAGGTAGAAGCAGCAGCAAGTTATCCAGAAGATCTTGCTGAGATCATTGATGGAGGTGGCTATACTCAACAGCCTTTTATTGGAAGAAGATGCCATCTAGGACTTTCATAGCTAGGGAAGAGAAGTCAATGTCTGGCTTCAAAGCTCCAGAGGATAGGCTGACTAATGCCTTGTTAGGGGCTAATGCAGCTGGTGACTCTCAGTCGAAACCAATGCTCATTTACCATTCAGAAATTCTATGACACTTAGGAATTATGCTAAATCTACTCTGCCTATGCTCTATAAATGGAAGAACAAAGCCTAGATGAGAGCACATCTGTTTTCAGGATGGTTTACTGAATATTTTAAGCCCACTGTTGAGACCTACTATCCAAAAAAAATTCTTTTCAAAATATTACTGCTTATTAACAATGCACCTTGTTACTCAAGAGCTCTGATGGAGAGGTACAGGGAGATTAATGTTTTCATTAACACAATATCCATTCTGCAACCCCTGGATCAAAAAGTGATTTTGACATTCAAGTCTCGTTTTTCAGAAAATACATTAATAAAGCTCTAGCTACCATTGATCATGATTCTGCTGATGGATCTGGGCAAAGTAAGTTGAAAACATTCTAGGAAGAATTCACCATTCTATATGCCATCAAGAACATTTGTGATTCATGGGAGGAGGTCAAAATATCAACATTAACAGGAGTTTGGAAAAAAAATTGATTCCAACCTTCATGGATGACTTGGAGGTGTTGAAGACTTCAGCGGAGGAAGTCACTGCAGATGTGGTGGAAACAGCAAAACAACTAGAACTAGAAATGGAACCTGAAGACGTGACTGAATTGCTGCAATCTCATGAGAAAATTTGATCGGATGAGGAGTTGCTTCTCATGGATGAGTAAAGGAAGTGGTTTCTTCAGATGGAATCTATTCCTGGTGAAAATGCTGTGAACATTGTTGAAATGACAACAAAGGATTTAGAATATTTACAAACTTAGTTGACAAAGCAGCAAAAGGGGTTCAGAGGATTGACTCCAATGTTGAAAGAAGTTCTACTTGTGAGTAAAACGCTATCAGACAGCACTGCATGCTAAAAAACTATTTCATGAAAGGGTCAATAAATGGGGCAAACTTCATTGTTATCTTAAGAAATTGCCACAGCCACCCCAACCTTCACCAGCCACCATCCTTATCAGTCAGCAGCCATCATCATTGAGAAAATTGAGGTAAGACCCTTCACCAGCAAAAGATTACAGCTTGCTAAGGGCTCAGATGATCCTTAGCATTTTATAGCAAAGTATTTTTAGATTAAGGTATGTAGACTGTTTTTCAGACATAATTCTATTGCACACTTAATAGACTACAGTATAGTGTAAACATCACTATTATATACACGAGAAACCAAAAGAAAATTTGCAAGTTGCTTTACTATGGTGGTCTGGAACTGAACCCACAATATCACTGAGGTATGCCTGCATCGAGTTGGTGAAAGTCAAAAATTCCCCTATCAGGCTTAATTCGGCCCGTGTTTAAGGCAGCTCTGCTGTTGATGATTTTTACCCAGTGACCGAGCCTCGTAGAGTGGGCTCCCTTGACAGAGACTGCCTTTTGGAGCCAATCACAATGGAGGTTTACTCTGCAGCTGAGGATAATTTTAATTCTGTTATGAAAATTGTATGAGTACCATGCAATAGAATTCCAAATGTTTTACTTTGTAGTAGGAAAAAAACTAGTACCAGAAAATAAACATGTAGGCTTTTTAGGGAAAACTTCAGAGGCAAAAGAATGCAGAGCATTTAAACTTTGGGCAAACAATAGTTTCCCCCTGTGTGCACCATACTTTCTTTCCCAGACCCAGCAACATGACCCGGGGATGTGCACCTGTCCTTTCTGTCTGGTGAGAAACTTGCTCCATAGCTGGCCATTAAAGACCCAGGCAATAAACGCAGCCACAGCTATCACACCTCTCCTCCGAAAGCCCCCGTTTCTCCTTCCACAAGAAAATGTTTCTAATGTCATCAAGTATTCTATCATAAATGATAGATTAATTCCTCACATGGGGACATAGGAGTCCCTAGTAATTCAGAATTACTAAAAACTTTGGGGCAACTCCCTAAAGAGGGGCACAAGCTCTTAACTGACATTGACACGTATTAGCAAAAAGGCCAAAGCAGGTGTCTTGCTTTGCCAATTCAGCACAAAAGAGAGGATCGGAGCATTATGATAAGGGGGCCATTCATGCTACTGTAGGCTATAGTTGTGTGTTCACACTTCCATAATAAACCTATTTTCAGGGGCTTATAATTCAACCGTAAAAATCTGCTCCATGCTCAAACTTGGCAGAACAAAATCTCAGACTCTGAGCTCAAAATCCTTCCCTTACTTTAAAATATTTTTTAAAGATGTGTTTTGGATGAGTTTAAATTTACAGAGTGCCAAAAATATTAGGGATTTGAACAGCTATTTTTCTTTATTTGATATCTAGAGACAACTAATCCGTGCCTGTGTAAAAGGAGTCTTGGCTTTTTTTGATCAGTTTTGCCTGAAAGGTTGTCAAGTTGAAAAAGAAGTTAAACGCCAATCTGAAATGAATTAGAGAGCATTAGACAATAATTAAACTGAAATTAGGGCATCATTTATTCATCAAGTCATCACTAAGAAAAGAATCCAATCCTCATAGATACCTTTAAAATATTTAGAACTTAATCTTAAACACCTTTGCAAGTAGGAAGAGAATGCTGGAATTGTTTCTGCTCAAAGGGGTTTGCCGATGACAGTGACTGAATTTTAAATGCTGCTGAGCTCTGTGGGCAAAGTGGAGAAATAAAGCTACCCTCCAAAAGCTGTCTTCCACTTGTGTTGACAAATGGAAATGATGGCTGATGGCAGGAAAACTCTCCCATCTCGATAAGATGTCCTTGATCACATCCCCGAGGTCATGTGGGGCAAAATTAGCAGGTGGGTGACATATTCCTCCTGCTTTCTGCCTGAACTTTGGTTTTCCCATCTGAATAAAGAAGCGGTCTGTAAAGGTTGGATGCTGGGGTTTTGGAGAAAGCCTCCTGCACCATTCAACCTCTAATCCAAATGAACACTGAATAGATCCTAAAGGCCATTGATTTGGAAGAAATAAAATTTCATCTTGTCCGTCTGTCTCCATCAGCCCTGTCCCCATCTCTCCATGGGGCTCAACCACTTCTCTTTTAGTGCCTCCCCACCCTAGGCCTCAGGAGGTCACCGCAGCTTGCACTGAACCCTACCCAGGCTGTCCTGTCCACTGAGCTGTACAGTCACCTTTCAGCTTAGTCACCTCCTCCTTGAAGCCTTCCTGACATGCCCCTGTCTGAAAGAACTAACCACCACAGCTTCTGTGCCCCTGTCCCCTGCCAAGACTTCCATCACAGCTTTCAGAGTCTTCTGTGACCTCTACCTCTACCAGCACCTCCAAGGCAAGGACGAAATCTTCTTACCTTTTTCGCCAGGCCCTGCCTTTCTAGGCACTCAATACAAATGTGTCAGTCAATGAATGCGTCACTCCCCCACAGACATGACCTGTTCCCTTTTCAAACTCGTCTGGGATAAATGCGTATTAGTACAAATGCAGAGCAGGGTAGGTCAAGGACGCAAGTATAATTCTGGAGCCCAAATAGCTAAGAGAGAATGCCAACTGAGGTTTCCCTGCAAGCCTTCCCTGCTGGTCAGCTTCTCTGTGGGACTCTAAACATTGTGAGCTCTCCCTCGTTAGGGGCTTTGATGATTTTAATGGTGCTTCAGAGAGGGAAGGATAGAGGAGGCACTGCAGAACTTTAAAAAATCCCTCTTTTGTTTAAATGGAGAAACTGAGGCACATGAATGAGGAGGGAGTTGCTTCCAGCTTGCAGCCAGCGAAGGTGGCAGGCTGCTCTGTGTTTGCTCATAGCCCATTATCTCTTCCTTCAAAATGATGCTGAATCCCACAGAAACCCAGGGTTGAAGAGGATTTTGAGTCATCCGGGCCTCTCTACTCAAAGTGTGGTTCCTGGACCAGCAGCAGTGGCCTCACTCTGGAGCTGCTTAGAAATGCAGAATCTCAGGTCCCACCCCAGACTCACTGAACCAGAATCTGCATTTTTTTTTTTTTTTGAGACAGGGTCTCACTCTGTTACCCAAGCTGGAGTGCAGTGGTGTGATCATGGCTCACTGCAGCCTCAATCTCCCAGGGCTCAGGTAATCCTCCCACCTCAGCCTCCCAAGTAGCTGGGACTATAGATGCACCCTACCACACTCAGCTAATTTTTGCATTTTTTATAGGGTTGTGCCATGTGGCTGAGGCTGGTCTCGAACTCCTGGGCTCAAGCAATTCTCCTGCTTCAGCCTCCCAAAGTGTTGGGATTGCAGGCATCAGCCACTGCGCCCAGCCTAGAATCCACATTTTCACCACATGCCCTGGTGCTGTGTGTGCATCTTGAAGTCTGAAATGCACTGAGCAAGTCCACTGGGGCTCCCAAACATTTACCTAGCCCACAGGCGGCTGTAGTCACCGGAAAATCTGTAAAAATACTGATGCCTGAGCCTCACCCCGGGCAGGTACAGCCAGGAAATAGGAATTGTTTTAAAGCTCCACCAGGAGAGTCTAATGGGCAGCACAGTTTGAGAACTACTGATCTGGTCATATCCATACTGGTCCACCAGCTTGGTCCATCTTTGGACAGTTAGAAGTTCTTCCTCCAATAATAGAAAGGTCTTTCTCAGAGGTAATCTAACCATCCAGAGTTCTTTGGCTGACTTCCCGGTCATTTGGTTCATGTCACTGCAGACTCGGCTACTGATGACAAAACTGCACACCTGACACAGGTGTGCACGGGTCTAGTTTATCTTATATGATGTGCCTTAAATGCGTCATATTGTATTTAGAGTGCATGATCTCTCTGGTTGGAGTTACTATTTTCTCTTAGAAAACAGTGGTCTCTGGGCCATTCCTAGGCATCTGGAATGGTCCTGTCCCAAGGGAACTAATTAGAATAATGGTGAGGAGGCTTTTTATCTATGGTTTTAAATTTAGTGCTGTTGATGGTTTCTTTTGCTTTTAAAAAATACTACATAAAGGAGATAAATTTCCTAAAACAATCTTCAAATATTTTTGTGTAGAACCTTAATTCTTCGCATTATGTCATTTTGGTTTCCTGGCATTATATCATCTGTATGACCAGAGGTTTCTGACTTACCTTGAAACTAACTCAAGAGCTTATATGCTGAAAAATATATACAGTGAGATTCAGTTAGAAGTGAAGGTGGGTAAAAATAGCTCTCTTTCTCTCTCTCTCTGTCTTCCTGCAGTTATTTTTTTCTTCATTTAGTGCTTTGATGGCTGTATTTGCATCCTATCACTTCAGTTGCTGAATCATATGCACTTGCAGTTGTGGGAATGTAGAGAAAGAAGACAGTCCCTTCTGGTGAGCTGTGAAAGTCCCCTCAGATGATTAACAGATGAGAGCTAGAAAGTGTAGCATTTCAAAGCTGCCAAAACTTTGCAGAATATTTTACATTTCAGTGGATTCATCTGTTTAACAGCCATTGCTGGCCTAGTGTGCTCCCCTTCAAGACATGTGCTTTTGGTTTGGGTCTTTATTGGTTTTGTCCTTTATTTCCACTCTTTCCTTTACATAGGCAGATAGGAAAGCATATTCATAAAGTGGTGTATGGCATGAATCAAAACAAATACGCCTTTTCTTCTGAGGAAGAGACAGGTCTAAAAACAGTTTGAGGCGATTGATCCTCACACTGCTGGTGCTGCTTTTGATAGGCATGGAGGAGGTGGCGGTGGGGGCAGAGTTGTGATTAAAGACCATCTTCCATTATGCTCCACGACACTAAAAGAGGTTCCAGAAAGTTTAAACCATGGTAATATCCATGCAATGGCCATAGGGACCAAGTTGATAGATTTTTTAAAATTCAATCATATATCCAAGGGAAAGTGTTCCCATTTCCTCCCCCCACTGAGAAATGTGGTAGGCATGTGGAAACTGGAGTCTTTAAACATATTCATTTGTGCCAAGGTTGGCATTTGTTTCAGTGGCTTCCATAGAAAAAGTCCAGGTTCATTCTGCAGGTGTACATGACCTCCACAGATGCAGCCGGCATAGGGAACATGTAGGAATTTCTACTGAGGGACAAAGATGATACAGAGAACTTGGTGAGTGAGATCCCTGTTTATAGTAGGAGGATTTAAATAAAATGAATATCCTAAATATCAGAATGTGTGTCTGTGTATGAGAGACAGTGGAAAAGAGAGAGAGGGAAGAGAGACTGTGGTAGACCGTGCACCAGTATGGACTCCCGGACCTTTCCATGAGCAGTAATGACAATCATTCTACTAAATTTACGTCCTATCTTGACCAACTCATTTGGCAGCAACAAGAAGTTCACAGCCCAAAGCGGATGCTGACCTCCCCATCCCTGCTCCACCCACACTATATCTGTATAAAGTAGAACGCTATACCTTGCTGCTCATAAGATGACCCGTCAACATTCCTTTTTCCCATTTTCCATGACCACGTTTACCTGGCCAGCTAGATTGTGTGGGGTGTGCTCCTAGTTCTAAAGGCAGAAAGATTAGATGGTGAGGGAGGGGCACAAAGAGAGGGTAGGGTAGAGGCAGAGGCATTTACCTGAAGATATGGGGGCTCCTCTAAGAGAAAATGCAATGCTTCATCCCTTCTCTTTATGGTGCCAGGTATTTCAACAGCTTCTCCCTCATCTTTACACCACCCCTAAACAGGGAAGATTGTATTGAGTTATCATATACAAACAGAAGTGCACTAATAATAAATGTTCAGCTCGATGACATTTCAGATAGTAACATAGAACATGTTCAAGCCCTGAAAGTTTCCCTTATGCATCTTCCTCATAAATAGTCCCACTCAGAAACAAGACATTATTGTGTCATCTGTCACTGCAAATCGACTTCAAAATGACAGAAAGTTAAATATTCTAGAGAGAGGCAACCAAAATAAATACATTCACTAATCATAATGATGGTAATAAAAACCATTTATTGATCATTTACCATGTGCAGGCACTAAGCCAAGTGCTTTCTTTTATCATCATAGTTTATCTTCATATCAACATTATGAGGAATACCTTATCCTCATTTAATAGGTGAGGACATTTCAGCCCAGAAAAATTATGTAATTTACCATAGTTCACACAGCTAGTAGGAGGTGGAGCCAAGATTTGAACACGGGTTTGTTTCTGCAGGTCTTGAGTCCTGAATCACTGCGCTGTATCATCAAGAAGTTCACACTGGGTGGAGTTCAGATGATATTCTATCCAGGAAATATAAGAAAATATTCTATCAAGCCACAGGCTTGGAATTTCGCATGGTCTAACCTCATTCCTTAACAAACAACAAATTTCATCAAGCTACATAAATAGCCTCAACTAACTAAAATGCTTGATTAACTTGGATTATTGCTAATCGTTCATTTATTCATTCAACAAATATCTATTTGTCCCCTCCCCCCCACCACATCAGACCCTGTGAGAGGCATTAGGAATACATCGGTAAACAAAACAATTTATAATCTAGTATATCCACTTTTAATAGTCTGGTCGAATGGAGAAAACACCTTTGTAAATCAGAATATGTTTCTAAAAACCAAATCTTGTTTTCTATACCAAGACCATTTAAAATCTTATCATGATCATTATTCCAACTGTCAGAGACTGAGCCTGTGATGTTTGTTTTCCTGTATTTCTAAGGTAAGAGAAGTGAGTAATACATTTTCCAAAGATTTGTCTCAAGTTCTTCAACAAAAATGCCCCATATGGTAAACCTTCTGGTTATTGGGGGTTTTGTTAAATAGTATAAGCAGTAACTCAATGTTTTTTCAAATAGTGCTTGAATTCTTGACTCCAAACAATGGATGCTGTTTGGCATATGATTTGCATTTTTTCCTATAATATCCAAATTAACTGACCTCGGTTTTCCCCATCCCACCACCTGCCTTGTACCCTTTGCTCCCTTTCTTTCTTTCCATCTTTCTTTCTCTCTTTCTTTCTTTCTTTCTCCTTCCTTCCTTTCTTTCTTTCTTTCCCTTCTTTCTTTCTCCTTCCTTCCTTCCTTCCCTTCCTTCCTTCCCTCTTTCTTTCTTTCTTTTTCTTTCTTTCTTTCTTTCTTTCTTTCTTTCTTTCTTTCTTTCTTTCTTTCTTTCTTTCTTTCTTTCTTCCTTCCTTCCTTCCTTCCTTCCTTCCCTTCCTTTCTTTCACTTTAAGTTGTGAGATATATGTGCAGAACATGCAGGTTTGTTACATAGGTATACATGTGCCATGGTGGTTTGCTGCACCCATCAACCCATCATCTACATTAGGTATTTCTCCTAATGCTATCCCTCACCTAGCCCCCTGCCCCCCGACAGGCCCTGGTGGGAGATGTTCCCCTCCCTGTGTCCATGTGTTCTCATTGTTCAATTCCCACTTATGAGTGAGAACATGCGGTGTTTGGTTTTCTGTTCCTGTGTTAGTTTGCTGAGAATGATGGTTTCCAGCTTCATCCATGTCTCTGCAAAGGACATGAACTCATCGTTTTTTATGGCTGCATAGCATTCCATGGCGTATATGTGCCACATTTTCTTAATCCAGTCTATCATTGATGGGCATTTGGGTTGGTTCCAAGTCTTTGCTATTGTGAATAGTGCTACAATAAACATACATGTGCATGTGTCTTTATAGTAGAATGATTTATAATCCTTTGGGCGTATACCCAGTAATGGGATCACTGGGTCAAGTGGTATTTCTGGTTCTAGATCCTTGAGGAATCTCCACACTGTCTTCCACAATGGTTGAACTAATTTACACTCCCACCAACAGTATAAAAGCATTCCTGTTTCTCTACATCCTCTCAAGCACCTGTTGTTTCCTGACTTTTTAATGATCGCCATTCTAACTGGTATGAGATGGTATCTCATTGCGGTTTTGATTTGCATTTCTCTAATGACCAGTGGTAATGAGCTTTTTCTCATATGTTTGTTGGCCACATTAATGTTTCACGCCTTCTCTGCGGTGGATTCCCCCTGGTGGGCACTGATGTGGGTCACAAAGATCTACACATTATGTGCCTACTCCCTTGGCCCATCCACATTCTTCTTCCCAAGACTTCTTTGTTTCTGATTTTCTAATCTTGTTCATGTCAGATATTTGACCAACCAGGCAGACCATTTGCCACTTCCCTGGAGTCTATGTATATCCTTATTTCAGGTCACTTCTCCCTCCACACCAAGTTTGTGGCAAGGTATGCTTCTTGAATTTCTGCCCTTATTAATTTCAGGCCATCCCCTGAGTGACAGCATTCATTTTAGCATGCCATGATATCTTGGGCTGACTTCTCTGTGAGCCCCAAACTGAGTTTTTCCTCCTCAATCAGCTGGTCCTTGGGAAAACTTCCCCTGTGTCCATAAGCATGAGCCAGGAGAGAGGTGAGGTAGCTGGGGGATTCTTTCCTCATCTCCTGACAATCTCCTAGAACCTCTTAATTCCCTGGCACCTCAGTGAGAATGTAAACCTGGGAACACTTAAGCAGGGAGGTTGTAGGAATTTGGGCCAGCAAAACAGTGCCTGCCACACTAGCCAAAACCAGTTATAAAATGGAAATTTTAAAAAAATCCTATTCACTATATTAACCAGGAATAAATTTAATAATAAAGGCATAGAACTTATATAAAGAAAGCCATAAAATCTTATTGAAGATCTTAAAATAAGACCCCCAAAATTGGATAGACATAGTATGTTCCTGGTATTGGAAAACTTTATACCATAAAACATCAGTCCTCAAATTAACTTAGAAATGAAATGCAATTCAAATTAGCATCCAATGCTTGTTTCGTGGATGTTGGGAGTGCATGAAACTATTTTAAAGTTTATATGTAGTAATACCTATCTGAGAATGACCAGCAAGAGAAGTTTAAAAGGGAAAAATATCTGGGAGGTCCTCTTACAAAATTATGCAACTCACTATACTTTTTATGTATACGCATATATACCCACACACACATATATATATTATATATATATATATAATATATATACACACAATACTGAACTACACTATAATCTAATACACCACTGACAGAGAAAAAGGTAATAGATCAAGAACAAAATAGGTTCAGAAATAGATTACAGTCTATATGGGAGCAAAATACATACAAAGGTGGCATTTTAATTCCATGTGAAGAGGACCATTCATATATGAAATGATTCAGGAATAACTGGCTGGCTATCAGGGCTGGATGGAAAGCTATATCTCAAAACTCACATCATAAGCAAAAATAAATTCCAGATGAAATGCTCGAAAACTATGAGTTTGGAGAATGTTCAGTGCTACCCACACGAGAAGTAGGTGTGCTGGGCTCTGTCCTCAGGCAGGGAGTAACGAGAGCCTCATTGCTTCAAGCTTTGAACTTAAAAGCTTGAACTTGAAAGTTTCCCTGGCCAATGACTGAGATGATGAAGTGAACAGGTCCTGTGCCCTAAAGCACTTTTCCAAAATGAGTTTGTCCCTGCCCTGGGACAATGCATGTTTTGATCCCAGCTTGCCAAGATTAAGCTTTGTGTGCCTTGGAAAGTGACTTGACATCTCCAGACCTCAATTTCCTCACCCATGAAAGACTGTGGAAACTCAAAGAGAAGACAAAGGTAACACACTCAAAACAGTTCTTGGCACATAGTAAGCACCCGGTAAGTGCTACCCATTATTAGTTTTATTATTGTCATTAATATTGTTTCTGTTCTCCTCTGTTC
Source organism: Homo sapiens (assembly GCF_000001405.40). NCBI lineage: Eukaryota > Metazoa > Chordata > Mammalia > Primates > Hominidae > Homo > Homo sapiens. The sequence continues at coordinate 117,845,543 of NC_000010.11, read as the reverse complement.
AGCTAGCAAGTAAAATCAACTGGCTATTACCAGAAAACATCCTCCCTCAACATTCTGGGCATGAAGTGCTTCTCCTCTCATCATTAATACACAGGCACCGGTCCTGACAGAAACAGTTAAACCAGAGTGGGTCATGACTGCATTTATTCCCATTAGCATCTGCTTTCTAGTGCTTATTATAGTTATTATTATTATTGTTCTGCAGCCCCATGACTTTAACACATGGCTATTTATTTTCCTTTATAATTTTTTTCAAAGGCTGTTATCCCACTCTTTGTGAAAGTCCCACCTAACTAGGTCTACTTGGAGCCTATCATCTGCTAATGTATTTTTTTTTTCTGTTAAAGAAATTTTCCCTACTAACTTAGAAAAGGAAGAAACAGTGTCCAGCTTGACCTATCCAGTTAGACTAATCCCCATGTCATGATTGTTCTCTTTTAATTAGACTTCCCAACAGTTTTCCCAGGTCCAAACAGAGACTCCTCAGGGATCTGTGAGATCGGAAAAAGATTTTCCATAATCTTAGAAAAGCAGAAATCCTGAAACACATCCCCTTTTGCTCTATAACTGCAGAACTTGCCCTAGTGGGAAGCCCACTGTGGCCCCTTATGCATCCCAGACTCCTCCCAGCCATGCCTGAGTGTTCATTTCCTAGGTGGTTTCAGATAGTGCCAATTCTTATACTGAATTAGGAATTAGAGATTCTCTTTGCCCACTTAAATGGATAATGGGCTTTCAGCAGAGGAAGCAAATGTTTATTAAACATGGCCAGGCATGATGGCTTGCACCTGTAATCCCAGCTCTTTGGGAGGCTGAGGCAGGTGGATCACTTGAGGCCAGGAGTTGAAGACCAGCCTGGCCCACATGGTGTACCCCATCTCTACTAAAAACACAAAAACACCCAGCGAACTAAATAAATGGTTGTTGTTTTAAATTACTAAGTTTTCAGGGGCTGTTATGCAGCTATAGATAACTGATACAGATAATACCATGAAAATACTATAATAGTAATTACATAATTGGATTATGATGAGAATTAGTGAGATTATATATATAATACATTTAGCACCTAGCACAGAAGAAATCCTCTATAAATGTCTATTATCATTATCATCCTCCTCTTAATCATCCCACTCTACAAATGAGAAAACTGAGGTTTAGAAAAGTTTAGGAAATGTGTCAGTAAACAGCTAAGTCTGTTTTCAAACACTATCTGCTTATAAAGCTGTGAGCTATTCTCTGTGGAAAATTTCTTTCTGTTTGCTCTGTCCTCAAGTCATTGGTACACCCAAATGCTAAATGAATTCACCAGAATTCCAACAGGAAAATGGTTCTCACTCTACCCCTCTTCTCCTTTGAATCTGTAACAAACCTTTAAATAAAAGTTGTTAACACAGATATTTATGTATATCTATATATTCACACACAAAGAAAAGTGTTCAACATTTTCAATTAATTGCTTAAAATGAAAACACTCAAATTAGAGTTTGGAAGGATACTCCAAGTTGTCTTCAAATTCTTATTTGTTAAAATATTCTAATAGCAACTGGTTCACATCTCAACGCAGGAACAGTCTCCAGTATGGTTATCTAGGCAGCAGTCCCCATCTTTTGTGGCACCAGGGAACGATTTTGTGGAAGACAATTTGTCCACAGACTGGAGGTGGTGGGGATGGTTTCAGGATGATTCAAGTGCATTACATGCATTGCGCACTTTATTTCTATTATTATTGCATTGTAATATGTAATGAAATAATTATACACTTCACTATAATGTAGAATTAGTGGGAGCCCTGAGCTTGTTTTCCTGCAACTAGATGGTCCTGTCTGGGGGTGATGAGAGACAGTGGCAGATCATTAGGTATTAGATTCTCATAAGGAGACCCAACAGTTTGAGAGGCTGAGGTGGGAAGATCACTTGAGGTCAGGAGTTCGAGACCAGCCTGGTCAATATGGTGAAACCTCGTCTCTACTAAAAATACAAAAATTAGCTGGGCATGGTGGCACGTGACTGTAATCTCAGCTACTTGGTAGGCTGGGGCAGGAGAATCGCGTGAACCTGGGAAACGGAGGTTGCAGTGAGCCGAGATCACGCCATTGCACTCCAGCCTGGGCATCTGAGCAAGATTCCATCTCAAAAAAAAGATTCTCATAAGGAGCATGCAACCTAGATCCCTTGCATGCACAGTTCATGAGAGCATTTGCACTCGTATGAGAAGCTGATTCTGGTACTGGTCCATAGCCTGGGAGTTAGAGACCCCTGATCTATGGAATAGTCTTGTTGCTTAGAATGCTTGGCAGAAGTCAATCGAATGTTGCTGAGTAAAATAATAAAAGGAAAGAAAATCTTAAAGGTTCTTAATAATTGTTAGTCCTACAACACCATATACTTTTTTTTTTCCAGGTAAGGGCCAAGGGTAAGGGTCATGAGCATGTGAGTAAGTTGACTTCAACATATTCACATGAATTAGTAGGCAGAATCCCATTGAAGACATGAATCTGCTGCACTGCTGTGTACCTTTACCAGGAAGGCAGATGTGGTATGGGTGAAATGTTTGGGAAGGGGACACAGATGACTTGAATGTGTTTATCTTCCATTCTGATAAAAATCCAGTGATTTTTATACTGTCACGGATCAAATGGAATCATAGCTAAAAGGTGAAATTTACATCCTTGTGTTCATCTTCTTGTGATAATTCAATCATGTAACTAGGTTTATGGTCATTTTATAAATTATCACTCCCATTCCTAGAGGAGTGAGAAATACATTCCTCATTATACCACATACACTGTGTGCCAGGGAAGGAACTGGAAGGCAAAAAGCCAGACTGATGGGTAAAGGATTCTTCAGCCACCATGGAAAATTAATTAATGGAATTCTTTTCCAGAATGAACAACAATGTCATTCCTTAGGGCAGAGACTTCAGGGATTCACCAAATATTCACTCTTTCTCTTTTTGTATCAACAGAACTGTATTTCCCAGCCTCCTGGCAGCCAGAAGTAGCCAGGTGACCAAGTGGTATCTAGGCAGAAGGCCTTTTGCTCTTCTCCTTCCTCCTGGAATTCAGATGTGATGGTTGGAACTATAGCAGCCAATTTGCAATTATTTCATACAGAAGTGTTTTGAATCTCAGCCCAAGTTCCCTCACTTATGAGTTGAGCAATTAATCTCACTGTGCTATGCCTCAATGTCCTCACCTGTCAAGTCCAGATAACAGTAGTACCTGGTCATGGATAAGTTTAGCCACATAGAGGTCCTTGCAGAATGATTGTGTATAGTGAATGTTTGGTCAAAGACAGGTGCATTCTGTCGAAGCACCAGGAATAGAGGTAATAATGGTAGTTGGGGTAATTTTCTCAGTAGTAACAATTATAATAATAAAGTGAGCTGAGGGCCAAACTTAAAATAGCACTTAAAATGCTATTACGAAGAGTTTGGATTTTATTCCATGAAAAGAACATGTTGAATAATCTTAAACAGGAGAAAGACGTGACTCTATCCAAGTTATAGGAAAGCCTTGGATGGATTCAATGTTGCAGATGGAATTAACTTCTCTTGATACCAACTGTTATATTGAAGGGTAAAGGGCGTTAAATAAGAAGGATGCTTATTTGCTCAGAAATTAATTTGATGTCCTCAGTAACACTTACTGATATGGTTGAATGGAGTGGGAGTTTTTATCTAAATGACTCTGCTCTGCAGGGGTTGATTAAGCCACAGGTAGGAGTTTTGTCCTAGATATTCCTTTGTAGGGTGCTCTGGGCTTGACTGTTGGCAAAACTTCCTAAAGCAGGGATTTCCTGCACTTTCAGCATAAGCACAGGCACTGTCATTTTTTTGAAACTGTAGTTAGCCCCTAACTGACTTGAAGATTCTGAAACATTTTCAAATTCCAAGTGCAGCAACTGCAACTGATTGAGACATCAAATTACTTGGGTTCTTGGCATTGATGAGAAAAAAAGTATTATTTAAGTCATCTTTGGTTTCAAAACAGGGGACTAAAATTTGCTCCCAAGTTTGAAACTGCTGTGTATTCCATCCATCTTCAAGGTGGGTATGTGATTGGCTACGGAAATGCTCTATGCAAAAACTGTAAGGCCTTAATGGACCATCCCGAGTTAAACTACATAGAAACCATTATTGAGCAGGATTCTATTTTTCTACTTATTTGGATATAACCAGAAACATAACATGACTATTATTATTCATTTAAAATCACTTCAGCTGGCTGGGCACAGTGGCTCACACCTATAATCCCAGCACTTTGAGAGGCTGAAGTGGGCAGATCACTTGAGGTCAGGAGTTCGAGACCAGCCTGGCCAATACAGCTACTAAAAATACAAAAATTAGCCAGAAATCGATTGAACCTGGGAGGCGGAGGTTGCAGTGAGCTGAGATCGTGCCACTGCACTCCAGCCTGGGCAACAGAGTGAAACTTCATCTCAATAAAATAAAACAAAATAAAAAAATAAAATCACTTGAGCTGATAAAAAGCCTGATGAAAAATTTGAGATCACCAAACACCCCGCTGCTGTTGCAAATTCACATATTATCAGACATTTGTATTTGGACCACTTTCAGCCACGGGGATACCATATACCCAATTCCCTATTCCATTTAGGGGAAGACGAACACCTCCTTGTGTTCATCTTCTTGTGATAATTCAATCATGTAACCAGGTTTATGGCCATTTTATAAATTATCACTCCTAGTCCTAGAGGAGTAAGAAATACGCCCCTCACTATACCACATACACTGTGTCCCAGGGAAGGAACTGGAAGGCAAAAAGCCAGGCTGATGGGTAAAGGATTCTTCAGCCACCATGGGAATTAATGAATGGAATTCTTTTCAGAACGAACAACAATGTCATTCCTCAGGGCAGAGACTGTGGGGATTCACCAAATATTCACTCTTTCTCTTTTCGTATCAACAAAACTGTGTTTCCTAGCCTCCTGGCAGCCAGGAGTGGCCAGGTGACCAAGTGGTCACCAAGTGGTCTAGGCAGAAGGGCTAGATTCTACCTGATTCTACCTGGTGGCAGGTAAACCAATTAGGTGCATTCTGAAAGCTTGCTCCCAAGGCCTGTGATTATAGGAACCAGAAAAGGGGAAACGGGGTCTGGGAAGTGTTTACACGTGGATCATGATTGGCCAGCTGGTAGAGGCCTTCTGGAAGCCCATGCTGAAGATGCTGAGGCTGTGGATTCAGAGGCAAAACAGACGTGACTGATCAGTAGTGTCTACTGTGAGCCCAGGAGTGGGGAACAGCCCCATGAGGGCCAGGACTTACCATTCCTGAGGACCCTTATCTCAGGAAGGAGACATGGTGTGGAAAGGCTGTCAAATCAGCAGTCTCTTTTTAACTGATCTTGGTTCAAAGAGGATTTAAGGCAACTTACAAATATATGCAATACATATGTGTGGAAATCCAAAACAGTTAGATCTGGGGCAGGCCATGCTTGGATTTTTACTATCCAAGAGTGTCCTTGCGGCAGTCATGTGACTTCTGTGAGCCTCAGTTTCCTCATCTGTAAAATAGGGTGGAATGATCCAGACACCTTCTGAGGTCTCTTCTACCCCTAATCCATATGCTTTTCAAAATGTCCCACACAACCAAGGGAATGATCCTTTGTATGATCAAATAACTTCCAGAGAACTTATGTGGAAGCCTCCCTGCTAACTATTGCTTCATTTAACCCTTAAGAACCCCTCTGAATGAGGTGGCTACTATTACCCCATTTTACAGATAAGAACACTGGGGATCCCAGAAAGTTAAGTAAATTGACCAAGATCACAGATATAGCAAGAACAAAGAAAAGGGAAGTGTATCACAAAGCTTGAGATAAATGCAAAGGCTGGGAGAAACAGCCCTAATTTCACAGATGATGTGGGTTATGGTGAAGGAACAGGAACTTGAGTCTATGCCCCTGAGGCTGGTGGAGGTCTCCGCCCAGCTCTCCATGGAGGACGTCCAACAGCGGGAGCATCTCACCCTGGTCATGTCAGTTTCTCCTCAGGAAGTCCTCAGGCCTGGTCTCTACGGCAAAGTAAGACAAATTTGGAGTGATTGTGAAGGCAACAGAATTTGGCCAGGAACTTGGCCACATAATTTTCTAGTCCCTCCTTACTTTGTTTCTTTGGCTTCCAATATCACATGCATCACTTTGCCAAATTTAGGCTTTCTGGTTTACCACAGAATGGCCAGGGTAACCGCAGTACACCGATGGGGAGCCAGGAGGGGGCCTGAGGTCACACCAGCAAGCCGGCAGCTGCCTCTGGGGTGGAGATCCAGGCAGCCTTGGAGCTGGGGCAGCCACGGAGCTGGGGCAGCCACAGCCCTGCCTCTGCGTTCAGTTTGACCTTGAAAAGATGGTCTCTCCCCTCCAGAAAATGAGGGAACAGGCCCGTCAGCTAATACTGGGAGAGAAGCTGGGCTTTCTGCTAAGTACCTGGAAATCCTTTACAGGTAAGAGGCTTTAGGCATTGCTGCTCGAAATGTGGTACAAAGACCAACAGCAACAGCATCGCCAGGGAGCTGGTTAGACATGAAGAACCTCAGAACCAGAACCTCAGAACCTATAGAACCAGAGTCGGCGTTTGAGTAAGGTCCCTGGGGGAACTTTCAGACGCTCTGGAGTACCACGCGATTTATGAACATTGAAACAGTCTGCTACAGCTCCCAGCGTGAGCGACGCAGAAGACAGATGATTTCTACATTTCCATCTGAGGTACCGGGTTCATCTCACTAGGGAGTGCCAGACAGTGGGCGCAGGCCAGTGGGTGCGCGCACCATGCGCGAGCCGAAGCAGGGCGAGGCATTGCCTCACCTGGGAAGCGCAAGGGGTCAGGGAGTTCCCTTTCCGAGTCAAAGAAAGGGGTGACGGACGCACCTGGAAAATCGGGTCACTCCCACCCGAATATTGCGCTTCACAGACCGGCTTAAAAAACGGCGCACCACGAGACTATATCCCACACCTGGCTCGGAGGGTCCTACGCCCACGGAGTCTCGCTGATTGCTAGCACAGCAGTCTGAGATCAAACTGCAAGGCGGCAGCGAGGCTGGGGGAGGGGCGCCCGCCATTGCCCAGGCTTGCTTAGGTAAACAAAGCAGCCGGGAAGCTCGAACTGGGTGGAGCCCACCGCAGCTCAAGGAGGCCTGCCTGCCTCTGTAGGCTCCACCTCTGGGGGCAGGGCACAGACAAACAAAAAGACAGCAGTAACCTCTGCAGACTTAAATGTCCCTGTCTGACAGCTTTGAAGAGAGCAGTGGTTCTCCCAGCATGCAGCTGGAGATCTGAGAACGGGCAGACTGCCTCCTCAAGTGGGTCCCTGACCCCTGACCCCCGAGCAGCCTAACTGGGAGGCACCCCCCAGCAGGGGCACACTGACACCTCACACGGCAGGGTATTCCAACAGACCTGCAGCTGAGGGTCCTGTCTGTTAGAAGGAAAACTAACAAACAGAAAGGACATCCACACCGAAAACCCATCTGTACATCACCATCATCAAAGACCAAAAGTAGATAAAACCACAAAGATGGGGAAAAAACAGAACAAAAAAACTGGAAACTCTAAAACGCAGAGCGCCTCTCCTCCTCCAAAGGAACGCAGTTCCTCACCAGCAACGGAACAAAGCTGGATGGAGAATGATTTTGACGAGCTGAGAGAAGAAGGCTTCAGACGATCAAATTACTCTGAGCTACGGGAGGACATTCAAACCAAAGGCAAAGAAGTTGAAAACTTTGAAAAAAATTTAGAAGAATGTATAACTAGAATAACCAATACAGAGAAGTGCTTAAAGGAGCTGATGGAGCTGAAAACCAAGGCTCGAGAACTACGTGAAGAATGCAGAAGCCTCAGGAGCCGATGCGATCAACTGGAAGAAAGGGTATCAGCAATGGAAGATGAAATGAATGAAATGAAGCAAGAAGGGAAGTTTAGAGAAAAAAGAATAAAAAGAAATGAGCAAAGCCTCCAAGAAATATGGGACTATGTGAAAAGACCAAATCTACGTCTGATTGGTGTACCTGAAAGTGATGCGGAGAATGGAATCAAGTTGGAAAACAGTCTGCAGGATATTATCCAGGAGAACTTCCCCAATCTAGCAAGGCAGGCCAACGTTCAGATTCAGGAAATACAGAGAACGCCACAAAGATACTCCTCGAGAAGAGCAACTCCAAGACACATAATTGTCAGATTCACCAAAGTTGAAATGAAGGAAAAAATGTTAAGGGAAGCCAGAGAGAAAGGTCGGGTTACCCTCAAAGGGAAGCCCATCAGACTAACAGCGGATCTCTCGGCAGAAACCCTACAAGCCAGAAGAGAGTGGGGGCCAATATTCAACATTCTTAAAGAAAAGAATTTTCAACCCAGAATTTCATATCCAGCCAAACTAAGCTTCATAAGTGAAGGAGAAATAAAATACTTTACAGACAAGCAAATGCTGAGAGATTTTGTCACCACCAGGCCTGCCCTAAAAGAGCTCCTGAAGGAAGCGCTAAACATGGAAAGGAACAACCGGTACCAGCCGCTGCAAAATCATGCCAAAATGTAAAGACCATCGAGACTAGGAAGAAACTGCATCAACTAACGAGCAAAATCACCAGCTAACATCATAATGACAGGATCAAATTCACACATAACAATATTAACTTTAAATGTAAATGGACTAAATTCTCCAATTAAAAGACACAGACTGGCAAGTTGGATAAAAAGTCAAGACCCATCAGTGTGCTGTATTCAGGAAACCCATCTCACGTGCAGAGACACACATAGGCTCAAAATAAAACGATGGAGGAAGATCTACCAAGCAAATGGAAAACAAAAAAAGGCAGGGGTTGCAATCCTAGTCTCTGATAAAACAGACTTTAAACCAACAAAGATCAAAAGAGACAAAGAAGGCCATTACATAATGGTAAAGGGATCAATTCAACAAGAGGAGCTAACTATCCTAAATATACATGCACCCAATACAGGAGCACCCAGATTCATAAAGCAAGTCCTGAGTGACCTACAAAGAGACTTAGACTCCCACACATTAATAATGGGAGACTTTAACACCCCACTGTCAACATTAGACAGATCAATGAGACAGAAAGTCAACAAGGATACCCAGGAATTGAATTCAGCTCTGCACCAAGCGGACCTAATAGACATCTACAGAACTCTCCACCCCAAATCAAAAGAATATACATTTTTTTCAGCACCACACCATACCTATTCCAAAATTGACCACATAGTTGGAAGTAAAGCTCTCCTCAGCAAATGTGAAAGAACAGAAATTATAACAAACTATCTCTCAGACCACAGTGCAATCAAACTAGAACTCAGGATTAAGAATCGCACTCAAAGCCGCTCAACTACATGGAAACTGAACAACCTGCTCCTGAATGACTACTGGGTACATAACGAAATGAAGGCAGAAATAAAGATGTTCTTTGAAACCAACGAGAACAAAGACACAACATACCAGAATCTCTGGGACGCATTCAAAGCAGTGTGTAGAGGGAAATTTATAGCACTAAATGCCCACAAGAGAAAGGAGGAAAGATCCAAAATTGACACCCTAACATCACAATTAAAAGAACTAGAAAAGCAAGAGCAAACACATTCAAAAGCTAGCAGAAGGCAAGAAATAACTAAAATCAGAGCAGAACTGAAGGAAATAGAGACACAAAAAACCCTTCAAAAAATCAATGAATCCAGGAGCTGGTTTTTTGAAAGGATCAACAAAATTGATAGACCACTAGCAAGACTAATAAAGAAAAAAAGAGAGAAGAATCAAATAGACAAAATAAAAAATGATAAAGGGGATATCACCACCGATCCCACAGAAATACAAACTACCATCAGAGAATACTACAAACACCTCTACGCAAATAAACTAGAAAATCTAGAAGAAATGGATACATTCCTTGACACATACACTCTCCCAAGACTAAACCAGAAGAAGTTGAATCTCTGAATAGACCAATAACAGGAGCTGAAATTGCGGCAATAATCAATAGTTTACCAACCAAAAAGAGTCCAGGACCAGATGGATTCACAGCCAAATTCTACCAGAGGTACAAGGAGGAACTGGTACCATTCCTTCTGAAACTATTCCAATCAATAGAAAAAGAGGGAATCCTCCCTAACTCATTTTATGAGGCCAGCATCATTCTGATACCAAAGCCGGGCAGAGACAACCAAAAAAGAGAATTTTAGACCAATATCCTTGATGAACATTGATGCAAAAATCCTCAATAAAATACTGGCAAACCGAATCCAGCAGCACATCAAAAAGCTTATCCACCATGATCAAGTGGGCTTCATCCCTGGGATGCAAGGCTGGTTCAATATACGCAAATCAATAAATGTAATCCAGCATATAAACAGAGCCAAAGACAAAAACCACATGATTATCTCAATAGATGCAGAAAAAGCCTTTGACAAAATTCAACAATGCTTCATGCTAAAAACTCTCAATAAATTAGGTATTGATGGGACGTATTTCAAAATAATAAGAGCTATCTATGACAAACCCACAGCCAATATCATACTGAATGGGCAAAAACTGGAAGCATTCCCTTTGAAAACTGGCACAAGACAGGGATGCCCTCTCTCACCGCTCCTATTCAACATAGTGTTGGAAGTTCTGGCCAGGGCAATCAGGCAGGAGAAGGAAATAAAGGATATTCAATTAGGAAAAGAGGAAGTCAAATTGTCCCTGTTTGCAGACGACATGATTGTTTATTTAGAAAACCCCATCGTCTCAGCCCAAAATCTCCTTAACCTGATAAGCAACTTCAGCAAAGTCTCAGGATATAAAATCAATGTACAAAAATCACAAGCATTCCTACACACCAACAACAGACAAACAGAGAGCCAAATCATGAGTGAACTCCCATTCACAATTGCTTCAAAGAGAATAAAATACCTAGGAATCCAACTTACAAGGGATGTGAAGGACCTCTTCAAGGAGAACTACAAACCACTGCTCAAGGAAATAAAAGAGGATACAAACAAATGGAAGAACATTCCATGCTCATGGGTAGGAAGAATCAATATCGTGAAAATGGCCATACTGCCCAAGGTAATTTACAGATTCAATGCCATCCCCATCAAGCTACCAATGACTTTCTTCACAGAATTGGAAAAAACTACTTTAAAGTTCATATGGAACCAAAAAAGAGCCCGCATCGCCAAGTCAATCCTAAGCCAAAAGAACAAAGCTGGAGGCATCACACTACCTGACTTCAAACTATACTACAAGGCTACAGTAACCAAAACAGCATGGTACTGGTACCAAAACAGAGATATAGATCAATGGAACAGAACAGAGCCCTCAGAAATAATGCCACTTACCTACAACTATCTGATCTTTGACAAACCTGAGAAAAACAAGCAATGGGGAAAGGATTCCCTATTTAATAAATGGTGCTGGGAAAACTGGCTAGCCATATGTAGAAAGCTGAAACTGGATCCCTTCCTTACACCTTATACAAAAATCAATTCAAGATGGATTAAAGATTTAAACGTTAGACCTAAAACCATAAAAACCCTAGAAGAAAACCTAGGCATTACCATTCAGGACATAGGCGTGGGCAAGGACTTCATGTCCAAAACACCAAAAGCAATGGCAACAAAAGCCAAAATTGACAAATGGGATCTAATTAAACTAAAGAGCTTCTGCACAGCAAAAGAAACTACCATCAGAGTGAACAGGCAACCTACAAAATGGGAGAAAATTTTTGCAACCTACTCATCTGACAAAGGGCTAATATCCAGAATCTACAATGAACTCAAACAAATTTACAAGAAAAAAACAAACAACCCCATCAAAAAGTGGGCGAAGGACATGAACAGACACTTCTCAAAAGAAGACATTTATGCAGCCAAAAAACACATGAAAAAATGCTCATCATCACTGTCCATCAGAGAAATGCAAATCAAAACCACTATGAGATATCATCTCACACCAGTTAGAATGGCAATCATTAAAAAGTCAGGAAACAACAGGTGCTGGAGAGGATGTGGAGAAACAGGAACACTTTTACACTGTTGGTGGGACTGTAAACTAGTTCAACCATTGTGGAAGTCAGTGTGGCGATTCCTCAGGGATCTAGAACTAGAAATACCATTTGACCCAGCCATCCCATTACTGGGTATATACCCAAATGACTATAAATCATGCTGCTATAAAGACACATGCACACGTATGTTTATTGCGGCATTATTCACAATAGCAAAGACTTGGAACCAACCCAAATGTCCAACAATGATAGACTGGATTAAGAAAATGTGGCACATATACACCATGGAATACTATGCAGCCATAAAAAATGATGAGTTCATGTCCTTTGTAGGGACATGGATGAAATTGGAAACCATCATTGTCAGTAAACTATCGCAAGAACAAAAAACCAAACACCGCGTATTCTCACTCATAGGTGGGAATTGAACAATGAGATCACATGGACACAGGAAGGGGAATATCACACTCTGGGGACTGTGGTGGGGAGGGGGAGGGAGGAGGGATAGCATTGGGAGATATACCTAATGCTAGATGACACGTTAGTGGGTGCAGCGCACCAGCATGGCACATGTATACATATGTAACTAACCTGCACAATGTGCACATGTACCCTAAAACTTAAAGTATAATTAAAAATAAAATAATAAAAATAAATAAATAAATAAATAAATAAATAAACAAACAGTCTGATGTTTGTGCCCCAAACTAGACCAATTAAATCAAAATCCCTAGGGAGGATGCCCAGGTTTGGGTAGTATTTAAAGCTCCCCAGGTGATTTTAAGGTGCAGCCTAGGTTAAGAACCACTGATTTCTCATTCCGTGCACCCTCTCTCCTCAATCAAAAGCTGCACTAGCCATTTCTAGATGACAGTTGGCAACTGAATCTTCAACGAAAAGGGTAAATGAAGGACAGTATGTTTTTTATAAACATAAACTGATTCCACTTAAAGGATTGACTTTTCTATTGAAATTATATCCTTACTGTTTTCTTTTGCATGTTTAAAAATGTTCCTTCTTTTATGAAATGTGGGGGGGGGGGGAGGTGTTGAATGTTATTCATTACAAAATAAAGAGCAACAAACCCTATTTAATACCCTATTTTTTTTCCAGAGATAGAATCTTGCCCTGTTGCCCAGGCTGGAGTGCAGTGGTGCAATCCAGGCTCACTGTAACCTTGACCTCCTGGGCCCAAGGGATCCTCCGACCTTAGCATCCCAAGTAGCTGGGACTATAGGCACGCACCACCATGCTCTGTGCACCTGTAGTCCCAGCAATCCTACCACCTCAGCCACTGCACCCAGCCCTGAATTTTTGAAAAATCCAAAGCCTAAGAATCACAATTCTAGAAAATAGATTCAAATATTTCTGTGGATACAGTCTCCACCGCCTCCCTTCTCTATCCCAACTCCCACCTCCTCAAATTAAAACAAAAGTCGCTTCACTCAGCAAGGTACTACATCATGAGTCAGAACTCAGGAAATGATTCCAGCCTTGGACACAAGCATGTGATAAAATGTAGAAAGACATGGAGTTAGGTTAAATAACACAGGGTGTCCCATTATGTAACATGCTAGATTTTTGAAACAAATGGTGATATTCATGATTAACCTACACTGGCCATCTACAGAGGAGTTTCTTGGACACACGTGATTCTCAAATGTTAGCATGTCTCAGAATCACCTGGAAGGCTTGTTAAACCCTAGATGACTGTCTTACCCCTTGAGTGTTTGATTCACTGGGGCTGGGGTGGGGCCCGAGAAATGTGCATTTCTAACCAGCTCCCAGGTAAAGCTGATGTTGCTTATTCAGGACCACATGGTGAGAACCACTGCTTTAGATAGAGAGAAATTGCTAGAGAAAATGCATTTCTTGCAACAACAACAAAAATGTCTATTTTTCATTTAGTTTGTCTATAGATTATGTGTATCTTCAGCAGGAATAAGTCAGTTGAAGAGAATGATTTGCAGTGATCTTATAAAATCAGTTTTTTAAAACAGCATCATATTTGCTGAGAAGTCCTGGACGGGAAAGGGAATGTCTTGTGTTGGAGGTAGGTGAATAATCTCACGGAGCAGTGGTCTCCTTTGAGGCCTGAACTTCATGTCTTTCAGTGTCTCCTTGGATGTCCCGTCCTTCTCCCACTCCATCTGGGCCTCTGATTCCCAGAGCAGCTCTAATCAGATGCACCTTACCGAAGGCGGGCTCCCTGTTGTCCAATGCGGATCACAGGCCCACTACATTTAGCGGAAGTGGAAAAAAAAAACACCCACGCAGCCCCACTTCGGGACACACCTGCAGCCCAGCGGACAGCCCACCAGCCTCCAAACAGTTCTGCGAAAAATTAGGCTATCTTTCATTAGCTATCTATCATGCGGCCTCCACCAGGCTGCAGGATATGAGGGCCATTTAATTAGGCCCTGCACCACTCTCGGGTGTGAAAAGGCTCTCAAACGCTTTGATTCCCCGCTGCTTCGCAGCAGGAAGTTGTTGGCGATAATTGACATAGGATTTCCTTGTTAACCAGCAGCAGACACGCCGGATTAAAGCGACAGAGATCTCGAGAAGAAAGTGAAAGAGATAAGAAGCTCGGAAGACTTCTGCTTATTTGGCACTTGAGGATGGCAGGAAACAGCAATAACCTACTCAAGTGGCGACTCTAGAGTGGAAGGGCGTCCCCTTATCAGACCTATTTCAGCTTGGCTGATCAAAGATTGACTCCCCGCAAAATCACATAGGCCTGGGGTTTGTTAGTTTATTAAGCAGCAGGTTTTAGGAATTATCACAGGTTTAAAGATGGATTGCAGTTTATGTGAAGGGGGAGAGGATTATCGGGTTTTCATCTTAACAATTATAAAATATCACAGCTGAAAGCTTGCTTGCAAATGACATAATTTTCCACTGCCAACTAAACAGGTCATTGTGAGGCTGCCTGTGAGCGCACTCAACGAGGGAGGAAATACAGGCAAATTAACTCTGGGGAGGACCGGGGATGAGGGGCCTCCACGCCTTGTTCCACTTCGGAAGACGGTGCGATCTCATTTTGCCCTGTGCGATTCCTTAGGTAATTATATTTAATTTCTTACCGGGGCCATTAGGTCGGCTTGCATTAAAAGAGAGGGACGAGAGAAACAGCCCACTGAGATGATTCCTAAAATGCAGTTGTGAGAAATGGTACTGAAATAGAGCCGCAGGACTGGAGTGAAATAAATGTCCACTTTGGAATACAGACAATTATTGTATATCACTTAATAACCTTACAGGAGTACATGTGGCATTAATAAAGGATGCGGAGCTGTAAAAGCGTGTTATGGGACTACCTTTTGACAACTCTATACAGGTCCTGGAATAGCGGAGCCATGAGACAGGTTTGCAGTTCTGCTTGCCTGTGTATGGACTGTGGATCTGTGCTTCAGATAACTACCTCAGCACAAGGGCTTGCATCCTTTCTGGCTTTTAAAAATAGCATTTGCTGGCTTTTGGGTTGGTTTTTGGTTTTTTATTTTTTTAGTTATCATAGAAATAGGTGATGGTGGCAGAAAATTTAGGAACTCCAGCAAAATGTTTAGAATGAATAAAAAGAATACCCCCGTCCACCGAGTGGTAAGCGCTGGTAAAGCCCTCAGATTTTGTTGTTACACAAACACAAATACTTCATTTGTCATGAAATCGGGTTCAGTCCTTGTAATTTTTTGAAATGCAGTTTACATAATAAGGCATGAATTTCCCCTATATTTAGGATATATTATTTGAAGGTATGATTTTGAGTTGTAGCATTACATATGATAATATAATTAACCTAAGTAATCCCCGATAGTTGGACATTCAGATTGTTGTCAATTGTTTGCTATTCAAAGCTAAAATGACCAGCTTTGAACACAATTCTTTATGTGTTTTACTGCTTCCTTGGCAGAGTTGGAATTAAAAGTAGAATTTCTGGCTCAAAAAGCATGGGCATTTTTAAGGACACTGATACCCGCTCACATTTGCAGATTCTCAACATAACTTGGTGTTTTCCTGGTGTTGAAGTCAGAAGCATTTTGTGTCTTCCATCTTGAAATGGGAGCATATGACGGCAGCTATTTTATTTAAAGATCAGTCATTCTATCTTGGGTTCTTTCGTTCTGATCTGACCTTTCGCAGTTAAGCACTGTGACAATGACAATAAACAGTGGTTCAATAATCAAGTTAATAGGGCCAAACTCTGAAGATAATCATGTCAATGTTAACGACTTTAAACATCTTTTATCGGAGAAGTTCAAGTTCCTCTAAGAGCACCAATTCATTATCCTTCACAAGTGCAAAGGGAATTGGTTGAAAAAGCAACAAAAACAAAAACCTTTAAAGCAGACTGAGAGGGAGACAGTGAGAGGGAGGAGGAGAGAAGTTGGTTCTGAATCAAGCTTTTTGTCTAAATAAAATAACCGTTAGGGCCTGATCTAGTATAGAAAAGATGGGTTTTTGGTTTTGTTTTTAAGTTTTGTTTTTAATTTGCTGCAAAAAGGCTGGGGCCTGTGAGCCATAGGTCTTTGAGAATCTACCTTGAAAACAACAAAACAAAGTCATCTTTACATTCTGTGCCCTTAACATCATTCCTGTTTGAACATGGTTTCAGGTATAACATCCAATTGCTCCTGTTGGAAGGGACACTCTGCATGTAAATGGCAGAGACACTCTGGTTCACTCAAATGTATTGTTCCTGAAAGAAAGGAAGTGGTCTGCAGAGGTAAAAGTTTATGCTGCTGAAGGATTTTTCTGCATAATTTTCTCCCAACGAGGATGTAAAAAAGATGCTTTTATTTAACCCATAATTCTTTGGAAAACATCTATCTATGAAAAAAGTAATCTTTTTAATATATCGATGTATGAAAAAATATATGTATCTATGAATTGACCTATAGTTCTTTTTAAAATGTATACCTATAAAATTATTTTTGAAAAACTCAATGTAGGCATTATGTATCTGCTAGCATATTACAAGCAATATTTAATCATTCATTATTTTGAAGCCACTTATATTTTTCCATCTACAGGTAAAGTTGGAAAATGGTTGTTTACCTGTCAGCACCAGAGTCTAAAACTTACTACATTGAAATCACACCAAGCATGAACATAGGGTACCATGTGCCAGAAATTAGCCTGTTTCTGATGGGGAAAAATAAACTGGCATGAAATTTATTTTTCCTAAATGTTCTCTTTTGTCCTTTTTATTTTGAGGTAACCCCTAGTTACTTTATAAGGCAAAATGCAATGAGGTCTTTATCCACAGTGCAACTTAGTAGACTGAAGGCATTTGTAAGTTCTGCTTCACAGTAACCCTGACTTTCAACAGTTTTACTCATCTGAAGGGCTGAAGAGTAACCAGTCTCCTGTCCCCTGATCCTGCTGATGGAAGAGACTTAGAAATCATTTCATCAGCCAGGGCTGCTTTGCCCAGAGAAACATCTGTCCAAGAAGGCAGACAAACCAGGGGAGTATCAGTAACTGAAATGAAATATAGCAAGGACATCACCTTCTCGATCTGTTCCTGGACTGTGCCTTGGGAAGGATTGTCCCTGGACCTCTTGTAATTTAGAGTAGAGAAATCAGAGTCAAAAGGGCCTTGTTGTAAATAGTTTTCTCGTTACCGTCTTGGAAAATTTCCAGCAAAGTTCTGGGAAAATAACATGATGCCCTGATGCTAGTAATATAGTCTGACTCGCAATTCCACCTTCCATGGGACTGTACACATAAATGAAAACAAATTTCTAAGCTTGAGTTTAAGACTGTATCTATAAAGAATATCCACAGAGAAGGTCAGGGAGTTCTTTCTAAATACAGTAATCAACTCTGCTTTTTCAAATAAGGAAGAGTTTGTACTTCCAATCTTCTACGGAGAAGAACTGCAATGCTCAAACTCTTTTAAGTTTCCTTTGAGGCCTAACAAAACAAGGTTTGTTTTAAAAATCCTTTCATCAAGAAGACCCTCAGGACTGCTTTTATTTATTATTAAGTTGCAAATCCTTTATCCACAAGAGAAAGGACTTTATATTATAGATCTATGATCTATCTAGAGAATCAACATTCAATATATGTGATATATATTGAATATATATATTCCCATCAATATTATCAATATTCTATGTATATCATATATATTGAATATATATTCTCATCTATATGTAATCTATATATATTCTATAGAATCTATATATTTCATATAATTATATATTATAAAATTATATAATACAAGTATGCATAGTATATATTATAGAATAATATATATAATAAATATATATAAAAATCATGACGTGTTATAATGATAATATGCAGCAAAAGAAGAACAAAAAAGGACACAGGGGCATTTTATAAATTGTCATTTCTGAATTTTTTTTCTTACATCTTTCTATAGAAGATACTCAGCTAGAAGATTCCTCTGTGAGGCTGCTAGTACTTCTCCAGCAGACCAAGCCAGGAGAGCTTTCTCAAAGGTAAGCTGATTTTCTCAACACCCGTAATGAAAGTCAGTCACTCACATATATCAGGGACTTCCTGTGTATGTCAGGCGTGGTTTTAAGTGCTTTGTTACATGATCTGATTTAATCCTCACAGCATCCTATGTGCAAAACAAATTTCCAAAACTAGAAGTCTTCATTTACTCATTTCTTTAAAAATAAGCATTTATTAAGTGTCTCCTATTGGTCAGGCTCTGCACTGAGTGTTGAGGATTTGAAGGCAAAAAAAGACACTGAGTACATGCGGGAAAATAGGCCCGTAAGTCAGTAGAGTAGAACACAGTCAGAAGGAGGCAGGGTACTGAGTGGCTGGTGCACTGGTTTCTGATTCAGAGGAACCTGAATTGGGATCCCAGCTCCAATACTTCTATTGAATTTCCTTGGGCAAAATGTGTGACTTCTCCAGGCCTTGGGTGTCTAATCCATAAAGTGGCAATAATAATACTGATTTTACCAGTTGCTTCAAGGATTAAAAGACACCCACATGTCACCCACATAGCAAGGAGCTGACATCTAGTATGTACTTAATAAATGGTACTACCTACTCATTATTACTGTTCATGCTGTAACCATTTAGTCAAGTATTTTAGAATTACAAAAAAATTTCAGAACATGAAGTTTTCATCTCTAACATCAATCTCGCTCCTTACAGATTCTACCAGATTTTCCAGGGGTTCTCAAAGATTGTCTGCAAACCAGCTCTGATAAATGATTGCAGCTTCTTGAGTCTATAGAGAGAGACCTTTATGCTCTCTCTACTAGGAAGTAATGCTTTTTTCCCTGAGATTATGTTCTTTTTAAAATTTTTATGTGCTTTTAAAATCTCATGTGTGTATTAACATGTCCTTTCTTTATAGAATGTTGAAGACAATATATAAATTTCTGAAAAGATTTGAATGATTTGATTTGGCAAAATAAAGAATTGCCAATCCTACATAGAGCTCCATACACCAATTTTTAAAAATAATTTTATTGCTTCACAAAATCTGGGAACCACTGGATATATGAAGTATCTCTTTTAGCTAAAGCAAAGTCAACTCTCACCCTCGAAAAAAGTTCATTTTTTGATCTGTTTTTATTTTTCTGTGGCAAAAAGTGCTTTTGTGATGCCTCTATGAATAAAAGACTCATTTTCCTAAGTGATGCATCTGCTTTTAATGTCTTAAATGCTGGGATAGAACAGACATATCTTCCCTGGTCTGGGTTTTCTTAAATAGCCAGAAGTCTTCGTGATGAAGACAAGCAAGCATCTAATAGAGAAATAACTCCAAGACAAAGTGCCGTGGCTGCACGATGTCGCCTCCCTGACAACCTATAAATGGACCATATTGATGAAGTGAACAGGACTCTCTCTGGTCATTTTCAACTAGAAACTAATAATCCCCGTCATGATATCAGGCATGCAATAACCTCGGTTAAGACTAGGTTCATCAAATAAATCACTCAGGAATTTCTCTATTTCTTTCTCTGGACACATTGCACATCTGCTCAATGAAAGGAAGAAAGAAGCAATATTTCTTTGATCAGGAATTTTTTTTTAATATTCTTGTATCCATCCCTTGGGATACTATCTTTTCAAGTGGGTGCAGATAATACATCACTTTCTAATGAATGTGGAGAATTTATGAATTTAAGCTATAAAACCAAATATGAGGGATTTTAGTTTATCTCAATCTATATTTTACACTGTCATGAGAAAATAAACCGGACCACAAAGCTGTATTGTGCCCAGTTCACTAAATCTCCTGATCTCTCATGACCTTTTCAATGTGTTCCATTTGTGGCCACATATGGGAGGGGGATACAAACAGATGATCGCTTTGTACTTTTTCCCAATATGTCTAAATACATGTTACACTTTTCATATCCTCTCAGCCGCGGACAGTAAGGGCTTGGCCAGAGCATCAGACATCAGCCTCAGCTAATATTGTTGTATGTTAACATCTTACTGACTCTGTTAATACAGGTATTGGGTGAATTTGGAAATTTGGAAAATGGATATGCTTGTCATTCTGTGTCCTGGAGATCTTAAAAGCCCTAGGTCAGTTCCCCAAGTCTTAAGGAATTATAGACAGAAGATGTCTTTTCTGCATGTAAAACAGAAAACTGTAAAAGCTGCACAGCTAGGTTAGCTAAGCTGTCCTGAGTGTAGAACAAAAAGTGAATGAAAAGGCAAGGCCTCCAGTCTGCTCTTGCTGGCCTGTTCTACCAGTCTTAAGCCAATTATGGTCGAGGGCACTAGGAGCCAAGTTCAAGTCCCAGCTCTGCCATCTGGCACCTTTGTGGCAGGACAATCACATAAACCTTGAGTTCCTCATGGGTGAATTTGGGATAAAGGTACTGATCTGTAAGGAGTTCAGTGGGTTAAGGTTGAGGAGATATTTGGCACCTGGACTGCTACGTCAGTGGTCCCCAAACTTTTTGGCACCAGAGACTGGTTTTGTGGAAGACAATTTTTCCATGGACCAGGCAGTGGGGGGATGGTTTGGGGATGATTCAAGAACATTACATTTATTGTGCACTTTATTTCTATTATTATTGCATTGTAATCTATAATGAAATAGTTATACAATTCACCATAATGTAGAACCAGCAGGAGCCCTGAGCTTGTTTTCCTGCAACTAGATGGTCCTATGTGGGGGTGATGGGAGACAGATCATCAGGCATTAGACTCTCATAAGGAGCACGCAACCTAGATCCCTCTCATGCACAGTTACAAAAGGGTTCACATTCTTATGAGAATCTGATGCTGCCGCTGATCTTGACAGGAGGCGGAGCTTAGGCAGTAACAGGAACAATGGGGAGTGGCTGTAAAGACAGATAAAACTTCACTCACTCATCCACCGCTTACCTCCCACTGTGTGGTCAGGTCCTTAACAGGCCATGGTGCTCCATGACCTGGGATGGGGACCCCTGTGCTAGGTGGTAGGTGCCCAATGAGTGTTAGTTCCCTTTCTTTTCCTTGGTTCAAAGCCCAGCCTTACGACTTGCTAGCTGTGTGATCCTGTGCATGTTACTTAACCTCTCTGACCCTCAGCTTCACCCTTTGTAAAATAAAGACTATTATAAAATGTATCTTGTAGGGTTGTTATAAATCAGCACAAAGTTCCTAGGACAGTGCCTGAGATATAGTTGTTGTTTGCTGTTGTTATGGTAACTTCTTAAAAACTCTTAATATTATTTCTGTTACTGCAACATTACTGTTATTTTTCCCCTTTTTGGTCCTTTTTCTTGGCCTTCTGTTTCTTTATCTAGAAAACGAGGGAATTGGGCCAGATAATACTTACATCTTTTCTAGCTCTAAGCTGTTATGACTCAATATGTGAAATAATGTTGGTAGGAGCCATTTAACATCTTTGAATTGCTATGCAATGTAAGATGGCAGTTTTGTAATTTGCTTTTCCTACCAATGCTTTCTCCTCAAAAGAATAGTAATAATCATCATTTATTGAGTGCCTGCTATGCATCTGGCATATTTATTTTTAAATAATTTTTTAGTTTGAAATGAGTATAGCAGCTGGGTGGAGTGGCTCACTCCTGTAATCCCAGTACTTTGGGAGGCTGAGGTGGAAGGAGTGCTTGAGCCTATTAGTTCAAGACCAGCCTGGGCAACATAGTGAGACCTTGTCTCTACAAAATATCAAAACAAACTAGCTGGGTATGGTGGTGTGCACCAGTGGTCCCAGCTACTCGGAAGGCTGAGATTGGGGGATCGCTTGAGCCCAGGAGGTCAAGGCTGAAGTGAATTGTGATCATACCACTGCACTCCAGTGTGGGTAACAGAGCGAGACCCTGTCTCAAAGCAACAAAAAAAGAAATAATTAAAGATTTACAAAATTTGCAAAGAATGCAGAGTTCCTATAGACTCTTCACCTGGCTTCACGTTCTATTAATGTTACCATCGTACGTTACCATGACACATCTGTCTAAACTACGAAACCAATATTGATATATTACTCTCACCTAAGTTCCAGACCTTATTTGAATTCTGCCAGTTTCTTTTTTTTTTTTTTTTATCATGAATGTCCTTTCTTTGTTCCAGAAAATCTGTGACCATCTCTCAGTCGTTTCTCTTTCTCATGGCCTTGATAGTTTTGAGGTGTACTGGTCAGTGTTTTGTAGAATGTCTCTCAATCTGCATTTGTTTGACATTTTCCTCAGTTAGAGTGAGGGTTTGGTGGGGAGAACGCCACAGAGGTGAGGTGCCCCCATTGCATTAGTGGGTACCTCCTGATATTCATGGGACATGATGAGTGATGTTATCTGGCGTACCTTTAATGTCGTCACCCGTTGTATGGATCTTCCATTATCTATTCCACAGTTGAGGAATATCTGAGTTGTTTTCAGCTGTTTGTGATTATAAATGTAGCCTCTGTAAACATTCACATAGAGTTGTTGTGCGAACGTAAATTTTCCTCTCACTTGGGTAAATACCTAGGAGTAGGTAAGATCGTTGAGTCATCTGATAAGTGTGTGTTTAACATAACAAGAAACTACCAAACAGCTTTCCAAAGTGGATGTACCATTTTGTATGCCAACTAGCAATGTATGAGGGTTCCAGTTCTACCTATCTCTACCAAAACTTGGTATGTCCATTTTTGTTTTTTTTTTTTTTAGCCATTTTAAGAAGTGTGGAGAGGTGTCTAAATTACGGTTTTAATTTACATTTCCCTAAAGGCTGATACATATTTTTATAACTTTATTTGCATTGTGTATCTTCTTTGTTGATGTTTCTATTCAAATATTTTGTCCTTTTTTTTTTTTTTTTGAGATGGAGTCTCACTCTGTCACTCAGGCTGGAGTACAGTGGCACAATCTCAGCTCACTGCAACCTCCGCCTCTGGGTTCAAGCGATTCTTCTGCCTCAGTCTCCCGAGTAGCTGGGACTACAGGCAAGCGCCACCACACCCAGCTAATTTTTGTATTTTTAGTAGAGACAGGGTTTCACCATGTTGGCCAGGCTGGTCTCAAACTCCTGACCTCGTGATCTGCCGGCCTCGATCTCCCAAAGTGCTGGGAATACAGGCGTGAGCCACCACACCCAGCCCCATTTTTTAAAAATAGGCTTTTGTGTTCTCATTGAGATGTGAGAGTTCCTTATATGTATTCTCTGCATACAAGTATTTTATTAGATGTGTCATTTGTGAATATTTTTTTCTTGATGTGTGGCGGTTTTATTTTTTATTTTTTTAACTGTCTTTTGAAAAACAAAAGTTTTTATTTTGATGAGATCAAATTTATTTTTTTCTTTAACGGATCATCCTTTTAATGTTGTACCTAAAAAATACTTTCTGTCCAATGTATAAAACCTTGATGGCTTTACGGCAAAGTGATGTTCTTTTGACGTCTTTTAACAGCCTTATCATTGTATATTTTATATTTAGATCTGTAATTTGTTTTGAGTCAGTTTTGTATGGAATGTGAGGCCTGGATTAAGCTTCATTTTTAGTACATGGATATTGAATTGCTCTAGCACCATTCATTAAGGAGACCATCCTCTCACCATGGAATTGCCTTTGCACCTTTGTCAAAAAAATCAATCAACCATGTATGCGCGGGTCTGTTTCTGCACCCTATATTCTGTCCAATTGATCTATATCTCTGTCCTTTCTCTATCATTGTTTTTGTTTTGTTTTGCTTTGCCTCATTTGCATTTGGGCCAGGTTCACTGGCCCATTGACAGATAAGCAAACCTATCTATCTCTAGGCAAGCCAGCTTCCATTTGAAAGCCAGAACTCACAACTGAATCTAGTTTTATCGTTCTTGGCCATTGAGGAAATCATTCTAAGTTTCGGTTAAACTAAGCAATCTCATCACGAAATTCCAAAAAACATAGGTTAAAAAGAACAACAACAACACAACACACACACACAAACACACACACGAGTGTTTTTGAGAATGTGGTCCCATAATGGAGCAGAGTGGAGCCTGGAGTGTCTGTTTCCTCTGGCTTGCCTCTCCTGCCCTCTAAACACCCTAAAGGCAGAGGCCACATGTTCTCCCTCCAGTGAAACAGGGATGTCAGAGCTGTGACCCTGTGAGGGTTATACCATTTCTTTTACAACTATCAAGAAAGACACTTGAGCAAAACTTCACAAAGATAGTGTTGGAAAAAATACCCCCAAGGACCTCAAAACTCCTTTTGACATCATTATTGCATTCAGAAAATTACACCTTTTAAATGTAAATATTGTGACCAATGTAAATTCATTTGAATTAGTCTGGCCGAACCATGTATCGAAGCATTGAAGTTCATTATATGCTCACATTTTTAAAATAAGATTTTTAGGCATAGTTGTCTTTTTCTAAAGGTACTACAATGTTTTAAAATTCCATAATTTAACCAAAACCACATATTCATACTTTTTTCATACAAAGCAGCTGCACCAGCTAACTTCTGGTAGGTATTGAAAATATAATCTCAGACCTCAAAATGCAGTCTTTGGTTAAGAGCTTTCACTCAAACAAACCCACTCCAAAGGGGAAATCTTGTCAAGTACAAAGAAATAACAGTTTTTAAAAATCATTAAACATTCAAACTTCTCCAATTTGAACTGATGTTAAAGAAAGATACATTTTATCCTTTTGAGTTCAGAAGAGCGCTGTAACAACATCTTTTTGCCTCATATGGTTTTGGCTATGGTGTGAGGCCAAGTGTGTTTTCTGAAATTTAAGCATTTTCAATAAGAACCTGATATGGCCTGACTGAGCTGTAAAACACCTGTTAGGCCTGTCCCCCGACACCAGATGACAAAGGAGGTCCGTCAAACACAGAGGACCTTGAAACCATCCAATAGAACACACCTCTGTGGAGGCCCTCAGGGACTCTGGCTTAATGAATAAAAAGAAATGATTTATAATTAGCCCGGCAATTGTGCTGAATGGGTGTTTGCAACAGGATTGAAATGTGTGCCTAAGCTAAGTTCAAAATTGCCTATAATTCTAATTACATGGTTTCGGTTTTTTTTTCTGCTTGGAAAACTGTTTTCTATAGACAAAAAAAGCAGGGGTGGAAAATGGCTATTTCTTAAGAATAATACCGGCATGTAGCACTCATCACTTCCTATTAGCCTCACAGAACCTTTGAGAAGTAGACTCTTAATTTCAAATGGGTAAGGCTCACAAATAAGGTTTCTACGTCCTCTAGAAAAATGACAGCATTCTCTAGCAACTCTACCTGCCCCACAGGGACGTGCTAGCCCATAGTAAGTGCTACTCAAGTGTTCAATTAGCAGACATGCCTGGAATTTCAGCACTGCGAGTCTTCATCTGGGTTAGATAGCCCACTTGTCCCCACTCCTTGCAGCCCCTTGCTCTCTGATGGATGAGATCAAATGTTTTTATGATATTCTTACCACAACCTGGCCCAGTGCCCCTTACAAATGTGAAGCATGTTCTGAAAACCACCTCCAGAGAGCAGTGAAATTCAGTTCCCATTGCCTGTGAGCAGCTGTACCTGCTCATTGACATCCATGTCATCCCTTACTTAAAATCCTGCTGCGGCTGCCCCAATCCCCACTGAGAATGACATGCAGGCACTTTGCCATGGCCTCTAGGGCCCTGCATGACAGCTCCTATTTCTGCCTCTGCCCTCTGTCTCTCGGCCTCCCCAGCACACCGACCCCTTCCCTGACCCAGGGCTGGGCTTGGCGGTTCTGTTCCCTCACCTCATCTCATCCTTTCTTCCCACCATGTGTCCTTTCTCATGCTTTAGCTCTCAGCTTCAATGTCACCGAGTCCCAGAGTCCTTCCCTGACTACTTCAATAGGTGCCCCTCCTCTTAGGGTGTTTCACTTTGTCTGTTTCCCTTGCAGCATTTATTACTATTTGCAATTATATAGTTGTGTTTGTATACTTGTTTTGTGTGTGTGTGTGTGTGTGTGTGTGTGTGTCTCCCCACTAGATAGAAACCTCCAGTAGGGGTAGAATCTATATCTATTTTAGTCCCTGGTTTCTTTTTATTACCTAGGATACATAGCAGACACCCAATAAGCATTTGCTTAATGAATGAAAAAGAACAGACATGCAGACATTGCTATAGGATAAGGAGAGCAACCAGCACCAGAGAACAAGTATACCTTCCCTGGGAGTGATTGCTCTCCTCTTCATGGGTGTAACTGGAAATCATTCCAAGTTGAGTCATGTCACCCTTTTGCATCACTGCAGGCTCTGGCTGTAAGCATCTCTCCCTGGGATGGGAGCTCCGTGGCCCTGACAGCTGCAATTTCTTTATGATGGGGGTTAGAGAGTCTCACCACCCAAGATGCAGCCCCTGTTTGCTCTCAACTTCCTACTTTTAGATCTGAAGAGCTCTGTGCCAAGCCATGGGCCCAGGGGTCTTTTATCATCTTCTTCCCACAGTCAGATGGTCAGCCATGGAAAGCCACCTGATGTCATGCTTGCTGCTCATAATGCCTAAGGAAGGACACCTTAGGGGCCTATTGAAACTTTTAACCGATCCAGGACAAAAAATGGGGAATGGAGTCTTCCAGCAAGGAGAAAGAGAAAATGGAGGTGGAGGAAGAGGAAGAGAAAATGGGAGGAGAGCCAGGGATGAGGAGGAAAACAACAGTAGCTAGTACACCAGGTGCTTTCTATGTGCAGTTTACCATGCCAGAAATTGACATATGTATTTCGTGTATGTTCCCTAACCCCGTAGGAGTTAAGAGGAAACCGAGGCTAATAGAAATAAGGTGCCTGAAATCACCCAGTTACTGAATCAGAGCTAAGATCAGATTTATTTAAGATAATGCAATTTTTTAAAAATCAAATCCCTCCTGGCTGAGAAGCCAACACAACGGTTTGCATCTGTCTCCTGTCCTCTTAGCTCTGCTTTTGTACACACAGCCTTTTATGGGGCACACACAATCCATCCTACAATTCCAGAAGGGAGCTAAGAGAAGACTCCGACACAAAGGTGCTGTGGAGGTTAAAGATGCCCAGTGGAGGAAATTGAGGCTGGGATTTGTTCAAAGGCAAGTTAGCCTCCCTATTCCACCAGGAAGCTGGCTGCAGAAATGATAATGATGGGTAATGGTTATAATCTTTTGATTTAATCAACACTCACTATGTGCTAAGCCCTAGAAGTAGGGACTACTAATATTGGCCCCATTTTGCAGATGCAGAAACTGAGGCACAGAAAATCACATAGCTAGGAAGCCTTAGGACCTACTCAGTGTACCCATAGTGGGAGCCCCATGTCGCTACCCCACAGTGCTTGGGGGGAGTTGTTGGAAAAAAGCTTTGTGACACTGAAAATTGTTGGTTGTTGCCTAAGTGCTGGGGGATGGGGCCTCCAACACATGATGTCCAGGAGCCAATGGTACCAGGCCACGTGCAACACTTGAAGCAAATGATCCCAAACCTTGCCATCCTCTAGGACCCACCTCAGCCGCCACCTGTTCCTGGAAGATTTCCCAGAGCCCCTGCTGGCATTAACTCCTCTCTCCTCTGGGCCCAAAGCAGGTGATGACTTGCTACATATTATTCAAGTTTCTCTGTCATCTCCTACTCCAGCCCACAATCTGGTGGTTTTCACTTTGATATGTCCTGCATACACTGTGGCCCATATGGGTGCAAAGAAAATAACTTCTGTGAGGATGAGCTCGGGAAGGGATTCAGGCACAGAACCCACAGAGAAAGTGGCTGCCATTTTGCTACCCAGCCATGCGAAGTTGTTACCTTGTCATGATGCTGTCAGCTGGGAGCCTGGGCACCAGTGGTTTAGTGAACACCACGTGTGCCCTTCAGTCCCAGGCTGTTTTCTTCTCCAGAGCCATGTGGTACAGGCTTTGTATCTCACCAAGCTAGTCTTGGACCCCACTCTGCCCCTTCTTGGCTTATTGGCTTCAGACAGGGCATTTACCTTTTGCCACTCAGTTTCTTCATCTGCAAAATGGGCCTAATGACATGTGTCTCATAGGTGTTGTGAGGATAAGGTAAGGCAGTGTATAAAAAGCAAGAACAGCTGCTGGCTCATAGGTCAGCAGTTGATATATTTGCCAATGGAGCCACAAAACCACCTTGTCCCTAGGAAAATCTAATGGGCTGGGTGGCCACCCCACCACCAGGAAACCTGACCTAGTGCACAGAGAACTCCCTTCAAATCCTGTGGCCCACAGCAATGGCTGCCACCCACCTTGCCAGGCCCAGAACCCCTGCATTGTTCTGGCTTTGACTCCCAGGCCAGCAGTGAGGCTGCCCACCCTGCCTTGGAGAGAGGCTGCTGCCAGCTCTGGGCTGTGGAATTTGGAAGAGAAGGTGGCCTGAATGGCATACCCACCTGTGGCACCCGTCCTGGGGAAATTCCCAAGAGTAAATTCTGGGCTGACATTTTTGTGATGAGGGGTTGGGAGTTGGGGCTAAACTGCAGAGCAAACCAGACTGAGGGTTAGGAGGAGGCTGAACCCTGTTCCTGGGTTATTTTGACACCGTCTCCAGCAGATTCATTCACTCATATCACAAGCCTTTCTCAAGCACCTACTATAGGCTGAATGCCAAGTATCCCCCAGTTCAGAAGGGAAAAAAGGCAGGTAAAGAAATAATTACAATCTGCCGGGTGCGGTGGCTCACGCCTGTAATCCCAGCACTTTGGGAGACCAAGGCAGGTGCATCACCTGAGGTTGGGAGTTCGAGACCAGCCTGACCAACATGAAGAAACTCCGTCTCTACTAAAAATACAAAATTAGCTGGGCGTGGTGGTGCATGCCTATAATCCCAGCTACTCGGGAGACTGAGGCAGGAGAATCGCTTGAACCCGGGAGGCGGAAGTTGCAGTGAGCCAAGATTGCACCATTGCACTCCAGCCTGGGCAACAAGAGCAAACTCCATCTCAATAATAATAATAATAATAATAATAATAATAATAATAATAACGATCATGTAGACAGGTGGGAATGATTTAGCTAACAGGGTAGGGAGCAGGCAAGACGTTAGAAAGGGCACCTGGAGAAGGCATCTCTGAAATTGCATCAGTTCTTTTCTTGCCCTACTTCCATGCACAGCTGATTCATGCACAGGGAATGAGGTGTGTTAGGCTGTTATTGCATTGCTATAAAGAAATACCTGAGACTGGGTAATTTATAGAGAAAAGAGGTTTAATTGGCTCACAGTTCTGCAGGATGTGCAGGAATCATGACATTGGCATCTGCTTGGCTTCTGGGGAGGCCTCAGGAAACTTACAATCATGGCAGAAGGCAAAGGGGGAGCTGGTATCTCACATGGCAGAGCAGGAACAAGGTAGTTGTGTGTGGGGGGGTGTTACACTTAAACCACCAGATCTCAAGAGAACTCACTATCCCGAGGATAGCACCAAGCCATGAGGGATCTGCCCCATGACCCAAACACCTTGCACCTGGCCCCATCTTCAGTGCTGGAAATTACATCTCAACATGAGATTTGGTGGGGCATCCAAACTATATCACAAGGAGAGCCAAACTCCTGATTGTTCCACCATCTTGGCCATGGGATTTTGCCTGGGGTTAAGAATGAGTTCCTGGAGTCAGGCACACCACGTTGGAATCCCTGTTCCACCGCTTACTAGTCCTATGGCCTTGGCCAAGCACCTTAGCCCTTCTGAGCCTCCCTGCTGTCACCTCCAAAGTTAGGACAACACTAGTGCCTGCCATACCTCTACATAAGATAATGTAGGCAGTGTGCTGTCACATAACAAAGGCTCAATAAATGTAAGCCATTTTTATTAGGAGTAGCAAGCCGGCTCTTTAGGGCTTTAAACAGAC
This sequence comes from Homo sapiens, assembly GCF_000001405.40. NCBI lineage: Eukaryota > Metazoa > Chordata > Mammalia > Primates > Hominidae > Homo > Homo sapiens. The sequence continues at coordinate 117,815,297 of NC_000010.11, read as the reverse complement.
CAGGTGGGACGCAAACAGTGAACTTCTGCCAGCAAAACTGTGGGACCCACCAGACCAGCTGAAACCACGGAGGGAAAACACAGTTGGGAGAGCTGGCAGGAAGATGCCTGCATCTTTCAGGGGTGTAGAAGGGAAAGGCTTATGGAGGCCATATCAAAATGATGGAGTGGATGAGAAAATAAGAAGGGGGAAAAGAGGGAGCTCCAGAAAGAGAGTTGGAGTGAGCTGGGGGAAGCACAGTGTGTGGAGACAGGAGCGGACATATGAAGTGTGATGGAAGATTATGGGCTGCTGAGAGTCGGAGTGGGCAGTGAGGAGACAGACGGTTTGGAAGGAGAGGTAAGCACTTTGCTGCAATAACCAGATGGATCAAAGGTAATGAAGTGCCAAGGGCAGTGCAGATGGGTGGAGAGCGCGTGAGAGAAATCTAAGCTTTGCTGGCCAGTGTGGTCCAACTGAGAAGCCAGAGAAGCAGCACAAGACAAATAACTTCTGTGAGGATGAGCTCAGGAAGGGATTCAGACACAGAACCCACAGAGAAAGTGGCTGCCATTTTGCTACCCAGCCATACGAAGTTGTTTACCTTGTCATGATGCTGTCAGCTGGGAGCCTGAGCACCAGTGGTTTAGTGAATACCACATGTGCCCTTCAGTCCCAGGCTGTCTGTTTCTTCTCCGGAGCCATGTGGTACAAAGACTCTGTTGCATGCGTGTGCATGCCCGTGTGTGTGTGCCGGTACATTCACGAGCACATATATAAGTGTGCATATGTACCCAGGCAGTTCTCAACAAAAGGACCCAATGCGTATAACCTCAGGGGTACAAGAGCATCTTGAGCTTTTGCGCACAACAAATATCAGTGATAATAATAACAGCAGCAACAATGATAATCATTACTAACCACTTCTTATGTGCTAGCCCCTCTGCAGTAAGCCTTAAATGCATCATGTCAATCTTCACAATAACTAGGTGGAGTTGAAACTATTATTTTTCCATATTAGAGATTGGAATTGAGGCTCAGGGAGCTTAAGCTATGTGCTCAAGCTCACACAGCTGTAAGAGGTAGTGCCAGAGTTCAATACTACTTCTGACTAGCCAAATAGCCAGTATCATTATTAAAAAACATTCCAGGTGACAGGTATTTAGCCAGGAGTCTAAACTCCCTTTAGTTGACATTCTTTTGAAATAATGTCTTAGTTGGAAAAGAAATAGAGCTGGTGAACACAAGAGGTAACCGGGCTGGCTAGGATTTTGCAAGTTAGGGCCAATGTTCTGCTCATCCCCGTGGGGTCCCAGGGTCTGAAAGTGAGTCAAGTCCATGTGTCACACTGACATCTTCAGACCATTCAATGGATAAGGACAGCAATCAGGTCCAAGACTGCTCTTCAGTCATTAAAGAGTGAAGCCAGCAACAAGTTTGCAGGATGTCCATCTGTCTGTCTTGAAAGTTACTGGCAATAAATATTTTAGTGCAAATGTAGTCATACCTGTTAAGCATAAGGGCAAAAAAAACATGTTTCAATAATGCAATACTACTTTTTCTGGAAGGGCTTCAAAGGAGGTGTTTACAGGAGATATCCTACTCTGAGGGCTATATAAAGAGCTATTTGAAGCCCAGTGTTGGATAGCAGGATATTGTCTGATGCAGCCCTGGAAAATCACAGCTTTTTCATTCCAAATCAAATTCTAATTGCACCTGCTGATGGTGGTTCATTCTTTCACAATCTCCAACTTCCATCTCCATCAATGTCTGGCATTTTCTTGTGTCTCTTGGTTGGGGTGAAGCATGAAAGTGTTGGATCCCAAATCATGATGATCATGAGTGTTTTAAAGCACATGCCAAAGATCAGCTGTGCTGGATTAGCTCATTCCATTCTCTTCCCCACTTCCCAGATGAGGGTCAAGTCTCACTGTTCAACCATCTCTCAGGGCCCTGTGATAATCCTCATAGGCAATAGGGCAGGAGGAATAATTGGCACTTGGCAGGTTGGGAGGCAGAGCTTCTGTAGTGCACTGAGCATTGGCTTTATGATGTGGCTTTGGGCAAACTGAAAAATGAAGATAATAAAAATACCAGGCTGGGTGATGTGACTCATACCTGTAATCCCAGCAATTTCAGAGGCCAAGGTGGAAGGATTGCTTGAGCCCAGAAATTCGAGACCTGCCTGGGAAACATGGAGAAACCCCATTTCTACAAAAGATACAGAAATTAGCTGGGCATGTTGGCATGAGCCTGTAGTCCCAACTACTTGGGAGGCTGAGGTGGGAGGATTGCTTGAGCCCAGTAGGTGGAGGTTGCAGTGAACCCAGATCACACTACTGAACTCCAGTCTGGGCAATAGAGCATGACTCTGTCTCAAAAAATAAAAAATAAATAAAGATTCTGACCCCACAGGGCCACTGAGGGGTCTAGAGATGATCTAGGACAAAGGTCTGTCACAGAGCCCTGCACTGGTTGCTTGGTCCACAAATGGTGTGAGTGTGAGTAGAGTCATTATAATTTGCTTCCTGATGGTTTTAGTGTGTTGTTGGCCAAGGCTGTACACTGAACAGTATGCTCGTGTTTTGATTTCATTATGTTGTTATGTTTAAGGGGCCATAGCTGCCAAGGTGAATAGCATATGGAATATGCCCTTAAAATTGTCAATTCTGATAAAAAGAAAAGCCTGACAAATAGCTATAAAAATGAGAGCATTATAGAGTGGAAGTGGGATTCTTGGGAGGGAAAGATAACTTCTTCACCAGGCAGTTAGGGAAGGCTTCCTAGAAGAAGTGGTCTTTCAGTTGACTGGAAAGAATAAACAACATTGCCATGAATGAAGGCTGTAGTAAAGGGAGGAGTTCCAGGAGTAGGAATGAGATGACCAAAGGCACAGAGGCAGGAATCCCCTGGTTACTCAGAGAAATCCAGGGATTCTGCCCACAAGTGACTATTCAGAGAATCTGATTTATTCTGCCTTCTCCATGGGGTTTTCCTCAATACTGATCACTGGTACACCTATATTAGTCAGGATAGGTAAATCACTGTGTAACAAACAGCCTCACAAATAGTAACTTACCTAATACAACTAAGTTCTATTTCTTGCTTCTGTCACACTCTGTGGGGAGGGGCCAAGGTTCCTGCTGTCTGGTGACTTCATCTTCTCAGGACCCAGAGGATTCCACTGGATCACATCTGGCTAATGGATGAAAAGAGTGTGTGGAATCTGCACAGGAGGTTTTAGGGACCAGGCCTGGAGGTAGCAACCTCACTTCCATGGATATTCCCCTGGCCAGAACTCAGTCACATGGCCCCACCTAGCTGCAAGGGAGGCTGGGAAGTAAGTCTTCCTGTGCATCCAGAAGAAAAATAAAATGGGCTTGGTGAACACATGGTATTCTCTGTCCCTGCCACAATTTTCTTTTTTTATTTTATTTTATTATTATTATACTTTAAGTTTTAGGGTACATGTGCACAATGTGCAGGTTAGTTACATAGGTATACATGTGCCATGCTGGTGTGCTGCACCCATTAACTCATCATTTAGCATTAGGTATATCTCCTAATGCTATCCCTCCCCCCTCCCCCCACCCCACAACAGTCCCCAGAGTGTGATGTTCCCCTTCCTGTGTCCATGTGTTCTCATTGTTCAATTCCCACCTATGAGTGAGAACATGCAGTGTTTGGTTTTTTGTCCTTGCAATAGTTTACTGAGAATGATGATTTCCAATTTCATCCATGTCCCTACAAAGGACAGGAACTCATCATTTTTTATGGCTGCATAGTATTCCATGGTGTATATGTGCCACATTTTCTTAATCCAGTCTATCATTGTTGGACATTTGGGTTGGTTCCAAGTCTTTGCTATTGTGAATAGTGCCGCAATAAACATATGTGTGCATGTGTCTTTATAGCAGCATGATTTACAGTCCTTTGGGTATATACCCAATAGTGGGATGGCTGGGTCAAATGGTATTTCTAGTTCTAGATCCCTGAGGAATCTCCACACTGACTTCCACAATGGCTGAACTAGTTTACAGTCCCACCAACAGTGTAAAAGTGTTCCTATTTCTCCACATCCTCTCCAGCACCTGTTGTTTCCTGACTTTTTAAGGACTGCCATTCTAACTGGTGTGAGATGATATCCCATTGTGGTTTTGATTTGCATTTCTCCGATGGCCAGTGATGGTGAGCATTTTTTCATGTGTTTTTTGGTTGCATAAATGTCTTCTTTTGAGAAGTGTCTGTTCATGTCCTTCGCCCACTTTTTGATGGGGTTGTTTGTTTTTGTAAATTTGTTTAAGTTCATTGTAGATTCTGGATATTAGCCCTTTGTCAGATGAGTAAGTTGCGAAAATTTTCTCCCATTTTGTAGGTTGCCTGTTCACTCTGATGGTAGTTTCTTTTGCTGCCTGCCACAGTTTTCTAGATCTAGACAACTTAGAGCCAGCAAGCAACTCGGAGATGAGAATAATAAACTCTTGAGTTCATTTAAGTATTCTTTCAAGTTTATAAAGTGACCTTGCTGTATGTTTTATTCTCATGCCAGGAGAGCCCTAAAATGTTTTGCATTACCAACTCTGTACAAGCCCTGTGTAGATTCATTGCAGACAATTCATCATTTAAATTCCTAAGAGGTAGACAGGACAGATATTAATACTAAACCCATTGAACCATTGAGGAAGCAGAGTCAGAAATTAAGCCCTAGACTCAGGACTCTTTTTGCCCTTTGAGCCAACCCCACCCATTCCAATGAGGAAAGGAGGCCATGGAAGGGGTCCCATCCCCTCTCTTGTACCTACTTTTAGAGCAATGGTTCTCAAACTGGGACACTTGGCAATATCTGGGGGAAAAATAGGTGGGGATGATCCTCGCATCTTGTGGGGAGAGGCCAGAGGTGCTGCTAAATATCCTACAATGACAAGGCACCCCAAAAAGAATGATCCAGCCCAAAACATTGATAGTACTGAGAAACCTGGCTTTAAGAATGGCTCTGAGAGAGGATCAGGAACTTAAAATAGTTTCACATTCCTATTGATTTTCAAAGAAAAGCAAAGACCAAAAGAGACGTCTGTAGTCAGAGGATGGTGTGGGGACTGCTTCCAGAGTCTGTGAGTGTCAGGACATGATCAGCACCTGGCTGTTATGGTAAAAGCCATTGGCAGCCACTGCCAAAACTCTGTGTCAAATGCCCACACATCAGGATTGTAATCCCTATTGCCCAACCAAACATGTTAGGAGGCAAGTCAGACCTCTTTGATGAGATGTGTCCATAACCACAGAATTTCTCAAAATACATCATGCGACTCACAGTGAGCAGGTTGTGCAGTGCACTGTAGCTATGTAAAGATGCATAGACAGAAGACTGGGAGGAAACCAATTGTTCACCATGGTTGTTTCTGAAGGGTGAGAATACAAGTGATTTTCTTTTATTTTGGCTGCTGTATTAGTCTGTTCTCAAGGTGCTAATAAAGACATACCTGAGACTGGCTAATTTATAAAGAAAAAGGGGTTTAATGGACTCACAGTTCCACATGGCTGAGGAGGCCTCACAATAATGGCAGAAGGCAAATGAGGAGCAAAGTCATGTTTTACATGGCAGCAGGCAAGAGACTGTGTGCAGGGAAACTCCCTTTTATAAAACCATCAGATCTCATGAGACTTATTCACCATCACGAGAACAGCACAGGGAAAGACCCACCCCCATGATTCAACTACCTCTCACTGGGCCCCTCCCACAACATGTTGGGATTATGGGAGCTACAATTCAAGATGAGATTTGGGTGGGGACACAGCCAAACCATATCAGCTGCCATGTGCTTTTCTAAAGCAGTAATTTTCCAAAATTACTGAAATGAGTCTGTATTTTTTAACTTTGTATTTTAATGTAATTTTAAACTTGCAGAGAAGGTGCTAAGATAGTACAAGAAACACCCATAAACCCTAACCCTGTGCCGAGATTCATCAATTCAGTACGTTAGACCCCATGTGCTCTGTAATTTTCTCCTTCCTCCTCTCATTTAGAGTAATTGGAGACATTGCACCTCTTTACCCCTAAATATGTGAATTATATACTTATCCAAATCAAGAAATTCAACATTCATAGTTCCCTTTTATGTGAAATAGTAACTTGACACTTTTTGCATTTCTTGATCTTGACATTTTTGAAAATTATATGCCAGTTATTTTGCAGAACGTCCCTCATTTTGGGTTTGTTTGATGTTTCCTCATGCTTAGACACAGATTATGCATTTGGGGCAATAATACCACATAGGTAATATTGTGTCCTTCTAGGATGCAATATTTTCTTAAATAAAAAGGAAAAAACTATGAAAAAAGAAATGGCTTGATCAATGAATCTAGCCCTCCTTCCCACTTGCTAATCTCCACTCCCCACCTCCTTTTAGGGCAGGCACCACGGCCATGTTTTACTCATTTTGATGTGTTTTGTGTGTGTAGTAGTCATCTTTTTCTCATTTTACCTCCTTCATTTGCTGAACCTTTCGACTACAGAAGCTCTGTGCTGATGCTGGGCCTGGACTGTGTGCTCTGAGCATGATAGGCAGTCAAAGATTCACTGAGTTGAATTACAGGTTCCTGCCTCATCCTAGCAAATCTGTGCAGCTGTCTAGGGTGTTTTTCCCTCTTTGGTGGCTACACAGCTATTACCTCCTACCTTTGTCTCAGGACTTATGACATGCAGTTAAAACAATCTGTTTGCTTGTCTCCCTGACTTGTGTCTGAGCTGCTTGAGGAGAAACACCGTGTTGCATCTGTCTCTGGCTCCAGGGAACCTTCCCCAATGTACCAAATCAGTGTTTAGTACTCATTTCCAGAATAAATGGCACTTAGATAACCATTCAGTGTGGATGGGTGACTTTTCACTTAGAAAGAACTGCCTGAGAGTGTTCATTCTGTTTAGATAGATCCTTAAATTATAAAGAGGCAGAGAGCCACACAAACAGCAGAAACCCATACACATACACACACACGCACACACGCACACACTTGTTCTGGGGGGATATGGAGTTACTATCCAGTTCAGTGTGTATTTTTTAAATCAAAATGGCCCATTGTGCCCCAAACTGGCTAATTCTGTGCTTCAGGTATCTAGGAAATTGAGGAGCATATCGTGTTATTCAAGCAAACTAATTTGAGAGTAGCAGCTTCTCAGCTGCTACCATGCACTCAGAGCCTCCAGTCTTCATTTTGTAACTACCAGTTATCCTGGCAACTTTCTTTGCTTGTAACTCTAAAACCATGAACAGTAAATGGGAATAAGCCACTTTCAATTAAATATGAGCAACAATTACATTTTGACAGTTTAATTGCATTCTTTCTCCCGGTCTTTCTAAACAAGGCACAGGACATACCAAGTATGCCAATTGTATTTTTAGATTCTTCTGCAATTAAGAAAATATCCCTAAAAGAGATAAAATACTTGGTGGATTAAATGGCTATTTCTTGAGGGAACTATATTAAGAAATGAGTGCTGAGCCGTTGCATCCATAGTAATCAGCTTTCAGCCACTGTGGACACATGGAAACGCCTTCTTGAAGACAGAATCCTATTCATCAAGCTCTCCCTTCTGCTTCACATGGCTGACCCAACTGCATGTCAAGAAATGCCTTGGCTGGCAAGGGCTGGGTGGGCTCATGGCCCTATGGTCTGGAGGAGTGCCCCAAGGTGAGCTCCAGAGGTAGCCACATCTGTGTGACCACCCAGGCAGAAAAGTTACTGGGAAGTGACTTCATTTGAGAACCATGAATGCGTTTGGAATATGATATGGCCTCTGTTAGAACTTTTTTTAAAGAGAGATTCAAAATACACAGTGGGATAGGAGAGGGGGGTACGTTCTTAAACTGAAAAAAAAGTAAATCATAAATGGCATAATCTCATGTAGTACCATCAAGGCACACACATGTTGAAGCAAGGCTAAACAAACAACAGGCATCCAAATGTTAACTGTGGAGGGGTGGGTTGAATGGTGAGCTTTACTTCTTTATTGTATTTTTATAATAAAAAACTATATGTTTCCCATAGCTCTGTGGTCGAAGACAAATTTGGAATAACAATGCTAGGAGTGTCTATGTTTGATGCTGCCTGTTAAGAGCTGAACTGTACACCCCCACTTCAAATCCATATGTTGAGGTCCTAACCCACAATGCCTTAGTCTGTGACCTTATTTGGAGATAGGATCTTTTAAAAGGTAATTGAATTAAAATGAAGTAACTAGGGTGGGCACTAATCAAACATGCCCAGTGTCCTTTTAAGAAGAGGGTATTTGGACATAGCTATGCAGAGAAGGGAAGATGGTGTGAAGACACAGGAGACAGGGGCTGTCCATCCACAAGCCAAGAAGAGAGGCCTGCAGCAGATTCTCCCTCAAGGCCCTCCGAAGGAACTAATCCTGTTGATGCCTTCATCTTGGACTTGCAGCCTGCAGAACTGCGAGACAATCCATTTCTGTTGCTCAGGCCACTCCATGTGTGATGGACTTGGTGACAGCAGCCCTAGGAAATGCTTCAGTCACAGAGTTCAGTGGACTCAGGGTGGGGTTGATGGAGGGGCGACCCATGAAGCTACACAAAGCCCAGCGCTCAGAAGCGCCCTGCACGTTCTCAATGCTCTGCTGTTGCACTTGGTCAATAAGTTATTTAGTCGGTCCTGACTGTATCCATTCTTCTATGCATGTCTCCACTCTCCAAGGTAGAGCAAATAGATACTCATTTATTTGCTAAGTATTTACTGAGCACCTGCTGTGTGCCAGGCACTTTGCTCTGAGACACAGAAAAGAGTTAGGCTCAGATCTTGCCCTCTGGGAACGTGAATTGAAGAGAAAGAAAAGGTCTTGTAGACGGTGCCCACAAATGGAGGAGGCAGAAGCCATGGGAACACCGGGGAAGGGGCAGCCTCAATTCAGATGGCTTCACACCAGCCTCAGTCACGTATCCCACCCCATATCCATTCTAAAGATAAGGAAATGGGCTGAGCTGCCCAAGTTCTGCCAGCTGGTCAGTGACAGGCTTGAACCCCAGTCATACCTCTCTTTCCACGATGCCATGCCACTCCCAGAAGCACTCTATATGATTTCCCATAGCGTTAACACAAATACCAAGGGAATATGAGCAGGTGCATAGTATATTCACATCTGAGGATTAGCCAGGGCTGCAGGTGCTTTGTAAGGCAAATTTAAAGGCTTCCATTTTCAGAATGGGGCTCCTGAATCCACCAGGTAGGAGGGACACATGAGTGCAGAGCTGAGTGTGGGATAGAGAACCTGAAACCAGGGAAAGTGCTTCCTAGAAGCGAATCCATATTGGCTCTGGATAATTTTAATTATCCTAGAAGCAATTGTGTCTGGATCTGTTCCTGGGGGTCACAAGGGCCCCTCTTTGGGGAATAATAACGGCCACTCTCTCTACCAAATCTTGAAGTGTCTGCTTAATCATTTGTTTCCCACTATTGACAAAATAACTGATACCAAAAATTCCATGCTCAGAAATTATGCATGAAGGCAATGTTAAAGTCTGCGTTATCAGCCAATATAAAGTACATGGTATTATTTCCATGAAATAAAAACCCTGTTTACCATGGCCCCCACTCAACTCCCCAGTCTGGTGGGTTTTGTTCCACATCTGAGAACATCTCTCTCACTGGCTCAGGGAAATGCTGCCACTCCAATAACCTCATTATTTAAGATGCCCATTTTTAAAATATGGCTAAGAGATGGGTAAGAGTAATTCTCATCCAAACTTCCAAGCAAGTGAAAACTTTGCCATTTATTAAAGCCGGGCTGAAAAACCATCCACATCCGTCTGCACCAAGCAGTCCTGGAATCAGTGTTCACCCGGCCGCAGACTTGCCGTGGCTTTCTGGAACACCGCTGGCCAGTTCAGCACTGTTCATCTCGTATGTCAAACTCACTCAGGCTGTCAGCCTGAGTGCCCCACAGGCCATCAAAAAGAGGTACCAAACTCCATTATAACGTCTCTTAGCACTTTCTGCACTTCCACGCCATGCCAGTGGGATACCTGGCTGTGCGAAAGAGGACTGCAAATGGGATTAGAGACATAACATCATCTTGCCTCTCCCTCCAGCCGGGCGAGGGAGAAGGAAGGTCATGCCAAGCAATCAGTCACGTTCTTTGATTTTCTCAGAGGGCTTGTACCTGGCCTGTTGCCCCTTAAGTTCCACTTTGATGGATGAACCAACACTCCCCAAGCTAGGACTGCCACCTGGGGCCCCTCAGCTCAGGTAACTGGGGAAACTGAGTCATGGTGATGTGATTCAGAGCACCTCTATGCACAAGCAAGGTTCTGTCATCTTCTTCCAGGTTTTCTTCTTGAGTCATGGTGGTGATGTGTGTATGTGCGTGAATATATTTTCTTTCGGTTCCTCCTAGAACACGGCGGCCTAGAGAGAGGGTACATGGTGTTCCAGGAGGCAGAGGACAATCAGTTGATCAGGGCATCTGGGCCAGGCTGGCAGAAAAAAAAAAATGTCTCAGCAGTTTATAAAAGAAGAAATAAATAAACGGCATGATTTGAGTCATCAGCCTTGCCTGTCTGAGTTCACCAGAGAATTGACGACTCAGAGCTTCGCTTCATGCAATTTGGACCTTGCCCGAAACCTTCCAACTGTCCCAAGCAGCAAAGAATAGGCCCTCTGCTAATTACCCCAGGGGCCAGCTTTCTGCTGCTTTGAAGAGCTCTCTTTGATGTGATGCAATTCTGCTGCCAGGCCCGGCTGTGCCCAGATTAAGCACATAATGAGCAATTATCAGCCGGGCTCTAGGAGTGTGGCTGAGGCAGCCGAGTGGAAACCCGGTCTGCGCTGCAACTATTCCAAGCTGCCAGCACTCCTTCTGGGGCTGGAGTAATTCGTTTACCCTCTTCTCTCTGCACCCCTGCCCTCAGTGATGTCCTTCCCATCTGTAAAATGGAACCTAGGAGGCCTGGGGATCGGGGGAGGGGTGGGGTTTAGGAACTCTTCTTAGAATGCCCCCAGTGACTGGAGCAATCAATTTCCCGGACACACCACGCATGAGCAAAAACTCACAGCACTAGAATAACAGCTGGAAATACAACCTAGGATAGCACAGAGCCTAAGGGGGCAGGCTCTGCAAAGTCACCGATATGAGCTGTGTGACTTGTCGAGGGACTAATCTCTAACTTTGGTTTCCTCATCTGGAAGAGCAGGAGGATAAGAGAACTCGACTGTAGGGCTGTCGAGAGGGTCCCTGTCTCTGCATCAGCTGCTTCTCAATAAACACTCGCTGGTGGGATTATGATTACATTCACATGTATGATTGCGTGGGATCCTCGCTCCCACAACATACAATGGGGGGGGAGGATTAGTGGATTTGTTGTAAGAGAAGGCAACTGAGGCATAGGCAGACTGAGTGACTGGCAGGGCTGTCTGCCTTAAAGGCCAAAGAAGGAGATTTGAGAAGCATTTCAAAGACATTAGAAGGAAGCAATGGGCACTTTGGTGACATTTTTGTCCCACTTACTTCAAAAGGTCTTTAGAGACCAGACCTAGGGATCCATTCTGGTTTTGTCCACCAAAAGGCTGAGTCCTGTACTGACAGGTTTCCTCAAAGCACAGTGCAGGTCTCCCAGGAGGGGGGGAGGAAAATACCTAACCAGAGGGAATAGGGTTCTCTGTTTACAAAGAGCACAGGCTCTTCTTCCACCTGAAGGACCCTGGCCTTCCAAAAGCCTTCTCTTCCCTGCTTCCTAAAATTCCTTTTTTCCCCCTGCCAGACATCTAGCTTGAAAGACAAGGCTCTTTGGAAAGGGGCAGGGGACTGCCTGTCCCAGGTGGTTCCCTTAGCCTATCCCCAGGCCCCCATCTGCAGAAAGCCACCTCCCCTTGCCTCCCATGGGGGTCTTCCTTGAATTCCCATAATTCCCCTTGTGGGCCTTACAGACGGTCATGCAGACGGTTCTGAGGGGTCATGCAGACGGTTCTGAGGGGCAGTTTAAGGAGGCTGTGAGCATCCTAGGACAGAGACCACATCTTACTCATCTCTATCCCTCACAGGTACACAGTAGGAACTTTTTTTCTAAATTTAAGCCAAGGGCCTGCAATCATTTCTTGAGAGCAGGGATGGTAGAGAAAGGGTGGAGCAGACAGCCACGGTGGAGAATGCTGAGGAGAGGCCGCCTCACAGTTTTGTGGAAAGCCAGCCTTTGCCATCTTGGCAAGTTCTGGAATGTTCTATCTGCCTCATGCTGGGGGACTTTGCCCTCACCTTCTCCCTTCTCCCAAATCTTCTGGTAAAAGAAAAACTTCAGCCAAATTAAATGTAGAGGAGTTTAATTGAGCAATGAACAATTTGCAAATCAGGCAGCCCCCAGAGTCATAGTAGATTCACAGAGACTCCAGTGCAGCCACGTGGTGGAAGAAGATTTATAGACACAAAAAGGGAAATGACGTACAGAAATTGGAAGTGAGGTACAGAACGGCTGGATTGGTTACAGCTCGGCATTTGCCTTATTTGAACAGTTTGAACACCTAGCAGTCTATGAGTGGTTGAAATATGGCCGCTGGGATTGGCCAACTCAGTTATTGTTACAGGTGCATACTCCTAAGTTAGGTTTTCAATTTTGTCTTTTTTTTTTTTTTTTTTTTTTTTTTTTTTTAGAGATGGAGTCTCAATCTGTCACCCATGCTGGAGTGTGGTGGAGTGATCTTGGCTCACTGAAAGCTCCACCTCCCAGGTTCAGGCAATCCACCTGCCTCAACCTCCTAAGTAGCTGGGACTTCAGGTGCCCACGCCACCACATCTCGCTAATTTTTTGTATTTTTAGTAGACACGGGGTTTCACCATGTTGTCCAGGCTGGTCTTGAACGCCTGACCTCAGGTGATCTGCCCGCCTCGGCCTCCCAAAGTGCTGGGATTAGAGGCGTGAGCCACAGCACCCGGCCTTATCTGATTATTAAGCTAGATTACAGGTCATACGCAAGGACTCAAATATGGAAGTATGGAGTCCTTCTTAGGCCACATTTAGTTTGCTTGACTGCCTCAAATGAAGTGATGGCTCCTGTCCCTGTCCCTCCACATGAGCTGCATTTCCTCCTTTCCCTTCAGCACTTAATTCCACCTCAATCCTTCAGAGCTCAGCTCAAAAAACCCTTCACAGAGAAGCTGCCTCTGGCTGCCTGGTTCAAATAGGGGGCCCATTCAGTGCTCACTGCAGCCTTGACTTCTGCTTCGTGGCCCTTGGCCCAGTTTTTCCTCCAATGCTTATTTATGGGAATATTTGATGAGTACACACCACTCACGGTCAGGAGTCTTTACAAGTCAAGAAGGCAGCGAGTGGTCCTTTCATCTCCGCAGCTCTCCCAGGGCCTGAGGCATCATGGGTACTCCACAGAGATTTGGTAAGTAGTGAATAAGCAAGGGTTAACAACGTTGTTTGGGTTGAGTCATCAGTTCTACCCTGAAGCCCAGGATATATGCAGCATCCACCACTAGGAAGGGACGGGGCTGCTTTCTGTCTGCCCACGTGTCAGCCCCAAACTCAAGGGCACCTCAGCTACCACCACACCTTTTACCCACAGGAAACTCGGGTGTATGTTCAAGCCAGATTTTAACAACAGCCAAAGCCAACAAACATTTCCTTAAAATATAATCCTCTCCTCCTTCCTCAGGGGGAACTTTTCTGACATTTGCCGCCTTTGGGAATAATCGTCATCATCCTGTGAGGCAGGTGGACGACTGGAGTAGCCTTGCCTTCCATGAAAGCCAATGTCACATCCAGCGAGGCCAGAGGAAAGGGCAGCAGGGGGGAAGTGGGGTGGCAAACAAGCAGTTTTCACATCTCAGGCTCTGACATGATTGCCTCTCTCTCTTCTCCCGGTGGGTGGGGCGGTGTGTTATGAGCCGGTGACTTCAGCCTGCGCCTAGAGAGGGAACGAGCCCCGCAGTTGTCAGGAGCAGCTTAGCAAGTCCCTCCACACCCTCACAACTGAGGCCCGATCAATCCACAGCCCATCAGCAGGTATTTAGGTGGGGCTGCAAGGGCCAGTCAGTGGGCTGCCGGACCAGAGACCCAGGAGGGGCCTGCTCTGCAGAGATAAATGCATATAATAGCACCCATGAAAGAGGATCGAGCAAACCCCTGCTCACCATGTGGCCAGCTACAAGGCAGGGCCACAGAGGACGGTCCCCACAAAAGCCCCCAGATACCAGGGGAAGAAAACATGTGCCACCCATAAAAACCCTGTCTGAATGTCTTTCCCTCCAATCCATGGCACTAGGGCCAGGGCCTTGCACACAGCGGCTTCATGGAGCAGCTTAACATAACGAAGAGATGCTGACTTCAGGGTCAGACGGCTTGGGGTTCAAATCTGAACTTGGTCACTTGCTGGCCAAACGACCCTCAACAGGCCCTTAATCTCTCTTCACCTCATGTTCCCATAAGGAGTTAAGGACATCCTATGAGGTCGTTGGGATAGTTGTGGGTGCACTCCACACATAGCTGTGGCACTCCAATGGCCATCGTCCTCACATAATGGCAAAAACATACTGTGGGCAGAGAGAAGAGACCATGGTCTTGAAAGGGCTCTCTCTCTTTCCCTTTCTCTCTCTCTTTCTCTCTTTCTCGCTAGGATTCAGCCAGTGTTCCCTGTCCTTGTCTTTGAGCCTGGAACCCACTATAATCCATCTGAGAACTCACTTCCCTTTGCCCATCTTCTTAGTTTACTAGCGTGGATAGAAAAATTACAGTAAATAATTAGGCTGAGAATACACGCAGAGTCTGAGTTTTGAAAAGTGCTTCATTGTTGGGAAAGCATTTTTATGCACAGTGTTGTTTGACCACACAGAGTCTTGTTGGAAATGGAAAACACAAAACAGGTAGGAGGAAGTAAATAAAAGGTCTGAGCTCAAACCCTGACAGTGGGAAAGCAGCCCCGGCTGTGCAGGGGTGCATCTCTGGCTCCACGTTTTGGAGACGGGGCCGGACTTGCTCTGCCAGTGGTGCCAACAGCACCCAGTTGCCTTGGGAAATGCTGGGGGGGGGGGAGGTGGGGGGCAGGGGACAAAGTGAAGGGACGTGTAGTGGTTACCAATCCCCAAAACTCCATCAAGAGATCTGTCTGTTCCAGCTGCTATATTGTCAGTGTCTACTTTCATACCCTGCCTCTTTAGAAAGGATTTGGCTTGGCTTAGTGACATATGTGTGCATATATATATATATATATATATATATATACACACACACACACACATATATATATATGCTGAGTTTGCTTGGGGTTCGATATAGATATAAATATATCTATATTCGGTATGTAAGTCATGCCAAATCCTTTCTAAAGAGCGGAAAGGATGTATATGTATACACACACACACACACACACACACACACACACACACACACACACAGAGTTCACAATACAATACCCATAAAATAAGTACATGAAGAAATCAAAGTGAAAGGGAAATAGAACTAGTAAAATAAGATTAGTCAAGGATTCAGGCCATGGAACCAAGAGCTACAGGTAGGGCAACTCTGATATTAACCTATGGTGGGATGGGGAACTGGGCTTCATTTGTAAACATGCAAAGACTCCTATTTCACCCTCAAAATGTTACCCCCAGAGCTGCCTGGACACACCATGGACACCGATCACAGATATCCACATGGTATGTCTCGCCTCACATCACTGTTTTACACTGAATTTATTTCCCGGCATGAAACCCAAACACTCTACCTTCAGGAGTCGTGGCCTTAGCCACTTTCCCCCTGGGAATTAGCCCAGGTATCAAACAGCTTCAAGGTCTGGGAAGCGATATGCCTTAGCCTATTGAAGAAGGTCAGGATAAGCACCTTTGGAAATTTTGGACACCGCAAAAGAGATATTTACTCAGTGAAAGAAATATTGTTCAGATGTTCCTAATTCTGTTGTGTGCTTACAAGCCTGAGTGCATTTATCCATGTGGCCTAGCCTTGCACATCCTCTGGATTTGAGAAAGAGCCCACTCTGTAATCTACAGAGAAACAAGTGCATCTCATCAGCAAGGCACATGGAGCATTTCCCTTTTTCCTTTCTTAAAGTGGGAACAAGATGACTTCTTATCCCAACAGATTTTTAAAGATAAGTTCACTCCTGGAGATGATAGGAAATGAAATTGTACAGTTTCACTGCTTAACAACAAATTCAAATTCAGCAGCTTCATCCTTTATTTCGTGGCATGGGTAAGGGCTTCAGGGTTTCCACCACACCTGTGGTACTTGCCATGTGAACTCAGGCACAGCTTAACCTCTCTAAGCACAGACTTCCTCACCTGTAAAATGGAGTAATGGTAATCCAAGATAATAGAGTTATTGGGAGGATTCTGAATGTGAGAATGTATATTAAGTATTCAGTCATTTCTAGCACTCAATAAATGTTTACTGCTATTATTCATATTATTAATGTCATGATGATGATGACTGCGGTAATGCTTCAAAGCAGTGGTTCTCAACCAGGGATAAGTTTGCCTCCCAGGAGACATTTGTGATTGTCATGACTGTAGGAGGGGGTGCTGCTGGCATCTGGTGGGTAGAAGCCAGAGATGTTTCTCAAAATCCCACAATTCACAGGACAATCCCCCCACAATAAATGACAACCAAGGCCAGGTGCAGTGGCTCACGCCTGTAATCCCAGCACTATGGGAGTCCGAGGTGGGTGGATCACTTGAGGCCAGGAGTTGGAGACCAGACTGGCCAACATGGCGAAACCCCATCTCTACTAAAAATACCAAAAAGTTTAGCTGAGCATGGTGGTGCACACCTGTAATCTCAGCTACTTAGGAGGCTGAGGCAGGAGAACCCCTTGAACCAGGGATTCAGAGGTTGCAGTGAGCCAAGATCATGCCACTAAACTCCAGCCTGGGTGACAGAGTGGGACTCTGTCTTACAAAAAAAAAAAAAAAAAAAAAGAGTTCAAAATGTCAGTAATGCCAAGGTTGAGAAACCCTGCTTTAAGGTATAAAAAATATCTTATTTGGAATTAAATTCTTGCTTTTTAGGAATTCTATTACATCAACTAAAGAAACTACAGTTTTCAAAAACAGGAGGGAAATACCTTTGCCCTTTTGCTTAACTGGCTGTGTCATTTGACTTAGTCTGCTAATACCTCAGTTTTGTCCTCTGTAAAGTGGCCAGATTGTATGAGTTGATTTCTAAGTTTCCTTCAGGCTCTAACCCTCTTGGACTCCATGACTCCAACTGCCAACAATCTTCTTTGGTGCCCGAGGGAAGAGGGGCCGGGCAGAACCCTGCCATGCTCTGGATAAATACAAGCACAATAGAATTCCTTGTGGAAATAAATCATCTTTTCATATAAAGTCTTCTGAAGACCATTTCAAGAAGAGTAATAGGTCTGCCAGTCCAACACCTGCAGGGTGGGTAATAATTTACTTAGCCCACTGACTTGGGGGCAGGTCCTGCTCTTGATAAATGGCCCAATTAAGCATCTGTTAATCACGGCATTATCTCCTTGGAAGGTGGAATACCTACTTCTCTCTCAAGCAGTTTTTCAGTGAGATAACATCACGAATTCCCCAAACTGTGAAGGGAAGGGCATGTAACAAGCACCGGGAATGATGCAGGGCCCCTCTCCGGAGCTTCGGCCCCTATAGTTGCTGGGAATATTCCCTGTGCCCCATCCTGGCCCTTCCCCCAGCAACCTTCCTATAACCTCGGCTCCTGAACTCTCGTGTTCGTCTGAGGCCTTGATAATAAAGCAACATCTGCAAAACCTACAAGAACTTTACTGCAGTTAATTGAGTAATTGAAGCAAGATGCAGGGAGGGGTGATCTATGGGCCTGGGTTGAGGGCCAAGAAGGAAGACAACGGATTTATTGCAAAGGCCGTGGGCGGCCTTGGGTCCAGGCCCTGGTTCACGGGAAGTTTGAGGTCATGTGGGATTAAAATATCTTTAGAAACAAATGGAATAATTTGACTGAAATATCAGGAACGCTGTGTTAGTTTATGCCAGGAGATCAGGTGCGATTTATTTACCTGTGCCCAACGCAATTTTTGATATTTGACCCATTGGTCTAAATTTATAGACGATCCGGCAAGTGGATATCCCCTGTGTCCGTCTGTCTGTCTCATCCTGATTGTTACATGAAGCCAGGCTTTGTATGGTTCAAGATAAGTAGAGTTATGCCTGAAAGGGCTGGAGGCCCAGAAACTATCCAGGTGGTAAGCAGGACCAAAGATATTTACAATCCAGCAGTTGTATTTGCTCAAAAATGGCTTATTAGGGCAATGTGCCATTGGTGGTAATATCTTCTTGTAATCTGAATTAATCCATAAATCTACATTTAAGTACAATTCACCACCTAGAAGTCATCGGGAAAGATGTAATTTATTTGCTACCTTTGCAGATGCCAGATCAATGTATTATAGATACATAAAGTTGCCCATGCGAGCACTCATGCGAGCACCTGGCATCAGACCTGGCCCCAGCAACCGGCCTGAACACACGCCCCCAGCACACAGGAGGATTGACTGTTTGGGAAGGTTATTGCTCCTTTTGTAGTTTCTCCGTTGCTTTATTAAGTCCCCAATTCCTTGCAAAACTGTACAATTTTAATAACTCAAATCCGTGTGCATCATAAAGCTGTCTAAATATACCTCACGCCCTGGGTATCAGACAGATCCTCGGGTGATGATGTCACTGGGCCTGATTAACCGAACAGGTCATCCACAAGATTTTATTACAAGTGTCATTTAGATTTCTGACAGCTTTACAAGGCTTAATGGCTTTTTATTAAATACATTGTGTTCAGGGAAGCTGACAGTTGTGGATGCCTTGTAAATACAATGCAATGGAATTTCCTTAGAAGCTGCGTGAGAGAAAGCAGAAGGGGCAGGGACATCCCTCCCTGTCCCCGGGCCCATTGCTCAGGAGGCCCGGAGTTCATAGCCTTCCAAGACGAAAGACAAATGACCTCCTGAAGACGCCACCCCCGCCAGCTCTTCCAACCGAGCAGGTCTGCTACAGGTTGGCCCAGATGTTTTCATCTGAAACTCTCCAGAGAATCAAATTCCTCAGGCC
Organism: Homo sapiens; assembly: GCF_000001405.40. NCBI lineage: Eukaryota > Metazoa > Chordata > Mammalia > Primates > Hominidae > Homo > Homo sapiens. Next base: position 117,796,249 of record NC_000010.11, on the reverse strand, counting down.
AGAGGGTGACCCATGCCAGCCTCCCACCCCTCATCCCTTCCCCAGCACTGGCTTCCTCCAGGACTTCCTGAAATTAATGTTCTCCATAAACTGGTTAGCTAAGTTTTGTTTGTTTCTTCCAAGCAGTTTGTTGGACCCACTTGGAGGGAAGACAGGAGGAAGGATGGATGGACTTATGTGCCCCCCGACCACCCCCAGGTGCTGGGTACTGTGTTTTATGCCCTTGGTAAACTGCCTTGCCCAATTTGTACAACCACAACCACTTTGCTAAGCAAATACCCCGTTTGCACCCATAACGGGGGTTTGCACATAATAGGTAAGCCCCACCTGCAGCAGCTTAAAATCGAGAGAGTGATTGTGCAGTGTATCTCTTGTATTTGAGATTTTGGGTATGTGATTGGCCCTTGCCAGGCCTTGTGAATCTGTGAAAGAGCATGATGACGGCCACCTTGCGGGGCTGCAGCAAGGAAACAACGATATCATAGGGTACAATGAGACCTTAGTAAACACTGGTTGTGACCTGATATCACTGCCTTTCCATTACTGTGGATGGTGAACCCAGCAGTTATGTCCAACCAGAGCCCTAGAGTGCTGGAGAAAGCTGCAGATCTTTGGGGTACACTGGGCCCCCCAAATCCTACATGTTTCACAATGCACATGAAAGTGGAAGCACATGTGTGATGTTCCAGACCAAGGCAGTCAAACCAGAGACTCAGTAATATTCCAGGAACCACCCCCAGAGAGACTTGGGGTTGGTCCGGAAATTACTCCCATTTAATGCGGGGCTGGGTCTCTGAGGACCCTGCTGCATCCCCCTGCTTGGCAGACCTGCTGTTTCAGCTGGGTTTCATTGTGTTTGAAGCCAGGCTTCGTGGAGAGCTGGCAAAAAGAGCCATGTGAGCTGGGGAATTTTCCTTCCTTCCCATCGCCCCACAGCCTGTGGCCTGGAGTTGGGTAGCCAGGATCTCCCTTTCTAACTCGCTATTTCTGATCTTGGGGAGTTGGGTGTATAATTTTATGTGAGGGCTGTGTTGCTCAGATTCCAACATGCATGCCATTTCAAGGAAAATAATTCACAGATTCTAGAGAATTAATTCATCTTGGATCCCAATTTGAGACACAGAAAATGAGTCTTATTCTACAACAAAGTAAATTATCGTTGCAGCAGAGGTGTGTCCAGATGTCTGGTTGAAGACTTATTTGTATATTTTTTAAGTGTGTATGAGACTTGTGGCTTCCTGAGATTTTGTCCGTGGTCTGTGCTTGGGGAGTCACTGAACTAGGGAGAACTGCAGTGTTGGAGGTCATTCAGAAAAGGCAGGGCAGCCTGGAGGAGTGGCCTAAGCATCCCCTGTCTCATTCATCCATCCTGTCACCTCTCATCCTCAGGGAAGAGACACCTGGCTTGGGCCCCCCTCTGCCCACCCCCAGCATTTGGGTGGTAACTTGCAGCTACTTCTCATGGTGCAAAATCTGCCTCCCTGGCTTGGCAAGCCAGGACCTGTCCTCGTTCTCATTTCATTGCAGGTAGAGTTTGCCTGTTTGTTTTTTCCCTCCAGAGTAAATGCCAACCCTGGATCGAAATCTTAATGGTGGTAGGTTGAATTTCCAACTGGGCTACTTTGGAAATATTCCATGTCCTGAAAATTAGAGAGTACATACTGCTTTTATGGATAACAGAATCCATCGAAAATGATGAAAATTTGCTTTCCAACACATCTAAAATAGACCTGCCTAAACTTTCTCTATTGTGTAAGACCCCACAGCCACATGGAAAGGACACCCCTTGGAATGAGTCAGGAGTGAGCATGCCACTCCACTGCTGACATTGTGGACGATGTGTTCAATCTTCGAGCCACAGTGTCCTCTGTAAAATGTGGGTGCTATTAGTTAGCCCAGAGGGTGGCCAAGAAGGCTATATAAAATAACCAAGGTGCCTGGCAAGGGGCTCAGCACAGAATGCAGGCTACCCCCCACCTACACACCCATCATCATCCCTGTAACTCAGTATGAAATCAGAAGGGGGAATCCATTCTCTTTCTGGCCACCCCCAGGGCAAAGCAGTCTGTCTGCATAATGTATCACCCAAAAGGATGCTAAATGTCACCTTCTTGGAGATGGTGCCAGAATGTTTTGGTTTGTGCCCACTGAATGATAAGCAACATTCTTACCATTTCATTCCATTTCTCTGGGGCCAACATTTACCATTGTCTGTCGTGGGGCAGCCTCCCATCTCCATGGCCTTGGGAATCCCTGTAGAGCAGACAACAATGGCAGAGGTGCAATTTGCCATGCCTATCTTGTTGACTCTCAGCAGCTCCTTCACCGCTGGGCTCCTCCAATCCACCTGCCACAGACTCTCCACGGAAAGTGGTTAGAGGTAGGACAGGTAAGACAACCTCTCCCCTTCTAGGCTTTCCATGCAGGCAGCGCCTCACTTGGTTTCTTGCGAAAGGTAGGTAAGTAGATTCATCTGAGTGAAAAGTGTTGTCAAAGTGCTGGGAAGATGTGCAGAAATCAGGAATGTGCTACCTCAGCTGATGGGCAGTGCCTTCCCATTAAACAGCCTGATAAAGACAGCTGCCGGCTGGCAGGGCCAGAGAGCAGGACTCTGCACACAGAGAGCTTCTAACTTCTCCCAGATGCCTCCCTGCTTGCTCGTGTTGCCGAATGCCACTGCAGAGCCCGACATTTCACCAGCTCCCAAATCTGTGCTTCTCCACCCCTGCAACCCTTAAAGGGTGTCCCAGCCATGGCTGGATTTACCAGTCACACTTTGACAATTCCTGACACTTATCAGCCGTGTGACCCTGCCCCAGTGATTTACAGTCTCTGAGCCTCAATTTTCCCATTATTGATAATGGACGTAATGAAGCCTACTTGTCAAGGGATGGGGAAATTAAGTGAGCTAACACGTGGAAGCATGCAACAGAGCTGGCACATAGTAAGTGTTCAATTAATTTTTTTCAAGGATCAATACATGATATTCGCATTAAAATCATTTTTGTGAAAGAAAATATAGTCTCTAACACTAAGGCCAAGATGTTCTGATGCTTGACAGAAGTTATATGCTACCCAGGGTCACCCACCATGGCCATCTGGTTGTGTGCACAGCCTACACAACTGTCCATGGCTTCCCTGGGCCAGCTCTTACCTGATGCATGTCTGGAGTCCAAGGAAAATTTTTTTTCTAGGTTAGTTCACTTAGGATACAAGTGAAATTCTTTCCTCAATTTTCTGTCCCCAAAGCTATCCAACAGTTTAATTAAATCTTATGAGACTTAAGACAGGAGCACTCTGCCCTCCATCTGTCTTCTGAGCTCTTTTCTCCTGGCTATCTTTACTTCCCAGAGAGTTTTCACCTCTGAGGAGGGGCTCAGTGGGCTCAGGCTCAGATAGATGCCATGGGGCCTGCCTTTAGTGGCCCTGGGGGCTCCTCATGTTCTTCACGGGGGGTGTAAGGGCAGGATATCCCTTGCACCCCCTGACAGCACACACACTCACGTTAGGCTTTGTTTAACCCAAAATGCCCCCACCGGCAGTATCCCTGTTAACATCATACTCCAAGCTGGTCTCTCTGCTTCCATTCTTGCCCATTCTCCTGCCCTCTTCATGCTTTGACCTCTAGAATATGAATCTACTCCTGTAACTCACCCCTTCTTAAGACCGATCAATGGCTCCTCTTGCCTTTGGACAAAATTCCAAGCTCTTTCCCAGGGTTTAGAAGTTCCTTCTTAGCTTGCCTGTGCTTTTCTGCCCATCTTCCAGCTATCTCCTACCCTAGCTTCAAGTCTCAGCTTAGGCATCACCACCTCTGGGAAGTCTTCCTTGATTGCCCCACCTCAAAGGGCCCACGGCTGCCTGTACTTCTGCCTTCAGGCATGTATCCAGTCCTGTGTGCTGCAATTGCCTGTTCACATACCTGTCTCTCTGACTGGTTGAAATAACTTACTCCTCCCAGTGTCTCAGTGCCTAGCCCAATGCTGGAAATGTGTGCAGAGCTAATGAGTTAACAGATTCGTGATGACTCCTTATGGAGACACTACCCAGATCTTTTTCAGCATCAGGACAAGCAAGCAGCTTAGAGCTCCTGCAAGACTCCTGGAGACATCAGAACTCTCCATCCTGTGGCCCAGCAGAGGTCTGTGGTTTTTACTGCTAATGGAAATTGAACTGACAGATCAAAGGCAATGTCTCCTACAGCCCAGATTGCCAGCAGCCAGCACTATCAGAATATCGGTTGAATTGGTAATTCAAAATTAAGTGGATTAATGATTGACGTCAATTTGTAAAACCTGGCCTACCAACTCACCTCCTGCAAACAGGGCCTTTCTTATTCTGGGTCAGCTGGGAGCATGGAGCTTCCCAGATGGGAGTTGGTTGAGCTCTAGCCATACGCTGCCCGCCCCATCCCAACCCTGATTTTAAAGGGCCCCTGTTCTTAAAACTACACCATTCCTGTTAGATGTCTTAGAAAAGTCTTAGCACCTGAGATCACTTTTAAAGAAATAAACTCACGAATTTAAGCCAAAAGGGAAAAGCCTGGTACAATTTTGCACCTGTAACACATGAGTCACTTGATTAAAGAAATACTCAAATATCAAGTTTGTGATTCTCTCTGTGTGGGCAGGAAAGTGGGGGGCATGTGGAGGGTGAAAAATGCCTCAGCTGCACTAACTTACAAATCCTAATCAATGTCTAAATATTCTGGGGCTGTCCACGTTTTGGAAAACGACTTTTCCCCTGTGAGTACTTTATTTGATGGTCAGAGGGAGACTGAAGAAGGGAACAGCTGCCGGAGGATTTCAAAGCCTTCTCCTCTGGCAGGTAAGGCTGGTTTCTCCACCTTTGTTCAGAAGTTGGGGAGGGAAACAGGGAGCTGCGGGTCCCACCATGGCAGATGAGGGCAACTCCGCAGGAGCAACCCCTCCTGCAAATCCCCTGGTAAACTGGCATTGTAAATGCTCGGACAATGCACTGAGAATCTGTAGGAGGAAAACGTCCCTGGCGAAGAGAGCTAACCCTGCTGGGGGTCTCTGCACTGAGCTGCAAGTCCAGATAAGGCTCACGCTGCTCAGTCCACCCACACCCCCTGGCAGGTTCAGTAACATGATTCCAAGAAGGCTGATCTGGGTTTAGGATGCCGCCTTCTCCTGAGAAGAAAGGACATGGGCAGCCCTTGGGCCCGACCCGCAGCTCCTCTGTTTCTTCTTCCATTAAATGGGGACAGTCATTCCTTCCCCTGAGGCATTGTCAAGATTCAATAAAATCATTTACCTACAGCAGGTGGCTGAGGGCCTGACATCCAGGGATGCACCCGGTATCCAGCCCTCTCCCAGCTCTTCTGAGAGGCAGGCATAGGTGTCTCAATGACTGTGACACCCAGGGCACCCGGGGTCACTCTAGGAATGCTTTTTCATACTGTTTGTCTTAGGCCTTTCTGGGAAAGGGACAGGGGAGATAGAAAGAGGAGGAATGCAGCTCCATTGTACATCGGGTGTACATGGGGAGACTTGGAGGCCAGGTCGGGGTGGTGGTTGGCTCCTTCCCAGAGCTCTGCTGGGGTTGGACGGTGTGGACATGGGAGGTAGGAGCGCAGGAGGCCACCTCCAGCCTCCCTCGTGCCCTTTAGCTCAACTCTCCTTCTAGTTTGTTATGAGCAAGAGATCCTGGGCTGCATATTAATAAAACAATGGAATTTTTATTTTTCTCATAAATTACATAATTCAAACCTTAAAACACCTTTAATGAACAGTGACTGGGCATGTGACACTTAATAAAACTGGGCTCAGTTCAGTTTCTGCTTGACAGGCTACCAGCCGAGAATGTGCCTTACGAGTAAATGATTAAGAGGCGGAGATCTTTCCTGGGCTCTACTATTAAACACTTCAAAGGTTTCCAAAGTCAGATAAAATGAAAAGCAAATGTGTTTCACTGCCTCTCAAATGCCTCAAATGTTATAGCAGGTGCAAGCAATGAAACCTTCTATGGTGACAGCATTTTAGGGTTTGCAAAGTGCACCCGACTGAATTCTGGGAATTCTGGGCTGGCTTCATAAAAATTCATGATTTCCAACGAGGGGCGATGATCGTCTTCAGAGCCCATCTACATATGTGGCACAGAAGGAAAATATCACAGGGTCCTTTAGGTCATGAGTCGGCTTAACCCTTTTTGTTCTGGAAGAGACCCCAGCCGGCATGGTCAGCCTTGTGCTGGCAAAAAGCGGGCAAATCTCTGAGTCAGTTAGAGTTTTCTTGAAGAACATTAATGGTCAGGTCAAGCCCAGGTCCTCTTTTTGGGGGCACGGCACATATTTTTGTATGTATACAGGCTTGGCACATATAGATCGCGTGGTTTCGTGCAAATTATTTAACTTCTCTGTGCCCCAGTTTTCCCATCTGTAATCTGGGGTTAATTGTAGCACCTACCTCACACTTTTGAGGAGGACTAAATGGGTTAACATCATAGAAGGACTTAGATCCCACAGCAGAATTCAATCCGTCTTCTCAATTCCTATGATTGTCCCGTTAGGAAAAATGAGTATGAAAAGTTAGCATTCTGCAGCTTGGCCGTTTGAGATTTTCATTTAAAATTTGCTATAACTTAGCTTTATAAGTCATAGTAATCTCTCACATAGACATATAATATTTTATAGTTTACAAAGGACATTCTGAGACGTTACCTCATTCCAACCTTTCAACAGTAAAGCGTCACCCATGGACAAAGGATGAGTTTCCAGCTCTGCTGTAGTTCTCTTGCGTAGTGATGGACCCATCCCTTGGACCCTATGTCCCGAGGGCACCCATCTATGAAATGGGCACAGACAGGCTGTCTCTGAGACATAAGCCACACTTAGGAACTAGCTCTACCAACATCTGCTGAGCTACCAGGGCTCACTGGCCCCATTCTCATCCCATATTTTTTTAATTCATAGAGGCACTCAAATGGTCTTTGTGTATTATCTCAGTAATCTTGCAAGCACTTGTTTATGAGACTGAGATTTTTATTCTTCTCCTTTGCTAATGAGGAGGGCAATGAAATGACATTCCAAGAGTCAATGAAGGAGAACCCCTTAGTTCTTTCTTCAGGGAATGACTGAGTAGCGATTGTTATCAAAGAACCTTCTCTTGATTTCCAGGCAACACAAGATTACTCACCTCCCACCTCGACACCACCGCTACCCAGTACAAATCTCTGAAAGCATCTGCAGGTTCTGCAGCACTTGAAATTGGGACATAGCTCATGAGTTCTTCAGCACTTGGTGGGGTCTTCAGGGGACATTGCTGTGAGCATCTCATCTGCTACCTGCCCCTCCCTGCTCACAGGCACAGCCAGCCTGAAGCAGAGATGCCCTTCTACAAAATCACGGTTAGTGTTTTGACTCAGACACCCCCTTCTCCCCACACACTCAAAAAACATGTTTGACCCAGCCTGGCCTCTGCCCGCTCTCTGCTCTTAGCATACACTACCCATTTCTACTTTTCTAATCATTAGAATTAAGGATACAATTTTAAGATGCAAGTGAAGAGGTAATTACCAAGATGTTTATCACAGTGTTATATATATGAGTGAAAAATACAAAACATCTTAAATGTGCAGCATTAATAAAATGTGAGGCATGCATATGCCAAACAAAGTATGATCCCTTATTTACTAGAAGTACATATTTTATATGTAAGAGATACTAAGAGGTATGTATGCCTATTTTAAAAGGCCCAAGAGGCTGTACATAAGTTTGTTAATAATGTTTACTGCTTAGAAATATGATTTCAGATTTAATATTTTTTTCAATTTTCTTTTTTTGGCCTGCCTGTATTTTCTGATTTCTCTGTTTAAAAAGCGTGATTTCTTTTGTTATGTTAAAAATGTTTTTATATTTAAAAAATTCCCCTAGAGTTCCATAGTTGAGAGTGGCTTTAGAAGGCATCTAGTATAATGGTTTTAGTCCAAGCAGGTAAACTGAGGCCCAGAGAAGTAAGATGCCACACAAAGGTCTTCAAAGTATTTAGTGGCAGAGCCATGATCAGAGCCCAGCCCTCTCACTTACCCCTGTTCTTTCCATGATGTCCTGTGACATCTCTCAGATTTCTATAAATGTACAGGGACCTTTTCCATGGAATTGACTGCATGGAACCACTTTTCCTCTCAGTGAAACTAAGCATTTCTCAACTGGATCTAAAGCAAATGTACCTCATCCTGTATCTGTGTCTCCCTCTCCCCAGGTTCTGGCAAGCATGGTTAAAAACCAATGGCACCAATCGCTGTGTATGTACCAGGACAGGGGAAGAAGGGTTATGCCAGATTTCAGCACATGATGCTTGGACTAGCTTTCATTCTTGTTATGGTCTGAATGTTTAAAGTTCATATGTTGAAATCTCCCCCCCGCCTTTTTTTTTGATAGAGGGTTTTGCTCTTGTCACCCAGGCTGGAGAGCAGTGGTGCGATCTCTGCTCACTGCAACCTCTGCCTCCCAGGTTCAAGAGATTCTCCTGCTTCAGCCTCCCGAGTAGCTGGGATTACAGGTGCCCACCACCACTCCTGAGCTAATTTTTGTATTTTTAGTAGAGATGGGGTTTCACCACGTTGGACAGGCTAGTCTAGAACTCCCAACATCAGGTGATCTGCCCACCTTGGCCTCCCAAAGTGCTGGGATTACAGGCGTGAGCCACCATGGTGGCCGATACGTTGAAATCCTAACCCCCAAGGGGATGGTATTTAGAGGTGAGGACTCTGGGAGGTGATTAGGTTAATAAAGGCACAATCCTCATGAATGCGCTTAGAGCCCTTACATTAGATACCCCAGAGAACACTCTCGATTTTTCCTCCATGTGAGGACATGGTAAGAAGGTACCATCTAGGAACCGGAAAGTAGGTCCTCTTCAGACACTGAATCTGCCAGCACCTTGATCTTGGACTTCCTGGCTTCCGGAATCATGAGAAAGAAATATTTGCTGTATTACCTAAATAGTGGACCAAGACCATTGTTTATGTAGGGCTAGTATTTGAACACTGGCCTGACCTCAAACCGCCCTACCCCTAGGCTCAGACTGGTCCAGCTACATGGGTAATGAACAACATTGCTAAATGAATAGGTTGAGATTCTATCAGCCTTTTTTTTTTTAATGGTATGGTTCTATCTAATTACTTTTTTTTCTTTTTTTAATGATACTTGAAGTTCTGGGGTACATGTGCAGAACTTGCAGATTTGTTACATAGGTATACACGTGCCATGGTGGTTTGCTGCACCCATCAACCTATCACCTAAATTAGGTATTTCTCCTAATTCTATCCCTCCCATAGCCCCGCACTCCCCTGACAGGCCCCTGTGTGTGATGTTCCCCTCCCTGTGTCCATGTGTTCTCATTGTTAAACTCCCACTTATGAGTGAGAACATGCAGTTTTTTAAACAAAGATTTGCCCTAAGCATTTGTGGTTTTCTTCTTCTCACCCATCATGACTCAATCATTTGTTGATGTTAAAATGAAAGGTGGCTGTTTTGCTCAATTGCAGTAATTATTTCCTTCAAGGAAAAGAGAAAACCTATGTTTCAAGCATCACTTTAAGTGAAGCTAAATATCCTGGCAAGGCCACAGCAGTACATATGGATAGGAAATAGAGGACCTTGTTGGAGCTGAGCTTCCACCAAGGCCTCCAAGAGAGCAGGTTCAAACTGGTGCAGTGTCCAGCCCTCACCTGGATATAACACCTCACAGCCTCCAAAACCTCATCTCCTAAAAGTTTCATGAAGATCCCACAGCAACCCTCTGCAGCCCACTTTCTAGATTGCTTTAAAGATGGGGAGACAAAAATGTGAAGAGAAGCTGGGTGACTTTCCAAGTAAGGGACCCTGCCTCTTGCTGCGGAATTTGTTTTTCCTATACCAGCTCCGGGGAGAATTTGAGCAGTTGAAGGTCAGAGCAGTTAGACTGTTCTGACTCTTAACTATAGGAGGCAGAAGGAACACTTAGAACCATTTAGGAATGAGGATGGGAAAAATTGAACCATGGACGATGTCCCAACCTCCCAAGCTCCGAGCTTAGGGCTTACATCACATGCACCATTTATTCTCCTTCTTTTTTTCTTTAAATTTTTTAAGCTTTAAATTTTCCCAAAGTCTCAGAATCTTCACTTCTGGGAATTTAGTCCATAAAAATAGAAGCACAATGACCTAAAGGTATGGATCTAGGAATACACACACAGAAGGGTGTTTAGTATAGCACTGTTGTCAGGGCCAAAAAGAAAATAAGATGAATGCCATTAACGGGAGAATGTTCAAATAAATTAGAATTAATTCCCACTATGAGAAAACGAGAGCTCCATTATTTGATTTTTTTTTTTTGAGACAAACTCTCACTCTGTTGCCCAGACTAGAGTGCAGTGGCATGATCTCAGCTCACCACAACCTCCAACCCCTGGGTTCAAGCAGCCTCCCGAGTAGCTAAGATTACAGGTGTGTGCCACCACACCCGGCTACTTTTTTGTATTTTTAGTAAAGATGGGGTTTCACCATGTTGGTCAGACTGGTCTCGAACTCCTGACCTCAAATGATCTGCCCACCTCAACCTCCCAAAGTGCTAGGATTACAGGCATGAGCCACTGCGCCTGGCCCATTATTTGATTTGGGGGGATTTCTGTGACATATTGGTGGGTGAGAAAAGCGAGGTGCAGTGATGCATATAAAATATGTCTTAGCTAGGTGTGGTGGTGCATGGCTATGGTCCCAGCTACTTGGGAGGCTGAGGTGGGAGGATCACCTGAGCTGAGGGAGGTGGAGGCTGCAGTGAGCCCTGATTGCACCACTAGGCTCCAGCTTGGGCAACAGCGTGAGATCCTGTCTCAAAAATAAAATATGTCTATATGTTGAATGTGTGTTTTTATTTGTGTGTCTGTATATGACTATATGAGCCCAGCATAGAGGAGAGAAGGACATGAAACAGGCTGTGAACCTGAATTCATGGAGGTGGGTGGTAGGGAAACTAGTGAGAGGAAGCAAGTTTGAAGCAAAGCTATGCACAAAAATATCATGTGGAATAAGATCTGAAATGTGCAAATGATATATATGTGGGTATGTGTAAATATCACAGAAAATGATTGAAGTAGATTCAGATTCGCTGACTTATAGAGCCATCAGGTACACAAAGCAAGATGGGTTGAGAGAAACTTAGAAAGCAAGATTCCATCTTCATGAAAACAAAATTCCTAAGTCCACACACATCTGTCACAGCTGTGTGGGAGCCTCACGCCAGCCCAGGCCTGGGTGCTCAAGGGGAGGGTGGAGGTGATGAAGACAGTCAGCTTTTTCTTTATGCATCTTTGCCTTGTCTCACTTAATGCTCTAAAAACTGATTTTTTGCGGGGGAGGTATTCTGCAAAGTATCAAATTGTCAAAGTTTTTAATGCTCCATTGTGCTTATTCTCTGGTGATTTTAAGTGCAGCATCAAGTAATTCTCTGTTGCCCAAACAGGTGGCCTTCTGAGCCGCCGGCTGTCCTTGAGTGTGGGGAAGGCCTGAGCCGGGCAGCTGGGACCCGCCTCGGGTAACCTGGGTGAGGGGCTGCAGGTGTCTCCTGTCAGAGGCTAGGTGAGGCCCAGATGTGGTACTGGCAGAAACGCATTCTCCTCTTGCAGGCCTGGGGAAGGCAATATGCCCTTTGGGGTCTTTGGTGGCTAGACAAGGCCAAAATGGCGCATTTCCTGGGGCTCAGTCCAAGGCGCCATCTTGTGAGGAGGCAGAATCAGGGTCCTGAGTGAGTGACTCAGCTCAGCTTGTGGGGATTTCTGGTTTCAGCCAGTCCGCTGGGGTTGTTGATTGTGATCAAGCTGAGCAGGTGAGAAAATGGGCAAAATAAAGGGCCAACCTTAGTTTTAATACCCAGGAAGTTTGCATGTGAAAGAAAAAGCATGAGGCAAAAATTCTCCAGACTCAACTCTGACAACTGAAATGGGAAGGAGAGGGGTTGAGGTCAGGCACGAGAAGTCCATAACCGCTGTCCCAGAAAGAAAGGCTCGCAAGGCCGTCACAGGGCTGCGAGGGGGTCAGCCGGGGTCCTCAGCTGAGGTCAAGGCTTAGAGCTCTGCTCGGGCACAAGCGTTCACAGGGCAGCCCCTCCACCCAGCCCCACCGCCACTGTCCGTGCCCTTCCCTGCCAAGTTTTCTCCAGGACACACACCACCCTCTGACGTGCTGTGCGTTTTAGTCCCTTGTAGTCTGTTTTCATATCATTACCTAGAACAGGGCACAGGGAGCTGCTCAACAGTGACTTAATAAGTGAACAAATAAACAGTGAATAAGCGAAGATGATGAGGGCCAAAAATAAAGTGTGGTACAGCCACGCAAACAGATATTACACAGTCATCAAAAATGCTTTAGGTAATGGTGTGTGCCCAAAACTGTCCACATCAATTCTCTCTGGGGGTGGATTTATGAGAAGGATGGGACCTTTACCTTTTCCTAATATGTAGTTCTGAAATATTTCAATCTTGTGTTACTTTGTACAGTATTTCATTTGTGAAGACAAAAAGAAAAGCTTGTTTTGATGTGGAAAAAGTTTAGAAGATTTTTGTAATGACATGGAAAAATGACTTTGCAGCGGCTTACGTTAAAAAACAATTGGCGGGGCGCGGTGGCTCACGCCTGTAATCCCAGCACTTTAGGAGGCCGAGGCAGGCAGATCACCTGAGTCAGGAGTTCGAGACCAGCCTGGCCAACTAGTGAAACCCCGTCTCTACTAAAAGAAATACAAAAATTAGCCGGGCGTGGTGGTAGGCGCCTGTAATCCCAGCTACTGGGGAGGCTGAGGCAGGAGAATCGCTTGAACCCGGTGGGTGGAGGTTGCAGTGAGCTGAGATTGTGCCACTGCACTCCAGCCTGGGCGACGAGAGCAAAACTCCATCTCACAAAAAAAAAAAAAAGAAAAAAATCAAGGTACAGCTGGGCATGGTGGCATATGCCTGTAATGCCAGCTACTCAGGAGGCTGAGGCAGAAGAATCGCTTGAACCCGGGAAGCTGACAGAGTTTGCAGTAAGCTGAGATCGCGCTGCTGTATTCCAGCCAGGATGACAGAGTGACACTCTGTCTCAAAATAATAATAATCAAGGTACAAACCTTTATAGAAATGTATAGAAAAAAATTTATATATTTGTGTCCAAAAAAAAAAAACTAGGAGGTAACTTTAACAGTGATTTTTGTCTCAATTCTTTCCTTCCACTTTATACTTTTTTATATTTTCCAAATCACCTGAATAAGCATATAGTCAGATCAAAGTTTATTTAAAAGTAAAATTTTACTGTAGCTATATTTATGAGAAACGTGATTATGCAGAAAAGTAAGATAGGAGACAAGAAGAGAGGGGGTTTTTGTTTTTATTAATTGTCAGTTCAAACTGTGTCTCGGTCCTCAGTGAAGGCATCAGTTATTGTTCAAAGGATGGAGTCATGAGGATTTTCAGGATAGGACAGATTCTGCAATCTTAATCAGAGGATTGTTGTCATGATAAATAATCTTTCCTTCAAGACAGCCTTCCTCAGGTCTAACTGAATTTCCTCCTGCTTCATCAAAATGAATGAATAAAAAGTCCACCACTCTTATCGGTGGAAATGACTCTTACAAGCCACATACTTATGAAAACCCTCTGCAGATGTAAACATGGTTACTTATTATTAAGTCTTTTTCCCTCTCTCCACATCCCAGCCCTCTCTCTCCCTTCCCCTCCCCCACAAAGTGCAAAATACTTTTAGCTCCTTTAACCCTGCTTTGCAACACTTCCACGTGATCGTCACCTCCCTCGGGCCTCTTTTCAGGGTTTCTGCATCGTTCCCCAAACAGTTGGCCTAAAACCAAAGTCAAGAATGGACTTGGCCAGTGTAGAAATGGCTAAGCAGTTTACCTCATGGGTCTTGCAGAGCCTCCCTCCTGTGGATCTCTCCCTGTGTCACTGGCATAAAAGAAAACAGCCCTTCCCTATCCATAGACCACTGTCAGATTCTCCAGGTAGCCTGCCATTTGAGGACTACCTTGCTGTCCCTCCTTAGCAAGGCCTTAAAACTCTGATTCCTGGGTCTCTTCACCTTCTGTCCTCTCATCCATCCATCCAGGGGTTTAGGATGGTGGCATTCACATGGTCCCTATCCCATTGTCACTGCTTGTTGCGGTCAGCAGCCATAAATTCTGCCCTACCAAAACAGCTGCCACTGAGCCAGGTGGCATATCCAGAGGCACCACTCTGCTGCCCAGGAGGATCAGATACACTGGGCAACTGTGCAGGCACTGCTGCTCCCAGGACAGGAGGACTGACACTGACATTCACAGAAACAGACAGCGTTTCTGGGAATGGGCAGGTGGGCGCTGTTCAAATGCAGAGCAGCTTGTTTCAGAGTGGTGATGTTGAATTGCATGCACGCACACGTGCACACACTGCTTACTGTTGCCTTCAAAAATAAATTTAAAATACATTTATGGAGTTAACAGACTGTGAGAGTTTTTGTTTTAATAAAATTAATCTGTAAAGGTTTCAAGACCTTAACAAATGATCAATGAGTCTTTCGTAATTGACTTAAAAACTTCATTAAGTACACAGTGTGGCTTTCTTATTAACTTCTGTGGATTCCAGTTGGGCTTTTGCTGCACTCGGGTGGATCCAGGAAGAGGAATTTCTGTAGTCTCCCAGGTTTGAACCACATCCTGGGACTGGACCTCTTGCTTCAAGACTTCGGTCCAGGACGTCAGCCCTGGGGTCAGGCTTAGTTGCCTTCCATGCCAGTGAAGAAATGGGGTTGAGTGTGAGGGGGTTTCAGGAGACTCAGGGAGTCCTCTAGGTGCCACCTGAACCTGCCTCATCTTTCCCGGAGCATCCCTTATAGACAGCAGGCTGATGTCAGGGCGAGACACTCATACTCCCCATGCCCACCGCTTCTAGATGGAGGCAGGGCTGTCCTCAGCCTCCAGCCCACCCAGAAATCTCCCAATGATACTTTTTCATCCATCCATCCCTTCACCTGTGCAGTCTTCCATCTAATGTTCATTGAGTTCCCACTGCATGCCAGGCAGTTGACTGCATACTGAGAATTCCACTCCTTATTTCTCTTCACTTTTTTCTTTCCCAAGAAGGGGACAAAAGCAGGAGCCCAAGGATCTCCAGAGAGAGTGAGCTGCCAGCTGGTGACCAGTAACTGCCAGGACTTCCTGTCCTTTGGGAGAAATTTCTGGGAAACAATCTAGACTTCTTAGAGGTCCTGGCAAAGGGGCCCCATTGCCTATCACTCTCCCCAACTTTGTTTTATTTTTATTTTTCTTTATAGCATTTATTGTCCCTGACAGTCTACATTTATTTGATTTCTCATTTATTGTTTCTCTCATTCTATCAAAATGTAAGCTCCATACATGTAGAGATTTTGTTTTATTCACTGCAATTTCCCTATTAGCCTTATCAGTGCCTCACATGGTTGGCACTTAAAAATATTTGCGATGGATGGATGGATGGATGAGAGGATGGATGAATGAATAGATGGATGCATGGATGGGTGGATAGATGGATGGAGGGATGGGTGGATGGATATATGAGAGGACATAATCACTCCAACTAGATGGAAAAAACTCTGTGGATGGATGGATGGATGAGCAGAGAGATGGTTGGATGGATGGGTAGATGGGTGGAGGAATGGGGATGAATGAACAATTAAATAGAGGGATGGATGGATAAGAGGGCAGATGGATGAGTAGATGGATGCATGGATGGATGGATAGATGGATGGAGGGATGGATGGATGGATAACAGACATGGTTCCTGCCCTTGTGGAGTTTTCAGCTTTGTGAAGGAGACTATTAAAGTCATGAAAAACTATGTAAAATTGCAATTGTGTCAAGTGCCGCAAAGGAGAAAAACTCAGTGAAGACTTTAACAAAGGACTTTGGCCTGATCTAGTGTGGGGAGGGAAGCCTGCCTCAAGGAAGTGAGGACTGAGCTAAGATGGGTAGTGAGAAGGAACCGTTAGCAGATACAAACTGTCCCTCTACATAGTTTCAAGTTGTGTAAGCCTTGCTCTCATGTCATCCTCTCTTCCTATTTCTCCCCCAGGAAGGCATCATGAGCAGGAACCCAGGTTCCTCAGGAGGCCATGGGCTACCAGCTGGTAGTCATGACTCCCAGAGTAGAGAGACAGGAGCTTGTGGTTCCCGCTTCCTCCCAGTGATTGCCTGGATATGATGGACCATGGTGGGATCACAACGCAAACTTGAGACTATGATGTTAACCCGGTGGTGCCAGCCAGGATGGGAGTTCTCCAGGCTTGAACAGAGCTGGTGAGGGCCTTAAAATCAATTGAGTGTCTTGTTTTCTACTGGATCCCTGACAGAGAAGTACAAACACTCAAAATGGGGTCAGCACTGCCTGGTTCAAATCCTCATTCTGTCATTCCCAGGTCTGTGACCTTGGGATAGTTATTTTACCTCCTTGGCCTCCATTTTGTCGTCAGTGGAATGGAATTGATAATTGTGAAAGTGCTTTCTAACACAAGCCAGTAAGAACTGTGTACATATTTACTGTTTTTATTGCTAGCGGTCAATGATCACCAAAAAAAAAAAAAAAGAAAAAAAAGAAAACTGGATAGGTTCACTGGTGCCAGTTCAAATGCATTTGTCCTTTCACTCAAAAAAATAAAACTGTTGGGTATTTTCCATGTTCCAGTACTGTGCTAGGCATAGTAGGTCCATGAATATGAGCCTGGAATGAGTCCTGCCTTCAACTATATGACAATCTAGTAAGGAAAATTCATGGGAAGTCACAGGCAGAGCAGATAGCTCTACTTGGGGACAAAAAGAGAGTTCAGAGGGAAGTTCAGAGGAAGGCAAAAATATTTCAGTAGAGGGAAGCCGAGAGGGCTTCTTAGATGAGGTGACATCAGAGCAAACCTACCTTTAATTCCTGAAGCAGTACCTTTCTCCGACTTTCATGGTCTGCGTCCTCAGTGCTGTGTGACCTTATCCCCCAGGCTCTTCTCAAAACACAAATAGTAGAAGGAGTGATAACACAGCAAGCCAAACTGTGGCAGATACTGACTCTGTCCTGTGTCACATCCCTCAAGCTGTCTCTGACTTCATCTTTGATACCACCAAAAGCAATGGGTAGTGTTCTGCATGCTGGCAGGTTTCTATGTTAAGGGCCTGATGAGTATCTCCACCTCGGGCTCTGCTTTAGAACCTTCTCCAAAATCAGGGAATCCCATGGAGCCCACCTACAAGTTCAGTGTGAGGTTGGGGGAGAATGAGCCCTGCTGGGGCAACCTTTGAGCAATGAAGGATGGAGCCTGTGGGTAAATGCTCTGGTGTCCTGTCCTTTAGCCAGAATATTCTGGAAGGCAGTCTGCAGGCTTCCCCAAGTTTCAGGCAGCTGAGCCCCCAAGACCTACAGCAGCAAACTCAACAACACACCTTCATGCTGGGCACTTCCTCCCTGTTACACTTCCCCTCTCCCTCGCTCATCATCATTATCATACAATAACTTGTATAGGATATTATAATTTGTACAGTGCTGTCAAACAAAACACAACAAAACCTCAGTGGCTGAGCACAATGAACCTTCATTTTGAGCTCATATTCCATGTCAGTCTGGGTTGGGGGGTCTGTTCTGCATTCTTCTCCTTTGGGGACTCAAGGCAACAGAGCCTCCACTGTGGAACATATCCAGTTTGTGGCAGGGGAGAGAAACATGGCGAATTGAGCACCAGATCTTCAAGCTTCTGCCAGAAAGTGACCCTCCTCACTTTGGGCCACATCCCACCGGCCAAAGCAAGTCACTTGTTCATGTCCAATTTCATCTAGGAGAAAAAGGCAGCCCAACCTTGTCCTTAGAGGGAAGAAAATGGGACTGCAGAGGAACAGCCCCCAGGGCCACCATGTTATTCTCCCTGAAAAGCCAGCTCTGTGCCCTACACTGGACCAGAAGCCCTTGATGTCGTGGGGATGGAGGGAGCAAGATACAGTGTAGAGGGAAGCAGAATACCCCAGCTCTGTCCTCGGGAGCTCCCAGAGCCTGGGTCCTCTTTTTGCCGCAGAACCTTGTACCTGCTCCTCCCTCTGCCTGGACCTCTCTTCTTGCTCACTCATGGCCCCAGTTCTTATTCATTCTGCACATCTCAGGACAAATCTTATATCCTCAGAGAGCTCTAGCTTCCCTCCCCGCCACAATTGTCAAAGACAGATCTTCTCTCTTATTCTCTCACATTCTATTTTTTTCATCGCAGCACTCATCACATTTGTAACTGTATATTGAATGTGGTGGTTTTATTGGTAGGCACCCCACTAGACTATAAACACCGTAAAAGCTGAGACCACACCTGTTTTTCCTGGTTGTATCTCTACCATCTACCAGTCACACACATAGTAGATGCCCAGTAAATATTTACCAAAAGAACTCATCAGGGAGACAAGAAATACATGAAATGAGCAGAAAATAATTTAAAGAAGTATAAAACCCCCTTTATGTTTATATATTTGATTCACATTACCCTTTGCTAAACCCAAAGGTAGATGTAAAAACTCTAGGGAAGGGGCCGGGCATGGTGGCTCACGCCTGTAATCCCAGCACTTTGGGAGGCCGAGGTGGACAGATCACGAGGTCAGGAGATCGAGACCATCCTGGCTAACACAGTGAAACCCCATCTCTACTAAAAATACAAAAAATTAGCTGGGCATGGTGGTGGGTGCCTATAGTCCAAGCTACTCGGGAGGCTGACTCAGGAGAATGGCATGAACCTGGGAGGCAGAGCTTGCAGTGAGCTGAGATCGCACCACTGCACTTCAGCCAGGGCAACAGAGCGAGACTCCGTCAAAAAAAAAACAAAACTGTAGGGAAACTGGAGAGCCTTCCATGTAAGTGGTTAATTATTATTCTTTCCCATAGTTCTACTTATTTCCCCAACATTCCTGGTACAAGGACCCGGGATTTTTATCCCCATCTTAGAGATGAGGAGACTCAGAGAGGGGCAGTGACCTACTTAAGGTCACCTGGATAGTATTCTGATTTGCAGTCCTAAGCTGCTCCCTCCATGTGACTCTTCCTAATGCAGCCTCCAACCAAATGCTTGGAATCTGGTTGTTTGATTAAATGTGGCTGCTGTTAAGTTTAAGTCCATAATTAGAATGGCTAAGACATATCGCACATCCTTCGAGTTCATGATCTTGTTTAATTTTTCTCAGCAGACTCTTGCATTGCTTCCTCTAGAAAAACATGGATAATTGGAAAAGGGCATGAAGTTCTCAGGAAGGGAAGGCCCTGAGTGCCCATAGGGTTTTCCACCAGCAACCCAGCCACGTGGTTTTATCTTCACTGCTGAATTTGGTCAGTTTTGCATCTTTACCACACCTGAACAAAGTCAAGCTCACATTTAAAGGGTCTGTGTAAGGGCACATCAGAAGAGAGTATAATAACCCTGGCCTGGTGGTCAATTTCCTGATTTCTCTTTAATTATAGCTGTTACCATTTGTTGAGTGTCTACTGATTACCCTTCTATAGAAGAATACATGCACTAACTCACTTAATGCCCACAGCCACCCTCTGAGATACTCTTGGAGGCCAGCAACAGAAACTCAACTCAAACTGCCTTATGGGTGGGATAAAAGGGAAATTTGGGCTCATGTTGCTGAAAGGTATGGGGGTAAGGCTGTATCCAGCCCCTTGGGATTCTGCCTCTCCACGTCAGCTCTGTCTTGTCTGTGACAAGAAGGCCTTCTTCATGTAGTAGTCCCGACCGCTCCAGGATTACACCTTCTAGGATCAAGTGCAGGGGGTGCTTCTTTCTACATTACTCTGGCTTGATCCCCAGGATTGGCTCTGACAGGTTCTCATAAGGCCCATTAGTGTTCAGAGAGATAGGATGCTCTGAATGGCCAGATCCAGGTCACATGCTTACCCCTGGAGCCCGGGGGCAGGAATCAGCTCCCACCAAACCCTGTGATGGAGAGCCAAGGAGCAGCGCTTCTGTACGGAAAATCGGAGGCTATTACTGAAAGAATGGGAACTGGCTGTTCAACAGGACCAAGCAAATGCTTTCCATAAAGAGCTCTTATTATTATCCATCCAGCTTTTTAAAACAAGAAAATTGAGATCCAAAGCGATTAAGCCACTTCACTTTCCCAAAAATCACACATAGTGTTGGGGAGAAACTCCCTGCATTGCTTAACCATTGTTCTCTAAATAGTTCCATGAAGCTTGGGTCACCTGCTGCTGTGTCCTGAAAAATCACCATTTCAGTCTGCAATCTTGGGAGACTAGGTTCCAGGAAGGATGTTTGTAACTAAGTAGGCTTTAGTCTGAATAACTACACCATCTGCCTTGTGGGCTAAAGAAAGCTCCACATCCTTCTCCATGAATAGAGCTCAGAGTCATCCTCCCTCTCCCCTTTTATTCTTTTAACTCTTACTGGGTTGGAATTGAAACATTATTGTAGTACTATTAGTTTCAAGGAAAAATTGTAATTGCTTCTAGATCCACTCACTGGTTTCAAGAGCGCTTTAACCTTTAACTTTCTCAGTACAAAGGGAGGCTGGCTGTGCAGTGAATCTAACAAGACCATCATTTATTGCTGGCAGAGTTCATTAGTCAGTTGTAACAGTTTAATTATTAGCATTTTAATGCATGAGCATTTAACTAGACAGAACAACAAGCTTTGGCGTACAAAACAAGACTTCTTAAATGGAGCTGAATTAACCCGCACAATTGTTTGTATTGTGGTGTGTTATTAAAACGAGATGATTAAAATTCAAGAAGCAAATGGATCCATATATTTAGCCAACAAACCAGCACTTGGCTTAATGGTATTGAGAACATCCTTTTTTAAGCTTGAATTTTGATTTTAAAATATTTGCTTTATTTTTTCTGCTCTACATTACGGATTAAAATGCTCTAAGGAGGATTCACGTTACTCCACTGATTGTGGGGGCAGCTTTAGTGAAGAAAAGGGAGATACAAAGGAGACAGCCCACAAATGGTCCTGAGTGGTCCAGCTGGGGAGCACTGTTGCTGTGGGCTTCATGGCCCTCCACTCAGAAGAATCCCCTGGGAGATTTTTAAAAACTGACCCATCCAGGCTGCACCTCTGGAGATTCTGACATTCTGTTGGTCCAGAGTGGTGCCAAGATATGTTTTGTCATTTGTTTGTTTAACTCCCCAAGCCATTCTAATTAGCAGTCAGGATTGAGAACCACTGCTCTACCTCCATATGACAAGGTGGATCCTTTCATCACACTTGTCAAATGAGAATAAGGCTTGGCAATGTTCATAGCAGCACTATTCATAAGAGCTAAGAAGGAGAAAGAAAACAAATATGCACCAACAGATGAATGGAGAAGCAAAATGTGGTATATCCATACAGTGGAATTTTATTAAGCCTTGAAAAGGAATGAGATTCTGACACATGCTACAACATGGATGAACCTTGAAGTCATTCTGCTAAGAAGTGAAAGAAGCCAACCACAGAAGGACAATGATTGTATGATCCATTTATATGAGGGACCTAGAATAGTTAAATTCATAGAGACAGAAAGTATATTCAAGGTTATCAAGGTCTGAGGGGAAGGGGGATGTGGAGTTATTATTTAATGAATACTATTTGAGATGATGAAAAGGTTCTGGAAATGAATAGGGGTAGTCTCACGACACTGTGAATGTACTTAATGCTACTGAATTGCACACTTAAAAATGCTAAAAATTGTAAATTTTATGCTACATGTACTTTATCACAATAAAAATATAAAGGAAAAAAGAATAAGTCGTGCAATATTAACTTCATAGAATCAGTGTGTATATCAAGTGAGATTGTGGATAGAAGCCTTTTGCAAGCTTAACATGATGTACATATTTAAGGTGGTAGTAATATTCTTTAATTATTTGTTTTAATCACATTGTTTTAATAAGAGGCTACAGTATAAACAGCTGAGAAGTTTCATTAATAATGTCAAACCTAAACGAGTGTAATTAATGTCACTCCGCAAAGGCCTTCACTAGACTCAAAACATATTTTCTCTCTGGGGTAATCTTGGCCTGATTTTTCTATCTAAACAGTTTCTTCTTTGATGGAGAGGCAGGGACTCTTAGGGAAGGTGGGGAAAGATGGAAAATCTTATGTTTTTAATCTGATTCTAAAGATCACAGTGTGGTCCTACATGATGTCAATGCCACATCCTGGCCTTGGAGATTTGGGTAGAAAAGAAAGTTTCCAAGTCCTGGAATGGCCTTTCCAATGAGAGACATTGAAATGGACAAAGCATAACAAGTACTAATCATAACAGACAGCATTAATGGAACCTCTCCTACATGCCAGGCTTCTGATGGGAATATGGTTGGGGGTAGTTAGAAGGCTAGAGGAGAGGCCTTCCCTCTTGCCCTCTTTCCATGGGCAGACAAAAACAAACTCAGCATCCTGAATATTATGCTATTAGTTCCTTACTTCTGATTGAAGCAAGATTGTCCAACCACAGAGAGTCTGAAGGTTGGCGGGCATTTGGGCTGATTGGTAGACCATGAAGTCTTGTCACCTGAGCTTCAATGAACAGAGAGAGCCCCCTTGTTCCTCTCCGGCTATCCTCCGGGAAGTGAGGCCTTAGTGGGCAGGAGAAGGGGAGCCCATTCTCCCATGCTTTACTTATTTTGATTAATCCAAATGGTACCTTGTTGCTTTCCTTCCTAAAGAGTTTTAATGAAGCTTGCAAAATTGGACACACTACAATGGAAAATAATCTGATTAAATAAGAAAATTAGGTGAGCTATAAAACAGGAAGAAAAGCAAATACCTCAACGTCATGCCATATGGAGTAAAGAAAGGTACTGGGGGTGGGGGGATTTACAAATAGAGGGGCTTAGTCTCCTCTGCCCTTATTATTCCATCTAGAGGAGTGTCAGGGCCTGGGCAAGGCTGCTGAGCACACAGTGGGTCTGTGTTCCAGGGAAGGGACCCTTCTGGTCTGCCTTCTTCCCATGGAAGCATGGGCACGGTCCTACAGAGCTTGGGAAGACACAGACTATGTATATGGCTGAGCTCAGACTTTAACTGTTTGTAGCAATTGCTGGAAAATGCCACCACCCAGCACTTGGAAGCTGTGGGGGCCGGTGGGGGATTGTAGCCTCTTCTAATGGAGGAGAGGCTGTGATCAGTTAAGTCGGTAAAACCCCTCCCACTGGAGGTGGGAAATTTGGGGGACGCCCAGTCTCTGCCAGACTATCTGAGATGAATACCCAGAGTGATTTTTAGACAACCTTTTGTGCCCCTCCACTTAAAGAGGAAGTAAGATTGAGCCAGGAATGAAGCAAAACATAAGATGAATGCTACGGAGCCCCCTGTAGTTACTTGTAAGAGTGGGTGACAGATTTGGATCTTCATCTTCCAACAACTGATGTGGACAGAGTAATATGATGATATGGTGAATTGCAGCGTCCTTGAAGTAAAAATCACCCTAAGTAAGGCTCAGTTCTTCCTGATCTCAAAACCAGAAATAATATCCCCCATGAATCCTCATAGAAAGTTCTAGGTGTGATATGAAGAACACCATCCTCAACCAACTCTGGTAATGAAATCTAGGTGGTTTTTGTAGTGATGCTGCTCAAGGATATGTGTGGATCTGCCCTTATTTAGAAGTAGGTTTTAGAGCTGTGCTCTCCAATGCAGTAGCCACCACCCACTGTTGTTATTTAATTTAAATGAAATTAAACTAAAAATGCATCTCTCAGTCACACTGGCCACATTTTGAGTGTGTAATAGCCATGTGTGGCTAGTGGCTACTATATTGAACAGTGCAGAGAGTACAAAACTTTCACCAGAATGTTCCATTTGACAGCATTGTTTTAGGGTCCCAGTGATAAATTGCACACCCATCAGATAGTTTGCTCTAGGTATGATGTCCCTTAGCATAATTTTTGACAATGAGTAGCCATCAGCTTGAGCTTTTATTCCCTGCCAGGTACCCACTCTTCCAGATTGCCAGTTGGGTCCACAGATAGGGGCTTTAACTATCAGATGAGCAGAAAGAAGACCCACCAATATCCTCCTGTGATACCTGGGGGGCCCTGACTAAAGCACATTCCTGAAAGCGGAGTCATCTTACGTCTGTTTAGAGGTGAGCCTGGGAGAGCTGACAACAGGGACAGAGTATCCTTAGAGTGTGATTTTGGTTCCAGGTAGATAAGCAGTACAGGTTCAACAAGCCCACCATCTAACATGGCTACTAATTTTGGCCAAGTATCATAAAGCATGTGGAAACCAAGCCCCACCTCAGTCATACCTGTATCTCAGTAATGTCCCCATGTCCTGTCTATATTTGGGCAATTAACTTCCTGAGAGCTCTCCAAAGCATATGAGTTGCAAAATGAACCAATAGATAGATTTAGGATGTAGGCATCACGTATGGTGATTTTTAATTTTCCCCTTTTCCATTTGCTGATTTTTTTTTTCAGCAATGTTTCCCTAAGGAGTCGAAGTGGAAAGAGTTTCTTTTTCTGCTAACCCTAACAACACTGATGGGCTATCCTTCAGTATTGACTGAACCATGGGACCAAAATGTATTCTTCGGGATGACACTGGCCCAGTAGTTACTAAAGTCTGGGTCTATGACTTGGACAGTGAGTTTCCTGCCTATGACTACAGAGAGTTAACATTTTTCATAACTGGCATTTGCAAAGATTAAGACCCACATTGCCACCCTTCTAAAATTCCATCAGCTCTCAATGGGTTGCAATAATGGAGAAAAGGTCAGTTCAGCTATTCCCTCTACTGGAACTCTAGAATATGTCTTCATCCTATTGCTTGAGCACATGTGAGTCCTTCCCCCTGAGAATGCTGGCAATTCCCCACAGAAACAGAACGATCTAGCTCAAGAAACTGGAAAAGCTTCTCTGGCCTAAAAGGGGCTAAAAGAAACAGAAAAGGCAATAATGCCTCAGTGCTAAAGCTAATTTTTCTTATATTTGAAGTCTAAACATAATTTAGAACCAGCTGTCTGGAAAAAAAGAAAACCATCCACAATCCCAGCATCCTCATACAATATTTTTGTGTATGGTCTTTCACATAATATTTGAAAACATGATTTTCAGTACGAAAACCATCCCTATTTCACAGCAAGTGTCCAGGTCCCAAGTGTATTGTCTTCCCAAGGTTTGTCTGAACCATAGAATCTATTTTCTAAAAGAAATGTACTTTGCATGGTTTTGAGGGTCTCAGGCCAGCCCACAGCAGTCTACTTAACCCATTATGTGGTCCAGCTATGTGACTAACTCAATCACAAGCCCACCTCCCAGCTGCTCCCTCTGCATTTTGCACATTCTGCACACATTGGAATCTCCTCCCACAAGCATAGTTCCCAGGGAAGGCGTCTGTCCCCTCACAGAAAATTGGACAATCCTGGAGGAAGATACCTGTCAAGATATCAGCGTCCCAGGTCCCCTGTCTGGTTGGAGAGGAGCTGGAGTTCTGGCCACTGTTATACAATATACTATTGACCACCCTCAGAGGTTTTTGACAAATGATAATGGGAGAGGATTTCAAAGTGTACTCACACTCTCAGATAGCTAATATTTTCATTGTCAGGAGAGCATCCTAGCTCATGAATTGCCTGCCTTAGAGGTGCATATGTGTGACACACACATTTACATTAAAATGTAGGAAGGGTCAAACACCCTATTGTAGCTCAGGAAATCACACCAGCTATTGAGTTCTTTTGTATATGGGAGTTGTTTTTTTTTTTTATTTCATGCACTGCCCCCTCCCTGCCACTTGCCATTCATTTTTGGATTTCAGCTTAAAGCATCACCTCCTTGGGGAGTGTTTCCAGAACACTCCATGTGCCATCCATCTAGACTAGATGAAAACCCTTTGCTGTAAGATCCTCCTCTTTTCCTTCACAGAATTCACCATATCTGAAATCACTTGTTCAATGTCAATCTTTCCTGTTAGAGAGTAAGAATCATGGCAACAGGGATGGTTTCTAGAGAGTCCACTACACTATCTTTAGCATCTAGAAACACAAATGACAAATAGAATGCACTCAGTATAGATAAACCCATCTTAGCTTCCATTTCTGAGCATATCAGCAAGGATGGGCAGATGGAGAAAAGAAGCTAGAGGAGAAAAACTTCTGATGTGTGAAAAGAGAGGACTACTCTGATGAATCAGAGAATATGCTTTCTTGAAAAACTGATACTACAAGAAGCAGGAGAAGCTTTTAGGAATTGTCTAATTTGTATCAACACCATATCAAGAGCAGGCAATAATTTAAAAAGAACATCTGAGATCTGGAAATTTTATAAAATGATGAGAAGTACAATTACTGAATTGAAAGCAAACAATAGCAGCTTGAATACTTGTAAAATTTTAAATCAATGAAATACAAAATAAGGTCAAGAAATTTTCCCAGAGCAAGGAGATAAATATTTTAAAATAATTTTTAATGATTTAATAGACTCAATTATTATCTATTAGGAATGTCAATGGAGATAGGAAAAAGATGGAAAATACAACAATCTAACAAGTAATAGAAGAAAACTTCCTAAAACTAAAAAATGTCTTTAGATCCAAAGGGTCTCATGAAGATCAGGCAGTATTAATTAAAATAGCCAATATGTAGTAATATTCTGGTAGTTATATTTTAATTTTAGGTAAGAGAAAATCCTACAATTCTACCCAAGAAAGACAGTGTGTCTGGCCTCAAGATTCTCAAAAATATAAAGTAAAAGGAAATATAGCACTGACCATTGAGGTTATTTTTTTCTTCTTGGAAAAAAGTGAGAAACAATATACAAAATAAAAAGTACACAAATAATAAGTGTACAGCTCAATGAATTTTTGAAAACACCCATATAATTAGCACCCAGTTAAGAAACAGAACATGACCATCAGCCTGGAACACCTCTCATGCCCCTACAGTAGAATAGTTTAGCCTATTTTTGAGCTTCGTATAGGTGGACTCATATTGTGTATAGTCTTGTGTCTGACTTCTTTTTTTGAACATTGTGTTTTTGCACGTAGTTGTGATTTGTTCGTTCTCATTGCCATACGGTATTCCATTGTATGACTAAACTACAATTATCCATTCTACTGGTGGACATTCCAGCTAATCCACATTAGCTTCAAGTGGTACTATGATGGCCATTATTATATATATATGTCTTTGGTGAACATATATATGCATTTCTGGAGGGTATATCACTAAAGTTGAAATTGCCACATCATGGGTAGGTAGACATATGTTTAAATTTAATAGATACTGCCAAGCAATTTTTCTAAAGTTATTAAACCAACTTATATTCCCATCAGCAATATATGAAGGTTCCAGTTGCTCCAATACTTTCCTCCAATACTTGTTACGTCTATCCTGAATTTTAGTCATTCTGGAAACTGTGTAGTTATATCACATGTGGTTTTAATTTGTATTTCCCTGATGACTAATGAAGCTTAGAATGATTTTACATGTCTATTGGCCATTTGAATATCCTCCTTTTGAAGTGTCTGTTCAAGTCTTTTACCCTTAATGCTCCTTTGTCTAAATTACTTTAGTTTTATAAGTCTAGATTTCTGATAATGTAAGTCATTCACTTCTAGGTTTCCTCTTCAAGATTGCCTTAATTCTCCTTGGCCTGTGAATTTCCATATAAGTTTTAGAATCAGCTTGTTGACCCCACAGAAAAAGACTTGCTAGAATTTGTTTGGGATGGCATTTAATCTATGAATGAATTTTGGGAGAATTGACATGTTTACAATATGGTCTTCCAATCCATGAACATAGTATATATATATCCGTCCATTTATTTATGTCTTCTTTAATTTCTTCCAATATGTGTTGCAGTTCTCATAGTACAGATTTTACACACTTTTTATTAGATTCATTCTAACAAATATATTTATATTTTATATAAATATTATATAACTTATAATTATATTTTATATAGATATATCATTTATAATATTTGTATAATATATACATATGTGATTTATATTTATATAATATGTAAATATATAATGTATAATTATATAATATATAAATATATAATTTATAATTGTATTTATATAATATATAAATTTATATTACATATTATGTTTTTTGCATGTGGTAGTAGCATAAGGAGAGACACACAGACCAATGGAAGTTTTATTCTATTCTATTCTGGAGTGTTAGAAATATTTTATATCTTAACCTGGGTGTTGTTTATACAGATATATACAATTGTCAAAACTAACTGATCTGTAGTCTTAATTAGTACACTTTATTCACTTTCTGTATGTTTGTTTTACCATAACAAGCCAGTATGAAAAAGAAAGCATTTGATTTATATGGACAGACACTTCAAAATAGAAGAAATACACTACTAGTAAAAATAGAAATTACAGTAAGATAACATTTTTTGTCAAATTAACAAAGTTTTCCTTTATTGATAACATTATCAGTATAATAACTGTAGGGTAGAAGGACACAAGTACTTTTCTGTATTAGTGGAAGCATAAATTGGTATATCTTACTAGAGGGCAAGTTGGCAAAGTACTTAAAAATATATGTGTAAGTTCATTCAAAATTTTACTTCCAGGAATTTATTTTAAAGAATCCATTATTAATTGATTGATTGACTGATTGAAGCAGAATCTCACTCTGTCACCCAGGCTTGAGTGCAGTGGCATAATAGCTCACTGCAACCTCTGCCTCCCAGGTTCAAGCAATTCTCGTGCCTCAGCCTCCCGAGTAGCTGGGACTACGGGCACATACCACCATGCCTGGCTAATTTTTATATTTTTCGTACAGACGGGGTTTCTCCATGTTGGCCAGGCTGGTCTCGAGCTCCTGACCTCAAGCAATCCACCTGCCTCAGCCTCCCAAGTGCTGGTATTACAGGGATGAGCCACTGCACCCAGCCAAGAATTCATCATTGATGTAGCACAGATTTCACTATTAGAATGTTCATTGAAAAATTGTCTGTGACAATAAAATATTGAAATCTACCTATTAAAAGGTAATTAATAAGATAAACTGTGGTATGTAACAATGAAATAATGTCAACCATTAAAAATTATGGCATAAAAGAAAAATTATATAGGAAAGTATTCTCAATATAATATTTGGCAAAAGAAAGTAGTCTACAATATTGATCACTCAACAAGATCCCAGTTTAAGCTTTTTAATTTATGTATATATTAATTAAGAAAAAAATGGTAAGGATATGAAACTAAATGTCAGCAGTGACTATCTTTGTGTAATTATACCAATGATATTTTCATTTCTTCTTTTTGGGCCTTCACTTTTTCTACATGTTTAACAATGAACATGTATTTCTCTTATACTAATAAAAATAATATTTTAAGAAATTATAAGAGAATACTACACACAACCACATCCTAATACATTTGAAAATCCCAATGAATAAAACTGTTTTCTTGGAAGGAAAAATAAATTGGCTAAAGAAAAATTGTATATTTATATACATAGAAAAGCACACCAATCCTGAAATTGTGGATAACTTCTACTTTCTTTCTTAATATACATCTTCAGCTTTCAAGCATTCTCCAGTAAATATATATTCATTTTATAATTGGAAAAAAGCCAGGAAAACAAAAAGGAAAACAAGGGAAAACAGCCATAGTTTTCCATGGTGCTGGAATATTGTACCTTGTGTAATCTTAGAGACATCTTACAAAGAACCCTGGACACAAATACAGAATCACTATTTTTACCAAACTCAGCTCTGATGCTTACACACTCTACCAGCAGCTTCCACTTAAATTTGCTCACGTGAACTTCACCACAGCCCATTGATGTTGGCATTACTCTTTTTATTTTTACAGATAAAGAGAAACTGCCCAGAGAGGATGACCACTTACTTAAAGAAACCCAGGGAATGTAGAGGAAGAAGGGATTTGAACCTAGGTCAGCCCACTTTCAAAGCCCATGCCTTTGTTTACTACAAGAGTATTTTCTAATATCATATTACAACCAAGGCCACCAAAAAGTTGTTATAAACTCTTAAGCCACAATGCAGAGGGCCTCCTTCAAGACAAACACAATCTGTTTGGAATGCACCAAGTTTATTGAAAAATATTACTGAAATCAAAGCCTTTTGCACTACTTTATTCATTATTTTTATGGTACTCCAGGATTTTTGTGGGATTTGTTTTTCATTTCACTTCTGTAAGCCTGCCAATGCTTTAAAACAATATTTCAATTGGGGGGAAAAAGTAGTTTTCCTAGCAAAAACTCAACAGTGTTTTCCATCCTTCTTTCATATGGTTTTGGGAAATTCTCTGCTCCTGCTTTCCCTGTTCCTCCTCCCAACTCCCATAAAGTACAAATTTAATACTCATGCTACTTTTTAAACATCCCCTAATGTTCAAAAGAAATTAAATTCGCAGTTGCAAAATTTTGAAATGTTAGTTTTATCACCAGCAGTTCCACCTGAGAAGTCACAAATCATCCTGGAACAAAGGCAATGAAAACACAAGCTCTGTAGTCCCCAAGCAGTTGTGGACTGTCACCTTATAAGATGATGAAGGATTATAGGGAGGTGTGCTCAGGGGCTGGAGAAGCCCAATCCCTGAAATAAAATAAACTGTTTAGCCTTTTCATTCACTGGACAGACACTTGTGTCTTCAACAGGTACCAGTACTGCTTGCTCTTGAGAAGTTTACAATCCAGGTTTGGTTTAGGACAGGTAAATTTTAGAAAGTAAATTTAATTCTGCAGATGTTGAGCAGTTCTACAATGCTTTGGTTTCAAACTGCTCTCTGAAATTCTAGGGATGCCTCAGAGGTGCCTTGGGGGCTCTGGAAAGGAGGAGAAGAAGAGGTGAGGATTCTAGGCCCACAACCTCACCCCTCACTTTAACCACAGTTGTTTGCAATGTTTTGTTTCATGCACTTAGATTCCCCATCAGGTTTATTTTGGACAAGGACAATGTTGTTTAAAATAAAAGTCTGGGGTTGGCGTGGGGTGGGGGGAATCCCTGCTTCAGTGCTTGAGATGGAGCTGAATGAGAACAGAAGGCTTCATGCTCATCTGAAAGAGTGAAAGCATTGAAAAATCCTCAAGTGCCCCGAACAACCCACCTCGGTCTAAACACCTCTTTTAATAGCTGAGAAATTGCAGACCAGACCAAGGGAGGGCATGCCCAGGGTCACAGAGATGTTCCTGGCAAGTGCCACAGAGAAACTTCAGAAGTTTCAGTATTGGTGGTCTATCCAGACAACTTAGACACAGGATTTTTGTAAGCAAATCACATTTCCAAAATGCCCTTATTCACTTATATCCTGCTTCTTTTCAAAACAGAGATAAATAGGAGAGCTACTAAGAGCAACTGCGACTGCAGCCTATTATTATTATTTAATAATAATAACATTATTATTAAATTTTGACATTAATTTTGAGTTTCCTGCCACTTCAGTAAAAAGAGAAACCCACTATGTCCCATAGCTTTCATCGATGAGGAAACATCCATTCTTTTTAGAAGAGATTACTTCACAAAGAAATGTCCATATGTAACCTCACAGAGGAGAGGAATTGCGCCCCTTTTCTGAGGAAAGATGCCAACCAAGTCCAAAGATACTAACTTTCTCATCTAGACTGACTCATTCGGCCAGTTTGCACATTAATGTGTGAACTCACCCACTGGCCACTTCCACTGACATTATAAATGAAATCGCTGGTTTTGTAAATTGAGAAATTGAAAACTCTTGTTTTTCCTGCTCTCATTTTTCAGAGTTACATCTGCTACTCCAAACTTTGCATTCCATGTAACTTGTATTTGCAAAAAAGGAATATAAACTCCATACACAGAAGGAAAGAGCAGAGAAAAAAAAGAATCAAAATATTTATTACTTGGGAGACACCCACTATTCCATATGCCATCTCACGATATGAACACTATTGATTCTATACCCACTCTGGGTCACTCACTTCCTGTACTCAGTGAATCCACACTGTATCTCAGTGAATCCTTACCACAACCCTTTACAGGGGCTTTTCCTTAAAGAGAAGGAAAAGCTGAGAACTCACCAGGGTCAGGAGCTTGCTCTAGTTACACAGATAGATATTCATTCAAACACCTGCTGTAAGCCATGCACTGTTCAAGGTACTCGAGATCCCTGGATAATACCCATGGAGCCTCTGCCTTCAGTAACCTCTGTCTCATGACCCAAGACAGTCAGTAGTCAACAAACAAGAAAGAACAACCAACAAAAACTAGCGAGAGAATCACAGATGGTGTCACATTTTGGGAAGGAACCAAACTACAGAAAGAGATGGGAAAGTAATTGGAGGTGGGAAGAGAAGCCACGGCACATTATGTGGGTGGTCAGGGAGGGTCTATCAGAAGAGCTGACAATTCAGCTGAAACCAGAAGGATGAGAACGAAGAACCAGGGATCTGAGGGCCAGGTGGGACCAGCAGAGACTGGGTCTCCACTGGGCAGTTCAGGAAGCCTAGGCTGCCTCCTATCTACCCTCTCTGACAGCCCTGCCAGGTTGGCATTATCCTTTACTGCACAGACATGCACACAAGGGCTCAGAGTGGTTAAGTGACTTGATCAAGAACACACCGCCGAGAACAATGAAGCAAGATTATAATCAAGGAACATCTGGTCCCAAACCTGTGCTTTTAGCATTGACCTTACTTGATTGACCCTTGATTGATTCAAAAGCTACCAACACTGACAATACAATTTACACTGGGACAGCTAGTTAATTAGTTCGTTGTCTGTACATTATTACTCATACTTGGCCTCATTCCAAAAATAATTTGAACCCCCTAAGATTCTCTGTACTTAATGGAGTCTCCTTCAGACAGAGTCCCCTACTCCAACTAGATGGGTGGTACAGAAATCCTATGACGATGTCTTCTCAAAATACAAGATCAGACTCTTTAAGAAGTTCTTGCAGACAAGGGTCCCTAACCACACAGCTCACTTCTTGTCCTGGGGTACTTGGGAACCTTCTGATCCTCTGATGGGAGCTGGGGCCTCACCAGAGCAGGAGCTTCACAACACCTTGTTGCTGTCATGAATCTTCCAAAGGTCCTGTGGACACCTAGAAACTCAAGGTTGCATTTACCACGACAAAAACTAAGCAAACAAACAAAAACACTTCTACTTCCTGTGATGCAGCCAATGTCCCCCGCGGGAGTCGGGTGAAGAACATGTGTTCCACTGCTCCACCCGTCTCCATGGCCATCATTCTGAACGTGGTGTCATCATGGCAGCATCCTTTCACCCTCTCCCCAATCCTGACATAAGCTGCACCGCCGTGAAAGCAGTCTAGAGTGGTAGAAAAAGCTCCTTCTAACCCTATGGCTCATTTCCAAGCCTGCTGGTTGATGAAACCCATTGCAATGACCTCCACGAAGCACAGGAAAATGGGTCACTCCCTGAATTGCCAAGTCTGCCAAAAATAGGTATGTTACATCATTGCCACACGGGACCTGACTCTTACTCAAACAAGTGTGCAATTTAGGGGGGTTTTCTGAGTAATTTGCCAGCCAAAAAAAGACGCTGCCATTCAGGGAGCTCTTATTATCTCAGAATAACAGGCAGTACGTGTCTATCCTTACCTTGTGCTGGGAGCTATTCTCCACCCTTTACCATATTAACTCATTAATTCTCACAACTCCATGAGGTGGGTATAACTGTCATCACTATTTTACAGATAAGAAAATCAAGGCACAAAGAGTTTGTATCACTTATCTGAAGTCATCCAGCTAGAAAGGAATAAGGACTGGATTCAGGCTCTTAACGGCTCACTCTGCAGGGTCTCACGCAAAGCCATATGAGATGATGCTAAGTCTGCAGCGGTGGGACCTGAACTAGCAGCTGCCTGTCCCACGGCTCTGGTTGCCCCATGGTTTGCAGGGCTACAGTTCTGCTCCCCAGCCCTTCAGGCACATTACAGCCTGGTCCACCAGACAACTTTCTAGGTGACGGCATTGCATCCATGGGCATTGCCAGGGCCTCCGCCCGCCAGGTTCCTAACCACGTAACTCTCAAAGGAAACGAACGCCTCCCCCGGGCAGCCATCTTTATTTTAGACGGTGATGTAAAAATTCCAGTTCCCTTAGCAAGGAGCTCTGTGCTGAAGACAAGGTTTGCCTCTGTCCAGAAAGGCAGTTTCAAGGTAAAAATTGAATATCCCTAGAGTGACAAGGCATTTTGTCTCCCATTAATTTTGAGAGAGAAAAATGGGGAGAAAGAAGCAAAGACAAACGCACAAGCTCCCTCCTCACTCTTCACCCCCGCCCCAGGCAGAAAGGAAGCTAAGGAAAGCCTAGCGCCTCTCTCCCTCTGTCTCTCTGCTGGCTGCCTTTAGCTGTGGGAGGAAATAAGCTACAAACATTCCGCAGGAGATGCACACGTGGACAAGCTTGTATGTCATCTTAGAGTGTTCACGGGGTGCTCACATTCAGAAGGGACCTGGGAGATGACCCAGTTCATCACTGTCCAACAGAAATAGAATGTGAACCACATACATCATTTTAAATTCTGTAGAAGCCACAGCAAAAAAAGAAAAACAGCAATTTAATATATCCAAAATATTATCATTTCAGCATGTCATCACTATAAAAATTATTGGATTATTTTACATTCTTTTTGTTATATTAAATGTGTATTTCACACTCACAGAATTTCTCCTTTTGGATTCAATTAGCTTCCTTTCAAATGCTCAGTGTCACCTGTGGTGAGAGGCCACCGCATGGGACAACAGAAGCCTAACACATCACTCCATCTGATGGATGATCACAGATCTTCTTCAACATCCTTTAAGGAATCATCTAGTTCCTTGCTACTCACATACGGCCAATTGGCAGCAACAGCATCACCTGAGTTTGTTAGAGATGTAGACTCTCAGGCCCCACCCAGAACCTATTTAAATCAGAATCTACTGATGCTCTCCTCAGGTGATTCATCTGCTCCTGCACGTGAAACTCTGAAAACCCCATTATCTCCTCTTAAGCACTTCCTGTGGCAGGGAACTCACCATCCCATCCCCAAGGAAGCCCGTGCCATCTTTAAATGGGTCTAGTTATTAGAAAGGCATTTATCCTTTCTTTATTGAGTGCTCCCTATGAGCCTGGCACTGTGCTAAGCACATCCCGTGAATTATCTCATTTAAGCCCAGCACAGCCCTAAAAGAGTGGAACTAATTTTGGCTCCTTTCATATAATTAAGGGAAAAGAAGCCCCATAAACCTGGATAACTGGCCCCAGATCATGTGGCTGGCCAGAACTCTGTTTCTGTGCCTGTTTCCTGAGCCACTCACTGCACCAGGGTCTCCCTGTCCCTTCTGCCCGATGCCACACAGACCCCAGGAGTCTTTTCCAGTTTCAAAGAAAAGCGTTGTTGGCGCTCGGGAGAGATGGTCTTCAGTACCAGACTTTATATTTTTGTGGACTTCATTAATTGCTGATTTCATTCTTTCATTTGTTTTCATTCAGTATGTCATTTCTCACTTAAATACACTCTGTTGGTACCTGCCCGCTCAGCATTTACTTTCCTCATCAAGGTTTAGAACAAGTTTAGAAATGGGCAACTAAGCAAACAGGCAGAAATGAATGAAAGTCATAAGATGCCATTAGATCACGCAAAGGTTCCTGGTTTCCAATTAAATAAGGTACATGGCTGGAAAAATCAGGTAAGCTACACATATTAAGGGAGGGACCCCAATTATATCACCACTCACATTGAGGAAGATACTGAACGCACCACAGAATGTCATGAGACAGCAAGCCATGGAACGTGATGGAAGTACAGTCAGGTGGAAAACGAAACTAACAAGAGGAAGGCAAGTTCTTAGGAGTTTTCCTTCTTCACCGAAATGTATCAGTGAAACTCCCAGAAAACGAGAATGTCACTTTCCATCTGTATTTCCACTTGCAGGAAGAAATCGCTGACGGCCCAGTAGAGGGTTGAACGTCTATGTGGAACTTGTACTGTTGTTTTGGAAGTAAATTATTTCTCAACTCAAAACAAAACTCTTTTGTCTTGAACAATAATGGAAATCTTACGGTAAAACTTTAGTAAAGAATTTTATTATTATTAAATGAATGCCCTATTCTTTCACTATCCAGAAAATCAAAGATCACTGTGCATTTGAGGGAGAGTGGAAGTGGGAGAAGAGAGGAAAGGAGTTAATGGGGAAAGGATGAATTAGAAACAAAGAAAAATAGGTAGCACCAAGCAGAAGCCCTCCACAGTCAATCTTCGTAATGTACCTTTCCGCCCATTTGTTCCCACGTGATGTGACATGCCTGCATTGATTTTCTTTAAATTAGAAAATATATTCAGAATGCCCAAACTTAAGATACAGACTACATGGCACACACAACATTCACCTGGGTGGTTACAGGGGATCCCAAAGAAACAGTCATCCTCTTGAGCAGCTGATTATAAGGAGAGACCTTCAATATCAGTTGATAAAGAAATGTCAAATATATTGAGATGCCGCAGAGAAAATAAGCAGTAGTTTCAAATACGAGTCCTGATTTAAACTCCTAACAGCAGAACATCTTTATTACAGCCCATGATTTCCCATTCTGATACTTCTGACATGGGCATTTCTACATGGCCAAAGGCACTGGTTGATGTAAAAATGGTAAATTATTCTCCAGTGCAATCCTAGGCACTACAGCTACTTATGAAATAAGAACCAAACCCCTTCTCTGGCACCTTCCCAAGCAGCCCAAACTCCACAACCGTTGTGTTACCTTCATTCATCAAACACCGTGTTCACATCAGGCCAGGATCTCCAGAATTCATGAGATTCCAGCCAGCCGGAAACCATAGTTGGTGATGCGCTTCGGATCTGTGTCCCCGCCTAAATCTCATGTAGAATTGTAATCGCCAATGTTGGAGGCGGGGCCTGGTGGGAGGTGATTGGATCATGGGGGTGGTTTCTCACGAATGGTTTAGCACCATCTTCCTTGGTGCTGTCCTCGCAATAGTGAGTAAGTTCTTTCGAGATCTGTTTGTTTAAAAGTGCTGCCTCGCCCTTTGCCTTCCATCATGATTGTAAGTTTTCTGAGGCCTCCCCAGAAGCCAAGAAGATGCCAGCATCATGCTTCGTGTACAGCCAGCAGAACAGTGAACCAATTAAACCTCTTTTCTTTATAAATTACCCAGTCTCAGGTATTTCTTTATAGCAATGCAAGAATGAAATGATACAGTTGGTTAATCCACAAGAAATTCTCTAGGGCAGAACCAATCTGTGTCACTCTTGTATCCTCAGGGCCTGGGACAATGCTTAGCTCACAGTAAGTATACTGGGTATTCAGTATAAATTTGTCAAAGGACTGGCTGAATGACTGTCCTGGAGGCCTCACTCCCATGTTCTGAAAGTCTTCATTTCCAGCAGTAGAAATCACAGCAGTTGGCCAACACGGTGAAACCTTGTCTCTACTAAAAATACAACAATTAGCAGGGCACAGTGGTGCATGCCTGTAGTCCCAGCTACTTGGGAGGCTGAGGCAGGAGAATCACTTGAACCTGGGGGATGGAGGTTGCAGTGAGCCAAGATCATGCCACTGCACTCCAGCCTGGGCAACAGAGCCAGACTCAAAAAAAGAAAAAAAGAAAAAAAAGAAAATATATCACAGAAGTTAATATTTATTGGAGGTTGACTTTATCTCAGACACTATGCTAAACACTCTACCAGCATTACCCAATAGAACCCCCCAACATCATTATCAGGCTCAGACTTTTATTTCTATCTTACATACAAGGGAACTACGACACAAAAAGATTAACACAGGCGGGACGTGGTGGCTCACGCCTGTAATCTCAGCACTTTGGGAGGCCAAGTCGGGCAGATTGCTTGAGATCAGGAGTTCAATACCAGCCTGGCCAACATGGTGAAACCCTGTCTCTACTAAAAATACAAAAAATTAGCTGGGCGTAGTGGCACATGCCTGTAGTCCCAGCTACTCAGGAGGCTGAGGCAGGAGAATTGCTTGAACCCAGGAGGCGGAGGTTGCAGTGAGCCGAGATTGCACCACTGCACTCCAGCCTGGGCGACAGAGCAAGACTCCATCTCAAAAAAAAAAAAAAAAAAAAAAAAAAGATTAACATGCCCCATGTCCTCCTGCCAGTAGGTGGCAGAACCAGGATTCGAACCGAGATCTGTCGGCCTCCTTGTTTCCAACCATCTCACTTGATGCCTCGTTCTTATTTTCATTCTCTGCACCCAGAAGCCCACAGTAACCCCAAAATGCTCCTTCTCTGGGGAAGAAAAGGGAAGGTCATTCTGCAGCGGGTACTGCCACCTTTGAAATGTCCCTGCAGCAATTCCATTCAAAGGCCAATGCATTCACTCATTCTGAAGTTGGAAAAACTTTTCTGGGCATGGGTTCTCTGCCAGGCACTGGAGATACAGTGATGGATAGTTGGTAGTTCCGCTGCTCCACAGGCATGTCTGGGGGCCAATGGATAGACTTATAAGGTCAAAACAATGTGGCGATGAAACAAACATCTACTGGACTCTGCCAAGCCAGCATCACCAAGCTAGCACCAGGCAGGGTGTGGGGATGCCACAGACCCTGTCTGCCTTTGGAAGCTGAGCAGCCCACACTTTGGACCAAATGCATGGTCGAGACCAAATGTGTTGGAGGCATGCCAAGGGAGTGAGATTATTGCAAGTTGAGGTCGTTGCCACTTCCAGATGAAAGCAAAGCAACCCTGACAGATATACCCTGAGAGTCCCTGTCATTTCTAAGTATGTTTCAGTTGGCATATTCCCTGGGGATAGTTATTTAGGAGGCCTGGGAAAGTAACACTTGCCATGGCCACATCTGTTCAGCAGCCCAAGGCTGAGGGATCCCGTGGCCGCCTTCAAGCTGCTGTAGTTCCACTTTGGTTAGAAAAACTTGGGAAAATATTGCCGTGGTCAAGAATAAACAAGGCTGGGCTCTTGTTAGTGGCTGGGGATTGCTGTGGCTCAGCAAGGTTGAATAAGCTTCCCGGACTTGGCTGTGACTCTCAACAACACATCTGAGCTGTTTAACACTCAAAAGCGTAGCGTCTAATGGAAATAGCCCAGAGATATTTCTCCAGGAGGGCCACACGGGCAAACCCACTTCTCAGAACCCTGACCAATGCTCAGGGGAATTCTCTGAGCCTTCACTGAACCAATTTTCCAAAGTACTGTGTAATTAATGACTCCCAGAAGAAATCCTCTTGTTGTCAGCAAGAAGGGAAAAATAAAAGCATTCCTGCAACTGTTTTATACCTTGGGCAGAGCAGATTCATTTTTAGCAAGTTCAAATAAAGTATTATGATATAAATCTATGATGTAAATAATAATAGAGGCCAATATTTTATAGGATAGCTTGGCAAAGGCCCCTCAAGTATGTTCCTCACTTTATTTTTATTTATTTATTTATTTTTTGAGATGGAGTTTCACTCTTGTTGCCCAGGCTGGAGTGCAATGGCATGATCTCAGCTCACTGCAACCTCTGCCTCCCAGGTTCAAGCGATTCTCCTGCCTCAGCCACCCGAGTAGCTGGGATTACAGGTGCCCACCACCACGGCTGGCTAATTTGTTTTGTATTTTTAGTAGAGACAGGGTTTCACTATGTTGGCCAGGCTGGTCTCGAACTCCTGACCTCAGGCGATCCACCCTCCTCAGCCTCCCAAAGTGCTGGGATTGCAGGCATGAGCCACCGCGCCCAGCCACATGTTCATCGCTTTTAAAATGCAAAAGAGTCGACATAGAGTTTGCAGGAGTTAGCATAATGTTATGCTATTAATAGAACAGTTTGGGCTTTTTTTTTTTCTTTTTCTGTGCAATTTCTGCAAGAGCATAGCCGGTTTAGTCTGTGTGACAGCTGGCATGGGGACTCTCAAGTATAATTTGTTTCTACACAATGGGCGGATCTATTCATTTACTCACAAATATTTATGAGGCACCTATTAAGTGCAAGACATTCAGATAGATGGTGGAGAAAAGACAAAGCCCCTGCTCATGGAGCTGGCATTCCTATGGGGGAGACAGACATTGAAAAAATAAGAAGACATATCTGTTAAATATGATTTGTGATAGATGCGCAAAAAAATAGAAACAAGAAGTGATGAAAATTAGGGAAGAGGAATATTTTGGGTTCAGGCTCAAAAAAGACCTTCCTACAAAGATAACCTTAAGAGTGAGTTCAGAAAGATGCTCTTGCAAAGGGCAGGGGAAGACCTTTCAGGCATGAGGAAGAGCTTGTGCCAATGTCCTAGGGCAGACAGAGCACAGCTGAATTGGAGAAGCTGGGAGAGAAGTGGTGGGGCTGGAATGTGATGAGTGAGGGGGTGGGGGCTGGAGGAGTGGGCAGGGGCCAAGTCAGGTGTTCCCTGCTCTGGAGGCAGCATCTTTTTAAATCTTCTGCCTGGCTTCACTTAGCAACTCCTTGCAACAGACCAGTGCCTGACCTCCTTTCCCTTCCCCCAACTTAGAACCCCGGAAGCACTTTCTTAAGGTTAAAAAGAAAAACCAACACACTGTGGCCACCCTCTGCTTCGTTCCAGCAACATCCACAGTGACGAGGAAGCAGGCTCCTTAAAAGGGTGTGGGTGATATTCCCCCAAGGACACATTCTTCCCACCCTAGCCAGCCAACCCAGGGTGGTTGCACTCAGAATGCTGCCTTGGTCGTTGATAATTGTTGCATTAATTGGTGCCGTCCGGACCAGACAGAACGTAAAAGATCCCACTGTGTCCAATAATTAATGTTTTTCCCTCACTGCAACGCCATTAATAAGGGACTCTTCCAAGAAAGGAGTAATTGGCTGGTTGGGCGTCATTAGGGTATTTATAGATAAGCTTTGGTCTGGAGACAGAGAGGAAAGCTGATTATGTTTATTTAGACTCTATTATCTATCGCTAATGTGCTATCCTGCGTTCCGATCGTCCCCATTCTCTGGGTCGTAATGATGCAGGGCACACGCACAGTGTGATTTCCATGACCTACAACACGGCTTTCTCCCTGTTGCAGGAGAGAGAGGGGGCCACAGTGGGAGGCTGTTCACAGGTTCTGCTCACTCCCACTCATCCACTGTGAACCTTCGCTTTCCTCTGAGAAATTTAGAGCAAGGCTCTCGGAAGTACCAGAAAGACAGATTCTCCTAATTAAACCTCAGAGGAGTGGAAGTTTCTTTGGTCTGTGATTATCTGAAGGGTTTTTGAAAATGTAAATCTGGTTGGGGAAAAAATAGAGGGAGGAAGAGGAGGCCTGAATTTGAGAGGATGTCTCATTGGTTAGCAAGAAGTCTCAGGGACTGATGAAATCTACTAGAAATGCACATCTTCCTGGACAAGCTGATGTGCATTCAAGCAGTCTCTGGACCCTGGGAACTGGATGTGGGTGGTATTCTTTCCCCTCAAAGCCTTTGATTCAATTATTCTTTGCTAGGATTCTCAGAAGAGAATTTTTATTTGTTTTTTTTTAAGTATATCTGTGAACAACAGTGTGAATATACTCAATGACACTGGATTATGCAGTTGAATATTATTAAAATGGTAAATATTACATTATACATATTGTCCACAATTAAAACAACATCACTAAAAGAAACAGAAGAATATAATTTATAAGCAGAATTTAGAAGCATAAGTAAGGAATAGGGTTTTAACTTTATAACTATAATGTATCAAGGATTCATTTTATCAACCAAATAACCTTCTAAATCATCCGGTTAGCACACAAAACTACTCTCAAGTTAATTTTTTTAAACTCTTAAATTAACAACAGTAATTCAAGAAAACTATTTGGTCAATTAAATCAGTTGCATCTGTGGGGCTGTGGAGTGAACTCAACCTTATTCGTTTTTACCAACTTCCCATTCAACTTGTTCTGAGGACAGTTTTTTATGCACTCCTGGCTATAATCTCACATGGGTTCAATAGTTGTATGTGTCACTTATAAAATAGAGAACCCAGACCCATCCAATAATAATTTTTTTAAAAGTATAGCTGGATGCGCATGTATATGTATTCCATACACATCAACCCCCTTCATGTCTCTCACTGCACTGTGTGGTAGAAAAAAACCTAGAGACCGGGGTTCAAGCTTATGCTCTGCCCCATGTCCCATGGTGTATAAGGGGAACGGAAGACACATGGCCTCATTAGGCCTCAGCTTCCACACCTGTAAGATGAGGATGACACCAAGGCACACTCTGCAAGGTTGATCTCAGAAAGAAATATAATGGTGTCTGCAGAGGTACCTGGCACACGCAGAGAAAGGACCCCATGAATGTCCATCATTTCTCATCTATGAGAGGGAAGAGGAGTACTGGCCTTGAGTGTGTGAAAGCATCTGACAGGCCTCCACAACCTCCCCTGCCTTCTCTGCAAAGAACACCCTCAGGATCCTCAACCTGTCTCTGTTTTCGAAATCGACTCCTAGAAAGTTGACCTGTGCACAAATGCATGATGTAACTTTGCAAATTAAATGTGTAATGCTTTTAGAACAACGATGCCCTTTCCTCCCCTGCTCCCCACCACTGGGACCAGGTAATTTGCAGGCGCATCTGTTGTAGGTGTTGGAAATACTCAGAGATATTTTTAGATCCTGGCCTGGGGTCCAAAAGTAAAGAGGCTGGCTCCTGGGACCCAGTGATGCCTGTGGCATCGGTCAGGTAACAGGGGCCAGGCGGGAAGTTCTGTGAGCAGGGTGGACCAGGGCATATGGCCTGAGGCCGGTGGGTAGAGCATCAAGTAGAGAAGTGAAAAGGAACAGGACTGACTCCTATTGGGGCAGTGAAAGGCGGAAGCACCCCCTGTCCAAGCACACAGACACACACACACACACACACACACACACACACACACACACACACACACTTATCAGATCTTACTTAACCAGATATTACCTAGCTCAGGAAAAGAACTTAACCCCTCTGAGCCTCAGCGACTTCATTTGTAAAGCAAGGAAATGGACCCACTTAGCTCTTCCACTGAGATTGTTCAGGCTGGCAGCACTTTAATTTACAGAGTGTCTGCTGGGTACCCAGCTTTGTACCAGGTGCTGGAGGGAGAGGGTGGAGGATCAAAGAGAAAAAGAGGAGGTGTAATTGTCACTGTTGCCTGAAAGAAGCCATCACTCTTCTGCAAACATTGTCATGCTCTTCACTCTTGTTAGAATAAAATCCAAACTCTTTATCAAGATCTACACAAAACTTTGGGATCCAGCCCTGGTACTTCTGTTAGACAATATTTTGTAATGCTCCTTT
Organism: Homo sapiens; assembly: GCF_000001405.40. Taxonomy (NCBI): domain Eukaryota; kingdom Metazoa; phylum Chordata; class Mammalia; order Primates; family Hominidae; genus Homo; species Homo sapiens. The sequence continues at coordinate 117,753,041 of NC_000010.11, read as the reverse complement.
GATATCCTGAAACAAAATTCAGAGATTGTATAATTTATCTACACACAAGATGTCTTAATAAATATAATGTCTTAACTATAATATGAAAACAAAATAATACAAGATATATATTTTAATATTATACTAAAATATATTATTTTAATATAAATTAAAACAAAAACCAAAATAATGTAATATACAAACAAAAAAGAAGTAATTTGTCACAAAACAGCATGCATTTCAATGGGTAAATCCTCTGACATGATTCTCTAGTGAGCACCAGAAAGCAATCAGGTACCTGTGTTTGGGTGTAAAACCATAGAGAATGCCAAATACAGACTGACAACATGTATGTTGTTTTGGCGATTCAAATACCAAGAGTGATGTTACCATGGGTGACCTGATTTTCCCAACATGGGCAACACTGCTTGTGAGCCTTCTAAACAAAACACAGTGTGATCTTGCCTTAATTTACATAGTAGTTGCATTCCTAGACAATTCCACATATAATTGAAACTATGCTAAAAAATCACTTTCTGTTTATATGAATAAGAGAGTTAAGTCCAGGCTCAGATTTTCACTAATAGGCCTTTTACCTATGTGAATATCCACCAAGACATCCTGAAGTCAGGCAGGACCCAGGACAGTCCCCGGTTGTGTGGGACTGTTACCTGTACTGCTTGAAACCTTGCATCCTCCCTGGCACCTGCTCACCAAGCTACTGCCCCTGAAATATCCTAATAAACGTTAGAGGGCAATACTGCTCCCCTTGGGAACCCCTGCTCTGACTCCTGCCACCTCCCTGACATTGGATCTGTCCTACACTCCCCTTGTTCACCACATTCCCGGACACCTAGCTTTTCTCCATGTCACCAGGCACCCCAGGGGGCCTTTGCACATGCTGTTCCCTCCACCATGAATGCTCTTCCGCAGATGTGCACATGGGGCCCTTCTCATTAGTCATATCTCAGCTCACATAACATTTCCCTGACAGCAGCTTTCCCTGACCACATGTTCCCACATGTTCCCACTCTGCTGTCCTCATCACCTCGTTCTTTTCTTTCTTTTTTTTTTTTTTTGAGATGGAGTCTTGCTCTGTCACCCACACTGCAGTGCGAGTGCAGTGGCCTGATCTCAGCTCACTGCAACCTCCACCTCCCAGGTTCAAGTGATTCTCCTGCCTCAACCTCCCGAGTAGCTGGGACTACAGGCATGCGCCACCATGCCCGGTTAATTTTTGTATTTTTTAGTAGAGAAGAGGTTTCACCATATTGGCCAGGCTGGTTTTGAACTCCTGACCTTATGATCCGCCCACCTCGGACTCCCAAAGTGCTGGGATTACAGGCATAAGCCACTGCGCCCGGCCTGCCTATCACCTCGTTCTTATCCCTCAAGTCATATGTCATTGCTGTAATGATCTGTTTCTAGCTTGTCTTCCCCATTAGACTGGGGTCAACAAACTTTTCTGTAAAGGGCTAGATTAGAAATATTGTAGGCTTTACAGGCCATATGATCTCTGTCATGACAACTCACTCAATTCTGCCATGCTAGTTAGCCACAATGCGTGAACAAATGGGCATGGCTGTGTTCCAATAAAACTTTATTTACAAAAATCAAGAGTCAGGCTGCATTCAGCCTGTGGGCAGCAGTTCACCAGCCCCTGCCCTGGACTGTAAGCTTCACATCTGTCTGGCTTGCTCTTGAATCCTTTGGGTCTAACATAGTACAGGGAAGATGGTGACAGCTGAATGCATGTTTGTTGAAGAAATGACTCTGTTGTCCAGTTGGAGTGAGGAACAAGAGAAAACATGAGAAAGACATACCAATTCTTAGCACCTAGGGAAGTATTTACATGTTGATTGCACAGCCAGCACTGCGAGAGTCCTGAGAAGGAAAGGGCAGAAGAATTCAGGGAGGGCTTCCTAAAGGAAGTGACCCTGAATGGGATGTGAAGGAAGGATGGGATTTGGACCGTGATAATCATGGCATTTACTCGTTCAATCATTAATTCCTCCACTCATTCAGGGACTTTTTTCAAATGTCATATAGTTGTTTACAAAACAAAGATGAACATGCAGTGCTCTCAGGGAAGAAGGAGACTTTGAGCCTGTTGTCAGGACAGTCTGGAGATTCCAGGGACTCTGTGGCCCAGTCACACTTTGGGTGCCTAATGTGTACCAGAGAGACGAGGCTCACATCCCGGACATGGCGCAGTAGTGCCACAATTGGCACTCCATCCCACCAGCCATCCACAGCATCCAACTGGCACTGTGCCATGCCTGTGAATTTAGTGCATGCTTGTTCTCAGTCTCGGCCCAAACCCTCACCCTCCAGCCTCACCCAGTCCCAGGGCCCCAGACTTCTGCACCATCACACCTTAATCACAACCTGCTCTTGGATCCTCCATTCACCCAGTGATATAATCATACACTCTCCCTAGGAAGGAGGTACAGTCATGGTGGGTCTTCAGACAGAGGCCTGGGTGGACTTTGAGGCCAGGTGCCCCTAGGTCTTCAGAGCATCATGGCACACCTGCCAGGCAGTGTTAAGTAACTGCAGAGGTACATTTCAGCACCAGGATGGGCACCTTAAGACCATACCTGATAATTCTTTGATCTTTTAAGGAGTTATTTGAGGTTCTTTTTAAAACCGAATCAAGATTATCCCCATTTTTCCGTCTCTGTTGTTCTTCCCTCCAAAGCTGCAGGCCTTGCACCTCTTAAGAACCTCAGAACTGTTTTTCTTTCTCTCTTTGCTTTGGCTTCTAAGAAACTCAGAGCCAAATGCATAGTTCCCAGTCTTTCTGTGGCCTACCTGTTGTGCAGTGAGTCCTCACTCGAACTTATTTTCCTGCCTTATTTCCCTTACATTTGTGGATGTACAGGATGCATTTCTACAGGCCAACTCAAGTCCTATCAGGGACAAGCCAGGTGTCCCTTGCGTTAAAAAAAAAAAAAAAAAAATTGCAGAATGTTCACCCTGTCTCCCCACCCCCTCCAACCCTGAACATATTTTATTATTTCATTAATATCGAACTTAATTATTTTGCAATTTAGTTTGATCTAGACAGCCAAGCATTTCATAAACAATACATTTTATATCTGCTAATGAGGGGTAAAAATAGATCAACTCATTTCTTGACACAGTGTTGATATTGTATCATGAAAACATCCCCTACAGGAAACTCTCTGCCAGGGCCTCCTCCCTGTCCTAGTCTTGGCTCCGTGTCCTTGTGGAGACCCCGACCTAATGTGCTCTGTAGGGCAGCGCACAGCATTTCTGCACCCGGGGAGCTGAGGACTGTAGCCCAGAAGTGACTAAAGTTCACACATTTTTTAAATCCCCAAAGGGCTGCTCTTTGTAGAGTGGCTAAGAGCTGGGCTTTGGGATGGGAGAACCCCTCCTTCATTCCTTTGTTAGGTATTCAATAAATGGAGCACTGGCCGGGCACGGTGGCTCCCGCCTGTAACCCCAGCACTTTGGGAGGCTGACGCGGGTGGATTGTTTGAGGTCAGGAGTTCAAGGCCAGTTTGACCAACATGGTGAAACCTCATCTCTACTAAAAACACAAAAAATTAGCCAGGCACGGTGGTGGGCGCCTGTAATCCCAGTTACTCGGGAGGCCGAGGCAGGAGAATCGCTTGAACCTGGGAGGCAGAGGTTGCAGTGAGCTGAGATCGCGAGCCACTGCACTCCAGCCTGGGCGACAGAGCGAGACTTCATCTCAAAAACAAAAATTATTTTAATAAAAAATTTAAAAATTAAAAAAAAATGGAGCACCTTTGGGGGCCAAGCATCATGCTAACCACTGGGGAAGCAGGGTAACAAGGTGAAGAAAGTCCATGCCCTCTCGGCCCTCATCTTGCAGTGTAGTGAGACCACAATCACAATCAATAAACCAGATCTTTCCAAATTGAACTAAGATAACAGTGAGCAGCCGGCAGGGGAGCAGCTGGAAAGACCTCTCAGAAGAGGCGGCATCTGAGCTGGCCATGAGAAGAGGAGGGGGAGGCTGCAGTCATGGAGAACCATAGCAGAAGTCCAGAGCAGGAATGAACAGGGCACACAAAGGCACCGTAGCCTAGAGGCCAGTGAGGCTTCCACCTGGCCTCCACCAGGAGGCTCGAGGGTGAAGAGGCAGCCTTCAAGATGCCTGGGAAAACTGCTTGCAGCCTCTGTGAATGCATCTATGGTGACAAGACAATGTCACCCCACTCACAAAATGCTGATGCTAGACATTGAAAGAATCAAAAGAGAGAACAAACAAAAAGTGGGGGTAGAAAATGGGGCCAGAGACTCCCTTCTAAATAAGCCAGCGGCCCCCGTGCCAGTGGGCACTGTGGAGATGCCAAAGCCTCCAAGAGTCTGGTCCCTGGCAGGGCCATCTGTGGACCCCAGGCCTCCCCGCAAAGCCTAGCCTGGTGGCTCTGTGTGGTTTGCTGGGCTGTCGAGATGACCACAGAGCTGCGCTGGGAATCGCAGACGATCTTTTCTTAGCTGACAAGTGAAAGCTCTTTTCTCTCTGCATTTAGCTTGAGATAATGCTGTTCTGGGCCCGCCTAGGAAGAGAGAGATCTACTTGACAAACAGCAAGGGCTTCTCGCCCCATCCATGAGGGGGTGACGCTTTCAAACCCGGCAAAAAAGTCCTCCATGCCAGCAATCTCGGGGCGTTCATATGAGGCCTGCTGGCGACGTCTGAGCACCAAGATTACACAGCGACAAGCCGGGAAAGCACAAAACTCTACCTTGCCACCTTTTTAATGAGTAAAATCCTCTGGCTGCTGCCCAGGCCCTCAGAGACCAGCTATTAATGAACGCTTAGAATAGACCGTGCCTGTTTGATCCGTGTATGGTGGCCTGGGAGAGACACTTCAATTTCCATTTTACATCTTCTGCCATGTTTAAGTGTCTCCTTAAGGGCAGGAAAACACTTTGCAAATTTTGTCTTTAAAGAGACATGTTCAAAGAGAGCATCCTCTCCCCGCAGCCACATTCTATATGTGAGCACTTTTCAATTTTCAAAGTATATATTTAGATTATGTATCTCAAAACCCGAGAGACGCTGCCGGGCCACAGGGCCTCCGCTGCACACACACTTCTCTTCCTGCCTCTTGGGGCTGTGAGAAGAGGGCTTTCCGGGTTCGTCCTCGGTTCTGTGTCTTCACTCACCGGGATGGGGATGGGTGCAGGAGACAGGGACAGCTGGTGTTTCGTTCTGACTTGCAGATCTTGGTCCTAGGCCGGCAGGCAATGTGGATCCTACCTTGAGTACCATGATTTCCAGACACTTCATCTGCAGTTGGGAGTCAAGGCGCCCAGGAAGGGAGGCTGGACTGGGTGCCCAGATGGGCACAGCAGGGCCTGGAAAGGAGGCATGGGTGGCCTGAGTCTGCCAAGGGAGTCGGGGGATGAGGCTACATTCAAGATACAATTTTCCAGGGGTCTTTCCAAGATTAGAGGAAGATCCAGAGTGGAAAAGAAAGGAAGAGGTGGAGGCAAGAAAAGGGCTTTAGAAGAAAGTGTATGCTTGGAGGTCTCAGGAATGCCCCTGTTGTCACAAGGGACCATTGTCAGCCATGTGAGGTGAGGGTGAAGACAGTAAATGAACTGAGGGGTTGTGCAGTATGCTGGAAAGCATTCTCTCCAGCTCTGGAATTTATCAGCTGTGCAATTTGGGGCAAGTTACTTAGCTTCTCTGAGCCTCCACTTTTTACTTGTAAAATGGGATCATGATCCCTCAACCTGCAAGACTGTTATGAGGGTGACATGCCTTGCCACAGGTACAGTGCTGGTGTATGGATGGTGCTGGCTCAGTGGTGTCTGTGTTTGTGTCTATAGACTAATCATCATCAGAGAGCAGCTCAGAACAGGAAATCCATCCTCCAGTCAGCCTCAGAAGACTCGCAGGATAAATGTGTCATGAACAGGAAAATAAATTCAGAGAAGTAAAATTTATCTATATTTTGAAAGGGGACATTCTGGGGTGAAAGCCGCTGACAGTATGAATTGCTATTGATTTCATCATTGTTGCCACCTCCAGAACAGATGGCCCTGAAAGCACCGTAAGCCTGTGGCATCGCAGGCTGTTTCCAATGATCTCAGAGTGTTACAAAACTCATCAAACCTGAGTTTTCTCTGGTTCAAAATACCACCATTCTCCATCACCAAGACTTTGGCAAGTAAGAGAGCTGGCACAGAATCTGGCATTGCAGAGCCTGCTCGCTGCTCCTCCAGGATCCGATCTCCCATTCTTCCGCCATCGAGAGCTCCTCTGTTCTACAGTCAGTGATATTTCCAGTCAAAGACTCTACTGCCCAGCCCCTTCTACAGCCAGGTGTGGCCACACGATGAAGTTCTGGCCAATGAAACATGAGAAGCTAGTAGGGAAGGACTTCTGGGAAGGTTCTTTGAAACAGAGAAAACACAACTGGAGAAAGTCCTTTTTGCTTTACCCTCTTCCTCCTTCCCATTGCCTGGAATGCAGACACAATGGCTGGAGCTGCAGCAGGCATCCTGAAATACTGAGGACAAAAGCCATATGTTGGGAATGGCAGTGCAAGAGGAGAGACACAGCCTGGGCCCAGATGATTGCGAAGCCACCACACCAGCCTACCCAGGACTTCTTCAATGCAGAGGGGAAGTCTGTCTGCATTTAAGCCACTGTTTCCTGGAGTTTCTGTTATGTGCAGCTTAGCCTGATCCTAATATACACACTTATTTACTCGAGGCTGGTGGTTGTGTCAAAGAGGAGCTCTGGGTCCCTGGCTACCAGTCCATTCTCAGCAAGAGACACAGCGGGGCATGGGGAGGAAGGGGGCAGAATGTCCTGGTGCAGGATGAGGGTCCTAGTACCTATGCATCTTGGCTGGTGCTAAACCTCAGGGTAAGTGACCCATCTCTCCCTATTTCACCTTCTAGAGACCTCCATTCCTTCCAGCCAAAGCCTGAAATCTAAGAGAAATAGGTGCCACAGGAAAGGAGCATAAGTCAAAATGAAACCAGAGTCCTACCTCTGATTCTTACAAGCTGTGTGGCTTTGGGCAAAAGCCTCTTAACCCTTAAGCCTCAGTTTTATCCTCTGTAAAATGGGAATCATAGTAACACCTACCTCAAAGGGCTGCATGGATAATGTAAGTAAAATGCCTGGAATTCAGTTCTTAAAAATGATAGCTGTTATTATTACAGATTCATTATGAATTGACAAAATTATTTTCAGAGAGAGGTCTTGGGGCAATGGCATGTCCTCTCTGTAAATGCAGAAGGTAGCAATGCTTAGGCATTGCCCTGTGTCTTCCAGGGAAGGTGGAATCAGCTCTTCTGCCAGGAAGGTCTGTTCCAAACTGTCTGAGAACTGGAAAAAGGACAGAAATGGGAGGGAGGAGACTCAGCTCCTGTCACTGACTTTGCACTAACTAGCTCTTTGACCCCAGACAAGTCACCTACTCCTTCTGAGCCTCAGTTTCCCCACCCATGAAATGAGGATGCCAGACTACATTTCTGAGGTTCCTTCCAGCATCAAAGTGCAGCAATTCCATGCATACAGGCAGCCTGGAGAACCAGGATCAAAACAGTCAATCTGCCTGCTCTCGCTTTGACCTGCTGGAAGTTTTAGCCCCAGCCTCCTCAAATCTGCTAATCATTTTCCAATGTTCTTTCCTCTTGTATTCCGATTGTATTAAGGGCCTGATCCAGAACAAAGCATCCTTTCTGCAGACACTGAGGCTTAATCTAAGGACTGGGTCAAGAGGAGACTTGAGAGAGTAGTTTGTTTTACTTCATGAAAATTTCCTGTAAAAATTCAGATGTGCAAACCTAATACATTGGGAGACCATTGGTTTCTAACGGAGTTATCTAGAAATACAATAAATTTGCTCTTCTAAGAGTCTCCCACACAGATGATGGGAAGGAAATTTGGCAGAGTGCCTGGCTACCATGCTTGAGGTCCTGAACTAGATATTTAATACATGTCATTTAATCTAACCCTCTCCATAAGCATCCATCAGGTAAGCAATGCCATCCTCATTTTGCCAATAAGGTAGAGGGACAGTGAAGTTATATATCTTTTCCTTAAATTAAGGACACAGAGACAACAAGTGGTTGAGCCAGGACAGATTTTATCTAGGTTGTCACCACTGTACCATAATCTCGAGGCCTGAAAGAAAATGGCAAAATATGGGAAGATGGCTAGGCCAGGTATCAGAATAGTTTTGTCCTAAAACCAGCTGCCACTGGCTGGCTGTGTGACACTGGGACAGTCACAGAATCTCTCTTTGCCTGAATTTTCTCATGTGTCAAAGGTGCATATTGGGCTGAACGCAGTGGTTCACACCTGTAATCCCAGCATTTTGGGAGGCCAAGGCGGGTGGATCACCTGAGGTCAGGAGTTCAAAACTTGCCTGGCCAACATGGTGAAACCCCATCTCTCCTAAAAATACAAAAAAATTAGACAGGCGTGGTGGCGGGTGCCTGTAATCCCAGCTACTCAGGAGGCTGAGGTAGGAGAATCACTTGAACCGGGGAGGCAGAGGTTGCAGTGAGCTGAGATTGCGCCATTGCACTCCAGCCTGGGCAACAAGAGCAAAACTCCATCTCAACAAAAAAAAAGAAGGTGCTGATATTGGACAGATCAGAGCCTGCATACACCTGCTAGTAGATCTCCAAGCTGCCACAATGCCTCCATTCCACTCTGAACTCAGTGTATACCAGGACCACCAAGTAGAGAGCAGGTAGCCATGGAAACAATGCCTTGATGCCTGCTCTGCTTGGGACCCTCATAGTGAGCACATCTCCCCAACTGAAGGCTGGGGAGCTTGCCTTCATTCTGCCTTTCCCTGGCCCTCTCTGACCACTCTGGAAGCCTGCGCATGTCTCCATTGGGTTTCCAAACCCAGGCAGATCTGCTTACAAATCTGAATGTGCAACATGGACTCTGGGATCATTGAGGGCCTCTTTAAAGGTTCTCCCCAACCCCCATTCTATTTAGAGGCTGTCTTCACCCAGTGGTTCCATCAGTAGGTGGGACCCCTCACTTCCATTAACGTTCACCTGCATCAGCCATGCAGTGCCAAATGATGGAACTGCTTCCTGACATCCTGTGAGGCTGTTGCAGCATATAGATGATGTTGTTGTAAAAAATTTAACAGAACAACAATTGACACTCGAAGGCTTTTGGATTCGCCAATGAATCTGATGCCCATGTGTTGCCAAAAGCATTTATTGTCTCATAATTTGATTTACTTTTTTCCACGCTGCTCCTAGGGCCTGCAAGTAGGGGCAAAATGGCTGAGGCCTCCAGATGCCACGGAGGCTAATAAAGCGTGCTGTGCTCCCAGCATGCTCTCTGCTGTCAGAAACCGGCAATTAACTTAATAGGGATCTTGAAATGGAGTCGATCTGGGAAATGTGGCATGTGTTGACACTCTCCTGCTGATCCAAGCAGCCTCCCACCATTGACTTACAGGGTCTGTTTGCTATTTGAATTATTTAGGAGCTTGTTATGTGAATTAAAAAGCAGCACTTTGCAGCATTAAGTCTAATATTTTATGATCTTCAATTGATTAGGTGGGCTTTCAGGATTACATGGAAAGGTTAAGATAAAACACGCCTCAGACAGGCGGCTTTCACCTGTCTGCTTTGCTTTTCAAAAACCTAGATGAAAACCCAAAAGCAGTCTGCCTCCTTTTCCCTTCCATCCGAGTCTTCTGGAACCTGTTTTTTTTTTGGGGGGGGGGGCCATCAGGGAGCTTTATCACCCTGAGGATACCAGGTGTCCTGAGTTCTTAGGACTAAATGGAAGCTGGTCCCCTATTTCTCTACCTTTGTCTCTTTCTTGGCCCAAAGCTACCATTGATGACATCATGCCCAGAAGGACTGCATTCCAGGCCTGGGCCTGCAAAGAGGAAGCCCTGCAGTGGGTCCCAGTCGCTCACTTGGACCTGAGATGGGCACCACTGCCATGCCTGCCTTTGGCCAGGCACATAGCATAGGTAGCACATGCCCCACACAGCACACAGACCACCAAGATTCAGGGGACCTCCCTCTGCCATGTGTGCCAGCTCATGCTCTCCCTGTCCTGCCAGGTCCCACTATCTTCTCCCCTGGTCAATGACAATGGGATTCTCCTGGGCTTCTCCCACTACTCCCATTCCAATCTGCCTTATGCTTTGCAGTCAGAAGGATTTTTCTAAAACTCAGCTCTGGCCACGACACTCCCCTGCTCAAAAACCTTCATTGGTTCCCAATTGCCTGTTAAGTATACACTCTTCAACCTGGCCCGACCTCTCTTTCTAGCCTCATTTTCTATTGTTCCCAATAAAAACCAGCCAGAGAGAGATGCTCACTATTCTCAAAACACACCTGTGCTTTCTCAACTCTGAAGAATTGCTTGTGGCATTCACTTGGTGCATTATGCCTGATATGGTTTGGCTGTGTCCCCACCAAATCTCAACTTGAATTGTCTCTCCCAGAATTCCCAAGTGTGGTGCGAGGGACCCAGGGGAGGTAACTGAATCATGGGGGCCAGTGTTTTCCATGCTATTCTCATGATAGTGAATAAGTCTCATGAGATCTCATGGGTTTATCAGGGGTTTCTGTTTTTGCTTCTTCCTCATTCTGTCTTGCTGCCACCATGTAAGAAGTGCCTTTTGCCCTCTGCCATGATTATGAGACCTCCCCAGCCAAGTGGGACTGTAAGTCAAACCTCCTTTTCTTCCCACTCTCAGGTATGTCTTTATCAGCAGCATAAAAACGGAGTAATACAATGCCTCTCTTTTCACCTGTTAAAATTCTACAAGTCCTTGGTAATTAGAAAGAGTAAAGAAGTATATAATATAGCTTACTGTGTTTCACACACTTTACTTGTTAATTCACTCATTTAATCCTCCTGCTCATCCTATTAGGTAGGTACTTTTATCACCTCCATTTTATAGATGGTAAAACTGAGACTCAGAGGTTAGATAACTTCCCCGAAGTCATTCCACTAACAAGTGACAGAGCTGGGATTCAAATCCAAATAAAAAAGGCTCATCCCAATCCCACTTTCTGGGTGAAGCCATCTCCACCCCTACCCTTGTGGCCTCTTTTTCCTTTGAGGACAGCTGTATCCTCCTTTCCATGGCACTGACTTATTTGGGCTGGAAATGGAGGTACACAGCCCCCTCTCCACCAGGATGCCAATGCTTGGGACAGTCGAGCATCCTGCACATTGTCACAGGGCTGCGGGCCAGCGTTTGTACACAGTAGGTGCTGGTTCACCCTGACTGCAGGAGGGCTCCCACCCAAAAGTTCCCGCCCCAGAGGAGCACCTACTTGGTCCTTGATGCACTTTCCAAGTGGCAGGAGTAGGCATTGCAGGTGCCAAGGGAGTGAAAGTGCAAGCTCTAAAGGCAGAGGATTTTGAATTTGAATCTAGGCTCCACATCTCCTGACCTACAAAAACTTGTTTTTCTCACCTGCAAAATGGTGGTAACAGAAGTCCCCACTCCATAAGGAAATTATCAAAGTGAAATGAAATAACTCATTGAAAGCACCTAACATACATTGCTCCCAGCACACCGTTAAGGGCCAGGAAATGCTAGCCGTTATGACCAATGGATTGACCCAAGCTGTTTGCCTCCTCAGCTCTGGGACCCTGGGCCTGGCATCTTCACACCTCCTCTTCCTCACCTACAACATAGGCTATTTAAAACTCACCTTATAGGATTGAGGGGGTGGTAACAAACTAAGAGAAGGGACGGGAACAGAACAGGCATTCGATATGTTACATTATCTTTTATTAACTTAAACCTCACTCAAGCTGAGGAATTTAATTTTTCCAGAAGACCATCAGAATTGTCCCTGATGCCTGAAATCAACAACTCTGCGCAAAACAAATGATGTCTGCCGTGCACCCCAACCCTGCAGCAGTCAAGGGGAATGATAACAGCACAGCTTCAGCCTCTGGGGAGTGTGGGATTGAACGGGGAGGCAGCACTGAGAGAGCCCATCTCACCCAAGGCAGAACCAGGGCAGGGCTGGATGGGGAGGAGGGGGCTCCGGAGCAGAGTCTCAAGGGCTCAGTTGGGAGGAGCTGCAGTCTGCCTGATCCTCTAACCTGTGATCCATCAAATGTATTGGGTGTGCCATGAGGCTGAGAGCAAGCACTTTGGCAACTGCGGCACAAAGGAGAGTGTCAATGTGATTAGCGGTGCCTTTGTAGGAGACCTGTGCCCTGAAAGGCCAGCTGTCACTAAAATTCCTTAGGTAAGGGGCTGTCTTCAGAACCTCTCTGTTGCAGGGAGACCCTGAAGCCAGGAAGCTGCTCTCAGGAATTGTCTCACTACCATCAATAACAACTGCTGAGTCTTGCTTTTTAAGGCAGTAAGGGCCTAAGAGGGCTGGAACCAAGAAGACTAAAATACATGCAAAATCTTGAATGAATGTAAGTAGGTGTGTACACTAGATACAAGTTCTATAAAATTCATTGTTGTCAGGACAGGCTTACTGCTAGCTGCAATAACAAATACCCTGTGTGTCTCAATGGTTTCATACAAAGTGTCCCAGTCCAAGCAGGCCTGCAGGGAACAGGCAATGAAGGGCAGGGTTTTCCTGGCAGGGGCTCTGGCATCTTCGACACATAGTTCCCAAGGTCCTGCTGAGCATTGACAGTCAGTTGCCAGATGGAGGAGAAAACAAGCAAGAAGGATCTTACAAGAAATTTTAGGGGCCAGGCCTGAAAGCAGCATATATTATCCCTGCCCACATTCCATTGGCCAGAACTCAGTCACATGGGGCTCTGACTCCAAAGGAGGTTGGGAAATGTCTTCCTGTGCACCCAGAAAGGAAAGAAAACTGGCTTGGAGAACACATCAGTCTTTCAAAAGGGCTTGGACAGGGAAAAATGTTAAAAGGGCAAGGAGATGAAGAAGAATGATAAGCATTATTTGCTTTATGTACACTATTTAGTCCTATCAGTAATTGATTTTTTAAATTTTATACCCATTTAACAGATAAAGAAACTGAAGCACAGAAAACTAGGTCACTACCTGAGATCACACAGTGGTAAGTGGTGAAACCAGGAATATACTTCTGGCTCATCTCTTGTCAACATGTAGTTGAAAAGGCATTCCACTTTGTGACTGTTGTGTGTTACGTATTTTGAATGGGAAGGCAAATGTGCATAGAGAAGATAATGTCAAGCTGATATTTTGGGGTCAGCTAATAGTTATTGCCTGCTTATTCTGTGGCAAACACCATTCAAAATGCTTTTCTATATATTGCATAATTGACTCCTCCCAATCCAGTTACGACCTTACCTTTATGGATGAGGAAACTGAGGCATAGAGAAATAATATAATTTGCTCAAGCTAGTAAGCAAGGAATGGGGCCTCCATCCCCAGTGACTCCTCATTCCCATTCTTGCACTCATTCAGCATGGAGTTGCTCTTGGTCACCCATGAGTTCAAAGCAAGCAGTGAACATACCTTCGTCGTCCTCATGCCCCATCATACAGCCTAAATCGGCCTCCTTGGAAGTCATGGTCTAAAGGCAGGAACCCTCCCAAGGGCATATTGGCATCCCGGTAAAGTCACCGGTAACCTGAGCACCATGCCAGGGCCCAGCAGCCCATTTAGAGTGGCACCACAATCCCAGAGGCAGCTGACATCCCCTTCACAACCTTACTAGATTCACCCAGTGGCTTCATGAAGGGAGTATTTTTACTATTTCGGACCACCCTGTCATTTAAGCCAAAATAAATTCAGCCCCTGGGGCCAGAGGCAGGTCTGATGTGAATGTGGAGAGAAACCCAAGGCTACACCGCCTCTCGAACACATGCATCCTGGCCCTCCAAGGTGTTGCTCACACTGGGGGAGGTCCAGGCCCACAGCGAGCACCTGGGACGGAGCGTGTTCCCTTGCCTTGCACCTTGCTCAAGTCCAGGGTGTTGACCACAAGCCTTTAACACAAAAGCAGCGAGCTGCTGGGTAGGTGGACAGGTTGTGGAATTGGCCGCCAGACACTCAACAGGGGTATTATGTGGGTGGTAGATGCCCTAAGAATAGGGAGGGCTGGGCTGGGCACGGTGGCTCATGCCTACAATCCCAGTACTTTGGGGTGCCAAGGCGAGCAGATCACCTGAAGCCAGGAGTTCAAGACCAACCTGTCCAACATGGTGAAACCCCATCTCTACAAAAATACAAAAACCAGCCAGGTGTGGTGATGCGCACCTGTAATCCCAGCTACTCAGGAGGCTGAGGCACAATAATCATTTGAACCTGGGAGATGGAGGTTGCAGTGAGCTGAGATCACACCCCTGCACTCCAGCCTGGGCATCAGAGCAAGACTCTCAAAAACTAAAAATATTAAAAAAACAAAACAAAAAAAAACAATAAGAAGGGCTGAAAAACATGAAAGTGCTGAGGTTGTGGGGAGGAGTCACTCAAGATATATGTGCAGCTAAAGCGGAAAGTTCTGAAGCAGAAGAGAAAGGCAGCCTTCTCCCCAAGCTGGTGTGAGGATTCTGCAGAGCTGCAACAAAGCTGCGGGGATTGGAGTCAGCTGCACTTGGTTCAGAGACCAGCTCCTCTGTTCATTAGCTCCAGTTCTTTCACCTTTCAATGTCTTGGCCCATAAAATGGATGCAATTTCAGTCTCGACTCCCAGGGCTGCAGAAGGCCCACTGGGGTTGACCACATAAAGCACCAGCACCAGGCCTGGCCTGCAGGCATCTGCAAGTGTTGACCCAGGTGCCTTTGAATCCAATCCTTCTAGAAAAAGATTTTTTTTTAAAGTAACAGATTTAATTCTCTAATAATCTGCATCATCAAATGAGACATCTCACTGTCTTATTTTTATAGCCGTTTTGCAATTTTTTAAAATCACTTCTTCATTTTCCATGGGCCATGCATCCTGAACTAGAGGGCATGAACTTTGAGGTGGGCCCAGCATGGACCAGAGCCATGGAACTGAGTGTTTCTGAGGTCAGCAGTTTGCACTTCACAGAGCGCTTCCCTGTATATTATCTTCTTTAATCCTCATTCACGGTGGCCCTGGGGGGCAGGTAGAGCTGACCTCATTACCCCCGTTTACAAACAAGGAAATGGAGATTCCCCAAGGGTTTCAGTTAGGAAGCAGCAGCTCTGGGGCTCTAAGCCAGGTCTTCGAACTCTAAGCACAGGGTGTTTTTCGTAACACCTGAGCAATCAGAGACTCAGCACCCTCTGGGCTGCCTGCACATCAGCACTTGGGCACCATGACTCTCCGACAGAGGCCTCATGCAGGATGAGGGTAACAGCAGGGACCCTGGAGCAAAGGGTCTCCGAGTTCAAGTCCCAGCTCTGCCAGTTTCTAGCCCCGCGATCATGGGCAAGCAGCAGGATCTGCCTCACCTATAAAATGGGGGTGATGTTACTCCCCACCACCTAGGGTTGCTGCGAAGATTTCAACAGCTAACAGTATGTGTCAACCAGTTAGAACAGGGCCTGGTATGTAGTAAGAGCCGTAATATGTCGCTACTGATCTCCTATGCAGGGAGCTACCCCCTCCCACCCACCTTCTCTGTTTGCTTCTGTGGCTTTGTGCCCCAAGAGGGCTGAGGCTGTGTCCTATCCCTTTTGGGGACTGAAACAGAGGGGCAGTGCAGCATAATGGTTAGGAGTGTAGGTCCTGGTTCCAAGCCCAGATCCTGCAACCTCCTGGCCATGTGATCTGTTTCTGTGTTGAGCCTCAGTTTCCTCCTATAAGAAGGGGACAATAAAAGAACCTATTCGTGAGTATTGTATGAAGTCATGTAACACACATGAAGCACCTAGAACAGTTCCTGGCACATGGGAAGTGCTAAACAAGTGTTAGCTATTATTGTATCTGTGTCCCCAGCACCCACCACTGTGCCCAATGGTGCTAAGCAGCTGCTTTTGGATACATGAATGAGTTGAGTATTTATATTTCTTGTTCTCTGGATAGCAAGAGATCCTCTCCAAATTCTATCCCAAAGATAGGACCCTGGGATGGGAATTGCCACCAAGGATGGTCACTGTGGCCCAGATACTCATTGTTTATAATGATCTCACTGAGTAAATAAATAGCATGAGACAGGAGGCAGGCCAGTTTTGGAAATACTCCGCCCCTGGCTCCAGCCGGGGCACTGAGACACAATGACCCTGGCCAGTTGAGTCATCTCAGCCCCACCCAGCCCCTCAGACTCCCTCATTCCGCCTGGCAAGCCTAGCAGGAGCCAGTCTAAAGCAGCTGGCTCTGGGGAGAAGAAAAAGCAGGTGTGAATCTGTGACTAACGCCAAGCCACAGAGGGGCAGTCAAAGGAACAGAAAAGCTCTGACCAAGGAGGTTAAGGACAAAGGCCAGTGCCACATGACGCAGTCACTGGAGTGGGAAGGGCGCATCGAAGGGCAGATAAAGCAGGCATTGCTACACTGTGGGTGGAGGTCTAGAGGGTTCCTAGGGCCCAGCTGTGCCACAGCCAGCACAGCCCTCACCTGAAGAGGAATCCCAAAGGCCCCTGTACCATCCCTCAAGCCCCATCCTCAGGAAGAGGGAGCTGTGGAGAGAGTTCACAGAAGCTGGCTCCAGCCCACAGTCAGAACTTGTCAGGGTAGAAAGATGCTGACATAGAGAAAAGTCTCCAGTTGTCTGGCATCCTTCTTGAGAACCTAGATTTCTTTAGAAAATTGTTCCTTTAATTTTGAAAATATAATTTCCATGTCAGTGATTTCACTTACAGCCTTGTAAAACAGACTTTGGCACTTAGAAAGGAGGCAGTTCAACCACGTTGGTGTGCAGGTTGGAAGGGAAGTGACTCCATTCATCCAGTCCACAGTATTTGAATGCCTACTACAAAGCAGGCACTGATCAAGGTGTTGGGCACCTGCAGAGAACAAAAACACAAGGTCCCCATTCTCATGGAACTTACATTTTGGGGAGAAGAAGACAGACAATAAACGCTAAGCAAATGGCAACAAACATTCAGATCAAGATAAATATTAGGAAGAAAACAAAGAGCTTTATGAAAGTGAAGGGTGGGATGGTTGATGGTCTCATCCTCTCATCCAGAAAGGATGAGCTGAGGCCGGAAGTAGAAGCCATGACGGGCAGGGCAAGAGCTCTGCCTGCAAGTGCAAAAGTCCTGTGGCAGGGTCACGGTTAGGGAGGTCCAGGAAAATGAAGAAGATGGACATGGCTAAGGTGGAGTGACCCCTGCTAATATTTACTGGGCACTGTACTTTGTGCCAGGCCGCATTCTAAGCACTCTATTAGTAGCTCATGAAGTCTCATAAGGGCCCTTGAAGGTGGGGTTCCGTTAACTCCATTTACAGCTGGGAGGCCAGAGAGGTTAAGGAATCTGCTCCAAGTCACCATTTAAGGACAGGGCAGGCAGGATTCCATCCTGGCATTTCAAATCCAGAGCACTTTAGAGCAGACGCCCCGGCAAAAGCCCGAGAACATATTTCCCATGGGCCTCAGGAAGGAGTTTGGATTTTGTTCCAAGTACAAGGGGAAGTGGTCAGGGCCCACAGTCCTTCAGAGGTCAGTTCAATCGTTGTTAAGCACTCAGCCAGGTGCTACGTTCTATCCCAAAGCCCCTTCCTGCGTGCCAGGCTGCCTGTCGTGAGCCTGGGGTCGGGACCTTCGGCATGCGGCCCTCTCAGCCACAGGCGACCCCCACTTTCCCGGCCGGCCCTCTCAAAGATCTCCTCACCCCCGTGTCTCCTGTCCCACCTGAACTTCTCCCGCTTCTGAAAGAGAACTGGCGCCCTGCGCTCGGAGCGGCTCAGGTCTTGGGCTCTGAGAACCCAGGCGCGCCCGGGGCTGCGCAGAGCATAGCCCACCGCACTGCGCCCAGAGGGTGCTCGCAGAGGGGCCTCTCGCCGCCTCTCCCTCCGTGGCGCCGCAGTCTCCCGGAGCCCTCCGATGGCTCTCTCGCGGAGCGAATGTTGGCCGGATTAACCTGTTATCAAAGCGCGCCGCATCACCAACCCGCCCGGGGAACTCTTTGCGCCGGCAACTCGGCCTTGTATTTCCAGCGCCATAAGCCTCTAGTGTCCGCAGTGCCCACGCACTTTGCGCCCTGGCTTTAGCGTACAGACGCTGACCCCAGCAGAGACCCTGGCTCTGAGCGAGTTCCCAGCTCTGTGACACCCCCCACCCCCCCGCACGGTGACACCAGAACATTCCATCCTGGAACATCGGCGACCCTAGGCTTCCTAGCCTGGTGGTGGCGCAGCCTGATTGGCAGGTTCCCTCTTGGCTGGGGTGGGGGACCCGGGGAGAGTCGCTGTGCACAATTGCTGTTTTTACTCCTGCCATCATTAATTCAACTATTGACAGAGAAAGGAGGGTCCGCAGCAGCTTTGTGTCACGCACTCACTGTAATTTACTTGAAAAGAATTAAATCACAATTACCTGCCATTTGTTTTGCATAAAACGAGCCTGTAATCGCAGAGCTCTTGAAAGGACAACAGCCCCATTGTTGCCATATTAGAACAATATTTCTCAATTTGAAACTTAAAGCTTTAGAATTAGCAGCTTTGTTTGACGGTGGCCCAGGGATAGGCAAGACTGACACCCCAGCTCGGACTCCAGACACTACAGTTAACAAGCATAATTTTCATTCGTTGAAGTCTAGACCGATTTTTCAAATTGTTGCACTTATTGTACAAGTGTACCTCCCAAATGTTGGAAAAGAAAATGCAATCTTTTATCTGTTACCTAGCCCAGTTGATAACTTATCTAAATGCCATGAAAATTCCTGTTGCTGGAGTTAAAATCAGAACAAACTGTAATTAACCCACTTGAGACTTGTTTAAATGTCCAAAGAAATCACACTGTTTCTCAAATAAAGTTACTTCTGTTCTCATTTTCTCTCCTTTCAGATACGGTGGTGTAAATATGACTGATTAGCTTTTAAACCAAGGTTTTAAAATGTATTTAGAATATTCAGTTCTCCAAAATTACATCACTGTTAACTGGTGTGTTCAGCAAATTTGGAGCAGAGCTGGTTTTTTAACAACTTCTGTAAAAGTAAACTGATGCTTTGAGTGAGCTGTAGTTTCCATTAGCATTCATGGCTTTTTAGTAACAAAATGTAACTGTTCAATTAAGCTTGAGTATTAAAAAGAACCCAGTTACTAACTGTAAGAACCCTTCAACAGTCAGGAAAAACAGCAAATACAAAAATCCGGTTGGTAACATTGGAAGCTGTGTGCAGAGAGGGTAACAACCTGTTACAGCAACTTTTGCAAATGAAAATAAAGAGAAGTGGCAGAAAAGAAGGTTGAAAGTAGAAAAGATGAAGGAATAAAAAGGTAGAATTTTAAAAATCTGATTGACAAAAAGCAAGCTGAAATGCAGATTTAGTTCAGGGAATAATTAAAATGTAAAATAAGAAAACCTGATAACCCAGGAAAACAGGTCAGGGAAGGAGTAAAATGCCTTTACTGTTGTTACCATTGGACTCACCCAATTCTGAAAAGTACAATTTTATGATTGAAAGGTGACTCCTTTTTTAAGAGTTTTATTTTTTTAAGAAAGAGAAAAGGGTACTGGCTTTAAAAAAATGGTTTTTTAAAGGAAAAAATATTGTGTTGTCTGCTGTCCTTTTTTTTTAATGTATGTGAAAATTTAAATGTTTAATTTTATTCATAGTACTTTTAAATTTTTTTTAATAATTTTTCCTTTATTCTGCTAGGTGAGAATAAATGCTTGGCTTCAGCAGAAAACAAATTATGTATGGAGCAAAACAAAGACTCAACTGCATTTTTCATGATTGGTTTTTGAACAATAATCCATAGAGGTGGGGGAGGGGGATTCATCAGCAAATGAAACAAAGTCCCCGATCTATATTCCTGTTCTGATGTCACCTCCTGGAATATCGGCAACATTTTAAGTTCCAACCTAAGCCATGAATTCCTTCAGAACAAATCAAATGTCTTTAAAGAATATTTCTGTTTGAAAAGGAATTAAGCTCTCCTGAAAGAATTTTAAAGGTTGTGATATTCACAGTCTGATAAAGCAGCACCTTTAATGAAATTCTAATTAGCAATTTCATGCACTTTGCTATTAGTCATATCAGATTAGTGCACATTTTCACAGCCTTCCTTTAATTAAGTGCACTTATTCCAAGTTTCAAACACTTTCCTTATAAGATGAAAACTGTGCTGAAATGTTATTTAGTAAACAGAGGAAGTGTGAACGTGTAGGTGTGCGTGTGTACAGAGACAGACATTTTAACTGTCTACAATTTTTTTTTTTTTTTTACTTTTAGAGTTGGTGCACTCAGGTTTTCATCCCTTCTTTCTTGTATTCTCAGTATTTCCTCGTATTTCTAAGAGACCCGTTCAAATCCTTATCCAAAGTGCAAATCATGTATTTTGCTTAAAATATATTTCCTGTATGTGTATATATGGAGGGTGTTGTGGGTCTTTTTGCCTTTTTGCTTAAAACATCTCCATATATATTTGTGTGTATATGTGCATGTACGTATATGTATGTATTATGTGTGTGTATATATACAGAGAGAAACTGTACAATCTACAATATCTAATTTTAAAAATCTCTGAAAAGCAATGAGCAAGTATTTATCCATCTCATATATACACACTCCCCACTGCCTTTTGCAGCTACCTCCTTTCCTTTGAAAACAGCAATATGATTTCATTCTACCTTCTAAATTTTATTCCGAAGCTCCAGCCGGGAGTAGTCTGTTAGCTTCATGAGCCGGATCCATGGGTCGCAGGACGACTTCCTTCACTTCAGACTTCACTTCTCCCCTTCAGGAGCCTGGCAGTCAAATCAGTCATTTTCAGGCAAGGCAGGACCTACCCTGGGGGCCCACACCTTACAAACCCCTGAATCCCCCCAGGTTCATCCCTTCCTCCCAGCCTGCTGGAGTGCTGCTCCAATTCAGGGAGATTATGTTGTCTGGGAATCGACTTGATCTTATGTGTAGCCTTTTGTCAAGAGGAAATTTTTGTTGCCTGTTTTGCTCAGAGGTTGAAACTTGTAATATCTTAACTAATTGCCTGCATCTCTAACACATGTTCTCTTGTTGGTGTCGTTCATTTATACTGTAACATTTTTGACATTTTTAGATCCTCTCCTGGGACGCCTGGGCCTCTTAGCAGTTCTCTCCATGAAGAGTGTTTGCCTAATGATTACTGACTGACATCTCAATAACGAGCAATGTATGAGTTGGGTGCATCTATTGAGGAGTTCTGGGGGGTGTGTGTATGTGTGGTGTGTGCAAGTGTGTGTGTGTATGTGTGTTTTAATTCATGGTCCACTTTGTCAAGTCATGTGTGAGCCATAATTTAAGCTAATAATTACCAGACATGAATTCAATGAAACATTGGTGTCTACACTTTAAAAAAATAGTCCTGAATTTTAATGCATTCAGAAAACGTTCGCCTAGGGCCAGGCTGGGTCCAACGCGCATATGGAAGCACTTTAAAAGTGATAAAGGATTTGGAATCTACCCTGTCTACTGGTGTGCTTCTCAGGAAAGAAAATTAGAGCTAACAGGTGTTAGATAGGGAATGCTGGGGCATTTTAATAGAATTGTCAAAATGTTGGTACCAGATGTTGACATGAATGCACACAACTTGGAACGTAATGCCGGGCCGCCATTTAAATAATTATTTGTTTAAATTTCAAGTCGCCAGCAGGAAATCTTTACTTTGTTCAGCACCTTTCTCTACAGACCATCCCCCGGCTCTCTCCCCTACGATTTGCATCAAAGTGTAGTGGCTGCTCGGCTCACATATGCATGCTTTAAATAATCCATGCCTGTCAAATTTCATTTTTTCTTTTCAGATCATACTCATCGCATCCGCGTCCTTGCCAGCCTTGAAGTCGGCCTCAATGTATTCGTATATGAGAAAAGATGATTTAAATACTGCCAGTTACAGGATAATTAATCTTTGAACTACTCGGTAACTTCAAATGTATATACCAAGTAATCTGCATGAACTTGTAATTACTATGTATTTATACGATATTTCTCATGTAATCACCAAGTCGTTACATGGTTACGTGAGCCTTGTAAATTATGGCAATAGCAGAAAACTAATCTCACCCACGCCACCGCAAAAAGCCCATTCAGGAGCTGCTGGTATCCACCACAGTCAATTAATTGAAGGATCCAGAAAGAGTCTATCCTTTAAA
Source organism: Homo sapiens (assembly GCF_000001405.40). Classification (NCBI taxonomy): domain Eukaryota; kingdom Metazoa; phylum Chordata; class Mammalia; order Primates; family Hominidae; genus Homo; species Homo sapiens. The sequence goes on along the minus strand of NC_000010.11, from coordinate 117,730,908 downwards.
GGACGTTAAGATGTTTGCCTGCAATGAAGTCTCAACTTTAAGAAATATTGGGGGATTGAGAGCCTGGCGAGGTGGATAGAGAGTGGCTTTTGTCATCAGCTTACACACAAAGGCTGTGACTGGTTTGGGCCACTTATTGCTGCTAGAGTTGAAAAGCAATTGGAGAAAAAAATCTCAGAGCAAAATCCACCATCGCTTCCATAAGCAGCATTCTGCTGCAGTTGGGAAGGTTTTGAAATAAATTTCAATGTGAGTTTCAAAAGCAAAGCCGGAGGCAGATTTAGTTTGTCATCTTTTCGAACCCAATTAAAACAGGAGCAAAGCCTCCAGTTTTTCCAGACCAAGGCATCTTGTTCTGACGTTCCAAAAGTCAATTCTTTCATGAGTGAACTGTGTGTGCGTGTGAATATGCACACCTGTGCCTATACATACACACACACACACAGAGGTTCATGAGCTATCTTAACGTCTTCAAAATCCACATTGGATCCTGTGGCCCCTTTTATTCAAAAGCAACCATCCAAATGGGAAGGACTCCTTTCCTTCTCATAAGGGTCCTCTCCTTTCTCCCTGACAGGACAGATGGGTCGGTTTTTTGCACAATAAAGAGTGAGGTAGCATGCAAAGCCTTGGCCTTTCTGGGAGCTACAAGTGGCTGTGCCACTCAGAAAAGGGCAAGGTGGCAGAGAAGCTAGGTCTATACTGGATTTTCGATTTCTTCAGAATTATGAGCTTTCCTCTTGATTCGGCACTGTTAGACATAGGAAGGGAGAGTCCAGGCAATAACCTTGAAGACTACCAAGGCCCTGCTGCTTAGCTGACCCATATCCAAACCCTTGTCTGGCTCTCATGCACCCTTGAGACAGGATCTCCAAACCACTAAGGGGTGATGGCCACATCACTCAGAACCTTCCAGGGCCCCTTTTCTTCAGAGGCTCAGCTGTCTGGAACTGTGCTGTCCAATATGCTAACCACTAGCCACATGTGCTTGTATAAATAACTCAAAGATTCGGTTCTTAATGAGAACACATGGACATACGAAGGGGAACATCACACACCGGGGCCTGTCGGGGGGTTGGGGAGCAAGGGGAGGGAGAGCATTAAGACAAATACCTAATGCATGCGGGGCTTAAAACCTAGATGATGAGTTGATAGGTGCAGCAAACCACCATGGCACATATATACCTATGTAACAAACCTGCACATTCAGCACATGCATCCCAGAACTTAAAGTAAAATAAAAAATAAAGATTCGGTTATTGGTTGCACTAGCTAGCTGCATTTCATGTGCCCAGTAGCCACATGTGGCCAGTAGCCACCAGATTGGACCATGCAGATATAGTCTGTTTTCAGGATGGCTAAGCTAGAGCTTTTCATAATTCTCTGGTCATTCCCCTGATCTTTCCCACCCAGAGACACCAACACATGGAGTCAAAGAGCAAAACCAGAGGTTTTTTTCTGAGCCTGGTAAGAGGCTGCCTTGCCTCCTCAGTAAGACCTCTCCTCACTGCGCCTGGACTTGTGTGCAGGGCCAGGGTCCGACCCAGGGCTGAGTGTGTCACCAGACCCAACAGAGCCCTGGGTGACATCTGAGACCGTGGAGGTATTAAGTGGCTAGCGGCCAGTTCTGAGGCCTGAATTGGTAATTGCCTCACAGAGATGGCAGCTTTGCTGGTATAAATCTAGAATGCCATTTTGCCTTCCAGGATAGGATATGCCAGGCTCATCTGCTGGGGATAAGTTTAATTACTCTTTATTACTCACTTTTCATCATATAAGCTGTTCTTTGCTACTTGATTGATATCATATATTACTCATTATTGTGGCTGTTTTTCATTTTTCGAGCGCCTGCCATATGCCAGACCTGTTGCCTCTTTCTTCCTCACAACAACCCTATGAGGTAGAAACTGAGATCCCATTTCACAGATGGGAAAAATCAAGGCTAAGATGGATTCACTGACTTTCTCAAAGCCACATAGCTAATCAGTGGTGGATCAGGATATAAACCTCATGCCATTCACCATCCCCTCACTACACCCCACTCCCAACCCACTCACACATACACAGGCTTGTCTCTTCTCCGAAAGGGCAAGCAGGAAGCTAAGTGGAATTTCCAACTCCTCAGCAATAATCATTCTCAGTGCACAGTTTCCTTATCTATGTCACTCCTCTAACAACAGCCTTTAATTAGTCATCTTATCTGTAGTAGTTTGCAAAATAGCCCCAATTTTCCAACTCTCCCCAATATCCATGCCTCTTTGCAATGTGACTATGCAGCTCCCTCCCTAAAGAGGTGGAGTATATTTTTTGCAGAATGTATTTCTGAATCTAGGTTGGCCTTGTGACTTGCTTTAGCAAGTGAAATGTAGCAGAAGCAATATTGCACCAATTCTGAGCCTAGGTCTCAAGAGGCATTTTTCATGCCTTTATAGTCTCTGTCTCTCTCTCTTTCTCTCTCTCTCTCTCTGAATCTTGCTGCCACCACCTAAACAAGTGCAGCCTAGCCTGCTGGATGATGTGACATAAATGGCCCAATTGTCCTCACTGTCCAGCTAATAGCCAGCTAACCTCCAGAAGCAAAGCCACCCTACCTGACCTGCAGCTGACTATAGATGCATGAGGAAGCTTACCTAGGAAAGAAGAACTGACCTGCTGAGCCCAGCCTAATTTGCTGACCCCTTGAATCATAAACAAATGGTAGTTGCTGAAGCCCCTTTGTTTGCAGGTGGTTTGTTTCATAGCAAGCACTAACTAAAACACTCTCCTGAGCCAGGTGCTTTTTCTCATTATCTGAGAGGTACTCAGCTTATGCCTTCTCCTTCTTTAATTGGCTCTTTCTTTAGGGATATGTTCAAACTTCTGCTAGAGACCCCAAAACCCATAGACCTGGTGAGATTCAATAAAGCTCTTCCTGTCACCGCCTCTGAGCACCATGAAATTTCTCTGCTTATTAAGCAACTGACAAATGAGAATTTTCATTTTAAAAAGCCTAAATCTTTGGCCATTGGGTGTGAGATTGGTTCTCACTTTTGATTCTGGTTTTGGACCAAACCACAAAACCTCCCACACCTAATGAGATTCTTGCTTTTCTTTTTCCTTTCATAGCCAGGCATCCAGAGGAAACTGTTCATCCCTCCCAAATCCATCAGCAGCCAGCAAGGCTGAATGAGACCCACCAAATTCACTTTCATTCCCCATTGGATCTGTTGATTCCAGGCTTTCCAAGCCCAGAGTGGAACTCACAGTGGAAAGGTCTCATGTCTGGAACAGTGAGTGCTGTGGAGCCCAGACTTCATTCCATGCAGCTGGAAGAGAGATGCTGAGGCTGGGTCACGGCCAATCTGGGCTGTTCCAACAACCTCCGTGGGACCTCAATGAAATAGCCCATCACTCAGGCTTTGGATTTTATGGTTTCGCAGTATAAAGATGAGTTTCTGGGATTCCTAAATATTTTAAATTTTGTGTTCGTTCCATAAGTAAGTCTTAGTCACCTACTGTGTGCAAGATTTGAAGGAATATAGTGGGGAAGAAAATTCAGCCTATGTGTGGAAAGAGTTCACGGGTGGGAAGTTATAAAAGTGACAAAAGAATAAAAGGGAGTCCAGCAGAGAATTTAAAAAGGAAGAGCTTTCTTTGTGGGCACTCAATATTTTCCAGGCTCTCCTCTAATTAAGCTAATGTGAATTAATTCATTTAATCTCCACACCTCTCCTATTATGGAAGCACTATTCCCTGCCCCATTTTATAGATGAGGCATAGAGAGGTTAAATGATACAGGCAGCCTCCTACTGCATTCCTGAAAAAATACACTTGAGGATTTAGTGTATGGAAGTTGAGCACCAGGCCAATGGAGCTCCATTTCAATGATGTAAAACAGAAAATACCTAGCACCAGTGTTCTATGATATACATCTGATTATTTTAACATTAAAATTATGCATACATCAAAATATTAAAACATTAAAATATTAATTAAGTATAAATATAGACTAAAGCATTGCCAAAGTAATTTCTTATACCAAATTACAGTCCTCTTGGCTGACTTGAAGTAGTTTTTATGAAGCAAAAAGAGCTGGGTTTAATCCAGGCCAGAAACATTTGCAGAGAACGAGGCATTGCTGCAGAGCCAGGGGGATCAGCTCAGCTCTTAAAATGCTCCTAAGCTGAGAGGCTGCTGGGCCTGGTGAGCCAAGCAGAGGCTGCAAGTTGGCAACTCTGGATTTAAACAAGGGCTTCTCCCCTTGTAGCTGGGTGTCCTTGAGCTAGTCACTTAACTTCTCTGAGTCTCGGTTCTCCAGCTTAGCATGACAGTATTGATAACTTTTCATGGCTTTTGGGCTCTCTGTAAGGTTCAATAAGAACATGCTGTGAATGAGTTCTGTGAACCTAGGCTCCTCAAAGTGTGGTCTGTGGACCTGAAGCAACAGCACCTGAGAACTTGTTAGAATGCCAATCCTCAGGCCCTAACCCTACTGAGGATACTGCCTAGAAAACTCCCCTGCCTTCAGCAATCCTTATGCGTGGTAAAGTTTGCAAACCACCATCTTAAGTAACATCAATTCCCCAGGAGAGTCCCAGGTTACAACTGTGGTCCCAGGAAAATTATTGAACGTGCTCCCTTTCATTCTCAAAAATGTTCAGAATGGATGACAAATTGCACAGCTCCTACAAATGACTTGCATGAGTCTAGCAGCCTTCCTAAGAGATGGGGAATCACATTATCACCATGGAGACAGGGCTGGGAAAAGGAGAGAAAGGAAGGAATAAAGACAGGTAGGCAGGCTTTCTCTCAGAGCTACCTTTTGGGCAACTAGAAACAACTAGAATTAGGGATTATGGACCCACGAACTCAGTGGTCCAGGGGCTTCTAACTGTTGGGGCTGTTTCTGTGTTAACAATCATGCCATCATCTATAAATGCTAGCAGTCACTCGCTGCTCCCCTCGTTCTCACAGAGACTGGGTGTGGCCTCAGAATTCTACACACAGCACTCCATGAAGCTCTTACCTATTTGACAGACTTGATGTAGTTCATCCCCTTTCATCCCCAAGATGAACAAGCTGAGGCCCACGCAGTCACTCCCCTATGGGCATACGGAGTGTTTGCAGAGCCTGGCGTGTCTCACAGAGATAATTCTTCTTGGCTTTTTGCACCCACAGGCCATTAATTCACCCAAGGGTCAATTAATTTGTCTTGTGTGGCTAAGCCTGCTGAGAAGAAGAAGAGAGAGAGGAACATTGTACCTTTTGGTGAAGCAAGATTGGTCAGTCCTGGGGGAAGTAACCTTAACTTCAGCCTAACCAGATAGATGTCATCACCCATTTTACAGATGAACACACCGATATGCAGAGAGATTAACGGGGCTGCCATGGTGGCTGAGGGGACCCTAACCTGCCACCACTTTATCCTTGGATATTTGATTTAGAGGGTGGATTGCCTTTCAGACTTGAGGCATCTCCCTCACTGTTCACCTGAAATTTTTACATTAGGGATTCATTCCTTTGGCTCCTGAAAACATTTTGGTCTTCTGGAGTCCTCTCTGTGAGACCAGCTCCTGTATATGCAAATGCAGTTCTCAGTTGGCTGTGGGCTAAGAATGAGGCTGGGGGTGGCAGGAAGCAGTGGTCTCACCTGTTTGGTCATATCTGCACACCTACCCTTCTATTCCTTACTAAAAATGTTACTGTAAATTGATTTGCTTTTTGTTATAAATTTAATGCATTTATTTTGAAAGAGCATATATTATTATTGTAAATGGAAAACCAGTTTCATGCACCAGAATTTATTAAAACTGATACAGAGCTTTCAAAATATTAAAAGGTTGCTTAGTGCAGTAACTCCAATCAGCTCACATACTGGTGCATTATGGGAAACTCCAACACACAGGGGAAGAGCCAGACTAGGAGAAGAGAAAGGAAAGGAATTCCCACTTCTGCACTGAGACTTCATGGTACTTTTCAGAGGAGTCCCAGGGAGTGGAGAGAGACTTGGGCATGATCTTGAGCACTTCTATTCCAAGCCTCAGTTTCTTCAGCTCCAAAATAGGGCTGAGTTCAGCCACTTTCCTCTCAGGATGCTTGGGAGGAGGATTAACTGAGTGATATGGTTTGGCTGCATCCCCATGCAAATCTTCCCTTGAATTGTAATAATCCCCACGTGTCAAGGGTAGAGCCAGGTGGAGATAATTGAATGAGGGCAGTTTTCACCATACTGTTCTTGTGGTAGTGAATGAGTCTCACAAGATCTAATGGTTTTATAAATGGGAGTTCCCCTGCACAGGCTGTCTTGCCTGCCACCATGTAAGATGTGCCTTTGCTCCTCCTTCACCTTCCACCATGATTGTGAGTGCCCCCCACCCCAGCCATGTGAAACTGTGAGTCCATTAAACATTTTTTCTTTATAAATTACCCAGTCTCAGGTATGTGTTAGCAACATGAGAACAGACTAATACACTGGGATTATGGTTGTTCATGAGCTTTATAAAGAGTGGCACAGGTCATAACATTGAATGCTCAAGATTTTTTTTATTTTAATTTTACTTTTAGGTTCTGGGGTACATGTGCAGGATGTGAAGGTTTGTTACATAGGTAAACATGTGCCATGGTGGTTTGCTGCACCAATCAACCCATCACCTAGGTATTAATCTCAGTATGTGTTAGCTAGTTTTCCCAATGCTCTCCCTCCCCTGACCCCACACCCCCAACAGGCCCTAGTGTGTGTTGTTCCCCCCCCTGTGTCCATGTGTTCTCATTGTTTAGCTCCCACTTATAAGTGAGAACATGTGGCGTCTGGTTTTCTGTTCCTTGAAAGATTATTGTTCTCAGCTCCCTCCACAGTGTGAAGCTGTCAGGCCTGATCAGAGGAAAGTGGCTTCATATGGGAGGTCACTATCCAAGGACACCTGGCAACATCTGTTGTGGCAACCAGTCGTAAGAGACCACATAGTTTCTTCAGTTTAGCTTCAGATTTAACACTGAGCTTCCTGGTGGCAAAAGTGAAAAGAGAAAAATAGTCATTTATGAAGGAGGAAAGAAAAGAAGCATATCAGCTTCTCAGGGGACACAGAGGTTTTCCTGGTCTTGAGTTCAAAAATTAATTTCTCACACAGAGTTTAAAATGAGGTCAACTGGGGTAACAAAAAGAGTCTTAGCCCAAAGCTAACAGGTACTAGGGCCACTTCCAGATCTGACAACTTATCTTGGCGACTTTTGGATTCATGCTTTTTCTCTGTTTTGTTTTGTGACCATCTCAACAGTGTATAAGGGGAAGAGTGCTGAACTCTGAGCCAGAGGACCTGGTTCTAATCCTGGGTTGTGGGTCCCATGTAAGGCAGTTAACTCTAGCCAAAACGTCTCCATCTGGTGGTGCAGCCACCGAAAATCATTTTAGAAGAATTGCAATGGCATCAGAGACACTCATGAGGCAATACTGAATGGAAAAAAGGCAGGATGCAATACTGTGGCTATGATATGATTTCACCCATATTAAATAATTCCACAGATGTGTGCAGAGGCCAAATGCAGAGTGGTTAGGAACACAGGTCGGGGGCTGGAGCCAATTGGTTTGTCTGGACTCAATCCTTACCCACTCCTACCTCCACTATCTGTGTGTCTTGGGGCAAGTGAAAACTTCTCTGTGCCAGTTTTCTGTAAAATGTAGGTAGTAATAGTGTCTACCTAACACAGTTGTTTTGAAACGTAAATGAATGAGTATGTAAAAAGCACTTATGACAGTCCCTGGCACACTGAGCACTCAGTGGGTATGTGAGTGTGCATTTGTGTGTGTGCACACACGTGTGTGTTTGCATGTGTGTGTGTGTGTGCATGTGCGTTTGTGTGTGCCTTTTTGTATGTGCAAGCGTGGGTCTGCTCGTGAGCATGGGTGTGTACGGTCACTGAAAAAAGTCTAAAAGGAAAGAACCCAAAACACTAACTGTCATCTGGTGGTAACTACGGTTTTCTTTTTTTCACTTTTCTCTGCTTTCCAAATGCTTTTCTGTGTTTTGTTTTTCTACTCAGGGGCAAAACCAAAATGCTTTGTGTTTGCCTTTCACCATCTGCAAAAGGAGGATCACAAGCCTTGTTCAGGGTCACTGTGAGATTCAAAGGAGATATGGAACCCCAGGGTTTATAAGCTGTTAAGTGTGGACACAGTTGGAGAATTACCCTTATAAGCACACTAGTGCCTCAGACCTCCAGCTATTTGGGTGCAGTCCCCCACAGGTGGCTCCTGCAGCTGCGTCTCCCCTACATTCTGGCCTAGGATGTGGGCTAGGGGCTGCCTCCCTCACTTGGGTGAGTCATCTCTGATCCCCTCTCCCAAAAAGGTGCCTTGAGTAGATAAAACCCTTCTACCTTCAGCCAACAAATGTTCACCAGCCCCTGAGGTTTAAAAGCTGAATAGTCCTTTATCATCTCATTGGCAGTGGAAAGAATATCTTTCCTGCACCCTTCTCCTTCTATGTACCTCTACCCCTACTACAATCCAGCCTCTGAATGCTTTTCATCAAATACGATGATTTTTTTTTTCAACGTGCTGGGGTCTCCTTCCTCGGGCATTTATCCCACCACTTGGGGGATAAATCTAGAGCCAGCTGCTTCTCCAGCTCACTACTCCAAATTCACATCTAGAAAAGAAATAAGAATAACTAATAGACATTCTGTGCTTTTCCACATTTTCTTTCTTACTTTTTTCCCTTAAAACAAATTTGGCCTTTTAAGCGAGATACCACCGTATATTTATGGGAGTTTAATAACTTCTTCCATTAATAACACAGACAAACTAATTTACCCAAACGTGTCTGTTTTAAACTCTGGGAACAAAGGGTGGGAGGATGAAAATCAATCTTTCCTTTGTACTTGAGCCATTGACCCGTTAAAGCTTTGAAGATCATTTCTTTAAGAAATTGTGAGGAGTTATTTAACTACAAACAGCAGCTACCTTCCCATTCCAGCTGCGTAATCAAGCATAATAAATTAGAGTTTTAAAAAGTTGACTCTATTTTTTCTTTCCTTCTTTTTTTTTTTTTTTTTGTATAACTGAAAATTCTTAATAGCATTTTGACAAATTGGTTTCATGGCAGACACCAGCAGCAACCTTTCCTTGCACTGGAGCTGTTTAAGCCAAGTGGAAGCATTTGGAGGCATTCCTGATTGGAGGCTGTTGGGAGAAGCCCAGGTTTTACCTTTGAAGCAGGACTTGATAAAGTTCCTGTCACCAGCAAATGCAAGCATTGCCCTGGGACCCAGCCACCCTAAACTGGGCGGCAATTTCCGGCCTCAGCCCTGGACGCCCACCCAGCTGAGAACACTTCATTGAGAAAGAGACGTTCAGGCTGGCCCGTAAGAGCGGCAAGGAACCTCCCTCCCAAATCTGGTCAGCATTCCTCCACGCAAACCTTTCTGATCCACTTTGATAAAAATCAGTCTCCGCGGGTCTTGAAAGAGTCAAAGGCCCTTCTTAATCAAATGATCAACTGTTCATTTTGAAAGCTTGACTGGTTCAATTAAGACCACAGGCAGGAGACAAGCTGGTCATATTACCCTCCTTTCCAGCCGGCCTGGCCAGTCGCCGTCCTGAAACCTGCCTTTGACCAGCCCACTTCTGTGCCCGCCTGGAATGCCCCCCTCCCCCGGTGAAATTTGACCCAAACTTCAAGGCCCCATTCTGGTTCCTCTCAGGAGCCTTCCCTGGCCCTACCAGCTGGCAGTGACCTCTCCTTCTGAAATCTTCCAACTGTATTGTGAGTCCCTTCACCTGGGGCTTTATTGTATACCGCCTTGAGCTGCTCCTTACCTTCTTAGGAGCAAGAAGCCTGCAGACTTCTCCACGAGGCTTGCCACACGACTCGGCCTCTGTGAGCATGCTCACATGACTGCCTGAAGTCCGGCCTTTATACACCTCTGTGTGACCCTGCGATCAGGCAGCTCTCAATGACAAAGGGTTGGTGGCTTCCAAAAGTCCGCTCATGAGTCAGCTGTTTGGAATTTAGAATGTGGTCCTTCCTTTTTTCCAAAATAATGATGTTCTAAAATGATGCACTCACAGTGACCAGGGCACAGACTAGCCCAGTAAGTCCTATTTTGCCTGTGACATAACTGCAACAGCATTCAACAGATGCGCTCCCGTCATACAACCTGTGTCTGCAGGTGCCTGTATAGCTGTTAAGTCAACAGTCTTCAGCCACTGTGAGCTAGATTTTTTTCTGGGCTACACTGGGAAGTTTACCCCATCCTCCACTCAAGGCAAATGCTGCAGAGGGGAAACTCATTCATGTCCCCATGCCTCCTCACACTCAACCCCTGCCACAGCTTTCAGCAGGATACAAAAAGGGGCAAAGCTAGGAAGCCCCTTCCTTCTGCTTTCTCCCCTTGGTTGAACCTAAAACAAAAATAGAAGGGGATTCAGAGTTGCCCAGACTCAGCCTGGGCTGGAGTTGATCCCTGGTGAAAGCCAGTTTTCTGATGGGTGGGGCAGCAGGGTGGGGGCTATAAGTTGGTCAGGAGGGCAGTGCCCTTGCCAGCCCATGGCAGTGCCTGGCATGCCCATGCCAGACCTTTGGAGGGCATTATCTCTCAAAGGCATTCGTGTTTTAATCTGGAGATACAGCAGAGGCATGCTCATCCTCTGATGTCACTTTAACTTTCCCCATCTGTCCCTGGCACTGGGCTGTGTGGAACCGTGAGAGCCTCCCCCAGAGACCCCCAGCCTCAGAGTACAAGGTCAGATAATGCCAGGAACACCCTCAGCTCTGATCCTGCCAGTCTGTCCACATGGGGTGACTGGCCATGCTGAATTGTCATTTTTCAAAACAACACTTGAATAATAGAATGTTGTCAATCTTGTCACCAGCTAATCCCCTCCGTCAGAACTCCTACCTTAGAATTTGTGCACCCACAGATAATACCGCAGATGTGTCCGCGTCTAGTGTTTTTTTTAGAAATGTCTCCACCCCAAATTTTAGACCCCCCTCTCTTCAGTCCAGGGGACCCCAAAACACCTTTTAAACCAACATGCTAACACCAGGGAGGTTGCCTCTAGGAGGAAAGTCACCAGAGGCCGGTGTTGTATGACTGTGGGGAAATTCTAATGGCACAAGTCTAAATAGAGAAGCTTCCTGAGCTGCCTTACCTTGTCGTTACGCCACTTTGCAGACGCTGTGTTAGAACCCATTTAAAGCATTCAAGCATATAATCAAATTTCAGTAATGAGTTATTAATTAAGCAGGGGCAACCAATTCTCTGCTAACTGCCTCATAAACAATCGACAGGAGATTTGTGAATTTTGACTTCCTGACACTATTAAACAAATCAATATTAGGTTTCAGACACAGCAATTCAGACAGTTTTCTCTGTTATTTGGCAGCCATCTGCCTGGAATACTAATGAAAGAATTAAGAGCTGGAGATTTTGCATGTGTTCCATCAAAAAGATCCTTATCTGTGGGGAATTGGGGCCTGATTTGCATGGAAGAAGACTTTGCTTTTGTAGGTACAATTTTTCTCAATATGTCACTCATTAGTATTTATAAAAGCACTGGGCAGTGGAACGGCCACCAGGCTTCATAACAAGCAGGCAGAGCCCTACTGGAGATAGCTCAGACAAAGCAATTTATTTATTTATATATTTTGCAGACTGGTTAATTTATAGCTAATCTAACCTGTGGAAAACTTGGGTCTAAGGATACAGCTAAGCCTCTTACTCAGCTTTTATTTTTTTTAAAAGGTCCATTTGTTCACGTGTAGAAACAGCTAAGTAAACAAGGAAGACAGAGTTTTGCAAAAGCTGGGTAACCTCTAAGTGGCAAAATGTGGTCATCTAAGTCACCTCCTTGGCCTTCCCTCTTTCTTTCGCTCTTTATTTACCTTCAGTGGTCACTTAATAGCAGTGCTACTGGAAGCACCTTGGAGGGACGGTGGCAGGGATTTACCACTGCTTATCTAAGGAAGGAGTAAGTGCAGGCAGTTTCAGGGCTGAGCTTGTCTCACTAGTTCCTCCATGCACCCCAGACCCAAAGTGCTGGCTTTATTCAAGGGGCCGCTCAGCATGTGTGATCCATTGGTGCTGTGGCCTCCTGACTTAGCCAGAAAGGTGCCAAGTAGGAGCTGACCTGAAAGTTTAAGGACTGGAACTAACACAGTGACAAGGACCCTTTCCAGGCTGGCAGATGCAGAAGGTTTCTGGCTTATCACATATCTACCTAAATGCCTTGAAGCCAAAAAAAAACCCTTAACTATATGTATACAATTTTTATATTATATATGTATATCTATTGCGTGTATGTGTATGTGAACATATATACATGCATATACATGTGTATGTAAATATATGTGCATGGATATACATATGCACAGACATGAATACACACATATAATTGTAGTATATATTTACATATGATGTACTTTTATATATGGGTATATATTATATAGATATAAGACCCAGAAATGTACTCTGTTAGGAGATTTGGGATTGTGTCTTTTTTCAGATGTGTTTTGATTTTGTTCCTAGTTGAAAGGAATTGAAAAGTATTTTAAAACAATAATGTACAACCAAAAAATGAGAGTGTTGATTTGTTCCTAAAGCTGAAAGATTTTCTTGAGTTCTGGTTCTAATCTGGTGCTTAGACCAATAAGGAATTCATCAACTCGCTACAGAGGTCTCCAAGGAATCTCCTGATATCCTCTGCAAAACTTTGCATATTTGTATCTATCTGTATTTTTTTAGGAGATGACCCACAGATTTAAGCAACATTTTTCAGAGTTCTGTAACTCAAAATAAATTAAGAACCATTTTTTCTGCCCCTTTTATAGATGGGAAAGCAGGTGAGTGCTGTGATTCTCAAGATGAGTGATGGGTGGTGGATAAAATCCTACCTCCAGGCTTCTGGTCATGTGGTCTTTTACCCCCTAGCATGGTAGAGTTTCTGTCTGTACACCAATTAGGATTAGGTTCAACTGTTAGCAACAAGAAACTGAAAATAATAGTGACTTTGATGAGAAAGAAATGTATTTGTCTTTTACATACATGAAGTCCACAGGTCAACAGTCCAGAACTAGCGCCTCACCTCCATGATCATCAGAATCCCGGGCTTCACATACTTTGTTGCTCTGTCATTGCCAGCAGTGCCTTCTTCCACATGGTCCTAACTGGCTGCCACAGCTCCAGCCATCACATCTTTAGCGCTATCCAGAGAAAAAGAAGAAGGAGTGGAGGGAAGGGGATGGAAAGGGCATGTTCTTCCTCCTAAGGATATTTTCCAGAAAACCCTCTTACTTCTTAAAGACCAGAACTTAGTCACATGACCACACCTAGCTGCCAGGGAGGCTTGGAAATGTAGTCTTTGTGGTAGGAAGGGAAATTGCACATTGGAAGAAAACCACTGGTCTCTACCACACAGTACTTTAGAGAAAGTATCCAATGCCTCTCCCCAGCACATCCCAAGGACCAAGGCAGAGTGTGCCTGGAGTGAGTCTGGTCTTAATCTAATCTACTGCATGAAGCGAGAAGGCAGTAACAGCATCTTACATGAAGGCAGTGACAAGTCAAGATGGAGGACATGTGGAAAACTGATCACCAGAATTAACAATGGTGGAGGTGACCATCTGGTGTGGTCGTAGAGAGCTTAACAGAGGACTGAAAACTGTGGGAGATAGAATGGGTGACATGGAAGAGGAGTGGAGGGTTTCAGAGACACAGACCAACACCCTGGCAGATTTCTACCTATTGCTCACAGGTACCCATGTAAGTAAAGCAGATTCCTTTAAAGCTGCCACCGAGGAACAGATGTTGGGTGTGGTTCTCATTTCATCAGCCTGGTTCCCTCACCCTCAGGCTCTGATGTCTGTAAACCCATTTAGAGTGACTAACCACAATAAGCATTCCTAAGGCCATCCTTATTTTGAAGCTTGAGAGAGAAGGGTGCCCTGTCCTTACACAAAATATGAAACTTCAGGCAAAAATCCAAACTTAGAAAGCTAAGAAATTACATGAAGAGCTGCCCACATCACAAAAAGAGCTTCATTTTGCAAAATAAAAAAAAAAAAGTTTTACAATGGGTTTCCCCCTGACATAGATCAAGTCTTACTTGATATTTCAAAATTCAATGCACATAGAATATTTCAGAAGTGCAGCAACTGATTGTGCTATACCGCTCTATTTACTGAAATAGGTAAAAGGAAAACAAGAAGTATCCATCATGAGTTGAATATTTATTATGTGGTAGGCCCATTCCCAGGCATTGTCTCATTTAATTTTCACCACACAGTAAAGTAAGCTATGTAGATATTCTGCCCTTAACTTGTCCAGAGTCACTGAGCACATGGCAGAACGGGAAGCTGGTGCTCTTTGACTGAATACCTTATTCTCTCTAGCTTGCTGTGAGATGTTCTATGCTATCTCTTCATCGTGCAGAATCTTTGTTAATCTTGTCTAAATATTGTATTTTGGTTTTCCATTTAACCAGTAATAAGAACAATACCAGTTGCTAACCATAGATATGATTTGCTGTTGGGGACCTGGAAATTGACTTCATTGTTTTGCAGAATTATAATTTGGGTTTTAAATTTTCAAATGTCCCTGTTACCTTTATAGTCAGCATTTCCTGGTGCATCAGGACTGTTAGTGTGAAATTACTACAGATAGTTAAAATAATTCATAAAATAAAAATCAAGAGAAAACTCAGAAACTCTTTTTGTTCCCCCATCAGTCTTTTGTTCCTTGCCTTGATAGTGCCACCTGGAACCATACTATGTATTTAAAAATATGTTAGTTCAGAATGCTGGTCACATGCCAGTAGACAACTTGGACACTAAAGGGTGACATTTCCAGTTCCATGTTCTTAGATGATACCATGTCAGTCTTTGAATATTAGTTTTCGACAACAGCAATCTATGCTAGTCAATTTGAGCAGAAAAAGATTTCTTTTTTAAAAAATATTAATTATACTTTATGTTCTGGGATACAAGTGCAGAACATGCAGGTTTGTTACATAGGTATACATGTGCCATGGTGGTTTGCTGCACCCATCAACCCAACATCTAGGTTTTAAGCCCTGCATGCATCAGGTATTTCTCCTAATACTATCCCTCCCCTTGCCCCTCACCCCCCAACAAGCCCCTGTGTGTGATGTTCCCCTCCCTGTGTCCATGTGTTCTCATTGTTCAGCTCCCACTTATGAGTGAGAACATGCAGTGTTTGGTTTTCTGTTCCTGTGTTAGTTTGCTGAGAATGATGGCTTCCAGTTTCATCCATGTGCCTGTAAAGGACATGAACTCATTCTTTTTAATGGCTGCGTAGTATTCCATGGTGTAAATGTGCCACATTTTCTTTATCCATTCAATCATTGATGGACATTTGGGTTGGTTCCAAGTCTTTGCTATTGTAAATAGTGCTGCAATAAACATGCGTGTGCATGTGTCTTTACAGTAGAATGATTTATAGAAAAAGATTTCTTAAGGAGGATTATACAGATCATAGAATCTCTAGGTGGGCTGGGAAACCAGATTCAAATGCCACAAGCAATATCGCAGCGAAGGGGCCACTTCGCTGGGAGAAATAGCAACCCACACCATGGGACCATGTTATACTGTGAAACACAAGGTCCCTGTGGCCTACTCTTCAGAACTGATGATGCTGAGCAATGGGCTGCAGGAACTCCACCCTAGCCAGCTCTAACAGATGCCTACACCACCCTGCCCTCACATCTGATCTTCCTGTGCATAGCGACCAACTGCTATTGCTCACTTCACTTCCAAGATTTGCATGGTACACCTACTTGACAGAATTCAGATCATATGCAGATTTCTAGCTGCAAAAGAGTCTGGGAAATGGAGCTTTATTTTGCTTTGTTTTTAGCTTGATGGCATCTACAATACGAAAAGATAAGCTAGAAGGGAGTTGTGATGAGTAGGAAGTGACCTAACCTACAAAATCAGCCAGTCATGTTGGCCATGGTTTTCCTTCTGTAAAAACGAATACATACACCAGAAAACTTGCAGTATACCTACAGTGGATTAGGTGCTGAGCTAAATACTTTCATGTCTGTAAATTAATTCAATTTCCATAAAAAGTCCCTCAGCTAGGTATTTACAACCCTATCTGCAGATGAGAAAAGTGAGGCTTAGAGATATTAAGAAACATTTTTAATCTCATAGAGATAGTGAACAATGGAGCTGAACTTCGCTACTTCCTACTGTAGCAAAATAGCTACTACAGTGAAAAGATCACAGAAGCTCTGCCACTTAGGAGCTGAGTGACCGTAAGCAAGTTATTTGACTTCCCTGAGTCCCAGGTTATTCCTATGAAAAATGGCAACTTCGTAGCTGGAGTAGCAAGCAAGGAGGGAACGAGATAACATATGCGTATCCTTTAGCTTAAGATTCAGAAAATAACTGTTAAATAAATCAATATATAAAGAAATTTGGAAAAACAAACCAAAAATTCTTTTTAAAAAAGGAGGTTCTTCCAACTTCTCACTTCTTGATCACCCTTCTCCTGATAAGTGGTACATGATTTACTTGATAATCTGCCTAATGCAGGAAGGTTTCATGGCCAATAGCGCAATGTTAAAATAGGATTATGTGCCCAGGAAAAGGGAACTTCTTATAGCAGCAGTGTCTCCTTTTAAAAACAGGAGGTCTGTTAGCACTACAGGCTTAATTAAACTGATTCCTTGATGAATCCAGTGTGACAGGGACCTCCGCTGTTAACAGGCAAGTACACCCAGGCTTTCCCTGGGCTTTCTGGGTTGCAAATGCAGAAAAATTGTTAGAGGAATAGTGAAATGGGGAGTTGGGAGAAATCTCTCTTCTTGGGCTAATCTCGGCTTTTGTTTGTGTGCTGAATTCAGGAATGGGGAAGTAAAAATCGAAATACAAAGAACCCAGAGAGAATACATCAATATAGATCTTAAAGAACTTGGGAGTAGGAGAGAGGGCAGGAAAAGGGAAAAACTAGTTCCCAATCAGGAAGAGCTTTTTGGGCGAGTGGAGTGCAGAGAGACTGGAATGTGGAAAACTCCAAACAACTGTTTGAGAAGAACTGGGGAGGAAGAGAGAGAGGGATTTTTAAGAACTGTTGTTGAGGTTGTTCAATGGCTCTCCTTTAATATTTCTGTGTGTTTGGGGAATTCATTTTTAATTAGTTTTGGCCAAAGGATTGTGCTTCTTCGATTCTGACTCTGTACGGACTGGGCCATGCAGGGCCTTATTTGTATTTGGGTTACACTAATTTTTTTAAATTTGGCCAACAAAGCAGTGGCAGTTGCCTTATTTAAGGGCTCATAACTAGATAGAAAAAAAAAAACAATCCCATTAGAAAGTGGGCAAAGGACATGAATAGACAATTCTCAAAAGATGATATACAAATGGCCAACAGACATATGAAAAAATGCTCAACATCACTAAATATCAGGTAAATGCAAATTAAAACTACAATGTGATACCACCTTACTCCTGCAAGAATGGCCATGATTTAAAAATAAAAAAAAAAAAAATAGATGTTGGTGTGGATATAGTGAAAAGGGAACACTTTTACAACGCTGGTGGGAATGTAAACAACTACAACCACTATGACAAACAGTATGAGAGTCTTTAAAAACTAAAAGTAGAACTACCATTTGATCCAGCAATCCCACTACTGGATATCTACCCAGAGGAAAAGGAGTCATTATGTGAAAAATACACTTGCACACACATATTTATAGCTGTACAATATACAATTGCAAAAATGTGGAACCATCCTAAATGTCCATCAACCAACAAGTGGATAAAGAAAATGTGGCATATGTACACCATGGAGTATTACTCAGCCATAAAAAAGGAATGAAATAATGGCATTTGCTGTAACTTGGATGGAATTGGAGATCATTATTCTAAGTGAAGTAACTCAGGAATGGAAAACCAAATATCGTCTATTCTCACTGATAAGTGGGAGCTAAGCCATGAGCATGCAAAGGCAAAAGAATGACATAATGGACTTTGGGGACTTAAGGGGGGTGGTGAGGGCCAAAAGACTACACAGTGGGTACAGTGTACACAGTTCAGGTGGCAGATGCACCAAAATCTCAGAAACAACTTATCCATGTAACCAAAAAAAACCCACCTGTTGTCCCACCTTTATTTTATTTATATATTTTTTAATTGAAATAATAAATAAATAAATATATCAATAAAATAAAGGCTCATAACTTTGAGTTTAGGGCCTGCAAAGGGATGGAAGGTGGGAAAGAAGTTTGCAAGGAATCTGTTCTTCATTCGTTCACCAAACATTGCATGTAGATTGAATATAGAATATGCCTTGTACACAGAAGTATGCACAACTGTTTTTCTTCTTTTTATTTAAAGGCTTTAATTATATGAGTAACACATTACCAATTCTTGTAAAAAAAATCAAACTGATAGAGTTAAAGAACCAGTTACCAGCATTTCATTTAAAAAATAAAATAAGTATTTACAGTGTGCTTCCTATAAACGAGAGGTATAGGACAAGTGCTAAACATGCAAAGTTCTAAGTGCTTTACATGTATTAATTCATATTCTCCTCCAGACAACTCAAGAGATTGGTGTTATAACTATCAACATTTTACAAATGAGAACCCGAGGCATGGGGTGGTTAAGAACATGTCTAAGGCCCCACAGATAGCATGTTATAAAATTGGGATTTGAACCCAGGATGTGTGACTTCAGAGTTCATGCTTTAGCCAACATAACATGCTGACTTTAATCCCATTGACCTCTCTAGAGAAAGACACCATTTTCACTTTGCTCTGTTGCTTCCCAGATATTTTTCTTCAAATTTACATACATAGGCAAACTTATACAAATATTAAAATTGTGTGTGTTATACGTTAACAGAGTGGTTCTCAAACTGTAGTCCTTTGCCATCAGCATTACCACAAAACTTGTGAAAATGTAAATTCCCAGGTCCCACCGTAGACTTACTGAATCACAAACTGCAGGGGTGGGGTCTAGCAATCTGGGTTTTATAAATTCCCGTAAGTGATTCTAATGCTCACTAAAGTTTGAGAACCATTTGTGAGATTCAGTGCTCACTGAAGTTTAAGAACCACTGCATTCAAAGCATGCATAACCCGGGGCCTTCACAGAAGTAGACATCAAAACTGGATTAAATGTGTAAGAATCCTATTAAGGAAAAATCCTGTATGAGAAAAAACAAGGAAGGAGACATATAGGGAGGAAACAGACAAGAAATAAGGACAACCCTGGGGTAACCAGCAGACCACAATGGAGTGTGGTCTCCCGGAGTGAAGAAAGGGTAATGGAAGGTAGGTGGAATCATTCTAGACTGCACCCGAGAGTTCTGGGCTCAAAGTTGGCCGATAAAGGAGTCCCATTTCTTCTAGTGACAGGGTTGCTTTAGTATCATCCTTCCCACATCCAGTCACTGCCAGCCAGCAGCCCATGGGAGGCATGGCCTAGACTCAGACGCAGCGATGGATCTCAAAGTGCGGCAATTAGGACCCTCCATCAGTTATGATCCCTAGGGGTGTACAAGGCTCATTCTCTTGGCTGCCACATAATATCACAGGGGATACTATTGTTTTGCTCAACAATATGCCTTGGAAATCTTTCTTTTTCAGCACATATTGATCTGTTAATTCATTGTAATGGCTGCCTAGTATTCCATTGTATGAATATTCTGTTATTCGTGTAAACATGCCTCTATTGATATTTAACTTATTTCCAGTGGTTTTGCTATTTCATATGGTGATTCAATGTGTATCTCACCTTGTACACTGGAAGAGTTATCAAGAAGTGAAGTTGCTAAGCCACAGTGTGTGTGTGTGTGTGTTTTAATAATCACTACTATATTCCCCTCCAAATGGGCTGCATTGATTTATACTCCCCTGAACAGAAAATAAATGAAAGTAAACATTTCCCCATACCCTGAGCATCACTAGATAACATTAGACTTTTAATTTTTGCCTATCTAATGAATGAAATCATGTCTTATTGTTAATTAGCATTTCCCTGATTACCAGTGAGATTGATCATCTTTTCATATACTTACTGGCCATTTGGATTTCCTCTGTGAATTGTCTATGATATCTGTACCATTATTGCCAATTTACCTAGATGTCATGATGAATAAAATACAGGCCTATTTTCTTGCATTATTAAATCAAAAGTACCTTTTTAATCATTTTGCTTTTTTCAGTTAAGACACTAAACAGATAGGAAAATGTTTGGAGTGTTTGCATGTTAAATGGGTCCTGTTCCCAAGAGGGTGACAAGCCAGTGGATTCTGTGGACTCTGTGCTCCAGAGAGCCCAGGGCCTGAAGCAGGATACAGAAGGGCTGAGCCAGGATGGCCTGAGCCAGCCTTTCATAGACCCTGCAAACATCAGCCCTGGACAGAGGGAAGCCTGGAGGTCCAGCCAGCCCAAAGACAGCTTTCCTGGGAAGGTATCTCCAAGTGACGTGACACCAGATAAGGTCTTCTCTTCCCTTCCCGCTTTCACCCCACTGGCTGGTGTCCTGGCTGTGGAGCGCGATAGATTGGGGCTTAAACCCTCACTCTGCCCTCTACTGGTCTGTGCAGTCTCAGGCAAACCATGAAACGTCTCTGAGCCTCGGCTTCCTCATCTGTAAAATGCAGGTAACCCCAGCTTTCCTACAGCCGCTGTGGAAACCCAAGTGCGGGTCCAGCCCCCAACCCAGAGAGGAGCACAGGAGATGCCCAATGAATAGTTACTGTCACAACTGCAATGTGAATTAACTATTTCAACTACCATAAAAAAGAGAAAGGGGCCAGGCACAGTGGCTCACGCCTGTAATCCCAGCATTTTGGGAGGCCGAGGCAGGTGGATCACCTGAGGTCAGGAGTTTGAGACCAGCCTGGCCAACATGATGAAACCCCATCTCTACTAAAAATACAAAAGTTAGCCAGATATAGTGACACATGCCTGTAGTCTCAGCTACTCGGGAGGCTGAGGCAGGAGAATTGCTTGAGCCAGGGAGGCGGAGCTTGCAGTGAGCCGAGATCACGCCACTGTACTCCAGCCTGGACAACAAAACGAGACTCCATCTCAAAAAAAAAAAAAAAGAGAGAGCGAGAGAGAGAAAAGGGTGAGAATATCCTTCAGGCCAGTTTAAGTGAAGAGGGAAGATGTCTAATTCCCTTCTCACACATGGATTCTAGGCTGTGGCTCTATCCAAAGTGCACTTTTAAATTTTATTTTAATTTTTGACATAATATTTGTATATATTTGTGAGGTACCTAGTGATGTTTCTATACATATAATATTTGGCAATCAGGTGAAGGTAATCAGCATATCCATCATCTCAAACATTTATCCTTTTTTGTATTGGGAACATTCAATATCCTCCTTCTAGCTATTTGAAACTATAGGATATCTTAATGTTAACTACAGTCATCCTCCAGAGGTATAGAACACTAGAGCTTATTCCTCCTATCTAGCCATAATTTTGTGTCCCTTAACAAATCTCTCCTTAACTTCCCTTCCCCTACCCTTCCCAGCCTCTAGTGTCCTCTGGTCTAATTTTTACTTCTATGAGATCAACTTTTCTTAACTTCCACCTATGAATGAGAACGTGTGGTGTTTAATTTTCTGTTCTTGGCTTATATCCTTTAATATAGTGCCCTCCACTTCCATCCATGGTGCTTTGAATGACAGGATTTCCTTTTTTGTGGCTGAATAGTATTCCACTGTGTATGTATACTGCATTTTCTTTATGCATCCATCTGCTGTTGGACACCGGGTTGATTCCGTATCTTGGCTCTCTTGACTAGCACTGCAATAAACATGGGGGTACAGAGCACACTTTTGCAGCTTGCTCTGAAGACACTTGATGCAAGCCAGCAGCCTGGGACTCACACTTGGTGTGGTCCCTTCCTCCAGAAGTTTGTCACTTTCCCAGCCACCTGGCTAGACAGAATTTAGTACTGACTTCTTTGTCTCTTGCTGCCTGTCTTAATCTTGTGATGCCAATTAACTTTAATGAAAGTTAGATGGGAAAATTGTGGGGTGTAGATATACAAATATGTCTTTAGCAGAGAAACAAGGACAGCCTCAGAACAGTGGTGATTTCCAGGTGGAAAGAAATGTGGAGGCTTCTGTCTCCTCCGGGTAAAAGACAACTTGTGAAACTCAAAGAAAATAACTCTTGAAGCAGAGGTTTGAACTGTGCCAAGTTTATGACATGAAGGAAGAGGCTTGCAGAAAGGAAGTTCTGATTAAGACTGACAGCTTCGTTGCCACTCCCAGGGGAATGGGTAGGCATTTCTCTTGGACAGGTACGTGGGCTCCACCCACCCACCACATGAGCCCCAGTGGGGGCTGGGGGACACACCTGACTGCTGGTGATGGATTTCCCCTACTTTGAGTTAATTACCCTAATTCCTCACATCTGCAGAGCCCTTCAGAGCTTACAGCATACCCATTATCTTGCTTCATCTCATGACCACCCCGTAGGGTAAGCATGATTTGGGTCCCCACTTTGTTCATGGACAAAAACGAATCGCAGAAAGGTGAGGTGATTTGCCCAGGGCTAAGACTAGACACAGGTATCCCATGAGTACTGCATGTCCTGCTGCTTTTCTCCCAGTCCTGAAGACTTCCTCCTGAATGTGACGGGCAGAATCTGCCAGTGGCATGAGAACCAAGTCACAGGTTGCCACCAGCCATTGCAAAATCCTTATATCCTAGGCCTCATCTGAGGGACACCTCATCTGAGTCGATGCTTCATCCACAACTCCACCTTGGGAGGTACCTGGAGCAGGTGTCACATCCTACGAAAGGCTTTTGGCTTCTAGGTTATATACTTCCTGAATCTTGTCCAAACATTTCATTTATAGCTGAGTTGTTTTATTTTTTCCATACCACCCTGCCCCACTAAAGTACCAAGAAAATGTGCACTCTGATTACATTATTATAACATTCACCCTAAAAGAATTCTTTTGAAATGATTAAATAATAGCTCCCATTTCTCAAATGCAGATGGAGTGGCAGGTCCTATGCTTTGCATGTTATACATATTACATGACTTAGTTCTCACTACAGCCATCTGATGTAGCTATTTTTGATGAGACAACTAGTTATCCACCAAAGAGCAATCTTCCCTTCTTTCATAGGAAGGGAGTTGTAGCTGCCCCACTAGACTGCATTTCTCAGGCACCTTGAGTGACTACATTTAGGTCAATGGGATGTTATTGCAAGCCATGTGTGCAACTTTGGGGTCATTTTCAACTCCAAAGGCAAGCCCCTTGCTGCGATATCTCTATCTCCATCTCCATCTCTGACTCTATCTCCATCTCCATCTCCATCTCCATCTCTATCTCTCTCTGTCTCTGTCTCTATCCATCTCTATCTCTGTCTCTATCTTTAGCTCTATCTCTATCATCTCCCTCCCACTCCTGTGCAAACGTGGTGATCACTTGATTTTGACCATGGACATGAAGACAATGTCCTAGGGGAAGTGGAGCAACAAGATGGAAAGAGCCCAGGTCCTGGCATAACGCACGGACAGAACTTCTCCATCGACCTTGGCTGTTCTCCCAGGACGGATACATGAGAGGGAATTAGACATGCCCTTCTTGAGGCACTGTCTTTTGGTGTCTCTTTGTTTTGTTACTACAGTTTCCTCTTTATTCTAATGAATGCAGTATTATGATATCCATTTTGCAGGTGGGGGACTTAGGCTCCTAAAGATTAAGCGACTTGCCCAAGTTGACACAAATACAGAACAAGGACTGTAGCCCATGTCTGTTGGATTCCAAAACCCTCTGCAAT
This sequence comes from Homo sapiens, assembly GCF_000001405.40. Classification (NCBI taxonomy): domain Eukaryota; kingdom Metazoa; phylum Chordata; class Mammalia; order Primates; family Hominidae; genus Homo; species Homo sapiens. Next base: position 117,707,141 of record NC_000010.11, on the reverse strand, counting down.
ATGATTCATTTACTCATTTATTCCTCTAAGCTTTAGTGACTATGTAATAGAAGCAGGAACCCCAAGGCTTTGCCCATACAGGTGGATCATAAATCCTCACCCTGCCTCCCTCCCTTCCACCCTCAAGAGAACGCTGTGCTCTGGAGGTGTGTCGTCCTGAGAGGCGGATGAGAGTTAATATCAAAACTTCTATCTAGTTATTGTGAAGCCATAAATGGGTCAAGGGCTCTGAAATAGCCCCAGTTCCTTATGCAAATGGGTTCCAAAGAGTAACCTGGGGCTGGCCAAACAAGGGTTAAAAGTTAGACAAGATGGGTAAGTTCTAGTGATCTATTGCACAACCTGGTGACTAGTTATTGATCATATATTGTGTATTTCGTAGTTGCTAAAAGAGTAGATTTTAAATGTTCTCATCACAAAGAAATGATAAGTATGTGAGGTGACGGATATGTTAATTACCATGAATCAATCATTCCACAATGTGTGCATGCATCATAACATCACACTGTACCCCATAAATATATACAATTATTATTTCTCAATTTAAAATAAAATAATTTTTAAACCCTTTTTTAAAAAAAAGTAAGAAAAAAGAGAGAGAGAAACTGACACCACATTCATTAATGCTGTAGAAGCTTTTCCCATGGAGGGCAGGAGTCTGTGAGGATGAAATTACATTTAGGAAAATGTCTTTATGCCTTAATATGTTTTAAGCTGTTTGATCTCTGAGAATTATTATTTGTCAGTGAAAGAGGTTCGCATTTGAGCATGTGCGTGCTTTTACTTATGTTTCATAGATGTGTGTGCATGTGTGGTTATATGTGTATGGGCACAGAATTTAGTATTGACTTCTTTGTCTCTTGCTGTGTGTATGGTATTATAAAAGTAAAGATATATGTGTGATGTGTATGTCTACTGTACATTGGATGTAGCATCTGTGTATTTACATGCGTGTGTTCATTTGTACTTGTGTGTACATGCTGATCCATAGGCAGATCATCCCTTCACACCTTCCCTTGGTGGGCAATCTGGAAAAAGAACTGACATGGTATGGCTCTACCCCAAATTGTCCTGCTCAGACACCCTCTGGTCTCCCCCAAAACACACACACATACACACATACACCTTTTGTCAGTCATCAACAAATTGATAGGCCTCTGGAAATGAGTTGCAAGGTTTACAGTTTGGCTGCTGAAAGGAAGTGGATTAATTCCAGGGCAAGGCCAATCCCTTTGAGTAGATCATGGTGCTTCCCCAATGGGGGCTAGAGATGAACTCTAAAAGGCTTAAAGGAGGAGGCAGCTCTCAGGGAAGGGAGGACCCAAGGACAGGGCACCACAGCCAGGAAGCCAGCTCCTCTTTGGGCTTTCTTTGGGAATTTGTGGGTGCCTTGATCTGTTTTCTGTTGCTTATACCTGAATATCTGAAATTTGGTAATTCATAAAGAAAAGGAGTTTATTTCTTACAGCTGTGAAGGCTGAGCCCAAAGCCAAAGGGCTGCATCTGGTGAGGACCTTCTTGCTGGGGGAACCCTCTGCAGAGTCCCAAGGTGGCACAGGGCATCACACGGGGAGGGGGGCTGAGCGTGCCCACTCCAGTCTCTCTTCCTCTTCTTATAAAGCCACGACTCCCATTCCTATGATAACGCATTCATCCGTTCTGGAGGGGACAAATATTCAGACCACAGCTGTGGGATTCCTGTGAATGGGGCAGTTTTGCATCTTCCCCTCCCTGCATTGTAATTCCTATGAGTTACTCCAATCTTTCCAATAAAATCTGACCCAGCTGGGCAGCAACAAGTGACAAAGTGGTGGGGACGGGGAAACAGTGCCTCAAAAGCTTGTGTTGTTCTCACCTCACCCTCCTTCCCCACAGGTGCCCAGGGCCTGCCTGCCAAAGGTTCATGGCCCAGAAGTCTCAGTTGATGACCCAAAGTGCATGGAGGTTCCAAGGGATCAGCAAATGCTAGTGGGCACTGCTGGAGAGTCAGACACAAGACAAACCCTGGGTTCCCCAGTGTGTCCTGGATGGAGGAAACTCAGCATGGGGAAGGCTGAGGCTTGGGCTACGGCTACCGTGTGCATGGCCTAGGGCTTGGAGCTAGAGCCACAAACTCTAAGCAGATGGACACTCTCCCTTCAACGAGCCTCAGTCCAGGACACCAGTTAAACAGGAAAACAAATCATTGAAAGGCAAAGAAATGTCCCCACGCCAGGGCCTGAGCTGTAAATAAAACTACTGCTAACACGCCATGAGAGCTCACCAGCAGCTGGTCTCAGCACCCTCATGTATTAACTCATTTGATCCTTCCATCAGTCCAACCAGTGGGTGTTGCTATCCCTATTTCACAAACAGGGGAAACTGAGAAATAGAGAGCACATGTGACTTGCCCCAGGTCATATGTCTAGTAAGAAGCAGGCTGGGATTGGAACCCAGGCCGTCTGGCCCCACCGCCGATGTCTCACTGTCGTGTTGCATGTAAGGCAGCAACACAAAGAAGCAGGAACTGGCCTCTGCTTGCAGGAGGCAGGGCAGACTTCAGAGGGGTGGGGTGCTCAGTCCAGGATACCTGAGGGTCAGGACTAACTTGGCAGATGAAGCAGGGGCAGAGGACAAAGTGGGTGGTGTTCTGGGCACTGTTGATGGTGCAGGGTTGACAGAGCAGCAGTTTTCTAAACTTTTTACTGTGACCCACAGTAAGAAATGCATTTCACACTCTGAACTTGTACACATATATGTATGTATAACTGAAACCTTAGTTTCCCAACTCAATTATTATGTAAGATGAACTTCCATTCTATTTCATGTTTCATAAGTGTTGTGTAAAATACCAAGCAAATTGGTATTAGAAGCCCCTGAAGTTTCATAATGAGTAGTAATGCAGGACTCAGAATGGGGTGAGGCCCAGGGCAGAGAATCAGCAACAGCATCAAAACCCAGCAGGGTTGGGAGTAGATGAAGGGATGAAGGTGCCTAAAGCTGAAATTTAAGGAGGCAGTGGTTCACAGGGTCTTGCAAATGCAGGCTTGGCATCAGACAGGGAGCGCCTCCTTAAATTTTGTACCTTAGGCACCTCACTTGTCACGCCCTAGTCTCAGCCCCATGACTGAGCACCTATTCTATGCCAGGCACCAAGCCCAGGGCTTGCATGCACCATTTCATTCACTCATCTCAACAGCCCCTCTTTCCAGTTGAGAAAACTGAGGCCTAGAAAGATGTCCAGAAAGTGTCAGCTATGACCATTAGCCACCCCCAGAAATCTTAGGTGATTGACGGCACCAGGACAACAAACAGGAAGAGCTGGGATGAGGATGGGGGACCCTCAAGAAGCAGGGCTGCCATCCATGCCCAGGTGCACACTGCTTGACTGCTTGTTGATCTGAAGCACAGACATCCACGTGGATTTCCCATAAGCCAACTTTTCAAGAACATTATTTGCAAGTTGCAGAGAGCTCAGCCTGGGAAATCCTCAACACTTGTGTACTTCTGTGCTTAAACAGGGGTGATGTGTGGTGTGTACAAAATGCCCAGACACCAGCTGACTGGTGAGTACTGCAATAAGCTCCCCTCAATATCACAGAGTCCTATCCACTCAGAGAAAGATAAGTTGTGCTTCACCAGAATAAATATAGCCATAAAAATTGTGTCTGAAATCACAAGGGAATATCATTACATACCTACCAAAATGGCTAAAGTTACAAAGATTGACAACACAGAGTATTGGTGAAGGGGAGGAGTAACTGGAATTGTCCCACATTGCTGATGGGAATGTCAATGACATTAGTAAACATTTGGTCAAGTATCTTCTGAAAATAGGCACATCCTTCGACCCTGAAATTTAATTCCCAGATCTATACTCAATAATGACCCAGGAACACATAAGAGATTGTCACAGTAGCAGTATTCATAATAACCCTGAATTGGAACAACCCAAAGGGCTATAAAAGAAGAAGAAATAAATAAATGGTAGAATAGTCATATAATAAAATAGTATACATACATGAAAATAAACTACTGCTACACCTGACAACCTGGATGAATCTCACACACACATTGTTGGATGAAAGAAACCAGGCATAGCTGAATTGCACTGCATGATTGCAGTTACAGAAAGTTCAAAAGACAGGCAAAATGAAACTGTGCTGCTTGGGGACACTCACTTAAGTGATAAAACAATAAAGAAAAGCAAGGAAGTGATTTCTGTAAGAGTCAGAGTAGGCTGTGGTGGTCATTGGAAGGGACACGAGGGGGTGTCTCAGGTGCTGGCCATGTTCTGTTTCCTGACCTAAATGGAAGTTGAAAGGTGTATTCTTTACAATAATTTATGTATTTGTGAATTTATTTTATGTATTTTTGTATATAAGTTATGTTTTGCAATTTAAACACGTATGTATGTTTGGGTGTGTGTATAAATGTGGACCCCTCATCTGTGAGCCGTTCATGTTCCTGGGACCCTGGAAAGCTGACAGCTCGAGGCCCCTAACATGTTGACCTCAGAGTCAGGGAGTCATGAGTTCAAATCCTGACTCCACCCATGGCAAGCTGTGTATTTAGGCAAGTTACAGAGCTTTTCTGAGACTCAATTTCCTTTTTTTTGAAATAATGGGGATAAAAATACCCGTATGAGAAGTAAAAAGCCACATGTATAAAGAGCACATATATTCCTAGCACATTGGTAGGAGCCCAAGAGAGGGTAGCTGAATCAGGAGTGGTAGCAAAGGCAGAAGTAATGGGTCGTTCTTCCTGCTGCTGACAAGAAAATCTTTGCCAGGAAGAGTGCCCACTCGAATTTATGTACTAGAGTTTTCTCTGTTGACATCCTTCATGTTAAGGAGCTAACATGTTAGGGTGCTGCTGCCCCAGACCACAGCTAGCCCTTATGTCACCTTTGGGCAAATTAGAAAACACCCGTTGCTTGGGGCAAACACAGTGCACCACCATTCCCAGTCACTGACACAGATGCCTCCTTGGTGAACATTGAGGCATCTTTAAATTCCTCATTTTTGAACCAAATGCTATGTAAAGAGGAGAAGGCAGGTCAGACCCCACCCCAGAGAAGCACACAGTCAAATCCCATCAATGCGCACAGCCATTCACACATCACCTGGTCAGATTCAGTATTGACGTTGATAAGGTTAGTGGAGCTCTAATGGAAACAGTGACCAATGGCTGTTGTATTTCAATGCAATGCGAGGGGAGTGGGAGGGACCAGGACTTGTAGATTCCACATGGAGAAGCCAGCCATAAATACAGCCTGAAACCCATTCTCGTCTCCACATCCACCTACAGAGGCCCAGGAGCAGGAGGACTGAAGGGGTTGGCTCCACTCTATAGCAGGGAGAACACCCTCCATGTATCCCAGTTTGGAGAGATTTTTGCACACTTGAATTATGACTTAGCATCAGGCAGACTCTGTCATTAGATGCCGCCGTACCCAGTAGCCCCAGAAAAGAGACTGGCTTCCAGGTCCCACTTAGAGAGGGAACTGTTACTGTATCCTAGAGAAGCATCAGGGCCCAGGGCCCAGGAACTATAATCATCACGAAGTTACTACAGATATCAGGTAAAGGAAGTTCCGCCCCTCAAATGGGATTTGACAGGCCCATAAAGGCTGCTTAATACCTCTGAGCCCCATGTGCTTTTGATATCATGTCTCATTTTCTGCATGAATGAGAGACTCAGCCAATCTGAAGAAATGTCAAGTTTTCCTTTCCAGTAGGGGAAGCTCACCTGCTGTCGGCAGCCTTGAGGCCACGTGGCTGGTGGCAGCCTCGCCTGGTAAACACGAGAAGAGCCTAACCCATCAAATTAATGCAGAACGCGCAACTCCCTTTCCCTCCCGAGGATGAGTCTTGACAAACAGGGTTTCAGAGACAAGTCAGAGCGAGTGGAAAGCCCTAATCTCATGATGCTTTGGGGAAGAAAAGAAATTCAGGGCTCATAGGTGAGGTCAAATTTTGGGAATCCTGTCGAGTTTGTGATTGATGACTCCCATATTAACATTCAGGCCCTCTACTCTTGCTCCCTCCAGGGAAGGGAAGTGGAAGTGAATGGATGCTTATTTAGCACCTACAGTTTCAGGCTATCTGCCAGAGTCTCCACCTCTGGTCTTTCTCTAACCCTTATTCCCATTTGACAGAAGGGAACACCAAGTCATGCAGCTGGTAAGTATCAGAGCCAGGCTTCTCATGCCCTCTGAAAGCCACAGCAACTGCTGGGCTCTCCCTTCCTTCCCCTACTCTCCACCACACCCTCAACTACTCTTGCTCCCTCAAAATCTGCCCCCAAGAAAGGGTCTAACAGCAGCCATGTACAACTCCGAGCAGAAGGGTTTGCAGGACAAGGCGGCTGCTGTCTGTTGGAAGGGCCTGGCACACTGCCTTAAATGTGCACATGCAAAACAAATGGGTTGAGTTCACTGGAATCCAGAAGCTTCTCCTAGAGACCCGTCACTGAAATCCATTTCAAGGCCCTGCATGCGGGGTGTATTTTATTTTATTTTTTATTTTTTGAGACAGGGTCTCATTCTGTCATCCAGGCTGGAGTACAGTGGCACGATCTCAGCTCACTGCAACCTCTGCCTCTGGATTCAAGCAATTCTCCTGCCTCAGCCTTCTGAGTAGCTGGGATTAAAGGCACATGCCACCATGCGCAGCTAATTTTTGTATTTTTAGTAGAGATGGGTTTCACCAAGTTGGCCAGACTGACCTCTAGTGATCTGCCTGCTTCGGCCTCCCAAAGTGCTGGGATTACAGGCGTGAGTCACGGCACCCAGCCTGCTTGTGGTTTTGTATTTGTAATTTTATATTCTTCCCCAAAATTGTATCCGCTTTTAGCTTGAAACCTCCCCTGCTGCATGGATGCAGACCGTGTTCTATTTGGGAGGGGTCTTTGGAGGCGGTGCTGATGGAGATGCAGATGCTGGGGTTGCTGGAGAGAACTTAAAGGAAAAGGTGCCCTAACCCTGAGTGAAGAACTGTGTGCGTGCCTCGAGCCTGGGCACTGGCCTTGGTGGAGGCTGAAAGGCCACCTCTGTGCCTTTTGCAAAGAAGGGCATGCCCCCTGGGGTAGAGCACAACAAGTGGCAGGTGACGCCTGTGTGCAGGACACACAAGATGACCAGAACTTGCCAGTCCTCCCTGGAAGGAGCAGTACTTATTTTCCAGGGTTGCCATAACAGATTGCCACACACTGAGTGGCTTAAAACAATAGGACTTTATTCTCTCATGGTTCTCGAGGCCAGAAATTCAAAATCAGGGTGTTAACAGGGCTGGTTCCTTCCGGAGGCTCTAAGGAGGAATGTGTTCCATGCCTCTCTCCTTGTTTCCGGTGGTTGCCGGCAATCCTTGGCGTCCCTTGGCTTGTAGCTGATTCATGGCAATCTATGCCTCTGTCTTCATACAGCCTTCTTTCCTGAGCCTTCTATATCTATGTCCAAATTTCTCTTTCCTTATAAGGACACCGGTCCTTATAAGGACTTGGATTAGGGTCACACTAATCTAGTATGACCTCATCTTAACTTGATTACATCAGCAAAGACCCTATTTTCAAATAAGATAACAGGTATAGGGGTATTAGGACTTGAATATAACTTTTGGGAGGACACAATCCTACCCACTCTAGGAGACAATGAAAACTTAGTCAGAGTGGCCTCCTGGCCTCTTAGCCCCATCAGTATGGCTTCTGAGTCCATGTGCTGCAGCCTCACCATGGGCTGGTTGATCCCGGCAGTTCCTGTTCCTGTGCAGGATGGGAGAAGCCAATCTGGCAGACTGTCCTGGGCTTCTCTTACATGCCCTCAGAAGGCTTGTAATAAAAGAAAGTGCGGGCATGTCTCTTCACCAGTCACCCTGAAAATTAAAGTATATCCGCTCTGGGGATACCTCCCCAATTCACCCACTCCTCTCCATCACTCCCTCTGCCCACCTTTCCTCCATCCTGATGCCTTCAGATTCTGCAAGCCTTTGTTTAATTTTGGAAAATTCAGGAAGTAATAAAGGATAAGTTAGTAACCATCCGTGCTGCAAACATGGCAAGTTGCCTCTCTTCCTTACTAACAAAATCCTGATTTTGTTCAGGGTTGTAAAGCGCTTAGCTAAAAGACTTTGCATTCCAGCCAGCCTTGCAACTGTGGGTGATCATGTGACCCCATTCTGGCCAATGAGACATATGTGAAACTAGTTGCTAGTTGGAACTTACAGGAAGGTTATTTGATAAAGGGGCCATTCAGCCAGTTTCCACCTCTAGCCCTTCACCTTTCCCCCTCTTCCTGCTCTGAATGCAAGAAATGACCCAAGAGGTGGGCAGTCACCTTGAGACACAAGTGACAAACCTGAGAACAAAACTCACATGCTCAGAGGGTTGAGGCCAGGTTCTGCCGGTGTCAGAGAGCCTCCAATCCAACCGTGGCTGTGTCCCCCAGACTTCTTGGAATGGAAGAAAATGAGCCCCTCACTTGCTCAAGCTGTTGTTTTCTAGGTTCTCAGTTACTCAGAGCCAAAGACAATGCCAAGGACAGAGCTGTCCTCGCACCAGCACCCACATACAACCACTGCTAATATTTTGCCCTGTTTCCTTCTAGTCCTTTCTCTGTGTAGAAGAAGACTCCCTTTCTTTGAATGCTGGCTCCTTCACTCACCAGGTAGGTCCCTAAAGCAAATGACTTAACCTCTTTCTCTGTCTTCATTCTTGATCTGTAAATGTACAATAATAGTAGCCTCCACATATAATTTTTTGAAGGCTTAGTGAAATGATACACAAAGTGATGAGCTTCATGTGTGCTTGATACATATTAATTCTTACTAAACATCAGCATTTTATATCCTGCTTTCTTGCATGCCGTTATACCACAGGCATTTTCCCTTGCTTTTAAGACACCTTGTAATCATCATCTAAACAGTGCCTAAAACTTCATATGCACTTAACAAATGTTATTATTATTAATACGAAAATGTCATATCCTACTTTTTAACTTACCATTATGCCATATGCATTCTTCCGTGACAATAAAAAATCCTAGGCTGGGTGTGGCGGCTCACACCTGTAATCCCAGCAGTTTGGGAGGCCAAGGCGGGCAGATCACTTGAGGTCAAGACTTTGAGACCAGCCTGGGCAAACATGGTGAAACCCCATCTCTATTAAAAATACAAAATAATTAGCTGGGCATGGTGGCATGCACCTGTAATCCCAGCTACTGGGGAGAATGAGGCAGAATGAGGCAGAAGAACTGCTTGAACCCAGGAGGTGGAGGTTGCAGTGAGCTGAGATCATGCCACTGCACTTCAGCCTGGGCAATAGAGTGAAACTCTTTCTCAAAAAAAAAAAAAAAATACTTAACATAATTTTGAATGCTTACCTGGCATTTCTTCATGTGGTTCAACCAGAGGTCAGAAATTGTTTTCTTAAAGCACTAGATAGTAAATATTTTTAGGCTTTGCGGGATATATGGTCCCTATGGCAACTACTTAGCTCTGCCATCGTAGCATCAAAGCAGCCACAGACAATACACACAAGAATGGGCATAGCTGTGTTCCAATAAAACTTTATTTACAAAAACAGATGGAGAGCTGGGTTTGATCCAAGGGCCACAGTTTGCTGATCTCTGGGCTAGACCACCATTTATTGAACTAATCCTTCTTATTGTTAGAGCTTAGGCTGGTTCTCAATGTGGGGCTATTATAAATACATCAGCAGGGAAGACCTTGGTGCAAATTATTGACTGCATTTCTGATTATTTCCTTCAGATAGTTTCTCAGGAGAAGAATTGCATTTTTAAGACTCTTGAGTTCTATGTAAAAATTCAGTAGGCATTAATTTTATTTTATTATTTTATTTTTGAGCCAGGACTTGCCCTTGGATCTGTACCTCTGCTTGCTAAGCCACTGTTTTCCAGATATTTCCTGAGCAGGAATTCTGTCCTGGTCTTCTACCAGCCTGCCAATTCCTAGAGTGTAAAGATGTGACCTCCTCTTATTCTGCTGTTGTATGTCTGGCCCCTCAGCTTTGCCATCTCTCTTTCTCTCCCACACATGTGCACACCTGTACAGTATCTATCATGACTACACTAAAGATAGAAAAGAGAAACTTGGCAAGTGGCTGAACAAATGAACACTGCATTTTTAAAACTCCAAGGAGGCGTGACCCAGATGCCTATGGCCAATTGCTGAGACTTGAGTGCAGAGACCTTCATAAACGAGGGGATAAACACTTCACTCTTTCCCAGACACCCCAGGTCAAGGCATCAAAGGAGACAGACATTTGTCCCAGGGTCCTGTGCCCCACTTTGCTTGCCTAGAGCTTGGTGCTACCCCTGTCCCACCCAATCCCCAGAGACTCCCTTGGAGGACACTGATGGGCACCTCTTAGACTCCGCACACCCCCTTTCATCGTCTTCCAGCACCCCAACTTCTTCCCTGGTCCAGCCCCATGGTGGCTTCTTTTACCATGAAACAAGATTGGAGAGAGCTGCCACCTCTGCCAAAATCCAGCTCATGAAAAATTGAAAATGCTCACCTACATTTCTTTTCACCTTGAGTTTTTTGTGAAACAAAATGGCAGGTTCTAAAGGTGAAAAACTGTGATTTTCCCAAACAAATGCCTGTGAAGTGAAAATTGCTAGTTTCGCACAGCTCTATCTGGATAACTATTATTAGTTTGGGCACAATCTGATTAGGAAAAAATGAAACCTGGGTTCTGGTCCCAGCAGGTGTTAAATATTCCTACAGCCAGACTTTCACAGACCAGGAGCCAGTGGGAGGCCTTCCCAGGGCTCTTTCCACCATCACCATCCCTGGGGATGCCCTCTAAACCCAGACCCCCTACCAGACATAGCCAAGCTCAAGAACATTTTTATCATCCTCCCGAGGGCAGGGACATATTTCTTGGGAGACCAGGGGCATCTCCCTGGTAAAGAGCATGGGTTTAGTTCCTCAGAGAGGAGACATACAAGGTTGCCTAGTGGTTTTATATTGGGATAAATAGAATTCCTTAAAATGGTGACCTGAATGGGAACCTCTCCCTCCATGTATTCATTTGCTAGGGCTGTGTATTAGTTCATTTTCACCCTGCTATAAAGATACTACCTGAGACTGGGTAATTTATAAGCAAAAGAGGTTTGATTGACTCACAGTTCTGCATGGCTGGGGAGGCCTCAGGAAAATGGCAATCATGGCAGAAGGCGAAGAAGAAGCAAGGCACGTCTTACATAGCAGCAGGAGAGAGAGAAAAAAAAATGCGTAGGGGAAACTGGCACTTTTAAGCCATCAAGATCTCTTGAAAACTCCCTCACTATCTTGAGTTGGCATGGGAGAACCACCCCCATGGTCCAATGACCTCCCATCAGGCCCCTCCCTTGACATGTGGGGATTACAATTTGAGATGAGATTTGGCTGGGGACACAGAGCCAAACCATTTCAGGCTGCTGTAACAAAGTACCACCGACTGAGGGGCTTAAGAAACAGAAATTTATTTTCTCATAATCCAGGAGCCTAGAAGTCCAAGACCAGGGTGTCAGAGGATTGATTTACTACTCAGAGGCCTCTCTGCTTGGCTTACCAGTAACTGTCTTCTCCCGTGTCTTCACATGATTCTCCCTTTGTGAGTGTCTATGTCTTAATCTCATCTTCCTATAAGGACACTGGTGATACTGGATTAGGGCCCACTCAATTATTTCATTTTAATATGGTTACCTCTTTAAGACCCTATCTCCAAATTCAGTCACATTCTGAAGTACTGGGGGTAAGGACTTCAATGTATTGATTTTAGGGAGACATATTTCAGCCCATAACACCTCATATCCCCAAGCCAGCCATCTTGCCATAGCTTCTTAGACCATCACAAATAAAAGGCAGCCAGGCACAGTGACTCACACCTATAATCCCAGCACTTTGGAATGTTGAGGCAGAAGGATTGCTTGAAGCCAGGAGTTCAAGACAAGCCTGGGCAAAGCAGCAAGACCCCCCGCCCCCCACCGATCTCTACAAATTTTTTTTTAAATTAGCCAGGTATGGTGGTGTGCACCTGTAGTCCCAGCTACTTAGGAGGCTGAAGTGGGAGGATTGCTTGAGATTAGGAATTAGAGGCTGCAGTGAGCTGATTGCACCAGTGCACTCTGGCTCACACACAAGAGTAAGACCCTGTCTCACATCAATAAAATACAATTGATAAAACTAAAAGGCCTTCTGGAGCTTTTGTAGTTCAGTGGTTTTCAAATTGTGTTCTGTCAAGCACTTAGGGTTCCTAAAGTGACCGTAGGGGCTTCCGTGGTTGGGAGAAGGAAACCAGGGACTCCAACTCTGCCTCCACCAAATCAGCCTGGCTTCCAACTCTCCTACACTGAAGCTTCATGGAAGACTTTATTTAATCAAAGATTCTTTGTTTTACAAAACACTTGAAAATTGCTGACTTTTTTTAAAATAAGAAGGCAGCAATGCACCCAGGTGAGGAGATCTGCCCAGGATCCTGCAGCTACTTGTTAGCAGAAAGGGCCAAGCTTACCCTCGCATTCTGGCTTAGAGTTCCTATGGCTGCTCCTTACCAAGGTGGCCCTTAAGGGAAACATTAGGAACCACCCACCACAGAAGGATTTGGGAGGCACTAAAAGGTGAGCATTTGGACTCAAATCCAGAATTGAACTCACAGATCACATAGCATGGCCTCAGAGGTTTAGACACCCGTGTCTGTGCTTAAATGTTGGAAAATCTGAGTCACCACTCTCCTGACGTCAGATATTACTGGGGAATTTTCACTTTGAAACAAGGAGGAAAAAGCGTCCCATTTAGGTGCATTGGGGTGTCTTGTCTAGGAACTGTGCACAGCGCTAAGAAGTGATAAATATCTTTGGCGACAAGCTGTGGATAACTGTGTTTGCACGCTTTCCTGGGTGTCTGGCTGTCAACAGCAAAGACAGAGATGAGAGAGAAGCATCAGCCTCCACTTTAAAAAAATAATAATTTAATCTCCTAAAGCCCAACACGCTGAGCTCACAGTGGAGCAAGAGTTTTGTACATGAGTTTTGTACGAGAGTCTCATGTACAGTTCTGAAGAAATGCCCTGTGTTTGGAATATCCCAAGTAGCTCTCAGCTTTGAAAAGCCAAGCAATTACTTTACCTAGAAATAGTTAGAGGAGGGGGCAGCTTTTTGAGAGAGAAAGCACATTCCCCCACCATCCACTGGAACATTCCCTGAACCATCTCCCTATGGGTCAGCTCCAGAATTCCCAGGATGAGGTGGGAAGGGGAGCACGGGAGGCAGGGCTGAATCCAAACAGTGCTCTCCAGGCTCCAGGGTGGAGCTCTTGCCTCTGAATGTCCTGATAAAGACTGCACAAGGCAGATGGAGCCACTCAATTTCAATCCTTCTCCTAATAACACCCAGAGCTATTTTGTATACTTATTGAAAAAAATTCATGGAGCAAACACTGGCCCTACACTATGGAAAGGACATTACCAACTCTCAGGTCTCTTCTATACAAAGCATCATTCCTTGGTCTGAGGACTTGCCTCCTGGCCATAGCCTGGGTAACTCAGACCTTCCTCCAGGACGCAGTGTTGATAGCACTCTTTCCAAAAGCATTTATCCCCGACCATGGCCAATGTGGGCTATTGGCACTTCCTCCACCTTCCCATCATCCTATCTCCTCCCCATCAAGGCACTTAATTAGACACACAAGGTCACACTTCTGTCTGTTGTCAGACAAGACAAACTGTCATGAAACTTGGAGAGTGCATTTGAGTTATTCTGACTTAGACGGCCTAGGTGGTCTACGCCCTTGCTTCACAACGGATGATCCACGGACCAGCAACATCAGTATCACCTGGGAGGTGATTAGAAATGTAGAATCCCCAATCTTTCCCAGACCTACTAAATCAAGATCTGCCATAGGAACAGGCAAAGATTTCATGACAAAGACACCAAAAACAATTGTGCAACAAAAGCAAAAATTGACAAATGGGATCTATTTAAACTTAAGAGCTTCTGCACAGTAAAAGAAACTATCAACAGAGTAAACAGACAACCTACATAATGGGAGAAAATATTTGCAAACCATGCATCTGAAAAAGATCTACCATCCATCCAGCATCTATAAGGAACTTAAACAAATTTACAAGAAAAAACAACCCCATTAAAAAGTGGGCAAAGGACAGGAACAGACACTTTCAAAAGAAGACATACATACGGCCAAAAAGCATATAAAGAAAAGCTAAATATCACTGATTATTAGAGAAAAGCAAATCAAAACCACAATGAGATACCATCTCCCACCAGTCAGAACAGCTATTGTTAAAAAGTCAAAAAATAATATATGCTGATGAGGCTGTGGAGAAAAAGGAATGCCTATACACTGTTGGTGGGAGTGTAAATCAGTTCAACCATTGTGGAAAGCAGTGTGGTGATTCCTCAAAGAGCTAAAAACAGAACTACCAGTCAACCCAGCAATCCCACTACTGAGTATATACCCAAAGGAATATAAGTCATTCTACCATAAAGACAAATACATGTGAATGTTCATTGCAGCAGTATTCACAATAGCAAAGATGTGGAACCAATCTAAATGTCCATCAATGATCAGATGAAGAAAATGTGGTACATGTACACCGTGGAATACTACACAGCATAAAAAAGGACAAGATCATGTCCTCTGCAGGAACATGGATAGAGCTGGAGGCTATTATCCTTAACAAACTAACACAGGAACAGAAAACCAAATGCTGCATGTTCTCACTTATAAGTGGGAGCTAAATGATGAGAACTCATGGACACAAAGCGGGGAACACAGACACTGGGTCCTATTTGAGGGTGATGGATAGGAGGAGGGAAAGGATCAGAAAAAAATAACTGTTGGTTACTAGGCTTAGTAACTGGGTAACTAAATAATATGTACAACAAACCCCCACGACATGAGTTTACTTATATAACAAGCCTGCACATGTACCCTGAACCTAAAATAAAAGTTAAGAAAAATCAAGATCTGCATTTTTGCCAGATCCTCATTAGAGTTTGAGCAGCACCGGTCTGTTTGAAGTTAACTTCAGGGCCTTGTTCTGACTGAGGCATAGTGAGAGAGGCACATGTGATGAACACGGAGGAGTAACCGGCCAACATCACTGAGAGACTGTGTACAAAAAAATCCATCCATGTGGTGAATAGCCCTAAAGTCAAAGTCAAACTCACAAAGGGCTCCTGGATGAGTAGCAGCAAATGCTGTTGAAGATGGATAAGGACTCTCTCAATCCCAGGGGAGTGGAGGAAGGAGGAAGCAGGGAATCATAGATAATGTGCCCTGGACATCTACTAAGTGCAGACACTGTGCTAAATGTTTCCCGGTGCTTTGCCTCATTCAATTCTAGCTTCAGCCCTGTAAGGTTGGCACCCATGTTACAAATGAAAAAAATGGGAGCTTTGGGGACAAGGCACTGGAAAATAATTGGATGCTAGCCCATAAAGTTGAATATTCCTATTCCCTATGATCTAGCCTTCCACTTGTATATGTGTATCTCATAGAAATCCACACGTGTGTGCACATATTGAAACACTCATAGAACCACTCTTTATAACTGCAAAAACACTGAATCCAACCCAAGTGCCCATCAAAAGGAGTATGGATAAGTAAATGGTGGTGTACTCTTACCATGCAATGTGCTCCAGCAGAGAAAAGCAGATGAAACACGGCCTCGAACCATAACAAGGATGAATCTTAGAAATATCATTTTAAATGGGGGAAAACAGCAAGTAACAGAAGACCTTACAGAATATGATACAGCTTTTATGAAGCTCAAAAAATAAGCAATATGTTATTTAGGGATACATATGTAAACAATCAAAATAAAGTTTTGTTTTGTTTTGTTTTGTTTTAAAAAAAAACAGGAAAGGATAGAGGTGTTTCAAGATCATGGTTACTTCTTGGGTAGAGCAGGGGACTGGAAGACAGAGGCCCATCCAAGGCCTAGTTCTTAGGTTGGAAGTAAGTTCTCAGGGCTTCATCACTTACTTGCATGTTGCAGTTCTTGATACATGTGTTATAGTTCCTTAAAAAAATTTAAATGTTAAGGCCCAGCACGGTGGCTCATGCCTATAATCCCAGCACTTTGGGAGGCCAAGGTGAACGGATCACTTGAGGTTACGGGTTCGAGACCAGCCTGGCCAACATGATGAAACCCCGTCTCTATTAAAAATACAAAAATTAGCCAGGTGTGGTGGCACATGCCAATAATCCCAGCTACTCAGGAGGCTGAGGTGGAAGAATCGCTTGAACCCAGGGAACAGTGGTTGCAGTGAGCTGAGATTGTGCCAATACACTCCAGCCTGGGCAACAGAGTGAGACTCCATCTCAAAAAAAAAAAAAAAAAATTAAGATGTTAAAAGCCAAAGCTCAGAGGCTGAAGAGCTTGGCCAGGTGGACGCAGCTAGTACTGGGGTTTGAATCCCAGCATCTGGCTGCAGAGCCCACATAAACCCCTTGGCTATGCTGCCTGTTGCTAGACTGGCCTCAAGAGAAACTACAAATATGATACACAGGTATGACAAAGCTGCATGGGTTGCCTGATATTAACCACCATCGCTTTCCAGGAGGGGCTGGGTGAGACACCCCATAATGGAAGGCGTCAGGCTGAGATCATCACTGGCCTGCTCTCCCCAGGCCGGTTCCAGGGGACTGTGATCTGCCTCTGAATCTCCCGCCTGCCTCACTCCACTGGGCACACGGTGACAGCCTCAGAGTCCCAATTTGCAAAGGGCTCTCAGAAGTCTGTCTTTGCTCCACTGTGATCAATTTGTGCATTGATCACAGATTTGTGAAACAGGGAAGAGAAGCAGAAAGCAGAAGAGAAAAGGACGTCAATCCAGTTACATTTCAGTCCTTCATCCCAGCCCCCAGCATTTCCAACAGGGAGTTTAAGAGGACCTTGCTTTCAGATAACACATTTGCTAAAGGGACCTCCTTTCTTGTGTCTTCCTAACACCCACTCAAAGGAGCTACCACAGGTCTCTACACTTTCTATTTCCAGATAAGGAAAGTGGTACCCAGATAGGGTAAACAATTCACCCAAAGTCAAGGCTGTGTGGCCTTGGGGGGTCACGTTTTCTCTCTGGGCTTGATTTTCCTCATCTGTAAAAGAGCTGCCCCTGGTAATTTGCAAGGAGTCTTCCAGCTCTGACAATCTGCAGTTCTAAGGAAGAAAAAAAAAAAAAGACAAAAATCTCTCATCTCCCAGTTTTACTGGTTGTTCTGACTATTAATTACATTTGCCCTGCACCAGAGGCCCAAACTAACCAAAAAAGTAGAAGAAAAAGACAAGAACGCATAAGAGGGAGAATAAAAACACAACCCCTGCTGCTATTGTTTGGGCCAAATACTGGAGAGCCTGAGAGAGTTCTTTGGATTTCTTTGTCATTATGTGGCCGATGGCAAACTGCCTATCACCAAGAGAACCCAAAGGAAAGAAGAAATAGAATTGTGCCGTCAGCTGCATGGCCAGCATCGTGCAAAGACAATGGGCACTGGTTTAATTTCCCCACCGCCCCTCAAACTGCACTTGAAGCAAAGTCAGATGTCTCCTTCCCAGAAAGTGGAAGAGGAAAATATCAATCTGTTTCGGGGAAAGTTACGAATTCCGTGTGCCTAGAATACTTGATATATGACTGTAGCCTGGTGCGCAACAAGTGATTCTTGCTGTTGCATTTGATCTCGGGATGGTAATGTGCTCTCCTGACATCATCCAAATGGGGAATGACTGAAGATGTTTTATATAAGATGGTTGCGAACTTCAAAGGCCACTCTTAACCCCGTGCCACCCCCACCTCCCTCCCCTTCTTCCCCCTTACCCTCGAGGCCCTCCTCTCCCTTCACCCAGCAAATTGTTTTGGGGCCAAAAGTGATTGTAGGATGATCAGGAATCAAGGAACTTGTGGCAGGTGGTACCACCTGTGTCTGGGCAACAGCCACACACGGGCTGCATCTGCTCCCCAGTTGTGGAGGGAGGAAGGGGCCGCGTCTGAGATGGATTCCCAGCCAGACTGAGCTGCAGTCCAGGCAGCTACACTGGGGAGTTGTTAGGGGGCTGGTACCCCGTCGCCACCCTCCAACTCTGAGAGATGGAGGAGGGCTCCCTGGGGACTCAGCAGCTGCCTGAGGTCTGAGTGTACTCTGCAGCCCCTGGTCAGGCCCCTACATTTTACAGAGAAGGAAACCAAGCCCCTAAGTGATGAACCAGCTACCCAAAGTGCCCAACACTGAGGGACAGGCACAGAAGCAGACCCCACGCCCCCCAACATCCAGCCTTGAATTCTTCCCCTGCACCAACCCCTAGACCCCTGCGTGGCTGGACAGAGAAGGACTCATCACATTTCTCTTCTTCCACCCTTGAATTGATAGGAGGTAATATTTATCCAGGGCTTACTCTGTGCTAGGCACCACCCCAAGCACTTTATGTGAATTAACTCATTTTACACTTACATTAACCTAGTGGTTCTCAGCTGGGGTGATTTGCCCCCCAGAGGACCGTTTTTATCACCCTGATTGGGGTGAGGGAGGCTGCTGACATCTACTGATCCCTGACAAAGCCAGGGATGGCGCCAAACATCCAGCAATAGATAGGACAGCCCCCCACAGCAGAGAATTAACGGGCATGAAATGTCAATAGCACCATGGTTGGGAAACCCTGAATTAGCCCTATGAGATGTGTATTATTATTGTTATGATTGCAGTGGTAGTTGTGGTGTTGGTGGTGGTTATTCTCATTTTACAGATGTGGAAACAAAGATGAAGTGCCTTTCCTGGGGTCATGCAGCTTGTCAGTGGCAGAGCTAGGATGTAAACCCAGGCAGTGTAACCCCCTGGGCTCCTGCTCTAATCACAGCACAAGTTTTTGCAGGGAATGCAAGAAGCTAAGTTCATCTAAAATGTCCTAGAAATACAGATCAAGCCAATAAAACCTTTTACCACCCACCAACCTCTCCCATTTCCTGAGTTAGCAGTGTTGTGCATATGATTTTAGGCTTCTTTCTCTGTGTGTACATGAATGCATAGAGCTCTCTACTCCTGTTTTGTGGTTGGAGAGTAAATAAATGGAACTGTTCTAGTTTTATCTTTTGCAACTTGCTTTTTCTCACTTAGCCATTGTCTTAGATATCATTCCATATCAGAACACGCAGGCACACATCATTTTTAAGCAGCTGACTAATATTCCATGGTTTAGATATTCCATATCATCATTCCCCTATTGATGGACATAAGGATTGTTTCCATTTTTGGACTCGATGAAACATATGATGCAGTGGCTTTGGAATCACAAAGACCTGGATTAGAATTCTGGGCTAGCTGTGTGGCCTTGGAAGATTTTCTAAACCTCTCTGAGCGTTGGATTCTTTGTCTGTTAAATAGAACTAGTAGAAGTTCTCAATGACATTATGTAAAAAAATGAATGCAGTGCATGGCACATAGGAAATGCTTTAAAGTGGCATAATTTGCTACTATTATCACCATGCATCATTATCATATATTATTATTTGTATTATTGTTATTAATCCAATAGTCAGTAGTCTGCCTGAGCCAACTCACCCAGAAATGCCACCAAAATCCTTTGGAAAAAGTGGGTCAATTTATGGAATGTCTCATGTCCAAAGATGAAACACTTCTCCAGCATTAACTTACTCATCTGCAAGTGCCCCTGTCAGGATCTTGGAAGCCTGGAGGAGTGAGGGGTCTGGGTTGCTCATGTGAGTTTAACATGGACTACCTCCCATCCTAACCAACATGGAAATACCAGCATCTACATTCTCAGCCAACGAGTGCACACAGAAATAAAAAATGGAAGACAAGGGAGTTCTGTGTCCAGCTGAATCCTGAACTGGACTGGATTAGGATGTGCTACTTGACAAGCCCAGCTCATATCATAGTGGGCCATGGTTGCCAGGGGTCCTGAGTGGGCAGAAATGCATATCCCCACATCTGCATTTCAAGGAGAGCGCCTTTAGGAAGGAGATGGCTCAGAGGCAGCCCTGGGGTGAAATCTTGTAAACAGGGCTCCATTTAACTCTCTCTTGGGTGTTCCCCAGGAACAGCCTCTCCGAGCCCCTTGGGATGGAAGGATGCTTCTTCTAAAGGCATGAAACAGGGACTCCAGAGCAGAAGCTATGGCAAGGAGCTTGCAAATTGAGATAGCTGTGCCAAGAAAGATTCTCAACTACTAACTGCTGTCATTGCCCAGGTCCTGGTTGGGATGGCTGGGGAGGAAGCAGAGGCCGATTGTCAGACACATGTGGGGTCCTGTCCCACTGTTCCTCCTTCAGTGATCTTGATGAGAAAGGATCCTGCCACTCTAGCCATGAGGGTGGGATCATACCCAGCGTCGACCAATCACAGTAGAGCACCTCCTACAAACAGGTTAGGTTCGTCCTGGAAATGGCCCATGACTCAAGGTGAGATGGTCAGAGATCTTCATTTTTTCCAAGCCAGGAGGAGAGGGGTAATAGCTTTCCTTCCTTAGATAACAAATCCTGTGTTTATGTCTCTAGAGCTGCTGGGAGCCACAAAGATGGATGACAGCACGAGGCAGCACAGACACATCCATGGAGAGGTGGAGAGAGAATCGGCCACCGTCCCCAGCAGCGATCCTCCTCATCCTCCCAGTGACCTAAGCCAATTGACATATTGTTTGCTTAAACCTATTTGAGTTGGGTTTCTGTCATTTGCAAATAAAAGAGTTCTGAGTAATACAGCAACCCAAGTCTAATAAGGCAATGCTGCAGCTGGGTGTGGCATCAGTGGGCACAGGACGCCCAAGGCTCATAGACCAATAGCCCTGTAAGAGTCCTTGGTCATCGTCTAAGCCAGTGTTCCCCAAGGACCATCACCATTTTCCAAAGATGGGAAGATGGTTTGACCCAAAGCAAGAACCAGACCCATCTGACCTTAGAGATCCATCACCCCTTGGAGACCCATCTCTCCTTGGAGACCCATCTGCCTTACCAGCCTGCTGGATGGAACCTTTGTGCCAGCCAATCCTTGGGTTCCTAAGGGAGAACATTAAAGAGAAGAAAACATCAAGCTCGGAGCTGGGCTGAGGAAGGCTATAAAAGCCCATAGAGTAAGTGAATCCGGGGAAGGCAAGCTAACTCTGTCCAGAAAGAGACAAGAGAAACAAGCTCCTGAAGGAACAACATGGAAATAGAGGGGGAAAGGAGTGTCAGGGATCCGGGAAGACATGCCAATAAGGGGAAGATAGAAGTCAAGGGCAATGTGGAGGAAGATTGACTTGGGAACCGGAGCCGTAGAGGTCAGCCTTTCAGGGCCCTGCCCTACATGCCTGGGCTCTCTGCAGGACAGCAGCTCTATCTGGTCACCTGCCAGCCTCTGTCCCCCAACCAGCTGTATATCTGGAAGAAAGGTGCATGTATGCACATGTGTGTACACATTCATGTGCACATGTGAGTACATCCATGCCCAGGAACTGAGGGGTAACTGAGATGGGGTCCCTGGATGACCTGCTATTCCACAGGTGTGCACGTGTGTGGCATGTGTGGTAGGGAGCAGGATTTTTGTGAATGAGTGTGTGTTGACAGGGCATGGGTGTCTGTGGACAGAGTAGAGTGGGGCACACGAGTGAGAAGTATTTGAAGAGTCTGAGAAAGTGGGGTAAAGGTGGTGAGAGTCTGTGGGAACACTGGTGTGTGTGTGTGTGTGTGTGTGTGTGTGTGTATGTGCGCACATCCTTAGACATGACAGGTCGGGGGACTGCAACCCACCGGGTGCAGGAGCAGATCTGCCTGGTGTGCCTGGGCTGGGGAATGTGAGTGAGGGGTCTGTAGGGCATGCAGCTCCCCGGAGAGTCATCTCCTTGGGGCTGTCCCTAAAAGCCCCCCCAGGTGAGGCAGCAAGGAGCCCCACACGTCACTCCCCACATAAAACCTGAGCCCAGAGGTCACCAGGAAGGGCCGTGGCAGGCGGGCACACTCAAGCCCCTCCCCAGCCTGGCAGGCAGGAGTGAGGAGTCCTGCCAAGAGAAGCAAGACCGGTTTCCTCACCCCGGTGTGTGTGCCAGCGCCCCCGTGTCTGGCCTGGGGGCTGGGGAATGAAGTTGTTGGGAGAGACTCTCTAATTTGCTCTTCCAGTCCTCGGGCACCTTTGGGACACACAGGAGAGGCTCGGGGGGAGCAAACCCCGTGGGGTGGTGCTGCCTGCTGGGGGCTCTCTCCCGGGACTGCTGAGCTGCCCGGTGGACCCTCAAGGGGGCAGCCAAACCATACACAGTGCCTAAGAACCAAGGGCCGTGGGCTCGTGGAAATGACTGCCCCAAGGATGGGCCACACCCATGACCCTGGCAGGTTGCCAGCCCTGCAAGGAGAGTGTGGGAATTGCTGGAGTCTGCCGAGCCCATTTCAGGAAGGCCAGAATCAGCCGGAAATCGGGGCTATTCTTGTTTAGGCTGAGGGGCTGGGTACCCAGGCATCTTGTGGGTGTGGACTTAGAACAGGCCTGGCCTGAGCCACATCTTGACTTCTAAATCTGCTTTGTGCTCAACACCCGCACGCCAAGCTGCCTGGAATATCTGTCGTTTCTGGCTGTCCATTTCCTTTCCCCACCCCAGACTCCCCTACCGTGGACCTTTCCCACCCAAACGGAAGGACACACATCATCCTGCAGTGGGTACGTCTTATCCCCCGCCCTGGAATTCACAGGGTCGGCAGCCGCCGGGAGGGGCTGCGCCACTTTCACAGGAAGGCGGCTGGGGGAGATCCCCTCATCTCCCCAGCTCCGTGCGTGACCCACGCCCGGGTTCCTTCCTCGCTCACGGATGGTGAAATCACAGTCTCGATCTGGACCTGCTCATGCCATAAGATAAATTGTCAAAATGTTTTGATCTAATTGGGTCTTTTTCAAGTCAGCTGAAAACCATCGAGCGGGGAGCCAGATGGAGCCGGTGATTAATGAGGGACATTTGGTTGCTTCTCCACATCCATCCTGGAGCCCAGTCTGGGCAAGGGTGTTCTAATCCTCTGCCAGGAATGGGTATGCAGGCGGATCACTGAGGCCGGCGCTCCAGCGCAGGAGACCCCTCCTTGCTTCCAAGGGCTGCAAAATGAGGCCTTTTCCCCATGAGGCTCCAGAATCTCTGGTCCGGGGGAGGCTGCCCCTGAACAGGTCCCAGGCTGGGAGGAGACCACCTTCTCCCCACCAAGGAGTCCCAGCCCTGTTGGGGGCCAGGCATGATGTTGCCATGTTCCAGCAGGAGTGAGTGTATTGCGCCAAACCCCTATTAACCTCAGTAGGGAAGGCATCAGGTTCAAGAGACCCAAGAAGAGATCCAGAGCCAACAAATAAGACAAGAGGTTTCATTAGGGGGTGACAGGGGCGAGAGCCCAGTGGCGGTGGGTTGGACAAGGTATCTACCTTTCTATACCCCAGTGGCAGTGGGCTGGGTGGGAAAACCACTCCCAAACAGCATGCAGTTTCTATAGCATTTTCTCTTAACACCTTCCCCTCGAAAACCTCCACCTGGCAATCTTCATCCAACCCAAAACTCAGGGCCTCGATCCCCTATACGGCCCATGTTCTATAGAACAGGCCAGGGGCTCAGATGCTCCTCATAGATAAGGAATGAACCACCAGGCTGGCCACTCGCAGATTCCCTAGCTTGGAACACACATTCAGGTATGTCTGCCATAGAGGGTCATTTGAAGAGTATGCTTAAGTTATTGCTGTCAGGTGCTTTTACCCTGGGGTCCGGGGTGACAAGAGGATGGGTTTCTGTGAGCCCACGGGGAGCACTGGCTGCCCCTGGTCCTGGCCCACTCACTGCACACAGCCCCTCCATCAGACTGGGTTCAGGGGCTCTGAGGCTCAGCCTGAGAAGCAGCCCCCTTCTCTCTGTCTGAAAGGCATCCTGCTCTGGGGTGGAGGAGTTGAGGGGATTCAGGAGAAGTTTGCTTCTCCTACACAGGGGAATGGCCTCCTGGGCACTCTTGTAGAGCTTGGCTGCTAGTCCAGGCCAGGCCTCCTACTTGCTGTGTGACCTTCAGTGAGCTCTGCCTCTCTCTGGGCTCCTGGTATTTCATGGGTAGAATGCAGGTGGGGTTCCACCCTCTGGTTCTCTGACTGTGGCTAGATATGTATTCTCCACTCTAGCTGCAAGTTGAAATTGGCTGGAGAGCATTTTAACAACACCGAGGCCAGGGTCCACCCCCAGCAGCTGAAAGAACCTCTGGGGGTGGGCCCCAGGCAGGGGTAGTTCTCAAAAGTCCTCTGATTATTCTAATGTACAGCCCAAGTATAGAGTCCATGAACTAGGGGGACGTCATATCTGCAGCAGCCCAGATGAGCATCCCCAATGATGTGCTGAGCGTGGAGTGAGCCCTGATTTTCTCATCTGGAGATCAGGGTTGTTCAAATCAGCCCTGCAGAATGTTTAGGGGATCTAAAGGCAAGAGGAATCTGATAATGCATTGAATGGTTCCTTGAAAGAGAGGGGAAGATGCACCATTCATGGCTTTCTCACTGTGGTTGCTACAATAGTGGCTGTGTATTATTTGTTCATCTGACAAACATCTACTGAATACCTACTATATGCCAGGCATCCCAGGGGATGCAAAACAGAAATATGGTCCCTGCTCTTGAGAACTTCATAAATTAATGGGAGAGACAGATATTAGTCAGTAATCACACAAGTATGTAATTACGTGCCATGAGGCCAGGCAGAGAGCCTGGGCTAGAGCCAGGTGACTTGGAAACTTCCCTGAAGAGATAACTTCTGAGCTGAACTAGAGAACAGGTAACTAGGCCATGTGGTGGGTGGAGTGATTCAGGATCAGAGACCAGCATTTACCCATTACCTGGCCAGACTCCTTTTTTTTTTTGAAATGGAGTTTGGTCTTGTCACCCAGGCTGGAGTGCAGTGGCACGATCTCGGCTCACTGCAACCTCCACCTCCCAGATTCAAGCAATTCTCCTGCCTCAGCCTCCCAAGTAGCTGGGATTACAGGTGCCTGCCACCACGCCCAGCTAATTTTTGCATTTTTAGTAGAGACCGGGTTTCACCATGTTGGCCAGGCTGGTCTCGAACTCCTGACCTCGGGTGATTCACCCACCTCGGCCTCCTGAAGTGCTGGGATTACAGGTGTGAACCACTGCGCCCGGCCCCAGTGTCCTTCTAATGCTTTCATTCCTTGATATATGTGCGTGCTTTCTACCCTACACAAATATTTAAGAGCAAGTAAAGTGCCCGTGTAGGCGATGGCGATGCCACTTCTGTGTTGAGCTCATCCTTGAGTCTGCCTCCCCAGCTGCACTGGAGCTCTGTGAAAGCTGCAGCTCACCAGGGCCTGGCGTGGTGCATGGAGCACTATAGGTGCTCAGTCCATTCATAATGGCTGGTAGATGAAATGAACATCAGCACCAGGTATTGGCATACCTGCCCTCACTCTGAGCCAGGCTGCCAGGATAAATTACAGGAACTCTCAGCTCATCCTCTTGACACTTCATCCCACCCAATGGCTCCCAGTTCTGTGTACTGAGAACCTCAATGAAGAGGTTGGAATAAGGAGGTTCTAAGAGCAGAAGTTACTCCTCCTGACAAACTAAATGCCAGCCCAGTGTCCCTTCCTCCAGGGACATTGATGTCTGATGCCCTGACCACCAATAGATCAATCTCCTGTGATGTCATTGTTGATGTGTCACATTTTGACCTGATGTATTGATGACATATCCACCCCCGCCTCCACACATCTCAAATAATAAGCTCTATGAGTTCCAGGGCCTGTGTGATTCACTCACCATTGAATCTGCAGCACATGGTAGGTGTTCAATAAATGATTAATCGATTCACAATGATCCTAAGAAAAGGGACTGGTTATAGTTACATCGAAAGTTAATTTGCAAGCATGTGAAAGCATTTTGCCAAGCATGAGGATGAAGGAGTGGGAGGTGATATAAGACTGAACATTTGCTCCTGCAGGCCTCATGGACAAGGAGCCCCAGCTAGCCCTGGTCTTTCTCAGCCTGGTAGCTCCAATACCAAGAGTGGAGAGGTAGCAGCTTAGCATCCCATCTCTAGTTATGCTGGGAAGCCAGCTAGCCACCACCCTGCAGGTGACTGGGAACAGGAAGCAAGAAGGCTGTTGACTCCTGGAAGAGAAACTCAATATTGCCTTTTTATTCTGAGCAGATGCTGCTTCTCCCTGAGTCCACAAACCTGTCAGCTGGTATCAGAAGTGTGCAGTCCAGCCCTAGCTTGCTACTGCAAATCTCCCCAGCCAGGTTAAAATTTCACACTCACCCTGAAGTGGTTCCCAAGACCCAGGATTTGTTTTTCCTAATGATCCTTAACTTTGATCAGTGAGACTCAGTGAAGTGGAATGTACTGAGTAATTTATTTTAGGTAGCTGGGAAGTTATCTATTTTCTAAATGGTCATGGGTCCCTCCTTCCCCAGACTCTAGCATCATAGAACACAGGCACTCTGTCTCACTCAGGGCCCGGTCCTAGCATGAGAAGAAGCTGGAGTATCTAACGCAAAGCCACAGCAGTGAACACATCTGGCTCCTAGCCCTGCTCCTGTCTGCTTCATGCCTGTGTGGACTTGGGCAGGTCATACCCACTCTCAGATACTCTATTTCCATATCTGTAAAATGGAATAATCACACCTACCTTTTCAGGGTTACCATGAGGCTTAAATAATACTATGCTTATGAAAGCGTCTGGTGTTTGTAAAATCAATTTCTTGGTGTGAGTTGCTGTTATTATTCTGTAGTATCATCCAGGGGGAGTGGAACAGTTGCTTCTTGACCCCCAAACTAATTTCCCCTTCTGATCTATGAAAAGCCTTTAGTGTGATATTTCTCAAGCTTGGCACGATTGATATTTGGGGTGAGATAACTTCTTGTTGAGGGGGGCTGTCCTGAGCATTGTAGGACATTCACCAGCATCCCTGGCCTCTGTCCTCTAAATGCCAGTAGCAACCCTCCAATTGTGACAACCAAAAACGTTCCAGATGTTGTCCAATAGCCCCTGGAAGGAAAAAATCATCCAGGGCCAAGAACCACTGCTTGGTAGTAGGACACGTGGTATTTCTGCCTTGAGACACGATGAATTGCCTGGGCAGAAGGGGCACGGTGGCTCCAATTAATACCAAGGGTACAGCTGGCTCTCCCTCTAGTGAGCTGTGTGAGCTTAGCCAAGTCTCTAACCTCTCTGGGCCTTAGTGTCTCATTTGTAAGAAGGGATGTGGGATGAGCTGCCTTGTAGGATTTCTCCACCTGGGGCCAAGTCCTTTCGCAGAAGCAGTTCTGCTGGGCTGGGGAAAGCATTGAAAGAAGCATTTTTAAAAGTGGGGAAGCAGAGGCTTCCAGATTGCGAAGCCACCATTTCCCCAGAGGCTGGCCCCATAGAGGACCCACCTGTGGGCAAAATTCCTCCTCCTCAGAGTTCCTTCAGAAGAGAGTATTAACTCTGCAACAAAATCATACTGCTAATAGTAATAACCACCAAGGGTTGCCAAACCTTTTTTTTTTTTTTTTTTTTGAGATGGCGTCTTGCGCTGTTGCCCAGGCTGGAGTGCAGTGGCGCGATCTCGGCTCACCGCAACCTCTGCCTCCCGGGTTCAAGCAATTCTCCTGCCTCAGTCTCCCAAGTAGCTGGAATTACAGGCGTGTGCCACCAATCCTGGCTAATTTTCATATTTTTAGTAGAGATGGGGTTTCACCATGTTGGCCAGGCTGGTCTCGATCTCCTGACCTCAGGTGATCCACCCGCCTCAGCCTCCCAAAGTGCCAGGATTACAGGCGTTGTCGAACCTTGATATGAGGTATGGTGCTGAACTTTTTATATACATTATTTCATTTAGTCTTCACAAATAAGCCTCTGAGGTAGGTCTAATTTTTCCCCATTTCCCAAATGAGGACACTGAGCCTCAGAGAAGTGATGTGAGCTGCCCAAGCTCACACAGGTATAGAGCCTCGGATAAGACTCAGCTCTTGGACCCTGCTCTTACCTCCGAGGTACCTCCCAATCCAAGGCTCAGGCTTTCTTATTCCCCGAAGGCCTGACGACAACAGCAGCATTGAAAATCTTTCCCAAACCTTGACCATTGGCCCGGGATTAAACGGAGACATTAAAGAGCATCCACCTGGGGAGAGTGGCAACCAGGGGCCAGGCTCACCTTGGCTGCCTGCTGTGTGGCTTCAAGCAAGTCACTTCTCTCTGAGCTGATTTCCTCACCTGAGACATTCTTTCAAGCATGGTGCTAAGCGCTGGGTATATAAGGTAGTGGATAAAACAGCACAGTCTCTGTCCTTATGGGATGTACAGTCTGATGTGAGAGACAGATAGAAACAAATCAATACACGAATGGAAGAGATCAGCGAGGTGGCATGATAGAGCATATGGAAGGGGATATTTTATGGGATGGTCAGGACATCTGCATGTGAAAGATGACATTCTAAACTTTAGTGAGGAAGAAGAGGAAGAGCCAGCCATGGACACTCAGGAGGTGATAGAGGGAAACGGGTGAATTCCAAAATGAGGAAATGTTATCAGTTAGTATCAGTAAGGTAAGAGGCTTTCCTGAACAACCCCAAATCTTCATGATGTCAAATAATAAAGGTAAGTGTATTGCTCAGAGTATAAGCCCAAGGCAGGTCAGTGGGGAGGGAGGGGTGTTCTGTTATGTTACAGAATGTTCTAGAATCTTTTTATTAGGCTACCATCTCAACACAATATTCAGGGTTTTTGCTGAAACAGCGGAAGAATAGTATCTCATACAGGCAATCAAATGTTTCAGCTGGGAAGACACAAATGCATCATTTCAACCCACAGTCCATTGGCTAAAATGACTCACACAGCTCATCAAACAGCAGAGGCCCAGGAAATGTAATCCGCTCGTGTGCAGAAGGAGGGAAGAATCAGACAGAGGTGAACATTAGAAGTGTCTACCTACATCCTGAATCAGAAAGGCCTTGAAGCCTCTCCTGTCAGCATGGGTCACCTTTACACATCCCAAAGTGGCATCTCACTGTGTTTGCAGTGCTCCTAGACTGGCCTGCAGGGTCCAGGCAGAGGCCTAATACTGTGGCCACAAGACCCTCTCACAAGCCAGCTGCCATCACAAGACAGACGCAGGACGGGGCCTTCCACCCTCACCCTTGACTGCTCCTGGAGGCCCGACATCTAGCCTTTCCTTGACTCTGTCCACATACCTAAGTTTTCAAGAAGAAGAAGCAATTGGGGAGCATTTGCTGTATGGCTGGCTTTCCACTCTTTCTCCTTGGGAGGATACAGTGTGTGTGGGGTGGTGTCTGCAGGAGGACCTGTGGCCGCACGCAGGGCAAGCCCCCAATCAACCCTGGCTGAATGCAGTGGAGGAGAAAACTGCATAGCGTCTCCACAGCAGCCTTGCAGAGCTATGAATAATGATGGTGATTAGGAGATGGCACCATCCCACAGTCTTACGTTCAGTGTTTCAGTTTCTTGTCACAATTATCCTATCAGGTAGATTTTATTATCCCCTCTTTCCGGCTTCTAACTATCATCTTTCAGTCCAGACCAGAGCACTTCTATTATTGAGTCTTTTAGCCAAAACATCTGTGGACAGTATTTTAACCCCAAGGCATCCCTTTAGCAGTAACATGTGAGTCACGCGGTAGGTAGGCTAGGTGGGGACCTTGCGACACCTTTAGGATGCAGCCAGAAGCTCCACCCACTGATCAGTGTGCTCTTTCTGAAAGGGCGGGACAGTCAGGCCGACAGCAGCAGCAATGTCATTAGGTCTGTGGGATCTTGCATCAGAAAGTCCTGGATTCGAATCCCAGCTTACTGTGTGGTTTTGTTTCTTTTGACAGATGCTAAGTCTCAGATTCTTCATCCGCAAAATGGGAATTAAATCTACTGCAAAGGTTGTTGGAAGAGTTAAAATGGGATCATGAATGTAAAATGCACGTCATGATATAACACGAACAAAGAGAGCCCGGAGAAAAACAGAACCCTTTCCCTACAGCAGAGAACTGCACCAATTTTATTGAGCTCCTGTTCCAACTGGAGAGAGAAGCTTCCTTGATTTATGCGTCTGATAATAAAAGAGGTGCCAATTACAAGACGTTTACTACTGTTGATTAGTTCCGTGTTGCTGGAAACTAGGTCTGTCGAAAAGATAAAACGACACCACATCATTTCCACGTGGCTTTGGTGCATTCCTTTTTAGCCCTCCTTGCTGCTCTCTCCCTAAACACAAAATCTAACTAGCCCCTCTGGGGCCCGGCAATCTCCCACCCTTGCCCCGGGACCGAGGTGAGAGGCAGCCAGCCCCCACATTTCAAACTTTTCCGGCATGCCAAGCCTTAATACTTTTGTCTCTGGCTTAGCTCCTTTCCCTCCCACAAATAAACTTGGGGCTATTTTAGAAAGCTTTTGCCACAACAGCCTCTGAGTGCTAATGAGTGTGACTTCAGAAGAGAATTTTCCATTAGTGAGTAAGAAAAAAAAAAAAAGAAAAAAAAAATCACCTTGAAATGTAATAAGCAACATCAGGCCCTTGTCTCCTAACAATGCCCAGATTCAAAACTAAAGCTGCTTTTTGATTAGATGTTTCATTCAACAACTATGTCTTGAGTACCTACTATGTGCCAGGCATCAGGCTGGGTAATGCTGCGAATATGGAGGTGTGTCATGGGGAGACCACGGCCCCTGCTCTCCAGGGGTTTATCATTTCAGAGGACTGCACAAATAATGAAATATGGCTGAGGAAGAATGAGATACGCAGATCTGTGGGAAAGTCAGAGAAGGCTTCCTGGAGGAAAGAGGCAACTAGGATGGGCCTTGAGGGATGATAACAGATGGTGTCCCACAACCTGGGTTGAAATCCCATCTCTGCTGATCACAGTTGTGTGACCAAGTCAAGTTACGTCTCTTTGCCTCCTTTTCCTCATTTGTAAAATGGGGACCAAAATAGTACCCATGCCAGTGGCTGTTGTGGTGATTAATTGAATTAATACAAATAAAGTACAGGCCCTGCCACACAGAAGTACTCAATACAAGTAGCTATTAAATAGCTATTATCTGTTAAATGGGGCTAACAAATAGGGTTTATTTTGCTGCCAGGATAAAGAGGAGAAAATTCCAGGAAAGCACTTAGCACAAGAACTAGCACATGGTAAGCACCAGATAATATTGCTCTTTAGTATTATGGTGGTGGTAGTTGTTGGCCGCTGGGGGTAGGGAGGAGAGAAGGGCAGGCAGGACAAAGCATTAATTAGCTCCCCCTCCTCTCTTTCTGAGTTCCGGGCCCTCCATTTGGCCCCACGCCCTTGGCTGCCAAGTGTCGCCTCCAGATCCCCCGCCATGAATCCCCCCGGAAGCGGGAGCAAAGGGAAGGCAGATTCTGGCCGCTCTCCTCTGTTCTCAATCAAATGTGCTGCTTTTCTGCCTGGCTTCACACATTGTAAAAGGCAGCCATGTTCAGATTGCTCAGTGTCCACACATCGGGCTCCTCCTGACCCGCTGTTTGCCTGCAGATGGGTTCGAAGCCCATTATTGTAATGGATTTGCTGTTGGGTAGAAGAAGGGGTTGTCCGCCTAATAAATCTTTGCCCCAGTGGATCGCATCCAATAGACCATCCTCCACACCACGGTTTTGCTCTGACGGATTTGTTTAGTGATTTCTGAAAGACAGATAAGCTCCAATGAGTGCCCTGAGATAATATAGCAAGACATCATGAAGATGGAAAAAGAAACGCAGGACTTTTTTGGAGCAATAATTTAAGGATTTTTTCCTTTTCTTTTCTTTTTTCTCTTCTTGTCTTTTCTTGGTCCACCTTCTGAAAGTGTTGTAATACCATCTTGCTGTTAGGTTAAAAAAACAAAGTGCTGCTAATGAGATGCGTAGAAAAGTAAAAACATGTCATGCAAATTAGACACCTTTGGGGATTTTGAAAAACCTGTTTGAAGGGCTAATTAAGAAGCTATTAAAAATAATTCATAATAATCTGCTTTCCCCAAATTCTTTTCAGTTCAGAAGTGTAAGTGATGCCATTTTTATTTCACTTTTTGAAATACATAAGTAGCAGGCCCCTCGTTTACCTGGACACATTTGTTTAAGCAACAGGTCCCTCGTTTACCTGGAAATACTTTTCAAAACCTTTAATGACTTTTATTAAGGTAATCCCATTTGTCCCCTTCCTCCTGACATATTCCTTTTCTGCTTGAGCTGGTTCTTGCAGCAGATTGTTCAGCAAATGCGGTCAGCGCACCATCGCAGGAGTGACTCTAAGTCTCACTGGGAGAAAATTGTTGTGAGTTACAGGAAATTAAAAAATTCCTGCAATACCAACCCACTTCTCAAAGTCAATCTGTGGTATCCCAGCATCCACTCGACTCTGAAGTCAGGCCAGAATGATTTTTGAAGAGTAATTTCCAGCCTTATAAGGGGTCACGTCGTGTATTGAAGCCATATTTGCTTCTGTGTTTTGTAAATTTCAAACTCATTACTAAACCTTGTCTCTTATACCTTGTGTCTGGCTCTTACCTTGCCCTCATCAATCTGAGCCTTGAAAATCTAATGAAGAATGGCACACATTTTGCATGTGGAAATGTGATAAAACACCAATTGTTAGGAACCTGAGGAGGAATCAGTTTTCGAGGATGGGCGGGGAGGCGGGCCTCTGTTCTTAGAGCCAGCTCACTGCTAGGTCTCTGCAAGTCCCCAGGAATAAAGAGAAACAAACAGGATTTTCCCACTCTCCTCTGAGCCCCACTGTTCCCTGTCTTTGAGATAAGCCACAGGCCGTGTCTGCGCCACAAGCTTTCAAACCGTTCATGCTCTAAGAGCCAGGCGATAAGATGAGCTCTGTAACATTTTCCTTATAGAAAGCAGAGGTCTCTGTGTTCTGCAGAACAATATTACCCTTTACTTGTGTTCCAAGATAGTAGCTCAGTTAAGCTGTGAACACCTTGAGAATTTCACATGGTATCTCATAATGGACACAGAAACTACATGCCTGGGTTCTGTGATTTTCTCCAAGGAAATCTATAGAGGATGGAGTGGCAGATAATCATGGCCTTTGGGGCATTACAAAGGTTGATGAAAGCTGTGGGACCTTCTCCTAAACATGCACTCATGCACACACACACACATATGCACACACACACAGCCTGTCTCTCGAGCTCTCATTCTTGTTATCTCTTGCATCCCATTTTAGAGAGTCCACACTAAAAACCTTTGGTGCAAGTAAGCATCACACCGCAGCTCCCTTCACCTGAATAGACAGGAGTCAGCTTGGAGAAATGGAAAAATCGTGAACTTTGGAGGCAGGCTGACACGTTTGCAAACCAGCTCTGCTATTTCCTAGCTGTGTGGCCTTGGACGAGTCACTTGACCTCCCTGGGTCTTGGCTTTCTCATCTGCAAGTGGTGACAATAATACCTACTTTTCAGGTTTGTGCTGAGAATGGGCAAAGGGCTAGGTAGATGGAGACTCATCTATTAGGTCAGATGGTTCTAGGCTCTGTTTTGGGAAGGAAGGGGTAGGTAGATCCACCAAGGGGGTTGAGGCAAATCAGTGCTTAGTGCTGGCCCAAAAACTCTAGATTCAGGCCTGGAACAGCTCTGTTCTTAACACCCAGCCTGACACCTCCTAATGAAATGTAAATGAGCGTTCTGACAAGCCTGGCATTTGCTTGGGAGAAAGGGTGTGAGCAGACAGCCACAGACAGGGCAGCCTCGGAGTGTGGCTTGGATCTGAAGCTGGCTGGTTTGCAGTGAGAGCACCTTGCTTTCTCCCCTGGGGGTAGCCCCAAGGTGGGGAGTTTTCACAAAGCCTGCCCTCTCCCTAGAGACAAGCTCTGCCCTCTTTTGGTCCACATGTCCCTCTGGATCTTCCCATGGGTGGTCATCACAGCTAAACGGCCTGATGATCCAACAGGAAGTGGACACATCCCAACTTTGGAAGGTCAGCCTGACCACCCTGGCTCCTGCCTCCCATGGACAAGTGAGTGGGGGTTGCTTGGAGAAAGCCCCTGCCTATGGCAGGCTTGGGACCTGTACTCCTGGCACCAGTGTAGGTGCAGCCTTCTCAAGCCCAGATGCCAATAGGCCAAGGCCCATAAGTGACCTCCGTTAAGCACAGCTCTCCTAGGGGCGCCTGTCTGGCCAGAGCTCCCTTCCAATGTGAAACAGATCCTGTCCTGGCTGGCCTGGAAGCACTTGGAATTCAAATGAAGGTGCTTCCATGACCCGTAGACACAGACACAGTGGGTACCGGGAAACAGCCCAGCTGTGCACATGTGATGGAGCACCCCACAGGCAGCCTCGAGTCAAGTCCACTCCCCACTGGGCAGGGATGGTAAGACCCAGAGAGGTGAAGCTGCATCTCGGAGATCACACAGCCAATTGGTTTAGGGCCAGGAGAGCTCAGAAATCATAACCTGACACTCTGGGCCTCCAACAAAAGTGTCCCAAACTGCAGACCGACTCTTTCTTCTTCATTCAAAGAGAATGTTTCCGGAGTAACTATGTTGTGCCAGGCCCTGGGAAGCTAAATATGAGCGAGATCATTGTTATCCTTCCTGCCTCCCAGAGATGAGGGCAGATTTCCCCACAGAAGCAATGGCTGAGACAAGATCCAGAGCTTGAATGGGAGTAACTAGACCAAGAGGAGTGACGAGTGTCCCTGGCAGAGTAAACAGCTCATACAAAGGCCCTGTGCCCAGAGGAACACATAGGAAGAACTGAAAGGAGAGAGTGGCTGAGGTTCAGCGAGCAGGTGGGAGCCTGGGTCAGGTTGAATGTCTCCAGCAATTTCCTTGTTGGGGTTCTGATAAAGCCAAAAACACCTATTGGCTAGCACTTCTCCCCAGTTTTAAAACTGTATAATTGAGAGAAAATGCAATCCTATACTTTTCATTCATTCATACTTAAGTCATCAAACATAATAGAATATATTAAAAACTTTATGGTATCCACCACAGCTTTTGGTCCATTTTAGTAAGATTTTATTTTGTCTTTATCTCACAGTCTTCTCCAAGGATGAGGGAACTAGACACCCAGAGTTACCAAGCAGGGCCAGAGGAGACTGGCCTAGACTGAGCCAGGCAAAGGAAGGGCTGGAGGAGTCCCGGGGCCTTTCTTCCCCTCCCCTAGCCCCAGTAGCTGATGCCCCCATCACCATCCTTTATGAAGCTCTGGATCTGGGGTTGCTTTTGAATGTCCAAGCCTTTCAGGGCTGCCTTCACAAGCTTTGCTCAGAGACAGTGCTGGCTGAGGCCAGCAAACTCCTTTCCCTCCTGCAAAGGTCACCTTCCTGGAGCAGGCTCAGGAAAACCACTGGGACCCCAGACAAGCAGCCCTGGGAGATAAGGAGCCCTCCCCTCATTCTGCACTTGCCACTGCCAAAATAGTCTTCCAGCCCAGGCTGCCCAGGGCTGTGCCAGCCATGAGAGACAGGCAGTCTGGAATAGACCCCTCCTACTATAACAGAGTCATCAGATCACCAGTTCTTCAGCCCACCAACTCACTGGACTGTCCAGGATCTACAGAGTGGTCTGCAGAATTTTTAGGGAAGGTTTGATGCTTGAGTTTCTTCTTCCTGCTCCTGTCTCTAGGTCTAGGACTATTGACTGCAGCCATTTGCCTTCAGAGACAAGGGCTGGGTCTCACATAGGGGAGGAGGGGGAAAAAATTTTGGGAAAGGTCCTCAGGAATTTGGCAAATCAGCTGGTCAAGGAATTGATTGTGCAGAAATGAGGTCATTGGGCTGAAAGGCGCTTTTTGCAACCTGGTTTTAGGGAACTGGCCTGGGGCTGTGGAGTGAACTGGGAGAGAGGGGTTTTGGAGTTGGGTGCCTGAGTTCAGATCCTGGTCTTGCTATTCACTCCTGAGACCAATTCATGTCTCAAAGCCTCAGTTTCTGCATGGTCAGGTGGAAAGTTGTCAGAACTGACCTTCCACACACAGCAGTAGGCAGGACCGATAATAAGCACTGCTGTAGTTTGGCTGTGTCCCCATCCAAATCTCATCTTGAATTGTAGTTCCCATAATCCCCATGAGTCATGGGAGGGACCTGGTGGGAGGTAATTTAATCATGGGGGCTGCTACCGTCATGCTGTTCTCATGATAGTGAGTTCTCACAAGATCCAATGCTTTTATAAGGGAGATGCTTTTATGTGGGACTTTTCCTCGTTTGCCCAGCACTTCTCTCTCCTGCCGCCTTGTGAAGAACGTGTTTGCTTCCCTTTCCACCATGACTGTAAGTTCCCTGAGGCCTTTCCACCCATGCAGAAGTGTGAATCAATTAAACCTCTTTCCTTTATAAATTACCGAGTCTTGGATATGTCTTCATAGCAGCATGAAAACAGACTAATACAAGCACCAATATGGCAAGACGGACAGTGTTCATTCTCATTGGCTGGTGCCCATGTGGTATCTGCCAATAAACATTCACACAAACTGCTGGCTGTAGAGTCAAATAACATAACAGATGGGTACAGGGAAGCACGTGGCACAGGAGAGCACTCAACAAGTGGTGGCTTGGTTACATTGCCCAGGGCCAAGGCATACTCACATACCCCAACAAGCTAAAGTTGCCCCCCACAATACACACCCAACCCCAACCCCACCAAAGTTGCAGAAAAGTGAGGCCCGGGGCTCAATGAAAACTAAGTTGACCTCTTCCCAGAGACCCAAACATCCGGGGCTTTTACAGTGTCTCTTTGGAGCTGTCTGTCAGCAAGCAGCCCAGGAAGCTCACATAGGTGCTTGTCTTTTTTCCCCATGACCCAGGGCTGGAGTGAGAAGACAAGGCTTCACAGGAAGCATGCCTTGTCCACCACCAGCACCTGCATCTCAGCTGAGCCAGTGGCGTTCTGTGTTCCTCAGCCTGTCTGGGACCTGGAGATTCTGGAAGCCATGCCGCCCAGGGGAGGAAAACCAGGTGGAGAATTGGAGGCATTCATAACTCTCAAATGTATTTAGTGCTGCATTTTCAGACTCATTGCAGGTCAGAGGGTTTCAGTGAACTTGACTGCATGTTGTAAGGGATATTGTCTGCTATGGAAGAGAGATTCTCAAATTTGTGGATGGCCGAAAATTTCCTAACATGAAGGTCTGCTATAATAAGCTCATTATTTTGTACTTAGGTCTGCAAGAGTAGGGATTGAAACTCACTTGGCCGTTTCCTCGCACTTAGCATATAATGGGCGGTCAATAAATGTTTTTATGTTAATAAATGAATGAATAAAAGATTTTGTTACCCATAAGAAAACCTAGCCCAGTATCCAGCCTGGGGTCAGGCCTAAGCGGAGGTGCCTCCACTGGGATGTCTCCCCAGGGCCCTGTAGCCATCACCAGGGAAGGGCCAGCCACATCCCATGCAGGATGGAATCTGGGATGGGGAAGGTCATTTGTGACCCACCTCTCTCTTCTACCCAGCACCAGAGATTGTAGTTTGTTCCTGGGTCCTTGGCGAGCTTAAGTTGGCTGCCTCTGCCCACCAGGCTGCCTCCTGCCAAGACCCAGATTGGCAGTCTAGCACCCAGAGAGCCACGCTTGCTGGGGCCTGGGTGTGTGGACACTGGCTTTCAGGCTACTGACTGCCCCTTGGGCCATGTGACCCCTTGCCCGGCCTCTGCAAACCCCGCTTTGCAATCATGAGGACCCAGTCTGCCTGGGCTCCCCTCGCTCCTCACTCAGACCTCAAATGTCACCTTCTTCCTTACACCCTAGCTGAGACAGCTGCCCAAATCAACAAGCATGTGATCTGCAAACATGCTAATTTTGATCTTCTACACCACCTCTGAACTGCTGCGGAGGAGATGATGGGAAAGGGTTCCCTGAGGAGCCGTTCCAGCCTAATGCATCACATGTGCTGAGAGAGGCCAGGCCGGGCCAGACATTTGCAGCTCAGGTACCAGCCCTCCTGGGGTTCCCAGCTCCCATGCACCTCGGCTGAGCTGGGAAAGAAGAGGCTGGGAGGCTGGGCAGGGAGGACTCATCCCTCCCACCGTAGCCACCAGAACACACAGATCACCCCCTCTGTGCTACTCCATGGCTGGAGGACATTTTCTGGCAGTTCCTAGTGGATTCAAATTTGCACACAGAATAGCATCTCTTTCCCACATCCAAGCCCAAGACAGGAGATGTTGAAGGTGTCCAGCCCCATGGACTTAACACAAAGCCCCCAGCCATTGAGTTTAAGTTTAAAATAACACTATTAATTATCCACAGATTCTAGATTCTCCCACTAAGCCAGGTACATGGCAAAGTTGTGTGAAAGGCAGCATTTTGCACCTTTTACCAAAAGCACAAATGTGTACAGGAAACAGGAAACAGACTTTTATGTGCAAAAAAGCACCTACTATGTTTCAGGCCCTGGAAGTTACAGGGATCTGGTGGGGAGAGTTAGCCACTAGGGTTACTAGCAGATACAGTGGAAAAACTAACAGTGCAGTGGAAAAAGAACAGGCTTTCAAGTCAGAGAGGCTGCAATCTACTGCTGATCAGCTGGGTAACCTTAGGCCGGTTCCTTAACCTGTCTGAGACTGTTCCCTCATGGATTAGACAGCCATAATTGCAGCTTCCTTACAGCAAATGAGATGATTCATGTAAAGTACTGAGAGCAGTGCTTGGTGCATAGAAGGTGTGTGTAATAACTGCCCCCTGCCACCCCAGCTCACTTTGACTCTGACTATTCTCAGCCACTAGTCCTGACCTTGGGCTATCCCAGATGCATCTGGAACCCCGGATTTATTGTTCTCTCCTGAGGCTGATTCATGTCTCAGAGCCTCAGTTTTCACCTGATCAAGTGGAAAATTGTCAAAGCTGACCTTCCCCACACAGTGGGAGGCAGGGCTGGTAATAGACACCAATATGGCAAGAGAGACACTGTTCTCTATCAGGGAGAAGTGAAGGACTTATGTCTCAGATAAGTCTTTGGTTCCTTGGGTCTTCAAGGCTTGTCCTGTTAAAAACAACGCCCACAGCCTCATAAAGCAGGACATCCACTTTCCCAAGCCCCCGGGGACTTTACTTCCCTCCCGCTGGTCCGCCTGTTAGCTTGCATGAGTTCTAGGCCACTTCTCTGCCTCCACGGGAAATGGCCCTCCAGCCCATCAATGATTTGAAGAGACCCTTTGGGGCTGTAGTGCCTTCCTTTCTGCTGGACCCCAGCTGTGACCAAGTGGCCAAGTGGCCGGGTGGGGGCCACTGTCAGGACCATGTGAGAGAGTGAGATGCCTGCCTTCCCACCCTGAGAACACAGTCAGCAGGGAGGGGAAAGTAGGCTCTCTGCCACACTTCTGGCCATGTGGCCCTCTCCACAGGGGCAATGACCAGATTCTGCCTATGGTGGCCAGGAATGCCCTGGAGATAGGGCCTGGGCCTCCTTACAAACATTGCCAGGGTACAGAAAAGTGACACCAGGAGAAACTGGGGTGGGAGAACCTGTGGGCCCATTCCAGGCAGCCTGGGGCACTAGGAAGGCCACACTGAGACTCCGGGTCTACCAGGTACCGATCATGAGGTCTTGAGCAGTTTGCCTCACCTCCTTGGGCCTCAGCGTCTGCATCTGCAAAATGAATCTCATTGTGCCCCATTCCTGGTGTTGACAAGAAGATCTACTGAGAAAATGGACGTGAGGGCGCTTTGTCAGTGGTGGCCCACTCTACCAGGGTGCGAGATACACTTACATCAAGGGTTCCTCTCAGTCACCACTTCTGTCCCATGTCCCCAACCTCCATATCCACTTGTACCCAGGACATGTCCCTCTGGATGTCCCACAGACTCCTCCAAGCTGCACACTCAGAACTGAACTCATCATCTTCCCCTGGCCTGCCCCCATCCTGCACCCCTAATATGGGGATTGGCAACATCATCTCCCCTGACCCCCAAGCTCCAAATCCCTAGCCTAATCCAGGTGTCCCTCCTTACCAACCTCTCTCTGGGCTTCAGCTGATGATCGGATGCTTTGTCACCCAACCTCCTGCTCATCTCCAGAATTGCTTGCTCCTCACCATCCCCAGGGCACCACCTCGGTCTGGGTTCTAGTCACCACTCTCCTGGACTGGTGCCAAAGCCCCTGACTGGTCTTCCAGCCTCTGGTGAGACACCCTCTAGGCCAGTGTCCACAGAACTGCATGGTGGACACATTCTTAATCATAAACAATACTGGTGATAATAATCATTACAGGCAATAAGAATATAGGCAAGTCCTTTGTCTACATTAGCTCACTTAAGCCCCCAGCAACTCTGTCAAGGAAGTGCTATTATCATCCCCATTTTCCAGGTGAGAAAACTGAGGAACAGGGTGCTGAGGCCACACAGGAGTGAACAGCAGCAGTGAGGTATGAAGCCAGGCAGTCTGGCCTCAGCCTCCCTTACTTAGTAAACTCAGTGGGTTTCTTCATAATCAGTCACAGGATGAACTTGGCATGGGAACACAGCCCTTCACAACCTAGTGCACCCTCAAAATGCTCTCATCAATCAATCTCCCCACAGCCAGGGCTCCAGCCAGGCCAAAGACATGAAGCCCACTGCTGAGCACAGCTGATGCTTTGATGCCTCTGAGCTTTTGTGCGTGCTATTTCCTCTGCCTCAGACGCCTTTTCTACTCCCATCTTTCCCCTTCAAGACAGCTCCAGGAAGCCTTCCTTGACCTCCCAACCCACCCCACCCACACACCCTCTGCTGTCCCTGCACAGAACCCACTACATGATATGGCAGTTGTCTCTGCAGCTGTTTCCCCCATTAAACCAGGAGCTCTCAAGAGCAAAGATCGTGTCTTTTAATCTGTCTGTTGTCTGCTTCTTGCATAGGGAGTGATACGGTTTGGATGTTTGCCCCGGATCAAATCTCATGCTGAGTTGTAATTCCCGATGTTGGAGGTGGGGCCTGGTGGGAGGGGTTTGGACCATGGTGGCGGATCCCTCATGAATGGCTTGGATCATCTCCTAGTGATGAGTTCACAGGCAATCTGATAGTTTAAGAGTGTGTGGCACCTGCCCCCACCTTCTCTCTCTCTCTCTCTCTCTCTCTTGCTTACCTGCTCCTGCTTTCGCCATGTGACATGCCTGTTCCCACTTTGCCTTCTGCCATAAGTAAAAACTCCCTGAGGCCTCCCCAGAAGCAGAGCAGATGGCAGCTCTACTCTCCTGTACAGCCTGCAGAACCTTGAGTCAATTAAACCTCTTTTCTTTATAAATTACCCAGTCTCAGGTATTGCTTTATACCCATGCAAGAATGCCCCTAATACGGGGAATGAATGAATGAACAGGAGATTTTGTTTATTTCAAAACGTAATAGGATTTTGAATCAGATAATAAAGCAGGGGCTTTGATTCTGACTGCTCTGGATTCAAATTCCAGCTCCATTACTTATTAGCTGTGTGATATTAGGCAACTTAACCTCTCTGAGCATCAGTTTCTTCCTCTGTAAAATACAGGGGAAAGCATAACTCCTTCAAGGGGTTGCCCTGAGGATTAAACGAAACAAAGTTAATAAAGTGTCGAGCATATGGGCCCTGCAATGATGGTGAGGATGATTAAGCTCGTCACATATGCACGGGCTATTACCTTCACTGCACAGCCAGGGCACCGTTGAGCCCATCTTCCCTAAGGCTCTCTCTCCTTCCTGCTCCTCACACGATCAAGCAGAGCAGTGCCTTCCCACCACAGGACTTTTGCATGTGCTTTTCCTGTGGAAGGGATGCTCTTCCCTCCACTGTGCCCATAGTTGGCTCCTTCTCATTTTTAGGCCCAGGCATAGATGTCACCTCCTCAGGGTCTGTCTTCTCAACCACTCTATAAGAACAGCCGTCCCTGCACTCTCTACCCCACTATTGTCCATCTCAACCTCTATTGGTTTTCCCCATAGCAGTGCAAGAATGTGTAACTATTTTGTGCATTTTTTTCAGCCTTGTGAGCCCCAAGATGACAGCAGCACAGCCGTCGTCTTCACTGCTGACAGTGCAAAGCTCAATAGGTAATGTTGAGTGAATGTTGAATGAATAAACTACTTAGGCTCCATTCCGCAGAGCAAAGGAAAGGTGTGGGAATTTGCAGCCAAAGCCCCATCCCTGGCAGATGGAAGCAAGACCCCCTCCCTTTCCCCGAAGCCTCAGCAAGGCCGCACCTGGCTGCCTGCAGCCCGTGGTGCTCAGAACCAGCTCACCAGAGACAGATTGGAGGGAGTTCAGAGGAGCGGGCCTGGCAGGATTAAGTGGAGGGAGAGGGTGATTTATAAAGAAAGATAAAAGGGCCCAGCTTCATAAGGCCGGGCTGCAGGATATTTCGATAACAGCCTCCAAATGTTGGCAAGGTGTGTGTGCCAGGGGAGGAGGGATGGATGACTCTCCCGCAGAGGTGCAGAGGCCGGCACAGGGGACACGCAAGGAAATTTCAGGTGACTCTGCAGGCCTAAGGTGGAGTGGGAACCCATGGCCAAAGCAAGGAAACTGCCAGCATCAAGGGACAAGCTCACCTCACCCAGGCAACTCGTTCTGGAGGGCCTCCAGGAGTTCATACAGCAGAAAGCAACAGAAGAGACTCTTTGTGGAAACCAGAAGAGAAAACCTGTCCCCTCAGCAAGACCACTTTGCCAGTCATCTGAGAAGGAAGATGCCTCAGACCAGCGATTGGCAAACTATGGCCGGCAGCATAAAATCTAGCCCACTGTCTATTTTTGTAAATAAAGTTTTATTAGAACACAGCTGAGCCTATTCATTTAAGTGTTTTCTATGGCTGCTTTTGTGCTACGACTTCAGGGCTGAACGGTTGTAACAGAGACTGTATGACTTGTAAACTCTAAATATTTACTATCTGGCCCTTTACAGACACAGTTTGCAGTGCCTGTTTTAGACCATGGATTCTCAGGTAATGTGCACATCACTCTGAAAGGGGAAATAAATATCCACATGGCCCCATCTTTGTCTTAAATTATTTTATTGTAATGTTATTTAAATAGATGCATACATATAATTACGTATAATCATCTTAGGCTTTTAGCTCTTACACCACTAGAAAACAAAAAAGATTCTTGGACTCAATGCCTGCAGAATGACAAAAACATTAAAATTAAAATTAACAGCATTAAAATAACACAACTGGTGATGCTTTTGCTGAAGAGGCATTGCTACTTGGAGCACGTGTGGCCTCTAGGATACAGATTTGTTTACATTTAGCAAGGTCAGTACCAACAGAGTGCTGTGTGATGACTCAATTCTCCCACTCGGTTTCTCCCTTCTAACTATTGCAAACACTTTCATTCACACAGAAAGCCATGACAACATGGGCCTTCAGTGGATACAAATACTCACTCAACCACATCTGTGCTTTCTCTCATCAGCCTGTGAGAACTAAAATGTGTTTGATTGCCCCAGCATCTCATGATACAATTAAAACTTGGACACTAAAATCTTATGTCCATACCCAGGTATAAAGTGACCAGCCAGCCAAGCCAGAAAATATTTACATCCATTTTTTTCAAATTATCAATAAAATAAAAATGGAATTAAAAAAAAAATCTTAGAGGATTTGTCCAACGGTTTGAGGATCCTGGTTTGAAAAGCAGAGATCTAGCCTACCATTCACCTTTTCCAGATGGGGAAACTAAGTCCCACAGAAGGAATGTGACTTGCCAAGATCACAATGGGAGCTGGGGCTGAAGCCAGAGTTGAATGCAGGTGGCTTCTCAGCCCAAGGGTGAGCTCCCAAGAGCCCCCAAGAACAGCTGGCCAGAGATGCCATCTGGGAAGCAGAATTTTCCCAGTTGGGATCCAGAAGGAGGGGTCACTAGCCAGAGCCACTAACAATGATGTAAACGGCTTCTTCCAGAGTGGGGAGGGCAGCTGTGCCCTCCAGACACTGTGACCAACAACTGAAGTCAGCATCGTGGAGGCACACAGTGGAGGCCCACGGGCAGGCTGGAACAGCTCCCGAGAGCCTCACCAGAGATTGAGAAGTACAAGCAACAGCAATGGGCCTCTGCAGCCGCAGAGGCCTCTGACCCCAGAGACTATCACTGGAACCCACCTGAGCTCAAAAGTTAAGGCAAGTCTTCACTGCCCAGGAAATCACTCATGCAGAGGGATCAGATGGCTGCCACTGGACAGCTGGAGGCCCCAGATTCCCAAACATGGTCATGGCAGCCACTTGTTCATCTGGAGAATCCAGCTCCTAGGAAGCCAAGCCTGGAGGGAGACATGTGAGCGACTCAACTGGCCCCAGGCTCTGCAGGGGTGCCGCACCTGTTCTGGAGGCTGCTCTAGCCCAGGACTGCCTCACTCTGTACTGGGAGCAAACCCACAGCAGCAGCTTTTCAGGACAGAAAAAAGTTTTATGCACATCCATCTCCTACATAAAATGCATATTTAAAGGCTTGTGACTGGGTGGTTCAGACTAAATGGGAATATAAGATACTCCAGAATATTCAGTACATTTTGAGTAAAGGGCCAGATAGTAAATATTTTAGGCTTTGTATCTTGGGCTTTAAAAAAAAATTCTTTAAAAAATGTAAAAACCATTCTTAGCTCACATGCTGTACAAATACAAGCTGC
This sequence comes from Homo sapiens, assembly GCF_000001405.40. Taxonomy (NCBI): domain Eukaryota; kingdom Metazoa; phylum Chordata; class Mammalia; order Primates; family Hominidae; genus Homo; species Homo sapiens. Next base: position 117,662,622 of record NC_000010.11, on the reverse strand, counting down.
AGGCTGAATTGGACACACAGACAGTAGTTTGCCAACCCCTGTTCTAGAATCACTAACTCAAAACATTCCCTACAAGATCAACTGGTCTTCCCATGGAACAATAAATGCCCACGGATCAATGATGTTCTCATTCTCATACACACACAGAGACACACACTTGGACATAGACATCTTCACAAACACACTCAAAGCTTCCACTGGGGCAAAAATGCATTCTCTGAAAATAATTTCTGGAATTTGCAGAGCACACACATGCTCCAAAGTTTGTTCAGGGTCAGTGTGTCATGTGCAAACCCACAGCATCCAGGGTTGAGAAGCTGTAAGTGACTATTCCTGTGGGTATGTAAGGCACAAGAGGAGATCAGAGATCTAGTCTGCCCACGATCTAGTCTGAAGTCTCCAAAGTGTTCCTTAGAGCCACAGGGCCTTTGGAGAGGCACCTCTAGGGGTCAGCTCTTCAGGCTGCCACACTTAACCCAAATAACCTGTCCCACCTTCAACCTTGTAGATACTGAATTTTAATCGAAGATTTCATCTGAAAGTCCCATTTTATGGCAAAAGGGTGGGGGGCGGGGTGGTGTTAAAAACTAGTGCCTGGCCGGGCGCGGTGGCTCACGCCTGTAATCCCAGCACTTTGGGAGGCTGAGAGGGGTAGATCATGAGGTCAGGAGTTCAAGACCAGCCTAACCAACATGGTGAAACCCCATCTCTACTAAAAATACAAAAAGTAGCCGGGTGTGGTGGCGGGCGCCTGTAATCCCAGCTACTTGGGAGGCTGAGGCTGAGGCAGGAGAATCGCTTGAACCTGGGAGGCGGAGGTTGCAGTGAGCCGAGATTGCGCCACTGCACTCCAGCCCGGGTGACAGAGACTCCGCCTCAAAAAAAGAAAAAAACAAAAAGCAAAACAAAAAAAAACTAGTGCCTGGCCCATTGCTTTATATCTGGCCCCTCTAAAGGTTCTGGTAAGATTAGCCCATATACCTGCCTACCTATTAAATGGAGGAGAGGCAGCCATCAACAGACCAGGCAGGTGCTCTCTGGTTTGCCACAGTCACCACCACTCCCTCTTGCCTTGTACCTACCTGCTTTACTAATTAGTAGTACCTGCCTGGCCCCTGGAGGCATTTGATTTTGTGACTCTTACTCAATACTGTTTCAGCTGCCATAAAATGAAGCTCTGCTCCCTGAAGGGCTGAAGTGGTTCATTTAGCAAAGTCACCACTAAACTCAACCGGAGGTACTTAACAATTCCTTGAGATCCAGAATTCTGGCCTACCTGCAGCCGCCACAGCCCACAGGTCTTAGGTAACCCTTGACTGATTTTGATTTTTTTTTAATGTTATGGATTTATTTATATCCCACTACATTCCAAAAGTATTTGAGGCAGCTTGTAAATATGCATATAGCACCATAAAATTTTAAAATAGATAAAGAAATCTGAGAGAAGGAAAATCAGACGAGAATAGCAGGATGAGGCCAAAGGAAAAGTTAGGACGTGAAAATGCAAGTCAAAACGGTCTGCACAGTTTTTAATGGTAAGCAGAGATTTTTGAGTTAGGATGGCTAATGGAAGCTGCATAGAGAACCTCCCTCCCCAAATAGCTAAAGAAATTGATTTTAAAAATAAAAAAAATAGGCCAGGTGCAGTGGCTCATGCCTGCAATCCTAGCACTTTGGGAGGCCAAGACAGGCAGATCACACAAGTTCAGGAGTTCAAGACCAGCCTGGGCAACATGGCGAAGCCCCATCCCTACTAAAAATACAAAAATGAGCCAGACATGGTGACACATGTCTGTGGTCTCAGCTACTTGGAAGGCTAAGGCAGGAGGATTGCTTGAGACCAGGAGACAGAGGTTGCAGTGAGCCAAGATCGTGCCACTGCACTCTACCCTGGGTGACAGAGGAAGACTCTGTCTCAAAAATAAATAAATAAATAAAAATTGAAATACAGCAAAAAAGGACAGAGGCATAGCACAAAGCTTCAAAAGCATCAGCCAAGGAAAGAAAAGGAAAATTATGGAGCAGAGCAAAATGATTCAGTGCAGCAATGTGTCCATTCCCACTCCCAATCCCCCAGGAGCCATTTTGGGTCAGCAAAATACTAGCTATTCTCACTAATACCCTAGGATCTGGAGTGAAGCTGGCCACAGCTTTCTCACCATTGACTGGGGATGAGTGAAAACTGCTGCTGGGGGAAACAGGAAAACTGAGGACAGGATCAGGGCCCTTACTCTCTCAGATAGAAGTGAGCATTCTGGGTCCACATGGTGATTAGAGAAACCATCTAAAGCCAAGAGTATGCCATGGGAAAGGTCAACACCCCTCCACTGTGTGTGATGAGCCCAAGAGTGGATATTAAACAAAAGTCCAGAAGTGGAAGTCTAACATAGACACTTGCTTTATTGGAGCTATTCGGGACAAAAATATGCAACTACAACATGAAACATCAGTCCTTAAAATGTGGCAAATGATATGAACACCCACAAAAAAAACAGTATGCAGATGTTTATAGAAGCTTTTTCTATAATCATCCAAAACCAGAAATAATGGAAGTGTCCCTCACCTGGTAAGTGGATAAACACACTGTGGTACATCCAGATAACGGAATCATACTCAGCAACAAAAAGAACAAACTATTGATTCGTGCAACACCACAGATGAAGTGAAAGCATCCAGACTCAAAAGGTGACATACTGTATGATTTCACTGATACAACATTCTGGAAAAAACAAAACTCTAAGGACAGGAAATACATCAGAGGTTGCCGGGACTTGGAGGTCGTGGGGATCGACTACAAAGGCACATGAGGGAACTTTGTGGAATGATGGAAACAGTGAATATCCTGATTGTGGTGGCAGTTACACATCTGAGCACACTTGCCAATATTGATAGAAGTGAACATCTGGGGAAGGATGGATTTTACTCTATGTAAATCATACCTGGTTTAAAAAAATACTGTAGCAAAGGAGGGAAAAAATAATCAAAGCATCCTCAAGTACAATGGAAAGAAAGTCAAGAAGCTAAACACACTCCATTAGATCAAAATAAATGTCTGGAGAGAGCTGCTCAAGCACAAATTAAATGAAAAGAGATGGTGCAGCAACTAAGCGACTTGGAGCATGGAGCTGACGGCCACTCCCCCTGAAAGGGAAAAGAAACAGCAAGTGAAAGATAGATACGACCAAACGATGGAAGAAACGTGAACTAAAGTACACAAGAAAAATTTTACAAGTGCAATAGCTGAAGAAAAATGCAGTAAGAACATGAATCCAATTTTTAAAAAGAGCCCCAAATGACCACTCTACCCCACCAGAAAGGCTAAAATCAAAAAGACTGACAACACCCCGTGTTGCCGAGGATATGGAGCAACTATTTAATAGAACCTTCAAGCATTGCTGGTGATAATATAAGATAATACAAAAATTGGAGAAAAGTTCTGGCAGTGTCTTATAAAACTAAACATATACCTACCCTATGACCTAACAATTCTAATTTTAGGCACTTATCCAAGAGAAATGAACAAAAGGTTTGCACAAAAATGTTCCCAGCAGCTTTATTCATAATGGTCAAAACCTGGAAACATCCCAGGTGTCCAGAAACAAGAATAAACAATGGTATACTCATGCAATGGAAAACTTATAAGCAATAAAAAGAAGCAAATTACCGATAAAGACAACAATAAAGATGAATTTCAAAAACATTATGCTGAGTGAAAGAAGTCTTACACAAAAGAGTATGCCTTATATGATTCCATTTATGTGGGGCTCAAGAACAAGGAAGACTAATCTATGGTGGAAAAAAATCAGAATGGTCGTTGCCTCTGGGTGGGGGCTGGAAATGAGCTGAACACCAGGGAGTTTCCAACGTAGTGGTCTATAGTTTGATGGTGATTTGGAGCACACAGTGGATGTATTTGCTAAAGTTCATCAAATGTACACTTACGATTTGTGCATTTAATGATACGTAAATTTTACCTCAAAAGAAAATGTGATCGATATGTGATAAAACAAGTAGAGTTAATTGTTAATACAAAAATCTAAGTAATGCGTTCGTGGTTGTTTGCTGTAAAAATCTTTCAATGTTGCTGTATGTTTGAAATTTTTGCGATAAATTTTTTGGGGAAACTTATCAAATGACATACTCAAGATGTGTGGCATTTTGTTGTATGCAAATTTCACATCAAGGGAAAAAATAAAAAACTGTAAATAAAAGTTAAACTCCAATTAGTGATTTTTTTTTTTTTTTTTTTTTTTTTGAGACAGAGTCTGGCTCTGTCACCCAGGCTGGAGTTCAGTGGTGTGATCACAGCTCACTGCAGCCTTTGCCCTCCTGGGCTCAGTGAATCCTCCCACTTCAGCCTCCCAAGTAGCTAGGACCACAGGTACACAAAACCATGCCCAGCTAATTTTTATATTTTTAATAGAGACAGGCTTTTGCCATGTTGCCCAGGCTGGTCTCAAACTCCTGCACTCAAGCCATCCGCCTGCCTCAGTCTCCCAGAGAGCTGGGATATAGGCGTGAGGCATCGCGCTGGGTCCAGTTAGTGATATTCTTGCTGAAGTATTTAGAGGGATGTGTACCTATGTGACCCCCTTGCTTTTGAAACCTAGCAAAAAATATGATGGATAGAGGGATTGAAGGACTAGTTGTTAACAGATACATGGTGAAGCAAGTAGAGTAAAATGTTAATTGTAGAACATGGGTGGTGGGTATATGGGTATCCACTATCAATTCTTTCACCTTTTATATATCTTTGAAACTGTCATAATAAAATGATGAGAGGAGTGAGAAAATGACATAAAGAAAGGAAAATGGAGATTACAAACCAAAGAAAATAAATTGTGGACCAAACAGTGTTTAAAAATAAATAACATAATTAAAATCAGCAAGAACAGTACAGATATAGCTGAAAATCGAATTACTGGCATAAAGGAAAGGCCTAGATAATCAAAAAGAAATAGATGAAAAAGACAAAGAAACCAGAAAAAAGAGAATTCAACACAAGGTAATTAGTGTCCCGGACATAGAGAAACCACAGAAGGCAGGGAAAAGGTATTGACTAGAAAGGAATTGAATGATACAATACAGCACTGTCTGAGAAGGAAGAACTGAATCCATAACACATAATATTCCAGAAGAAATAATCTCATTCAGTAAGTCCGACATCATGATATGTTCTAATTATGTAATTTAACTTAAATGAAAATGTAACAGTTTCTCAAGAATTCAGGTATGGAAAGCCTATGATCATCAAGAAAGGAGAGGGTCAGGCTGCCCTCAGGCCTAAGGCAACATTCCTCCTCCGAGACAATGGAGCAAGGATACCCCATTTAAAGGGAGAAGGAAATCAAGAGTACCACAGCCAGCCAAGGATCTGGTCTCATAGAAAGGCAACAAACAGACATTCTCAGACATGAAGGTAAGTACAAAACAGAAATTTTAAAAACTCAGTGAATACAGTGTCTTCTTGACAAAACTACTTGCCCATGAAACCAGCTAATTAAGAGATAAATGGAAATCGAGATTTCAGTAGTGGAGAAGGGGTGGTAAAATGGCCAGTAGTAACAATAGAATCTATTTAAACATAGAATTAATACCAAACTATTGTGTGAACTGTGAACATTTTATAACTCCTCAAAGAAGCGTGTAGGAGGTGTGAGGTGCTCAGTTCCTCATCTTTCACAGCAAGGGGGTGACTGAGAGTATCTGAAAGCGAAACAACGCATCTAGAAAAACATCATTACCCCAACCTCAATGTTCTCTCCACAGTCTCCTGTCTTAACCTTAGACCTTTTAGAAGAGAATGTATCTTGTGGTGAAAAGTTCAACCATTCATTCCACTTGCCTTTAGCTTCTTTTTCTTTTTTGAAATTTAAGAAAAATCAACTTCAAGTCTTTATGTTAAAAGTAACAAGCATCATTCATATGATTTGTTTTTCACAAATGGACTTCCACACATTATCTATCAATCTATCTATCTATTGATTGATTGATTGGTTGATTGGTTGATTGATGGAACGAGAGACTGAGAAAGAAGATAAGTAGAGAGGTAGATATAGATAAGTAATTAGATAGATAGATAGATAGATAGATAGATAGATAGATAGATGGATAGATAGATAGATAGATAGATGGAAGTCCATTCATGAATATTGACATATATGGAAAACTGCATGTGTGTATGTTTGTGTGTGTGTCTCCACAAACGGAGAGACAGAAAATAATATCTGTAATATTTTTACCTAATGGTAATAGTTGGAGTGATTTTTAAACCTAAACTTTCTTTTTCATACATTGTTGCACTGTTGAAAATTTTTAATTATTATTATATTTCTATTTATAAAAATCAACAAACTGATTTTTACTCTTTAAAATACATTAGGAAAACACTCAGCTCGGAGCTTCCTAGCAGCCAAAGAAGAAAGGAAACTACAATCAATGACAGTCTAACTATGCATGGTATCCACCAGATGAAACACAAACCAACCCAAGGAGAGCACAGCAGTTTCTCAGAGGAGACATGACTTTTCCAGGCCCTGAGGTCTGATGGAGGAGATGCTGACTGGTGTGGAGTGTGGCTTCCTCACCACCTGCCTTCAGTAATCCGGCAAAGGGTTGGATGCTGGTCCTTATTACACCACTCCAGGCTTTCCAAGAGCATGAGAGAATATGTGCTCATCTGTCCCAGCTAGGGGAAAGCACCAGGTGGCTATTACCTGTGGCCTCTGGCTAGCAAGCTGGACCCTTCTCTAAGACGTATTCCCACCAGCCAGTGATTTTCCATTGAGGTGGGATAGATTGTGGTGAGGCCACTTGAGGGAAGGGCCCATCTTTTCCCTTCCTCCTGCCCCTAATAACACACTCTAACCTCCAGTCATGAAAGCTGCCACACAGTTCTCATACTGATTGCTACCATTTCCTCTTAACTAGAAAATACTTCAAACTGTTGCCAATGCCTGATACCAGAAAGACCTTCCTCATCATCCAGGGGTCAGTTTACACACCACCTCCTCCAGGGAACCTTCCCTGAGCCCAGCAAGGAGAGGGATGGAATCAGGATCCCAGTGAAGGACTAAACTTAGAGAAGGAGGTGGAGGAGGAGGACCCTCCGAGGATGAGGGGATGACACTCAGACAAATTGAGGCACCTTGAGAGGAAAGTTGGAGGCCAGGAGCCCACATCTGTGGCCTGGCTCCTCTCAGTAAAGAAAAGGCAGGAACCCTCTTCCCAGAATGGCACAGTTAAAATGGTCCTCCAACCTTGAGACTGGAGAGAAATCACAGAGCTGAGGGAGAGCTGTTTGGGGGTTCTCCACAGGCTTCTAGACTTGGGGGAAGAGGAAATTAACACAGGCATCACACCTATGGAGTCCCATGGCAATTCCTGGGGCAGTAGGGTGGGGCGGGGCAGGAGGAGTGAGAATCTGAGCCTTAGTTCCCAATCTGTAAAATAGTGCAAATATCTCATGCCCAGCTACTCCACAGGAAGACTATGAAAGTCAAATGGGGTAAAGAATGAGCTTCATGTACAAACCATATAATGGTCCTAAAATATGAAGGCTAGAACTATTATTGCTCCTTGAACCTACAAATAAATATTGGGATAGATCCACAGATCCTTTGAGCTTCTTTTTAACAGCATTTTGGGAGCTTAAAGAGAGTTTTTATCATAAACTGGGGAACAAGAAATAGTACCTTTTTTTTTTTGGTTCTCTCATATGTCCACCTACAATAGATTGTACTTGAAGAGAAAATAATATACAATAAAGTAAAATCTACCAGCACCAGATGAACTGAAATAACTCAATTATAAGAGGCTAGCCCATGATATCATTTACAACTGCATGTCATTATTGTCATCCCAGGTAACTAGAAGTGAGACTCTTAAAAAGATGGCCTATAGGATATCCTATCTCTCTCTCTCTCTCTCTCTCTCTCTCTCTCTCTCTGTCCATTCCCTTTCATCTGGGCTTGTTCTTGTGACTTACTTTGACCAATGGGACATTAGCAATCATGACATAAGTAGTGTCTTTAAAATAATGATTGCACATTGAGAGATTTCTCCCTTGTTGCTCTTGGAACCCTGTAACTGCCATGAGGGCAAACCTGGGCTAGCATTTTGGAAGATGAGGGATCACATGGGAGAAGCCTCTATTATCTCAGTAATTTCAGATGATGCCATCATCACATGCCAGCCCCAGCCAACATACTACCTGACTGCAGAGACATGAGTAAGCCCAGCCAAGATCAGCCCAGCCCAGCAAAGACCAGAAGAACCACCCAGCTGAGCCCAGGCCAATTGCTAACCTACAGAATTTTTACCTAAATAAGCAATTTAAGCCATTAACACTGGGGCAGTTTGACATGCAGCAAAAGTTAACTCTATATTGTGGTATCCCAGAATGAGTCAGCAGACTGGGACCCTGTTCCTAACTCATTGTGTGACCTTTGGTAAGTCACTAAACCTTTCTGGTGCCTAGTTTCTTCCACTAAAAATGAGGAGATTAAATTAAATGATCATTAAAGGCCCCTTCTAGTTCTGTCTCATTCTGTGATACTAAATCTTATTAACAAAAATATCATGAATGTGGTAAAATTGTATGAACCAGCTGACGCATAGCACAGTATCTGGGGCTTTTTTTTTTTTTTTTTTTATGTGCCTAAATGTCAAGCTCTGAGATTTAGCTACCTGACGAGGGAGCACAAATATAAAATGCTTCGTCAGTTTTCTAATGGTGTTGTTGGATTCTGGGCTAAAATATGAAGTTGAAAAATGCTGACCAGAAAGAAACTGTAGCTTATGCTGGCATGTAAAGAAACGAAATTACTGTCAACATCTAAATCCAGAAAGAGCTTTCTGTTGGGATGTAAAGGCTTCAGAAAATGCAGGAGCAGAGCAGGGGCTAGGCCTTTCAGAAAAGAAATCCCCCAGATCTTAATGAGAAGAAAAACCTTAGTGAACCTCAAGAATTTGCTCAACTCCCATATTCAAACTTCTACCTATCTGGAAACTGATCCAACAACTTATTTTTCGAAAGTCAGTAAGAAGAAAAATTAAAACATGTGTAGCATATATATATTTTCTTTGTTTTCTTAAATGATCAAACTAGATCATAATGAACATCTAACTGCTCTCTGGAAGGAGCTGTAATTTCATGAAAGTGAAGGTGTACACTAGCCAAGAGAGTTGTTGCTTTTCTAACCCAGAATCAGTGCTAAGGAGGACCCAGAGACTGATGATGCTGGTGCATTCCACATTGCAGTGGCTGAGGTGAAGAGTTACTATTCCAGAAATGAGTCATTAACATGAGTCATTTCACAAACTGGGGTGTGGAAACCCCTGTGTTACTGCCTGAGAGCACACAAGCCTGACTCACTTGAAGGGTTTCTTTTTCTTTTTTTTTTTTTTTGAGGAGGTAGTATTTTTATATAAAAGTAAACCTGAGCACATCTTGAAATCAAATGCAAAATGTACATTAATTTTCCAATAAAACATCAAAGAAGTGTCCTCCTTCCAGCATGTGTCTTCAGGGGTACATGGCTACTCTCATCTGTCATGAGGGTTACTTGTGTGGCCAAGAGTGAGAGGCCCAGTATTAGGTAATCTCCAGGGGCTAAAATGTTCCCAAAGCAAGCCACTTTGAGTGACATTTTCCAAGTAAAGAAAATTACCCAAGACACTGCATTTCTTCTGAGAGATTGTCTGGAGCCACAATATTGGTTTATTATATACAGCTTCCTAGGCTTGTCTCTTAGAGACAGGCCTGAAGCCACCAAGCTCCCAAAACCATGCAAGGAACTTACACACATACACATTCCCCTCCCAGGTTGGAGCAGAGAGAATTCTGGAAGGGGCTCTCCCAGTGGAGGTCAGAAGTAGCAGCACTCTCTTCTCCCAGAGCTTCTGCTTAGCCTGAGTACCCTAACACAGATCCACAACTCACCCTCACTAGCCAAGCCCAGAGTAAAAACCCTAAAACTCTTCCCCTTGGGGGGCAATCATCTCTCCTTTGCTTTCACCTGAAGAGCAGTAGCTTGGCCCATACATTCCTTTTCCTAAACACTACCCTAGAACAATAAGGAAACAATTTCAACCAATCAGCCCAATGCTTGATCTTAAGGAGCCCAGATCACTGAAAACGGAATGATTCGATGAGCTGAGACCACTCTATCAAGGATCCTCTCCTCCCAGTTCCTCTTGAGCTTGCATATTTGTTCAGCAAACATTTGACCATGCCCTGACTCTAGGCTAGACCTGTTCTAGGCCCCTGTGGTTCAGAGGTCCCTCTCTGATGGAGCTGATGTCCAGGGAGGGAGATAACATTAAACAAGTAAATGCACAAATATTCGTACATAGGGAGGCCACATACTCTTGAGTATTTATTAGCCAAGTGTCCACATTCATGAGGTTTCATAGAGAAACAGAAATTAGCCTGAGAATTTCAAAAATATTCAGTGAACTAACCACTTGTAAGATCAGTGTCTACTCAAACAACATACATAATGTCAGCATCTATCACAGCCCAAAGAGCTGTCATCATTTCTGTTCCATCTCTCCTTGTTTTTTGTTTGTTTGTTTCTTTCTTTCTGTTATCTGACAGTATGATGCAATTGCAGTACAAACAAATTGAAAAAAAAAATTGAAGACTTTACCAAAGCTGTAGGATTTTATGATGTCTACGACAGTGATGCTAAAGAACAGCTTAAACCCCAGGCCAAGCCAATGATAGATGAAGCTCTGACAGTTAGATCACGTAACAACAGAGAGAGAGGGATTTGCCACGGATGATGAATTCATAGTCAAAACAGAATGGTTGGATCAAGTGGTTAAAGGAAGCCCTTGGGCAAATGCATAAAGACCTAGACCCTTTCTGCAATAAACAGCTTTCTTTATGTTTTTGTTTTAAAGAATTTTTTTTTAAAATTACAAAACAAGGGAGGCCATCTCATGCCATTATCCGATTTTGTCATAAAAATTATATTGCTTGAAATTATCAACATCTGATTCAACTTTTGTCCACTCTAAACTTCAGTGTGTGGTTGAAATTAGAATCTAAAATTGGGTAAGTATAAGATAAAAATAAATTTATGTTCATAATTTCTAATCTCCGTTTTCAAGAAAATCTTAATCAAATCTTCTTTAAATCCCATTTCCCATGAAATACTGGCTCCTATGTTAAGTGGGCTTGGTCTGAGGTGTCCTTTCAGGGAGGATCACCTCAGGATAACAAGGCCCTCTGTCATCACACTGGTATGAGTGCCATAAAGGAGAATCCAGAGGGCTATAAGACCCAAAGCGGGTTTAGCTGGTCTAGGAAAGTGACATCACAGCTGAGACTTGAAAGCACAGGAGCCTGGAGGTGAGAACATGCCCAAAAGGAGATGTGGCGACCGGCTGGCACAACAAACTAAAGGAAACCCAGCATGGCTGGAGGCAGAAGGAAGGAGGGCAGGACAGGAGACGAGGTTGAAGATACAGATAGGGTCCAGGATGTTGCTTTTTATCATACAAGCAAAGGTCATTTTTGCAAGCTTTTTGAGCAGGAAGGTAACAATTTGTGGGTACCTCATGGCAGATACTGTCCTACTTCTTGTCATTAGGAAAAGCCTTGCTGGACTTCTTATTTTTTCCTAGAACCAAAACCTTTTTTCAAAATCCCCAGGCCGGATGAAGACTTCCCAGTTTTAGGGCCTCACTTAGGGACATTATTTCACTGCATTATAAGACAATGATGAGAAGACATTGAGACCAAGGGACCCAGCTGGCATCTTAAAGCTAAGAGTCTCGGCTCCAAAACTTCCACTTCCAGCTGTGATGAGGCCCTGGGCTTATACTCTTTCACTTCCCACAACCAAAAACAGACAAGATATGAAAAACAGTTTTCAGACAGTGTGTAACAGGCAGCACAGGGCAGTGATCTTGGCAAGAAGGAAAGTAAATGAGGGAAACCTTACAACTGCCCAGCTGACTGCCTGGAGAACATTTCCTAAACAGCACAGAGTGGAGAAACCCAAACAGAGCTCGACATCTCCTTGGGTTAAAGAGACACACTTAAGAGTCTGGGGAGGCCATGAAGGCCAGACTGTGAATGGTAGAGCACCTGAAAGAAGAGAACAGCTCAGAATAGGAGCTGTGCAGAAACTGCTCCATGGAGCTTCTCCCAATGTGAGCATGTGAGAGAACTACTCAAGAAAAGGGAAAGAGAAAAAACAACAGCAGTAAGGACCAGGCAGAATAACTACCAGGGTTCCCACTTGGCTAGGAATGGTTTGTGCTCGCATCAGCTAGAATGGCACAACCTCATCATACATTGGGTACCAGGTGGAGTACTCAACAGGGTATTATTAGCCCTGGACCAAAGACTGCTCTGGTCCCTTCTAACAAAGCTTGAAAACAAGCTCCAAAAGGATCGAGTGGTTTCTAAATAATTTATCAATGTCCCAGAATGAGCTCAAGAATATTTAAAGGAACACAAACATATCAAGCACCCAACAAGGTAAAATTCACAATGTCTGGCATCCAACAGAAATTATTAGGCACACAAAGAAGCAGGGAAATTCAACCATTAATGAGGAGAAAAATCAATCAATAGAAACAGACCCCAAAATGACACAGATGACACAGAATCTCAGATCCACCAAGCTCCACTGTCGGAAGACTTCTACAATAATTATCACTATAGGGAGAGCCACAGAGGGAAGTGGTCTTATAATGGCCACCCAAATCAAAGTCACTACAACATCAAGAGTAAGAATGCAACTGCACATTGTCACAGAGTAGCTGTCAGTCAACATGGTTCCTGTCCCACTGCAGATCACTAGAACCCAGAGATAGTCTTCTCAACAGAGGTGAATGGTTCCGTTTCAGTTTCTAGACTCTAAGAGTGAAAGTCAATTCAGTTATTCAGTAATTTGAAGCAAGGCCCTCCCTTGAGGGACAGAGAAGGTGTGAGTTTGAGCAAAGTCTGTAAGAAAATCAATCTATTCAGCAGTCTTTCAAAAATATTATTCAATCAAGTGCATTATCAGGCACTAAATCAGCGTTACTTTTTATTAGAAAGATAGTACATTCTGATTAAGCAACAACTTTCTTATTCAAACCTCTGCTTTGCTATCTGTTATCTATTCTGCCATCCATATCTTCTGTTTAAATCATGAGAAAAAATTAAGCTATTTGAGAGACAAGCATTCTATGATAACTGAAGAATATTCTCTATTGCAGTGATTATATTAGTGCAGAGCTCTGTTAACATGTAAATGCTTTCCTAAAATCGAGTGTAAGAATACAACACTGGGAGCTAGCAATTTAAAAATGGAAAAATCTTGTTACATATTCCAAATGACTAGACTTGGTAATAACCTTTCCCAGAACAGCAGCACGGCTAATTTTTAACATCTTTTGACTACAAAGTGGGAACCCACATCCTCAGCTTTGATTTTACCTGGTGACTTTATTTCTTTTCTTAATTCAATTTTTTATACAAAGTAATGCATGCTTGCTAGAACATGGAAACGTATCCAAAGATACATAGGGAGAAGTTTACTAATCCTCCAACCCCCATTGACAACCCACATTAACTGCCAGGCAAGCATCCTCTACCTGAACCCAAACACCAGTTGGACACAGATATGCACATGCAAGGCTTTGGGTTAGTTTGATTCAGTTTTTGCCAAAATGGGATCATAACATAATAAATATTACTTTAGAGTTGCTTTTGACATTTATTATGTCGTAGACCACTTTACAGTAACACTGTCATTTATTTTATTCATTCAGTCTTGTTTTAATGGACTTCTAGGTTGTTTTCCATTTTTTTTGCCATTATAAATAATGCTGGAGAAAACATCCTTATATGTAGCCAGGGGGCAGGAAATCCAGAGATCAAACTACCTGTAGATTCAGTTCCCCCACGGGATATTGCAGGGCCAAAGGTATATGCATATTTGTTCCTAATAGCTATTGTTGGATTACTTTCTTCCAAAAACAAAATAAAGTTTGCAACAATGCAATGCACCAGAAATCAATGAAGGTATCTGGATCCTTCAACCCATCCTCTGGAAAGTTGGGAGAGTTACTTAACCTCCTTGAGCCTAAAAACATGAAAATAATAATATGTACATGTAAGGGTACATGGTGGGGACTTGAGGTATGGAAACTCTTGAGGGTATTATTTTATTGTTATTTTTAGCATCATATTTAATCTACTATCTTTGAAATTAGTTGAGTGAGGGTTTTAAATTACAAGTAATGTCATATTGAGGTAAAAACAAACTGCATTTATTTGGGACATCCAGAAAAAATAGAACTGCCAGCAAAATGGTCTTCATAATGTTACAAAAAATAGTATTGTTTTGAAGCCTTATATTAGAACAGTTCTGTCATGAGTTATTTATATTCTTGGGCTATGGTTCCGCATCTTACCTCCTTCCTAGATTTTTTTTTTTTTTTTTACCATCTACCGTTTTGAAAAGTGCCTTCAAATGGTTTCTTCAGGGAGTTAATTCATGGTTGAGATGACTATACAGTGACCAGCAATCGCAACTTAAACTATACAACGGGGTGTGTTTTCTGGTAATTTTTTTTTTTACCAGTGAAGACTCAAGAACCCAATAAAACCATCAGAGCCTTTGAGGCAAAATGTTGGAATAGAAATAAACCCAGACCCTGCAGCAGGAAGACCTGGGCTGAGTCCTATTCCTGTCAATGTGACCTCAAGACATAATTTCATTTTTCAGAGCCCCAGTTTTCTCATTTGTAAACTGGGGAGAATAATGTCTTCCCCAGCACTGTGGATCTGAATATCTTAGTGGAACATGCGCTAAGGAAAAAATCTGCAGGGGAGGTTGATATAACCAATGGCCAAGTTTCAGGAAAACAGGGGTGAGACTCATGGCCAGAGGTCCAGCCTGGGTGATGGGCACCAGGCCTGCTCTTCCATCCCTGCAGAGATGTTTCTACGGAGAGCTGCAATCAAGAGGATCTGTGGTCCCTCTTTCAATATCTCCAGCTTTGTTTCCTGGCCTTCTGTTTTCCCAAATACAAATGAGGAGGACAGAGGGAGAAAGCACATGACTAAATTGCATTGTAAGCATCCTGTTCATCTGGTTGGTCTGCAGCCAGATGGGCCTGTTTGAGGTCAACCGCAGAGCCCGGGAAACTCAGATGGAGGCTCCGCTCCCTGGGAAGGTCCTCCCCTACAAATCCTCCTCACCGGGGATCCCAGGCTGTGTCCAGTTCTAAGGAGCAACCATTCATTCCTGAAAGCTCGGCCTCCCCTGTCCATGCTGCTTCTCAGTGGGTGACCTGGACATGTAGCTACAAGCTGTAAAACCCAATATCCCAAAATGGGCCATGGCAAATAATTCATTAGCATCCTCTCCTTCCCACCCAGGCCCCCAGTGCCTCATCAGGCCCTGCAAAGCCAAGAGCCATCACTTTGCTGGTATCCCTGTTGTAGTTTCTGAGGAAACAGGAAACCTGAGTTTTTGTTTCTACACAACAGCCTCAGCCATTTTTTCCAATATTTTTGTGGTGCCTGGAATGGCCCATGGATGTCATCTAAGCGGAAGGGGTCACTCAGAGGAGAAATAGAAATAGTCTCTGTCTCCAAGAGCCAGACCTGCCTTGCTCACCTGGGACCACACGCGCTGCAGAGCAGGAGGCATGCCCTCTGAGATGGCCAGAAAGTCTACAAGTCTGCCTGTTTCAGCCCCAACAGCCCCGGGCTCCCAGGCCAGGTGGAATTCTGCCATTCACTAATAATAGCATCACCAGCTCAGCAGCAAAAAAAAAAAAAAAAAAAAAAAAAAACTATCTAATACTTTGTCTTAGCAGCTGGTAATGTAAAACAGGGTGGCATTTGGAGGCCTAGGATGATGCCAGTCTCCGGGGAGAGAAAGGTGTTAACTTCTAATAGCTTTTCAGTAATAGCCAAGCATCTGCAGTCCCCTATAAAAAAGAGGGTTTTTAAAAATTAATAGAGCTGAATGTGCTTCACACGGAGGAGAATGCCAGATTAATAAGTGCATTAAGGGCTGCTTTGGATTGGAAATAATTATGGATGATGACAAGAAGCAGAGGGGCCATGGGTGGCGCTCCCAGGAATGCATTTTAAAAAGCAGTTTAAAGAGTCTTCAGATGTTAGTATTATCCTGCGTGACCAAATTAAGAGCAAATGAGAAAAGTTTATCTGGCATTTTGGAGTATTGAAAGGGCTTAGTGTTATAAATTATACAGCATGAGTATAGGAAATGGTGAGTAAATTCATGTTAAATATTATTGGCAGTTTAAATAGCAACTGCTTTATAAAGCATTAAATATTTTAATTTGGAATTAAAAGTACAAATCACAACATCCCCCAACTGCCAAAAAATTCAAAGATTGCTTCCGTTATTTATTTGCCAGCACAATAATTAGAAGTTGTCTTGATCAGAAATTCATCTCTATCATGTCCAATTTTGCTATCAGTGTTGAATAAATGTGATTGAGCTGTAGTTTAGAATCGGTTTAGAACTCCTTAGACAAGATCTATCAAGATACTCCTCCAATATCTTAATCAGTCTTTGGAGAAGCATGTTATAGTTACAGCTTGGGCTGGGGTTTATCAATATTGAATCCAGCCTTACTTCAGGCCTTCCTTCCTGGCAGTGCTTCCTGCAGGGAGAGTTGGTCAGAGAGGGAAACCAGGGTCTTTCTGGGTCTGGCCAGGCAAGTGCCAGATCTGTGGAGAGGGACACTTTCTCATGCCTGTGGAGGCAGCTCCCCCAGAGTCCCAAAAGTGTAATTCATGGACCCTCCCATCTCTGCTGGTAGGTGGGTTAATTGTCATTGCTTTTCTGGAAGTTGATTCAGCAACATCTAATAAAACTTTCAAAAGGTACATGCCTAATTTTTTTCGTTTGTTTGTTTCTGTTTTTGTTTTGAGACGGAGGCTCACTCTGTCACCCAGGCTGGAATGCAATAGTGCGATTTTGGATCACCGCAACCTCCGCCTCCCGGGTTCAAGCGATTCTCCTGCCTTAGCCTCCCGAGGAGCCAGGATTACAGGCACAGGCCACCACACCCGGCTAATTTTTGTATTTTTAGTAGAGACCAGGCTTCACCAAGTTGGCCAGGCTGGTCTTGAGCTCCTGACCTCAGGTGATC
This sequence comes from Homo sapiens, assembly GCF_000001405.40. Taxonomy (NCBI): domain Eukaryota; kingdom Metazoa; phylum Chordata; class Mammalia; order Primates; family Hominidae; genus Homo; species Homo sapiens. The sequence goes on along the minus strand of NC_000010.11, from coordinate 117,645,477 downwards.
TGCCTGCCTCAGCCTCCCAAATTGCTGGGATTACAGGCATGAGCCACCGCAACCAGCCCTAACTATTTGATTTCTAATAGTTTATCTTACTCAAATAAGAGCACAAAGATACATGCCCAAAAATGTTGATTACTTCATTATTAATGATAGCAAAAATAAATATTAAGTAGTTAAGTACCAAATAATAGGGAATAGTTTAAACAAAGCACAGCACATCCATAAAATGAAATACAAAAGTTATGTTATAGATCCCAGTTTCTACTCATGGATGGAAAGAACTGGGAAGGACATTATTCCCACCCTTATAAGAAAAGAAAAAAAAGTCAGACAAGCTACAAGACTTCTACATTTGTTGAGCCCATCAGAGAGCTGAGGTTATAGGACAGCCAAGTAACCAACAATCTGGAGACGCACAGGTGCCTGAAGAAAGAAACAAGACATGAGCACTTCCCTAACTGCAGCAGACAGACATCTAAAGGGGAGACAGACAATGAGACAGAAGAAATAGATGAAGAAAATGAAGAAATAAAGGCCAAGAACTTCCAAAATGAATGACAGGCACCAAACCATAGATCCAAAAATGTCAGAGCACATCAAGCATGATACATGCAAAATAAAAACACACAACACAAACCACCTAAATATATGGGGGATAGAGTCAAGGAGAAAATCCTAAAGATGGCCAGGAGAAAAAGACTTGTTACCTATAGAGGAAAAAAGATAATAATTATAGTAGACTATTCATCAACTCATCAGAAACCATGTAAGTCAGAAGACAATGAAATGACATTTTTAAAGTGCTGAAGAAAAAAAAAAATCTGCCAACCCCAAATTCAATACCCAGACAAACATTTCTTAAAGAAAAATAAAGACATTGTCAGTAAAACAGAAATTGAGAGAATTCATTGCCAGCAAACCTACACCAGAAGAATGTTAAAGAAAGCTCTTCAGGCAGAAGGAATACGATGTCAGACAGAAACTAAGACCTAAACAAAGAAATGAAGAGCACTGAAACTGGAAAAGAGAAGGCAAATAAAATTTACCTTAGTTTTAGTTTTTCTAAAGGATAACTGACAATCTAAAGTGAAAATAGTAGCAGTGTGTTATGTAATCTTAACATGTAAAGTAAAATTATGACAAAAGTAGCACAACAAATTGAAGGGAGTAATTGGGAATGTATTATTGTAAGTTACTTACACTAGACATGAAATGGTATGATATTATTTGAAGGTAGACTCTGATTAAAGACAAATTATCAACACTAGGGCAGCTATGAAAACAACTTTTTAAAGATATAAATAATAAGTCAATAGGTAAGAAGAACAACATTATTTTAAAATGCTCAAGTAACCTAAGAGAAAGCAGTAAAAGAGAAAAAAGAAGAAAAGAACTGATAGAATGGGAAAAAGCTAACAAAATGGTAGACTTGAATCCAAATATATCAATAACATTACATGTGAATGGTCTAAACATACAAATTAAAAGACAGATATTGTCAAAACAGTTTTTTTACAAACGCCAAGACCCAAATATATGCTATTTATGAGCAACCCACTTTAAATATGAAGATATGAATAGGTTAAAAAAACAAAAGTGGAAATAGATATGTCATGCAAACACTAACCAATAAATCAGACAAAGTAGGCTTTAGAACAAAGAATATTATCGGCGATAAAAAGGAATATGATATAATACAATGATAAAGAAGTCAATTCTCTAAAAATACAGAACAATCCTAAATAGGTATGCACCTTAAAAGAGAACTTCAAAATACGTGAAGTAAAAGCTTATTGAAGTGAAAAGAGAAACAGATAAATCCACAGTTTTACTTGGAGACATCAACATTTCTCTCTCAGTAATTAATAGAAAAGTAGGCATAAAATTATAGATATAAGCCCTGAGCTATATTATCAATCAAATTGACAATTGTAGAATATTTCAGCCAAAAAAAAGCACTATACAATGTTCTGAGGGTACATGCAAGCTTAAGTACACAAAAGCCAGGACAGACTATATTCTGGTCCATTAAACCTTAACAAATTTAAAAGAATACAAATGAGGAGCCAGGTGTGGTGGCTCAAGCCTATAATCCCATCTACTCAAGAGGCGGGAGAATCACTTGAGTCTAGGAGTTCAAGGCTAAAGTGATCTATGATCATGCCACTGCACTCCAACCTAAGTGACAAAGCGAGACATATCTCTTAAAAAAAAAAAATACAAACCGTACAAACTCTGCTGTGAAAATACACATTTCTATTTTTGTGAAAATACAAATCATATGAACTGTGTTCATAACAGAATTAAATTTGAAATCAGTACCAGAGAGATATCCTGAAAATACCCCAATATTTGGAAATTAAATAAAACACTTCTAAATTAATCATAGGTCAAAGAGGAAAAAAATCTCAATGGAAAATAAAAATTATTTTGAACTGAAGGAAAATGAAAATGTAGCATAACAAAATTTGTGGAATGCAGCTAAAACAGTGTTTAGATATAACTTTATGTCATTAATTCCTTATAGTTGGAAAGAAGAAAAGATTCAAGTCAGTACCTTTAGCCTAGAGTTTAAGTTAGTAGAAAAAGAAGACCAAAGTAAACTCAAAGCATTCGAGGAAAAGAAATAATAAAGATGACAGCAGAAATTATTGACATTGAAAACAGAAAAATAATAGAGAAACCAAAAGCTGGTTCTTTGCAAAGATTGATATCATTGATAAACCTCTAAGTTGACAAAGCACAAAAAAAAGACACAAATTGACCAACAACATTAATGAAAGAGGAGATATCACTGCAGATTCCATAGATATTAAAAGGATAAGAATAGAATAATATAAACAACTCTATACCTAAAAATTGGACAACTTAGATGAAATGGACTCTTCTTTGAAAGACACAAGCTGCCAAAATATATTCAGTAAGAAACAGATAACCCATTATTATTATGATTATTATTATTATTAGAAATGGAGTCTCACTTTGTTACCCAGGCTGATGTGTAGTGGCATGATCATAGCTCACCATAGCCTCAAACTCCTGGATTCCAGCAACCTTTTACCTCCCCCTCCCAAGTAGCTGGGACTACAGGCACGGGCCATCATGCACAGCTGTCTTTTTGTTTTGTTTTGTTTATGTGGAGACAGGGTCTCACTATATTTCCCAGGCTGGTTTCAAACTCCTGGGCTGATCCTTCTGCCTCAGCATCCCAAGTCACTGGGATTACAGATATGAACCACTAACCTGAATAGTCCTATATCTATTAAAGAGATTGAATTCACAGTTAAACACCTTCCAACAAAGAAAACTCCAGGACCAAATGGTTTCATTGGTTAATCCTACCAAACATTTAAGGAAGGCATAATTCCCATTCTACACAGCCTCTTCCAGAAAAAAATAGAAGATGAGAGAACACATTCCAACTCATTTTATGAGGCCAGCATTACACTTACACCAAGACCAGACAAAGATATTACAAGTTAAGAAAACTACAGACCAGTATCTCTCATGAGCATAGACACAAAAATCCTCAACAAAATAATGCCAAATGTAATTCAGCAATATATAAGAAGAATACATCACAACCAGTGAGGTTTGTTCCAAGAGTGCAAGGCTAATTCAACATTAAAAAACAAGTGATATAAATGGCCATGTTAACAAACTTAAGAAGAAATATTATTTGTTCATCTTAATAGATGCAGAAAAAACATTTGAGGCCAGGCACAGTGGCTCATTCCTGTAATCCCAGCACTTTGGGAGGCCAAAGTGGGCAGATGCCTTCAATTCAAGAGTGAGACCAGCCTGGGCAACATGATGAAACCCCATCTCTACAAAAAAAAAAAAAAAAATTAGCCAGGCATGGTGGTATACGCCTGTAGTCCCAGCTACTGGGGAGGCTAAGGTGGGAGGATCACCTGAGCCTGGGAAGTCAAGGCTGCATTGAGCCGCAATTGCACCACTGCTTTCCAGCCTGGGCAACAGAGTGAGACCCTGTCTCAAAAAAAAAAATAAGAAAAGAAAAAACATTTGAAAAACTTCAACATCTGTTGCTGATTTTTTTTAATCTCAAAAATGTAGGAATAGAAGCGCATTTACAGAAAAAAAAAATCACCAAAAAAAACCTATAGCTAACATCATCCTTAACATCAAAAGATTGAAATCTCTTCCTCTAAGATTATGAGCAAGGCAAGCATGTCTCCTCTCATCACTCCTTATTAACGTCTTAATAGATGTCCTACCCAGCACAATGAGGCAAAAAAAAGAAAAGAAGGAAGGATGGAAGGAAGGGGGAGTATGCACCATGCAGACTCAAAAAGAATAAATAAAGCTGTCCCTATTTACAGACAATATGATATTTGATGTAGAAAATGTAAAGGCTCTACCAAAGAATTCCTTAAATTAAAGGTTGTGGAATTTTTCAAAAGTCAAGCTACAAAAATAAGGCTGAGTGCAGTAGCCCTGTAATCCCAGCACTTTGGGAGGTCGAGGCAGGTGGATCACTTGAGTTCAGGAGTTTGAGACCAACCTGGCCAACATGGTGAAACCCCGTCTCTACAAAAAATACAAAATTAGCCGGTGTGGTGGTGCACACCTGTCGCCCCAGCTACTTGGGGGGCTGAGGCAAGAGAATCGCTTGAACCCAGGAGGCAGAGGTTGCAGTGAGCTGAGATCATGCCATTGCACTCCAGCCTGGCAACAGAGCAAGACTCTCTCTAAAAAAAATAATAATTGTATTTCTATAAACTAGAAATGAATAATTGAAATTCAAAATTTTTAAAACAGCACTATTTCTAACAACACCAAAAAAATTAAAACTTAGCTTTAATCAAACGAAAAATATGCAGAATCTATATGCTGACAGTTGCAAAATAGTGATGAAAGAATAAAAGAGCTAAATAAGCAGAAAGAGATAACTTGTTCATGGGTTGGAGACTCAATATTGTTAAGATGTCAGTTCTCCCCAGTTTGGGTTATAGATTTAATGCAATCCCCATCAAAATATCAAGCAGGCTTTTCTGTAGATATCAAAAAGGTATTTCCAAAATTTGTATGGAAAAAAGAACTAGAATAACCCAACCAGTCTTTATAAAGAAGAACAAAGTTGGAGGACTCATACTCCAAGTTTTAGACTTACTTTAAAGCTACAGTAATCAAGACATCATAGTATTAGCAAAAGGATAGACACATATGTGAACCTAACATATCAGAAAGTTCTGAAATAGACCCGCACAAATAGTCAACTGATTTTTGACAAAGGTGCAAAGGCAATTTAATTTAGAAAGGATAGTCTTTTCAGCAAATAGTGCTTGCAAACAGTGATTATCCATATGTAAAAAAATAAAAACAGAAACTAACCAAAAACAGACCTCAATCTGTACCTCACACCTTATACAAAAATTAATCCAAAATGGATTACATATCTAAATGCAAACATAAAACTATAAAATCCCTAGATGAAAACATAAGAGAAAATCTTTGTCACCTCAGATTAAGAATATTTCTTAGACATGACACAAAAAGCACAATACATATAAGAAAAAACCTGATAGAACTTTATCAAAATTTAAAACTTTTGCTCTGCAAAAGACACTGTTAAGAAAATGAAAATTCAGGGCACAGAGAAAGGAAAAATATTTGCAAATTGTATTTCTGACAAAGAACTCATGTTCAGAATATGAAAAGAACTCTCAAAACTCAATCAGAATAAGAAAACAAATAACCCAATTAAAAATGGGCAAAAGATATAAACAAACATCTCACCAAAGAAGATACACAAGTGGGAAATAAGTATATGAAAAGATGCTCAATATCATTAGTTACTAGGGAAATGCAAATTAAAATCATAGTGAAATGTAACTACACATCTATTAGAATGATTACAATTTAAAAAATAAATTGACAGTACTAAGTGCTGACAATGACACAGAGAAGTGGAAATCTCATACATTGCAGGTGGACATTCAAAATGGTACAGCTACTGTGGAAAACAGCTTCATAATTTCCTTCAAAGTTCATTATACACTAACATATGACCGAGCAATCCTACTCCAAGGTATTTACCTAAAACAAATACAAATTTATGCTCACAAAAAAACCCTGTACATAAATGCTTAAAGCAGTTTTATTTATAATTGCCAAAAACTAGAATCAACCCATATGTAGTTCAGCTGATAAATAGAAAAATATTCAACATATGGCACATCCACAAAATGGAATAGTACTCAGCAATAAAAAGAAGCAAACAACTATTGATTCACAGAACAATATGGATGAATTTGAAGTGCACTTTGCTAAGTCAGACCCAAAAACCTACATATTGTATGATTCCATTTATATGAAAAGACAAAACTACAGAAATGAAAAATTGGTGGTTTCCAGAAATAGAGGGAAGGTCAGGAAAGCCTAGAAAGGGGCCACAGAAGGGAATTGTGTGATGACTTGTTCTGTATGGTAATAGGGTGGTGGGTACATAATTCCATGAATTTGTCAAAATTCATAGAACTGTATGCCACAGAGTGAATTTTACTTTATGTAACTTTCAAAACCTAGGATGTGGAAAGTACTGAAAATGGAAGGCTAAGTGTGATAATTAAAGCTGCCCATATTACAAATGAATCATGTAACCACACTGAAGAGAGTGAGGAAGAAAAGGACTAACCAAATTACTCCGAAACACAGTATGTTGACTAGGTATTTTAAGGCTAAAAACAAAAGAATTGTACACAAATACCATATTTTAGCTAGTAAGCTTTTCTTCCCCACAAGGCAAAGAATTAGGTATTCTGAAACTACTTTTAGGGTCCAGGTTTTCATGTCAGAGAAAGTTATAAATGGGGAAAGGCTAAGATGAACCCTGTGGTGTTGGATTGGAATAAGAGGTACTAGTGTAAACTCATGCGTCTTTTAGGAAAGAAAGAGAAATACATGCATATGCCCAGAATGGGACACATGCGTATATTTCCAGGCTCTGTCTGCTGAAAGGGCTTAGAAGCAATGACAGTCAGCAGAAATAAGGACATCTAGCCAGATCATGGTTTCTAAATAGCATTCTCCAGTAAAATACACTAGGGCTCCTTGGAGAATTGGTTTATTCCAAGACTGGTCAGGAAAATACACAATGAGCCTGGAACATCTCCAGGTACTAAAAAGTAAAGAAGTGCTTGAGAAAAGATGGGGAGAGCATGTTACAAAGGCAGAGAAGCCAATCTGGAAAAGCTCCCAAAGGTTGAAGCTGGAGCAACCTGAGCAACAAAATAAATAAGGATAGCATTAGATTATAAGCAGCTACATGAGACCTGAGTGATGCTAATTAATAAATCAATAAGAAGGGACTGCTCTTCAGACAGAATAATTTCAATTAACAAATGCAGAAGGAATGAAGAAAATAGGAAATCGCTCTCTGAACACCATAATAATAATTATTGCAGGCAAGCCCCACCAGTGGATGCTAAAATTGGAGGCTAATGTTAGCAGAAACAGGATATTTGCCTACTCTCAAAGTATCTACTGCAAGATACTTATGAATTCCAAAGGCAAAAAAAACTTTACATTGGAGAAACCTGGCAGACATTGCTTTAACCAAGTGATCAACGTTAATATTTCAGTAAAAAGACTCATCAACATCATGCAGCCCCTGATGATACATTGAGAATGCTACTTGTGTGTTTTCCTTACCAACAATGCAATCTAATCTAATCTAACCCCAATCTAATCACAAGACGACATTGGACAAACCCAAATCGAGTGACATTCTACAAAATAACCGATCAGTACTCTTCGAAAGTGTCAAAGTCATGAAATACCAGGAAAGACTGGAGAAGTGGCACCCATTGGAGACAAAGGAAAAAATACAACTGTAGTTAATGTAAGATCCTGGACTGGATCTTGGAACAGAAAAAGGGCACTAGGAGAAAAGACTGGAAAAGTCCAAATAAAGTCCACAGTTTAATGAATGTTAATTTTTTAGTTTTGATTGTTTTACCATAGTTTTGTGATTATTTTTAGTAAGTCTAAAATTATTCCCCCCCAAAAGCTTAAAAACTATGTGGATAAAAAACATATTTATGGACATAAAATATCTTTACAATATATCAATATAAAAAGAAAATCACAAAAAATGGCATATATTTTTGTTTAGTTACCAAAATAAGTATACATACATATATTTATAGTACAAATGTATGTAGATGTACATACACATATTTTTATACATATAGCATGTATGTATACTAATATCATGACATGTCATATCGTATCATGTTATACCCAGAGTATAAAGTGATACCAAAGTATTTCCATTAGTTTTCTCAGGGTGGATGAGATTGTAGATGGTGCTATTTCTTAATCTTCTTTTCTTTATATGTCTTTATTTTCTAATTCTTCTGCCATTAACCTTTTACTGTGTATTTTCTAACTTTTTTTTTTTTTTTTTTTTTTTTTGAGACAGAAGTCTTGCTCTGTCACCCAGGCTGGAGTGCAGTGGTGCAATCTTGGCTTACTGCAACCTCCACCTCCCAGATTCAAGCGATTCTCATGCCTCAGCCTCTTGAGTAGCTGGGACTACAGGCACACACACACCACCATGCACAGCTAATTTTTGTATTTTTAGTAGAGATGGGCTTTGCCATGTTGGCCAGGTTGGTCTCAAACTCCTAGCCTCAAGTGATCTGCCCACCTCAGCCTCCCAAAGTGCTGGGATTACAGGCTTGAGCCACCACACCCAGTCTCTAACATTTTTGTCGTTTAATTTTTACATAAAATCCAAGCACGAAGCTGAGTTGGGGAACCAGGGAAGCCCCCAGTTCAGGATTGAGCTCCAACAGTGTGGTCATGGAGACTCTCTGATTGCTGTCTTCTTTGAACCCATTCTATATTGTTTCATGCCAGGGCAGGTCTAGGGTAATGTCTCCCCTTTCTTTGATTTGTATCTTCTAGCAGGTATCCAAACCCTCTCAGTGGGGGATCTCAGCTTTTATGTTCCCACCAAATGTGTCATCAAGTCCTCTTCAAAGCCCAAAGCACACAAGAGAAGTGTAGGGAGATGGCTGCTAAACCCTGGACTTTCTAGGCCAGAGACCTTCCCAAAGCCACAAGGGGAAGCAGCACCATGTAATGAATGGTTCAGGCACTCCCTTTATTGATAGAGCAGGGGTGTCAAAATATAAACATGATGTGTACATATCTTCAGACCCCCAGAGGAAATGGAGTCCTTCATTCAAAACTTTCTACAATCTGACTGCTCATCCCTAAAAAAGAAGTGAGTTTTACCAGAAATTGACAGTCATTTCTTTTAACCATTCTCTTTGGGAAACAATTCTGCCTGCTCAGATTTACAAGCAATTTAATTTTAGGCTCAACATTCTGATTCCACAAGAGAGAGCAGATGGCAGAGGCTAAGGTGGGGCTTCCCAGGAGCAGAGGGGAGGCGGAAAGGAGGCCAGCACCACAATTAGAGCAACTTTCTCATTACACGACTCCCAGCACAGTGGACTCAGGCGCCGGCCCCTTGGAATTTCAAATCCAACTTCTCAGAGATTTATTTTTCTTTTGAAACAATTTCTGGCAGCTTTTGATCTTCTAAACTGAAAAAAAAAAAATCAAAGAAATCTGTTTCTCTGGAGTATTAATAGCAAAGGAATTTCTGGATGCTGCAAAGTAGGAAAGGAACATAATAGCATCTCAGTTTTATTCATCTTCAAAGCAAACTAAATATAGTTTTAAAAAAATAGAAGCAGGATACCCTACAGATTTTTGAAGGGATGGAATAAACCTCTTTGCACAAGAAAAGATGACATGAAATTTATCTTGAAGGACACTCACTGGGCTCTTGTCCGTTTAATACCTACAAGTGGGCTGTCAGAAGGGATCTGGATTTTACATCAGAAGTGAAAAATAGCTAATGATTCAGGAAACTCAGAAGCTCAGCCATTTTCACAAATATTGGACATTGCCTCTCTTACCCTGCTGGGATATCAATACCACGTGTCCCCCCAAAGCACAAGGACATTCAGACTTTCCTAATGAGCAAACATCCAGCCAACATGCATGAAAAACTGAGCAGCATCTTCATATTCCCAAAACCCACACTCGATCCTTATTGCCCCTGTTGGTAGTAAGTATGGATGAAGTAGTGGGAGGCACGTCTGTGTTTAGCTGGGGTGCAGATGGCAAGGTGCCTGTGTGTGCAGGTGAGTATGACAAGAGAGTGTATTCGTGTATTATTTGAAAAGAATATAGTAGCTATCGAGGAGCAACTATGAGTCAGATGCTTCTCTGGGCACTGGAGATACAGCAGCACCTACACAAACACAGAGGCTAATTTCTGGTTGTGATCTGTGCTGTAAAAGAAATACATGAGAAATCTGATGGAGAATTCTGGGAAGAGGGTGAACATTTAGAAAGGAATCTGTCTGAGGAAGAGATTCTGGGCTGAGTTAAACGATGAGGTACCAGCCCTTCAAAGAACTAGGGAGAAAGCTGCTCCAAGCAGAGAACAGTAAGTGCAAAGGCCCTGAGACCTTCTAGCAGTCCCTCCCATATTCCCTGAGAACTCACCTTCCCAGGGCACACCTGCAGTGCCCTACTGCAAGCACCCAAGTCTCTCTGCCTGGGTACTCTCTCTTGGAAGTGCCTTGAACAGGCCAGAAGTGCTGGGAAGTTAATGCCCCCAGAAGCAGTTCTCAGCAAATCCCCAGTTGGAGTTGGTGCTAAAACACCGGCTTCCTCACCCATGGTGTGGGACCCTCGGAAACGTGCAGCAGGGTCAAGCTCCACTCGCCCACAGCAACAGCCTGCTCTAATGAAACACACCAGCCTGTCTGGTTTCCCTTCCTTCCCTATCCTACTTCCCACTCCACCACTGTTGCTTTCTAGGGTTACCTCCAAATCAGTGGTATGCATTCCAACCACTCATCTCAGAGGCTGTTTCTAGAAGACCCAGACTAAGACAAACTGGAAAGGATTTGGTGGGGAGTCAAGGCAAGATCAGCACACAGGGACTCTGGACAGGACAAGAGGGGCCAGGTCATGCAGGCCACTGATGTCCTTAGAGGAAATTTGTCTCTCCGATTGTTTTACAGTGGCAGCCTGCCTTCCCCAGCAGAATGGGAAACCAGTTGCAGGCAAGGACTGGCCTTGAACTGATTGTGTATCGCAACAAAATGCCTTCTCTTGTTTCTCCTCTACAGCATCCACCCCTATCCACAGAATCATTGAGCTCAGAGGATGATGTAGGGACCGACCACATAGTCCAGAGTCAGCTCCATGGGGTCAGGAACTTTGCTTTGCTCACAGGTGTAACCTTGACACATATAACACCATCTGGCACTAGTATGTGTTTGATAAATACTTGTTGGATGAATTAATCCTAAAAATGAGAAAACCAGGAATTAGAGAAGACAAATGATTTATCTAAAGTCATGCCCAAGTCGACTGGAAAACTGAGACTAGAAACCAAACTCCTGCTACCAAGAGGCTTTGACTATGCCTGCAGCTCTCACAACCCAGAGTTGATCTGGCCTCCGTGGTCATTCACAGTGGCTGCTGGTCACCCTCCACCAAAGGTCTCTACAAGACTTTGTTATCACCTGGGACAGTTGCAGGGAAGGGAAAGGGCTCAACAAAAAAGCACAGGCTTTGGAGCCACACAGGCTGGATTTAGGCCCTGACTCTGACCTCAACATAAGCTCTGTGACCTTGACCCGAGACCTCAGCTCTCTGAGTTGCTGGGATAAAGAGATCAGCTCTCTTCCAGAGGAAGGAGAAAGATGGTAAGGCCTGAGAAGGAACAACCTCACATCTACCTTTTCACCTACTCTTTGTCCCTGTAGCAGAAAGGACACTAATCCTTTCCTAGACAATGGAGAAATCCTGGAATATCTGATAGGGGATTCTTCACAGTTTTCATATAAATAACCTGATGAATGAATATAAATTAATTTTTAATCAATTGTTTCCTGTAAAAGTAATCTAGACAAAACAGAACAGACAACAGTTCAAATGGGACATGTTAAAAATTATTACAGAATTAACAGAAGATTGAAATCATCCTGCTAAAATTTTTAGCACCAAATTCATTCCAGAAAACCTCGATTTGGTAGAATACCCATAAAAGAAAACTCCCAACAGAAACGTGTTATAATTTGCAAAATTTGATAAGGGAAAAAAAATCCTGATCAATGAAACAAATCTTCACTCTAAAATCTACCTAGAAAACAATTGATATTGATGAAAATAAGGGAAAATCAGGACCTGACTGTGTTCTATAGAAAAGAAATCAATATGTTAAACTGGCTTAATCGAAGACTCTCTCGGCATAAATGTATCTTTTTGTTTAATTTTTAAGAATAATGAGTGTTCATAAAGCTGCAGAGAATGCTAGGGATCAAAATGGTAGGTTCTAAATGTCCATGGAGTCAAAATGGCAAGTTCTAAACTTCCTGTACCTGGCATAGAGCCCTGGTTGCAGCAAGGAACTCATTTGTTTCCTCTACAAGTATGTGCTGGGCCTGGGCCTGCTAGAGACACTAGGTGCCAGGGATTTGGGGTGAATTTTAAATCTCAGGCCCCAAGGATCCTGGGGTCTAGCGTGGAACTCACCCAGGGGAGAATGATGTGATCAATTGTGGTGGCAGATGTAGGAATGCAAGAGGGTCTCATCCCTGTGGCAGGTGCGTGGATGAGGCTTCACTGAGGACCTCTTAGCTGAGTCTTCCTGGATGAGTCTAATGCCTCCAAGCTGCCAAGGGGCAGAAAGCACATTGCAGGCAAGGGGGGACAGTCTGGGCAGACGGCTGAGGACAAGCGAAAACACAGAGCATTCAGAAACCTCAAAACAGCCCCCTGAGGTTAGACCTGGAGGAGCGATGGGTGGAGGGGAAAGACAGAAACAGCCTGGGGCGGAAGCGTGGGCACCTTGCATCTAGGGCTTTCTCCTGCAGGCAGCGGGAGTCAAGGAACATGACTGTGTCAGGGGTGAGTGAGACTAGAGGCAGGCTCCATGAGGAGGCCAAGGCGACTGTGCAGGGAAGGATGGTGGCAGGGGGCTGAAAGGGAAACTGAGGAAGTGGGATGAAAAGAACACAGTGAGGTGAGGAGGAAGAGGCAGGATCTGAGGATGCCTCCCAAGGAACTGGTTAATGTGGTTGAGGATGGGGAAGTCTCATGAACCAAGAGTGAAACACCAAGGAGGTTAGGGTTGAACATGTAAGATCATTTTGTTCAGTTGTTTAGAAAAATGTTGGCATCAGAATCCTTCTAATTAAATCTTAAGAATTAACAAAGAAAGAGAGAGAGAGAAAACCCAGAACTGCTTTAAATACCAAAGAGCCTGGAGAGGTGCAGAGGGGGTTGGCCTCCCCCGGATCACAGTTGGAAGGCCCCTGAAGGTCCAGGCCCCTCTTCTCAGCTGAGGCTCAGAGAGGAAGGGTTTCCTGGCACAGCACATGGCCACGGAGGCTCCAGAACCCAGCTGAGGGACTGGTGGGGCCCTGCTCCTCCCTCCACAGCCAACAGTCCCCGCTAATGAGGACTTTGCGTTCTTGGCCCTGCTCCTGCCCAGCTGGCCTTTTGGCTGAGAACATCTTAGGCTGCATGAGAGCCTTGCCCTCACAGGCACACCCCCTTGGACCTGCCTATCCAGATCCCAACACCCTGGATCTTGTCCACACTCTGGTCCCTTCTGAGAAGGGTGAACACCATGATAACATGGTTCGTTGCTGTTAGAAAACTCATCCCCCTCCTGGCACCCATCCTCTGGCAGACAATCACTGTTCACAGCCCTCCAGGTGCGGCTGGCCCAGGCTATGAGCAAGCGAGCAGCAAGAGTGTGAACACCACCGGATTTGCTATTGAGACCTGGATTTGAGCTACAGCTCTGCCATAAGCCAGCTGTGTGGCCTTTGGAAAAATCACCTGGCCTCTCTGAACCACAGATCCATCCTCCACAAAGCAAAGGCCATAATGCTGGCCCCACCTCCATCAAACTGCTGTAAGGATGAAGGGAGGCAATTAAGCAAATCCACATTGCTTCCTGAAAAATTTCGCTGGGGATGCAAGGGGCCTGTGGCACTCTCATCTGTCACTTCCCCTGCCGGAAGTAGCAGTACTTACCATTATTGTCACCAGGAACCACTCTTCAAAAAAACCCTAGAGCTGTGACGCAGGAGAGAGCTAGGAGGAGTGGGGTGAAGGGGCAGGACCTACCTAGAAACTTGCCTCGTGTTTGTCCCACTAGAAACTCACTCATGCCCTATTTACTTTTTTTTCTTTTTTTTTTTTTTTTTTGAGATGGAATCTCACTCTGTCGCGCAGACTGGAGTGCAGTGGTGAGATCCCGGCCCACTGCAACCTCTGCCTCCCAGGTTCAAGCGATTCTCCTGCCTCAGCCTCCCAAGCAGCTGGGATGATAGGTTTGTGCCACCATGCCGGGCTAATTTTTGTATTTTCAGTAGAGATGGGTTTCACCATGTTAGCCAAGCTGGTGTCAAAGTCCTGACCTCAGGCAATCCGCCCACCTCTGCCACCCAAAGTGCTGGGATTACAGGCGTGAGCCACCAGGCCCGGCCCTATTTACTCTTAATTTATGTACAATCGGAACAAACTTGTTTATCTGTTTCCCAGCTCTTTGTACTTGAGAAGTAGCAAATTTAAAAGAATGTAGGAGAAAGGGGAAGGAAGGGCATACTGAAAAGGGCAGGACAGAAGGACAGAAACACCATAAGTAGGCACAAAACCCGCTATCACAGCCTGGGGACACAGGAAAAGTACAGGAAGCCAAGGCCATCACTGCACAATTGTTGATGCTCCCCATACAACCCTGAGTTGCCAAAAAATAAAAACAGAAGCCAAACATTAAATAAATTTCAGCATACTCTGGTTAAGAAGCTATGACTTTTTAAAATACTCATAGCTTTTAAAATCAGCAATTCTACTTCTAAAACATATATCCTAAGAAAATAACAAACAAGGGCAGATGGTTAAAGATTATTCATTACAGCATTGTATCTAGTGGGAAAAATTGGAAATGGTCCAAATGCCCTTCTAAAGAGGACTGGTTAAAGCGGCTCTTCCATTCTCAATAAAACTTTCCAGAAGGGTTGCTGTGTTTTCGTGTTACCTAATCCATGACTTTCCCGTAAATTAATCCAAGTGTTTTATTAAAATAAATGTATTTACTTCAAAGAAAAGAAAAACTATATTACCCTAAATGGAATATTAGTGTCAGTGCCATAAATAAAAACAATACACATATCACAATGGAAAGAAAGTAATGTTATTAAAATCTAGCTCGATAAAGTTGCCTCTTTAAGACTGAGCCTGTGATGGTTACTATTGTGTCAACTTGATTGGATTGAAGATTGCAAAGTATTGTCCCTGGGTGTGTCTGTGCGGGTGTTGCTAAAGGAGATCAACATTGGAGTCAGTGGACTGGGAGAGGCAGACCCACCCTCCATCTAGGTGGGAACCATCTAATCAGCTGCCAGCAGGCAGAGGAATGTGGGAGGCCTAGACTGGCTGAGTCTTCCAGCCTTCATCTTTCCCCCATGCTGGATGCTTCCTGCCCTTGAACATCGGACTCCAGGTTCTTCAGCTTCTGGACTCTTGGACCTACACCAGTGGTTTGCCAGGGGCTCTCAGGCCTTTGGCCACTGACCGAAGGTTGCACTGTCGGCTTCCCTACTTGTGAGGTTTTGGGACTCGGACTGGATTCCTTGCTCCTCAGCTTGCAGACGGCCTATTGCGGGACTTCACTTTGTGTTCGCGTGAGTCAATACTCCTTAATAAACTCCCTTTCACATATACATCTATCCTATTAGTCCTGTCTCTCTAGAGGACCCTAACTAATACAGCTACAGACTTAGCAAGTAAGAAAGAAAGGAAGAGAGAAAGGAGGGGAGGGAAAGAAAATGACTTTTAAAATATTAACAATAACAAGCAGGGGAGATATTAGAGGTAGTCTAGTGAGATGCTAAAAACATACCCCCAGCAGGCTGGGACTTTCCCCTTGTACCCAGAGGTGTTGAAGTATAATCAAAATTCATGAAGTACTATCTCACTATGTGAGTTAGTATTATTTGGGGATTGCTCTGGAAAATAAACTTAAGAAACACCAACAACCAAACACAATGCAAGGCATTCTCTCTCTTTGGCTCCTGATTCAAACAAAACAGCTGGAGAAAGCACAGTCAGGAGACTATCAGGAAAATCTGATGATAGACCAGATCCCAAGGTCGACTTTGTTAGGTCCTGGCTCTGTGGTTGCACAAGAAAATACCTTCCCTCACCCATGCCCCCCACAATCTCCTGGTCAGAGATTTATACTAAAGGATTCAGGGGTAAAATGACAAGATAACTGAATTTGCTTTAAAATATTTCAACAAAAGAAAAAAAAATTAAATGTGGCAAAATGTTGATAATTGTTGAATCTAAGTGATGGGCCTTTGAGAGTTTATTGTGCTATTCTCTCTACTCGTCAAAGTTTGAAAAATTGCATAACAAAAAAGGAAACAAAAAATATAAACAGAAGATTTCTTGTTTGTAGGCCACCCCGGCTTACAAAGCCCATGTAATTTTGAAGAGTTTAAAGACCCTCATCTGGGTAAGTCAAGCTTCAATTTCTGTGCATGTTAGTCCCCAAAACTCTGACCATTTTTAATTACTGTACATCAGACTCTGCAAAAATAAATAAAAATAATGATGGAAATCCATGCGCGATGACGAGGGAATGTATCCAAGGCAGATTGTTGAGGAGGAAAGCATGCCATACAAGAGTGTATTTATGTGAAACCTAAAGGAAAATCCCTTTCCCCATTATAGGCCTAGAGAGAGTCTGGGAGCTGGCCACGGGGACCCTAGGAGGAGCTATCTTGGGGTGAGGGTGAGGGGTCCTGCTTTTGTCTTTATGTTTATCTGTATTGTCTAAAATTTAATTGTATTGTTATTATTTTGAGATGGAGTCTCACTCTGTTGCCTAGGCTGGAGTGCAGTGGTGCCATTTCGGCTCACTGCAACCTCTGCTTCCCAGGTTCAACTGATTCTCCTGTCTTAGCCTCCCGAGTAGCTGGGATTACAGGTGCATGCCACCACGCCTGGCTAATTTTTGTATTTTTAGTAGAGGTGGGGTTTCACCATGTTGGCCAGGCTGGTTTCAAACTCCTGACCTCAAGTGACCCACTGTGCTCCGCCTCCCAAAGTGCTGGGATTACAGGTGTGAGCCGCCATACCTGACCAAAATTTAACAAAACTTTACAGTGAATAGATGTCATTCTTAGAATCAGGTGAGAAGGCTGCTACCATTTTGAGAAAATAAATCAGAAAATTATTTCTTACTGTATAATGAAAGTATTTAACACATGGCAGTTTAAAAGAAAATTAAATTCCCATTATTACCACGGTTCTCTGTGACACCAGGCACATTCACAGTCAGTAACTGGAGAAGGCACTAGAACAGGCCTCCTATGAGCTCATCTCAGCACGAGGGACTGAGTCTGAGGGAGGAGCGTCAGGTTTCCTTGACTTCGCCCCTTTGCCCATGCTGTGTCCCTGGCTGGCATGCCCTCCCAGCTCTTCTGTGCCTCCCTGACCCCATCCATCCTGGCTGAGCTCCAGGAAGTCTGTTCTGAAGCCCCAGCCCACCCATCCTCACAGAGGATGCATTACTCTGACATCCATTACTCGACTGCTCTTCAGCAGATGCCAATCTCCCATCCATCTGTAGGTACCTGACCTCCATCTGTAGGTTGGAGAGCCAGGGCCTTGTCCTGGACAGGTGCCATGCACCCCACAGAGAGCAGAGAACACTGCGGAGTGGAAAGCAACACAGCCCTGCTTCGTGTCCCTGCTCTTCCCAGCTGGGAGACTCGGGGCAAATCATGTAACCCTAAAAGGCCTCAGTTTTGACAGCTGTAAAATGGAAATAAGTGAATCTAATGGCTAAAAACCTCTCTGGAAAATTAAATGAGAGACTGTATAGACAGTGTTGCTAATATATAAGGCATGATTAAAATATAGCTATTAGTGTTATTGATTCTCTGTAAATATTTACGGATAATGATGAAGACAATATTAAAGATTTTATCATCCTTTGAAAAACTACTGGGCCGTATTTATTTCAGAAGTTTCCTTAGGAAGTAATAAAAAAATGTGTTCAATGAACAAGGATAGTCATTGTGTATAACAGTAAACATAGTAAACACTCTCCTATGGTTTATTATGCAGATATTAAAGGTGATAAAATATGTTGTGTGACATGGGAAATGCCTATGATACATTGCAAAATTTTAAAATCTAGCTATGGGGCTGGGCACAGTGGCTCACGCCTGTAATCCCAGAACTATGGGAGGCCGAGGCGGGCAGATCACCCAAGGTCAGGAGTTCAAGACCAGGCTGGTCCTGATCTACAAGGCGAAACCCTGTCTCTATTAAAAATACAAAAATTAGCCAGGTGTGGTGGGCGCCTGTAATCCCAGCTACTTGGGAGCTGAGCCAGGAGAATCGCTTGAACCCGGGAGGCAGAGATTGCAGTGAGCCGAGATCACACCATTGTACTCCAACCTGGGCAACAAGAGTGAAACTCCATCTCAAAAAAGAGAAAAAAAATCTAGCTATAGGAGAGGGGAATCTATGTGTGTGTGTGTGTATACACACATTATATAAGTATTATATATGTATATATATAAGTAATAAATATGTATATTATATAAGTAATATATATACACACACACATATACATATTATAGAGAGAGATCCAAAGAAATTCTAAGGAAAATTACTCTAAAATGTTAATCATGGTTATCTGTGGATTAAGAGCGGGCAGGTAGATTTTTTTGTTTCTTCTTGTTTACTTGAATTTTTTTAAATTTTCTAAAACTAGCATCTATTCCTTATGTGAAATTTCTAAGTTACTTTTTAACATGGCCCCACCACCACCACACCGTGTCCCTGTCACTGAGTTAATGATAAAAGGCCATTCTCAGCCCCCAGCCTCAGGCTGCGAGGGCTCTCAAGGTCACGCGACTGCCCCACATGGACCCTTAGTGTCTGTGTAGAAGAGCCTGGCATGATTTTCACGAGCACCGAATGGACACGGTGGGTGAACAATTAGCCAGCTCTGGGCAGAGAAACCACCTCCCTGGAGGCTCACACAGGAACCCTGGCCTTGGAAATGAATAGGAATGCTCTGAAACTAATTCCCAGAAGAGGGGTCAAATAGAAAACTTAACACCTAGGAATCATCCTCCTCCAGCGTGTAACACGATAGGCTGGGTCTGGGGGTCCAGAACAGGGGTGAGGAGAGGGGGACAGACAAGGTTGGAGGGCTGGGTCCATCCCCTCCTTTCACCCTCCCCTCTCCCACTTCCCCATCTCCTGCAGCACCCCCTGCCCTCCTCGCACCACTCTCTCTAGGCTCCTTCTCCATTTGTGCCTCAACCCTACCCGCCATTGTACAAATTTCGCCTCTCCAAAAAGCCCATAGTTTCTCTAGGAATCTCCAGAGAGATAATACTATAAAATGTCAGAGTGGAATAGACCCTCAAATATCATGTTACTCCCTTGCTTTCCATTGAGGAAACCGATTCAAGGAGATGATTAATCAATGTGTCCACAGTCTCCCAGCCAGGAGGTATAGAAGCCAAGATGAGAACTCAGATGTCTTTGCCCCCAGGTCAGTGACTTGGCCTCCACTGCTCCTCTTCCTGCTATTGGCTGAAGGAAAATGTAGCATCCTGCTTAAGGCCATGGACTGCCAGGCAGAATCCCTGGGCTCCAGTCTCAGCTCTGGCACTTACCACCTATGTGGCCTTGAGTGCCCCAGCTTTCTCATCAGGAAAATGGGGATAAGAATAGTAACTACATCATGGGTTTGTGTAAAGATTAAAGGAGTTAAAGCACATTTACAACAGAACCTAACACATAGTAAGTGTTATGTAAAGCTGATATGGTTTGGCTTTTTGTCCCTACCCAAGTCTCATCTCTAATTGTAATCCCCACTTGTCAGGGAAGGGACACATTGGAACGTGATTGGATCACGAGGGCAGTTTCCCTCATGCTCTTCTCCTGATAGTGAGAGAATTCTCACGAGATCCTATGGTTTAAAAGGGCAGTTTCCCCTGCTCTCTCTTTCTGTCTCTCCTGCCACCTTGTGAAGAAGGTCCTTGCTTCTCCTTAGACTTCTGCCATGATTGCAAGTCTCCTGAGGCCTCCCTAGCCATGCAGAACTGTGAGTCAATTAAACCTCTTTTGTTTATAAATTACCCAGTCTCAGGCAGTACTTTACAGCAGTGTGAAAATGGACTAATACCAAGGCTTTGCTATTTTAATAATTAATTTTGTCAGCCACTTAGTTGTGTCTGTGGGAAGAAGCCAGAAAAGTGCAGAGATAGGCTAAGTGACTCAGCAGAGGAAACACAGGATCTCCTCAGGAAGCAGAAGCCCAGCACCTCCATCTTCCTTGGGAACACGGTGAGACCCAGGCCAGCCACCATTCATCCCTGAAGTATTTACTGAGACAATAGAACAGACTGCAGAAATAGATGCTCACATATACAGTTACTTGATTTACAACAAAGATGCACCTGTGATGCATGGAAGAAAGACAGCCCATATATACTGCAGGGCAAAACTGCATATCAACATGGAGAAGCAGCTAATAGTGACCCCAACCTCACACCATACATAAAAGTAAATCCCAGGGGAAATATAGACCTAAGTGAACGTTAAACAACAAAGCTTCAAGAAGGTAACATATGAGAATATCCTCATGGCCCTGGGATAGTCCACATTTTCTTAACAGGACACAATAAGCAATAATCATAAGTAAAAAGATTGATAAATTGTACTTTATTAAAATTAAGAATTTCTCCACAATTAAAAAATAAAAATAAAAACATGATCTAATGTAGGAAGTAATATTCAAAAGGAAATAATTTCAGTGTTTCGCAATTATTAGCTTATATTACAATGTAAATAACTTTAAAAAAATTAAGAATTTCTGTTCAACAAAGACACCATGAAGAAATGAGAAGGTATGCCTAAGAGACTCATACCAGAATATAAGGAACTCCTAGAACTCAATAAGAAAGATATCAGTAACTTGGCAGAAATAGGGCCAAAAATTTAAACAGGCACTTCAAAAAAGTGAATGTCCAAATGGCCAATACACATAATAAAAGTGTTCAACATAAATAACTAGCAAGGAAATGCATATTAAAATCACAATGATATACCACTTCACACACACCAGAAGAATAAAAGAATAATCCTAAGTCTTAGCAGGGATGTGAAAGAGCTAAAACTTTCTCTCCTACATTGCTACTGGGAATACCAATGAGCAGAATTTTAAAAATCTAATAACCAAGCAATTCCACTCTTAGGTATATACTCAACAAACATTTCTACATATGTGCTTCAAAATATCAGAATGTTCATTGCAGCCTTACTCCAAGTAGCCACCGAACTGGAAGCCATCTAAATATCCATCAACAGTAGAATGATACATATGATGAGTTGCAACTACACAATGGAATGTATAGAGGATGAATGATGCAAAAGTATACGCTGCAGCATGGATGAGTCTCACGAACATAAGGTCACACATAAAACAGATGCAAAAGAGCACATACTACAAGATTCTATCCAAATAAAGCTCAAAAAAGCAAAGCAAATAGATGAGGTTAGAAGTGAGGATGGTAGTTCGTTGGCAGGGGGTAATGACCAGAAGGGCCATGAGGGAGGCCTGTGAAGGGTGTTGGGTGAGTTCTACATCTTGTTTCAGGTGGTTACATGGCAACCACCCATGGGTAGCTACGTGGGTACATGCTCACACTGAGAATTCCACCCAGTTGTACACTTGTGATTTACACACATCTCTATGTGTTATATACTTCAATATTTTAAAATGACTTAAAAATGCTTTTCTGAACACCTGTATACAGTATATACATCAGTAAACAGAGTAGATGTGCCTGGAGACAGTGCATATATATATGCCGCCTGTATGCAGGTGTAAATAAGGTACATGTGGCCCTCCACCCAGTATTCCCAAAATGGGCAGAGTGAATGTAAGAGAAGGAACAGGGGCCTGTATTTGAGGGCAACTGTGGTGACAGCCCTCGCATTTGAAGGAGGCATTCTCATTTGAAGAGTACTTTCACAGTCCCCTTCTATGACCTTAACAAGTGAATTATCTTTAACTTATCAGCTTTAATTAAACCCTTAAAGGATATGCCCCTCTCAGAATTTTACAACAAAAAACTGAGACCCCAAGAAAAAAGACATGTCCAGGATGGCCCAGAATGTAGGTGGCACTGTCAAGGAGTGCTTTGTAATGTGGAAACCAAGCATCTCACCTCCAGCGGACTCTGCCCCAGAGACTTGGGGTCAGATCTCAGCTCTGCCATTCCTGGCATACGACGTCATCCAATTTGTCAAACCCCTTGTTTTCCTATCTGTGAAATGGGGATAAAAATACCTACAACGAAGAGTTGTTGCATGGCTCATTAGATGCTGCTATTTAAAAAGCATTCAGCTATTGTTACAGTAAAACAGGGAGTTTCCATGATTAGAAAAGCCGTTTAAAGTGGAGCCATTTACAGGACCTGCCTTTCAGGAAGCGAATGAAGAACCTAGAGACCCTGACCACCGCCCCTGCAAATGCCAGCCACAGGGGCAATGGGGACTGGCTCAGAGGCCCCTGGGGAGCAGGTATTGGGCTGTCCCTGCCTGTTTGAAGGGAATAGTCTGTGCTGTCCTCTTCCTCAATCTTCCCCGACCCTAGCAGGGTCTGGTGGTTTTCGTCACCAGGTGATGTCCTGCAAACCCTGAGATTGGGGCCTTCCACCAGCTATGTGGCATCTATCTAAGGTGAGAGGTTTTAAATTGCAAACACATGTCTGTGACCTAGCACAAGAAGTATAACCTGGCAGTAGTCCTCAAGCTCAACTGCACATTCAGCTCACTTGGGCTGATAGAGAGGCAGGCAGCTGCTCTCAGGTGAGGCGCAGGCATGGGACAGTTTTAAAGCAGCCCCAGGTGATTTGAATGTGTGCAGCCAGGGCTGAGAAACACTGGGCGAAGAGGAGAAGAGGGAGAAGAAGAGCATGGAGACCTAAACCACCTTCCAATGAGGAAGCAGTAAGGAGCAGGAGCTGGAAGTGAGTGCACTCACTTCCTGGGGACAGGCTGGATCAGAACTGTCAACATTGGGAAGGTGTTGCAGAAGGTGCATTGATTTTCCTTTTGTAAGGAGGAGTAGTTGCCGGGTGTCCCCGACACTGTGCCCCAAGCAGCTGCCAACAACATCTATCTCATCCCAAGTCTTGCAGGAGTCAGCCCCAAAAGTGCAATGCCAAGGAGCCATCAGCTCTTGGCTTCCCATCAGTCCACTCAGTGTCAGCTTCAGGGAAGCCCCTAGGTGTGCCCTCCCCAACCTCACCTCTCTATTCCGTTCTCCACCCTCCCCTGCACTCAGGTGGACTCTCCACTCACAGCAAGCCTGGCGCCAGCCTATGGTCTTCTCATCACTTCTTCTCATCACTGCCTTGGGAGCAGGTCTGAAGCTTTCATGCTCCCTGGAGAGGAACGGCTCTCTGGCTGGTCACAATGTCCAGTCTCACTCTCAGGACGGGTTATTTTCCTCTGAGTTCCCTTTCCCCTCCAAGTATGTGATGGGGAGGAACTAGTGGGCGGGGCCATCAGGGTCCTCAGCCTGCCACTATCAAAATGAAAAAGGCTGCATCTGGTGCTAAGGCTGCCCACGGGAAGGGAAGCAGGAGGGGAAGGAAGGGAGAGAGGGAGAAGAAGAGCATGGAGACCTAAACCACCCTCCAATGAGGAAGCTGTAAGGAGCGGGAGCTGGAAAGGGGATGTTCCCTTGAGGCGGACACAAGAACCAGGCACAGCTCAGGAGATCTGAGGAGCCCCGGACAGCTGTCTAGGATTCTGGAACCCAAAACTCAAAACAAAAGAGAAAGGGGCTGCACCTGCAATCAGGAGTTCTGGAGTCACCTACCCACCCCCAGGAAACTGCCATCTCCAGGCAGAAAACTTCAGAGCAAAGAGAGGCTAAGGGAGGCAGGGAGGCCTCAGGACTGACCCACCCAGGAAAGGGAGGGATGGCGTGAGATAGGAGGGGACGCAGGAGTTGTCTGGAGGCGGCTTCTTTCCTCTGGAGAAGCAGAGCTCTGGGGCAGGGTGGTTTGTCACTGACAGCCCACAAGCCGCTTTCAATCTTGCTGTCTTGGATGTGTGCAGCTTTAGCGAATCCGACACAACTCACTGCAGAGCAACTTGTCAAAACAAGGAGCCTGATCAGGTGGAGCATTTGAGGGTGGTCGTGTGTGTACATGTGTTTGTGCACTTGTGTGTGCATGCACGCGTGTGTGTGCACACATCTGTGTGGTTGTAGAGATATCAACATTGTTTGTCATTAACATCTAAATGGCAATTAAGTTGAAAGAGCGAGACCAGGAGCAACAGACTGTGGACCAAGCGGATCTGCCTGCTGAGGGTGCAGCCATTCCCAGTGCCCGTAGGATGGTGAGGCCACTCATCGTGGGAGAGACAGGGGCCAGTACTGCTGCTAAGCTCCTTGATTTGATCTGAATCAACGTGCTCTTGTTCTCTGAGCCAGTGTAGGAGAACAATCGGAGGCTCAGAGTGCTGAGTTCAAATCCTGTCCCTACCACACACCAAGCAAGAAACCTCAGGCAAGTTACTCAAGACCTCTGAGCCTCAGTTTCCTCATGTATGACCCAGAAAAGAGCAGCTGCCTCCCCTACCTGGTGCAGTAGTGCAGATCAAATGGGATAATGTAGTCCCACACAGGGTAAGCTGTGTGAAAACAGCAGGTCACATGGATTCAGGGTGTACTATGTGCCAGGCACTCCTCTGCTTCCCACCGATCATTCCATCTTGCTCTTGCCACTAGTAGTCCTAGAATCCACCTCCCTAGCAGATGAGAGCAGACAACGTGTGCAAAGTCATACAGCTGGAGGCAGGATTTGAACTTGGGCTTTAAACTCCAGAGAGCAAGCTCTGAGCCCTGGTCTCTATGCTCTCCCTGAATACGTGGAAACTGTTGTTTCATTATGAATCACGTTTTCATTTCCATCAACTTGAGTGAGTATCGGCCTCTGTGATTTGGGCACAGATTGAGAACCTGATGGGGGCACTAGCTCCCTCGACACCAACAGAGAAGAGAGATAGACCCAAGCTCATGGCTCTATGCTCTGCTGCAGGCTGAGCGAGGTCAGAACCCAGGAGCCCCTCACTCCAAAGCACTTGGTGGCCCCTCTTCCCCACACAAGCAGGTCTGTCTTTACCATCCCCAGTGACAGATCTCTGGCTTCCGGAGGGTAAATCACCCCACCCGCACCCTCAGCCCCAGGTCAGAAATCTTCATGCCCTTCTGGATATAAATTGTTTATTATTTCTGACTTCTCTCCATGCATTAATAAAGCCTTAACAATTATTTCTTTTTAATCTCTGTAAAATAACAACACACACACACACACACACACACACACACACTCACACATGGCTGGCTAGATACTTAAGGACAACTATTGCCAAGATTCTAGTTTTTGCTTTAGTCATCTCCCAGCTGAGCTGCTGTAGTTTGCTGTTGGCTGGTCCTTGCTCATATATCATAGCATTTGTCCTAATCAAAAGTTGCCCTTACATTTGACATCCAGCACGCCTGGGCCTCTCAGGTGTCAGAGCGATGCTAATTGCACCACTCACCTATTGGAGTTTGAGGCTCCCAATTGCCGCCCCAGTTTAAAGGACTCCTCATATCAGCCCCTTGGAGAGAAGGCTTAACCAACCTATCTCAATATTCCCCATACCTCGAGCTCATTAAAGTATTAGTAATGTCATCTGGTCACCCTGTGCAGTTTTTCCATAATCGAGTCTTCAGACCGCTTACCTCCCACCTTCGCAATTGAAATGTCAGCCATGCTCTATCTCTGCACTGGAGACATTCTCTCCATGTGTTCAAATTTCCTTGGCCCACCCATTGTGTTGGCAATAGGTTAAGTGTGAAAGCAAGATCCGTAGCTGAAAATGTTGCTTAACAAAGCAATAAATCATATCATCTTACGTCATTCCCCAATCCCATACCTCATGCTGCCCGGCTCCTCTGCAGACTCAGGGATCCCGTCTCTCAGGCATGCTCTAGGAAAGAACAAGGCAATTTCTGCCTTTTGTTTAACAAATATGATTTAACTTTTCCTGTTATGTGGTCAACACTTTATGTATGCTTAGCACTTGCCCCCGCCTGGCTTTATTTCTGGAGACCAAATGTAACAGGCTAACCAGAAGGACTGCAGGATGGGTTCATTTGCTGGGGCTGCTGTAATCAATCACCACAAACATGGTGGCTTAAAACAACAAATTTATTTTCTCATGGTTCTGGAGGCCAGACATCTGAAATCAAGGTGTCCGCAGGATCATGCTCCCTCCAAGGATTCCGGGGGAGGATCCTGCCTTGCCTTTTCCAGCTTCCGTCACCTCCTGGCATTCCTTGGCTTCTGGCTGCATTACTGCACTCTCTGCCTCCATCCTCACTTGGCCTTCTTCCCTCTGTGTCTGTGTCCTTGCCTCTTTAAAAGGATACCTATAGTCACTGTGTTACAGGAAAGGGGTCCCGATCCAGACTCCAAGAAAGGGTTCTTGGATCTCACACAAGAAAGAATTCAGGGCGAGTCCAGAGTAAAGTGAAAGCAAGTATATTAAGAAAGTGAAAGAATAAAAGAATGGCTACTTCACAGACAGAGCAGCCCTGAGAGCTGCTGGTTGCCCATTTTTATGATTATGTCTTGATTATATCCTTAAAAGGGGGTAGATTATTCATGCCTCCCTTTTTTAGGCCATATAGGGTAACTTCCTGACACTGCCATGGCATTTGTAAATGGTCATGGTGCTGGTGGGAGTGCAGCAGTGAGGATGACCAGAGGTCACTCTCGTCGCCATCTTGGTTTTGGTGGGTTTTGACCAGCTTCTTTATTGCAACCTGTTTTATCAGCAAGGTCTTTGTGACCTGTATCTTGTGCTGACCACCTATCTCATCCTGTGACTTAGAATGCCTTAACCAGCTGAAAATGCAGTCCAGTAGGTCTCAGCCTCATTTTGCCCAGCCCCCTACTCAAGATGGAGTTGCTCTGGTTCAAATGTCTCTGATAATTGGATTTAGGGCCCACCCTTAATCCAGAATGATTTCAGCTCAAGATCCTTAACTAAGTACATCTGCAAAGAACCTGTTTCCAAAGAAGATCAGATTATGCGGTTCTGCGTGGACATGAATTTGGGGGGATGTCATCCAATCCACTATGCAGGATGTGGAAAGATCTGGTACTTTCCTCTCAAGATGCAAGTCTTGGAATGTCAGCTTTCCATGCCCGCCCTTCCTTCTCCATAGACAACTGCATGGATTTTCTTTGGTGGGTTGTAAAAAAAGCTTTTTTTAACTACTGGGTTTGTTATAGTCAAGTTTCAATTGGTATTAAAGGAGCAGCTGCTGCCAGTCTCTCAACCTGTGAAATGTGGCGAGCAGTGTGACTCTCACAAGTGGTTATGATGCCTAACCCAGCAAACCAAGGTGAAGCGGCTGGTGCCAAGCACCGGCCCATGAGACGTGCTCAGGCTATGGTAGCTCAGCCTCCGATCTCAGGTTCTTAGGCCAGGCACCCTGGCAAACTGAGGTCCCTGGAGATTAGAACAGGAAACCCAGGTGGTGAAGATGCTTTACCTGTAGGGTGTGGAAGAGGCAGCAAACAGTAGCTGAGTAGTGAGTAGTGACTGGGCTCTATTTCATGTCAGCAACTCCTCTAACCACCTCCTCCCCCTCACCTCGTCCCCCGTGCTTCCTCAATTCATCCCTCCTCTCCAAGCCCTGCAGAAGAGAGAATATTATGTCCATTCTGCAGATGAAAATACTGAGGCAGAGGAAGTTAGGCGTGGGTTCCTTGGCCAATGTGCATGTTAAAAACTTGTGGATGTAGTTTCATGTTAGGGGCCACAGTGGGACATTTCCAGCTTGTTCTGGGGTCTGGGTGGGGTGCCAGATTATCAGTGGTTCCCTGAGAGAGATGAATCACGGGATCAAAGGGAGGTGTCAGCATCTGATTCTTTCTGCTGAGTTTTGTCTGCAAAGAAAGACCAATGGGCTCTGAGTCTAAGGCTGTGTCTGATAATGTCAAAATGGCAAAGTGAAATGTGGAAAATGAAGTCAAACCAGTTATTTGCTTACACAAAGATTTTTTTTAATGTGAGCTTAACCTATTGTTTCTTTTTTAATTTAGTCTTCTCTATTTATACATATAGACACATGGTATTAGAGGGTGGTAGCCACCCCTTAAAAATAGCACCGCACCCAAAAGAGAAATGTCTTCTTACGGGGTCTCATGGTGTTCCTGAATACAGAAAAATTCTAGACAATTCTCTGGCTCGCAAAAGACTGAAATTACTTGGTTTAGAGATTTTTATTGGAACCCTTTTTAAGCCCAGGCAGTTTGGTGGTGTAAGGGTGGCCTTTTACTTATCATCTTCACTTTGACCTGTTTCAGCCCCAGTCACAGCTTCTTTCTTGTAAAGATTTCAAGAAACTCAACCTCAGCAAGGGGCTGTGGGAGGGTCAAAGTTCAATCTGCCGGAATATTTTTTTTCCATAAGTTATTGGGGTACAGGTGGTGTTTGGTTACATGAGTAAGTTCTGTAGTGGTGATTTGTGAGATTTTGGTGCACCCCTCACCCGAGCAGTATACACTGCACCCTATTTGTAGTCTTTTATCCCTCACCCTCCCGCTCTTCCCCCTAAGTCCCCAAGATCCATTGTATCATTCTTATGCCTTTTCTGCAGGAATATTTTCAATCCTGAACTCAAACCAACCCGCTCTCCAAGAAGCAATCCACTCCACTTGCGTTTGTTTTCCTGTGGGTTCTGTGACTGCTCATTACGTGTGAGGAGAGGCGAGGGCCTGTGTATAAACATCACAGCTGAACAAGGAGCGTATTTCTTTCCCCCTCTCTAAATCTGTACCCTTCTCCTTCTCACCAGTGCTACAATTTCCTCTGGCACTTGAGACAAACATATGTTATTTTCAGTTCCACAACTTTTGAGTTCTCTATATCACCACACATAAGGCCCAGGCGTTGCAAACATAAATACACGTGGGCGTCTGCATTTCAACCACTGAACTCTCACCACTTTTTTCTTTTTAAGTGCAACGTAACTCAAGTGAATTTTCACCGTGGCCAAGCAGCATGACAGAGTCTTCTAGCAAAGTCAACATTTTTCCATCCCAAACCTCCATCCCACTCCCCAAACTCCTACCATTTGCCATACACACCCCCCAAATTAGCAAACGCTCAAACCAGGTCCCGTGGGCAAAATTCTTTAGTGATCCTCTTATTTTCTTGCCTACTGATAAAATAGCCCTATAAGTAAATACACCAACTGGGCTTTGCAAAGACAGACCTTCCCCAACAGAAACTTATTGCAGCAACATAAAACCAATGACAAGCCTCGGCTTTGTGGATCCCCTCATAGTAAACAAGAGATAATTTGCAAATTCAAATGTGCTGGACAGGTTGGCACCCTTTCAGGTAGCAGTGGGTTTAGGCTGGGTGCCAAGCTGTGGGAAAGGGAGGTTTTTTAATACCCACCCCCTTCCAGGCACTGTCATCTGAGGCATGTGCTGGGGGCTGGGTGGCATGACAGCGGCACACGGAGACAGAGAGACAGATGTTGGATTTTTCCTCCAGATCCTGGAGAATTTGCAGATGCCCTGGCACATAGGAGATGATGGAGAGTAAGACTGATGATTATAAAACAGCAACTTCCATCTCATACCTGCTTCCTATGAGCCATCCACCTCGTCTCATTTTAGTTATAATTATCCCCACTTGCCAGACAGGGAAACTGAGACTGAGGCCAATAAAGCCTTTTGCCAAGATCACCCAACAAAGCCAAAATCCTGCCCATGTGAGTCCAAGACTGTGCACCTAATGCTGCCTCCCAACAAAATATTTGGCTCTATCAGGTGCTGTGTCATTTTATATTAGTTATTTAATTTAACCACAAGATGGATATTATCAACACTTTACAGATGAGAAAATAAAGCTCAGAGAAGTTAAACAACTTGCCCAGGGTCACCTAGATAATAAATGAGCAGGAGTTTGAACCAATGTCATCTAACTCCAGAGCGCATGTCTCAAAGCACAAGGCTACAAACTTTTTCTACAATGATAGTAAATATTGAGACCATCCTGGCTAATACGGTGAAACCCCGTCTCTACTAAAAAAATACAAAAAATTAGCTGGGTGTGGTGGCGGGCACCTGTAGTCCCAGCTACTCAGGAAGCTGAGGCAGGAGAATGGCGTGAACCTGGGAGGCGGAGCTTGCAGTGAGCCGAGATTGCGCCACTGCACTCCAGCCTGGGTGACAGAGCAAGACTCCGTCTCAAAAAATAATAATAATAATAGTAAATATTTGAGGTTTTTCAGTCCATCCAGTCACTGTCACAACTAGTCAGCTCCGCCCTTGTAACTTGAAAGCAGCTGCAAACCATATGTAAAATGGGTGGGTGTGGCTGTGTAAATAAATCACACTTTATTTACAACAACAGGCAGCTGGAAAGATTTGGCCTGAGGGCCATAGTTGACTGACCACTACCCTAAAGCCTGTCCACAGCCATGTCACATCCAGGTTCCAGGTCAGGAAACGATGGGCACAGGACTGGAGGCAGAGAGACCAACGCGTGGCCTGCACTTTTCCTGATCTCATCTCCTATTACTCTTTCCTTTGCTTTCTCCAATCTAGCTGCACAGCCTTCCCGCTGCTCTTCAAACATGCCTGGCATCCCACAATCTCAGGGCCTTTGCACTTGCTGTTGGCCCTGCCTGAAGCACCCATCCTTCCAGATTCCTTCATGGCTCATTCCCTCACCTCCTTTTGTTCTTTGCTCCACCGATGACTTTTCAGTAAGGCCTTCCCTTGACTACCCTGTCAAAACTGGCCACACACACCCATGCCAGCCTTTCCTGTCTCCCGCCACCCCCCCACCCCCACTATCTTTTTCTCCATAGCACTTATCACTCTCTGAATAGCTCCATCATTTTACTAATTCATTTCACTCACTTTCTGTCTGTACTTCCCACCACTAGAATGTAAACCCTGTGCAGGGTAGGGGCAGGGATAGGCATTCTTGTTTCTTGTTTTGTCTGTTTTGGTCACTGCACTATATTCCCAGATCCTAGAGTAGTACCTGGCACACAGCGAGTAACCACTAAAAATGTGGCTCACACCTATAATCTCAGCACTTTGGGAGGCCAAGGCAGGTGGATCACTTGAGGCCAGGAGTTCGAAACCAGCCTGGTCAACATGGCAAAACCCCGTCTCTACTAAAAAATACAAAAATTAGTTGGGTGTGGTGGTACACACCTGTAATCCCAGCTACTCAGGAGGCTGAGGCAGGAGAATCACTTAAGCCCAGGAGGCAGAGGTTCCAGTGAGCCTAGATCGCACCACTGCACTCCAGCCTGGGCGACAAAGCGAGACTCTGTGTCAAAAAAAAAAAAAAATGTGTTGAATGACTTGATAAGTTAGGGACTGATGAGAACCCACATGGTGGAGCTGCCCTGAGTTTGGGACTTGGCTGTGACAACTTCCAGATCCACAGGGGCATTGCCCCCACAATGGAGCCAGGGGCCCCAGCACCTCTCAGCCATTCAGCAATGTCTCCATTGGCCATACAAAGCACAGTGGCAGTCAGGATGGAGCAACAGCAAAGCCAAGCCATCTCCATGAAATGTCCCAGGCTTCACCTTCTTTGTGCTGACCTCTGTCCAATGTTTCTGAAGCCTTTTGAACTCTCCCATCCTCTGTGCATGATACTATCTTTCTGGAGGTGAAACATTCACTGGACACCCTGTTCGAGGTAGCGGAGGAGTCAGAGGCAGGCTTGGAGATGCTTCTTATCAGCCCCTGTTGGCCCTTCTCTGCCAGGGATGGATGGGAGGAAACCATTTGGGGCTGTAACCCGACACTTTGTTTCATGAATGAACTAATTTTTCGTAGGCACCTTCAAGCTGGGAAACATCCCAGAGGTGGACTAACTTTTAACATTAGGTGTAATTAACAATCAGCCATGTCACATGACCCAGGAAGTGCTGGAGACCAAGGATCATAAACCCCCCACTGCGGGCTGTCTTCCATTGCGAGAGTTCCCCACAGGCAGTGCCGCCCTGAGAGATGGAAGGCCTGGCAGTGAATGTGTAATGCATGAGGCTTAGGATGGGGCTGGTCACCTGCCACAGCCATACATGGCCCTCCAAAACCAGAGTAGGTGAGCTGGACCAGAGCCAAACTGCCAATCAGGCGTCTTTTACTATCTTCACTTATGACATGGTCACTGGCCTCTAAGGATGAAATCCCAGCCCATGGGCTGAGAGCTCTCTGCATGCCCAAGACTGTACACAGCTCTCCACATACAACGTCTCTCTGATGTGTCACAAAAACCTGTGATCTCCATTTTATAGATGTGAAAACTGAGGCTCATATGTTCAGTGATTTGCCCGAAGTCCCCAGCTAATAAGTGACAGAATCAGAATTTTAACTGGCTCCGAAGCCCATCTGTGTAATCACAATATTGTAAAACTGCTTAACTTGCCTTTCTGAGCAAAACTTAGAATTTGTATATGTGCATGGAGTGGGAGTTTTGTTGTTGTTTAACCGTAAGAATAAGACAATCTCTTTCTGTCCATGGGGGTAGAGCTAGTATTTTCTTTCCTAGAGCTGAGTATAAAATTGAGGTTAGGGGAATAGGGGGACTGCTAAACCACCCAGGGACCCCATGCCAGCTTCAGGGGCCTCCTTGTCCAGCCACAGCCCCCATCTCTAACTTAGGAGAGGCCCTACATGGAAGAGAGTAGTCTGCCATGGAGTCCAGTGCACCCAGCCTTGCAGCACTCCCCTTCCACTGGGAAAGTTAAAATAAGAGGTAATATGGAGGATCCTCAAAAAATTAAATACAGATCTAGCAATTTCACTTCTAGGTATATTCATAAGATAGGTAGGTAGGTAGGTAGGTAGATAGACAGATAATAGATGATAGATTGATAAGATAGATGATCGATAGATAATAGATGATTGATTAGGGAGATTGATAGATGATAGATAATTGGTGATAGATAGATAGATACATAGATACATAGATAGATGATAGATAGATAGATAGATAGATAGATAGATAGATAGATAGATAGATGACAGATAGCAGAGACTGAGATATCTATACACCAATGCTCATGGCAACATTATTTGCAATAGTCAAAAGGAGAAAAATATCCTAAAGGTCCACTGATTGATAAATGCATAAAGAAAATGTGGTATACACAAACACTGGTATACTATTTGGACTTTAAAAAAAGAACACAATTTTGACATGTGCCACAACATGAATGAACTTTGAGGACATTATGCTAATTGAGATATGCCAGACACAAAAGGAAAAGATTGTATGATTCCACTTCTACGAGGTACCCAGAATGAGCAAATTCATAGAAACTAAATGTAGATTAGAGGTTACCAGGGACTGGGGAGGAGGAGAATGAGGAGTTGGTGTTTCATGGATACAGAGGTTCTCTTGGAAAGATAAAACCTTCTAGAGATGGATGGTGGTGATAGTTGTGCAAGAATGTGGATGTACCTAATGCCACTGAATTGCAGGCTTAAAAATGGTTACAATGGTTAATCTGATGAATTTTACCACATCTAAAACAAAGGTGGGGCGGGGGGGTTCTTTCGATCAGCCTAGAGGAGTTGAAACAAGCTGGAAATGATGGTCAGAGCCGGTAGGTGGGGGCCTGGGAAGCTGACCGCCTGCCGGCTGTGTTGTGCACCCTGAGGAGCATGACAGCCTCTCTGAGCTGAGCTTTGCCTGAGGGCCAGAAACCCTCCCCAGAGATCAGGAAGCCTTTGGTTACTTACCTCTGAGTACATTGCAGAGGGAGAAAGAAACTGACCCAGGAGGGCGGGACAGTCCCCTCTTGTTGCTATAACAATTGGCACCTTTTCTTTTCCACTCACTCGAGACACACTTTCTGAGCACCCACAACGTGCCAGGCACTCTGCTAGGCACCCGCACAGCATGATCAGTGAGGCACTCACCCTTCCACCAACATCTCAGGTAGGATCAATGACACCCATCACAGACAGGAGCAGCAGAGTTCTGTGACTCTCCCAAGGCACGTTCACAGCTACCAGTGAAGCTGAGATTCTAAGGCAGGCCCAGTCTGCATCCAAGTCCCGTATGGATTCTTTCCACAAATCAGTATTTCAGAAGAGAATATGAGAATCCCACTCAAAAGTAAAGATACTTGGGTGACAGAGCAAGACCCTGTCTCAAAAATATATAAATATAAATAAATAAACATAAATAAACTGGGGCAGGGTATCATCAAGTATCTCAAAGGACTGTCTGGTCTTTGTGTCCTACAGTCCAGCGTTTAGCCCACACTCAGGTACAAATAAATGCCCAGATGGGGAACAGCCCCTGCCTCCCGGCAAAGTGCAGCCCCATAACCTACCATTTCCATTTGGCCTTGAAATCGTTACCCTTATGCCACCTACAGAACAGAAGAAAGCATTACCTGGATTCCAATCCAGTTTACGTTCCAAGCAAAGAGAGACGCAGGGACCCAAAGCCATTTGAGAAACACTATTAACACTATCGGGCCAGTCTGCTGTTTTCCTTCTTAGAGCCCAGCTCAGCCACTGACTTGCTGCTTGACCCGGGGCAAGTCCCTGGGCCCCCGTTGTCCCCTATGAGTACTAACAGAGTAGACCCCATGACCCCAAGATCCCATCCAGCCTTGTTGTTCCCACGAGAAGGAAGTCACCACTTGGTAATAGACATGCAGATGTTCCCTCCCCCTCCCGCAAGTCCCTTCCTCTGCTAGACCCAGTGCTTCTAATCCCCTGCCTAGAAGGGCTTCACCCAGCCCTGGGAGTCCTGCTTCTCACTCAGGTCTACTCATGCAAACAGCCCCTACCCTTGTCTGGAGGCCTCCAAGTGTGCTTTCTCTCATGTCCACTGGGAAGGCCCTGGGGAGAAGGGTGCAGCCTCCCTCTCTGCCCAGGGTGCTTGACTGTTAGTGATCCCCAGGCACACTTCCCCCACCCTGTCCCCGGAGACATTTCTAGAGTTGTTTTAAGAGTGAGGCTGGGGAAATCTATTAATGAGAGCGGTAATTGTTACCTTTGGGCACCCAAGGCTGATTTACAACAGTTAATGCCTCAGATTCCAAAGGCATAAATTTCGGCTTTTCCACCATTTTGTCTGGAGCAAAACAAAACACAAGGAGATTACAATATCCAGGGCTACAGATGTTTGGCTGCACAGAACATTTTTCTAAGATAGGGAAGGGGGGAGATTAATTTAATTGACTCTATGGCATCCCCGATGCTTCCTAAGCTGTACGCATCTGCATGGGGATAGAAGCTTTTGATGAATATCCATATGTGTTTCTCAGGAGCAAGGAAAATAGTACAGGGGGTGAGTTGACCTCTGCCAGCCTGAGCTCTGTCCTGATAGGGTTGAGCATCTTCATCAGGGAGGTGACAAGACTTTCAAAGCAATGCCCTTCACCCTCAGGGAGTGGCTGTGGGTCTGGGAGAAACGGCTCAGCCATCTCTGTAGAATTCCTTGGGAAAAAAAAAAACTTCAGAGATCATGCTGTGGTTACCCTGTTTGGAGGGTGAATAGAAGAGGCAAAGAAGCTGACCCCATTTTCCTTCCAAATGGGGATCTGGGGGAGTTGGATACTCAGAAAAGAATTCAGTATTTGGGATTCATCCAGTCAGAGTTTCCAGAAACTCCTGTAAGAGCAATAAAGCCACAGTAATTTATTCCCAAAAGAGAGAAAACAGCTACATTTCCTAAGACACAAGCAGAAAAACACAGCCTTCCCACCACCACCCCCTATGCCTACTGCTAGAAGTCTGTCTTCCTACCTTGGCTCACATTTGGCCCCATTCCAGGCCAGTAAGTGGCTTTGGCATTACAGTCGAGGTCTCCAGCCCCACACACACATCACACAGCCCTGGTGTCTTGGCTCCAACCCTCCCTGCCAGTTACCCCAGCAGAGACCTGAGGCCGGGACATTAAGTAGCACAGCCCAAGTGCTGTGTCGAGTTTCATATTCAAACAAGCCCCTGGGATTCTAATCATTCAACAAATATTTGCTCCGTGTCTGCTAAGTGTAAGGCATAGTATGAACAGGCCTAAAGGAATTTCTGGCCCATTCTTAGGCCAGTTTTGAGTGAGAGTTCAGAAACAGCTCATCTCTGTCCCCTGCATCAGCTTTTTGTTTTGTTTTGTTTTGTTTTGTTTTTGTTTTTATTTGTTTTGTTTTGAGACAGAGTCTTGCTCTGTTGCCCAGGCTGGAGTGCAGTGGTGCGGTCTTAGCTCACTGCAACCTCTGCCTCCTGGGTTCAAGCAATTCTGTCTCAGCCTCCGTAGTAGCTGGGATTACAGGGGTGCACCACCATGCCCAGCTAATTTTTGTTTTTTTAGTAGAGGCAGGGTTTTACCATGTTGGCCAGGCTGGTCTTGAACTCCTGACCTCAGGTGATCCACCCACCTTGGCCTCCCAAAGTGCTGGGACTGTGTCTTTATGGTTTCCAAAGCCATTATCATATCTGAACATCCCAGCCAGCCGTCCAATAACGTGGATAATCTCATCTCCACTTTGCAGAGGAAGAATGTAACAGAGAAGACAAGTAACTTGCCTGAGGTCACCCAGCAAAGTTGATACTAGATCTCATGTTTCATGATCACTGGAAGAAAAAAAAGGAAGGGGCCAGATAAATTACTGCTCTGTGAGAGTGAAGCAAATGGAGTTCAACTGTATCCGGCCCCCCTGAATCCAAACTCTCTTTGTTCTTGAAAAAATTGCATGGGATTTCATATGTGTATGAGCGAATAGAAGAACTACTTTCCCTGCTCTGTGTGAGATGCCATCATGAGAAGGACACAAGGGTTACTGCTGTTTTATTTTATTAATTTTTAAAATTAATTAATTTATTTTTTGAGACAAAGTCTCACTCTGTTGCCCGCCCAGGGTGGAGTGCAGTGGCATGATCCCGGCTCACTGCAACTGGGTTCAGGTGATTCTCCTGCCTCAGCCTCCCGAGTAGCCGGGATTACAGGTGCGCGCCACCACACCTGGCTAATTTCTGTATTTTTAATACAGACGGGGTTTCACCATGTTAACTAGGCTGGTCTCAAACTCCTGACCTCAGGTGATCCACCCGCCTCAGCCTCCCAAAGTGCTGGATTACAGGCGTGAGCCACCACACCTAGCCCCAAGGGTTACTACTGGATTTCATTCTTAATTCTAGCATTGCTTCCAAACAACTGCACTGGAGAAGGATGTAAAGTGCTCACCCTTTGTTTTAGGGATGGGGAAACTAAACCCAGAGGTGCCAAGGGCCCTGACTTACTGGGTCAGAACTGGCTCTTGAACCCAGCTTTCCAGGTCACTGACTTTTTCCCTTCATCAACCAAGATGCTGTTGATTCGGGAGAGAAGACTCAACTCAGACATCCAAATTGCTTCAGGGCTCTCCTCCTCCCTGTTCTCTTCTCTGTTGTTGTTGTTGTTGTTGTTTGTTTTTTGTTTTCTTTCCCTCTCAGTCCAGGATGGAAGACAAGAAGGAAGCATCTGGCCATAAGAGCCCCTGGCCCCAGAACAGCCCCTTCTCCCAGAGGAGAAATAATTAAAGACCTCTGCAGGGCACTATGGGAAGAGAAGGGTCCACAGGCTAGAGTGCCCTGGGCTTCCTCTCCCAGCCCAAGCAGAGGCCCTGAACAGGGAGGAAATGCTCCTGTGAAGCAGGGAGATGGGATGGGGGGAGAGGCTGGGAGCAAGTTAATGATGTACCCTGAGATTTCTGGATCAATTCCTCTGATGTGCAACTAGGAACTTCCTCCAAACTAAATCGGTGTGAACCTTCCAGCCCATCATTACATAGAAGCTCAGACAGTAAATACAGTGCTTGTGTTTACCATGCTCATGTCGTGCACCCACGGCAGACCCTGCCAATCAATGGCAGCCTCCTTATCCACTGACTGTGGCGGCCAACACCAATCCAATGGAGTTGCATTTGAAAGGTAACTGCTCACTGTGGGGGCTATGGAAAATCTCCCTTACTTTTGGGTCCACCTTGCTTCCCTTACTTTAGAAAATTACTGTACCTACACCACCTGTTTCTGATTGGGCTGTCAATCCAGGAGCCACAAGTACTATCCTCCAGGATGGACAATGAGAGTACTCTGCGCTCAATCCCTAGCACATGATTGAAGAGGGTATGCTATCCAAGTCTACCAATCAGTCTTTTTCAGGGATGAATAAGAATGAGGGAGAAAGATGGCAGTACCTCTCTGGGACTGGCCATGAGGAAGATACAAGCCTGAGGCTTGCATTGAGAATGAGGACACACTCAGGAAAGCAGAGCAGAGACAAGGGAGAAAGAGGAGCCCTGGTGACATTGTTTAAACCCTGGATCTGGTTGGCCTGAAGTCTGGTCTGCCCCTTGAACTTCCCAACTATGCAAGGCAATATAAATCCATAAATGCCATGGTCCTTGCTGGAGAATCACATAACTCCGCTTTGCCTCACAGTCTGCCTCGGCTGAAGCTGGTGGGGCCTGGAACTGATGGGGCTGCCTTGTTCTGTCCTGCTGCATGAGTGCAGCCTGCATCCTTGCACCCTCTAAGCTCTTTTCACAAACTGGTGCCTCATTGGCTAGGAAAGAGCTCAGATGGCTCCATGCAGCGCCGTTGCAACTACTCCACTGACTACCGGTCTGAGCAGCCCCCAGGCACTCCTCAAAGTTGAGGTCTTTGCATGCAAAATACCAACAAGCAGGCAAGGAAAATGTCAACCAGGGTCGAGCCAGGTGTTATCTTTAAGGAAATACAATTCATCATTTGACAAGAAACAAAGATGGGCCGGGTGTGGTGGCTCACACCTGTAATCCCACAACTTTGGGAGGCCGAGGTGGGTGGGTAACGAGGTCAGAAGATCAAGACCATCCTGGCCAACATGGTGAAACCCCGTCTCTATTAAAAATACAAAAAAGTTAGCCGGGCGTGGTGGTGCGCACCTACAGTCCGAGCTACTCGGGAGGCTGAGGCAGGAGAATTGCTTGAACCTGGGAGGTGGAGGCTGCAGTGAGCTGAGACCGCACCACTGCACTATAGCCTGGTGACAGAGCAAGACTCCATCAAGCAAGCAAGCAAGCAAGAAAGAAAGAAAGGAAGGAAGGAAGGAAGGAAGGAAGAGGGAAAGAAGGAAAGAAAGAAGGAAAGAAGGAAAGGAAGGAAAGAAAAGTAATCTGATGGAGCCAAAGCCTCATGCCCCTGATTTAGCTGGTCAAGAGCTCACAGCTCCAGCCTGGGGATTGGATGGTGATTGTTCCCTGCAGCTGCCTATCTCTCAAGATGCCTGCTAACCAATTTCAGGATGTTGCCCCATATCAGGCATTTCCAGGTACCCAACAAAGCATCTTACTGTGCAATCAAGTTTGAGTGTAACAGAAACAATTCACAGAACGGATGGTGATGAACTGAATGCGGTAACTAATTCCTTCCCAGGAGAGAGGCACACAAACCCGTGCTTGGGAAAGAGTGCTGTTTTAATTCTAGGTCTTCCTACATCCAAAAGAAATGAGATTCCCATCCACAGAGGTGTCCAAGAAGAGGCGACAGGATTAGTAGAGGCAATTAAAACCCTGAGTTAGCCAGTATTCTTTGGGGTGCCAGGGACATAAGAACAATAAAAAAGGGTAGATGAGGTATTTGTAGGCTTATTTAACTGATACTTTTGATGACTTTCAAGAATGGCTGAAGCCAAGTATACAAACAACATCATGAGAATCTGCCTCTCTCCATATCTACACTCTTCTTTTCCTTCTGATTGTTCCATTTTCAGTCTCCCCCATTGACTGCTAATAGCTTCAAGCTTCATGGTAACCAGAACCTCTAGCAGAGAAAATGTGCCTCGTTCTCAACAGTACCAAGAAAAACCCCTGGATGCAGCCTCGTCAGATGAGCTTGGGTCACCTGCCCTATCCCTGAACCATTCACCATGGCCAAAGTGGAGTAGAATGCTCTAGATGAGGGAGTGATGTCAACCCACTCAAACCTAATGGATTGAGAATAGGAGAGTGAAGGTAAAATGGATTCTGAACCAAGTTAAAAAAAATTATATCATCTACAGTTGCTTCCCACCATACTTAAAATCTATGACTTGGTTGGCACGATTCTTGACCAGCATGTTCCTTTTTAACCCATATGTGTGATGCCATGCTCACTAGCCCTTCCTACATTCCTAAGACAGAATCTTCCAGTCATTGACACACAGACACCTGGACCCAAATTGGATCCACCTATATCCATCCAAGTTACTATAAATCCAAGGAAACATGCAAACCCAAATGGATACGCTGAAGGAGCTGGCTTCCCCCCCAACACACAAAAAACATCCTGAAGACTTCTGAAGTCACAGGGGTAGCTCAATACTCTGCCAGAAATTCCCCACCAGTCTTTGAGTAGACTTCAGTGCTCTGTCTTATTTCCATTCTTGGCGAAGGGAAAAACCTTAAAACCACGCACCCTCCCCTCTCTCCACCAGGCACATTACAAGAACTCCTAGGTCCCAGTCCACAAAGATGCTTTTTATCAGACAGTGAGTAACTTGGCCTCCTTAATCCCCAGATGCTCCCAAACCTCTTCCCATTCTGATATCCTCCATCCCGGAGGCACCAAAGGCTAGTCCCCTCCATTCTCAACTGAACATTTGGCATCAGGCCACCTCATTCATGCCAGACTCAGCCAATATGATAAGAGCACAGAGGACACTTGAGGGCATCGCATTCGGAGCTATAAGCTAATTGATGGAGTGCTAATAAGTCCCTTTTGGTCACCACTTTTGGCAAAGCCATTGTCTAAATACTTAGCAGCATCTGACCAACGAAATTACTGGTTCCTAGTACAGAAAAAAGCACACGGCTACCCCACCCCAGCTTCCAGATAAATTTCTGCCTTCCATATCACTGACAGGCCAGGGAAAAGGAAGAGAAATTCACAGGTGAGCAAGGGACCCTTATGAAGCGGTGACCTCAGAAAAGGCACCTGGCCAGAGAGTCCCCCAGAACTGTGAGCACCTGAATTCCAAGAGGTCTTGAAGGATCCTTGAGGAAATTCAGGGCT
Organism: Homo sapiens; assembly: GCF_000001405.40. Taxonomy (NCBI): domain Eukaryota; kingdom Metazoa; phylum Chordata; class Mammalia; order Primates; family Hominidae; genus Homo; species Homo sapiens. The sequence goes on along the minus strand of NC_000010.11, from coordinate 117,604,207 downwards.
GGTTATCAGAACAGGGAAAAGGAAACTTCAGGGTATCCCAAGAGCAAAGACTGATCTGAAATCAGGAAGGGCTCTTGGGGAACACTGGGAGAAGGAAGAGTCTTTGAGAAGACTCGCAGCCAGGTTGACATGAATCCCAATGGCCATTCACCAGATGCTTACCGTGTGCCAGGCCCCCCATTCAACACACACTGGGCTGAGCCTAGTTCATCACTGCACAACGTGGTGATTGGGACTGTCACTGTCCCATTTCGCTGGTAAGAAAACACAAATTCACAGAGGTTGTTTACTTGCCCCAGGGCACACAGCAGATGTGGGACATGGCTGGAGGCTGGGCTGCATGCTGCACAACCTGCCGTTTCAGAAGGCTTCTCTCCCAGTTACCTTGGCATTAACTGTCTCTGAGGACCAGACCATTATTTTTGACCTGGGACTGCTAAGGGCCTCAAAGGTTAGAAGTTCTGCTGTTTTAATTACACATCCACCTGACAAAAGTCACCTTAATTAGGAAGGCTCTCCCAAAGAAAATGCAGCTGGCAGGGCTGGGTCAAGCTGTCCCATTGGGTGGGTCTTTCCGATGCAAAGTTACTGGTCTTCCAGAAGTTCTCCTGCATCTTTTCCTTCCCTCCCCACTGCTCCACCATGCTGTAGTTCAGCTCTTCATCCCTCACACCCGGACAACTCAACCTCTTCCAAGTGGCCTCTGCCCCCAGTCTATCCCCCACTGTTGTAGCAGATCACTTTGCTGCTTTTATGCAGAAAACTTCAGTGGCTCTGCCGCTCCCAGGAAACAGTGGAGACCCCTCAGCCCTGCACTCAGGACCTGCTCAGTGCAACCCTCGCTTCCTTGCCAACCCCAATCTCCAACACTTTCTAACGCTGCTTCCACTCCCAGGCCCTGTTCCCTCCTGGAGGGCAACAGAGGGTCTGTCTTCTTGCCTGGAGCATGTGCTGACCACAGGGGGTCCTGAAGAGAGAGCCACTTGGCAGGGGCACCGGCAGATGCTGGAAGGGACTTCCACACATAGCCACCCCTCACACCCACTCCCCATTGTTCTTCAGAGCCTCACCCAGAAGAACACAGATTTGCAGGCCCACTTTGGTACGTGTCGGAGAACATGGAGAGCCAGTCCTAAGGCATAAAGGGAAACCAAGTCACAGTTGGAGCTACTTTCTAGATCTCCTGTGGTATGATTGTGCTGGGGCGAGGAGAAGCTTTGGGAGGGATGTCCCCACTCACAGAAAGGGAAGTTCAAGAAAGCCGTCAGCCCTCCCTGGCTCCACGTCCCCTCTTCCTCTCCATCCCTCCCAGAGTCCACATTTCTGTGATTACTCCCCACACCATCTGGAAGGGCACCCCCCAACTTCCCCAAGGCAGTGTGGGTGTCCATCAGAGGCCTTCCCTGCCAGTGTCACAGCAAATCTGTGAGCAGGCGACGGCTGCAATTGCCATCACCATGAAGCAAGGAGGCTCCACGCAGGGCCTGGGAGATAGACTCACCCTAGGTGACCCAGAGGAAGATGGTCTGCTCCGTCCCCCTCCAAGCCACCTGAGGTTGCTGTGAGCACCTGAATGGACTTCACCCACCAACTCCCAACCCTTGGGGAGGTCGATGATGTAGCTGCTGGCTCCTTGCAGCCATGCAGGGACAACAGCTGAGTGGTAGCATGTTGGCAAGAGAAAGGAAAGGCCTGGGTTACTGGACCAGGGAGACAAGGATGAGGGTTTGCACAAGATCACTCCCTCCAAGGTACCTTTAAAGCAGAAGCAAACTCAGGTGCCTCATTAAAAGCAGATTTGGGTCCAACATTCTTTCCAGGCACCTTTGAATGACTTGCTCTTGTCCCATTGCCATTCCTGCTCCCACCCTACACCCCCAGAAAGCAGCATGCCCTTCACAGCTATGCCCTTCCAGGCATACTAGCCCACCCTGGCACCAGATGCAGACCTCCTGTGCCCTCCAGGATAGCCCCTGACCACATCTCTGCCTCTCCCTGCTCCAGAACCACCCCCTTCCCTTTTCTCCATCTACTTAAAGCCTTGCTTCCCTTTTGTGGCCTGATCCAAACCCAGCTCCTCTGCAGAGCCCACCATCATATTCTACTCTTCCCCCAGTGAACTCTCCTTTGCCCAAATAAGCAGGATAATTAATTTCCAAGCTGTCAGGAAAATGGTTCTTCTCAGGAGAGAAACTCATCTGTGTATAAAAAGTCAGGTGCAAGCTTTGTTCATGACCATGAACAAATAGGAAGTAACCTAAGTGTCCATCAATAGGGGACTGACTGCTCTGTAAAATGGGGATTATCCATATAGTGGAATACTATACAGCAGCTGAAATGAATTAATCAGGTATATGTGGGGCTACAGTATGGTAAATTTGTGTGTGTATGAGAGAGACAGGGTTTCACTCTGTTGCCCAGGTTGGAGTGCGGTGATGCAATCATGGCTCACTGCAGCCTCTACCTCCCAGGCCCAAGCCATCCTCCCACCTCTGCCTCCTGAGTAGCTGGGACTGCGGGTGTATGCCACCATGCCCAGATAACATTTTTAAAAAAGTATTTCGTAGAGATAGGGTCTCCCTATGTTGCCCAGGCTGGTCTTGAACTCCTAGGCTCAAGCGATCCTCCTGCCTTGGCCTCCCAAAGTGCTGGGATTAGAGGCATGAGCCACCACACCCTGCCTGCAGTATGGTAATTTTTATATAAAACACACACAAGGCAATGCTATGTATGTAGGCATAGATTTGAATATAAGCATGGTTGAAGGGTCTGGAGGAATCCCCAACAATGTGTAACTGGTTACCTCTGGGGAGGGTACAACAGGAACAGGCCTGGAAATGGAGGGCCAATGGATTTTAGCTTAATCTTTTAATGCTCTAATTTTTTAAGGCACATGTATTCATTGAACAACTGATAATCTTTTTAAATGTTCTCTGGAGACTCCCATCTCTCACTTCAACTAGAGAAGATCTGCCTTTAGCTTTGATCCGATTTGCTTGGTTACATAGTTTCATTTGGGACAAAAGAAAAAAAGAAAAAATAAAGAAGGAGGGTTGTTCTGATTTTTGGAAAAGACTGCCCTCTGACTTTCTTCGATGTTCCTCCTCCCAGGACCCGTGCCATACCCCGTCTGGTTTACGGGCATCATGATCCTTCCCCCATCAGCCTTGAAGCCCATGAGTTCAGGGACCATGCTTTGTGTCCCTCCAGTGAGGTCCTATGGTGTCCCATCTTACCCCTCACTGGCAAGGAAGACAGACACAGCCTCAGGGAACCCCTGCAGTGGTGGAAGTGCGTTCCTCTCACCCACAGCCACAGTGTTTGCCCCAGCCAGGAGTAGTCCCAGAAAAATAGCTCAGTCCAAGACAATAGTAAGCCCAAGAGACACAGAATCCACCCTATTGACAAGGAGAGCAATCCAGGGCAGAGCAAAGCAAGCAGTAGAGGTTGATGAACCTAGAGCCCCATAAAGAGCAGGCCTCAGTAACCCCAGAGCCAGCCAGTGATCAACTGTGGTCAGTTTCTATAGAGCCCTTTAGCTGGGAGGGAGGAGGAGAAGGAGAAGGGAGGGAAGTGGATGGATGGCTCTGTTGTCTCCTAGCATAAACTTGACCTAACATGAGCAGAGCCTCACCTAGAGAAGCTGACAGTCTTTGATTCTAGTCTATGGTCACAGCAAGGGAAAAAGAGAACTCAATTTCTCTTTGAATGATACCTCTGGCACCTCAGCCCCACTCTACTCCATATTCGCCCTCTTCCCATTACACCCCTTTCACTACGGTTCGTGCCGGATGCCGCCATGTTGCTGAGTCGGCACCAAGTCTGTGTAGACATGGTCAGTGCATCAGCCTCCTCCCCTCCCCTACCTAGGCTCCAGGCTCCATGCTCACCCCACTGGGATTTCAAGGCCTGCCACCAGCTGTGTTTTTTGAACACATGCCTCAGAGACTTCCAAGTCTCTTGGGAGAGACCACTGTTCAACCACCTTAGAATATAGATCATTAAAATTGTGTACGTGGTGTTGGGTCACCAGGGAGCCAAAAGATGCTACTATAATTTGGATATGCATTCTGAAATGAATTTTTCAAGCTATAGAGGGTGTAAGGAAGATTAGCACAACTCCAGAATTTGCGTTTTTTTTCTCTTAACACAGAAAAACTATTTTCTTTGCAATATGGGGCTTGTTGGTTAGAATGAAAACTTTCCCCCCCACCTACTGGAACCACCAAGGAAAAGAAGGTAATTAGCTGTCTGTGCCAGTGAGTGCTCCAAAGGCAGATGTGTCAGGAGCCGGAAAGAAAAATCTAATTGAGCCCCACCTTTTTTGTTGTTTGGATTTTTTGTAAATTTCCATAGCCCATTTTAGAGTCTACTGCACATTTGCTCATCCACCCATAGAGTGAGAAGCTTCACAATTGTGTCCTGAATTTTGGTTGAGCCGATGATACCTGAAAATATTTCTTTTCATCTTTCTCTTAGTGTGTACACTAGACTTTTCCAAATCCAACCTAATCCAATTCACCACATTTTACTGATCATGACCCTCAGTCCCAGAGAGAAGTGTGCTCTATCCGAGATCATACAGCCATCAAATGGCAGGGCCTCTCCCTGTTTGTGTCCATCACTTTCTACCATACCAGTCTGAAGTATGTGAAGCCTATTTCAAAACAGCCTGACTCTTCGTTCCACATTTCCCACATGTAGAAGTTGGGTTATAAGCAAAAAGCAACACTCCTGATTCTGTTGCCTTCCCCTTCCCCCCACCCACATTTTCTCAAGTGTACTAAAGCTGCTCATTTTAAAGCATGGGCTGAAGATTATCCCAAATAATTTTTAATTAAAGATCATCATGTAAAGTGTATCATTTTGTGAGTCTAAAAGCGATTAACTACGTTAGGGATTTTGGTGACACATGTCACAATTAAGTGTTTTCAGTGTTGAGCCAATTAAGGGTTAACAGGCTGCAAATACCATCTTTGCACATTTTTGCTTAATGAATTCGTAGTAGGAAACTATTCTCATTAGGTTAATTTGTCAACAGAATCAAGTTACATCACCAGGATTTTTCTTGGAGCTCACAAATTTAAGTGCCTTTATATCATGGCGCACACTTTTGCATTTGATTACGGCTATCGGAATAAAACACTTTTCCATGAAAAGGAAGAAAGTTGATCGAAGATTTTCAGGTCTTGGTCTTAATTCTCACCTTCTAGACATAGGCATGTTTATGTTGTTTTATCGAGCTCTCTAGGGCTTTCTGTCTGTATTTCCCTAGTAGGTTGTCATGCCAGAGAGTAAAACACGCATCTGTGTACTTGTAGAGGAAGGGCTTCAGCCCCTAACATGGGCGTGCTGGCCGCAGGGAAAACTACTCTCCTCCCTGCACTCATGCAGCCAGAGAGAGCTGCTGTTGCTTCTCTCAAAAACTTGAAAAAACACCCAGCCTTCCTCCAAAAGACTCCCTCTTCCTTCTGACAAGGTTACTATCATCTTGGCAGAAGAGAAAACAGGCTTTCTCACTCCAAGGCTGTTGACACACTAATTAGTCTATTTAGTGGGGGAATAAACCGCCAATCATATTGTCAAGCCTCTTCTAGGATAAGAGATAGCATTACCCACCCAGAGCTTTGGGTACCATGTTGCTGTGGTCTTAGTTATAGCCCAAGCAAGTGCTTGTATTGTTCTCAACAGCAAACGGAGTGGAAACAACTTACATGTCCAATAATGAGGAGCTGTGTGGCAAAGCTGCATTATGAATAGAACATGAAGAAGCTTTTAAATATAATGACATGACTCAGGACTAAATATATTGACATGAAAACATGTCCACAGTGTGGTAATAACTGGCAAAGCACATTACAAAGTGCTATGAATGTAGCGCTAACATACATTTTTGAGTGTGTATATGTGTGTTTTCATAAACCAGGAAAATTCTAGAAGAACACACTCAACTCTGGTGGTAGGGGTTATCTCTCAGGAGCAGGTTTCAGGTAGTTTTTACTTTCTTCCTTGACTTTTTTCCTATACTTTCTGATTCTTTATGATAAGTATATATTCCTTTGGTGATCAGAATGAAGCTATTTTTATTTGGGAAGGGAGTAAGCCAGTGAGTGAGTCCCAGTGGCTTAGGGGTCAGCATGGGAGGGAGAATCCACAAACTCTAAGATAATAAGATGCTAAGAACAAAAACCAGTGTGGGCCAGGTACAGTGGCTCATGCCTGTAATCCTAAAATTTTGGGAGGCCAAGGCACGAGAATAGCTTGAGTCCAGGAGTTCAAGATCAGCCTGGGCAACATTGGTGAAACCCTGCCTCTACAAAAGATACAAAAACTAGCCAGGTGTGGTGGTGCACACCTGTAGTCTCAGCTACTCAGGAGGCTGAGGTGGGAGGATCACCTGAGCCCAGGAGGTCGAGATTGCAGTGAGCCAAAATCGCACCATTGTTCTCCAGCACAGGCAACAGAGTGAGATCCTGTCCAAAACAAAAAAACAACAACAAAAACACAAGTGTGGAATTATAGTGCTCTGTTTTTTTCATCCATAAAAGTTATTTTGACTGACGATCCCCTTACACAAAATGACAAGTTTGGGTGGAAGGGATTTGATCTGGGTTTGCATTTGGTTTTAAGTAGCCTTCTCAAAATGTCATCAGCACACAACAAATGGGGGTAAATAACATGATATTGACCAACTATTTATTTGAATGTTTACACTCCATTCATTCCATAAGCATGGACTAAGCATTCACCCTACACAAAGCTCCTTCCTTGGGGTTAGGGCCAGGAAGATGAATCAGACAGGCCCTGCCCTTTGTAGCCCACAGCCCCATCCTAAGGCTCCATGAGCAAGTGGAGAATTTCCCTAAGTGTGGGACAGGCTACCTAAGAGAGAAGTCAGCATGGGTTCCTGTGGATGCACAGAGGCAGAACTAACTTAGCCTGGGATGGTAACAGAAGGCTTTCTGGAAAAGGAGTTCTAAGGTAAGACCTGGAAAACCAAACTGGCCCAGGCAAAGTGTCGGGAAAGAGTGACACACTGTCCTCTCTTAAAAGTGGAGCTGGTGACAGTTCCAGCTACCACTACAGATTCTGCCAACGCTGTGCTGAACTGTGGCCGGGGGCTGGTAAGAGAGGCTTTATTGTGATTGTAGAAGCAGGAGGACTGCAATACACGGCAGAATCTGTACTCAGTCTAAGACCTGCCCAGGAAATTGCTCTCTTGAACAAATCCCTGCTCTTGGCTCCTTTATCTGTGTGTATCTCTCCCTCATAAAAGCAAAGTGCAGAAAAAAATTTCGAGTATTCGGACTTTCCAGTCTGGATTCTGGGTTAACAGGAGGTCGCTGTACATGCCTAGTGACTATCTGGGGCCTCACCCATCCTCCGAATGCCCTGTGGCACATAGAAGCTGATCCTTGACCTACTTAGTTCACAGATAGGAAAAGCAGAAGCTGGTAGCTGACTCTCTCTCCAGACCAGGCAACCCCCAAGTTATTAATATCTGCCCACTGTTCCCTGAGATGGGAGATGTAATACTAACTGCTACAATATTTTTTGAGCATGTACACATTCCATGTGTGTTACTGACCTTGTCTAGTTTAATTTAACGCTGTCCTAAATCTAAGAGGTAGGTAGTTATCCCATTTTACAGATGAGAATGCTGAGGGTTTAAGAGGTTGAATCACCTAGCCAATGTCACGTATGATAGAGGCAAGATTTGACACCAAACCTTCTAACAGCAAAACCAGAATAATACCTCACAGGCTCCCACCCTGCAGGCAGCCTAGCTCCTCCCCAACCCCCTGAGAATTCTGGACCTAGTGGGTGAGCGGCGCCAAGCTGAAGTTCATCCCGGACCCTCCAAACAACACTATGCCTGGTTATTGGGCTCTGAGAGCTCCGCAATCTGGAGCAGTGTTTTTAAACCACAATGGTCATCTATTAATTGGGTCAAAATCTACATTTTTTAATGAAGGAATAGAATAGAATGGGTGAAAAAAAACTAGATCAAGGCAAGCAGCAAGGGTAAGTTTTGTTTCAGGACATTTTATTTCAGTTTTGCACATATGTGTGCGGGGCTGTGGGGAATGATTGCCAGGTTGGCCTTCATGCTTCAGCCCAATCCAGAAATCCAGCCCAATCTTCACTCACCAGCTCCTACATTCTGAGAGGCAGCCACATCCCCAAGAGCAAAGGGCACCTCTTTCCAAGCTGTGTGCTAACAGGGCTGGGTCTCCCCAGCAGAGGCACCCCTTTCCTCATGCAGGGGCACTGCATGGGTGAATGGTGTCTGTGTGTGCATGGGCTGGACACTGTCCATTTGGCCACACCCCACTCACTGTTCATTTTGCACCCTTCTCTGCGATGTTCTGGGCAGCTACAGGCTGACCCCTTCAAATGCCATCTCCTTGGCTCTTTGGTTGGTTGGGTTTGCCCAGTGGATATCCCTGTTTGAGATCACGAGACTGTTTTTCCCCAATCCCTCCTGGCCTCAGCACAACACCCCCGATAAAGGCTGTTCCTCCCAGGCCTGCAGCTCCTGCCATGGCTTCAGCTCTCAGTGGGCCCCAGTTACACCATCCTTCATCTCGTCCCTTCAGCCCTAAGGGTGGTAACAGCTTCCCATCATTGCTAGACTTCGGGTGCCTCAATAGGTATTGTTTGTTTCCTCAACCCAGCCCGCACCTCTGTCAATATCCCTTCAATAAAATCCCTTTATTTGAACCATTTGAGAGAACTCTGTAACCTGCTGGGACCTTGACCACCACTGATCCAATGTGTGTGTCTATCTTGCTGTGGGTTACAATCAAAGCAGTTTAAATATCACTGACCTAGAGAAAGTCTAATGCAAAACAGCCTGGGGAATGCAGGCAGCCTTGGAAGTGGGGATAATGTCTTCAGTGGGGAGCTCAGGGGCAGAGAATTTGGGGTGGAGCGCACTGGGCTAGGAGTCAGGTCTGATGCGGCTTCCTCAACCTCAGTTTCCTTGGCCAGGGTGTGGGTACTAAGCCCCATCCATCATTCATGGGCTCCAGCTAGTGTGAATAGTCTAAGATTGTTTTGGAAGCTGATTTGTTTGTCTATTCCAAGGCCCACATGTATGAACATCATACGTATTTTTAATCTAAGAAAATATCAGAAGGACATCTACAACTTGCTTAAAGGAATTAATAGTCCCCCCGAACCTCTCCCTCTGAGGATCAAGTTTCTTTCACATCATAGTGACCACCTGCTAAACCCACATTACATCGCATTTGTTCCCTCTCATTCCCCAATGATGAGTCATTGTCCTCCCCTTAATATTTTTATACCCAACTCATGATCAAACTGTCTTGCCAAAATTGTAAGCAAAACCTGTTCGCAGCCACCCGTCAGGGAGGGAGGCAGGCCTGGGGACTGTGGATAAATCCCACACATTCTCTTGATAGTCTCTGTGCCCCAGTCCCACAGGCCACAAGTGAAAAATGCTCCTGGGGGAAGAGGGTCCCCCTCCCTGGCCCACTCCCACTAAGGATGTATTAAGAGCCAAGCACGAAGTCGTGCTGATGGTGATGCATATAATCAGATCATCATGTGGACGGCATTCTCTACAATTTCCCCAGGAGTCTCTGGATTTTCCAACCACAATGGCGGTGTGGCTCCCTGTCAAATGATCATGCACACTGCAATGCAACTTTGTTGCCCTGCTTTGGAAGGGGAGGCCTGTGGTTGTGACAGATACTGTCAAAAGCAAGGGGGGCAGCACACCCGCTAGCCTGATGTGGGCCAGGATCTCAATACTCTGTTGATGGTCCCCAGCCTGGACCTGAACTGGAACACAGGGCACAGTGGAGAGACACTCTTTGGCTTCAGGGGAACCTGAGAGGAAATTCTGGAGCTGCCATTTCTTAGCCATAGGATGTTGTAGGTCCATCCTTTAACCTCTTTGAGCAGCCACACCCCCATCCATAAAACCAGGATGAAAATACCTGCTGCAAAAGGTTACAGTGAGAGTTAAATAAAGCATTATGTAAAAAGTAGTTAGAACCTAATACACACTCAATAAATATTTGTTACACTGTTGAAGCACGCAGGCACTGGTGTGAACCTACCTGTAACCAAATCTTTACTCTGCCATTTACTAGCCCTCGGACTTGGGCAAGCTACTCAATCCTACTGAGACCCCATTTGCTCATCTGAAAAATCAAGAAAATAATAACACTTACCTCCCAACTTCCCATGGTGGCCTTAAGGAATAAATTCATTAAATGAGACAAGTGGTTAAAAAACAAATATATATATGTTTTTTATGTATATACAATATACAATATGTATATTGTAGAATAATGCTCATTTTTAACTTATTCTTTTGGAATAGTTTCAGACTTACAAAAATTTGAAGGAGTAGCACAAAGGATTCCCATCCACCTTCTATATACCAGCTTCCCCAAACCTTAACATTTTGTCCCCTGTGCACATCATTTTCTCTCTCATATATACAAACATAGGTGTGTATAAGTTCAATTTGTTTCCTGAAAAATTTGAGAGTAAGGCAGAGCCATCATGTTTTTTTAATCTCTAAATATTTTATAGAGTATATTTCCTAAAAACAAGGACACTCTCTTACATAACCACAGTGCAATTATTGAAATCAGGAAATTGACCTTGATAAAATAGCATCATCTAATCTTACTCAGATTTCACCAACTGTCCCACTAATGTTCTTTTCCTGGTCCAGAATCCATTCCAGGATGGCATGTTTCATTTATTTGTCACATCTCTTTAGTCTGCCTGAAGCTGGAATGATCTTCTGTTTTTCCTTTGTCTTTCATGGTCTTGATTATTTTGAAAAGTAAAAGCAGTTATTTTGTAAAATGTCCCTCAGTTGAGTGTGTATAATGTTTCTCATGATCAAATTCAAGTTAGGGATTTTTAGCAGGAACACCATAGCACCAGCAGGGATGTTATGCCTTCTCAGAGCATCACACTACGCGGTGTTGATTTGTCCCTGTTAACTGGGGATGTTAGCTCTGATCTTGGTTCATGTGGTGTCTGTCAGGTTTTTCCACGGTGTTACCTTTTCCCTTCTGTCATTCATAAGTATCTTTTGGAGAGTGACATTGAAGTTAGGTAAATATCTCATATCTTATCACAATTTCAACCAATGATGTTAGCCTCCATGGATGAATCTGGCCTGAAACAAGTATTACTGTAGTGGATGCCAATGTTCAACCCCATCGTTCTTTCTTCATCCATCATTTGAAAGCTACTGTATTGAAATGCTTCCTCCCTTTATTTATTTATCTCAGGAGTATGAATTCATAGATTCTTGTTTTCTGCCCCCTGAGCTTATGAATTAAGATAAATGTGGCCGGGGACATGTCTGTAATCCCAGTACTTTGGGAGGCCAAGACAGGAGGATCACTTTAGTCTAGGAGTTAGAGACCAGCCTGGGTAACATAAGCAGATTCCATCTCTACAAAAAATAAAAATAAAAAATTAGCCAGGGAAGGTGGCACATATGCCTGTAGTCCCAACTATTCAGGAGGCTTAGGTAGAAGGATCACTTGAGCCCAGGAGGTTGAAGCTGCAGTGAGCCATGATCATGCCACTGCACTCCAGCTCCCCTGGACAACAGCAAGACTCTGTCTCATAAACAAACAAAGAAGATAAATATTACAGTTTACAGTTGTAAGAGTGTACTCTCCTGCCATTAATGATACCCATTTTCAATTACAATGATGACCAATATTTGCTATACACTTGTCATGTTTCAGGCAAATACTAAGCATTTTATTCACATTATCTCATTTAATTCTTAAATGACCCTACAAGGCAAGTCCCATTATTTTAGATGAGGAACCTGTTGCTGTTAAGAGACTACTGTGGGACAATCAACAGTATAGCTGCTGCTATAAACATAACTGTACAAATATCTGTTTGAGACCCTGTTTTCGATTCCTTTGGACATATACCCAGAAGTGAATTGCTGGATCATATGGTAATTCTATGTTTAGGTTTTTTTTTTAAGAACCACGATACTGTTTTCCAATAACCAAGTGGCTTTTAACACACCACTGTCTAAGAATATTCCCTTCTCCAACCCTCAGGTCTACTCTCTGCTTTATTTCAGAACCATGGGGTGGATAATAAGAATGAGCTTCAGCTGTAGCCTCAAGGGATCGAGAGCGCCACTGAAAACCCCACACTGCCCAAAAGGCCTCTAAATCAGGATCCCGACTGCCCCACACATGAAGAACAGAACTTTGACTCTCAGTAAGATCCTGTGGCCACTTCCACTGTGAGCAGGGAACTATCCTTCCCCTAAACAAGGATGCGGACAGAAGTGGGGCTCCACCTCTGCAGACCCGGAAGTGATGCCAGAGATGCATACGGAGAGTCCTATCCACAAAACTACAAGTGTCTGCTCTGCACCTCTGTCTAATTATGATCCAGTGTCTTCACACCCCCCAGGGACAAGAGACTTGTTTGTTCGAGCTGACATATCTATTATTACTCCTTAGGTAGTTAGGAGAATCATTTGCAGTGTTCATTAATCAGTATCACCTTATGGATTACTAAACAGCAGCACTGCTTTAGCTAATGAGCCCCAGTAGTGTAATATTTTACATATTTTATAGCAAGACAATTAAGCAATGTCTTGCTTTTATAGCAGACCTTAAAATAAATCATCTGAGATACAAAGAGGAGAACAGGTAACAGTGCATATAGTGTATTTGCTACTAGAACTGGGGAAGTTAAACTCTTCTCCACCCAACCCCTTGTTACACACATACTCTACCTACATAGAAATAACAGGTTTTCAGAGCTTTTTTGCTCAATTTCCTAGCTTCAGAATTACAAAGTACTTATGTAAAATGTGTATGGTTCATAGGCAGAGAAGACAAGGGAAAGAAGGAAAGATGAATAAGCTGTGTTTCGTCATTGTAGGCAAGAAGGGATGAAAAATGCTAGTATGTATTGAATGTCCAACTATGCTGGGTGTTCGTATCCACCCCTCATTTAACTTTCATAAAATCCTGTGAGGTAGGTGTGATGGCTAATATTGAGTGTCAACTTGATTGGATTGAAGGATGCAAAGTATTATTCCTGGGTATGTCTGTGAGGGTGTTGCCAAAGAAGATTAATATTTGAGTCGGCGGACTGGGAGAGGCAGACCCACCCTCAATCTGGGTGGGCACCATCTAATCAGCTGCCAGTGTGGCTAGAATAAAAGCAGGCAGAAGATGGAAGAGCAGACTTTCTGAGTGTTCCTGCTTTCATCTTTCTCCCATGCTGGATGCTTCCTGCCCTCAAACATTAGACTTTAAGTTCTTCAACTTTTGAACTCTTGGACCAGTGGTTTGCCAGGGCTCTTTAGGCCTTTGGCCACAGAATAAAGGCTGTACTGTCGGCTTTCCTATCTTTGAGGCTTTGGGACTCGGACTCATCCACCAGTGGCTTCCTTGCTCCTCAACTTGCAGACGACCTATTGCGGGACTCTACCTTGTGATTGTGTGAGTCATTTCTCCTTAACAAACTCCCTTTCATATATACATCTATCCTATTAGTTCGTCTCTCTAGAGAACCCTTACTAATGCAGTAGGTATTAGCATCCCCACTGAGAGTTGCCAGTTACTCAAAGCCATTTAAGTTGTAAATGGCTGCACCAGGATTTAAAAACTAGGTCTACATGATCACCAAGACCCTGATCCTCCCAGGACTGTGTCAAGAATGCAGGCAGAATCTCCACCCCCACCAGTTTCTCTGCTAGTTTTTTGAATGCCTTCACCTTCCTAGGAGCATGGGCTGACCTCCATAACACGCTTTTCTCCTACATTGTGCTGACTCTGGGAAAGAAGGACAGACAGCCTTCCCATGCCTCACATGTCTCTTTGGCAAGACCCCCCTACTCAGTCCAGAACTCCCATTTGCCCCACCCCCCATTAGCCAGTCATAAAGATGTTCAATGACTAACGATGAATTTATGAGTTTAGCTGCCAGATAGTGTCGCCTCTGCCCTGCAACCCTAGGAGTTTAAAAAAAAATTAGAGAATTCCACTCAATTCTACTCATCCTACTAAAGATGAGATTTTAGCAATAAGAGGTTTTACCCAAAGCACCCCACCACCCACCCACAACTTAGATCTACTGCTCTACACTCTCCTCCAAGCACATCACAGGTCTTAGGGCAGCAGAGGGACAGGCATGTGTTTGCAGCTGCTCTGAGCTTAGGCCGCTGCCACTACCAGCCTCCAGGTGGACCCAAAAATTCAAGACTCACCCAGGTCACATCTTCCCCATCTGTGAAACAAAGGCAGATTCTTCTTTTTTTGCCTTTGAAGCATGAGTTTCCAACCACTGGTAGGGTCTCATGACTGCTTCCCTGAGTGGAGACAGAGTCCCCAGGGCTGGTCCTAGTCCTATTTACTCTAATGGTTCCCTAGGGGCTGTGGCTAGCCTCCCATGACTGCAGGCCACCTGCCAAGAAGGAGGCTCTCACTATGAATGAGGCCATGGCCAAACCTTGTAGTCAAGCAACTCAAATGTCCACAACAGCAGGAAAATGTTTAAAATATGTATATAAATGATCTGCCATAGAGTGAAAATACCATGTAGCTATGAAACAAACAAACAAATAAGCCAGGACTCTCTGAATAGAAATGGAAAGATCTCCAAGATATATTCTGAAGAGAGAAAATTACAGAGTATCTAATGTATTACCTTTTATGCGAAAGGGAGAAATGAGACTCCATATTCATATTTGCTTGCATATATATTTCAATCCCTGAAATACTTTTAATCCCTGAAATAAGATACCAAGGAGAGTGGTTACTTCTTCTTGCAAGCACCTTCTAGGCAGGAGGGCTGGACATCTGGGGACAAAGTTGATAAGAATTTCATCAGATGTACCTTGAAGTATTAAACCATGTAAAGGTATTAACTATTCAAAAGACATTATATTTTAAACCTCACAAACACCCAGGAAGGGGCAGAGCAGAACTCACACTAAGTATATAGGATCCCAAGCCACATCCTGCCATCTTTGTGCTCAGGGCACAGTGGCCTGCACACAAGGTAGACTCTATACAAATGTTTGCATCATGGTGATGCAGAGACGCCACCATGGCCAGGGACTGAGAATCAGATTTGACTCTAATCCATAGACCGCACTGATGGGGACTTGCTGGACCCTGAGTTGGGACATGGAGAGGGCAGGGCTATTGCCAGAAAACTCCTATCCCAGTCTGCCTCAACTGCTGGTTTATGAGCCACATCTCCCCAGCAACAAGGCAGGACCCCAAAATCACCTCCAACTTTCTCCAACAATGAATTCTTCCCCATTCTGGGTTAGAAGGTGCCAACTTCCAAGGTTCCTCTCTAGGTCCATCTGACCCCCTAGAGAGCTTTTCCCAATTGGCCCCTCTGGTCACTCTTTGTGGATGCTTCTATCTTATTACCACCACTTAATGGCAGGGTCCTAAGGGCACAGACCTTCTGTGGTGTTGGATATCTCTCATTTCCCCATACACAGTGTGCACAGGAGAGACCCCAACGGTGTCTATGGACCGAATGCCTGATATCACAGAAGCAGCAGCTGTTTATTCCCATTTTACTACAAGAGAAATCAGTGTGATTAGAAGCAGTATATTGAAGGGGAGACTTGATGGCAACAAGTGATGACAATTGACAGCATAACAGAAAGTCATCAAAAGCAGACCCAAGGATTTCCACATCTCTGCAGCCTGGGGCCATTAGGTCTTGTGGTCACAGGGCTCTCCAAGTTAGAACTCAGGGTCACTGCTGTTCGGAGTCAGATCACCAAGCCTTGAGGCCGTCAGTGGGGATGGGAGCCAGTGCTGTAGGCAGTGAGTCCACCACATCAAAGTGCCAAAATCCCACCAGGGCTGGGCCTGAACATGAGGTGGGTCGGCACATGCCCTCCCAGGCTCATGTCTGGGTGTACATCCCTCAGGGGGCCTGCAGAGAGGAAAATGGCAAAGCGCAGACTACACCTTGTCTCAGAAAGAGCAAGGATGCCCTGCAGTGGAATAGCACTTACCAGTGCATTCTGGGACAAAAGGAAAAAGGCAGGGAGGAGAAAGCAGATGGTGGCCATAATATCAATAATGGCCATTCCCTGAGGGCCTGCGATGAGCTAGCCATGGTTCTAGGCCCCAGAGGTACTGTGGTAAGTGAGACAGGCAAGGCCCTTGCTCTTCCCAGCTGATTCTAAAGGTAGATACAGACAACCAACCAAGTAAACACATAGGAAATAAACTCAAGAATGATATATGCTGTTCAGAGCATGAAACAGGATGGTAAGAGAGTGACCGGAGTGGCCATAAGAGCAGGTGCTTGGGGAAGGCCTCTCTGCCGAGGTGATAACCTGAATGGAGGCTGGCCTCTTGAAGAGGCAGTGGCTGTGTTGAGATCTGAGAATAGACCATTTCAGAATGCAAAGCAGGTGAGAAGACCAAGACAGGAACAAACTTGCGGGTGTGAGTAATAGAAAGAAGCCTGGCAAAGGTGGGTTGGGGTAAAGAGGGGAAGGTGTGGGAGAAAGGGAGACTGGAGGTATCTCCAATGCAGCCATCTTGGAAGGCCGTGGAAGCCCTGATGAGAAGCCTGGGTTTATTTCTTTCTTTTTCTTTTTCTTTTTTTTTTTTGAGATGGAGTTTCACTCTTGTTGCCCAGGCTGGAGTGCAATAGCACAATCTTGGCTCACCACAACCTCCACCTCCTGGGTTCAAGCGATGCTCCTGCCTCAGCTTCCCAAATAGCTGGGATTACAGGCATGCACCATCACGCTCCACTAATTTTTGTATTTTTAGTAGAGATGGGATTTCACCATATTGGCCAGGCTGGTCTCAAGCTCCTGACCTCAGGTGATCCACCTGCCTCGGCCTCCCAAGGTGCTGAAATTACAGGTGTGAGCTACCGGGCCCGGCTGCCTGGGTTATTTCTGTGATAAGAAAACCACTGGAAGGCCTTAGGCAGGACAGGGAGGTGACCCATTGCACCATCAAAATGCAGGAGTGGAATGTGAAGCACCAGACAAAAGGCTACTTCGGGAGCCAAGGAAAGATGGTGGAGGTTTGGACTTGGAAGGAAGCAGTGGAGATGGATGGAAGGGATCAAATGTGAAATGTATGTTAGAAGGTAGATGTGTTTAACTACTTGCTGATGGAATAGATATGGAGGGTGAAGGAATAAAAGGAGTAGAGTGAGACTCAGTCTCACTTTTATATGTCCCTTATTTCTAGCACCAAGCATTGCCCATGGCAGGATTTAACGAATACTTGAATACTTAAATACTTAGATGCTCAGCTATCTGCTGGCAGATTGGCTGACTGGTTAGTTGTTTGAATGGTTGATTGATTGAATAGTTGCTTAATTGGATGGATGAGTGGGTAGTTGGTTAACAGGTGGATGGGTAGTTGACTGGCTGGGTGAATGATTGGATGGGTGGATGGGTGAATAGGTGGATGGGGGAATGAATGGTTGGCTGATGGTTGGGTAAGTAGGCAGTAGGGATGTTGGTTTGGTCACTAACTGGTTAATGTCTTCCCTACTCACTGCACAATCTCTCCTTCCGGGGTCCTTGGGACCCAACCAACTCCCTTGACCCTGAATCCTGGCCCTGGGCGACACTGACACTACTTATTCCCCCCTAGGTCCTGCATTGTCCAGATCTTCCAGGACTATTGGGGGACCAATGCTGAGCACTTGGTCCTGAAAGATTTTCACTGCAGTGGACAGGTATACAAAGTAGGCCCTGACTCAGGCAGAGTACCAGCTTTGCCTCTTAGTGGTGTGTGATCCTAGGCAAGTCATTCTACCTCAGCTCCACTTTGGTAGAGTGGAGCTAAAAATATCTGGACCACCTGCTCACAGGGTCATGAGAATCAAAGGAGAAACCACATATGAGGGTGTCCAACAGATGTCAGGAATGACTTTCATTCTGTTCTAGCAGTTAAGGAGCAAGAGTTCCTGCCTGGAGAAGGCATCTCCCAAGTTCTAGGGCCTTGTGTCTTCCTCACTTGCTGCTGCCCTCAAAGTCAGCCTAATTTGTACCTGAACCTCAGCCCTCTGCCTTGGTGGTAATCAGTGTTTCCTTGGCTTGCCTTTCTCTGCCTTACATACCTTGCTCTCTGCTGTGCCAATGTCCACCATGCGTCGACCTCGCCCTGGTTGTACTTTAGACAAAGTTCTTGCAATGCCATCTGCCTCCAGTTCTGCATTTGGAGAGCAAAACTTGTCTCCTAGCTGGAGATCTCAAGCCCAACCCAAAGCACAATGTCTAGAACTTAGTAAGATCTTAGTAAGTATGTGTTCATGCATGAATGATGCCTCACTGATTTTCCAAACTGTGTTTTGCCTAGGTGTATAAGTTAGCATTTGCTGCATAACCAATCACCTCAAAATGTAGTAGCTTAACAAACACATACTAGTCCTCATAATTCTGTGGGTGGCCTCCAGTTCTGGTCTAGGTAGCTTGACTAGAACCAGATGGTCTAGAACAGCCTCGCTCATGTCTGGGACTGCTGAGATGACTGGGACCTCTCTCCACATAGCCTCTCATCCTCAAGGAGGCTAAGCCTGGTTTTTCCACAAAACAGCAGATGAGCTTCCAGCAGCAAAAGAACACAAGCCCAATGCACATGAACTTAAGACAACATCGCACATTTACTATCTGCTGGCTAAGGCAAGTCACACAGCCAAGGTCAGGTCAGAGTCAACCTAGGAAGGGATTGCACAAGGGCATTGACAGAGGAGACATAATTTATTGGGGGACATTAATGCAACAACTTACCATACTTGATGACTTGGAACAGGCTTGACTAGGCCCATGTTCCATAAACTCCTTGGAGAAGCAGAGCATTGAAGACCACCAGGGTAGCCAGAGAGATCAAGAAGCAGCTGGTTGAGAGCTATCGGGTCTGGCCGGAATCCTAAGAAAGAAACTGGAACCTTCTATCCAACATGACCCCACACACATACAAGCTTTCACCTTTGTATTGGCTATTGACACATAATGCTGCATAACAAACAACCTGAAAATATCAGTGCCTTCTATTCGCAACAGCAAAGACATGGAATCAACCCAAATGCCCATCAGTGATAGACTGGATAAAGAAAATGTGGTACATATACACTGTAGAATACTATGCAGCCATAAAAAGGAATGAGATCATGTCCTTTGCAGAGACGTGGATGGAGCTGGAAGCCATTATCCTCAACAAACTAACACAGAAACAGAAGACCAAACACCACATGTTCTCACTTATAAGTGGGAGCTGAACAGTGAGAACACACAGACATAGGGAGGGGAAAAACACACACTGGGGCCTGTCAGATGGAAGGAAGGGAAAGCATCAGGAAAATACCAAATGCATGCAGGCTTAATACCTACATGATGAGTTGATAGGTGCAGCAAACCACCATGGCACATGTTTACCTATGTAACAAACCTGCATGTCCTGCACATGTATCTTGGAACTAAAAATTATTAAATTTTTTTAAAAATCAGTGCCTTACAACACATATTAATTTTTCTTGCTTGCAGGTCTGTGGGTCAGTTGGGGTTCAGTTGTGTTTTAGGCTCAGCTGGGATTGCTGTCTTCCACGTGTCTCCTTTTGGGGTCTAGACCAAAAGGGCAGTGGCTACACAGAGCACATGCTTTTCCTAGCAATGGCAGAAGTACAACAGAGAGAGCTCAACTGTTCAATAACATTCAATCTTCTGCTTACATCACAACTGTGAACATCTCATTGTCCAAAGCAAGTTACACAGCTAAGCCTGAAGTCAAAAGGCAGGGAGATATCCCTTGTATACCACAAAACCATGTCAGGTGTGGTTGTGGAATACTCCTACATAGAAGTAAAGAATCCAGTCCAATTTTGTAATCTGCTACAACCTGCCACCCTGGCCCCCTGATCTTTCCATTTCCTCCACCCCGGCTCCATCACTTCAAAGCTAGAAGTAACAAGCAGGTCAGCCAGTCTTGCCCTGCAAGGTGACCAGCACTTTCCCAGAAGCTTCTCTGCTCCCAGGTCCCATAGTAGAAATGGCCAAAAAGATGCCATGGGCATAAGGTTTTGTCTTCCCACAGAAAACAAAGCCCTGAGGCCACTGGGCTACATTTGTCAGAATAGAAGCATTAGATTTTGCCTGTTTTGACACTTGTCGTCATTTCTGATATCCAATGTCACTAGGATCTTACAGTCAAGGTTGAAAACAGCACTATTGGATGATATCCATATCTGACAGGGACTGTTGTCCAGGACACATTTTTATGATTAAACCTCTTCTAGCAGTTAAGACAGCAGAACACTTTCGAGGTAACTGGGTAAAACTTCCTTGTGAAACATGTTGATTTGAACCACCTGGGCAGAGCAGATGGCCGGATTGTCTTTCTATCTTGCAGAGCACCTTTATTGAGTTATTACATTCTCTTAACACATGTAAAGAGAGATCTCATTCATTAGCCCATAGAACTTCCCCAGGCCCCAGGAAGAGGAGTTGAGGGGATGTTAGAAAACAAGACCCTTGGCCAGGCATAGTCATTCACATTCACACCTGTAATCCCAGCTCTTTGAGAAGCCGAGGCAGGAGGATCACTTGAGCCCAAGAGTTCAAGACCACCACCCTGGGCAACAACAGCAAGACCCCAATCCCACAAAAAATAAAAACTAGCTGAGCATGGTGGTGTACACCTGTAGGTCCTAGATACTTAAAAGGCTGAGGCGGGAGGATCGCTTGAGCCCAGGAGTTTGAGGTTGCAGTGAGCTATGATCATGCCACTGCACTCCAGCCTGGGTGACAGAGCAAGACTCTGCCTCAAAAAAAAAAAAAAAAAAAAAAGAAGACCCTTTTTAGGGTGCACCTGCTAAGTGCCAGCTGCTACATAAGAGGCTTCAGGGATGCAAGCAACAATAAGGTCTGGCCCCTGTCCTCACCATGCACACACTTGGGGAAGAATCATAAGGAAGGGGATATAGTAGTTGGTGTAGACAATAAATCCTACAGGAATTTTTGAGGAAAGGGAAGTTCCAGAGGCTGGCTGAGCAGAGATGGTGCCACTTGAGATCACCAATATTTGGTATATAAGGGGATTAAGACTGGAAAAGATGAAACGACTGGCATAATAAAGATGGCAGTGGGGGTGCGGGTGCCATGGCTTATGCCTGTAATCCCAGCACTTTGGGAGGCCGGGGTAGAAGGGTCATTTGAGCCCAGGAGTTCAAGGCTTGCACCACTCTACTCCAGAGAGACCTTGCCTCAAACAAAACGTATGGAAAGCACAAACCATGAAAGTTTAATAAATCTAAATGAGGGCCAGGCACGGTGGTTCACGCCTGTTATCCCAGCACTTTGGCAGGCCAAGGCAGGTGGATCACCTGAGGTCAGGAGTTTGAGGCCAGTCTTGCCAACACGGTGAAACCCCATCTCCAGTAAATATACAAAAATTAGCCGGGCATGGTAGCAGGCGCCTGTAGTCCTAGCTGCTTGGAAAGCTGAGGCAGGAGAATTGCTTGAATCCAAGAGGCAGAGATTACAGTGAGCCAAGATCGCGCCACGGCACTCCAGCCTGGGTGAAAGAGCGAGACTCCGTCTCAAAAAAAAAAAAAAAAAAAAAAAAAGGATGGGGGAACCAGAATTCAATCTCAGTTCTCCTGAATTTGGGTTCCAGGTATGTCCGTGATGTCAGAATCCTCCCCTCACTGACAACTTTCCAGAAGTGTCTTGCTTAGTCTTGTCCCAAGATTGTATAGATGGAAATGGATTAGAATAAATTCCACCAAGACTTTCAAAACCTATGTTCTAGACCTGGCTTTGCCATTTTTCAGTCATTTAATCCCACTGCAAGGCCTTCTGTTGGAGCCTGGTTTTCGATGTCTATAGAAAGGGGTAGAAATCAGAGAGTACCAGAATTGCAAGAGATCTCACAGGCTAACTAGTACACAAGATACTTGAAGCCCTCCCCACTGGAAGAGTTGTAGCCTATACTTGCATACTTCTGATGATAAAGAACTCAGCACTCTCTAGGGAAGCATCTGTCATCTTTGGGCAGCTCTATTGGAAAGTTCTTAAAGTGAACTGATATTTATTTCCCTGCTTACTCTAGCTGTAGATCTTTAATCTCCCTCTTTGAGACAAGCAGAACCCGTTCTTCCCAAGGAAAGGTCTTCCCTCATTTGAGGACTTGGCTCATGGGACCCTAACCTTCTGCCTTCTGTTGGGTGTCCCCAGTGCCTTCCATCACTTCTCACATGGCCCGGTTTCAAGTCTCTTTAGTAACTTGAGCTCTCTTCTCTGGAAAGGTTTCCACTTCTTTTCAGAGATCCAACAACCAAGGACAGAAGCCAGTGTGGAATTCTCACCAGTCCACCACAGAGAAATCCTTCCCTCCCCAGCAACCGCATTTCCATCCTCACAGCCTGACACTGGAATGGCACTTCCTCCCACACTTGTGACACATACTGGGCTTTCTTTCAGCCAACTAGGTCTGTTTCACGTGTGTCAAGAAGTCACTCTTCCCTGGTTTCTTATTAAGGGATTGCATTTGGACTCATCCAAATTCTGAATCTTACACTTATCTTGGTTTTTTTCCTCCATTCAGGTCTCTGCTCCAATAGATCAAGAGCCATTTATATCTTTGGGGTGTGTTGTTTGTTGATTTGACGTGCACTGGAGTGGTTTTGCTTTAAAATTTTAGAGTGTGTTGGGACTTAAAAGAGCCAGTTCAACCCTCTCATTTATTTATATATGTATTTGGTATTCTTTAAATTATAAAAAGTAGAGAAAAAGTCATGAATGGACATTTCACAGAAAAGGAAGTACAGTGCTAAAGGCTCTTAACTTTATGAAAAGATGGCCACCCTCATGCATATTAAAAGAAACAAAGATTACCCACCAAATATGTAAAGATCAAACAGTTGCCAAAAATATAGGAAAAAGGCTCACAGTTATATTGCTGGTGAAAATCCAAATAGACTACTCCATGAGAGCAATATGAAAACATCTACCAAATTGCAACACAAAAATAGTAACAATAATGAGCATACCATTTAAATTCAAAGCTAACAGGAAGAGGGAAAAATAAATATAGGAGTGGAGATCAATAAAACAAGTAACAGAGAAACTTCAGCATTGTATTAGAGACAAGTAACTTCTGAAATAAACTAAATAAATGGAGGGATATATACTATATTCATGGGTTGAAAGACTCAATATTGTTATGATGTTGATTCACTCCAAATTATAGATTTAATGCAATTCCATGCAATTCCTCACAGGCTTCTTTGTAGAAATTGAAATGCTGACGATTAAAACTGACACGGAAATGCAAAGAACTTTGAATAGCCTAAAGAATGTTGACCAAGAGGAAAAAAGAAAAGGAGTTGCGTTACTTGATTTCTTACTATATAAGTTATACAGGTCATAGATAGATAGATGATAGATAGATAGATAGATAGATAGATAGATAGATAGATAGATAGATGACTTACTTGGAAAACTACAGCAATTAAAACAGTGTGGTTAACTGATGTTTGACAGAGGTACCAGAACAATTCAATAGGGAAAGGATAGTCTTGTCAACAAATGGTGCTGGAACAAATGGAAAGTTATTCAGAAAAAAATGAATTTTGCTCCACAGCTCACAAATGCACAAAAAAAAAGCTCAAAATGAATTATAAGCCTAAGCACAAAAGTTTAAATTACAAAATTTCTAGAAGAAAAGATGGGGGAAAACTTTCAGATCTTAGCTTAGGCTAAGATTTCTTAGATGGGACACACACCCACATACACACATATTAAAAAAAAAAGAAGAAGAAATAAAGTGGATTTCATCAAAATAAAAACTTCTGCTCTTCAAAAGACACAATTAAGAAAAATAGCAGGCAACCAACAGACAATAAGAAAAAATTCACAATATGTATAGCTTAAAAAGAATGTGCATACAGAATATATAAAGAACTTTTATGACTCAATAAGAAGACAAAGAACCCAATGAAAACAACAGACAGAAGATTTGAACAGACACTTCTCAAAAGAAGACATACTGATAGACAATAAGAACACTGAAAGATACTCTACATCATTAGTCATCAGAGAAATGAAAATTAAAAGGATAATGAGAGGCCAGGCATGGTGGTTCACGCTTGTAATCCCAGCCTTTTGGGAGGCTGAGGCAGGTGGAATGCAGCTTAAGAGTTCAAGACCAGCCTGGGCAACATGGTGAAACCCTATCTCTACAAAGAATACAAAAATTATCCAGGCATGTGGCATGTACTTGCAGTCCCAGCTACTTGGGAGGCTGAGGTGGGAGGATAGCTTGAGTCCAGGAGGTCAAGGCTGCAATAAGCTGTGATTGCATCCCTGCACTCCAGCCTCAGTGACAGAGCAAGAGACTGTCTCACCAAAAAAAAAAAAAAAAAGAAGAAGAAAAAGAAAGGATAATGAGATTCTTCTACACAACGACTAAAATTGCTAAAAACAAACAAACGAAACAGAATAAGCCTTGTTTATAGGGTTCTGCTCTCCTAGAAGTTCCCACTTTGGGGACCAGAACCTCAGTTAGGCTGTCAGAAGGGATATTCCCAGTTTGGGTAGTTGGCCAAAATAATACCTGGAGGGGTCACTTTATGATGCCTATAAAAGAATTTGCTGAGAATGAGAAGAATTTGCTGAACCAATTCATGAAGTACAAATTCTAGACATTTTACAACTCAGTGACCTTACTATTAATGATTTTCAGGGGATTCTGATATTGTCAATCTGCCCTTCACTTGGCCCAGGCATGGCTGAGCAGGGGCCACATTGCGGTGGTAAGAAGTGAAGCTTTGAGTGGCACAGACCTGGCCTCCACTCCACTGAGTGACTGAGAGCTTGGGCAAGTTATTCAGTGTCTGAGCCTCAGTCTCCTCATACCTAAAAATGGGATAAGGACACTTACTTCACAATACTGTCATAAAAGTTTCCGTGAAATCAAGTATCCCTTGGCACATGATGTCATCAATAAATGACTCATGTTACTCTTTTTTTGTTTGTTTGTGTTTTTTGAGACAGGGCCTGGCTCTGTCGCCCAGGCTGGAGTGCAGTGATGTGATCGTGGCTCACTGCAGCCTCCACCTCCTGGGTTCAACCCATCCTTCCCCTTAGCCTCCCTAGTAGCTAGAACTACAGGCGTGCACCACCATGCCCAGATAATTTTTGTATTTTTTGTAGAGGCGAGGTTTCACTATGTTGCCCAGGCAAGTCTTGAACTCCTGGGCTCAAGCAATCCATCAGCCTCAGCTTTCCAAAGAGCTGAGATTACAGGTGTGAGCCACTGCAACTGGCCTCATGTCACTCTTGCTGATAAACCTACCTAACTTTCTTATCCCCTTGAGATGCTCTGCTGATCTTCTCCTGGGCAGCGTGCCTCACCACTGTGTGCTAAGGTGCCACTGAGCTACCTTGTGCCCTTTCCCAGCTCTGTATCACAGCAGAGACCACCCTACAAGCTGCACTTCCCAGACTCCCATGTCAGCCTATGGGAGGCAAGAGAGATCGTACTGGAGGGTGGGGAAGAGGAGGCAGCCAGGGTCCTTCTCCTCCTGACTCTCTGCCTTGGGGTGTCTTTCAGGCAGCAGCTCCTCCAAGCTTCACTCCCACTTGATTCCAGATTACATTGGGCTCCAGTAACACCATCTCTTCCCTCCGTTTTTCCAGCCTGGCAGGGTAGTAGCTCCCGCCCCTTGCTAATCTCTGGGGTACTTTATTGAAATAACCATATTTGGCTTCTGGGCTCCTCCATACCATCTGCGTCCTAAATTCCCTGTCTTACACTTCCCCTGTTGTAAATACCTGACATGTTTCCTGTTTTCCTGGTCTGCTCCTGACCATACAGATGGTTGGTCACTTGGTACGCAGGACCCTTGAGATTTGCAGAACATTAATTGTCATTGCTTATGGCTTGTTCCCAGTCCACCGTCAGTGCCAGTTCTCTATCAATCGCTTTGCTGGGAAAGCTTTGCATCTCTCCGATCCCTTTAGTAAAATGCCTGCTACTAATTACCTATTACCCAAGGGGATGGGATGGCTTCTTTCTGTTTTAGAAATTTTATGGCCAGATGCCTGGCCGTGGGTATTTGTTTCTGGAGTTCATCTCGGTGTGCAAATTGGTTGGGGAGAGGGGAGAATTGTATCGTTTTCCTTTAGTTGAAAAGAGTAACTTCCTGAACGAGATCCCAGTTAAGAGTGGATTTTTTTTCTCATCATTGCACAGAAGGCTGGACACCATGTCTCTCTCCATGTAACACATACAACATCTCTCCACCCTGCCCACACCACCCCAACGCTGACCACGCACAGCAGCTCAGGCCTATTTGTTTACCAAGTTTACACACAACATGGTTCAGGCTGAATTTGCATGGTGCTAGGTTCTATGGAGAATACATGGATTTGTTGGACGAAAATGCCCCCCATCAAAATCAGCTATATAATTTGCAGGATCCAGTGCAAAATGAAAATGTGGGGCACCTTATTCAAAACGTGTTAAGAGGAAAACAGTGGAGCTTTGAATCAAACACAGGGTCTTGTGCATATGCGCAGGTGCACGCCCAGGCACCTGGTTCGTCCTCCACCTCCCCCAGCACGGTGCCCAGGATTGAAGCCCGCTTTAGGAAGACTGGATTTAAGTACCTAAAACAGTGCCAAGTGACATGGGATCAATGGGCTTGCATGGTCCCAGAAGGTGACTGCGCCAGGGACAAAGGAGTTCTCTTGGCCACATGGGTAGCATGCACAGAGGAGGGAAGAGAGGGAGGAGGGAGAGCTGCCTATCCTGAAACTCAGCCAGAGCATGGGGACCTATTTTACCAATTAATCATGCTGTAGGTTCAGTCTCCATGCTGCGTCTCCTTGGATTCCCCCATTACCACTATTTTGGCCCCCAAGTCTTCAAAAGCTCAGTCACCCTCCTCTAATGCTTTAGCCATGGGACTTTGTATTATCTGCCTTAAACTTGAGCAAGCTAAGGGAGAAGGGGAATCCTTTAGCCTGGGCCAATGCATATCAATTAACCACAATAGCAGATCACATTAATCTATGCATAAAGAGAAAGCTATATATTGACACAGGAATTGACAAATCTACAGGCCACATAAGATCACTAAAGAGGCCTGGACCTTGGGGACAGACCCATCTCAGGACTGGCAGCATGGCAGGGGAACCACAGATATCCAGTCTGGATGAGGGAGGGAATCTGGGTTTGAATTGCAGCTCTGCCACCTGCTAAGTGATCTTGGGATAAAAGATTTCATGTCTTTGACCCTCAGTGTTATCGTCTGTAAAACAGGGATGGTATCTATCTTATTTGAGGATTAAAGCATTCGCTTTACATACCTTAGTATGTAATAATACCTTTTACATACATTAGTATGTAATGATACCTGGTCTAGAGCATGTGCAGTAGTGGACTCTCAAAAATGATAGTTTTTGAATACAGATATATCTGTTATACACATGGCTATGTCCATATGTACATATATTGATATGAATCTGTATTATACATGTGTATTTATGTATATTTTCATGCATTCAGGTAAATGTGGTTGTATCACCATTCTATTGAACAACTTTCTCCAACACTGCTCATCCCAGCCTCAACTGTCCCTTCAAACCAGCTCTTCAGGTTGTTTTTTCCCTGCCCTGAGAATAAAATCTCTGGCAGGTCCCAGAGCTTTTCTGCTTTGCAGTCACTTTCAGTCCCAAGCATAGTCTCATTTCAGTAATTAAAATTTCAGGCCCAGAGTCATAATTACTAACTCCTTACTCTCCCCACAGTGTAGGAGCCCTCCCCAGCTCAGGCCAGCTTTAGCCAGGGAGGCCCAGGGGGGCCAAGGGCAACAGTGTGGTCTTCTCTCCACTTCCCAGTCTTGTGTATCTCCTCCTCTACTCCCCCGTACTCCCAGGCCTCCAGGTTTGGAAAAGAAGAGGAAGAAGAGGATTCAGATGTAATCTTGTGCCTTAACTGGCTACCATAGACGTTCAAAGTTCACTTTCTTGAGGGGTGCTTTTTCTGGGTTTCTCTAGAACTCTCCCTCTAGGAATTTCTCCTCCTGCTACTTCAGACACCCCAGCCCCTGGGCTTCCAGAGGTCCTCCCAACTCAGATGTTCTCAGTTGAGGTCACATTGTCTGACTAGCCAAAGTCGACTGTCTCCTGCAGATCTCCTTGGTTCATGGGAAGGCTCATTCACCCAGGCCCCCAATTCTAGGGAACATGGGTCAAGCTTTCTCAGTGGTCCTGCTTGAGCCTGTCTCCCTTGACTTGTGAGTGAGAAGGAAATACCACCTCCCAGGGTGGGGCAGGGCAGGGTGCAGGGAGCAGAAGGAGTTGTAAAATGGGGAAATGTACCACATTTCAACTAGCCCCTAAGTCCTCTGCCCTGACCTCTTTGCTTCAATCCTTTATAATCTTCTGGTAGGTGTCCTTTTAGCATCTTATTACACGTAAAATACCAAAGAAAGAAGGGATTGCCTTTGCCGCCTGCACGCCTGCGTCGTCCCATACTTACTACAGTTCCAGCTCAGGGGAAGTACTCAGAAAGCATTGGTTGAGTGGATGAATGAATACAAACCTCCAACCTAGGCTGGCAATTTATTTACTCTAGTTAACAAACATGTAATACTAGTTTGCCACCTGCCAGAATCTGTTCTAAGTGCCTTACAAGTATTACTACTTAGTCCTCATAACAACACTTTAAGAGGTGGATGTTATGGCCAACCCCATGTTACAGATGACAGAGGCTTAGACAGGTTAAGTCTGGCTCCAGGGTTTGTGCTCTTTACCCCTACCTCACCATCAGCATCCCCATGGCTTGAGAGTGTGTTCCAAATGCAAATTATCAGAAACCCCTGGATGCACCCACCCAACAAGAGGGTCAGCACTTCATTTTTCGCAAGCTCTTCTGCTGATTCAGGTGCTTGCTCTGTGTGAAACACACTGGTCCATACCTGCTGCCTCTCAAACGTATCCAATTATAAGAATTACCTGTGGTCTTGTTAAGACTATAGCTTCTTAGATGCCCCACCCCACCTAATGAATCAGACTGCAGAGTAGGGGCAGGGAGAACCTCAGAATCAGTATCTTTTAATTTTCTACTGGGCAAGTTTTTGAAACATTCATCCAAGCTATTCACATTTTGACTCTGCACTGGAAGAAAACTGGGATGAGATACCATAAAGAGCATGGTTGTGGGTGTGCAGGTGGGTGGGTGCATCTGGAGGATGGCAGGTTTATCTTTCCTGAAAAATTGAGTCAAACACAGCAGCTGTTCCATCCCGAAGCTTAGAGGACAGCAGATCACAAGAGAAATCGCAGGTATAAATCTCCCTCCCCTCAAAGGCGGACACCGATGTTTGTACATTGTTCGCAGCTTCCTAATCAGAAGGACAGATTCCACCTCCTGCAGGAATGTTAATGCCACCTCCGTCAGATATTTGCAGCTCAGCCTCAGAAGTCCGGTGCTCCAGGCAAAAGTTTGCCTTTATTGCTGTCTCTTTGAGAAGCCTGAGATCGTCCTTGCCAGGGATTTCCTGTAATAAATACTTTTGTCGTCTTGACTAAAGAAGTTGTTGATCTGAAACACCTTGGGCTGAAATATTACCTCTGCCTACTCCTTCACTGTAACCCGGCCCCTTCACAGTCACCCGGACTGTTGCAGTGTTGGGTTTGTGGGAGGCTGAAAAGACAAGGAGCAGGCCAGGAAGGGACCGAATCACCCACGAAAAGTGCCATGCCACCCGCCCCAAAACCCCTGGTTCCCAACTGCTGCTGAAAATCAAAAGGGAACAATGAAAAAAGGAGTTGGGTATAAGTTGGCACAATTTTAAATATCTTAGTGTTTATTTATTTATTTTTAGAGACAATGTCTCACTCTGTTGCCCAGGCTAGAGTGCAGTGGTGCAATCACAGCTCACTGCAGCCTCCAACTCCAGGTCTCAGGTGATCCTCCCACCTCAGCCTCCTCAGTTGCTGGGACTACAGGTGTCCACCACCATCCATGCCTGGCTAATTTTTTTTTTTTCTTGTAGAGACAGAGTCTTGCTATGTTGCCCAGGCTGGTCTCAAACTCCTGGATTCAAGAGAATCCCAAAGTGCTAGGATTACAGGATTGAGCTACCTCACCCAGTCTGGCAGAATTTTTAAAGTTAATATTGTAAAATAAAAGGATAAGTCCAGACATGTAACTTTTAACCCAGCTTTTCACTTATAATGTACTCTGGAATATTTATGATGCTCAACCTGTCCAAAACAATCTGCCAGACTGGGCCTTCCAGGCCAAAGGGTTTACATTCTACTCCACCACCATTTACCAGCCAGTGTGCCCTTGAGTGAGTCTTTAAACCTCCTTGGATAATTTATCTGTAAAGTAATAGAAGTCACACCTTGTTCAGCTGACCTCACGGGTTGTTGGGAGGATTATATGGGAAGATGGCTCTGAAAAGCACTTTGTAAATGCCCTCTCCGTGTGAAGGGTTATTATGGTATAAGAGCAAAAGTGGGTCCTGGGCAGATGCCAGACCACTAAGTATCAGACATGGAGGAAGGAGGTGGGTGGACAGTGCGATATCCCAGGGTGGGTGGTGAAAGATATCTACTCTGTGTGAACGATTGACTTTCACGATGTAATCCATGTCCTCAACTTGGGGATATGAGGATGTGAGATATCACTCATTGAGTGAGGGCCAAACAGAACCAAGGAATCACTCCTCTTCCCAGACATTGTAAAAGTCAAGACCTGACCCTTAAAATCCAACTCTGGAAGTGGAGATGTTAGAGACACAAGAGGTAACTTGCAGTGGTCTGACAGCCAATTGTAGGCATCTCTTCCCAACTCCACCTCCAGTGACATGTTATTCATGACACTAGTCATGAATCAGCCATGGTGGTGTATTTACACCACAGAAACTGCCAAACACTATAAGTCAGGGTACTGCACAGACAGAATGTAACTGTCGGGATGCAGAGATCGCTGCAAAAGATGAAAAGGGAAGACAGAAAAACTCCTCCTCCGCTCAGGAGAGGGTGTACTATTCAATCATTACACGTCTGATTGATCCAGGCAGACCACACAGAAGAGAGCATTTCATAAACCAATTTACAATAAGAGATTGCCGTCTCTCTGTGTAGCATTGGTGCAAACTCCACTCCCCTAACACACATGCTGTCAGTACCACCAATTCCAGGTACCACCACCTCCAGGCAGTCTTCCCTGATAATCCTCATCTTACTCTGCAAAAAGTTGCAGCATCCTCTCAGTTCCCACGCACACAGTGGAAGGTGATTCTTCAGAGCTCAGGCTTTTGGAGTTAGAATGCTCAAATTACAAATCCCATTTTGACCACTTCCTAGTATTTATGGGAAAGCCACTTAACCCATCTGTGAAATGAAGCTAAAATACTCTAAAGTCATCATGAATTGTTACGAGAAGATAAATGGGTTGAGTACTCAACATTGTACCTGGCACATAGTAAGTGCTTGATAAACACTAGTCATCAAGACACCCACTCCTTTGGATGACCATTTCACTCCTCAAACAGGCAAAAGTTGCATCTCTCCACTTGGACTGAAGTTTCCTGAGGATAAAGACCTTCTCTTCTTCATTTGTCAGGCCTTAAAGGGTCCAACATATAGGAAGTCCTCAGGAAATCCATGTTAATTTAAATGGAATTGAAAGCAGGTATGTTTCCCTTCTTTCTACAGCCTCTGTACCCAAAGATTGGATGAACCAGTGGCAAGAAAATGCCAGGTGGAAACATCCCAACAGACAGTCCATGAGCGATGGTGGAACTCTGTGCTGCACCACCCACATGCCTCGCAGCTGAGTCCTTCTCCAGAACTTTCCTTCACCTGGAGGAAGGTGCCTAGTTCAAGGTTACCCCCCTCCCTGGGGCAGCTAGCATCCAAGGACTGGTCCAAGCAGGAGTACAAAGACCCAGTCCCCAGCCTCATTCAGGTCATCTCTGAAAGGCCATCCCAGCTCCAGGGTCCCATGGGGTCTGCAACTGAATCACAGCCCAACATCTCCCTCCACCCCATCCTCCTTCCCTGATTTGTTTGTAGGTTTTGTTCCTAAGTGCATTTCCTAATCGATGTCCTGCATGCTAATTTGTGTCTCAGACACAATTCAGTCTCCAGCACGTTTGTGTCCCTGTTCATAGCCAAGACCCATGGGCCAACCCCTTACCCTTGTCATTCAGAAGAGATGATGAGATCACAGCCTCTAAGATATGGTTCATTCACAAATACACTCTAGCACATTCTCAGATGACCTCTTCCCCATCTCTGTGCTAGCCAACGCTTCAAAAAGGGCTCCCCTCAAGCTTAAATTTCGGTGAAGGAGCTCCCCTTCCCTTTCTAATTTCATCTCCTTTCATGATCTTGATTCTGGAGCCCTGCCCTTGTTCAGCACCTGTCTTGGGTCCAGGTCAGAAGCGGACCTTTAGAGGAAAATGAAAATTTATCTTACCACACCTGCACGGTGGCTCACACCTATAATCGCAGCATTTTGGGAGGCCAAGGCAGCCAGATCATTTGAGGTCAGGAGTTCAAGACCAGCCTAGCCGACATGGGGAAACCCCGTCTCTATTATAAATACAAAAATTAGCCAGGTGTGGTGGTGCATGCCTGTAGTCCTAGCTACTAGGGAAGCTGAGGCAAAATAATTGCTTGAACCCAGGAGGTGGTTCAAGCAGTAAGCTGAGATTGTGCCACTGCACTCCAACCTGGGTGACAAAGTGAGACTTCGTCTCAAAAAACAAAAGATTGTATCTCATCTAAAGGTCTGGATTCATGAGTAATTAAGGAAGTGCTCCCAGGAAAGATTGGAGGGAGGACATGGTGGGGGAGCAAGACAGAGAGAAATGAGAAGAGTGCAGTTTCAGGTGAAGTCCCAGCCCCAGCAGGGGACCAGTCCCATGGGGAGCTCTAAAGGAGTTTGCCCTGCCTCGAGCCGAGAAAGCTGGGCTTTCATATCCCTGCTCCAGGCAGTCCTTAGCTGCAAACCTTTCCAGGGGCACATCAGCCCTAGGGCACGTACAGCCCTCTGCCTGAACAAAGTGGCTCCAGTAGCTCTAAGGTAGCATCTTGGAGAGCGAAGGGAAGCAGAGCACAGAGAAGCTTGTGGGTGGGCACCCAAAAAGGGCAAAGGGAACCCCCTTTCACATGAAGGACAGTGCTCCAGCAGCCCCCTCTACAGCACCACCAGTGACATCTAACTCAGGAGTGGAAAACACAGAGGGCTTGCAGTAGTAATGTCACCACTTTAGTTTCCGTTTTTAGTAATTAGAGTATTACTAAAGTCCTGAGCAATAAAAATCCTAGTATTCTTATAGTTTATGGATCACTATACTGTTATGAATCCATCTGAGACATGACTTCAAAATGAAAATTCGTAGTTAAAGTGTTTCCAGATTAAAATTGTGAAAGCCAAATACTGTGGTGCCAGGAAAAGAATGCCAAGCTTGGTCCGGAATCCCAGCCCTGCCCGTGGTCTGCTGCATGATCCTGCTGTGTGATCTCAGCACCTCTCTGAGCCTCAGTTTCACCATCTGTAAACACGGGCTAATAAGGCAAATGAACCCTCCCTAACTCTTAGGCTTGTCGTGTGAATTAAATAGGATTATGTAAGGGGAAGTGTTTTGTAAACCACGGGGGGATTCCTGTCCTGGAAGATGCAGCCTGCTGTCACCAACATAATCAAGCCCTCTTCCAAAACTTAGCCTGGGATTTCCTCCTCTCTCCCCTGCCTACTCCCCCTTGCCAACTTCATTTACTCACTCTCCTTAAAGGCTTCTATGTCTATTAAACTCCTAACTCAAAATAACTTGATAAAATATTCTGGGGAGACTCGCTGGTTCCAAATAGATATATGAGGATCAGGTTGGCCCAAAACACAAAACTCAGAGCCCCAGCCCAGCAGAGGTGCATTCCGCAGGCCTAGAAGACTGACCCCAGCCCACTGAGCTCTCTGCAGCCAGCTCATTAAATCCTAATCACCAGGACTCCAAGCCAGGTGGGGAGGGTACTGTTTGTACAGGGTTTCCTGAGAGGAGCTGGGAGGAAACTACGCTTACACGATCTGCCCAGGAAGTCAGCCTGGGAAGGATCCCCAGCCTGGGGTCTCAGCACCCTGCCCACGTGACCCATCTTATGGCTGAGAACCCCTTCCCTTTCATCCAAAGCCCTGTTTGAAGTCTGACTCAGGTCTGTGGGGTAGATCCAAGGCTCCCTTAACCCAGGGGGAGTGTTTATGTCTTGGAAGAGGAAAGCTCAACTGATCCCCAGGGTGGGTGAAGAGAAGGGCTGAGAAACTGCTGACTTTGTTGTTTAGTTTCAACCGTGTTTTTGTCCATCTGCTGAAATGGAAGCATCTTGGCAGCTTGGGTACTGGCCTGAGAACCAAGAGGTTTGGCATGAGGTCCCGGCTTTGTTGATGACTTCTTGAGCAAGTCAGCTACCCTCTTGGGGCCGCGGTGTTCTCCCCTGCACAATGGGAGTGGTAATACTTCTCTCCTACCTCTTCAAAATGGTTTGAGGAACACAATGGAAGGAGAGTTGACCTCAAAGCTGGAGCTTGTCTGTGCAGGTGGAAGTGGAATGAGGCTTATGTGCAAGATGCTTTACCGACACCCTCTCCTTGAGTCCCAAGAGAGAAATATAACCCCTTTTGCAGACGAAGAAACTGAGGCCAGCTGGCTCCCACACTCATGCTCTTTCTGCCTTAGAGGGGAGCATCCAAGGGGCCCAGGTGTAGAAAAATCAACAACGGGCAAACATTTTATCATTCTGTCACTCAGTAAGGATATTCTGGAGCAGGGGGCTGGTTGATGACTGATATTGGCACATGCTGCTGCCCCCCGGGGACATCTCCCCTCCTACTGAAGCTCTGCCTCCCTTCAGCCTGGTCTTCAGAGACTTTGCCATTTAGCTCCAGGCCAAAGGGCAAAGCCAGAGCAGAGCTTCCCCCAGCAGTCTCCAGGCTGCTTTTGCTGTTTGACTTTCGCTGGGCAACTCATGAAGGCAGAGAAAAGACCTCACCATGAAGTAATGGGCCACACTGCAAGTCAGGAAGTCAGGGCTGAACCACAATAATAACAAGAATAAGAACAGCAATAACTAGCATGTGTTGAGCCCTTGGTCAGAAACAGGCACCGTGCTAGGCTCTTTAGATATATTACCTTCATCTCTTTGCAGTCCTCTGAGATGAGGGCATTTGTGGGCCAAGATCACGCAGCCAGTGAGGAACAGAGGCAGTCTTCAAAGCATCATCTTTCTGCCTCCAGAATCCACATGCTTATCTACAGCCCCTCTTTCCCTGACATGTTGGACTACTTTGGGCAAGCCCCTCCACTTTCTTGGCCTCAGTTCCCCTGCTACTCTGCAAATTGCTGGAGTCAGACTTTCTCTTCCAACTTTGACAATCGAGTGTCTTGACCTGGGAGATGAAATGGGGAGGGTGGCCCCAGCTGGCCCTCTCCCTGGAGGAGGGGACACAGATCCCAGCTAAGCCAAGCCTGGGCACAGCAGAAGGGAAACCACTGGAAGGGATGAGCCCCGCCAAAGAGCTTCTCCTTGGAAGCCAAATTTTGCACTGACGCCAAAACTAAAGCCCCTTTTCAACCTCCATGCGCAAACTGCTCGCTGTAAGTGACTCCTGAGCTAATGAGCTCGGAATGTCAAATTCCATCAGTCAGCCAGCACGGACACGATGCAATGAAACACCCCATGCAGGAGGA
Organism: Homo sapiens; assembly: GCF_000001405.40. Classification (NCBI taxonomy): domain Eukaryota; kingdom Metazoa; phylum Chordata; class Mammalia; order Primates; family Hominidae; genus Homo; species Homo sapiens. Next base: position 117,568,432 of record NC_000010.11, on the reverse strand, counting down.
GGTATGGTTCTCTTGCCTCTTTCTGGGTTTTTTTGTAGCAACATTCATCACTGCTACACATGAAAATAAAAACCAGATGGAATCCCTGAGATGCAGAGAAGGATCTTTCCTTCCTGTGCAGTAGGACAAAGGCTGCAATGGGCACCTAGGGTCAATGTGGATAGGGAGGAGCTGTCAGCTTCTCAGCAGAGCAACCTCCCAGCCAGAGGCACAGATGAGCAACACCCGGCTCTTACCTGGCTCTTCTCCTTGGGGCCTAAGAGGAGGATGGAACAGGTAAAGAACTGATGTTACCCCAGCCCTTCAAAACTCTGGCCAGGTCATGGACACTCACTCCCAGCTTCTCCTACCTAGGGCCCTCTGTCCAGCCCTGGACACACCACTGGGACCACTCACTGAGTGTCACCCCTGTGCCACATGACTGCAAGCCCAGGGTGCTGAACAGGACACACTGGGCTGAGAGTGGGCCAGGACCAGAGCCTGATCCTCACATCCTCCGGGAAGCCTTCCCTGACCACCACACAATGCCAGGCATTGGTCAGTGAGACCAGCCCTCTCTTTTGATGTCTTCCTAAACTTTAAGGCCAAGTCACGTGGCTTTACCACCACTTGCCTTGTTCACGCAATATGTCATGCATAGATCCTCACCTAGACTGTCAGCAGCTCCTAGGGGATGGGCAGTACCAAACACTTTCTTTGAGGGTCCCCTTAGCCCCTAGCACAATGCCTGGTGTATCAAAGCTGTTCTATAAATGTGCACAGAAATAATATAGTTATAACATCACTTTGATTGGCATTAATATAGCAATAATGATCATCTACCCCCACCCCGTGTGCTGTGTGGGCACTGGACAAGGTATTTTACCTGATTAATTCACCTCCCCAAGCCTCAGCTCTGCTACACAGCTAAGTCAGTCTCCTGCACACCACAGTGCCCACTAACTGCAGCTCCCACCCCTCCTAGGCAGGCACAAAGCCCACACACCAAGAGAATCCAGTCCAGCTGGGGCTCAGCTGGGGGCTAGTGGCCTTTTTCTAGTCCCAGAGCAAACATCCTAGAGGCCCAGCAGATCTCCCTGAGCCTCCATTTGCTCATCTGCAAAGTGGAAAGTGCCCCTGCCCAATAAGGGGTGGATGAACAATGACTTAGAAAGAAGCTGATCTTAGCTGGGGCACCTATATGGGGTTTCGGGGCGGGGTCTGAGCTAGGTCCTTCCCTCTGTCCATTTTTTGTTGCTATGAGTCAGTTCCATCCTGAAATAGCAGTAGTGCCCGGGCAGCTGCCCCCAGTCAACAGGCTAGTGGCAGCCATTTGTTCCCCAACTTGCAGGAATATAGTAGTGCCTAGCATTTATTGAGCTCCTATGGCATGCCAGGCTCATTTAATATACACAATACCCCCAGGTTGTAAATTTTACTATTGCCTTCATTTATGCATGAAGAAACGGAGGCCAAAATACTTGCCCTGGGTCACACAGCTGGCAAGGTTAGTGGCCAGTGACCAATGCCAGGCATTGGTCAGTGAGGGAGAGGTGGGGTTCAGATCTGGAAGACAGTGCAGCCAGGACCTCAGTGCCCTCAGAGTTCTAGCAAAGCCCTAAGCCCTACCCTGGACCTTTCCCTTTATTTTCTCCCTTTTTCTCCTCCAGCCCCCAATCTGAGAGTCTCCTAAGTAAACTACTTGTCTTCTAAGCCAAGAAGTTCTCCAGCTTTCAGTCCAATTCATTGCTGATTTGGGAACCCCCAGGGTAGGGTTGCCAGGTATCTTGTATACAAGGATGTGTCTCATATTTACTTATGTGACGCAACTCCTGTATAAACTGTCAAGATGGTCCATAATTAACACCCTGTATTTAGCTTTTGTCAATAAATTACAAAATTCAGCCTTTAGAACTATTTTTCTAATTTAGCTGGGCATCCTATCTTTTTATTTGCTAAATCTGGCAATGCTACTCCAGGGTCCAGGTGTTCTGAGACCCCCAATCAGAGCATCCCCAGGGCAGTCATTTCTACACAGACCATGGAAACAGCTCTGTGCATGTCCGTGTGTGCACATGTATACATACGTGTGTTATATGTGTGCATTGCGTGTGTCCCTCCATGCCTACTGGGAGTGTGCTCAGTATGTTCACTGACAGAAGTCTGTTGAGGGCACAAGAATGAGTCATCTCCACCCAACTCTGAACAAAGCCTGCAGAATAGGGGCAGCCACACCAGGGGTCTGGCTGAGTTACACTAAGATAAACAATATTTCAATCACCTTTCCCATTGGGATCTTTCCTGATAAGCTTAGGATTCATCCTGCCAAGCCTCCCTCGGATGCTGAGGAGAAGCCACTCTATGAGATGTTCAAGGAGGCCTCATCACGGACCTATCCGGCTGAGAAGTTCCATTGGTCCAGCTCCTTCACTACCCAGGTGAGAAATCTGAAGGCCGGGGGGGAAAGGGTCTTGCCCAATGTCACATAGCCATCAGAGAAAGAATTGGAACTGGGATCCCCATCTTCTGGCTCTAGCCCAAGGCTTGTCCACTGCCTACAATGACTCTGTCTCATACTAGGACACAGTCAAAAGAAAGCTGAACTCTTGACAGTTCAATGGCAGCCATTTGTTCCCCAACTTGCAGGAATATAGTAGTGCCTAGCATTTATTGAGCACCTATGGCATGCTAGGCTCATTTAATATACACAGTACTCCCAGGTTGTAAATTTTACTATTGCCCTCATTTATGCATGAAGAAACGGAGGCCAAAATACTTGCCCCGGGTCACACAGTTGGCAAGGTTAGTGGCCACTTTACCCAGATGTGCACTTTGAGCCAAGGTAGGAATCTGGCTTCCTTGTGCTAAATAAACTGGTCTCTAGAAGTCAGTTCTTCAGATGCCTCAGCGGCTGCTGTGAGTGAGGGCCCGTGAAGATGGGCTATCATTTAATCACCAGGATCTGAACCCTCTTTCTCCAAGCCAAGGGCAGCTATATCTCCTGGCCACTTTTCTTGCCTGAGTCATCAATTTCAGCTAAGATCTTTAAACCCATCTCACTAACAGATTTTCCAAAACTGATGCCTGGGACAGGGGACAGGAAGTGATCATGTTGCTACCTTGTAAACCTTGCCTTTCAACTCTCCCCTTGAGAGAAGACACTCTCCCTCCTTTCCTTCTGAATGGCTCTTCCCTGTGCACCCCCCCACACCACCCCGTCTTTCCATCTTTCCATTCTCAGCTCAGCCCAGCCACTGCATTCAGCAGCCATTTATCACAGCGCCTGACACCACACAGGGGTACTGTTTGCTCATTTGCCTTCAAGAAAGTAAGTAGTTTTTTGGTTGATGGCCAGTTAAGGGGACCGGATATGGGCAGAGAACTGTGTACCAGACCCCTCCCCAGGGGAGTGCCCCTGGTATGTTATCTGGCGCTCCTGAAATCCAATGCTGGGCTGGTGGGGCAGCCAGGTGTGCCTAAGACAAGGCTGTTTTCCCTCTCTGGAGAACCCTCCCCCGTGAGAAGGGGGCACAAAGGGCTCTGCTTCCTGCTGTTGGGCTGCCAGGCCACCCCACAGGGTAGGGATTTCATCTCCAAGCCTGCTCTGGCTGAGTCTGTGTGCTCTCCCACCTCCCCACTGCAAGCACCTAGGTTTGACCTCCTGAGCTTGCCCTGAGCTCCCCTGTCTCCCCTGTGGACCTCACTTACCTCCCAACATTTCTGGGTTGGCCAAGATTACCCTCCTCCCTCCTTTCTCTCCACCCATTGCTGCCCCCAGTAAGCTCTCCCTCCTCCCCGGCGCGTGCTCCCAGGGGCTCTGTCACTCCTTGGTACAGCCTGCAAATGAGCTTGTCCAGAGGCCAGACATTATCTCCACCCAAATTCCTTCTCTGCCATTTATCAGCTGTGTGACCTTAGGCAAGGCACTCAGCCACTCTGAGCCCAATATCCTCACTTCTAAAACGGAGTTGGTGAGAGTTTCTACCTCTCTGGGGGCGTCATCAAGAGGATTAAATGAGAGAATGCACATAAAGTTCAGAATTCATAAAGTTCAGAATTGAATGGCACAGAGCACATTCAATAGCTGTTGGTCACAAGCACTGTTGCCGTGAATACTCAAAATCTTATACCTGCCTTCTAACTTTCCCCTGGTCTTGACTGTTTTAATTTATGGTTTTCCCATATTGATTTCTTACTGTTTTATTTTTACATTATAATGTGTTTATACCACAAATGTATTAATAAAGTTTAATTCTATTCCCTGAGGGCCACTTCAGATATTTTGTGTAATCAGGCAGGAAAAGTAGACACTCAGAGAGCCACACAGAGACAGGCAGAGGTGATGGGGAAGGCAGGACTGAGAGAGGGGCAGGAGGAGGGGCGGTGGGGCAGGAAGGACAGAAGAAGAGACTGAGCGCCCCTAGAAGGACCGACCACCAAAGGGCAACCAAGAGGGGCAAGGACCAGCCCCATTCCCTCGCGCCGCGTTCTTACTGCCTGTTGGAGAGACTGGGCTTACAGATTTAGAGGGAGGGAACCACTGGGGTCAGCAGGTTAGGGAAATGATGGTGGGCAAGGCAAGGAAGTGCTACCCGTGAGGGCACAGAGGCAGGAACATTAGGCCCCTATGAGCCACACCGAGACCAGGTGCTTAAAAGGAAACTGCGACAGAAAATGTTCCCACCCTCATTCATCTCCCCAACACACACACACACACCTACACACTACCCAGACACATCCATACACACACATGCACACCCACACACCCATAGACACACATGCACACCCACAAACACACATGCACACCCACACACCCAAGGCACACATGCACACCCACACACACCCACAGACACACATGAACACCCACATGCACCCATGGACACACAAGCACACCCACACGTATGCACACACATGCACACTCACACACACCACACACACAGACACACACGCACACCCACACACCCATAGACATACATGCACACACAGACACATATGCAGACCCCCCCACACCCACGAACACACATGCACACCCACACACACCCACAGACACACATGAACACCCATATGCACCCATGGACACACATTCGCATCCCCACATACACACAGACACACACGCACACCCACACACACAGACACATACACCCCCACATACGCACACACATGCACACCCACACACCCATAGACACACATGCACACCCACACACATACATACCAACATACCCAGAGACACACATGCACACCCACACACACCCACGAACCCACATGCACACCCACAGACATGCATGCACACCCACACACACCCACAGACACACATGCACAGACACACACACCCACGGACACACATGCACACCCACATGCCTACTTGTATATACATGCACACATCCATATACACACAGACACATCCCCACACACTGATACACACTCATACACACCTACCCATACGCATGCACACTCATACAGACACACCTGTACACATATGCATACACATGTACACACCCACACACACCCATATACACACATACACACCTATGCACACTCATACACATGCTCAAACATACATCCATACACACACACAAGCACCCACACAGTCCCCTATATAAACACATGAGCAACCACACATAGCCCCACACACACACACATTTGTGCATGTGCGCACACATACACCTTCATGGCTCTTTGGAGGGGCCTCTCCCCTCCCCTCAGCACCCACAGAATTACCCGCACACACCTGCCAAGACTCGGGCCCCTCTCCTGGCTGCCACCCTGTGGCTCTCTCAGGTCAGGTCTTGTGTCAGCTGCAGCCTCACCTTGGCATGCCTCTCAGGGGCTCACAGGAGGACTCAGAAACGCAGAAAAGGGTAGCAGAAAGTGAGTGGTCCATGGGGAGTGGCCATGGGAGAGTCTGCTCAGCAAGTCACCAGGGACTTCGTGACTGGAGGGTCCAGAGTCTGCAGACAAACGCCACACTGCTCCGTCCTCACCCACCAGGCATGGCAAGCACTGGGCCCTCCCCACTGGGCCCTCTATCTAGGGCACACATGGGGGCTGCAGACCTGGCTCCCCTGGGTCCACCTAGAAAGCCACCCAGACCCCTAGCCCCAAAGCCTACAAAGCCCCCGAAAGCCCACAGGCCAGCCTGGCCCCACCACCACCCAAGGATATCCATTTCTCCCTCCACTTTTCCAGCACAGGTAATGACAACGCACTTGAGGAAACTCGATAGGTTGGCTACCTTGAAATGGAGAAGGAGGTCAAGAAACACATATCCTAACTTTCAGAAGGAACTGTCTGGGATAATTAATCAACACATCACCAACACCAAGGGATTGTTTTATATCAGAAGACGTATAATTAAAAAAAAACAATAGCAGGCTTGTTGTGTGTTTTGTTTCTAAGGAATGTTAATTATGTTTGGCACCTTGACACATCCAAAGTTCTCCCCCAATATTTAGAAATCAAACAGAACTTGGCTTCGAGATCTTTCTTAGCCAACAGAACTTGGCTTCGAGGTCTGGACTTAGCACAGGCAGGGTCGTAGAAACAAAATGGGCCTCCAACAGGTCTTTGAATGGGCCTGTGATTGCTGTACTAGTGAGGAAGGCACTTGCAATTGCTAAATTGCACTCACTATTGCTTAATTACACCTTTGGATCAGCACCTAATTTGCTTAGGGTGCAACTGAGCTGCCATGGGTGTAATTGCTTGTATGCTACTTGACAATACAGCCACTGCCAGAGGAGACTGGAGCCTCACTTGGCTCTGCTCAGAGAGGCTACAGCCCCATAGCTGTGGTTTCCAGGGCCACAGACCCCCCAGCAGCCCAGAACAGCAGAAGGCAGCCCTGGCTAGCTAGCTGCTCGCTGGAAGCAACCTGCATGCCAGAAACCTTAGAAAGGTCCTTCGGAGGTGTTCACAGAGCGACTAGGAGGACACTCCCAGGCTAACCCTCCCAGTGGGTTCCTCCCTAGTGGGCCCTCTCTGGGAGGCAGCTCTAGGACATGAGCAACTCCACCTAGGTTCTGCCTCAGCTATCCTGGTTACTCTGGGCTGCCAGCTCCTGCTGGGGCCTGGTTCCCATGGTTAATCTGTGCTGCGACATAGCAGGGGAGATAGTGGCTAAAGCTGCTGGCACCCAAGGGGGACAGGACCATGACCACAGGCACCCAAGGCCCCAGGTAAGAGAGCAAAGCCCTCCTCCTGAGACCCCTGTAGCCCTGCTGATGTCCACAGTATGGCCAGACTGGCAACATCAAGATTCATGTCCCACAGAGGAAGGGGGAGGCATCCACGTTTCCCCCTAAACACACACACACACAGAGGCCACACACCACACCCAGCCAGAATTGCATACGTATTTTTAGTTCTACTTAGCATTTGCTGCTTTGGGGAATGTTTCTGGAAATTTTGGAGAGCATCTTGTTAAATGAGACCCACAGATCCTAGAAGTGTTCTTGCTGTATACCTGAAATTACATGAGCTTAGTCAGGGGAGCTGGGCAGGGTGGGAATGGCAGAAATGGGCAGCATCACCAGGCTCCACCCAGTAGGAGAGCCCCCTTCCCAGGACCAGGGCTGGAGAGTCTGGTTTACCTGGATCCAACAGGGATCTCATCTTTGGGGAAAGTGGAGACTGAATTCTGGACAGAGCTCAGAGTCCATGCCAGCTGGGCAGCAGTCACCACACAGGCGTCTGCTCATCCTGTGGGGCATCCCCTCTTGGGACAGTCAAATTATTAAAGAATCGTGGTACTGCGGTTAAGCTTTCAAAAGAATCCTGTTAGAGATACATCCTAACATGGTTACTAAGGACAAGATACAATGTCTGGAATTTGCTCCAAAATAGCCTGGGCTGGTGAGAGACTGGGAAGGGTAGATGGAACTAGATTGACCTTCACTTGATCATTTGTAATTAGCAAGCTAAGACTGCTGTTGTTTAAACCACCAGACTGTGTGGTTTAAACAACAGAAATTTATTTTCTCACAGCTCTGGAGGCTGGAAATCCAAGACGGAGTTGTCGGCAGTACTGGTCCTGCCGAGGAAAGGCTTTATTCCAGGTCTGGGTTTGTAGACAGCCATCTTCTCCTTGGATCGTCACATCATTTTCCCTCTGGGTCTGTCTATGTCCAAGCTTCCTTTTCTTTTTTTTATTTTTATTTTTTATTTTTTTTTAGATAGATGGTCTGACTATGTTGCCCAGGCTGGTTTTGAACTCCTGGACTCAGGTGTTCCTCCTGCCTCTGCTTCCTAAAGTGCTGGGATTACAGGTGTGATCCAAGACAAGCCACCAAACTTCCTCTTCTTGTAAGGTCACCAGTCACACTGAATTAGGGCCTGCTCTAGCTATCTCCTTTTGACTTGATTACCTTTATAAAGCCCCCATCTCCAAATGAGTTCACATTGTGAGGTAATTGGGGTAAGGATTTCAACACGTAAATTTGAGGGAGCGTCACAATTCAATCCATCACATAATTACTGAAGATGGGAGATGTATGCATTACACTATTCACTCTACTGTTGTATAAATTTGCATTTTCTTCATAATAATGGGCGGAGTGGGTAGGCAAACAAGGGAGCAGTGCTTCAAACAACTGACTCAACTCCAGTTTAAACTCCAGAGAGGTAAAACTTGTTCTCCAGAGCTCAAGGAAAATCCTAAAACTCTACTGTTTTAGAAGAGACTATGCAACCGTGGGAGGTAGAGAGCTTCTCAGCATGGAAATATCCAAGCCCAGCCTGCATGACCACCAGTGGGACCTCCTGTAGGAGTCTTTCATGGAAGGGAAGCTGGGCTGGCCAATTTCTATAACTTTGTCCAAATCTTGGTTGCCAAAAAAAGCCAGTGCCCTTGTGGACTGCATTAACAGGACGGTGGCTAAAGGCAAGGAATGGGAGAGTCCTGCTCTACATAGAACTGGAGGGGATCAGCTGGATTATGATGCTCCATTCTGAGAATCCCTTTGCAAATGGTCCATTAACCACTCAAGAGGGACAGAGTTGCATCTGGAGAGGAGCGGCCAGGTACTGGAGGAAAGCATGCCATAGCATTCAAGAAAGACTGTGGAATCCACTTTACCAGTCCCTCTTGTATCCTGCTAGGAATATTACAAGCAAGTTTCACAACAAATACACACCCATATGTATTTCTTTTATAGTAATGATATTCCATGCACACTCCTTTTGCTTTTATCAATTAACAGTTACATATCTTAAAGAGCTTCCCATATTAGAACACAAATTATGCTTCTTTGTTTTTAACTACTGCATAACATCCCATCCTAGGATAAATTACGTTACCAATCCCCTAGCAATGAACATTTTGATTGCTTCAAATATTTCCCTATAGCTAACAGCACTTAATAATTAATCTCACACAGGTTGGGCATGGTGGCTCACGCCTGTAATCCCAGCACTTTGGGAGGCCAAAGTGGGCAGATCACCTGAGGTCAGGAGTTCAAGACCAGCCTGGTCAACATGGTGAAACCCCATCTCTACTAAAAATACAAAAATTAGCCAGGCGTGACGGCCCATGCCCGTAATCCCAGCTACTCAGAAGACTGAGGCAGGAGAATCACTTGAACCCAGGAGGCAGAGGTTGCAGTGAGCTGAGACTGAACCATTGCACTCCAGGCTGGGCGACAGAGCGAGACTCCATCTCAAAAATAAATGATAATAATAATGATAATAATCTTATATATATATGTCACTTCACATATGAATGAGTTCATTTGTGGAATAAATCTCTCTAAGTTAAACAAATATTATGAAAGGAAGGAAGGAAGGAAGGAAGGGCTGGATGGTTGAGAGAAGGTACAGGACTCAGGGGAAAAACTTTCCCCTTCCTGGGCACAGCCCCGTCTGTGGCCTCAAGCAAGCAGACACGGGGAAATGGGCGAAAATCATGATCAGACTGGAAGCAGGAAGGTTCAGGACAGGGCTATGCTGGATCCTGTCTCTTTATAGTGACACCTCTACACCCATTGGCTTGGTCCCTTTCACCAGGATGAGAGAGCGAGTCATGATGCCGGGAAGGAACTACCACAAGGTCCTCTCCCTCCCCAAGTGCCTCCCATCATCCACTAGTCTGCAATAGAAGGAGAGGCCAGAAAGGGCAGTGAGCAGGGAGGGCAGGTAACTAGGGCCTGACCCATGGGGGTAGGGGTGGGGGGCAGACAGCCGTAATGTTCATGAAGTGCTGGCACTGAGTAGGCATTTGAAGCAGAAGCAGTGGCTATTTACTCCTGCCCACAGGCTGGCCTACAATCTAACTCAAGGCCAGAGGTGGGGAGAGAGCTTCCGAAATGAGCATGAGACTTGGATGCTAGACTCCCAGAGGCTCCTGGCTCACCTATTCCCTTCCCTGGGGCAAAGAACCAAGTGACCCCTCTAGAGATTACCCTTCCTGGGGTTTCCACGAACAGCTAATGGGCTTAGATCATTGGTACACACCCATACCCCTCACATGTGTACACACAGGCCCACACATGCTCTCTTCCTCTACCCTCCTGAGGCTGACAAGTGGATGTGGTCTAGCATATTCAGTATATTATAAATAAAGTCTCCTTTTCAGCTATGAAAACAAGATTTGAGAGGGAAGCAGGTTGTGGGGTGCCATAGGGTGTAGGCAGAGAAGGTGGGCCTTTAAAGGGCTCTGGCTTTCAATAAACCCTGAATGACACCACCACCCAGGGGCCTTGTAGCTGCTTAAGTCCCTTTGTGCTGCCCCTAAACGGCAAGTATAGAAAGTGACATTTGAGTCAACATGGTGCTGTTTACTTAATAAAGCAGTGGCCTTCCACTTGAAGTGATCTACAGTAGCAGATACCACGTCTGGCTTTCATGGAAGGCCATAATTGCAGTCTTTTTTTTTTTTTTTTTTTTTTTTTTTTTGAGATGGAGTCTCACTCTGTCGCCCAGGCTGGAGTGCAGTGTCGTGATCTCGGCTCACCGCAAGCTCCACCTCCCGGGTTCACACCATTCTCCTGCCTCAGCCTCCCGAGTAGCTGGGACTACAGGTGCCTGCCACCACGCCCGGCTATTTGTTTGTGTTTTTAGTAGAGATGGGGTTTCACTGTGTTAGCCAGGATGCTCTCGATCTCCTGACCTTGTGATCCGCCCACCTCAGCCTCTCAAAGTGCTGGGATTACAGGGGTGAACCACTGCCCCCGGCCAATTGCAGTCATTTAGAGTGGGTCAAGGAGAGGAGTGGCAGTGAGCCCTTTAGGAAGCAGACCACCATGGCCGGAGGGGGGCTATGCCTGTGTGAGGCTGGGGGAGCCACCACAGAGAAGCCAGCTGTACCCCGCAACCATGCACCTCACTGTGGCTCCCACAAACATGTCCAATCATGCCCTCTCCACCCTCATGGTCACCCCTGTGCCCACCTATACTCACACACACAAATATTCACACTTCCGAACATCCATCCATACACATGTACTCTGTTACTCAGCCCCACTCACAAGTGCAAATGTACCTGTGCTTACCAGGCTTACATACTGATCAGGGGCTTTAAGGGTCCAAGATGGTGGTGGCTGTTGCTCTTCAGGTCCTCCGTACTGCAAAGGGGGCAAGAGGCAGTCCCTAGCTAGGTGCCACTGAAGGAGGGACTCCTAGGAATAAAGCTGATTCTCAATAATAAAGTCACCCTTGGATAATACCACACCCAACACACAGACGTCTCCACCAGAGTTTGAGTTTATGGACTCGAGATTGTGTACTGCTTAAGAAGTCTGGACAAAAGGATGGGTGACGGGGTGCTCTGCTGAAATCCAGCTCACATTCCACTTGGCAAGCCACAGGAGAGAAAGGGGTGCCTTCCACCCAGAAGAAGGGATGCCTTTTTCTAAGCTGCACAAAGACACAGTATGGGCTACAGCAACCCCAATCCCCACGGTCACGTGCACACTTACATACATGTTTGTGATCCACGTGTTCAAAGTTGCATGCTGTACAAGCATATTCAGGTATAGCCACTCATACATATGCAGCCACCAGCATGCAAGGTACATGGCACAGAACTTTCTTCATTAGCACACCCCTTCCTAGGGACCCAGGCACAGATTCTCCTGCTTGGCCTTGACCTGAGCTGATGATGATGCCCTCAACCCCCATTCCAGGCCCTGCACCCCACAGACAAGGTCTCAGAAGTGCCTGATCCCTCAGGAACAAGATCCAGTGACCGGGCAGGTCCCCCAACAACTGACTTACCTGCCCTCTCTTACCTGACCCAGGATGAGGCCACTGCCAGAGTGGCCCCTGTTGAGGACAAAGGCTGGACATGGTGGGCTCTGCTAGGTGACCAAGAACATGGCCCACCCACCTCTTGGGTTTGCAGTGGGTGAGTGTGTGTCTGGGAGAAAGCAGGGAAGCGGGGGATAGGGAGAGCTCTGCCTCCAGGAGGACCTTGCAGCCTCATGGAGCCAAGTGCCAGAGTAGCTGTCTCCAGACCCATGGCTTCCAAGTAAGCCAGACCCTCAGCCAATGCCAGCCACCCAGCCCTAGCTGTGCTTTTACTTACCCAGTAAGCACAGGGGAAAGTACCCCCACAGGCCCTGGGGACATCTTCCTTTAATTACTCCACTGGTGACTCCTGAAACTTTTTACCTTCCCCAGGGCCTCCCTACAAGAAAGAGGCTCTCTAGCCTAAAGAGTCTTCTATGGGTGCCCAGGAGCCCCTATCTGTGTGCAAGCGCAGTGCCCTGAAGGCAGACAGCAGAGGACGCAGGCAGTGGCCCCAGCCCAGACAGCCTCCCTCCACTCCCGCCATTCAACCGCAGACAGGCCCAGGGCCCAGGGGCTCTGGCTGACCTGGGGATGGGCAGTCCCTGGCATGGCTGCCCCTCTAGCTCTTCTGTTTTAGGGGAGGGGAGGGGCGTCCACATTCTCTGAAGAGCAGAGCCCTGCGAAGTGACCCTGTTTCAGAATGAAATTGAGCTGCCATTTTCATCTTCTTCCCAAATGTCAGCAGCGTTAGATCAGATTAGGAACTAATCTCTTGCCAAAATTCATTTCCGAACAAGAGAGGTGGCTGCGGGCGATGTGGAGGTTTGTCGTTGGTTTCTCAACTCCCCGTATCCTTTCTCTCCCTGTTACTGGGGTGGGAGTGGGGGTAAAAGTTGGCATAGACTGCACTGAGGCCCCGGGGGGGCCTAAGGAATGTCAGGCGGTGGCACCAGGTGCAGCGGGAGGAAGCCCCTGGCATTAGGTGAGTGGGCAGCCGCGCTGGCCCTGTGCTCAGTAGCTGTGCAGAGCCGATTGCTCAGGCATCCTTCTTGGGCTGGAGAGAAACGGGAACAAGAGCCAAGCGAATGGGGCCAGAAGGACAGGGCCTGATGCCTGCACCACATCCTCTCTGAGGTCCCTCCCCAAACCCCACCTAGTGCCCCGCCTCAGTGTCCCCAGCCTCTCACCTCACGGGCCAGAGTAGTAAAAGGAAAAGGAAAAGGCAATTGCAACTTAAAGAGAGAGAGGGAAAAAAAGGAAAATAAATGCCCAAAAGCACTGGTCAGTACCTTGCAGGAGGCCTCAGTTGACAAGTGACCAGAACACAGCCGCTGGCCTGAATGCATAATTACCCCCAAGTGAAAATTCCCCCATCTAATTTGATATTTGGTTCTTTGCAGAAGCTATAGCCTTCGTAAATAATATACAAAGTAAGAAACCTAATCCCGCCTGCTAGAATGTTTAATTCATCATTATGCGAGCTAATTGGAAGGTGATTATATGGTAATTGCTCATTAGTGGTGTATATTTATCGCTGTACCTTATGTCAAGGCCATGGGAATTGTGTAGAGTCTGTTCTCTCATTTCAAGGATCAGTTTCAGAAGCAGGAGCGAAGCAGGCAAGATCAAGTTCTTTCTGACGTCAGGGTCCAGCCAGGGCTATGGAGACCCGTGCTATATATAGGGCCTGGAGCTGGCTGGGAGCAGGGGACGTCTGGGGCCAGGCTGAGGCCCAGCCATCCAGACGTTGCTGGCAGCCAGGCCACCGCCAGGCGAGGCCAATCATCCTCAAGTCATTTTCCAAATGAGACCGCATGCCCATCCCAAGCACCTTCAGGACCCCCAGGTGCATCTTGGCCTTTGTGCCTGTGCTGGGAATGGAGACCTTACTTCTGTACTGTCTCTCGGGAATGGGAGGAGGGGCAGTAAGTGTGGGGTAGGGAGGAGGATGGCGAGGCTCGATGTGGAGATTGAACACTGGGTGGGAGATAGGGATCGGAAGGTGAGGTTTGACTTGGTGAGGAAGGTGGAATTTTGAGTGCTCTGTCTCGTCCCTCTCTCCCTGCCTTGCCAAAAACATTCTCTCAATCACACCACCCAGCGAAGCAGGAGGCTGGCTCCATACTGCCGGGTTGGTGTTTAGGGAGGGAAACCCAGAGTAAAAGGGGAGCTTTCTCCCCGGGGTTAGCGGCGGAGCCACGACTAATGAACTCGAAGCACGAAGAACGAGGAAGGGCGGGACGTGAGCGGAACCGAGCCACAAGGCCAGCGCCTGGGATGGGTACTTAGGAGAGGCAGGAAGGCGGGTCTGAAATCCTGAGGGTGTGGAGAGATGGGGAGGGCTCGGTCTGCAGGTGGAGGTGGGGGCAGGGGCGAAGCCTGGGGCGTTAGCAGCCGGGAGGACCAGGCTCCAGCACTTGGAGTCCAGCCTCCATGCGCGCATCTCCGCACGTGGGCGTGATCTTTGGCGCGCTCTGGCGCCCCCTCAGAGGAGTGCGACGCGCCTCTGCCCTACCCGGACCCCAGCTCTGGGCGCTGGCCCGCCGTCCGCTTCTGGCACCCCGACTCGCAGCTCCGGGGCCCTCCGGAGACTCCCAGCCGGGCAACAGACACTAATAAACAAAAGGCCAATTAGACGCTGGGGCGCGGCTGATGAATGGACCTTGCGCTTCCAAGCGTGGCGCCGCCTAGAGTTTTCTGGCGCACCGGGTCCTGCGGGAGAAGCCACCTCCCGGAGAGGGGTCACGGCTGGGGTCAGAGGGTTCTCAAAACTCCCACTTTCCTCTGGCTACGGGGCTGGCTGGGGCGAGAAAATCGGCGGTCGAGCGGAGGGCGCGGGCCGGAAGCTGCGGGCGAGGCGCGAGAGGCCCCACAAAGCAGCCCGGCTTTCGGGCGCGGTCCCCCGACGCTGGAGGCCGGCATCCTCTGCCGCCCCGCCGGCGGTTGCTTCTAGGCGGCGCCCCAGTAATTCCAGCGCTGATTGCTGGAATAATAAAGACTGGTCTAGAAAAATGCGCAGTTACACAAAACGGCTGTTGTTTGCCAAACTCCGGAGTTAGTGGGGCGCTGCTGGAACGACACCCCAGCCCAAGCCTCCTCACTAGACACACACGCCTCGATCCCAAGACACACAGATGTTGCCCTAGGGCTGGGCATGGACATCCATCACAGGGACCCCCATCCAAACACCGAGAAACGTCCCCGCAAGCCACACACACCGAGGCCACCCCCATCTTCTGAGATGTGCAACTCCAGACGAATTCGCAGATACACAGTGCAACCAGACCGCGGCACACACATTCAATAAACTGCATTTCCACACCGTCATAGGCACTCTGCAGCCTCACAACTGCACGTGCTGGCCCTAACTCAAAACAATCTAGACGCACAAGGACAGCTAGACATCTTGACCAAATCTACATAAGTAGCCCCAGCCTCTCCAGCCTTTAACTTATTCAAACAATTAGAACTGACACAAATTGACTAAAGTCCTAGCTGAGACACACAATTCTATTCCACAATCCACACAAATGCCATTATACCACAAACTAGTGCTCTCACCCTATACAAACACACAAGAACAGACCCTCACCCTGCCAGCCTTACACCGACTTGGACCAGCCCTAAAACCCCCACCACGGAGTGGGGCCCCGGGCCAGGCCTCCGAGCAGCCAGAGTCCCTCCCCAGCCGGCCTGCGCGTCCCAGACTTTGTTTCCTGCGACTCGAGGCGGGGACGGGGAGGAGCCGAGGTTTCCAAAGCCGAGCGCAGGCCGGAGCCCCCTTTCTGCCTGGCCCGCCTGGCGCGGCTCTCAGGCTGCCACAATCCGCCCCTCGCACAAAAGTGGCCCGGCAGGTTCCGGGCCGCAGCCAATGCGCCAGCTCCTGCTCGGCTTGCCTGCCAGGAGCAGAGCCAGAGGGAGCTTGGAGCACTGAACACCCAGAACGAGAGCCAGGAAGTTCGGAGGTCGAAGGCTTCTCTCACCCTAGGACTTTCTGGCGCCTCCGCGAGAAACGCACACGGAACCCATGTGTACTTCGCAGGAGAACGTAGCCGCGGCACACGCGCTTGGTAGATTCCGTTTGACCCTCTCAGGGCAGCGCAAACGGAGAACCCGTGCCTCTCCCGAACATGCGCTTGGCCAAGGGGTCCCACAGGGAAGGTCCACAAGTAATTAACAAGGAAACGGAACATGGATCAAACTTGTATCCTACATCCCCATTAGGGGTCCCAGGCAGGACCCAATGGCAACGTGCATACAGTTCTCCGTGTCCCAGAAGGAGCGCAGAATCTGACCCACGATGCCCATTGAGCCCTGCCCGGGAGCATCCAGGGCTGGCACCCATATAGCACGAAGGGGCACATAGACCTGCGGCTCATGGCTCCTACAACCCCCTGCTCAGCTCAGCACGCGCGCACTGCGAAGGGAACGCAGAGGCAGGGCACACGCGCACCCTGCCCCGCGCCCCACTCCCAGATAGTCATCGTGGGATGGCATCTCGCAAATATTTATATTCCTCAGCGCCACGGCAGCCCGCGTCCACATTAGACACTCTAATCCTGCCACTTTAAATAGATGAATTAATAAAGCAAACGAGCGGCTAATAAGCTGACTGTCCTGCCTTTTTGAGGCGGAGGAAGGACTCGAAAGTGCGCCAAATTTGTTTGCAGTGGATCAAGGCGAGCCGCCTCTGCTTCACTTTCTTTATCTTAATTCCGACTTGAAAAGATATAATTATCTAGTTTGAACAGAGCTGCTATCAAATCCTTCTTTGGGCCGGGAAGGGGGGCGTTGGAGTGGATTGCGGCTCTCTGAGCCGCTCCGTGCAGCCGGAGATAGCGCGTAATGAAGATGTGGAGGCCTGAGATACAAAGGGCATTAACCTCATTAGCATGAAACCTTTTCTTCTTACCATTGTGGGACCCTTTCAGCCGCCTAATCCCCCCTATTTTCAAAGCTTGGTTTGTAATAAAGCTTTTAGTTTTTTTTTCAAAGCTAATAGTATTCTGTGATGATTTTATTGCTGTTACACTACATAGGACATTTACCCAAAAAAAGAAAAATCTTCACCACCAGCCCCGTTTTCTTGTACTTAAAAAGTATAAAGTATATAATTTCGGCAGAAGTAAACCTTCTGTTAAGACGGAATTTTTTTTTTTTTCTGGACAGACCATCTGAATTTTAAGAATGTTTAAGAATGAGCTCGGTGTTTGAGGTATTCCGGGTTTTGGAAGGTGAGTGGAAGGAAAAGGTAATTTGTACT
The DNA here is from genome assembly GCF_000001405.40 of Homo sapiens. NCBI lineage: Eukaryota > Metazoa > Chordata > Mammalia > Primates > Hominidae > Homo > Homo sapiens. The sequence goes on along the minus strand of NC_000010.11, from coordinate 117,550,968 downwards.
TGTTGAAGAGAAAGGGATGCTTTCCGGGAGCACTGACTGCAAAGCGCTTGAGACAGCTGGTGGTCACTGAGGGTCGTGCTGTCAAAGCGCCTGGAAGCCCCACGAGGGTTTCCAGGATACCCCGAGGCGCACCTGTCCCTGTGAGACGCAAGCCCGGGTCTCCTGAGGCCACCCCGTCTCCCTCCTCCCCCGGCAACTCCCGGCGGCGGTGTATCCCCTCACGGCACACACACCTTCCAAGAAGAGTCTGTGAAAATGCACTATGAGCAGCCAGGTTTCTACAGAGGGACAGAAATGGGGGGAAAGAGGGGAGGTGGAAGACAGGCAGAGATGGGGGAAAGGAGAAAGAGACGGAGAATGAATTCTGCTTTAGAGAAGAGGAGAAAAAAAAGAAAAAATTTCCATAGTGCCCTATAGTCCCCACACGTGCACGGAATGTCTAATCTTAACTTTTCAAGGCAAGATGTTAACAAAGCTTGTATTTTTGCCCTGCATTGTAACTTGGCCTTATCACAGTGTAAAGGGTGGGGAGATTGTCCTAAATTATGTCCAGGCAGCCCCCCTGGATCCGTGGATTAAGAGATTAAAGGAGACCACTGGGCAAGGCCTCCTCTTTCCCCTTCATATTCCTGGTATGATAATTGCTTAAACTGATTTGCACTTTCACAAAAGCTCGCAGGACGCTTTGTAGCTCGAACAGAACAGACGAGGTTTCTCTATCAATGGAAATAAAACTGATTAATGCAGCCTATCAGGATAAGAAGCAAATGAAGCATGCAAAAACAACCTCGTACCCCCAGAAGGGGGAAGGAGGGAGGGAAAAAAGCTAAGTTTCCTCCAAGTCTGATTACAACTTTTTCTTTAATGTTAAAATTAAGAGTTGAAGGTTTTTCAGAACACTTGCCTTATAAGGCTGCTGAGGCCCTTGGGCTTGGCCCATCACCTTCAGCAGATTGGGGCCAGGGAGAGGAGGAAAGAAAGGAAGGAAAAGTAAGACTTGTACTTTGGGGTTTGAAGTCAGAAAGTTTAGAAGTTGCAAGATTCTGCTACATGTTTTCCCCAATATTTTGGGAGAGTAGTCCTCAATGTGTAACTATATGTCCAGTTTTTTTTTAATAACCAGAGGTTAAGAGAAGTAAGCATTTTAACCTGAAGTTCAAACTAAACTCCCTCAGGAGGGCATACAATGGGCAAAGTCTGGTTGAAAAACTTTTCTCCCATCTCTTTTCTGAAGGACTTAAGTTTTCCTAATCTTCTCCCTTCTCCACCCTCATCTTTCTTTAAAATGCCTGAGAATCCATCAATCTGGCCCTTTTGTGGGTGAGGAGCCTGGGTTTCTTGAGCCTAGTTGGGGAAGGACCACACTCAAATTACTGAGATACATTTTTAAAGATCCACTTCAATTTCCCAAGACGACTACTCTGAGGGCATATTGATAAATCTTTATTGACAAAATATTGACATTGACATACTTCTTGGAAGTATATAGTGTGTTAGAATTCTAACAAATTAACACAAAACACAAAAATATTTACATTCTGGTATAGAAGACATTAAGGAAGCATTTGTCACTCTCTTTAGTAAGTCTATGATCTTGGAATAGAAACTCAGTGCTTGAAAACTTGCCGCCGTGCGCTTGGCCACACTTAACATCATCCCCGCTAACTACAGTCCTTCAGGTTTTGCAATAGATAGATTTAAAGTTTGGAATAGGCATTGCAGTGAATGGTTGAACTCGGCCAATTTCTCCAACCACTGAAAGGAGAAGTTTGCATCAGGGTTTTAAGCCTCAGGATGTTAGGAAAGGGAATGTCCAAGAAATATAATTAATTTAGGGGTTTTTTTCCCAGTACAAGTCCTGATTCTTTTTGTGGGCACCCTCCCCCGCCACCCCCAGCCCCCCCGTCGTCCTGCTCCCCGTTTCTCTGTAAGAGGACCACTATCGCTGAGCCTACTTCATTTAGCTTGCACAATCACTTTGACATCAGAAGGTATCAAAAAGTGTTTACAGACTGCACATTTCTTGGGAAAAAAAATCAAAATAAAAAGCACACAGAACCTGTCTTTAAAAGGAAAAGAAAATTACAATTCATTTTCGGTCTTTAAACACCATTCGCCCAACAACTGCTACATGCATTTCAAGGATTTGAAACAGGTGTGGGATGGGGCTAGATATGGAATTTTTGTTTTTTATTACTAATTATTTTTAAAGATGGGGGGGAAACACAGCGAAGTGCAAAAAACAAAAAAGTCCTGTGCCTGGTTGGGTCGTGGTTTTTATCATCATCATCATTTTTTAAGTGGACTGTGATAAACGGAATACCTGCCAATCATCTTGTCTCCCCGGTTTGGTGTTTGATTGACAGCTCCCCTTGTCAGAGTGCACGTTCAGCTTTCTCTCTCTCTCTCTCTCTCTCTCTTTCTCTCTCTTTCTCTCTCTCCCTCCCTCTTTCTCCTTCTCTCTGTGTCTCTCACTCAGCTGCCTCTTTAGACGAGGGTCGCTTGTTGATGAAGGAGCCTCCATCCTCTGCCATCTTGGCGCGGCCTCGGTTTGGGACCCTGTGCCCTCGCTGTCCAGAGTCTTCGCCGCATTCCGCTGCTCCCTCCGATTCCCTCTCCCTTTCTCGGTGAACGTGTATGCGGTTTGTTTTTGTTTTGTAGGGTTTTTTCCTTCTCCACCTCTCCCTGTCTCTTTTGCTCCATGTTGTCCGTTTCTGTGGGGTTAGGTTTATGTTTTTAATCATCTGAGGTCACGTCTATTTCCTCCGGACTCGCCTGCTTGGTGGCGATTCTCCACCGGTTAATATGGTGCGTCCCTTTTTTCTTTTGTTGCGAATCTGAGCCTTCTTCCTCCAGCTTCTGCCTTTTGAACTTTGTTCTTCGGTTCTGAAACCATACTTTTACCTGCGGGTGAGAGGCAGATGGGGTGCGTTAGTTCTTTCAGAGCACCCTTCTATCAAGTGCCTGATCCTTTCACCCAGCCCAGACTCCAGTTCCAGACTCAGCAAAGACCCAGCCCCCGAGATGCAAGTCCTAAGGTCCAGCCTCCCCAAGGCCTGCCCTCAGGGAGCAGGGCCGCTAGTGCGTGGTGGAACAGAAGCCCAGCTCCCTGCCCTTCTGAGGCTTCCTGAAGAGCCTTTCCCCAGGGCCCTGTGGCCCGGAGTGCACTGAGCCCCATCTCTCCTGGCCCTGCAGAGGGCATCTATATCCCGCTGAGAGCAAAGCCTTGCAAAGCATGGGAAGCCCCTACAAAAATAATAAGTGATTAAAAGAAAAAGAGACATGTCCCTAACTCCCTCCAGCAAGCGAGTGCAAGAGAGACCTCAGTCCGCCGCTGCTGCAGCTCCCCTCAGGGCCCAATGTGCTTTCTATTTTCTGCTGGTCTGGGCGGCGTTTCCTAAATATAGCGTCTCCTCTTCGTGGCGGGGGCCCTGGGTAGGCGATCAGGGTTTGCCTGAGCTGCATCCTCCGTGCGGGGGACTCTCACAGGTGAGCAGGAAGGGGATGGGGCTGGAGGAGGCCAGGAGGGACATGGAGTGTGTAGGCCTCCAGACCAACCCAGCTGTACCTTTATAGCTAGGAAAATGAGTTCAAAACTGAAAGCTTCTGAAAGACCGTGGGTTACACGGAAAGTAAGAGAAACTAAGAGAAGGGGAGGTGACAGCAAGCCCCCTCTTCCCTCCTTCTAAACAGCCCCGGAACAGGCTGCTGGTCACACAACCTCGGACCCCAGTCCCATCACTTCCCACCAGGGTGGGGCTGGAGGCCCGGCCTCACCAGAGCGGCTGTGAGAGGTCTCAGGAGCAATGAGGTGGGAGTCGGCTGCCATCCCACGGCCCCCTAGGAAAGCTGAGTCGTGGGTCCTCATTTAGCCACCAGACAGTAACACAGTCCAATCTTCACAGCAGTGGTGTACAGGTAAGGGAGATGGCAGTGACTGCACCTCTGATACCCTCCCCCCACAACTCCTATTCTATCTGGATAAGAGTACCCCACAGCCCAGTGCCAGTCCCTGGACCCCTGGGATCCATTCCATTCCCTCCTTTGAGGCCGCAGGCCGGTCCGTCTTGCTCTCCCGGAAAGCCACAGTCGCCCAAAGTGCTCCATGAAAAAAGCTGAGCGGGAACAAGGCTGAATTTAATTTGCTTTGAGTTTGCTAATTGAGGGGGAGGACGGTTCATTTCTCCCCGGCGCTGGCCCAAGGCGCGCGTCGGTGCGCTCGGGGCTTGACACGCACACAAAGACTCCAGGCAGCGTGGGCAGCGAGGCGGACAAAGACCACCGCCGCCTCGGCTGTCCAGGAGAAATCAGCCGGGCCGCGCCTTGTGCCGGGCTCCGCACAAACCCGCCAGGCCCTCCTCGGTTTTGGGGTGGGGAACATGTTTTAAAACAAAAGCCTCGACCTTTCTGAGCTGCCCAGGAAAAGTGTTACAACTTAGTCTGCCCAAAAAAACGTTACTGTTTGCTGGGAACTTTGACCCCGCCCTGCGGCTCCGTGTACAGTAGCGCCTAGTGTAGTCCTAAACCCCCTCCCCACCCTGGGATAAACCCAAGCCAGGCCCGCCCAGGGACCCTGCTGTGCAGAAGGCCTGTGCCCTGAGGCAGACCCTCTCTGCAGCCTCCCAACTTTACTTCTCTGATATAGGGTACACACAGGACGCTTGCCCTCTACCTTCCCATCGCCCATCTCCTTCAGGGAAGTCACTGGAGCCGACGGTGTGAGCCGTGGGCTCACAGTCGCTCAGAACTCATCTTTAACCCACATCCTGTCCTTACCAGCCTCCAGCTCCAAACACCCAGAAACCCCACTGTGCTCTCCCTCTTCCTGGACCCCAGCAGGGGTCTTCACACTCTCATCAAAAGTCTCACCAGAAATGCAGGGATGTCTTAGCCAGGACATGCCCAACTGGACAGAGAAACAACTCGGCGCGTTTCCCCAGAACCTGGGGCAGATTGGCACTTACAGCCCCTTTCTGGAGCCCAACAAAGCCAGCACCTTGAGACATACATCCCGAGCCCAGGCGTGGAACCAGCTACCAGGACCTGTGCGGAAGGCCCTCACAGAGCTCCGTGCTCATGGGTGTGCTTGGGAGCCAGCTTTGGGGAGGGGGCGCACGCCTAGATGGGTTCCTCGCGCCCGGGCCGCAGTCACCTGAGTTTCCGTGAGGCTGAGGCTGTGTGCCAGCTGCTTCCTTTCGGCGCCCACCACGTAGTGATTCTTCTCAAAGGCGTGTTCCAGCCTTAGAAGCTGGGACGGGGAGAAGGCGGTTCGGATCCGCTTGGGCTTTCGGGCCAGCGCGTTGTGCAAAAGGAAACTCTCGGGGCTAGTGTCGTTCCCTGCGGGGAGCACAGCAGAAATCCCATTAGGGGGGGCTGCTCTGACCGGAGCCGCGCACTTCTCCCGAGCCGGGCTGGCCCGGCACCGTGCTCAGGGCCTTCGCATAGCCGCGCCGCTCGACCTGCGGGGGCCGGTGGTCCTCCCAAGGGCTCACGAAGGGAACGCCTGCTCAGCTGCCCGGCCCGGAACGCCGGGTCTCCACCGGTGCGGCACCCAACCAGCCGCTGTCGCAGAGGAGCCAGTCCCCAGGCTCCTGACCTCGGCCGGCTCCGCAGCCGCCCTGGCGCCGCGGGCCTCGCCACCTCCTCGCCGGGCGCTGGAGGCAGGGGAGGGAGCCGCAGAGCCTGGCCAGGGGATTGGCGCCCACAACCCGAAGAAACTACTTTCTCTTCTTTCTAACCTCTCGGGGAACTTTGACCCACGGTGGAAAGGCGGCGGGCTGCTCTCCAGAGTTTTCATGGAGATTTATTTTTAAATTATTTGTTTTATTGCCCCTCCGGAAAAGTATAGAGGCGGGGCGAGTCGTTGAAGCCCGATCGGGACAGAAATCTGGCCGGCGGGTGTGCTTGGCTACAGCCGCTGCTGCCTCTCGCGAACTGGGCTCCGGGGCTCCCGGCTCCCGAGAACTAGAAGAGAAACGCGAGCGAAGGGATCGAAACCCGGGGGGTTACCGACTTGCAGACACCGCCAGGACAGTCTGTAACGCAGGAAGATCCCAGCGGCTCCGGGTCTGGTGAGGGGACCATAAGCATGACTGATAGCGAATGAGGAAGGGCAGCCCTAAACTTTTCAAGCAAAGCCTCAGAGTTTTGGGTTCACTCATTAGCATAGGAAATCGATTCACCGAAAACCCAAACAAAGAAAAACAAGCCGACAGTCCAGGCAGGATGCAGGCAAATCCAGTTCGGGATTAAGGGTAAAAGGCTTTTTGGGTTTTTTTTCCTTTGGTTTGATTTTTTAAAATATGGGGAGGGGGGTGACATCTACCCGATTCTAGGCTCCGGCAGGAACGCAATGGGTTAATGAATGGACAAGCCGCGGAGTATTGATCGGCTGCCGCCGGAGGTAGGTCTTTTACTGACTCCAATCCGTAAACTAATTACTCCTTTTTCTGAAGTTTTAACTCTCCTCCTCCCACCCCGTACCCAGAGAAAAACAAACAAATAAAAAATATCGCAAGAAATGAAAACACACGAACAGATATTTCCCTCTAAGACAGTTTCCTGACCAGGTTCTTTTTTTTTTTTTTTAAAGAAAGAAAGAAAAACAAAAACCAGACCGAACCTGCCTTCCCGCTGTGGCTGCTCGGCGCCCCAATTAAGCAGGTCGCGGCGAGAGCGCCAAGCCCTGGAGCTTTCCTCCCGCACGGGTTCCCGCCCCTCCCCAGGCCTCCGAAAAGCAGGAAAGAAAAAACAAATCCCATACTTTTCTCCCGGGGCGCGAGGATCCTCTCGCCTCCAGAAGAGGGTGGAAGACTAAGAAGCCGCGGGTCTGGACTGAAGGGGCGCAAAGTGGGTGGTGAACAGGGTCGAACGCAGTCGAAAGCAAGCCTGGCGGCCGAGTCCTGTCCGCGCCCCTCGGAGCCAGGACGGTTGGGGGCATTGCCGAGGGTACCAGGAGCCTGGGGATCCCGCGGGCTCTGGGCTCCGCGGCGCCGGGCACGCACAGCCCAGCCTGCTCTGATTCGAGCGCACTGGGGGACAACTTCTCCGTTCGCACCCCTTCCCAAAGGGTCAAGCGGCCCGCAGGCCATCACTCCAAACCAGTCGTAGCTTCGGAGACTGGGGATCGACACCACGCCCGGCCCCGCGCCGCCTAGTTTCCCAACAGGGCGCGCTGGCCCGCGAGCCGGAGGAACCTCCGCCCAGGCCTTGCCAAGCGCCCACCCGGAGCAGGCCGGGGGCAGTGAAGGATGCGGCGGGAGCGGCGCGCTGCAGTTCCGCGACGTGGCACGTACCTTGGAAGCGATGACCCAGATATCGGTAGCGGTGGATGAGCCAGGGGTAGAAGGTGGACGGATCCCGCTGCTGCGAGGCGAATAGGGGGTGTGGCGAGTGCGAGGAGGGTAGGGGGTGGGCGGCCAGGGCGTGCGGCGGCGGCACCGGGTGCACTGGCACGGCGGGGTTGGGCGGGTGCGAGACCGCCTCGGCGAACACCAAGTCCGGGTTGGAGTAGACGCCCCTACCGGCGGCGGCGGCGGCGGCCGAGTGGAAGCCGTTGAGGAACGGATTTATGGGGCTGGAGTTAGCGTAGCTGAGTGCCGCGGGACGGATGGGGTCCTCGGAGCGCGAGGCGGGCAGGGGACTGTCCTTGGCCACCAGCGACTCGATGGTGAAGCAGCGCTTGGGCGCCGGCTGGAACATGCTGCGCCGAGGAGCGGGCGCCCTGGGCTCCCAGCTCCTGGCGACCGCCGCACGCTGCCTCCGCCGCCCGCTGCCCGCGGCGAGGACGGACGAGAATTGGGGACTCGTTTGTTTGGGGTGGGGGTGGGGGTGGGGGGAAGGAAAGGAAGAAAGAAAGGAAAGGAAAGGAAAAAGGAAAGGAGGGGGGAGGGAGAGGGAGAGGCAAAGCCGAGGATCCCGAGAATCTTGCACCAAACGCGCCCAACCTGAAGAGAGGGGGGAAAATCCTTCCAGAAGAATTTGCAGGCGTGGATTGGGGTAATTTTTTTTCTTTTTTTTTCTTTTTTTTTCTTTTTTTTTTTTTTTTTTTTTTTTGGCGAGATGGCGTGGGGGGATCGGAGTTAGAGGCAGGGAGGAGAAGGGGGGAAAGTTCTCGGGGGAGGCAAAAAAAAAAAAAAGTTTTTTCTCCTCTGCAAAAGGCGGGCAGGGCGCCCTAAGTCCAAGGACAATCCATGGAAGTGTTCGCTTCTTCACAAGTTGTGCAAACGATTTGTTAGTTCATGAGCCTAATTAGTGCGGGGATCACATAAACAGCTTCCTCCGAAGCCTGGTAAATGGCTTGATGATTGGTCGCTATTACTCGCCCTGAGGTGGAAGGGGGGAGACTCTTTAAAGTGCGTCAGAGGGAGGTGAGCGCCTGGGAACCCGGAGGCCTGGATCCGGGCCGAGAGTGGAACGGAGTCGGCGCCGCCGCCTCGGCTGAGCCTTCTGCCGCCCACCGGGCGGCCGGGCTTCTCCGCGCCTTCGCCCCTCGCTCCCAGCTCACTCGCTCCTGCGGCGCCCGCTGCGGCTTCTCCTCCTCCTTCGCCTCCTCCTCTTCCTCCAGTTTCTTCTTCTCCTCCTCCTCCTCTTCTTCCTCCTCCTCCTCTTCTTCCTCCTCCTCTTTCCCCACCTACTCCCCCTCAGCCACCGCCTCCTCCTCCACCAGCACCACTCCCTCCGGGGCACCCCGGTCCCTGCAGAGTCCCTGGCCGGCGCCGCCTCCGCTGCGGCCCCCTGAATCCCGAGCCTGCCTCGCCCAAGCTGGTAGGACAGAAGGACAGACAGATTCCTCTAGCCTAGCGCTCCGCCGCTGCTGCCTTACGCGGCCCCGCGTCGGGAGAACTGGGATCGCCCCAAGAGCACCGCGAGGGTAAGCGGGCAGGGGCTGGTTCCCGGGCTAAAGGCGCCGTTCGGTTATACCAATCCCCACACTTAGCAAAACTCCCAGCGGTTTCCTAGGCCAGGAGGGATCCTGGAGTGAGGGGTACGGGGTCCTCCCACCCCATCAACCACGCTTAGCCTCGAGGTCCCAGGGTCGGTGCGTTCGCGATTCTTGACCCGGCTCGTTCGTTTGCGAGTTGAGACCGGGAGCTGCCGACCCCGCCGGAGCAGTGGGCTTCCAACTCTCTCCCTCTCTCGCCCCACGGTCTCTAGCGTTTTCTGTCTGGGAGGGTGCTCACCTCCTTCCCCAAAACAATTCCTTCTGGAATATCTGGGACCGGCAGTCCAAGGTCAGGGGAGAGCCCGATATGGTGCTACTGTACTATTAAGGTTCCGTCGTAATTATTTTTGTCAGTGTGGTCAATGTTATTATTATTATAGATGATATTATTTTATTATTATTATTTCTATTATTATTATTATGCCATCTGTTGTCCCGGGGTTGGTGGGGGGGTGGTGGTTGCTGTGCAAACCCAGTGCAACTAACGACTACGGATCGCATCTCCGGTCCCGGGCCGTGTCCGCATTTTCGAGCTCGCCTTCGGTTTTGGGATGATTTTAGGACCGAGTTCCCTCGTCCCCATTGGCTCGCGCGGCGGCATAATTATGATCACATCCCCAGGCTGCTGGCGCTGCTCTCTGTTTATTGGTGGTTAAAGATCTATTATCTATTCATCAGCCGCCTCTTTTTTCCTTTTTTTCCTTTTGCCAATTACATTCTTCTAAAGTGAAGTACCAGCAGGTATTTTGCACGTTTACAATTAATGATAAAAAAAAATTCTAGCGTCGTTTAAAACTATTACTCCCAGGCCCCTGTCATTTCTCCTAAGAACGCAGAATTGCCTGTGTTTGGTGACTAGGTTGCCGTGAAACCTGGGAAGCCGATGGCAATGGGAGGAGAAGAGTGAAGTCCACCGTGAGCCAGGCTGCACTGCCACCAGATGCATAGTTGAGGGGACAGGTCTCAGGACGAGCTACCTGCTTCCTCCCTTGGTTTCATCTGGTGTATATTTATGTTTGTGTCAATTACTCCTTTATTCCAGATATAATGTTGTGTTGGGGCAAGTGTCCAAAAACCTCTTTTGGGAAACCAGGCAAGAGAGGAGTTGGGAGCAGTGTTTTCCGGGGTTGTCAGGGCACCAGACAGATTCGTGAGGAACTGGCAGAGATCATCTTTGTTGCCCCCACCCCACACCTTCCCAGGGAACACACATACACATCTTCACAGATGAGACAGGTGTGCGCCTCAGCTTTGCCCTCACAGTGGGAGACACCTGCCTTTCCCTTAGGCTTCGAAGTTCTGGGCTGGGGTCCTAGCCCAGTATTGTCCCTCTGTCAGTTCCAGGTGGCTTTGCTTTCTCCTCCTCCCCTTTTTCCAGGCCCAAAGATTCTGGGCTTTGGATCCAGCCCTTGGGGTAGGGGTGCACTTAAAGATGCACCTCCCTTGGGCCTGGACCACTGTCCCCCAAAATATTGTCTACAGTTTGGAAATCCCTCTCTCAATTAGGCTGTGAGGTTACAGGCCTCTCCTCTAACCCCAGCTAGGCCAGCAGGGAGCCTGAAGACATGGCAGAGGGGGGAGGTCTTTTGGCTGTGCCCAGCCAGTAAGCTTAGGGTGGAGCTAGAGGTCCGCCCTCAGGTTTTTGAGGCTGGAAACAAACACTCAGCTTAGGCAGACTGTGCATCCTGAATCCTGGCAAGCAGGAGAGTGCACCTTTCATGCAAACTTCAGAAGGAGGACTGGAGGGCCAGATTCTGGCAGTGCCCTCAGGCCAGACCCTCCAAACTCAGCCTGAGACTCAGAGGTTGCAAACTGGAGCCACTGAAACTCCACCCTTAGTGATCTTGGATGGGGGCATAAAAGTCATTGACCTTTAGGGCAACAGGTATCCAGTCTGTCTGGGAGATTGGGTGAGACCCAGATGGTTTGTGATGTATAAGGGTGATGGGTGCCTTCCCTCTTTTAAAACTTGCAGCCCTGGGCGCTAAGGTGCAATCATTATTCCCTTAACCAGGACAGTGTTGGGCTGGAGATGGGACCCCTCAGCCTTCTGCCCCAGGCAGGGACATCTGGCTGCAGTAGAGGGGTAGAGTGCTCCACAGTCCCACTTCAGTCAGTCGGCATCCTCTGCAGGCTACCTGCCTTTTATAAACTGCCCTTCTGTGGCCAGGTTTGCCCCAGGGGCTCTAGCTAGCCAACACGTAGGCAGGGGTAAAGGGGCAGCAGGATCTGAGATCTGGTGTCCCCCTTCCTGAAGGAACCAGGATATGCTAGTTCCTCTGCTCCAAGTGCTGCTAGACCCGAGCTGCACTCCAGCCCCTTGAAGGAGAAGCAGGTTTCCAGTGAGTCGGGCAGTTCAGAACCCCAGAAGCTGGGTAATCTATGCTAATTCATGCATGGGTAATCTATGCTAATTCCCGGGGCCAGAAGGGCCCGGGAAGGTTCGCGGGGTCTGGCCCCGATGTGCAGGGAAATTAACTAGGATAGTAACTCATTAACCAGACTGGCCAGTGGAGTCGTGCCAGGGCACTGGGCACTGTGGTCTGGACTGGACCCTAAGCTCCTAGATGGCGCAGCTGCCCTGCCACTCAACTTTACTTGTGGATTTAGGCCTTGCAGAATACAGCCACCTTTGTTCCTTAGCTGCCCAAGGAGTGGGTGTTTGGTTAAGTAGCCCTGCGTGGAGTGGGAGATGTGGGGATTTCTGAGGCTCCAGCTTAGAGCAAGGGGCTTCCTCCCTCTGCCCCATGTGTGCCCCAAGCCACTGCTGCCTCTTGGGCTCTGTAGACTGAGGAATCTACCTTTCCAGGTAGCTGGACTAGCAGACACATTCAAACGTTCTAATTCCGAATCTGTCACTGAATGACCTTGGGCAACACAGAAACCTCCCCACCTCATTTTGTCATATGTAAAAATACAGCCAATGCTGTCTGGGAGGCAGTGGGGAGTAGCAGTGGGCTTGTTTTGGAGAAAGATAGAACTATCCTACTTCCTGATTGTGGTGGTATTTACATGACTCTATGTGTTTTTCAAAACTCACAGAACCATATACTACAAAGGGTGAGTTTTACTATATGTAATTATACTTTAATACACCTGCCCCCATCCCCCAAGATGAGAGACTTGCATTTACAGCTTAACTGTGTGACCTTGGGCAAGTTACCTAACTTCTCTGTGCCTCGGTTTTCTCTTCTCTGAAATGGGAATAAATAATATAGTACCTTTGCTCTGGGTTTGTTCAATGAGATAAACAAAGTAAAGTGCTTAGACAGTGTCTGGCACATAATGAACTACAATAAAAGTTTGCTCCTGTCCTTGATGCTGCTATTACATACCCACCTCCAAGGCTTGTTACTGGGTTTCAGAGTCTGTGAACAATATAGCTGTACAAACATCAGCTAATGCTGACACTCCTGCCACACTCCTCCGTGCTCCCCCAAAAGCTGAGAGCTTTTCTAGGGAGATTTTGGGGTGAGCAAGGCCTGGAGTCCTGGCTCCTTGGTTGGTGTCAAAGGGCGGAGACTCCTGGGGATCTCTGATAAGCATCTGCTAGGAGTTTCCTGCAAGGTGCCCCCGGGCTTCAAAGGAGCAAAGGGCAGTGCTTCACTATAGCTGCGCTCCGTGCTAGGCCTGTGAGGTACCTGGGGTGGGTGCATGGCCTCCTGCAACTGAGAATAGGTGTGTGGGAGCTGTCTGGGGTCACCACCTGTGTGACTTTCACCTTCTTAAGCCACGGTTGACTCATCTGTGAAAAGGAAATAGCGATGTGTTAACGGTTGTTGAGAGAGTGAGTGAGCTCATATTTAGCACACTGTTAGCGTTCATCACATTTTAGTTATTGCTAGGCCATGGCCTTGTGCCGTCGAAGCTACCCGCTGCACTCTGCCACGTCCTGGTCCCTGATCGCCGAGGTTCTGGTCCTCACGTTGAACCAGAATGCTGAGCCCGCCCTGTGCTCCCGCGGCTCGCCGCGGACCGCACCGACGCCCGTGAAGGGCGAGCCCTTTCCCGGCCCGAGGCGCGAGAATGGTGTCCCGAGTTGGAAAGGCCTCGGGGGCGTTAAGAATTCCTCCAACCCACTGAGATCCCCAGTCACGCCGGCCTCTCCGAACGCGCAGGGTGGCGGTGAGAAAACGAAAAGTATAATTAATGCCCTAAAAACATTTTTTAAAAATTATTACGACAAATCCCTTTCTGGCGTCTTCCCCAGAGGCCTCTCGCCAGGCGGGCGCGGCGACCCGGGGCCCCGATCGGCGTGAGCGCAGCGGCGCCTAGTGGCGAGGGCCGGGCGCGGGCGCGGTACCCACCGCGCCCCCGAGCCCGAGGGCGGGGGAGCGCTGGGGTCGCGCCACACTGCCAAAGTCTCGCCTAGGCCGTCATCCAGGCCAGTGGAGGGGTTAAAGGAGGCTCACTGGCTACGGAGGAGCCCGGATGGCTTGGAAGTGCGTCCCTCCTGCCTCCATCAGCTCCAGCTCTTGGCTTGAGAGTTCGCCACCCACGCTGGAATTCCAGCTCCAGTAGGCTTCCTTCCGAAGGGGGCGCAGAGGTGGGCTGGAGTGGGACAGGTTCTGCTCTAAGAAGGACTAGGAAGCCGTGATCACCTGTGCAGCCACAATTCCATGCCTGAGGTCCCATATTTCGCGGCCCAACCCAGGTGGTTCAGAGAACAGGCCTTGGACGGCCTGCGCGGGCCCTGCCTGGGGTGGAGTAGGAAGAGCTGGGGTCCCGGGGTGCGACTCTCTCAGATCCGCGCCCCCTCGCGGCTGGCTGAAGACGCCCGACACAGGGGGTCCTTGGTTTTGGCAGGGGTGGCGATTGATTACCACACACTCCTAGCAGCGCACATTGACTAGCCCATTCCTCTCGGAGCGCGCGGACCCCATCCATCCCGGGGCAGCCTGGCTCCTCCGGTGATGTGGGGCCGTGGAATCCGCTTGGGCTTCACTGGAAACCCGTGTCATAGCAAGGCGGCCTGGGACCGGCGCCCTCAGCATAACTGCTTGGAGCTCCGAGCCCTTGCGGCAGGGTTTTGACCCTGGCCCTGGGCTCCGCGGGTGGCTGCAGGGGCGCTGTCCTCCTCTGGACATCCGCGCGAACCTCTGCGTCTCCGGAGATCTATCCGTTTTGAGACCCAATGTTTCAGTGACGCATGGAGCCACTGGCAGGACCCCACCGTCGGGTTTTATCTCCTTCATCACGTTGAAACTCGTCACTCCCTCACCACACACACGCTGTCTCGATTCATTATTGAAAGCAAGGAAACAGAACCAAAGGGGTTTGCAGTTTCTTTCTCCCTCAGCTGCCTTCAAATGAAAGCCTAGGACCGAGCAAGGACTGGGAGGGACAGACAGACGTACACACAGACGGTGGTGCAGGAGCTAGGGAAGAAGTACACTCTCTAGTTCGGGCGCCAGCCCGGGATAGGGATGAAGACAGTTGCGTCTCCCTTGCACTCTCTCGGGATGGAGGGTGGGTGGGAGCGTGGCAAGTCCTTCCCATCGCCCCCAAAGCTACATCTCTATGAGCCCACCAGAGCGTGCACCGGCTCCTGAGTTCCCAGAGGACCAGCATGGGGAGCGAAGCGGGGCGCACCTTCCACGCCTCTGCAGCGCTTTCTGGCTTTTCGTGTTTGAGGCTCTGCTCTCTGCCACTGATAGCCCGGCCGGCCTTTTAACTTGGAGTCTGGTCCTCGCCCGACAATGTAAGGCGCTACTTGGGTTTGTCAGCGTCCATCTAGGAGCCTATGCTACTTCTGAAACGCTGGCGTCCCAGGAGCCACACTCTCAGGGGCTTAATCGTCTCTTCCTTTAATACTTCCCCATTTTCTGGACGTGGGGGCTGGGCTGGGGCTTGGAGGGGAAATCCAGCCAACTGAGGAAAAAAAGGAAACTGGAGGTTTTTTATTTTGGACTCTGCGGCCCTCCTTGAAATATGGGGAGGATTGGGGCAAGACTTACAAGAAAACTAACAATTCCTCTCACCTGTATCGAGTTTTAGCAATTTTTTAAAAGTATGTGTGCTCAAGCCCATGATTTCAGTGAACATCACAACCTGGTGTGGTCAGGGAAACAGTCGTGATACCCACTTTTCAGATGAGAAAACTGAGGCTCAGGGAAGTTACAAAAATCACTCCGCGCACCCCCACCTCCTGGCCATGGGTGCAGTGATCACTCCACTTGGAGCCCTGGGAAGACCACCCTCTCCTCCCCGCCCACAGGAGTCAGCCGCCCGCACTCAAGCCAAGGAGAAAAGGCAGGGGAGAATGCCCTGCAGGTGGGCCGGGGTGCACGCGCAAGGTTTGCCCGGGCGGCCCCACTTAATGTCACTCTGGCTCTTGCCTCGTATGCACCCGCTCACCGTTGACCCCCGGGCCGCTCTTCCCGGCCTCAGGCCCTGCCCTCTTTCTTCTTCCTGGTTTAGCTCCTGCGGTCTCCAGCCCCGAGTTTAGGACTGGAAGGCGGAGGGTGGTCGGTGGCCTCGCCGCTGCCAGTGAGCCGAAGCTCGGGCAGGGCAAGCGCTGCGTGGCGGCAGCTGAGACTCCGTGCGCCCCGTATCCCCACGTCGCTCGCGTGGGCGACTCACAGCGGCCGGGAAACCTCTGCTGGTGGCCACAGAGCAGCGCCTGCGCGGGCGGGCGGGAAAACGGGTGCTTCCAACCGCAGCCAGCGAGGCGGCCCCAAGACCCCTCGTCCAGCGTCTTCTTCCCCGGCTCTGCCCCGCCTGCGCGGAGAGAGCTGCGGGACAGAAGAATGGACAGGGACTGGGACCTTCCGAAGGGGCTCACGGGGGTCTGACCACGACCACTCCCCCATCGCGGGCCCTGAGAAGACCCCAACTCTCTCTGGGAGCAGCCGCAGCTTTGCCGGACCAGGAGGCCCTAATTACAGACGGGCTCTGCTGCAACTCGTGGGGGCCCGGCCCCCAGGGGAGAGCGAAGGAATACTCTAGTTCTGGCCCCCGCAGCTGCCCCCGCCCCCGGCCACACGCACATTCTGGGGCCCCTCGATCCTGGAGGTTGGCCATACCAGGCCCGGCTCCCCTGTTTGCATCCCCTCGGCGTCTGGGCGCGGGAAGGCTCCGTGCACCCCGCTTCTCCCACGGCCACGCGGAGCCCTCGGCTTCGTGGCCTGCCCCTGGCGTCTGGAGGAGACACCGCGAGTGAGGCCCGAGGGAGCCTCTGGGGACTCGCAGCAGCCGAAGCCCGCTTGGGCCTCGGAGGCCTCCTCTACGCTGGGCCCGAAGTGTCCTCCCACCCCTGGCGTGGACCCGGAGAGGCCCGACCGCGGCCGCCCTCCGCTTAGCCCCGGCCGCCAGCAGCTTGCCGGGGGCGGCGTGCGCAACAAAGGGTGGCATCGCAGCGGCGCGGACAGGGACAGCATTGATTCAATATTAGCTTTTCATTCCAGTCTATTGTGCCCATCTGAGATAATATTGACTCTGAGGTGAGAGCCCACAGACAACAGGGCTTGTCTAACACTCCGCTGCAGGGCGCTCGAAGGGAAGAGAACCAGAAAGGGCGAGTTAAAGAGAGTGCGAATAAAAGCTGCTCGCGCGGCGCGGTGGCCGCCGCTGGCGCCCAGAACCTCGGACCCGGGAACTGGGGGTCGTGGGAGGGCCGAGGGGTCTGGAGGTGGCTCTGAGGAAGGGAGCTGTGCTGTGCGTTCCCAACGAAAACAGCCCTCGCTTAACACACACTCCCATCTGCCAGACACTTGATGTTGAGGTTCCCCTTCTCGGTAGCTCTGGAGAAAAACTAATTCCCCCCACACACTGTTTTGGGTTGCTAGTAAGCCAGCAGCGGCCACTGAGATATTTTCCCCTTGTAAATGGTGTAACTCTTTAGGGTAACTTTTCTGTCAAAATGTTTCTTCTATTTCCCCAACCAGTGAAGAGTAAACACGCAGCAATTATCATTAAACTGCATTACTTGAGAGAGCGTGTTTAATATCAAATTTCTAACTGTGCATTTGGCTGTGCGTTCAATCGTCTCCTTCCAGCCCATCATTGAGTTCCCTAACTGCCTTTCTAACCGCAGCTTTAAAGGGCCTCTGGAACGTTCCAGTCTTGCATATAAAGATTCGTTTCAATTTTCAAATTGCCTCTAAATGCCTCCGTTGGAAAATGGCACTTTAAGTTGTTTTACGTGTCGGAGACAGAATACTTAGGCTTACACTCGGGGCACCAAACGCAAAACGCTCAGGGCTTGCAGTGAACCTGGTGAGTGTGCCCTCGGGTGTCATTTACAGAATTGGTGCCCTCCTCCCAATTGGAGTTTGACCTCTATCAGAGATAATCTCTTCACTCCTTTACCCCAATGAGGAGCTGGTCGTTTGAGATCTTTTCATCCACCCCAAAGGCACGTGGGCGCGTGGGGAACTGGGATAGGGTGAGGGCTGGGGTGGCTGCATCACTATGAGGAGACGCTGATGTGCTTCCCTCCTTCCCCTCCAGCGCCTTGTACTGAGCTGGTGCTCGGCGACAAGGAGCAGATCGGTACCTGGGCTATTTCAGAGGACACGATGTCTCCTATGTACCATCTATAACATAGATGTTCCGTTTGTATTATATGCTGTTTAACATATAAATATGTATTATGTGGTTTCATATCATAAATTAATATTTAACATCCAGTTCCGATATAATGTTGTTATATTACTTATCTAACAATGTTTTATCATATATTATTATACAATGTATGTTGTATACAATTCTAGATGTGTGTGTGTGTGAATGTATTTGGGAGAGCCTTTAATCTCCAAGTATGCATTTGATCATTTTAATGTAACTTTATAAAGTCCTAATCGAAGCCACTTTGAAACCAGCTATGTCTTTATAGCAAAATACCCTGGAGTCCACTGTCGGCTCTAGGACAAAGTTGGGGGGAAGGTAGCTGCTGTGAGGGACAGCAGGTCCCCATTGGAAAGTGATTTTCCAAATGTTTATTCCCCGGGGACAGAGGAGCCGATGTTCTGATGTTCTGGACTCCGCGGCCGTCTCCTGTCCTCGCTTGTGTTATGGTGGTTGTTTTGGTTTTGAGAGAGGCTGTTTAGAGGCTCTAGTGATCCCTAAACTGATGTCATGAATTAAAAATGAATGTGAGGAGTGCAGCATATGCTCGGCTGAGGAGTCTGGGAGCTCAGCGGAGGCCTTTCACCTCGGGTTCCGGGCTCCAGACGACAAACTGCAGGGCTCCAGCCTGGGTGCCCGATGCGGAGGGGCCTGGCAGAGCGGAGGCGCTGCGCGGGCTCCCGCAGGTCCTCTGCCCCAGCTCGCGGCCGCCCGTCCCTACCCCGGACTGGGAAAAGCTGTCTAGGGCTTGCATCGTTTACAGATCAGATGGTCCCAACTACAGTCTGCTTTTAATACCAATTGAGAGCTAAAATAAGCAAGCAGTCGGGAGTTCCCGTTGGAGGGCAGGGGCCAGGTGTGCTGGAGGAAAATAAAGTCGGAATTTCAGATGTCCTCACGTTATCGCTCCGTTAAAAGGCAAGAACCGCGCAAGTGATTTAGTTTAGGGAGGTGGGGGGAAAAAAGAAAAAAAGAGACGAAGTCAGGTGTAGCCAAAGAAAAGATCAGAAATGAGAACCGTCCTAACTTTACAGCTTAATAAACAGGAGGCTGCTAACTCAGAAGCTTGGGAGCTGGGGAAGGAAATTGGGCTGGTGAGGTGGGGAGGTAGGGAGGGTAGGCTCAGCAAAAGGGCAAGAGGGAGAGGAGACTGTCAGGATGCCGTGGGCTGTTTATTTCTCAAAAGCAAAAACCCCCAAACGGTTACCTGGTGAACATCTTGTAGAACAAAACAAAGAAACTTGGCTAAAACCTGGAACAGGCAGTTTAGTCTCCCCACTTCTGGCAAAACTTGAGGTTCAGTGAGGCCCAGAGCCCACTTGGGATCTGGTCCAGTTCCCAGCCTTGGGAAAGGTTGTTGTGGGTGTGGAAAAGTAGAGACAGTACCTCCCGGCTCTGTCCCTGAAGGGGCTCCCAGGCACCTGCTGGGATGAGCTGGGAAGTGGGTAGAGGGGCTGAGATCAGAGGAGGGAGGAGAATGTCTTCTTGTTGCTAAAAATAAAACAACCCACTCCCCTCACCCCAATGGCTGCAGTCTCTGGCCCTGGCAGCACTGGGAGGCCTCTGAACACGTACAGAATGGCAGGCCTTCCAGATGAGGAGCGGATTGCAGTGCCAACCATGTGGATGTGGGTCTTCCCCAGATGGGCTTGGGCACATCTGGCCTGTCTGCAGCATTTTCTGCATCCAGGTGATCCATCTCGTCCCTGCCCGGTGTAGTGGAGAACTTTATTCTGTGTTAGCACCAGCGTTCCTTATTTCTACCCTGTTCTCTGAGTCTCCATGATCCTGGTTTAAAGGGCAGCTGCCCGGGTGTGCTGAAAGCGAGATAGACTATATTTCATTTCTCATCTGCTGCCAGGACATCTCACATGAGAGATAATTCATTTCTATCACTGATGGCACCAGTCCCACGTACTGTGCTGAGCTCCCATTACGAGGATTTATTTCATCTCGTCCTCCCAGAAATCCATTGAAGTCTATTCCCATTTTCCATATGAGAAAACGGAGGCTCTAAGATGTTAAGACGTTCATCCAAGGTCACACACACAGCTAGTAAATGAGGACGTCTGGATTCCAACCCGGGTCTTTCTGACTCTAAAAGCTTTTCTTTCTCCCCGCTTCCCTACATCTGATTTCATATCAAAATGCCCACCTTTCCCCAAAGAGGAAGCCACTGGGTGAGGAAGGAGACAACACTTTGCTCTTTAGTCCTCCAAAAAGTCAATGACCATAGGATAAAGAGTCTGGATCCCACATCCCCTCCAGAGCATTTATTCCGACTCTGAAAGAGACAACAGACTACTGGCACATGGACAGCGTGGATGGTTTACAAATAGCCTGACCATACCTCACTTCAGTCACCTCTCCTACCAGCCCTGTGAGGTGGACACTGTCATTATTACCCCACTTAGAGAGGCAGGAATGGACTCAACGAGGTTGCACAAGTTGCTCACTCCCCATCCATTGTGCGCAGAGCCCTGGCTGTCCCATTCCAAGTCTCCCAGCTTTGTAGATTACCACATATGGGACCATTTAACCAATGAAGTTAGACCTTGCATTGTGTTGTGAAATTGCTAAGTTTTCTCTTTTTCATGTTTTAAGTATTCCTGCACATATTATTTCAGGACCCAACTTTTTCTGCATTTATTGCCTCTCTGAGACTCATACCTTTTCCATGTATGTACCCATTTGTACTGCGAAGCCATCAAGGAAACAGAACAAGGAGTTGCCCCTTATCTGTGGTCAGATGATACTGAGAGACCTATACTCAATGGTGTATAGGTTTTATGGATAACTCTATATTTTGCTCTATTACCATTTGCCTTACTTGTGTCACTCAAACTCAAATGTGTGGTCAAGGGTTTTCAATGGTATGGCTCTGTGTGTGTGTATGTGTGTGTGTGTGTGTGTGTGTGTGTGTGTGTGTGTTTCATGACTTTCAAAGTACAGTTAACTCTCGCTTTAGACAATGTTTTCTCTTTGCTAAGATCCAAGAGGAAGAATTTGAGGCAGAAGGAATTCTTTGGTCAAATAGTTCCATGTTCAAAGAGACAAACAAGAATGCAGACAGGAAGTGGCTCAAGGGGTCTCTGATCTTAAGATACTGTAAGAAGTCCCCTGCCACCAGGAAAAGCCTGCAAGGGAAGGATGTTCTCAGCCCTCGGACAACCAAAGCTCCCTCATCAGGCTCATTCTGAATCTCACTTGTTTACCTCTCCACAAAAGCTATGCTCTCCTACCCCATGAAGAAGCTTTTTTTCCTCATTATCATGAAATGTTATATATATATATATATATATATATATATATATATATATATTTTTTTTTTTTTTTTACATTATGCCAGAATGTGTAAAGAAGTCAATAACAATCATGCAAATTACCCCTATGTGGGGGTCACCACTGCCAAACATTTTGAGATGTTAACTGAAAAAAAAGAAGGAATTAGGGCTGGGTGTGGTGGCTCATGCCTGTAATCCCAGCACTTTAGGAAGCTGACATGGTGAACCCCAGCTCTACTGAAAATACAAAAAATTAGCCGGGCGTAGTGGCACACACCTGTAATCCCAGTTACTCAGGAGGCTGAGGCAGGAGAATAGCTTGAACCCAGGAGGCGGAGGTTGCCGTGATCCCAGATCACACCACACTGCACTCCAGCCTGGGTGATAGAGTGAGACTCCATCTCAAAAAAAAAGAAAAAAGGAATTAGGTTATGCCTATACATTGTTATTATTACATTTGTCTAACATCTAATATTGTTAGATATGTCTAACAACATTGTCATTGTTGTTTTAGTGACTGAAAGGGAAGAAACAGGCTATGTGAGTCTGTTTATGTGAGGTAACCGGCAAAATAAATCTACGGATATGGAACTCAGAATGGTGTTTGCCTCTGGAGTGGGTTGACTGGGAAAGGCCCGGGAAACTTTCTGGGCTGCCAGGAATGGTTTTATATCTTGATTTGGGTGATGGTAACACGGATGTATACAATTGCAAAAAGTCATCAAACCTAAGATTTTAAAGTATTTTACTGTAAATGTTTAGATCTTCATAAAGAAAAAGAAAGAATCTTGGACAAATATTATATCAAAAAACAAACAAACAAACAAACAAGAGAGATGAAGTAGCAAAAGACTGACCTAAAAAGCAGGAGATGCTGAGCTAACACCAGCCACACAACACCTGGAGCTTTACAAAGAGGAAGACCAGGTTTGGCTCCCCTCCATTCCAGCCTCTCAGAGGCCCTCCTAGGCAGGCTGCAGGTACATCCAAGAGGGCTGGATCCTTAAATGGGTAATACAATCTTAAGGTCCTGCTGGGCCTCACCGCTTGCCAGCCTCCCTCTTCTTTAATGCTGTCACTCTGCCACGTTCACAGTGAGGCACTGCATTTCCTGATGGGGTGAGGGTCCCTTGGAATGTAACGAGAATCCGTGCTTGAGTCAGGAAGGAAGGTAAAAGGCCTTAGCTTTCAAAAAGATTCCAAAAGTTTCCTTCTTAGCCACTCTCTGGAACTCAGAATGTGGTCTCTCAGAAGCAATGTTATAAATGGTGGTCAAGATGCTACCCAAAACAATCTGTTCAATGTCTACTCATAAAAATACAGAATTTTAAGTTTGGTGGGTGAAGGAAAACTGATATACTAGGAGATTCTTTAGGAAAAACTGTGTTTCCTAAGTGATAGTGGTTGTGTGTCATAAAAAAAAAAAAAATGAGAGGAGGCCGGGCATGGTGGCTCACGCCTGTAATCCCAGCACTTTGGGAGGCCGAGGCGGGCAGATCAAGAGGTCAGGAGATAGCGACCATCCTGGCTAACATGGTGAAACCCCGTCTCTACTAAAAATACAAAAAAGAAATTAGCTGGACGTGGTGGCGGGTGCCTGTAGTCCCAGCTACTTGGGAAGCTGAGGCAGGAGAATGGCGCGAACCCGGGAGGCGGAGCTTGCAGTGAGCCGAGATGGCACCACTGCACTCCAGCCTGGGCGACAGAGCAAGACCCCGTCTCAAAAAAAAAAAAAAAAAATTAGAGGAAAACAATATTCTTTTTTTCCCAAAAATATTCCTATCTGCCAGACACTGTGTTGGCATTTGAAATTCAAAAATGAAAAGTCCTATGATATCCTCCCTCAAGAAGCTAGCCGAGGAAGACTAACCTTGTAAATACATAAGTACAATAAAATCTTCACAGACATTGTGATAGAGGTCGTCACAGTTAAACAAAACAGAAAAATAGAAGTGAATGTCGGTTGGCAAGGGGAAAGGAATTTTAAAGCAGGGAGGGCTGATGGGGTAAGGAATTAGATGCAGACCTTTAGGTAGACTTTCAGGGTTCATGGGCACAATGGCCCTGGATCTGACACTATTTCCAAATGTCTCTTTCTTTTACAATAAGACCATTACAGTTTAACTTCTCAAGCCCTGTTGGGGTGGGTTGATTGTTTTTTGACTTTCAAATTATCTGAAGGGAGTAGAGGTGAGAAAACTTGCAATTTCAAAGGGAAAAGAAAAGAACATTTAAAAGGTATGTAAACCCAGGAGAAGGACTGCCAGAGGGGGATTTGACTGAGTGTGGAGGAAGGAAAAAGCATAAACCCCAACACTGGAAAAGAAACAAAAGGTCAGTTCCCCACATCAACCACTGGATGATGAAGCTGACTCAGGACAGCTTGGGTGCTATCATGAGAGCAGAGTGGGTTAGGAGTCCCTGTGCTCCCAGAAGTATGAACGTATGGGATCACTTAAAATCAGATATTTATAGTATTTTCAGATCATTTATTAGTTCCACCAGTATCGAGCATTTACCATTTATAAGGAAATTTGCAATTGACCTGTAATTAACAGGGTTAAAAAATTGAGTCTGTCATGGTCCTTGCCCTTGAGAACCAGTTAGGGAACTAGACAGCTAAATATTATTGAACGTGATAAGTGCCCAAACATACAATGCTCAGGAAAAAGCCACTGATGTTATGTTTAAACAACACAGACAAGAAAATATTTCTTTTGTTTCTTTCCCAAGAAACTCCTGTGGGGTGGAGGAAAACTGATATACCAGGATATTTTTTAGGAAAAACTGTAAGGTATTTCAGTAATTGGTAGACAGTAAGACATTACAAGGAGGGCCATGGGTGATTGACCTGAGCAGGTAGAAAGAATATACTGAGCAAGGGACAAAAGAGAACAAGCATTTATTAAGTGCTTACAGTATTTCAGGTACTTCACATATAAGAACACATTTAATTGTCATAAAATCCTTCAAGGGAAGGTATGTATATCCATTTTTTTATAGATTAAAAAATTGCAGCTTACAGAGGTTAAGTAAATTCTCCAGAGACACACGGAGAAAGTGACAGAGCTAGGATTTGAACCTTTCTCTGTCTGTTTCCTAAGCCCTGACTTGAGAACACAATTCAGCATGGGGTATTAACCACGCAGGATCTACTGAGCCCCCACGGTTGTTCTGCAGGTAGAATGTGATTAGGGAGTCAAAGTGCCTTTGGAAAATGCAGGCATTAGACAAGCATTATTTGTTAAAATAGTTTGCGGCTATGTTCTCCCCTTGCTGGTCTTCATTCAACAAATATTTCTTGTGTGCTAAGCCAGGCACTGTTCCAGGCACTCAGGATATAGCAGGGAGAAAAGCAGATAAAATCTTTACCCTGGTGGAGCTGACATTTCCCCAAGCAGGACAGTCTGCAGACATGAATAAAAAGATTGATCAGCCATGTGAGAGAGAGAGAGTGCTTAAGGCTGAATCTCTCTCTCTCTCTCTCTCTCTCTCTCTCTATATATATATATACACACACACACACGGTTATATAGATGTAGTTATATATATAGTTATATAGATACAGTTATATATAGTATATATATAGACTATATATATATATATATATACTCTCTCTATATATATATACGCATATTCACTATTTGAAATATTGAAAAATTGGAAACCCAAGAGACTAAATGTTCTTTAATGGGGACTTTTTTTTTAAGTATGTTTCCATATTATGGAAAACTGTGTAATATAGCTATTGCAAAGATGGAAGTAGCTCTTTTTCTGTAGTGTCATGGAAAGACCTCCAAGATCTATTAAGGGGAGAAAAAACAAACTCCAGGACAATACATGATATGATCCCATTAATGCTTAAAATAAATACTACTTGTTTGTGCTTGTTTGTGTGTGTGCATGTGTGTATTCACATACTAATATATAGTTATATGTGTATACTTGATATAAATTCAGAGAAAAGTTCTGGAAAAATACACACCAACCTGACAACTGCATTGCTTCAGGAGAAGAGAGGGGAACTTGCAGGAATTGGTGTGGTCATGGTACTTATTCTGACTACAATGTATACTTCTTGATTTCTGATGATGAGAATACATTCACATATTGCTTGCATAATTGAACAGGGAGACAGATACATGCATGTGGGTATAATTTAGTTATAGCAATATGATTATGGATGACAATTGTTACTCTTTTAATCTCCTTTGATGTTGTTTTAATATGTCTATGGAGTGAGATATACACATAGATGGGATGATGCCAACACATAAAAGGTGGAATTAAAATATGGCAACCTGGCTTGGAAATCTCGCCTCTCCCCACCCCTCCTGCAGTTTATAGTGAAACCTTTTTTAAGAGCATCATGGGATTTTGGATGGAAATCCTTGATCTCCCAGTTCTGAGGCACATGTAATTATTTCACAGTTGTTAGCCTCAAGGATCTTTGCCATAGATATGACTTCATTATGAGAGCATAAGGCCTCTCCCAGCAGTAATTGAGCTTTGGGTAGAGCCAATGTGGGGGTTCTAGTGTGTGAGGAGTGGCTCCCAACAGGATTCCCCTGGTTTCTGAACCAACTCAAGCAAGCTGGCCTTAGCTTTGGCTGATCCCTGAAAACCAGCTAATGTATCCCACCCAAATCTCTTCCATTGTCTCTCTCTGTGACCTTGGGCAAGTCTTTGCTGTTTCTTGGTCTCCAGTGGAAGGAGTTGAACCACATGGCCTATAATGTCATTTCCTGTCCCAAACTTTTGATTTCTATTATGACAAGTTGTTACAGGAGCCCTCCATCCATGCATTCATTTACATGCACCTGCTTGTGTGCTGGGGACAGAGAAGCAAGGAGGCACATCCCCTGGCCTTAAGGAGCTGCTCGTGGTGGCATCCAATTCTTGAAGATGTTGAAGCTGGTGGATCTGCTAGACACTCAGACAGTTTCCCAGAACTGGACTCAGAATAGATGTGTGGGGATCCCTCTCCACTCTCTGCCTCTGGATCTCTTGGGTAAAACTGGCCTCTGTTCCTCCAGTCCCTTTATTCTAAATGTAATGCTGGTAGAGCCTCTACCTCTGCTGGGTGGCTTCTGGTTCTTAGAGACTAACTCACACCTATTTACAGGAGGGAATAAAGAGTCTCAGCGTGGGGACAGGGATGGCCTGAAGTCACAGGAGTTCTAGGTGGACTGGTGATGGGACTCAGGGTCCTCTGGCCACTCCACTCATTCAGTAAACTTTTATTGATCACCTGCTGTATGCCAGGTGCTTTGCTAGATTGTGGGAGCACAAGTGTGAATCAATGGAATGATTTGTCAGATGTGTGTTGCTTTTTATTATAAAAGTGATATATGATTCTAACCACTCACATCCTTACAGACCAGGATGTGAGTGGTTAGAAGCTCTCCTGGACAGGACAGTATCCTCAGTTAGAGAACCCTCAGATCTGTGCCCTTCTCTGGGGGCTCCAGAGAATTTCCCCAACCAGTATTATCCCCCAAGGAGCAGAAGGCTGCTGGGGAGGCCCAGGTGCAGTAGACACTGAGTCAGGGGCTGGGGTCAGAAGTCAAACTGTACTATGGCAAGAAGTGCCATAGTGCCCTGGCCAAGACCAAGCTGGATTAAGGGGAACATGCTTCCATGGGCTGAGGGTGGGTAGGAGTTTACTCAGGAGAGAGGAAAAGAGGGAATGTGGCAAAAGTGGAGAATTTGTGCCAAGCTGACCCAACCTCTCCTTCTCTCTCCACACTTCCTTGCTATGTGACCAGGTCAGTGGCTCAGCCTCTTGAGCCTCAGTTTCTTTTTCCATGAAATGGGAATGATAACAATTACACTTGTTCTTCTCTCAGATGATGATTCTGAAGATCAAACAAGGTGATGGGTAGAAAGGTAAATTATAAAGCACTTTAAGATATAAGCTAATGTTGTTGTACTTTGAAGTGATGCATCTTCCTGCTTCCTAACTGACCCATCCCGCTTTGCCAGGTCTGTTGTGTGAGGTTTCCAGTATGGTGGGTGCAAAAGCAGTCATGGGGGTTGGGGAAGGAATCCCTGGCCTGCTCACCACTTGTGGGCTACAGGGGGCCATCCAGAGTTCCTTACAAGGCAAGTGGGCAAGCTGGCATTGGCATGGGCACTTCTGAGGGCACTGGTCCCACCCTGAAACTCATCAACCCAATGCTGCATATGTGACTTCTCCCATCCAAGAGTGCCCAGGGGATGGGGTGATCTGCAGCCTGATAGGAGGCTGCAAATAGCATTTTTAGGACATTTGTGGGCTCCTTTGAGAGAGAGGCTATGCCATGGTCCCATGGGTTCCTCAATAAGAAGAAGGGACTCTTTGGGGGCACTAAGAGCCTGGGTGTCAGGAGACCCAGTGGCTTCTGGTCTTCATGTGCTATTAACCTTAGGCAAGTCACCTCACCTCTCTAGGCAGATTTGTCAGATGTGTGTTGCTTTTTATTACAAAAGTGATATATGATCCTAAAAATTTTAAAATACGACAGAAGAGGAGAAAGTCCAAATGAAGGTGCTCCCCGCTCACCCCCTTGCCATTAGTCCATTCTCATGCTGCTATAAAGAACTACCCAAGACTGCATAATTTATAAAGGAAAGAGGTTTGATTGACTCACAGTTCCACACGGTTGGGGAGGCCTCAAGAAATTTACAATCATGATGGAAGGAGAAGCAAACACGTCTTCTTCACATGGAAGCAGGAGAGAGAAGTGCTGAGCAAAGGAGGAAAAGCCCTTTATAAAACCATCAGATCTGATGAAAATTCACTCACTATCACAAGAACAGCAGCATGGAGGAAACCATCCCCATGATTCAATTACCTCCCACTAGGTACCTGCCACCAGGTCCCTTCTACAACACGTGGGGATTATGGGAACTACAATTCAAGATGAGATTTGGGTGGGGACACACCTAAACCATATCACCCCCTAATCCTACTGCCATGGAACATCTGCTATAAAAATTATTTTATATATACAAATAGCTATGTATGTTTATTAAGCAGAAGTTGGGATCACAAGGCTATATTGTTTTCCTGCCAGTTCTCTTCATGTGTTGATATACCTCAGACTTTCCTCCATCAGTACACAGGTCTGCCTCATTTGTTTAACCAACTGCATAGGATTCCAGACTTTTGGAACCCTTTTCTGAATCTTTACACAGAGTAAATTCCCTGAGATGAAATTACTGCATCAAAGTATTTCTCTACACTCATAATACGTTAAATATGATCATTCCCTTTTAAAACTTTTGACAGTGGTGAGTGAAAATAATATTTTATTGTTCTAATTTTAAATTGTTTGATTATTAGTGAGGTTGAGCATTTTTTGTATGTTCATATTTCTTTTTCTATAAAAAGCTTTGCTTCTATCTTCCCAATTTTTCTATTGGAATGATAATCTTTCTCTTATCTGAAAACAGCACTTTATATAGTAA
Organism: Homo sapiens; assembly: GCF_000001405.40. Lineage (NCBI taxonomy): Eukaryota > Metazoa > Chordata > Mammalia > Primates > Hominidae > Homo > Homo sapiens. The sequence continues at coordinate 117,522,720 of NC_000010.11, read as the reverse complement.
AGCTCTTAATCTATTGTTTATCATACAAGTTGCATTTTTTTCCTAGTTTGTCCTTTGCTCATAGTATGTTTCTCATACCAAAGATTTAAATATTTATGCCGGCAAAATTGTTGGTTTTATCCTTTATGGAGTCTGAGGCTTATCTCTCTTCAAGAAAGTCTTTCTCATTCTCAAGATTATGGGATTATTGTTTTTAGTCCTTTAAATAACTTTTATAATTTTTTAAAATGTGTACGTCTTTAATACATCTGGACTTTTTTTCTGTGAATGTAACTTGAAGTGAAGACCCACTTTTTTTTCTTAATGGATAACTAATTATTCCAACATCATCTGCAGAACAATATAGCCCTTCTCCATTAACAGGAAATACAGCCTTTATCGCATACTAGATTCTTATATTTTATTCTATTTATTCTATTCTGCATTCTATTTTGTTCATTAACATATTTGATATTCCTACAAAATTAGCATACTGCTTAATGACCCTGACTTTGTAATATCTTTTAAAATCCAGTAGGGCAAAGCTGCTCTCATCTTTCTTCACCTAGGAAAACTATTCTCATGCATCTGTTCTCCTAGATAATATTTAGAATCAACTTGCCAGTTATTTTAATCAGAACCATTATTGGAATTGTATCAAATGTATGAATTAATTTGGGAAAGAGTTGAAATCTTCACAATATTTGGTCATTCCAACCAGAAACACAATAATTTATTTAGATTTTCTTTGATGTACTTCATTATTTGCTTCTAAATAGGTCTTGGATGTTTCTTGCATGAATTAGTCATTGCATTTTCAGTTTTGTGGATGATTTATGCTTTGTTTTGTTTTGTTTTGCTATAGTGAATGGAATAATTTCTCATTTTATATTTTAACCTGTTTACTATTATATGAGAAAACTAGTTTGTGCCGGGTAATCCTTGTGAATTCTCTTATTTCTGTTAAGTAACCTGTTAAATCTCTTGGATTTTTCCCATTTAATAACTGTTTTACTTATTATCAAAGTAAAGCATGGCTAGCATAGAAAATGAAAACATACAAAAGGAAAGAAACAAAAACTACCTGGAAGACTTACTCTTCAGAAATAGTTACACTTAACATTTTGATAAATGTCCTTCACATATATATGCATATAGTTAAAGACAGTATAAGAATATATACATAACTATACATATGTCTACTGCAGTAGACATATGTAGATATCTAAAAATTAAGTAGACATATGTATAGTTTTCAAATAGCATCATAATATGCATGTTTTATAACCCACTTTTCCTGTAAAATATTACAAACCTTCTTCCACATAACTCTTATACATTACACATTATCGTTTTAATGGCTGTTTTAATTGTATGACTTTATTTAAGCAATCCTCTAACTTCAGACATTTAGGTTGAGTCTATCTCTTAATATTATAAATAATTATATAGTAAACATCTTATTAGCTATATCTTTATAAGTATTCATAGTTGTTTTTTAGAAGAAATTTCTAGAAGTGGAATTTTTAGGTCCAAAGGTATGCAACAATCTAAAGCTTTTGTGACAAATTCACAAATTGCATTTCAGAAAGTTTGTGCCAATTTATTCTCCCACTTACATTATTAAGATATTTGTTTTGTTTAAGATAAGGTCTGGTTCTATCACTCAGCCTGGAGTACAGTGGCATGATCATAGCTCACCACAGCCTTGAACTCACTCCTGGGCTCAAACCATCTTCCTGCTCAGCTCTCAAGTAGTTGGTACTAAAGGCATGTGCCATCATACCTGGCTAATTTCTTATTTTTGTTTGTTTTTTTTTAATGTAGAAAATTACAGGAGTGAGCCACTGTGCCAGGTCTATATATTTTTTTAATCTTACTTTCTTCAGTAAACATTGTACCATAGGCATTTCCTGAGGTCTTAAACTCAGTGGCAATACTGATTGAATGGTAACAGAGTATTTTGAGAGGACCAACCCTCTGCTGGACCCTCAGCTGTCCCTTCTGTTGCCTGAGATAAACCTAAGAGCTCCTGACTTCCAAACCAAGGGACTTCATTTGAGGAACAGGATGAGGGCATTGAACTCCATCTTCTCAAGCAGAGCTAAAATGGTTAACTCAGCCCCAATCCTTTGCCACCTACACAGAAAGGTGGCTGGGAGGCTCCATGAAATGTTAATCACTCTAAGAGATCACTGCCTACAAGTAGCAGAAGAGTCATTTGTGCTTTAAATAAAAACACCTCTTCCCTGTCATTTTTTATCAGGGAAAAGACTGTCATATTTCTCCCCATCAGGTGTTCGCTTGGCAAGAAACTCACCTAATTCAGAAACCCTTCCAGCAAGGGTGATATGTTTTTCTCAGCAGCAAATGGCTACAAACACATCTGCATTGACAAGTTACAACTTATATCCTTCTATGGTGTTTTTGCTCTTTTGAAATGTTAATAAAAACTTAATGTGGAAAAAAAACAACTTTTTCCAAATATGTGTACCAATGGGCCCGAGGCAACTCATACTTTCTTATAAAATAAAGTAGGTCACTCACATCAATCATGTTGTCTTAGCACATTTTTTCCAAATTAGGAATTTTCAACCCATCATACCAAGTTATGGCATCTCTTTTCCAAACATTTCCTTTTAATATGCTCTTTAACATGATAAGCAAATCTAATAGAATGCATTAGTGTCACTTTCCAGTGATGGAGTGTTTCCTCCTGTTGCAATCCACGATGAGTTCAGGGAAACATTTTTACTAGCTCCCTCTGTAACAGTGCGATTGCTTGTCAAAAATATGACAATGACCCCAAAGCTGTCAAGATCACACTTGGGTGTCAGCCTTTGAAAGATTACCAGGAGTTCCTTCCTTGCCTCTCCATGTGTCATATATGTAGAAACTCAAAGGATATGTGTGCACAAAAACAAAATCATAAATCCAGATTGTGTACGTGAGGGGAATGTTTAAATGTGGCCTGTCAATTCATCAGTACTGCGTATGAATTCATACTATCCTATATAGATCAAAAGCTTGTACTGGACCTCATTTGAAAACCACATTGCTCGCAGAACACTTCCAAATCTCCTAGATCGTGCAGAAAGGGAGGATCCTTGGCTTAATATGTGTGAAATTCTTCAAAACCGATTGCCATCTTTTGCAAGTGGCTTTGGACCCTGTGCGACTCTCCTTGTAACTCATTTGAGATAAATATATTTGCATGCTCATATATTTGACAACGTTTGTCTGGCAAAAACAGGGTATTTGCTTCCCCTTGGACCGCTGGTTCTTGGGCTCATGTGTTCAGTGTTAGCACTTGAGTTTCTTGAGGGATTTTTTTTTTTTTGTTTCTTTGTTTGGACAGAGTTTTGGAAGAAAACATTTGGGAAGGTTGGAATGGGAGAGGTTTATAGAGCGCCCAGGAATTCAGCCGTTTCAGGCTTTGGGCCACCCAACAGGAAAACATCTGAATGGAAAAGGGAAAGTTCAGTCTGTTTTCTGGATCTTTGGCCCCCTGGGTCTTTCATCTGGACATGTGGGGTCATGCAGACACTGGTTTACATTGTCCACACTGTAAACCACATCACTTCTCCTTCACACCTTGGGGTGGGGGCAGGTAATGTTATGGACTCCGATTGGCTATAGCTTCCTGACACGGCACCACTATTGTCGGGAGCTGAAGACTTGGGGCTGTGTATCCTAAAAAGCATCACTAACTCACTATTAACAAAAATGACTGTGCTGGGGCAGTGGAGGACACAAAAATGAGACACAGTTCCTGTCCTTTAGCAGCTTGAAGTCAGGCTTGATGTCAAGTAGAAGGTGATGAGAAAAAGAAAAAAATTGCCCAGAGGCCAGGCACGGTGGCTCATGCCTATAATCCCAGCAATTTAGGAGGCCGAGGTGGGAGGATTGCTTGAGCCCAGAAATTCGAGACCAGCTTGGGCAACTTAGCGAGACCCATCTCTACAGAAAATAAAATATGAGCTGGGTGTGATGGTGCATACCTGTAGTCCCAGCTACTTGGGATGCTAAGGTGGGAGGATCGCTTCAGCCTGGGAGGTGAAGGCTGTAGTGAGCCATGATTGCACCACTGCACTCCAGCCTGGGTGACAGAGCAAGATCCTGTCTCAAAAAAGAAAAGAAAAAAAAATGCCCAGAGACTTCAAAGGAGGGAAAGGCTGCCACCAGGTAGAGGTAGATGAGATATAAGATTGGGGTGGAGACGACCTTTGAACCAGGCCCATGTGATTAGGCTTTGGATATGCACAGATGGGGAAGAGCATTCTTCAGAGCAAGATAAAGGAGCAAGCCTGGGAAAGCATGCAAGGAGTGGGGGTGTGACGACAACCCGGGACCAACGGACAGCAGGCTGCAGGGAGAGAGGCAGAAGAAATCAGGAGAGGCAGGCCTCAGCAAGTGTGTGCAAAGTCTCGAATGCCAAGCTAAGGGGAATAGCCTCTAAAGAGTGATCCCCCTCCCATGACCCCAAAATGGTTCTGTTCACATCAACACATTTGTCTGAAAGATTATTAGGGTGACAATGTTTTCCTTGATGCATTTGAACACCCCCAGTTTTCTGTTTACACTTCACCTTCTACACGTAGGCAAATGCTATAGCAATGAAGTTTTTCATTGCCATGGTTTGAAGCACAGTCTTGGAAACTCCTGCTAGACTCAAAACCATCATTCACAGGAGTTTAGGATTCTCCCAAGTTATATTGTTTTCCATGAGTTGAGTTGATTAAAATTTGTAGATGCAGCCCAGCATGGTGGCTCACGCCTGTAATCCCAGCATTTTGGGAGGCCGAAGCAGGCGGATCACGATGTCAGGAGATTGAGACCATCCTGGCTAGCACAGTGAAACCCTGTCTCTACTAAAAATACAAAAAATTAGCCAGGCGTGGTGGCATGCGCCTGTAATCCCAGCTAATCAGGAGGCTGAGGCGAATCGCTTGAACCCAGGAGGCGGAGGTTGCAGTAAGCCCAGATCATGCCACTGCACTCCAACCTGGGTGACAGAGTGAGACTCTGTCTCAAAAAAAAAAAAAAAAAAAAAAAACTGTAGACGCTGCTACTTTTCTTCTGGCCCGTGGCCCCAGGCGGGATTAAGCAATGCAAGACTTCAGGTGCTTTGGTAGATGCATTCGCTTGTTCGACAAATACTTATTGAGCAACTACTATGTGCCTAACATTGTTCTAGGTGTTGAAGATGATGTGTGTCAATGAAACAAACAGGGTCCCTTCCTTCATGGGGTTGACTTACTGGTGGGAAAGACAAAAGGTGAGCAAGATAACTTCAGAGAGTTATAAGAAAAATAAAAGAAATAAGCAGAGAGTTACAATAGAAAGTAACTGGAGGCAAGAGGACAGCCATACAGAGAAGCTGGTCAGAGAAGACCTGAAGGCCGAGGAAGAAAAGGAGCCATCGAGGTGAAGGGCTGGGAGAAACACACCAGGTGGAGGACACAGCAAGTGCAAATGCATGATGAGCTAGAAAAAGCCAGTAAGCAAGAGGGAGTGGGAACAGATAGGGCTGGAACCCTGCAGGAGCAGATTCGGGATTTGAGGGACACCAGGAAGCTCCTGCATCATTTTAAGCAGGGCACTAACAGAGCTATGAATGTTGGGGTGCCTGCTTAAGAGCCACCACTAGCCACCATCTCCTTTGGCCTTACCGTGGCTGAGGTCCCCACAAAGGCAAAACAAGTGCTCAGACCGCATTAGCTTTTATTTTTATAACAATCTTTGTACCCAAACCACTGTAGCATTTTTAATAACAAACTGGCAGAGAGTCAGACATCTGTACTTAAAAAAAATATCCAAGCCAAGTATTTCTAAATGTTTTCTATTTACTTGTAACATTAGAATAACCATGAGGTTGCTTTTTGCATAATTGGAACCATTCTCATTAGGGTTCGACAGATCTCGTCCTTCATGAACTCGGGTGGTGGTTTTCATTATGGCAGTGACATTGATCTGACGGGAGTGAATCTCTCCTTGCATATTTGTGGGAAAGGGGGGAAGAAGTTGAGAGAAGCCAGGGAAAGCTCTAGGAAAATAAGAACTCTGGAAAGATAACCATCAACTTGTCACTGTAAAGAGCCCAGGCTTCAAAGTCCAGCAGAGCTGGGCTAGAGAAAAAGCTGGATGACCTTGGGTAAGTCCCTCAAGCTCTCTGAGCTTCAGCTCACTCACAGGCAAAATGGGGATGATCACAGAACCCCCTTCCTAGAGTTGTGATAAGGTCTGATACGGTTTGATTGTGTCCCCACCCAAACCTCATCTTGAATCGTAGTTCCCATAATTCCCATGTGTTGTGGGAGGGACCAGGTGGGAGGTAATTGAATTATGAGGGTGGGCCTTTCCTGTGCTGTTCTCATGATAGTGCATAAGTCTCATGAGATCTGATGGTCTTATAAAGGGTGAGTTGCCCCTGCACATGCTCTTCTCTTGCCTGCCACCATGTGAGACGTGATTTTGCTCCTCCTTTGCCTTCCGCCGTGATTGTGAGGCCTCTCCAGCCACATGAAACTGTGAGTCCATTAAATCTCTTTTTCTTTATAAATCACCCAGTCTCAGGTATGTCTTTATTAGCAGCATGAGAACAGACTAATACAGGTCTAAGTCAAATCACATATGTAAGGGGGCCTTGCACAAAGCTGCTTTCTGTTGTCTTCCTCCAAAATTAGTATTTAACATCCAAGATTGAGACAGCACCCATATCTATTTATATCTTTTTCTAAAGTCAGGTTGCAAGATTTAACAAATAAACACACAGAACACCCAGCTAAATTTGCATTTCAGATAAACAATGAATAATGATTTAGTATAAGTGTGTGCCATGCAAAATTCAGGACATACTTAGAGTAAACAAGTATTTGTTGTTCATCTGAAATTTAAACTTGAACATCCTACAGTTTATCTGGAAACCCTATTGTAAAGGTTTACTGGTCCTAAGAACATTAAGAAAGAGTGTTTTTGAGATCCAGTCCAGTCTTTGTAAGTAAACTGGGCACTTGTGTCAAAGGCAGTTTAATGTCCTTGTAAAGACATTAGAACAGACCTGGCATATAGTAGGTGCTCAATAAAGATATATTGGCTGAGCAGGTAAAAGATTAGAAGAACTTGTCACAAGTCAATTCAATTTGGTATGTGTACACATTTTAGACATGCCTTCTAGATCAAGTATCTCCTTTGCCTGAGGTAGGTGAGAAGACAGATCCCCATCTGCTACCCCAGCCCACACTTCCCACTGCTAGAATCACCCAGAATCTAAAACAAGGATGGTTTCCAGCTTTTGTCTTCCCTCTCAGCCACCTGTAGCCATTCTGGAGCCAGGTTTGTGCAATCACATTTCAGTCTCTGCCCTTAGCTCCTCCCATGGCTTCCCCCAAAATAACATGGGCTGCAGGAATGTTTCCCCCCAACTCATTTCATACCTTATTTTATCTAAAAGGAAGGCAAAACTTCCAAGTGCAGAGTCCACGGTTTTTCTCCCCTTCCTTCTGGCAAATGGGGGCCATGTGGGCTGGGAGGTGGGGACAGGTGGAGTTTCTGGCTGGGAGAGGCTGCTAGTGGAAGGTAAAGACAGGTGTGGCCTTTTGGGCCCCCCAGGCCGGCAAATGTCTACATTTCCTGGGAGGTGTGAGCTCGGAGGACTTCCCCAGGAATCTCGGCTGGACTTGTAAAGAAAGGATCCCAACATCAAGAAAAAAAAGCCGGCCAGTAAATTCCTAGTGAACTCATTTTCTAAGACTTCTGAATGTGTTTTGAATTTTCTCTAAATTAAGATAATCATAAAAGGTTAAGATATTTAAACAGAGCGCCACCTGATCCCAGGGCTTGATTTGTATGCTTAATTAGTTCCCGAACATATGGTTCAGAGCTTCTTATAAAAACAGGGTAATGACTCGAGGTATATTTGGGTATTAGATTGAACGATGTTAAAGGGACATTCAGACCCATCTCAAAGGCCTTAACCTGCCCTTGATCTGTGCTGGAAGCTTTTGCTGACATCTGTTTCAAAGAGATATCAAAAAACTTTCCAGTGGCCTCATGATAAAAAAAAATCCATACGGAGATAGATATCAGGCATTAAAATACTTAGGATTCAGCACGGCCTGAGGAATGTGTGGCCCTAGAATGTAAGTGGGGCGGGTGGGGAGGGGGACGTTGAGGAGGGGCTCCCGCAAAGATGCAAAGACACTGAGAACTGCTGAGAGTGCAGTGCCTTGGTGCAATGTGGAGAAGGAGCAGATGGGTCACAAATGTCCCCAGGGCCCTTTGTTCTTTTGTGTGTTTCAGTCCCTGATAATAAATCAGGTGCTCCTAAGTGTGGAACATAATTCAGGTCACCAAGAGTCACTTCCTCAGCTCCCACGTAGCCCCAGTCTTCCCCTACCCCAACCTGGGAGGAGGGAGGTATTGCCCTGACTCACCCCGACTCTCTGATCTAGTTGTGTGATGTGCCTCTGACCCCCGCCATGCCCACATTGAAGGGATGATGCATGTGTGCTTGTGTGTGTGGTTTGATTTGGGCTTTTTTTGAGGTTTTTGTTGTTGTTGTTTGTTTGTTTTGAGACAGGGTCTTGCTCTGTTGCCCAGGCTGGAATGCAATGGCACAATCACCACTCACTGCAGCCTCAACCTCCAGGGCTCAAGTGATCCTCCCACCTAAGCCTCCCGAGTAGCTGGGACCACAGGCACTTGCCACCACATTAGCCTAATTTTTTTTCTTTCATATTGACAAGGTTTCTCCATGTTGGCCAGGCTGGTCTCAAACTCCCGGGTTCAAGCAATTCTCCCACTTTGGCTCCCCAAAGTCCTGGGATTACAGGTGTGAGCCACTGCACCCAGCTATATACATAATTTTTCAAAACATATGCTTGGTCTGCATAATATAATGTCCAGACAAGCCCACTCCCCAACTTCCAATCAGATTTCTGCCCCTAAACCCTCCTTATAGAGGTGAATGGATCTATCCTATTTGTGAAAATTTGAGCCACGCGTGGGAAATGGCTGTCCATTAGGCACAGTCATCAAGGGCCATGAAATAGGTCCCAGAGGGGATGGGGCCATGCTTTTGGCTTCAGTGCGCTATCACTCTCCCCAAATTCACTCACTCATCCACACACTCTCCCATCCTTTTACCAAGTACTCATCAAGCACCTGTTGTGTGTGGAGTACGAGGTGCCGTGGAAAAAGCAGAGCTGATTTTGGTATCGTCCTGCCCTTTAGAAGCTCCCAGTCAAAGGAAGGAGACAGCAGATACAGGAAGACGTGTCTGTGAGAGGTGTGAGGATCAGATGTAGGAAACATACACTTCAGGCAGAATAGTCAGGGCGTCTTTACAGACGAGACATGGCGTCTTCCCTGGGCTCTGAACATAGCTATACCCATTTGGATAATGGTAACCGAGGGAGACAAGGAACTCCAGGTGGAGGAATAGTGTGAACAAAGGCCTAGAGAAAGGAAACCACTGTATGGCCCCCAAACAGCGAGTTGCTTTCTGGGTTACGAACACCATACACATCCCCATTCATCTGATCCTCAAACATCCTTGTGAAGTCCACAAGGCAGGAGTAATTATTTTCATTTCACAAATAAGAAAACCACGGTGCATACAGGTTACATGCATTTCCCAAGGTTTCACAGCTCAGATGCAGTGGAACCCAGACTCAAATTCAGGCTTGGACTCCCCAGATCCACATGGGGCTGAAAGGTTAAGACAAAGGTCAAATTGCAGAAGATCTTAAATAAAGACTAAGGAGGTGGCTATATTTGCTGTGTAGCCCCTGGGAGCCATAGAGGACTTTGAGCAGGGCTGGAAGATCCATCGGGCAGCTGTGAGCAGAAAGAGGCTGGGGGTCAGCTATGAAGGTCCCTCAAAGGTTATTAGGGCCAAACTGGGCCAAGTGCCAGAGAAGGAGGAAAACACAAACTCAAGACAGGGAAGGCAGGCTCCTGTCATGCCGAAGGCAGCAAAGAGGGTCCAAGCACCATTGCAGCTGTGCTCCAAAGGGCTAATTCCTCCCAAATCCAGCAGAGACTTCAGCATCAACGACAGCTACAGTTTAGAGAGAGTACAGTGAGCCGGGCACATCCTCATTTAGTCCTCATAACAACCCTGTGAATTGCCCATTCTTATTATCGCCATTTTACAGATGGGAAAACTGAGGCACAGAGTAAAGTCAACAAGGCAGGTATTGCTAAGGAACTTGACCATGGCTACTCAGGGAGGAAATGGAAACTCTTGACCACTATTTCCAACTACCCCCATTAGGCCTCACATGCCACTCAGATGGCCAGGAATGGGGGACTCCCCGTCATCCATCAGAGCACATCTGCCTAGCGACCCCAGGCCTACAAAACCCCCTCAATCTGGCCCAAACTTACCTTGTTCCTTCGTTACCTCTCCCTGGGCCCCAGAGTGATCCCGCTGCCACAGCCCAGCAAGCAGGAGGCCAGATCTGGGCTGTGATACAGAGAGGGAGAGTCCCTGCGAGCTGGAGAGCCATCCTGGGGCGTCGCAGCAGGAGGCCAGGCTGAGTGGGACTAACATCAAAGCCAGCCGGGGGGTGTGGGGGGCGGTGGCACAGCAACAAGGAACAGAAGTGAGCAGGGGCAGGGCTAGTCCCATAGGAACCCTGGGCAGGGACCTCTCTGCAGGTCGAAGACACCTCAACCCAGGGCTCAAGCAAAGGCCTCCAGCCCCAGCTGTGCCAAGACCTCCTCCTGTCCCTGGGCCCCCATGCTGGGGGCTGGGGGGCCGGTGAAATGCGGGCTGAGAAGTTGTCTGTGAGTAAATGAGAAGTTAAGCTCCCAGCCCAACTGCCGTGGCCTCTCCTCCCGGGAGCCCCTTCAACCCACCGCTTCTCTCAGCAGCACGATGGGACACTGTCACATCCACACCCACACCCTCTGATACTGCTGCTTTCATCTTCCTGTGAGAGTGTAGATCCCTCATAGCTTGGACTGTCACACTCCTCGTGGCTTCTGGCATAGCACCATGCACATTTTAGGACTTCTGGAAATCCCTGAGACCCGCCTGACACAGAGACACATCCTTTGTGCGGCCAGAGGTCCATAAAAGCATTCAGGAAGTCATTTCCTGAGAGGCAGGATGGTACACAGCATGGAAAGAGCACTGCCCACGGAGCCCAAACCCAGAGTTCTAGGCCGGCTTTGCCACTGACTTCTTGAGCAACCCTAGACAGACCACATCACCTCAGTTTACCTACCTGTGGCCCTAAAGCAAAGCTAGCTAGTTCCTACAAAGCTCGGACCTGCCAAGTCTAGGCAGAAATCGTGCTTCTCCATCCTTCACCTTGCCTCTTGAAAGAAGTGAGTGTTGGGATTCCTCATCTTTGCCTCTTGGTCAGGCCTTAGTTCCAGACCACCTCCTCTAAGAAGTCTTCCCTGACTACCTGCTACAGTACCCCCCTCCCATCTCCCTGGAAGTCTCAACCGTGTCACTCTGTTTGATGTTTCCATCTGACCTTTTCCTGTTTGGATTTTTTTTTCCCCATTTGCTTCTTAGCTGCCTGCCCTGATAGGATGGAAGTTTCAGGACAGCAAGCAATTGGCCTGAGCTGGCCTCTGCTGCTCCTTGCTCAGTCTCCAGAGCCCAGGGTAGTGCCTGTGTGGGACAAAAGCCACCTTCTTAAGCACTCAATACATGATAGTTATTCACTGGAAACAGTGAATAACTAGAATAACTATCATGTATTGAGTGCCTAAGAAGGTGGCTTTTGTTTGCCTGTTGGCTGTCTCCTGTAGTAAGTGCGACAGCCCCGTGGGAGCAGGGACCTTCTCTGTGTTGTGTGTCGCTGTCCCCAGCGCCGACCACAGGGCCTAGCACACAGGTTCTATTCTAAGGTATATATTAAATAAACTTAGTCAATGTATTAAGTTGAATAAAGGGCTTTCCTCTCCCCAAGAACACTTTCAATTATTTGGCCCTTCCCTCTAGTTCTACATTTTGAAAGTTGTTTGTCTACCAAGCCAAGGCACTTATAATGTACTAATTGCTCTCCTATTTTAAAAACTTAATTCTAACTTGGCTGGACATGGTGGCTCATACCTGTAATCCCAGCACTTTGGGAGGCGGAGGCGAGCAGATCACCTGAGGTCGGGAGTTCGAAACCAGCCTGGCCAACATGGCGAAACCCTGTCTCTATTAAAAATACAAAAATTAGCCAGGCATAGTGGCGGTTGCCTGTAATCCCAGCTACTCAGAAGGCTGAGGCAGAAGAATCGCTTGAATCCAGGAGGTGGAGGTTGCAGTGAGCCGAGATCATGCCATTGCACTCCAGCCTGGGAAACAAGAAAGAAACTCCATCTCAAAACAAACAAACAAACAAAAAAACTTAATTCTAACTGCAGTCCTATCTTTCAGGCAGCTTCTGACCACCACAAGATATTTATTTAGCATCACCATTTCCAGCTGATGTCATTCCAGATTCCTGCAAAGGAAGGTGACATGTCAGCCCAAGTGATCTTGCTGGGAGTAACTATACCATCTCCATTAGAGATTAAGAAACTGCAAAAATGCTCAGGGGTCCACAGAACAATCTCAGCCAACCCTAGAGCCCCAGGATCCCTGGACTGGCTCATCCCCATTCCCACCAGCAGTGCTCTACCTCCAGTGCCTGAGACAGTGCCTGTGACAGAGTGGGTGCTCAAGTAATATTAATATTTGTTGAATGAATGAACAAATGAACCATGAGCACTTTTCTGTCATTAGACATTCTTCTTCAATAACCATTGTTATCCCTCATGCCTGAGGAAATGCCAAGCCTTCAGCCCCATCCTGTCTCACTGCTGCAGAAACCCACAGGCCAGGCTCAGCACCAAGTCAAAGTAGGGAGGGAGAATAGGACAGCTTTAGGGTACTGTCCAGTTGGTGTCTGGCCCACAAAACATGGAGCACCAGAAAGCTGGCGGGGTGTAGAAGTTACTCTGGGACTGTGTGAAGCAAGTTCGGAGGCGTGAGCTACAGCATCACTGATGCCACGAAATTCTGGCCATGCCCTTGGGATGATAACATTGCTGTTCCATGTCACTCTCCTAGCTGTTGGTGCTAGCAGTCTGACTTCCTTGGCTTGCGGCAGCTTCACTTCAATCTCTGCTTCCACGTACACATGATGTTCTCTTCTCCGTGTCATGTTTTCCAAATTTCCCTCTTCTTAGCAGGACTCCAATCATCAGATTAAGAGCCAACCTAATCCAGTATGACTTCATCTTAACTTGATTACATCTCCAAAGACCCTATTTCCAAATAAGGTCACTCTCACAGGATCCAGTAGACATGAATTTAGGGGTGATACTGTTCAATTCAGGTGTCTCCAGCCCCAGAGAGAGGCTTAACTATGTTGGCACTTCAGCCTAAGGGGGAATCAGAATGGAGGTAGTGGTGAGGCTCTTCTCTAGCAAGTGTGCTGTGAGCTTTGGCCTAGAATCTAGAACTCAAGACCCTTGGAATAGAAGGGACACGTTCCAGTCTATGGGAGACATCCTTCGGACAGTCCAGTCTGGCTTACCTAGGCAGCGATAAGATTTGGGCCATTATCATGGATTCTGAAGTTTTTTGCTTGAAGGACATTCAGAGGTTGCACCCACCATCTTCTCATCCTATAGTTGAAAACACTGAAGTCCAGGGAAATTAAACTATTTTCCTTAAGTTGCACATTTGGTGAGTGGCTGGGTCAGGTCAAGAACCCAGCCTCTTCACTCTGTCCAGTGCCCTTCACAGGTGGTCACTTAAGTATTAATTCTAACGACAGTGGTAGCACCTATGGAATCAGGCACCTATGGCATCAGTTTTCAGCGATCAGGGAGACTCAAATTCCTCCAAAATCCTCATGGGCCTCTCATCAAAGACACTTCAACTTTTTAACAATGTTATTATTTGATTACAGGTGTGTTTTCAACACTATGACAGTGTGAATAAAGGCATGTTTAGAAAACTTTGCAAATGTCTTTTTTATTGTAACATATGACCTAAGCTGATGCAGTAGGCTTCATTTGCAAATGTAGCTTCAAGACACGACCCCTAGTTACCCACTTCCTTTCCAATCAGACTGCCCCCCAAACTCCTCCAGCATGGAATTCTAGAGTCTAAAAGAATAATGGCAATGCCACTGCTACCTCCTGAGTGCCTGGAATATGCCAGGCTCCATGCTAAGTGCTGTAGATGAATTATCTCATTTTTCCTTCCAACGGCCCTTTGAGGGAGGAACTTCTGTCTGTCTAGAAGATGAGGAAATTGAGGCTGAGTTTGGCCCGCAGGCGTGTTTTTATTTTCTATCTGAATGTCTCTAGGTAGAGCATCCACTCCCCAGTTGCCCAGTTGTCAAAGGCTCCATCATCCCATTTTCGTAACCACACTCACCTAAAAAAAAAAGTTTTCTTTTTTTTTTTTTTGAGACGGAGTCTCACTCTGTCGCCCAGGCTGGAGTGCAGTGGCCCGATCTTGGCTCACTGCAACCTGCGCCTCCCGGGTTCACGCCATTCTCCTGCCTCAGCCTCCCGAGTAGCTGGGACTACAGGCACCCGCCACCATGCCCAGCTAATTTTTTTGTATTTTTAGTAGAGACGGGGTTTCACCGTGTTAGCCAGGTTGGTCTCAATCTCCTGACCTCATGATCCACCCGCCTCAGCCTCCCAAAGTGCTGGGATTACAGGCTTGAGCCACCGCGTCTGGCCCAAAAAGTTTTATTTTAAACAGCTTTATTAAGATATAATTCACATCCCATACAAGTCATTCAAAGTGTATATAATGGAATGGTTTTGAGTATATTCACAGATATGTGCCACCATCGCCACAGTCCATTTTCGAACATTTCCCTCATCTCAAAAAGAAATCCCATACCCTTTAGCTGTTACTTCCCCGTCCTCCCACCCCTACCAGCCCTAAGAAATCATGATTCTGCTTTTTGTCTCTGTAGATTTGCCTATTCTAGATATTTCATATAAATGAAATCATACAATAGATGGCCTATGTGTCTGGCTTCTTTCATTCAACGTAATGTCTTCCACGTTCGTCCACATGGTACTGTGTATCAGCGCTTCATTTATTTTTATGGGTGAATAATATTCCATCTCATTGATAGACCACATTTTCTTCATCCATTCATCAGCTGATGGAGATTGTGGAGATAATATTTTCTTGGTACTTTGTGCCAGTCCCTGTTCTAAGTGCTTTATCTCATTGAATCCTCACAACAACCTTGTGAGTTAGGTGCTTTTTGTTACTGCTATTTTACAGAGAAGGAAATAGGAGATGTTATCTAACTTGTCCAAAATCACACATCTAGTGAAGATCTGGTTGGCCACTGAGTGTAATTCCCAGAGGCACACAGTCCTCTTTTGAGTTGTGTCTTCAGGGTAATGCATATGCACCTCAGCCTGCTCGTTTATCCGTAAGTGGAATCAGAAATGGCACAGGGAGGGGCGAGGCATGGTGGCTCCCACCTGTAATCCCAGCACTGTGGGAGGCCGAGGTGGGTGGATGACCCGAGGTCAGGAGTTCGAGACTAGCCTGGCCAACATGGCAAAACCGTGTCTCTACTAAAAACACAAAAAAAATTAGCCAGTTGTGGTGATGGGTGCCTGTAATCCCAGCTACTCAGGAGGCTGAGGCAGGAGAATCACTTGAACCTGGAAGGGGGAGATTGCAGTGGGCTAAGATTATGACACTGCACTCCAGCCTGGGTGACAGAGCCAGACTCCATCAAAAAAAAAAAAAAGGCACACAGAGGACCTCCTCTCTTCATTACCTGACCCGCAACTTGGCTCCTTCTCTGGACTGTCCAATCACCCACTCAGGAACATTCTGGAAAACCACTTCTGTAATATAAGCATCTTCTTTCAACAAATGATGTTGGTCAACAAACCCCCTCAAGGGGCAGTATTTGGGCCCTGTAAAATCCTCAGTATCTGGGACCTCACTCGTCCAATATTTGTGATCTTTTCAAGAAGTTGGGCTGGGCTAGAGTTTGATTCAGTTAGCAAAATTTTCTTTTTAGATAATGGAAATTCATAGTATACACAGGATTGTAGAAGGAAGGTTTAAACAAAGTGTTTTCAAGCCTCCTCAAAAATAGCAGGAGTACCAGGATCAACCCCAGGGCTGAGAGGCAAGTTGCACACGATACTTGTCTATTCTTTAAGCAGGCCCCCTAAAGACCCCACAGGCACCCCTGCCAATGGGATAGTGAAAACGCTTTTCATACTGAAAGGGCCATGACTGCCTCCCTTCAAAATATGTTGGATTTCAGACTCACCCTCTGATTCTCTGAACCTAAGTCCTGGTACTCAGTCTTATTCTTCTATGGAAAAGCTTTTCTCCACCAATCAGATATTCAACAGAACTAAGTAGTGAGCCACAAAATCCCCCTTGAGCTACGTCAGGCTGAGAAACATTGAAGATTAGGTCCTAGCAAGGGAGCAGCAGGAAAGAGCTCTGGAGGGAACTTCTGAACTTGAAGCCTCCTTCTTCCTTTCACAAAATCCTGTTATTCTTTCCACAGAGAAATTCCGCCCAGCTGAAAAGTCTGAGGGCCGGGGTGAGAGCCCTGCAGCCGAGACAAGCCCTCAATACCTTAAGCCTATTGAGTCCTGGTTGCCTTTGATCTAGGCATTTCCTGTGGTCCAGCCAGTGAGAGAATGAGGAGTGTCTACTGATGCCAGTATTTCCAAAATGAAAACTTCTACTTCTTTCTAGAATCTTAGACCCTGGATTGTAACAGATCATGGGCTCAGGCTGCCCCACTCCATCCTGGTTTGGGGTTAATTATGTTAAAGTCACAAAGATTTCAATTTTCTGCCGCCTTCAAAAGGATGCCTTTTATCCTGTCTGCAGAGCAGCTTCGGTGACGTTCTATTGCAGGGAGGGGGTGACAGCAGAGACCCAGCAAAATAGAGAGGTTTCTGATCCACTGCACCCTGGCTTGGACCAGCCCCACTGGTGTGGATGCTGAAAATACCGGGCAGAGAAAGCCAGAGATCTGAGGCTGGGTACTGACCTTCTCTGACTGCTTTTGTAGCTGACTTATTCTATCTGGGCCCCTGTTTCTCCCTCCACAAAATGAAACATTCAACTGAAAGGGACTGCAAACTGCTTTCAACTATTTTTGCTAATTCTAATCTATTGGTAGAGGCTGCGTAGAGTTCTGTATTGAGGATTTTGAGGCTTAGTAGAAGAGAGAGCTGGGATCAATTAGCAATGTCTGCTGTGAGGAAGGGAAAGAGAGCAGTGACACATTTACTTACCATATATTTGCCACTCTTGACATTGACATCCATAGTCTTCTTTGGCTCAGATCTTGTGTGCTTTTATGATTCCTCTCACCTGTACTGTTTTCTTTGCCCTTTGCAAAGACCTCTCTCAGGGGCTGTTGCCACCTCCCCCGACCAGGAATTGACAGTGGTCTAGAGATGATTGCTTATAGGGTTGGGTCACGTAAGTTAGAGGCAACCAAGGCCAGAGGAGGCCAGAGCTTTCCTTGAGACTAGAGATAAGCCTAAAGGAGAGTGTTTCTCTAATCAGCACTGAACTGAAACCTACAGGGATAAAGCATAGCCAATGTGGATAACCCCTTCCAAGATCACCCACCACTAGATAAATGTAAGGCGTGGCCTCCATCTGTCTGCTGTAGGCACGGAGGACTGAGAAAGCAAAATTCCGCTGGAAAAAGTGAAAAGAATTTTGAGCTGAGGGCTGCTGGGAATGGGGCCGTCTCCCAGTCTATAAAGTGGTGATGGCGACAGTACCTCCCGCAAGGGTCATTGTGATGATGTAATGAGATAATGCATTCAAAATGCTCAACACAGTGCCTGGCACTCAGTAATCAATGCCTAAGCAAAGCGATCCAGTAGTTCACGGTATTATCCTCTGGGCTCACTCTTTGGTGGCACTGGGCCTGAGGATATTAAATCTCTTCTGAAACCGGCCCTCCCATCGGCAGGGCGGGAGCTTGCTATCTCACCACTGAGGCCCCGCGTTCACCAGTTCCAATAATACGATTAGTAATTTTTCATTCCTGAGATGTCTACCCATGGGTGGGTGCATGTGTGCATGTGTGAGTGTATATGTGCCTTTCAGAGAAGGGGAAAATCCATACTCTCTCTTCTGACTGAATTAATCAAATAAATCTTCTATAAGGAGCTGCTAAATGAATTACAGATGGCTCTGCCCTTTTACAGGTTGCAGAAAGCACCCGTTACAGTTCTTTTAATTTATCAGAGGAAAAAAGATGCCCTCGTGTGCCCCTTCCCTCTTGCAATAATAATCAGAACCAGTCTATTTTCCAAGGGTCCGAGACTCATTTTCAAAAAATGTGTATCCATAGATGTAACAGCGGGAAGATTATTTTGCCAAGTTCCAGCCTCCAGCATGGGGAAGGTGCCCTGGCTGGGGAGAGCGTTTATAAAACCACATTTAATAAAAGAGAGTGTTATATTAAGTATGTTTGCTAGTGTATATAAGCATATGGTTTCCATATCAGGCCTAAAGATGCCAAACACATGCTTTACCTTCTTCCTAACCTTTCCTAGAAACGTCCTTTCTAGGGGGTGGTGGGATGGCAGGAATTTTTGTAGATGTGAGTGTGTTGTTTTGTTTTGTTTTTTACAACTCTGGCTCACATGGAAAAGCACCGAGGAATGTTCAGAAAACATGTGAAGACTCTGCCTTTTCTACTTATGTAATTAGCCCAAGAAACTCGCCTTGCTTACTTTCTTCAAGTGTCCCAACATTCTACCCGAGCTCCCTTGCCAAGACGCTAGGGGCTGGCTGATTTTAAAGTGCGAATCAATTTCTGCTGCAAAGAACTTGAGCTCCTGGATTTTAGACATGAACTCTTTGGTAAAAGCAAGAGCTCCAAGAATGGCTGCCCAGCTTTGTGTCCACATGAGTCCCTGCTTTCAGGAACCCATCCAACTATTTTCTGCCCACAGATCCCCTTTTGGTACCTGGGCTGAGCATTAGGGGTTTTATCCTTTTTCCTGTAGGTCAGAGGCAACCGGCTATGGCCCTGCAGGCATGGGGTCCCGGGAAAGGCAGCTTGAATGGGTCTCCATGGCCCCCCACCATAAAACAATCCCCAAATTCTGAGATCATCCCGGAAGCCAAAATGCCAAACTAGGAAGGGGGTTGAGGAGGGGCCTCTGCAGGGAAGCCGCCCAGCCCACCCCCCACACCAGCAAGCAGATTTGCCTAGGCGAGTTATAAATCTACTGGTACCATTTCTTTTTCGTCACTTGCCTAATCCTGTGCCCTTCGTTTCATGTGCTGTAATTATTAACATCTGCTTTCTGAGCCTGGACCGCATGGAGTTTGCAAAGGCAGTTTTTAGTCCAGAACAATGGTGACAGCTGTTTCATTTAGCCTCGGGCCAGCACTTCCTGTTCAGTCTGCATCTGCCCTCCTGTGTCCAATTTCTGTTTCGGGGTTTTGTGTTTTGTTTTCTATTTTTTTTCCCTTCATCTGACCTTGCTATATGTTTAAGAAGAATTTCTAACTTAGCACTGCAGCTAGGATTTCTAGCACATATGCTTATTACATTGGCGACAGCCAGAGAGAGACAGGAGAAAGCCCAGATTGTCTCCAGCAGCTAACAGTGTGGAGGGCAGGGACAGAAGGGAGGGCTGGCTGGGGACCCGGGAACCAGGCTCAAAAGAAATTCTTGGGGCTTGGAGGTGGGGACTTGTGTGACCTCTCTAGAACTTAGACACAGGAAAGACGGGCCCAGCTCATCTGTGCCCAGGCCTGGGGTCATCTCCATGGCTTATTTGGCAAGGGGTCACCCAAACATCCCATGAGGAAGCCCACGTGTGTGGGTGGCCACCAACATGCAAGGGCCCTGCTTCTTTGGAAGCCAAGCAAGTTGCAGAGACCCAGATTCACTTTTTCCCACGGAGTCACCAGCGTGCCATCAAAATCCCTTTTAATTTGCACTGGGAGATCCATAGAATGGGAAAAGGAAATGCTGTCAGTAGGAAAATAAAGGACTTCAGCTTTAAACAATCTGCCCAGACCCCTTCTGCATACCTGGCTGTGTGTGTCTGTGTGTGACCAAAGAGAAGGGAGACTGCAGCCCACTCCTGCACCCCCCGCCATCCACCCCACCCATTCTAACTCCATCTGATCCAGGCTCAGGGTCCCCAGCTCGGCTGGCATACAGATGTTGAGTTATTAGCCGAGACCCCACCACAAGCGCCAGGTTAGAGACCTCAAGATTTGTGAAAGCTGCCTTCAGGCATTGCTGGATATTTCTTGCCAAATAGGGCAAAAACCAATCTCTGCACAGATAACAACTTTCAGGAAGGTGTAAGTGTCCCACGAATGTGCCAAGCAGAGCTTGGGAGTCGGGGAGGGAACCATGAGTACTCAAATCAGGACACGTGGAGTCTGCGTCTGTGCCTTCTGTTGAATCTGGGGGTGTCAGGTTGGCAGAGACTCTGGAGATCCACTGCCCCACTTCTTTAGTTTTCCGAACAGGTGAAGAAACTGAGCATCAGAGAGAGGAAGTGACCATTCATCAGCTGTAGCTAGGTCTAGCTTGATTTTATCCAGAGAGAAGCACAGAAAGGTCAATCTGTGTCAGTTCTAGGATCTTGAGGTGTTTTTAGCATCTCGACATGAAGTGTCTCCTTCAGTCCTAGGCCCTGTCCACCCTTCTAAGTGGCTCACATGAAAATAACTCAAGACCTTACTCCCAGATGGAAAGAGTGGGGCAAGTCAGGGGGACCTCAGCAGCAGCCATCAGTGCTGAGGCACATGTCAAGCCCATGGCTCCTGGCCGCTGGAGGACTGCTGAACCCACCAGCTCCCAAGAGCAGAGTCAGTGCTGACCGGACACCACCTGAGGTTCTGGGTGGACAGTGGAGGGCCCATGTCCTCCAGAGGGCAGGCAGACAGAAGGGAGAGAGGCCATTGCCAGGGATGGGGGTGCAGAGCCGGGAAAGCCCAAACCCGAGGGCACTCGCCATTCCCAAACCTTGATTTGAGCCTGAAGTGGCCACGAGGCCTGACTCAGGTTGGCAGAGGCATCACAGGGCCGTTCCCTAAACTCCAGAACCACAGCCGGGCCTGCGCCTCTCCACCTGCTGGGAGCCTGCTCCAGACCCTGGGCTCCTCCCAGCCTGCCCGCCCAGGCCCCTGGCCCTGCCCCCATCCTCAACCCCTGGCCGCCCCCTCCACTCTTCCTTCCTTTTCTCACTCACTCTTTTTCTTCTTAAAGTTAATTGCAACTTTTTTTCTCAGCGCCTTGATCTGGATAAGCCACATCTCATTAGAAAAAGATTTAGCTGGAGCCAAAGCAGGCTAGAGAAGGAATCCCTAATCAACAGAGAAAAGATTTGGGTGTAATTGCTCTCTCCCGCCATTCTCACTCCCTCCCTCCTCCAATCTTTTTCTGCTCATTAATCTGAAAAGAAAGTTGCATTCTAATGTCTTGGTGTTCAAGTATCTGCCGCTGCATCAAACCAATTGAAGCACTTTGGGGCTTTTGAAGGGGGGTCTGTAAGGAGAGCTTTGGCTGTCGGGGTGCATGGGGGTAAAATATTTTGGTTGTTGGGGACTGTGTATGATGCACTTTGGTTGAAGGAGTAAAGCTGTTTGGGTGTGCATGTGGGTGTGTGTGCGAAGTGTTTTGGGTGTTGGAGTATGTGTGTGGACCCTTTGGTTGGGGTGTGTATGTGTGTAAAGCTCTGTGCGTGTGTATATTAAGTGCTTTGCTTATTGGGCAGATGTGTGAAGCCCTTCTGATTTCTGGGTTGCATGTGTAAAGTACTTTGGTCATTGGGTGCATGTGTGTAAAGGTTGTTGTGGTGTGTGGAGTGCTTGGTTGTTGGGGTGGGCGTTGTGCGTTTGTAGGTGTAAAGGGCTTTTGGGATTGGATGTGGATAGGTGAAGTGGCTCATTTGTTAGTATGTGGGTATGAAGTGGTTTGGTTGTTGAGGGTTGCATGTGTAGTCCTTAGGTTGTGTGTGTGTGTGCATGCGTGCACGTGTGAGAGAGAAATGCTGTGGTGCTGTGTTTGCTGGGTGCTTTCCTCTCGCCCAAGTTAAACCCTGACAGATGCTTAAGTGGTGATACATGGAAAACGAATTTCGGAGCAAACCAACTTCCCAGGCAGGGACCCTGGATCCTCTAACACCCAGCAATGAAATGGTACAGCATTTTCAGGCTCTCTCTTCAGAACTGGGAAATTTTTTACAATGACCATTTATCATTGGTGGGGGTAGGGAAGGATATTTGAATTAGTTTTTTTTTTTACTGAAAAAATTAATTCACGTTCAAAATGAAAAAAAAAAAGCAGGAATACATACTCCTGGTAAAATGGGAATATTACAAGGGGCTAGAGAATGAAAAGTCAAGCTCTCTCGCACCGCTGTCCCCGGCTCCCCTTCCCAGTCACCCATTACCAGTAACTTTTGTGCCATCCCAAACACAGGTCACACATCCATGCTCCACGTTGGCCTATATTGTACACTATTCTGCACTTTGCTTTTTTCACTTCAGAGTACATCTCGGAGATTGTTCTCTATCAGCATAGATTTTATTCATATTGTATTTTTTAACTATAACATTGATTGGGGAAAAAAAGATGCCTCTATTCTGGACAAGCCAAAGTACTGGGAACCAGGTCTCTCCCTGTAAAATATAATAATGATACCCTGGTCTGATGCTGAGTCTCCTGTTTATTGCCTCATTTATTCCTCAGAAAACCCGGAGAAGGAGTTACCACCCCACTCATAGAGGAGGACACCAATGCAGAGAGAGGTTGGGTCACTCACCAAAGCCACACAGGATGTGGCAGAGCTGGAATGTGAACAAAGGCAGGCTGAATGCAGAGCTCTTGCCATCAACCTCTGCCTTCCAGAAAAAATAAAAAGGATGGAACTGCCTGGGAGCTGGGAGTGACGGGAGAGTTAGAGGGGCCTCTGCCACCCCCAGACCCACTGGAGAGCCCAGAGCCCTGTGTCTGAGCTACCCCACCTGCATTTGTCACTCTCCATGAGCCCCAGTGACCACTGCTGTCAGGAGAACCCAAGCAGACGCTGGCTCCCATCTCCCAGCCCAGGCCCCTGAGGGTGAAGCATGGTTTGAGCCTTTTCATGTTTCTCTGAGCACTGCCCATGCACAATTGCCCCCCTTACACCTGCTTATTATCAAATATAAGTCGCGGTCGCGGAGGTGGGGCACTCCTGTAATGAGGGTGTTTCCACTGAGGCCACAGAGTTGAGCTGGGTGCGGCAAGGTGAGGCTCTAAGCTGGCAAGCAAAGACAACATTCCACAGTGACCAGAGCCCTGAGCCCCAGGTTGCCACAATACCAAGCCCATCCTGAGGGAGGATGCGATCTCTCCACCTCCCCCATCGCCCCATATCCTCTGCATTCCTCTCTCTCACCGTATCTCAGTCTGCTGTGCAGTTGTTAAGAACACTTCCACCACATCAAGGACAAAATGGACGTGAATATTTGCAGAGAATGGGAAAGACCTGTCTGTGGTGTTGGAGGAAACCTATCCGGGAAGGGAAGGTTTTCAAAGGCAGCCCAGAGGCCTGCTGATGACAGGGGAGTACTGGGGACTTATTAGGCCAAGAAGAAGGCCATCTCTGTTCCGTTAGGGTCCCAAATGATGACCCTCTACAGACAAGGTGTAGATACAAAGATCCTCCTAAAGCACAGAGCTACGTGCTCAAAATGCTACGGAGGCCGAAAACAGTCCTGTCCCACAGGGCAGCCCCTTGCCACGTGGCCAATCCAAATTGAGATGTGCTGTAAGTGCAAAACACACACCCCATCTTGAAAACTTCATGTGAAAATGAAACAAAGTATCCCATGAACAACTGGATATTGACTAGATGTTGAAATGATGGTATTTGGAAGCTATTGCATTCAATGAAACAATTTATGAAAATTAATCATGGCGTGTGCTTTGGTTCGCCCTTTACCTTTTTTTTTTTTTTTTTTTTTTGATGTGGCTATTAGAAAATTTAAAATTACGTATGTGGCTACCATTACATTTGCATGGGACAGCACTGGCTTAGAATCTAGCCTTTCATGAATATATACCACTACCTCCATTTTACCAATGAACAAACCAGCTTGACCAAAGTCACCAGCTAATAACCACAGAAACCAGAATTCACATTATGAGAGGCCAGTGATTCCAGCTGAACAGTCTGCTAGTTGATAAAACTCCTAAAATAAGAGAGGTGGTGTTATTTTCACAAGCTCTTATGCAAAAGTGTTCAGTGCCAGCAAGGACTGAAGCAAATGAGGAATCTGAGGAAAGCAAACTAAAAGCCTGTGACTGGCCGGGCATGGTGGCTCACACCTGTAATCCCAGCGCTTTGGGAGGTCGAGGTGAGAAGATCACTTGAGCTCAGGAGTTCGAGACCAGCCTGGGCAACAGAGCAAGACAACACGGTGATGCACATGCCTATAGTTCCAGCTACTGGGGGTGGGGAGTGCTGAGGAGGGAGGATTGCTTGAGTCCAGGGGTTCGAGGCTGCAGTGAGCTATGGTCGTATCACTGCACTCCAGCCTGGGCAACAGAGAGAGACCCTGTCTCTAAATAAACAAAGAAATAAATAATAAAAGCCTGTGCTTGACCTCCTGACATTGGTTGGGAATGTTAAAGGCGCACTGGGTTGCTCTTTCTGAACAGGGACTGGGCAGGCTTCTGTGTAAACTTGGCCAGTCCCTTCCCCTCTCTGGGCCTCAGCTCCCCCATCTGTCAACACGGAGCGGTGGACTAGATGTTCTCTGAGGTCTATCAGGTCACCAGGGCACAACTCACAGATTCCTCCCCTCCAGGGGTGAGGGTGAGCTTCGGAGCACCGAACTGGGTCCTTGGGCTAGTGACAACCTCTCTTGTGTCATCTGTGAGTTGGGGATGAGAAGAGGGTGAACTTCAGAACTCTGCACTGAGAATGAATGAGATAGTGCAGGTAAACGTATCCAGCACATGCCTGGTACACAGGAAGCACTCAATAAATGCTAGCTCTTGTAGTCACTGTGGTAGTTACTAGGTTGATCAGCTGGCATGGATTGTTCTGGGCCTGTAGACTCAGATTCTCAAGCAATTTCTGCCTCAGAGCCTCCTGCTAAACGGACACACTTAAACGCTGAATTTGATGGAAGGCAGGTTCACCTTGCACTTGGCTTTTAAAGGGCTCCTTACCACTGCAACTCAATTCCATGACTGGATGGATAACAGAAGCACCCGGGAGGAGGGCAGCTTGGCAGGAGCCCACAGGAAGATTCAAGGTTTCATAACAAAGCATCTTCTGGTGTGTCAAGAGTAAGACTAGGCCGGGCGTGGTGGCTCACGCCTGTAATCCCAACACTTTGGGAGGCCAAGGCGGGTGGATCACCTGAGGTCAGCAGTTCAAGACCAGCCTGGCCAACATGGTGAAACCCCCTCTCTACTAAAAATACAAAAAATTAGCTGAGTGTGGTGGCAGGCGCCTATAATCCCAGCTACTCAGGAGGCTGAGGCAGGAGAATCGCTTGAACCCGGGAGGCAGAGGTTGCAGTGAGCCAACATCAGACCACTGCACTCCAGCCTGGGCAGCAAGAGCAAAACTCAAAAAAGTCTCAAAAAAAAAAAAAGTAAGACTAGAAACGTCCACGACCCCAGCGGTGTGTTAGGGGCTCACCTTTTTCCCTGAGTAGTTGTCCAATGTCACTTTTCCATCTGCAGGAGTGACGCCAATCCGTGGCCACAGGCTTTCTTCTGCCCCTTTTCCCCACCGTGGGAGGACTCTGACCTTTCTTCTCAACAGCTGTTTACATTTTTTTACCCCTGAATTGTGGGTAAACAGTCTCCCGTATTAGATAAAGGCTTTATCAGCTCACCGGCTCATCCCCTCCACACAACCTCCAGTGCAAGTCTGCGTCAGGAGTAAGCCAAACGCGATGAGTCTCCAAGCTCCTTATCTTGCACTTAATTGGAAGAACCTTGAGTTCAAAGTGTAGGCGCCCAGCTGTCTCTGGCGTGCGTCGGCTGCCACCTGCTGGAAAATCCTGGTATGGCGTGGTCTCCTCGGCCGACAGGCTCGCTCGCTGGGGGAAGAGGTTCATTCACTCAGCCAAGAGATATTTCTGGAGCAGGAAATATGTGTCAGCCAGAGTCCTAGGCACTTGGAATGATTTAGTGAACAAAACAGAGACCCGTATACCTGATTTTCTGGAGCTTATCATTTTTCAGAGGGTGACAGGCAATAGACAATATCACAAATACATGATACCATATGTTAGGAAGTGACCAATATGTGGGAAGTTTTTTTTTTTTAGTAGAACATGTAAGGGGGGGTTGAAGTGCTCGATGGGGAAAGGTGAGTTGTAAAGAGTTTTCAGGGTCAGCCTCATTGAGAAGGCTGAAGCTTTTTGAACAAAAGCTTGAAGGAAATGAGGGAAATTTCCATGGAGGAAGAGTGAGGCTGGCTGGGAGTGCAAAGGCCCTGGGGTAGGAATGCGCTCATGTCATTCAGAGAATACCAAGGAGGCCTGCGGTGCTGGGGGGAGAGGGCCACGAGGAAAGGTCATGGTACTGATCAGAAAGAGGGGAGGCCAGAAGGTGCAGGGTCTCATGGGCCACGTTTAAGGGCCATGACTATATTAGTCACCTTTGTCTGCCATAACAAAATACCAGGTATTGCTGTAACATTTAGTTCCTCCATAAGAGAAAACCTGGTGGGTGTGGTGGCTCACACCTGTAATCCCCTTTGGGAAGCCAAGGCAGTGGATCACTTGAGCTCAGGAGTTCGAGACCAGCCTGGCCAACATGGCAAAACCCCATCTCTATCAACAAAAAAAAAAAAGAAGAAGAAGAAGAAAGAAACATGACAAAATAATATAACTTCCGTTGGCTTTTTTTAGACATATAATTTCATTTACTAGATACATGAACCAATCCTAAAATATGTGTGTTGCCCCTGTATTACAGATAGGTAAACTGAGGTTCAGAGAGTTATTGTATCGCATGGGAAACTGGTAATTGAAACTAAGTCTGTCTAAGTGTGAAGTCTTAGCTCATTTTGTTAAGTCACCCCTACCTCCCTAGGTATGTGTATTCATCTCTGGATTTGATTTGCTAATATTGTGTTGAGGATTTTTGCATCTAAGTTCATGAGAGACACTGGTCTGTGATTTTCTTTTCTTGTGCAATCTTTATCTGGCTTTGGAATCAAGGTTAAACTAGCTTCATAAAATGAATTGGGAAGTATTCCCTTCTCTTCTAGTTTCTGAATAACATGGTGTAAAATTCGTGTTTTTTTTTTAAGAATTCTCCAGAAAAACCATCTCTGAAGCTTTTTAAATTACAAAGTCCATTTCTTTCATAGTTTTTGAGCTATTCAGATTGTCTGTTTCATCTGGGTTGGGTTTTGATAGGTTGCAGTATTTACAGAATTGGTCCGTTTCTTTTAAGTTGTTGAATTTATGAGCGTAAAGTTGTTCAAAGCATCTGCTCATCATATTTTTAGCAACTGCAGGATTTGTAGTGATATCCTCTGTCTCAACTCTGAGATTGTGGTAATATGTCTTCTCTCTTTTTATTTTTGTCAGTCTTGCTAGAGATGTATAAATTTTATTGGTTTTTTTTGAAGAACAATCTTTTTGTTTTATTGATTTTTCTCTATTATCTTCCTATTTTCAATCTATTTCTGCTCTTATTTTTATTTCCTTTCTTCTGCTTGCTTTGGGCATAATTTTCTTCTTATTTTTCTAGTTTTATGAAGTGAGAACTTTGATTATTGATTTCAGATGTTTCCTCTTCTAATGTTAGCATTTAGTATTATAAATTTTCCTCTCAGCACTGCTTTAGCTGCACCTTAGAGTTCTATGTGTTTTTAATTCCCTTTGAGACTCCTTCTTTGACCCATGAATTATTTAGAAGTATGCTGTTTAACTTCCAAGTGTTTGAAGATTTTCCCGTGGTCTTTCTGCCCTCTGAATTTTAGTAACTGTCTCTGATATTATTTCATCTCCATGAGAACAGGACTTTATTTATTCTATCGCTACATCACTGATGACGGGAACAGAACAATAGTATGCTCTCAATAAATAAGGATGAACGCATGATTGAAATAGTTTAAAAATCAAGACCCGGAAAACTGAAGCTTAAAAAGGAAGAGAAGGACATCAGAAAGTTGATGGTGATTATCAGTGGGTGGGAAAATATGGTTACCTTTTATTTTCTTCTTTTTATTTCATACTTTCCAAATTCTCTGCAATGAGCATGTCCTAGTTTTACCATCAGGAAAATGAATTATAATAGTGGAAGTTGCCATTGCTGATCATTTTCACCCTCTCCCTGGCAGGTCATATCAGAATGTGAGTTGCTAAAAAAACTGAAGATGACAGGACTTCAAAAGGGCCCTTAAGAAGGTCCCAGAGCTGAATTGACCCAGACCCCTCAGAAGACAGGGAAGGACCCTGCTAGCCACCCAACTTTTATAGGCTTGTAAGATTACTGCGACAATAACTTTCTCATTGAGACCATGCACATTTTCAGTCACAGGGTCATTTTCATGTTTCTCTTCTAGGCACACAAAAGTGCTTAGAGATCTCATGAATTAGTGTTTATCCCAGGATATCTGGTTTGGCATTGTAAATAAAACAACCACCTGCCTAAGTCCAGCCATCAAAATTACTTTGACAATTTACTCTGAGGAAGCAGTATTAGCATTTGCTTTCAGGGTTCATGATGTGCAAAAGATTACTTAAAAATAGGAGGGAACAGAGAAGAGATATCGTAGTTTTTTGATCTTGTTTTTTAAAAAAATATTGCCATCTCTTACATCTTTTGTCACAGTCTCTTCATGATTTTTCAAGGCAATTTCTTTGGGAAGCCAAGTGGCTGAGGCAATTTGATGATAACTCAGCCAACCTGCATCACTACCTAAACAGTTTTTAGGTATGGACAATTTCTGAAGATGAGTGAACATGCTTTTCTGCTTTTGAAAATAATCCTGAAAACTTGGTTTCAATTTTTTTCAACAAAGTGATTGCCCAGATCTGAAAATGTTTTTTTCACCCTTTTCTACTTTTGAGGTGAGGTGATTTCCTGTAAGGTCCAGGGATTTGGGAGGGGCTCAGGATAGGGCAATTTTATAACCTGATGCCTGGGGGTAGTACACAGTGCCATGCATGGGGATGTCCCACAAAAGGCAGGGAAGCAGGTGTGGCAGCGGCTATGTCCTCTTTGGAGCTGAGCCACAGAGGGCATCAGGATCAATGAGCAGATCTTTATCAATCTGTCTGAGTCTTAAAGAATAGCCAAGGACATGAGAATCTGGAAAACCATAACATAATTGAATTGGGGGAGAATTCGACTCTCCCCCAATGAAGAATCCACATCCCAGGCACAATTCATGTCAAACAACATAGGCTATGCTAAAACCAGCAAGACATGGGGTCTTGTAGTATAAACTAGTCTGTGTCTTACAAATCATTTGATTTCTATAATTCCTGGGTACTTGATTTGCTCATGTTTTTTCTGTTGCTGAGTTGACTGATTTGAACTACTATGTCAAAAGGCATAGATTTGTTTATTCGTTTAATTTTTATTGACACCCACTGTTCCATTTAATTCAAAATTATTCATTCCTCCATGGCTCCCTGGTAGAGACCAACCTCAGCCACTTTGGGAGACTGTTCACCAAATGTTTCTAGTTCTCTGCTTTCTGAGTGTGTGAGGCTTTTCCTTCCCTGACTGTGAAAGTTAGGCATGGCCACAAGCCCACTTTGGCCCATCAAATGTGTACAGAAGGGACACATTGGGCCAGTGAGTAATTCACTTCATACTCTCTCTTCTGTTGTACTGGGGATGTGTGTGTTGAGACGAAGCCATCATGGGTCCCAAACTATGACACCACTCCATGCTGACCCTTAATGGACAGGTAATGTGAACAAAAGAAAACATTTATTGTACAACGCTGCTGAGATCGGGTGCTTGTTACTTGCAACGTCACATGGCCTCTCCTCACTGATGAGCAAGCACACACACATGCACTTGTCCACATGTTTTGCATACACATTGTGCTGCTTGGGAAGGAGGCACTCTCTCTTTGCCACAACTCTCCCAGCTGATAATTCTCTTTTGTCCTGCCGTCGTGGGATTCCTGTGGCTAATTCACTGGATTTATTCATTTCTTGGTTGGTTTTCCATGTAGAAAGCCAAAGGAGACTTGGAACATATGTACCCCAGGGTGGTGGGTAAATCCAAGAGAGACACAATCTCTGTCTCTAAGGGCTTGCAAGCTGGCTTGGCAGAAGACAGATCCAGGCAATATATAATAGTGACAACCACAAATGGGTGCTCCAGAGCAAAATGACAAGATGTTTGCACGGCAGCAGTTTTAAGAAGGAATGCATCAGGCGGGGTGCAGAGGGAATGTAAGAGCAGCTCCAGTCCCAGGTGGCTCCTCTCAGCCTCTCCAGATCCACCCTTTGCCCCTCTCCATGCCGCTCTCTACCCCACGAGACTGGCCTGTCTGTCCTACAGTAATAGGCTGCACCCCCTCTGGCTCTGGGCTGGGTCTGGTCAATGGGGTCTCTGATAGACTAGGTCAGTGAAGCTGGCATATTTATTCCTCTGTCTCTGTTCTCACAGGGTCATCTCAGGCTGGCTGCATGCCTCAGCTGAAGATCCCAGCTCCTGTCAATGCCACCTCTCTGCTTGACTGTCTCCTTCCAGATTCGGTAACTCTCTCCTGTCTGCCCTTTAGGCCCAGGGATGGTAAGAGCCCTGAACTGAGATCCCAGCTCCAGGATATTGCACCAGCCCTTTCAGTTTCTGTATACCCTGCCCACACCTTAGTCAAGGCAGGTGTGGGCAGGATACACATTTATTTTAAGGGACTCCTTAAAGCATCCTAATTTGAGTGTGCATCTGTTTCCTGATAGCCCCTGACCATTAGATCTTGCTTTGGGGAGCCAGCAGTAAAAAGGAAATGAATGCTTTGTCTAATTATAGGGTCAGTTGGTAAAAGAGGTGGAAAGCTTTTAAAAATGATTCGTTCTTCATTATGAAATGAGTTATTAAATGGCTTTGCTTCTCCTAGAGTTAAAAAAAAAGGGTTGGAGGCCAAGTATTGGCCTCTTTGCACCTGTAATGAGCAAATGGGCTGTCCTGGAGCCTTTGTCTCCCAAAATCCTTCATCAATACTGAGGCACAGAGACCAGCCAGGATGTCACGTCACCACCGAGGCGCTCCCCCAATTCCCCCTTATCTGGCAAAGTTGATACCAGAATTCCAACCACTGTTTTTAACTTGAACCTGAGAACAGAACCTAATTTCCAGATGCTCAAGGAAAATTGTAACCTTTCTTTGGAGTTTCCTTATTTAGCATACAGCTGCTTGGAAAGGAGGCACTGTCCCATTGCCACAACTCTTCTAACTGGGAATTCTCTTTTTTCCTGCAGTGGGATTCCTGTGGCTAATTCACTGGATTTAGTCATTTCTTGGTTTTCCACGTGGAAAGCCAAGGGACACTTGAGTCTGGGAGTGCTCTAGGCCCTGTCCTCTGTTCCCAATCCCCAGGGACCCTAACTCCTTAGCTGTATCCAACTCTGGAGAGGTGCAGCCAGGAAGACGCTGGTACCTGGAGCCCCAGCATTTCCCAAAGCAGCTGGAAGACGCAGACACATGATTACAGCTGCTGGGACTGGATCTGGGGGGCAGGTCAGCTCAGGCATGCCAGGATATAAAGAGAGAGGAAGTGCAGATGGCAATTTGGAAGATTTAGGAGTTCTTGGGCTGTCATTGGATTTTATGTGTTGTCATTGACGTATGTGTGTATTCTCTCCAGAGCAGGTATGAGCTGGGAAGAATGAAGGCAGGGCATGCCCGTGTGCCAGCTCTGCACAGCTGGATAGCTGAGGAAAGATGTGGAGGAGAAGCCGGGGATTGTGTGGAAGTCTAAGGGTGTTGTTTGCCCTTTGGGTTCCAGAAGATGCATGCCAGGACCCTGGGTGGCACTGCCAGGAAGCAACAGAGAGGAGATAAAACTCACAGCAGACAGACTTGCCTTAACAACAACTCCCTTGAATTAAAACACGCTTTTCAAGAAAACAAATTATCAGTTCGATCAGCAAACAGCAGAGAAGTTTCTCTCATAATGGCAAAGAAGGGCCGGGTTGCTGACCAGTGAAAGAGCTTCAGAAAAGGAGAGGGGAGATGAGATGGCCAGAAGGAGCAAGAGCACCGTACATCCCTGGACAACCTCATTCTAATGGGTCAGGGGCTGGGACGTGCATTTTGGAGTGCAGGAGAAGTGGCAACTCACAAATGCTAGATTTTCTTCTAGAGATGACCAAGCTGTAGTTCTTAAAGCAGTGGCACTAGGGCAGAAAACTCTCACACTTTGATGTGCACACACAGCCCCTGGGGATCTTGTTGACATGTAGATTCTGATTCCGTAAGTCGGGCTGAGATTCTGCATTTCCAACAAGCTCCTAGATGAGGTCCATTTTGCTGGTCCATGAAACACACTTAGAATAAGTAGCAAGGTATAGGAGGATACTGACTTTGCTCAGTGATGCTTGGGCTTCCGTCCAAACTAAAATAAAACAAAAGCAGACATAAATGGCCCAATTCAACAGCCTGAGAAGTTTGGTGATAATGACCCAAGCCCTGGCCTGGTGACCAAGTGGCTGCTCAGAGAGCTCTATCTCCAAACTCCTTCCCTTCCTGCCTCCCCTCCAAGAGTGAGTAATGTGCCAGAGTTCATTGGGGTCTGCTGTCCCCAGGGAAAGGTGGCCCAGTTGCCAAGTGCAAGTGTATAGAACGGCTTACCTGTGCAAAGCTATCAGCCCTGGACCTATGGGCCTAGAAACATTACTTGCCACTCACTCACTCACTATCATTCATTCATTTCTGCAACAAACACTTCCTGAGCATATGCTATACACCAGGCCCTGAGCTCAGCTCTGGGGATACAGGATGAATGGCAGATTGTGCCATCAGGAAGCCGACTGCACAGTCAGCCCGCTGGAGCACATATGAAAAACAATACGGATGTTTTGATTTATTATCATATTGATCATTATGATGGTAGCGTATACTTTTGGAAGGCTTGCCATACATTAGGCATTGTGCTAAGCACATTATATGGTTAATCTCATCAATCTTCACAACCTATGTGGCAGGTACTATTATTAAACCCACTTCAAAGAGGAGGGAACTGAACCTCAGAGAGGGTAAGTGACTTGCACAAGGACACAAGCTAGTGAGGAGAGGAACTGAGAGGAATGGCCAGACAGGCCATCAGCCTCTGTCCCCACATGCTGGGTCTGAGTGTCTGACGGTGGACACATTCCCTTCCTGGAGGGAGAGCTCCTAGGGAGCTGATGGCAGCACTGAGTCTGGAATGTGATGGGAGTGCATTAGATGACGTGGGTGATCTGATGAGTACAGAGGCGTCACACTGCAATGACTTCATGCACATATCTCCCCTTGAATGCACAGAGATTCAGCAGAGGCCAGGAGCTCAAGTTTCTGGCCCAGTGTCCCCCTCTTCCCCTGGGGAAAGCCAGGGACACACTGCCTGGCTTTGCTACACCTTTCTAGGCAAAGGCAGTATGCTCTCCCTCTCCTTGGCCTCCCTGGCTGTCCACACATCCACACCCACTCACACACACATGCACATGATCATACACATTACACAAGCCCACATGCCCACAGACATGCTCACACTCACACTCACATGCATACACTGCCATACACAACACACATACATACATTCACACACACTTGCACACACACACACACACACAGTTCTGATGGCCAATCTTTTGGGGCTATGTTGACACTGTGAAGCAGGTGAAACAAAGTCTTTGCCACTCCCTGCTTTGGGCCTATTATGTTTGTTTTATAGTTTAACTCTCAAAAGACAACTTTATTTTCCAAAATTATTCAGGTTCCCAGCCAGGTGCAGTGGCTCACACCTGTAATCCCAGTACTTTGGGAGGCCAAGGCGGGCAGATCACCTGAGGTCAGGAGTTTGAGACCAGCTTGGCCAACATGGTGAAACCCAGTCTCTACTAAAAATACAAAAATTAGCCAGACATGGTGGCACACACATGTAATCCCAGCTATTCGGGAGGCTGAGGCAGGAGAATCGCTTGAACCCGGGAGGCGGAGGTTGCAGTGGGCCAAGATCGTGCCACTGCACTCCAGCCTGGGCAACAGAGCAAGACTCCATCTCAAAAAACAAAAACAAAATCATTCAGGTTCTGTAGGGGACCCTCACTGTGTCCTGGATTCCATTCCACTTTTAAAGTCCCAAACAGCTTGTATGGCCACTTCCCTTGACACCCAAACCAGATAGGAGTCTTAAATGACACAGAGTATTGATGGTTTCTTTAAAAGGAAATCCACTCTCAATGGGAAGCTGGATAACTTCGCATCCAGATTTCATCCATCTTGGGCTTTGGTGGCTGCTGTTTGTTTTTGTGCAGGAGAATCTCTCCCAGCCAACGTCGATTTCACTAACACAGTGGTTAACCTTTGCTCTCTACTCCTGCATCAATCTTCCGCCTACCGCATGTTGAGCCATGCTGCTTTCTGGCATTCCTTTTGGATTTTCAGTTTACTACCCAACTACCAGTCCTAATAACATCAGATAAAAGGGCTTCCGCTGTGCTGCACTTGTTTTCAAAAACTATAAATGCCATCGACCCAGAGTTAAGTCCAGCCTCAGAGAGACAGAATATAAATACCCAAGTGGCCCTGGGCCACTGAGTTCCTCAGACATTATGTGCTATGGGAGTTCCAGAAAGGGGGATTGCCTGGTTTTGAGTGCAGAAGGCTTCCTGGAGGAGGCGAGATTTCTGATGGGCCTCTGTTATGAGCTAAATTGAGTCCACCCCAAAATTCAGATGTTCAAATCCTAACCTGTAGTACCTAAGCATGTGGCCTTATTTGGAAGCAGAAGCATAACAGAGGTAATTCGTTAAGATGAGGTCACAGTGGAAGAGGGTGGACCCCAATCTGATACAACTCGTGTCCTTATAAAAAGCAGAAATTTGAAGACAGACACACAAGAAGATGAAGGCAGAGACCTGGCTGATGCGGCTATAAGCCAAGGAACGCCAAAGATTGCCAGCAAAGCACCAGCAGCCAGGGAGAGGCCTCGAACAAATTCTCCCTCCCAGCAAAAAGGAGGAAGGAAGGAACCTCCAAAAGAAGCAGGCCAGGCACAGTGGCTCACGCCTGTAATCCCAGTACTTTGGGAGGTTAAGGCAGGCGGATCACCTGAGATCAAGAGTTCAAGACCAGCCTGGCCAACATGGTGAAACCTCATCTCTACAGAAAAATACAAAAATTAGTCAGGTGTAGTGGCGTGCACCTGTAGTCCCAGTTACTCGGGAGGCTGAGGCAAGAGAATCGCTTGAACCTGGGAGGTGGAGGTTGCAGTGAGCCAAGATCGTGCCATTGCACTCCAGCCTGGGTGACAGAGCGAGACTCCATCTCAGAAAAACAAAAAAGAACCCTACTGACACCTGGATTTCAGACTTCCAGCCTCCAGAACTGTGAGATGTTACATTTCTGTCATTTAAACACCCAGTTTGTAGTACTTTGTTGCAACAGCTCTAGTGAGCTAATACAGCCTTGTAGGACAGGTAGGAATTTGTAATGCACAGAGAAAGCCAACTGGCCACAGTTGTTGAAAATAATAGAATCGAAGCGCCCCTATCACTACCACCCCAGGCCATCACTTTCAAAGCTGTTCAAAATGATGCAGCCGCGTGAGAAGGCCGGAAGGCCAGGGCGGGAGATGGGCTCCAGGTGGGCCCAGGCTGCCTGCAGAACCAGCTTGCCTCACTGCCTGGTTGCCAAGGAGCACCTGTGGCTAGGAGGAGATGCCCAGGAAGAAAATTTGGCCACATCCCTGCCTGCCTCCCTGGCAATGGGTGATGCTCTCTGCCAGCTGGCCCAGCTCCCCCACCACATACCTGGCTAGGAGTCAGTAGGAAAACAGTGTGTGTTTGTAGGGCTCTGCACTGAAGGGCATTAGATCCATGCAAAGGCTAATAAATTAGAGATAAGTGGGATTTGTAGATTTGCTGGAGGTTAGAGCTGCAGGGTCTGGCATCAGCTCTGGGTCTTTTCCATGGCCCCAGGCTGGCTCAGGTGTGAGCTGAAGAGGCAAAACTGTCTGTTTAGGTTGCATTGGGTTCCCCTGAAAGATCTGTTGAAGTCCTAACCTCGGGTACCTCTGTTTGTGCTATTTGCAAACAGGCTCTTTGCAGATGTAATCAAGGAAAGATGAGGCAACGCTGATTTAGTCAGGCCTTAATCCAGTGACTGGTGTCTTCATAAGACAAGGAAATCTGGACACAGACACACAAAGAGGAAAAAGCCAAAGACACAGAGACACATGTACACAGGGAGAACTCCATGGGACAACGCAGGCACAGATCGGAGTGACGCGGCTGCAAGCCAAGGAGCGCCAAGATTGCCAGCAACCCCCTGGGGCTGCAAGAGGTGAGAAGGAGCCTTCGGAGGGAACATGCACTGCTGATTCCTTGATTCCAGATTTCTGACCTCCAGAAGCATGGGAGAACAGATTTCCCTTGTTTGAAGGCACCCAGTCTGTGGTCCTTCATCATGGCAGCCCTCAGGAATGGATACAGGCCCTTCCCTGCCTGCCTGGTGGAGCAGCCTCCAAGGGGAGCCTTTGCTAGCAGGAAGAGGCATCGCATGGAGCTCAGACCCGCCTCAGAGGAACTTCTCTCAGCCTCCTCTCTCCGCACACCCGACCAAGGTGTGAAATCCCTCCCCTTTACCTCTGCCACTTGCAGGTGGCAGGATGCTGGAGCTGTCCCTGCCTCTTTGTAAAGTGAGGGAAGGGCAGCCCTCTCTGCTCTTTTTTTTTTTTTTTTTGAGACAGAGTCTCACTCTGTCTCCCAGGCTGGAGTGCAATAGCACGATCTCGGCTCACTGCAACCTCCGCCTCCCAGGTTCAAGCGATTCTCCTGCCTCAACCTCCTGAGTAGCTGGAATTACAGGTGCCTGCCACCACGCCCAGCTAATTTTGTATTGTTAGTAGAGCCAGGGTTTCACCATGTCGGCCAGGCTAGTCTCAAACTCCTGACCTCAGGTGATCCACCTGCCTCGGCCTCCCAAAGTGCTGCGATTACAGACATGAGCCACCACGCCCGGCCTGCTCCACTTCTAAGGCTTCTTGTGACAATGTAAGAGAAAGGAGATGACAGAGCTTTGCAACGGGAGGAGGGCTATGTGTTCTGGTGACCAATTCACTGTCTTGTGTCGGGACAGGAAGAAGCCCTTCATACGGGCAGCAGGCTGGGAGCCAGGGAGGAGGAAAGATCACGATCCACTCCCTGGTACATGGCCCTTCTGCACCCCGCAGTCTCCTTCCAGGTGCCACAACGAGAAGGCACACATCCTTGGCACAGCACTTGAGGCTTTTCACCACTGGCTGCACTCACCCCTCCAGACTCACTGCCTTGCACCAACCCTTTTCCGCCCACCCCACTCTATGCTGTCCACAGCCTCCACCCCAGCCACCTGATTCTGCAGGCCAATGTCACATTCTTCCAGTCCAGGTTCTATTCTGGCATTTCTTGTCATTATTTTGCTGAGAATGTGTCTCTCTTGACTTTGAACTTATTGAGAGCAGGAATCATGACTCAGCCATATATCCCAGCACTTGGCCCAGGGCCTGTCGTTTCCAGGGTAGGTGGTCTAGGCTGATTGAAGGAATGGCATTTAGTCTTTAAAATGAAAGCATGTTGCCTAGCTTGGTTATTTTTGAACTCTATAATCAAGGACTACGTTTACCTGAATAGCCTCTGCAGAACACCAATTCCGTAAGGTGCTTCACACACACACACCAATTCTATCATTTAATACATTTTGGAAAGGCTACATACTACTACAGCCTCTTTTACAGATTAGCAATGTCCATGAGCGCACTAAAGGTTGAGACATTCTGCAGTGAAGAAGCCTATTTCATTTTGTTTAACCAAGTATTTCTCAAATTTATTTGATCATATGTGGCAGAAAATGCTGTGTCTGGCATTCTTCATTTCCCTCTTCCTCCTTTAACATGGAACCCCTGATGTCTTTAGCTTGGCACATCGCCACCCAGAATAAAAACTACCTTTCCCAGCTCTTCCTGCAGCTAGGGGCAGCCCTGGGATAAATTCTGGACAATGAAATACAGGCAGAAGTAAATCATATACGATTTCCATGAAGGGACCTTAAACAGAAGTGTGCCCTTCTCTTCCCCACACATTCCTCCTCCTGTCTGAAATGTAGATGCAACTGCTGGCATTTGAGCAGCCATCTTGGGCCATGTGGTAGCTTCTTATGGATGATCTAGGACTAATTCAAGGGTCTAGATTTACCTCCAAACTTTGTTTATCTACAAAAAATAAAACTCTATCTTCTTAAAGCTACATGATCTGGCATTTTCTGTCCCATGCAGCCAAACATAATGTTGCCTGATGCACCCTGAAGCCCCCTTGTCCACACCACCTAATTCTGCAGGATACTATTGCAGAAATCTTGATCACCTAGAACACGGAAAAGGCACATGAAACCTGGAGCATTTTCAACTCAGTCCTGGTTTTCCCTGCCTCCACCTCAGCATGGGTGAACTAAAACTATTTCTGCAAGATGTTACTGCAGAAATACTGATCATTAGAACATAGGGTGAGCAAAGCCTGTGGCCAGGGCAGGAACTGATCCCAGGGTCTCATCCTCCACTGGAGTCATGGAGTGGTTGCATCCAACTGAAAGGGCAAGGCAAGAAAAGGCAAATGCCAGCCCCTGAGAAGGTGGGTGACCCACAGGCCTGACTGCCACCCTGTGCCCCACAGTCAGGGCAGCAGGAGCGTGGCGTCCCTACCGCCTCCCCACCAACCTCACCTGGCTCCCCCTCTCTCACACTCACTACTCTTTGGCCACATTGGCTGTCCTTCAGTCCTTCCAGACTGTCCTCCGTGGAGCCTCCCAACATGGTCCCTCCACCTGTAATTCTACTCACTCCTGGCTGCCACCCACCTCTCCCTATCAGCTCATTTTCACCTTTTGGGTCTCAGCCTGGGCATCCCTCCTCAGAACCCCTCCATCCTCACCCTGTATGAAGCAGCCCTCAGGCCCTCCTGTCCCTCTGCATAGCCTACTTGAACACAACACTGATGGTATTGTGGGTTTGTTGACTTATTTGTTTTCCTAATCCCCACTGGCCATCCAAGTTGAAGAGGGCACGGTCTTTGCATGTTTTGCTCATCACTGTGTACTCAGCACCTAGCACAGAGTTGTTGCTCCATAAAGATTTGCTGACAAGCTGTCCACGGGTGACTTCCAAAAGCCTCGGGGCCCCAGCTGGGTGATTGTGCCCTGAGCCAGAATTTCATTGCAGTTTTGCAAAAGTGCCAATGACAAATCTGTTCATCAGCACAAAACAGACACTGGCACGCTGGGTGTGTCCTCACCCACACCCTCACCTTGGGGCCATCAGTCAGGCCCTGTGTTTCAGGTCTCACTAGCTCAGGCCATCACTCCCTCCCTGTCTTGCAGCTGTCGGGGGACAGGGGAGGGGGCATGAAAGAAGGATCTGATACATTGTGCACTGAACATGGTAATGTAAGCAATCCAAGGACATACTGTGAGAAGCACATCTTCCTCCCTCCTGGCACCCCAGCCTCCCAGTTATCTTCTCAGAGGCAATCACTCTCCCCAGCATCTTCGATGTCCTTCCAGAAGCGCTTCCACGCATACACAAGCACACGCATTAATAGGATTTTCTTACTCAAATGTGAGCATGTTATGCGTATTATCCTGCACCTTGTCATTCACTTGCTCTGCTTTTCAACCTAATATATGTTAGAGATCCACCTACATGAGGCCACCTCATTCTTTCGACTGGCTCACATGTTGGCATTTTACTGTATGACTGATGCCTCAGTCCCCCAGTGAGGTGGTCTAATGAGATATCTCATTTCTCACCTAAATAAAGAATGCTTTCTGAATACCTCTTTGCACACATGTGGGAGTGTGTCAGATAAATACCTTTAAGTGGAGTTGCTGGGCCAACAGGTATGTGCCCTTTAGCTTCTGTTAGATAGTGCCACAGTGCCCTCCTAAGAGGTTCTGCCAGTGGGCCCTCTCATCCAGAATGTATGTGATGGGGAACGTGTGTCCCCATCTCCAGCACATGGAATCTTCTGACCCTACTTCATTCCTGTTTGGGCTGGTCTCTGCTCCCTAGCCACCACTGCCCACCTGCCCTCCCTCCCTCCCTCCCTGGAACCCAGGTTCTTACCTGCCCTCTGCCCTTGAAATTCTAGAAATCCTTGCCTTTAGGCCTGCATGCTTTGTCTAGCATCTCTCTTCAACATTGACCCACACGGAGGCCCAAGAGTGACCATGATCCTGTTACCTGGGAGAGTAGGCAAAGTCCCAGAATTCTCTCACTGTGAAACGCACTTGTCCAGAAGATTCAAGTGTCTGTGAAGTTCTGGAAAGTAGCCCCATGCCCAGGGAAATATGCCCCTGTGAAAGTGTTTCACAACAAGCAGTTGAAACCAGGAGAAGGCATGTTCCATGACTCTCTACAGTGTGGATCTGTCATCCCCTGACCTGAGTCACTGGACTTGGAATGGGAGTGGCATCCTGATGATAATTTGACCTTTGACCTTTAACTCCCAACCTGTTGGTGAAGAGTCTTTTTTTTTTTTTTTTTTTTGAGACGGAGTTTTGCTCTTGTCACCCAGGCTGCTGGAGTGCAATGGCATGATCTCAGCTCACCGCAACCTCTGCCTCCCAGCTTCAAGAGATTCTCCTGCCTCAGCCTCCCCAGTAGCTGGGATTACAGGTGCCCACCACCACTCCTGGCTAATTGTTGTATTTTTAGTACAGACAGGGTTTCACCATGTTGGCCAGGCTGGTCTCAAACTCCTGACCTCAGGTGATCCCCCTGTCTCAGCCTCCCAAAGTGCTGGGATTACAGGTGTGAGCCACTGTGCCCGGCCAAGAGTCTTCTTTACTAATCATCTTCATCATTTATCATCTTCACTCACCACCTTCAGGCATGGTTCAAGGCATTAGAGAGAGTATCATGATGACAGGCAGGACTCCCAGGTCTGAGCCAGCCTTGGCTTCACCTGCCTGAGTGACCTCAGAATGTCTCTCCCTTCTCTGGGCCTCAGATTCCTCCTCTAGAATGGGAGGGGTTGGCTTTGGGATGGGCCCTGGGGTCCCAGCCCTAATAGGGGACTTCCCAGCTAACCCCCAGCTATCACACAAAGGGGAGCTGTGGAAGCCGGACTCCTTGCCTAGCCGGTCCTCAGGCCACCCCTCCATCACTGAGTCCCAGGTGGGGCTCAGAGCAGGCGGCTCAGAGCAGCTAACTGGCTCTGTGTTCCTCTAGTACACTTTATTTTTTGTTTGTTTTGCTTTGTTTGAGACAGAGTTTCACTCTGTCGCCCAAGCTGGGGTACAGCCTCCGCCTCCCAGGTTCAAATGATTCTGGTGTTTCAGCCTCCCAAGTAGCTGGAATTACAGGCATGCATCACCACGCCTGACTAATTCTTGTATTTTTAGTAGAGATGGGGTTTCATCATGTTGGCAAGGCTGGTCTTGAACTCCTGACCTCAAGTGATCCACCCACCTCGGCCTCCCAAAGTGCTAGGATTACAGGTGTGAGCCACCACACCCAGCCTCTTCCTGTACACTTTAAACTTTGCAAAGGTATTCAAGGGGCTTCCCTTGCCATTCTATGATAATCTGTCCTTCTCCTTTTGCCCCAATATCCCCTTCCCCTAGTCTCAAACACCCAGATATACTTTTTAAAAATTTTAATGAAAGTAAACATGGCCCATTCTCAAACCTCCAAACAGAGGCCACAGGTAAAATTCCCTCCCAGCCACCAGCACCACAGGGAGAGTTTCACCTCGTTAAGGACACATCGCAGGGCAGCCACTCTGAAAACAGTACCTGGGGGTCCAGTGGAAGCACCTGCTCATCCAGGGCTCAGTTTGGTCCCCAGCACTGGGCAGGACACCCCCAGACAGATTCTGGAGCCCATGCACTGTGACCCCTGAGGAAGAATCAGCCCGAGATCAAAGCCCCATGATGGAACTAAGTCGTTGTGCCTAGGAGGGAGGATGGAGATGCCTGGAGTCATGTGGCCGAGACCCACCTCAAGGAGGGGCCCCAGCCCAGAAGGCTGCTGGCCTGCAGCTCAGCCAGAGAAACTCAGGGTTCCTAAGTCCCTTCTGGCTGCAGGTGAGGCTTGTATCTTTGGGTTCAGCCTGGAGAGGTGGAAGCAGGTGAGCACTCTCAGAGGTGATTGGGATGGTGGTGGGAGTCAGATTCCTAAAGACAAGCTTACCAGGACCTGGGAGGTCATGCCTGGTCTGCAAGGAAGACACTGTGGTTGGATGCAGCTGGCTGGACTGCAACAGGTCCACCTGATGCAAATCCCCTTTTCTTCTTCTGTGAGCTGGAAAGAACCTCCCTGGAGCCACTAGATGGCAAACAGGCTAGCTCAGGTTAAAGCCATCACCACCAGATGGGCAAATGGGCTAGCTCAGGTTAAAACCCTCACCACCAGATGGGCAAACGGGCTAGCTCAGGTTAAAACCCTCACCACCAGACAGGCAAACGGGTTAGCTCAGGTTAAAACCCTCACCACCAGACAGGCAAAGAGGCTAGCTCAGGTTAAAACCCTCACCACTAGATGGGCAAACGGGCTAGCTCAGGTTAAAACCCTCACCACCAGACTGGCGAATGGGCTAGCTCAGGTTAAAGCCTTCACCACCAGACGGGTGAATGGGCTAGCTCAGGTTAAAGCCCTCACCACCAGACTGGTGAATGGACAAGCTCAGGTTAAAGCCCTCACCACCAGATGGGTAAACTGGCTAGCTCAGGTTAAAGCCCTTGCCATCTGCATGGTACATCCACACGTGGTATAACAATGCCTTCCTTTTGCTCTATACCTGGCATCTATGTGCCCAATTTATAGATTCAGGCTGGCCTGTGCTCAACTCCCAGCCCCTCTATAAACAAGCTGGCCTCGGGAAGCCTCTTGAACTCTTTGAGCCTGTTTCCTCATCTGTAAAATGGGCAGGATAACAGTGCCTGCCCCACTAGACTTGTGAGAGTCAACAAGAGAATGCACACACAATGCTTGGTGGCTTGCGGGCACAGAGGAGGCTGCTCTCTTGCTAAAGATTAAATGCACCATTGCCTTTTGAGGAAGTG
This sequence comes from Homo sapiens, assembly GCF_000001405.40. Lineage (NCBI taxonomy): Eukaryota > Metazoa > Chordata > Mammalia > Primates > Hominidae > Homo > Homo sapiens. The sequence goes on along the minus strand of NC_000010.11, from coordinate 117,479,479 downwards.
CCTCCTTGCCACTTGCCATTTCTGCCTCTGTCTCATCCTGCTGGAGACTCAAAACATCTGAGGGGGGCTGGCTGCGGTGGCTCACGCTTGTAATCCCAGCATGAGCCTTTGGGAGGCCGAGGCAGGTGGATCACTTGAGGTCAGGAGTTCGAGACCAGCCTGGCCAACATGGCAAAACCCCATTTCTGCTAAAAATACAAAGATTAGCTGGGCATGGTGGTGCATACTTGTAATCCCAGCTACTCAGGAGGCTGAGGCAGGAGGATCGCTTGAACCCAGGAGGCAGAGGTTGCAGTGAGCTGAGATCACACCACTGCACTCCAGCCTGGGCTACAGAGTGAGACTCCATCTCAGAAAAAAAAAAAATCTGAGGGGCCCTCTCATTCCCCCACAGAACCAAGCAAAGCCCTGGTTAGGAGGGCTGGTCACTGTCCCCAGCCTTGGCTCCCTGGAGAGAAGAAACGGTGCCTCCCCAGGTGTCTGAGGAGGGGAAGAGGAGCCTTCCAAGGGAGCACTAGGATGTTCATCTCTTTCCCCTTCCCTGCCTCTCTTTGCTGGGCTAATGTTCATTGAGCCCCTGCAGTAAGCCATGCGTTGTGGGGGGAAGAGGATAAGAATCGTCAGGAAGGATTCAGACCTAGTTGGAGACACGCACCCAGAGAGAGAGAGACAAATAACACACCACAAGACAGCCATCCCTCTCTTCAACAAACAAGCACAGCAAAACTCTCCAACCAACTTCTGCCTTAGGAGTCGAGGATACAAAAATGAATGAGACACTGTCCCTGTCCTCAAAATGTTTACCGTCTAATAATATAATTCCACTCAGCAACTGAGGGCTTCCAGGGGCTTTGCATGCTTTGTTTCATTTGTAATCCTAACCCACTCTCATGCAGGAGGTCCTAGTATCCCCATTTTGCAGACGAGGAACCTTAGACTCTGGAATGTGTCCATCGTCTGAATAATCACCACTAGGTGTCCAAAGTGCTCTAACTAGAGCCTACACACGTTGCCTTGGGAGCTTCAGACTGACTTTTCAGAGCAAGTTGTGGTCAGGGAAGAATAGTGTCTGAGCTGCTTCTTAAATGACTCAACCTCCAGCAGGCCAGGCAAGGCAAGGAATTCCTGGAACAAGACTAGTATATGCAAAACACCTGGGTATAAAAGAACACAGGGGGCATGAGCTATTTGCTCAATTCTAAAATCTAAGAGGTTTTCAAGGTAATGGTGGGAGACGTAGCTGCGAAGGGAGGCAGAAGCAAGAGCTTTGAACAGAAACCTAAAAAATAGAACTTCTGGAGGCAATAGGGAGCCATTGAAGGTTGTTAAGCAGGGAAGAGAGCATCTGAAAGATCACAGGTCAGTAGAAGTAAACCATATTGTCAGGGCTCTGAGTCATGGGAGAGAAGAACATGGGTAGGGTGAGCCAACAAGGTTCCTAGAGGCAGGGCACTCCAGTTAGGCCCAATGCTCAGATGAAGGTAGCATGTTGATAGGAAAAGGCAATGGTCAAATTAAGCCACAGACAAGGCACATGAAACCTGGAGCATTTCAGACTCAGTCTTGGATTTCCCTGCCTCCACCTCAGCATGGGCAAACTAAAAAAGAAACAGCTGAGAAAGTGTCAGATGTATTAAATCCACTGAGTTCCTGTCTCGGGCTCTTGGGCTCTGCCTTTCATGCTATATTTAGATGCTCCAGAATTCTCCTCTGCTCAGGCGTGTCCCACACCCCCTCAGAAGAGTGAGCATGTTTCCTGGGCTCCCCCCAGCCTTTGCCAACCCCATCAAGCTTCCTGTCTGACCCCAAGACACATTTTCCAACCAGGGTTTGAGGGACTCCACATGGCCCAGCCCCTCTTCTCCCTGAGATCTGGATTCCACAAAGAACCAGCCAGAATTTGGCATTATTCTCCTCATGAAGAAAAGAAAGCCTCAATCCTTTCTTTGGCTGGGTTTTTCACCATAACTGGTTTTCATTAGCTTTTAAATGGAAAATAAATTTTCCCCAATGGAACATTGCCATTTATTTGCAGAAAGTCATTGTTCATTTCATATTTTTTTATGCTGAATGACCCAAGCCTGAGTCTGCTGAGGCTCTGTCCAGGGACCCCAGGGAGTGTGATTTAGAAACCTTCCTGGCAGGCACCAGAAGAGACAGTGTCCAGTTGCCTCCTATTAAGCCTGCAGGGTTGAGAAAACTCACTTTCCCTTCCAGTCCAAGTCCTAGTTCACCTGGCAAAGAAGCAGCTTCTCAAAGTCTCCTCTTCCTCCTAGCCTCTCCTCACTCTGGTGCTAAAAAGAGAAGGAAAGAGTAAACAAAACCAGGAAAGTAATCCATTGATAAAACGCCAAGTGATGTTGTTCTGCGGAGCCAGAGTGGGGCCACCTGGGCACAATTCTCCCACAAAGGAGCCAACTCTACTGGGGCTGAGACCCAGAGCCATCTGGACTCCCAGGCCAGCCCCAGAGCATTGAGCAGCGGGTTAGGATACTTAAGGAGAGGCAAGTCAGGCAAGAAGCAGAAAGACAGGAAATGGAGAGATAGGAAGCAGAGAGACAGGAAGTGGAGGGACAGGAAGTGGAGAATCCAGCAGGGGCCAATGTTGGACAACACTCCTTTGCCAGCTGTGCTCCCCATGCAACGGGATGAGGAGATTTTAAGCCTCTACCAGAAAAACTCAAATCTGGAGATAATTTAATTTTTCCTGGGTCTCTGCCAGCCATCTCCAGAGTTTTGTCAAATTTTCCACCTACTTCCTCTGTGTGTGGAAACTCAGCCTCCATTTTAGAACTCCATTCCCAACAGTGGTTCTGCACCCCCACCCATGTTTTTTTGTTTGTTTGTTTGTTTGTTTGTTTTTGGTTATCCTGGAGGTTTTGTGGATTAAGATGTGTGAGATGAGGGGTTTATAGGGACTGGCTGGAGGTATGCCCCCCCTTCCACCCACACACCCACACACACATACACACGCACACGCTGTTGTGCAGAAGATGTTTCTTGGGTGGCTGAGCAAAGAATCAGGTATTTGGATGTCCTGATTTGACCCTGAGAAAAATAGCAGCCATCCACAGAGCTCTGAAACATACTTCCCACTGCTTGGAATGGCAGCTCCTCCTCAGAGTAAGTTGGAAATTTTTCTACTTTATTGCATAAATATAGAACCAAATCACACACTATATAAAGTTTTATATAGGAATATATAGATTTTAAAGTTCACGGTCTTCTCCTCTTTCCTTCTAATCCCACCACTCTCAGGATTACTATTTTGATGTGTATCATTGATTTTTTTATTCATGCTTTTTTAATGTAATGCTTATGAATACACATTCCCCTATTGGCTTTTCTCCCCCAGACAAAACTGGGACAAGCAATTAGCTTTTGAAAAATTTAACAATATATCCTGGCCATTGTTCCAGCTCAGGAGATATGGCTCTGACTCTTTTTTAACAGCTGCATAGCATCCTATTGTGTGGAGGTGCCATGATTTTATTAACCAGTCTTCTGTTGATGGACATTCAAATTGTTTCAGGTTTAGGGATTTTTGTTGGTTTGTTGGTGTGTTTCCTACTATTATAAATGACCCTGTAATAATTACTGTGCATCTCTCCTGCTGTACTGGCAGTTTTATTTTGTAGGACAAAGTTCTAAAAGTGGTCTAAAAGATTTACGCGACAGAGGAAACCTATGTTCAAATTGCAGTAGACACTGCCAGATAGCATCTCAGAAAGATCTTGCAATTCACACCCCTTCAGAATAAGTCTTCAACTCCAAAACCAGAGGGTGGTAATTTCTCAGGGAAGGCCTTTTTTTGGATTTCACTTTATATTTAGATAAAACATACAAAATTAGTTTATAAACTCTAAAGCATTTACAACTGAGATGTCAGCCGGTGATGATTTACTCCTAAATTCTAAGTAATAGCACTTCCAATCTCCATTCTACAGAATTTCCCTAAGCCATTGCCTCACCCAGGGTTTTGGAAGCTCCTGATGCAGGGTGAGAAGTGGGGGAGTTGATAGTTTTAAAGTCACTTCAAGCTCCTTACTGTAGCTCCAAACAGAAGAGAAAGAGATTGTATTTCTCTCCCTCTAATTATTGGAAAAAAGTCCTAAATTTTGCTCTAATTGGACCAACCTAGGTCGCAGGATTTGAGCCAATGTGAGTATGGCCTACCATGAATAAAGGGGAGAGGTTGAGGGGCATGAGTTCCTGGAGGTGGGCAGGGGCCTGAAATCATTCCATTTGGGTTCATTTCGTAATCCCACACATGCTGTTGTGGCCTGTGCCACACTAACCTAGACTTGGGACTGTGCCCTTTTCTATAATACATACATGTACACACCCTCCTCACATACAGTTATTCATAGTGTACAGACTACTGAAACTTTAGTGTACCTGGAAGGACTCACATCTTAGGACACATACAACTTAAAATTCAAAGTTCAATAAACCAGTTTCTAAAAATGCCCCGTCTTAGTCCTTTTAGTGTTGCTATCACAGAATAGCTGAAGATGGGTAATTTATTAAGAAAAGAGGTTTATTTGGCTCACAATTCTGATGGCTGGAAAGTCCAAGATTGGGCTGCTGCATCTGGTGAGGGCCTTAGGTAGCTTCCACTCATGGTGGAAAGAAGGGAAGGAAAAGTGCAAAGAGATCACAAGACAAGAAAAAGAATGAAACTGGGGAAGCCAGATTCTTTAACTACTTGCTCTTGCAGGAACTAATCCATTCCTGGAAGATTGAGAACGCACTCACTCCCTCAGGATGGCATTAGTCTGTTCATTAGGGATCCATCCCCATCCTCCATCTCCTATGGCCCCTCCCCAAACATTTCTGAAATGGAAGCCCTAGACTTCTGATCTTAACTAGATCCATTTTTTTTTTTTTCTTAGACAGAATCTCACTCTGTTGCCCAGGCTGGAGTGCAGTGATGCAATATCGGCTCACTGCAATCTCCACCTCCCAGGTTCAAGCAATTATTCTGCCTCAGCCTCCTCAGTAGCTGGGATTAAGATGCCCACCCCCATGCCCAGCTAACTTTTTTGTACTTTTAGTAGAGACAGGGTTTCACCATGTTGGCCAGGCTGGTCTTGAACTCCTGACCTCAGGTGACCCACCCACCTTGGCCTCCCAAAGTGCTGGGATTACAGGTGTGAGCCACCATGCCTGGCCTCATCTGTTTCTCTCCCCGCAACTCTGTCCTCTTTCTCAGAAGAACAACTTCCAACAATAATAATTATTTCCCATCAGGCATGGTGGTTCATGCTTGTAATCCCAGCACTTTGGGAGGCCAAGGTGGGCAGATCACATGAGGTCAGGAGTTCAAGACCAGCCTGGTCAACATGGTGAAACTCTGACTCTACCAAAAATACAAAAATAATAATAATAATTAGCCAGGTGTGGTGGCAAGCAACTGTAGTCCCAGCTACTCAGCCCGCTGAGGCAGGAGAATCTCTAGAACCTGAGAGGAGGAGGTTGCAGTGAACCAAGATCACACCACTGCACTCCAGCCCGGGCAACAGAATGAAACTCCATCTCAAAAAAAAAAAAAATTATTCCCTTTTCTTGCACAGTGAAATTCAGTTCTGCCCAGCCCTTACTCTCAGATTTTGTAAGAGCAAGACAAAAGGGTCTTTCATACAATGGACTCTACTCTCCTTAAAAAGAAGCAGGGGTTGTAAGTAGCAAAAAGTTTTCACTTCTTTCCACACCAAAAAGCTTCATTCATTTAATCCATTCTCCACTCTTAGCACAGTGTTCTTTTAAAAATGTAAATTAGATTATATCACACCCCTGCTCCATCCCCACTGGCTCCTCCAAGCCATTAGAATAGAGTCCAGACCCTACTTTGGCTATCCAGTCCCCGCCCCAGATGTGGCCCCTGCCCACCTCCAGGAACTCACCCCCCTCAACCTCTCCCCTTCATTCATGGTAGGCCATACATTGGCTCAAGTCCTATGACCCAGGTTAGTCCAATTAGAGCAAAATTCAGGACTTTTGTCCAATAATTAGACGGAGAGAAATGCAATCTTTTTCTCTTCTGTTTCCCCCAAGATACAAGCAAGGAAACGTGTGGCATCTGGCTACCATGAGCTGAAGACAAAGCCTACATGGGGAAAAGTGCAAAACCAGGAGAATGGGAGAGAAATGGAGCCACGCACTGATGCTGTTGTGAAACATCTCAATCAAACTGCACCTGAAGACCGCCCTATCCCTGCATTTTTCATTTACATGAGCCAATAAACTCTCTCATTTAAGTCAACAGGAGGGGTATTTTCTGTTACTTGCAAGAGAAACATCCCAAATAGTACATGAAATTGTTCTCTGTTCCATTCGTCTTCAAGGGGGTCAGAATGAGCGGCATCTGGTCCTGTTATCATTAACTATGCAAATATTTCTTCCACTTCACATCACGCTGAACAGAGGCTCATTCTGTGGTTCTGCCCCTCAGCTCCCCAAACCTATCTCAAGGCCCCATTGAATCCCCCTGCATCACCTCTCCCTGCTCAAAAAAAAAAAAAAAAAATACACAGGGGCTCAGCCCACAGAGGAGGAGCCCTCAGATAGCTACAGCCTTGTGTTCCCATGCCCTGCCCTCCACCTACCCCTTGCTGAGGCATACTTGATCTCCTCTCCAAGAGCAGGGGGAACGGGCTTGTGGCAATCAGAGTTTTCCAGATCTTTTATTCCATACTTGGATCTTGGCTTTCAATACTCAAAGCCAAACATTTAGCTCTTGTTCTCTTCATTGTGCTCTAATGATCCTCTCTCGAGGTGATGATCCATCTGCCAAAATGCGGGGAGCATTACTGATAACAGGAAAAACCAGGAGCAAATGTGGAATGAATGTATCAGCTCCCCGTCTCTTCTCAGAGACCTCCTCACAATAGCTGACTGCTTTGGGGAATTGATAAGTTCTTGGAGCAGAGGGTGTGAGCTTGGGGAGACACCCTCAGGGAGCCGCCCGTGAGGAGCAAGAGATGGTTTATATCCAGCCAACCATTTCTCTGACATTGAGAAGAGGTGACAGCTGAGAGCAAAAGTGGGGTTGCTTGGGATAATAAAGAAGTTTCTAGAGACTGTAGATTCGAAGAGAGAGGAAAGGTGAAGCAGGAAACAGAAACATTGAGGAAAGAATAAAGGCATTTCGAGGGCTATCTCTGGTGTTTTGCTGTGTTGAGCCATCTTTCACCGAGGCCACTGCAGCAGCGTCCCCACTGATCTCCCACTATGTCCCCCACCAATGCGTCCTCCACACACTGACAGAATGACCTTCCTGAGATGCAAATCTGGCGGTCTTCTTTCTGCCTAAAACCTTCAGTGGCTCCCCATTGCCCTCAGAAAAAAGTCCAGTCTCTCCAAGTAGCCGTGAGTCCCTCCGTGATGTGACTCCTCACCTTCCACTTTACACTTGGCAAATTGAGCTCCTGCCATCTCCTCACCCACCTATGGCCTCCTCTCCCTCACTGCAGGGTTTTGGCAACCATGGACCATGCATGGAAGGCCCCTGCCTTCTCCTCCACACATTTTTTTTAATCCTCACAACCACCCCAATGAGGGGATCTGTATCCTAATTGTAGACATGAAGAAACTAAGGCTCAAAGCGTTTAAGTCCTATGCAAAGGTCACATAGCTTCAAAAGCAGAGGACCCAGGTTTTAAAACTGGCCCTGTCCAAGGTCTATGATCTTTCCAACATGCCAATGCCAACAAGACTGGCCATCACAACACAAGTGACATGGAGGAAGAGCATGGTGACACATCTTTACAAGACAAGAGCTCTCAGCTCTGGTATTGCATCATCCCCCAGGACCCTGAGGCTAGGTAGTTTTGCAGGTGGGGGGGAGTCAAGAAAGATCTAGGAAGACAAATACTGTCTATTTCTACTTACATGAGGTAAGCGAAATCCACAGACCGAAAATAGAATGCTGGTTGCCAGGGGCTGGAGGTGAGGAGAAGGAGGAGTTACCATTTAATGGTAAAGAGTTTCAGTTTTGCAAGAAGAAATTTCTGGAGATGGTGGTGGTCATGGTTGCACAACAGTGTGAAGATACACAATGCCACTGACCTCCACACTTAAAAATGGTTAGGAGAGTAAATTTTATAATAGGTGTATTTTGCCACAATCACAAATAATTTTTTTAAATTGCACAATGAAAATCACAGGGTTCATGGGAATAATAGAGTTGACCCATAACATTCAAAGACTGTCATTTACATATTTTGAAAAGATAGGAATCTAATAATAACCATAGCACAATTTTGCACATGTTCAGTGGTGAGAGAGTATATAAGTATCACAATGCATATGACACTTTATCTTGAAGAAAGAAAGAAAAAATCTGGAACAAGTTTCTCAAACTTATTGGTCTCAATACCTCTTTATACTCTTAAAACATAATTAAGAACTCCAAAGAGCTCATGTTTATGTGGTTTATAGCTATCGATATTTTCCATATGCTAAATAAAAACTGAGAAATATTTAACCAACAAGAATACACAGGTGTAACTTCCATCCGTCACCAGAGTGATGACATCATCCCATGTCACATAGGCCACAAAAACCTCCACTGCACACTTGTGACAAAATGAAAGGGAAAAGGGCAAATAACATCATCATATGCTTTATGTTTTTTTTTTTTTTTTTTTGAGACGGAGTTTCAGTCTCATCGTCACCCAGGCTGGAGTGCAATGGAGCAATCTCAGATCGCTGCAACCTCCACCTCCTGGGTTCAAGCTATTCTCCTGCCTCACCCTCCCGAGTAGCTGGGATTACAGGCATGTGCCACCACACCCGGCTAATTTTTTGTATTTTTAGTAGAGATGGGGTTTCATCATGTTGGCCAAGCTGGTCTCAAGCTCCTGATCTCAAGTGATCCTCCTGCCTCGGCCTCCCAAAGTGCTGGGATTACAGATGTGAGCCACCGCACTTGGCAACATCATTATATTCTTATGAAAATAGTTTTGACTTTACAGATCTGAAGGGCTCCAAAGAACTTCCGCACATTTCCAGAATACATTTGGAGGAGCTAAGGAGGAAAGGCTGATGCACTGCAGAGAGAACAGCCCAAGAGACCCCGCCATGCCCGCCTGACCTGTGTACAGTGTCCTCTGCAGCTTAGTGCTGGCCCCAAAGCTGCCCACACTCCACCACTCCCTGGGGCCATGGCTCCAGGACCTCCCCAGGGACCTGGACAGCAGGGAGGCCCTCTGGGTTATTCCCAAACTTGAAGCAGGCAGAAGCAGTTTTTTGAAAGCGGCTTTGCTGTGTCTGCCAAGCCAGGAAAGTCAAAGCCCTGCCCTGCAATGTTGCTGCAGATCCTCCGTGAGTGGCAGCCAGTTTTTAATAAGGCTTATTTAAAAACAAAAACAAATCAGCTTATTTACAGTGTGAAATGAGTTGTGTTCGGCCCTAATCCCCTGTGGTCAGTCAGCACTCAGCACTTATGCCAGCCATCCTGGTCCCTGCAGACCGCCTTAGTGAAGGTTATGTCCCCTTTCTAATGACGAGAGGCAGAAATCCAGTAATGCATTCAGTGCAGTGAAAATTTAATCCCAAATATCATTTTTACTCATATGAGGAAAGTTAACCCACTGAAGATTCAATTCGACAAACATTGTCTCCGAATTGAGGTCATCCATTTACTTAATTGTAACATTGCCATCTCTCACATGAGCTTCCAACCAAGACTCAGGTCAGGACTCTCTGATGGGTTATATTCATCGGATCTGCGGCTCCCTCCTGGTCAGTGAAGCCAGGAGGGAGCAGGGATTGGCAGTGTGCTCCCATCTATGCGGAGCGGAGCTCCCAGAACACTTGGGTATTTAAGGGTGAGGAGTGGCCACAGGCACGGGGGCATCAGATCCATGCCCCTTTGGGAGCCTTGGGACACCAGAGGAGCCTCTTACGCAGGGAGGCTCCAGGACCTCGTGGGAGAAAGGGTGGAAAGGCTGTGAGCCTGAGAGAAGGGCCCCCAGGTGACTACTCCAGGGCACCCAATTAGTCAGGGTTCTCCAGAGAAGCAGCACCAAAAGGATGTAAACATATAGAAAAGAGCCCTGGTGCTGTGGCTCATGCCTGTAATCCCAGCACTTTGGGAAGCCGAGGCAGGTGGATCACTTGCGGTCAGGAGTTCGAGACCAGCTTGGCCAACATGGCGAAACCCTGTCTCTCCTAAAAATACAAAAAGTAACCAAGTGTGGTGGCAGGCACCTATAATCCTAGCTACTCGGGAGGCTGGGTAGAAAAATTGCTTGAACCTGGGAGATGGAGGTTGCAGTGATCTGAGATCGCGCCACTGAACTCCAGCCTGGGTGACAGAGGGAGACTCTGTCTTAAAAAAAATAAAAATAAACATATAGAAGAGAGGTTTAGATACTGGCCCCACAATAATGGAGGCTAAGAAGTCCCAGGAAAGCCAAGGGTGTTGTTCCATTCCAAAGGCCAGCAGGCTGGAGGATGCCTAGGAAAAGCCAATGTTTTAGTTCTAGTCTGAAAGCGGGAAAATGCTGCTGCCCCCGTTCGAAGGCAGTGAGGCAGGAGGGATTCTCTCTTCCTTGGAGAAGCAGCAGACTTTTTGTTCTAGTCAGGCCTTCAACTGATTGGGTGAAGCCCACCCATATTAGGGAGGGCCATCTGCTGTCCTCAGTCCACCCATTCAAATGTTCATGTCCCCTAGAAACACCTCCACAGACACACCCAGAACAATGTCCACCAAATATCAGAGTAGCCCATGGCTCAGTCAAGTTGATATATAAAATTAATCATCCCAAGTACCCAAAGAAAAGGGAGACAAAGATTATCTCCAAATCAGGAGGGAAAGAGTGGCACTCACCCCAAAGCAAGGGAGAGCTGAGAACCGGGTGCCCCACCACAGGCTGGTGGTAGTATCCAGGACTTGGGGACTTTCCTTTGTGAGATCTTCCTGAGTCCTGCAGCAGCAGGGACCATGACATGTAGAGAAGTTAACTCTGTCGGGTCTGCAGGCCCTGGGAGGTGACCATTCGTAGAGCAGACATTTGAGCAACAGTTTCCATTGCCAACCCTGAGACCAAGCAGGGCCTGCCTCCAGCAGCAGGGACTTTCAAGACAAGGCCACATTTTAGACCAACAACACTCCTGATGACACTTCTATGGCATAAATGATTAATGCTGAGTCTCTAAACAACCAACAATAAGAGAAGAGGACATTGACCAAGGAGAAAAGGAAGGAATGAGAATTCAGAGAACCTGCCCCAGAGCCTGTACAAGGCAACACCTGTGAAATGGTTTGGCTCTGTGTACCCACCCAAATCTCACCTCCAATTGTAATTCCCACGAGTTGAGGGAGGGACCTGTAATCCCCACGTGTCGAGGGAGAGAGGTGATTGGCTCATGGAGGTGGTCTCCCCAATGCTGTTTTGTGATAGTGAGTTTTCACAAGATCTGATGGTTTCATAAGGCAATTTTCCCTGCTCTCTTGCACTGTCTCACCTGGTGCCGTCTAAGACATGCCTGCTTCCCCTTCCACCATGATTATAAGTTTCCTGAGGCCTCCCCAGCCATGCAGAACTGTAAGTCAATTAAACCTCTTTTCTTTATAAATTACCCAGTCTCAGGCAGTTCTTTACAGCAGTGTGAAAATGAACTAATATTAATGCAACCTACAAGCATCATCTCATTTAACAGAAAAGAAAACCCAGAAAGGTCATGGTGGACTTTCTGTAACTAGTCATAAGTAATTATGATTTCATAATCAACAGAATCAAGTGCCTATGAAAGGCCTGCCCCTGTGCTTTATGGTATGAATTCTTTTAATCCATTAATGACATTACCTGGAACAACCCTGAAAGAGGGGAACCATTATCATTCCCATTTTATAGATGGAGAAAGTGAGGCACACAGAAGTGAACTATGTTGCCTGGGGTCAGAGAGCTTCTAAAGGGTAAAGCTGGGATTTGCCTCCAAACAGTCAACTCCACTGTGCCGCCTCCTTTGATAAGTGGGTCCCCTACTGGGGTCCCCCAGGTCTGGGTTACACACTGGCCTAAGGCATGACTGAGTGGCATGAAAGCAGGCTTCCTGCTGGCTGAGAAAGCAGACCATCCTTCCACCTGGTTCTCTCTGGCTCGCGCATTCCTCTTGCCACGGACACAGGCAGCCTCTGGAAGGGGAAACAGCAAATGGCGAAAAAACAGGCAGCCACCTACAGCGAGGCCAGGGAGAAAGTGGCAGCTATAAGGACAGAGTGTAGGTGCCCTGGCCTGTAGGGAGAGCTGACAGGTGGGAACCAGGTGCCTCTCCACTGTGTTGGGGTTCTTATCTGAGGGTTCTTTAGCCTCCCATCCCCACTCCAGGCTCCCCTATTGCATTTGTAAACCCTATGGTGACAGTGACAGGGACTCTGTCGCCTCTCCACACTCAGTAGACAGTCCATCAACCCAGCAGACCCCCGATCCAATCAGCCTTCTCAAGCCAACCTTGGGCTTTTCTTTTTCCCCAAGGGAAAGAGCTAAGTCTGCCCTTCCAGTCCAGAACAAGCTCTGAATTTTAATTCTGGATTGAATTTCATGTGGATTGAGCCCAAAGCTATTCGGAGACAGATTAGCAGCCCTGACATTCAGCCTCTAGTCTTTGGGAAAAGCGACCTAAATCAGCACCCAACAAACCCAGTTCAAGTGGAATTCTCCCTGTGGCTCCGATAAGGCTTTTGGGGAAGCCTCTGGCGGGGGGTTCACCACCTTTTCAGAAATACGCCACCCACGCAGCCAGACCCATCAACACAGTGGGGAGGCAACGAGAGAGGAAGGGCACAGAAGATCTAAGAGCTAAGATACCTGAAGCCACAAGTGCCTTAGATGGGAGGCTTCTCTCCTCGGGCCTTGCTAGGCACCAACATATATATGCCGAAGCTAGGAACCTGGAGAATCGGGGCTTGGATTAGTCAGGGTTCTCCCGAGAAACAGAACCAACAGGAGATATTTGCATATACACAGAGGGAGAGAAAGAGAGATGATAAGGAATTGGTTCATGTGACTCTGGAGGCTGAGAGGCCCCAAGATCTGCAATCAACAAGCTGGAGCCCAGGTGTAGACCCAGCCAGAGTTCAAAGGCCTGAGAACCAGGGAAGCTGATGGTATAGAAAGTTCCAGTCCAAAAGCCAGCAGTCTTGAGACCCAAGAAGAGCTGATGTTTTTGTGTAAAGGCAGGAAAAGTCCCACGTCCCAGCTCAAAGCAGTCAGACAGACCCTCTTTCTCTTGAGAGGGTCAGCCTTTTGTTCTATTCAGGCCTTCACCTGATTGGATGAGGCCCACCCATATCAAGGCCACCTGATTTCCTCAGTCTGCTGCCTTACATGTCCCTCTCATCCAAAACACCCTCACACAAACACCCAGGATAATGTTTGACCAAGTATCTGAGCACCCTGTGGCCCTGTCAAGTTGACAGCCATCAGTCCGGGCACGGTGGCTCACACCTGTAATCCCAGCACTTTGGGAGGCCGAGGCAGGCGAATCACCTGAGGTCAGGAGTTCGAGACCAGCCTGGCCAATATGGCAAAACCCCGTCTCTGCTAAAAATATAACAATTAGCCAGGCGTGGTGGCACATGCTTGTAATCCCAGCTATTTGGGAGGCTGAGGCAGGAGAATCGCTTGAACTCAGGCGAGAGAGTTTGCAGTGAGCCGAGACTGTGCCACTGCACTCCAGCCTGGGCAACAGAGTGAGACTCTGTCTCAAAAAAAAAAAGAAAGAAAAAAAAAAGAAGAAGAAGAAATCAGCCATCACAGGGCTTGAGATGGAAAAAGAAGGGACAATGGGCCACTTAGCATTAAAACATATAAGTGCTATGCAAGAGACAGCCACAGACAAAGGCCTCGTTGTCTTGCCAGTGCCCCAGCCTGAGGCCAAAGCAGGTGCCCAGGCAGGTGTCCCTGAGTGACTGCAAAGTAAGAAGGCCACATGGAGAGGGCTCCTAGGAGCACCCCAGGGTCAGAGGATGTGCGAGGTATTTACAACCTGGGCAGTAATTAATTCATTAGCATATCAATCAGAATTTTAAAGGATCTTACCTCCTATACTCTAAATGAAACTATATGCTGAAACTGCTTGTTAGTGATAAACACTGCAGCACAAATTATTCATTGAATCCTTGTAATAATTACCAACTGATATGTGGGAGGTTTCTGTCTGATCCATGGCTGGCTATGGGGACTGTCTCAAACTCTTCCAAGGACATTCCCAGTACAATGATGGTCACTAGGTCCCCGGCACCTGGTGCTCTGTAGCAGCCAGAGCTACACAGCGCCTTGTCCACACATCTTGCCTGGGAACACACACCTACCACATGGTCTGGACACAGCCTCTGGCACAGTGGCCACCTGCTCCACCTCCTGCTGTGTCGCACCCACCAATGCTGGCTACTCTGGAGTGGTGGGCAGTCATGGCATTTACCCTCACTGCCTCTGCCCACATGGCACCTCCCACGGCTGCCAGCATCCTCTCCAGCACCACTCTCAGGCCTGGTGACCTCCCCGGGGCCGCTGTGGGCAATGTTATTTGGTGGTTGATAGTCTCATTAAGTCATACATTTTGCCCCCTGGTATAAGAGGGTTTCAATCTTCTAATCACAATGAGGCCTTAATAGTATGTTCTCATTGAACGGCAGCCCTGAGTCCGAGGGGCTGAGCAGTAATAGGAAGGTGGGGAGACAGAAGGGGCCCAAAGCAGAGGGTTTTTCCTACTGGCTGGAGAGCAGCAGCTAAGTGGAGCAGCCCCACGAGGCTAGAACCAAGGCTTCTCATGCCCACTGAGGAGATTGGGAATGAGCTGCCAAGACAAGCTAGGAGCACAGATCTGTTTTGAACATCTTCTACACTCTGTGTTCTTAACCACCCAGTGGTAAGAATTAAAGATAAGTATATATATATATACCGTGGACCAGGCCAGCCCCTGTGGAAGGTGTTTCATAACATTTTGCTGTAAATTTATTTTTTAAAAACTCTTTAAAGAATATATTCTTATCTCATATTTCATGAGGATGGTGAAGCTCAGAGAGTTTGAATTGGTCCATTCATTCATCCAACCAGAACATGCCAGGCACTGTGCCAAGCACTGGTGATAACTGACCTCAAAAGATGTGGGCCCTGTGCAGTCTGCTGAGCAAGTCTGGCACTAAGGAAACAAGCCCACAAACAAATATGCAATTATCTATCACCATGAAACACAGTAAAGAAAGGTCCAGGGGTGCCATGACGTGGGGGTCTACTGTGGGTAGGGACTCAAGGAAAGCTTCCTTCTGGGGAGCATACAGTCACCCAGTTCCAAAACCAGACACAAGCCCAAGGCCTTGCCCTTTCTCCCATGCCAACTCATGCCCCTTACTATGCAAAGGAGAATTGAATGGGGGAACTCATCAATTTCCCCTTCGATGTTCAGTCTACATGTCTTGGATGTACCTTGAGCCACTACAGCCCAAAGTTCTCACTTCTACATCCCCACTTCCACATCCCCACTTCCAAATCTCCCTCCCTCCATCCATGTATGAGGTTGTGACAAGTCACACATGAGAAGTTGTTGATGGGACCATTTAGAAAATGTTGAATGATAGCAAGATGCTTTGAGGCCCAGATTCCATTCCTGACTTTGCTACTTGCCAAGAATGAGACTGAGACATGTGGCTTTACACAAACTGTAAGAAGTCATGCAATGATCATAGTTGCTGTTTCCTAAGCACCTACCACAGTCCAGAAGCTGACATGCTTTGAATGAGGTATCTGTGGTTGACTGAATTATTAGTCCTGATTCCTCACTCCTCCGTGCATCCATGCTCTTGCTGTGGCCTACCTGTGGTCATAGTGTGCTTCCCCACCCCTGGTTTTGGGCTCAGCCATGTGACTTGCTTTAGCCAATAGGATGTGGCTAAATAAGATGCAAGCAGGGGCTTGAAATGTGCTTCAGCTGTGGAGTTTGCTCTCTTCTTGTGTCTTGCCATTGCTATAAGAAGATATTCCCCCATGCAGCTGCTGCCACCTTGGCCTGGCTCACAGTGAGATTCATGGGGCAGCCACGAATCTGCCTGAGCCAGCCAGACTTGCCACTGGAAGCAGACTTGGTCCTAGCCAAACCTCAAAAACATGAGAAATAAATACTCATTGCTGTCTGCCTCTGAAAGGTGATGACTGGTTGTTACACAGCAGTAGCTAGCTGATACACTTTCAAACTTCACAATTCTAAGAGGCCAGTATTATTTCTCCCATTTTACAGATGAAAAAACACAGAACTGAGGTTTCTACATAGGCTTGTGTCATAAATTAGTAAGTGGCAGAATTGGGATTTACATCTAGGACTTTCTGGGGCTAAAGTACAAAATGTAAGTATTGGTGCTGCTCCTGCAAAACCCTGCATTGCTGGACACCTGTGATGATCTAACTTTGGATGTGATACAATTGACAGCAGACCTCTAGAGCCCAGAGCTGCCCAGCTACAAGGTTCACCCAGTCATTCTCAAAACTTCTCAAGAATGCCACCTCACATTTAATGTGTGTTAATTTTTAGTCCCCATTTAATAGCATTACAGTAGATCTTACTGTATTATAATTAGTTAGAGAGCAAGAGTAACTTTTAGAATAAAATGTCAGCATATGTTGGGAAAGAGAATGAAAGAAATGGTTTATATATGAGAAGGTAAACATCCCCAAAAGAAAAAGGAGAAATGATTATTATTCTTCAATTCAAGGGGCTGGTATGCAGCTCTCACTCCAGCGGGAGATCAGTGAGGAGATTCTTGCAGTTAATCAGCCCAGAGCCAGTCTCCAGTTAACTCGGCTCCTCATTTCTTCTCCAGCCTGAGAAGGCGCCCTAAATGAACCAGAGGAAGAAGCAACCAGCAGGAAGCGGGTCCCCAGATCCTTGCAGCCTCGGCCACCAGGAGGGGCTGCCCCACTGTTAGGGTTCCTTGTTGCCCTGCCCCTGGGCTCTGCCACACACAGTTGGGCAGAGGGGCTGTTGCCACTCCATCCAGGCCTGCTGCAGCCCCAGGGAGGAAGAACCGCAGTGCTGTGTCAAGGCTAGAGAGATTCTGGGGAAGTTTTGGCTTTAATAGAGGCCACATACAGGGATAGCAGGTGGGCAGGGGAACAATGGGAATTGGAATCTGAGATTGAAGGGCTTTGGGTCAAGGTTTGGGCTTCCACCTTTCACTCGTGACCTGAAAGCCAGGAGGGGGTGTGAGTTGTATGTCAGAGGCTTAGTTCTCAAGGAAGGCCTGGGGGCAGGGGATCAGATGCCTTGGTAAGTGTCAGGCCATCTCTGCAGGCAGACAGCCTCTGCCTCCTACACCCCACAAGCTCGGTAGTGGAGACTTGAGGAAAATAAAGGACAACCATGTGGATCACCAAAATACATCTCAACCAGCCCCAGCCTCGCTGTCTCCCCAGACTTGGTCCTGGGAGCCAGCTCTGCCAGGGGCGGGGTGCGCCTTTCCTGGCGTCAGCATCTGGGTCAGGGCTTTGCTATGTGTTTGTTTCTGGGCAGGCTGACTTAAGCAGTGACTAAGCTTGAAAGTCGTAAAACTTGATAATAAACCTGTCAGTGAGGCTGTCAGCCAGGCCTGGATGTAGGACCTGGGTGTCTTCTGTGGCCAGGCAAGGCCTCTTGCTTCCAGCTCCTTTGAGGGTCCTAGGCAGCCCCTGCCTGAAATCTGCATAGCTCCCTAGGTCCTTTCTGCTGGGCTGGGAGCATCCAGCTCTACCGCAGTTTCAACAGCAGGGCTGAGCCTGTGTAGGAAGAGGGGCCAAGATCAGTGTGACCTGATGAATTTCGCTCAAACATTCTCTGAAGCCCTTTTTGAATCTATGGGCAAGAAGCCCTTGGATTTAATGAAGGGGACGGTCTCTCTGGGGATCCTCCTCCAAAGGATGCTATTTACACAGAGTGGCCACGTAACCCAGAGTCTGAAGAGACTCATCCCATCTCAGCTCAGTCCTGTGACTTGGGCAGGAAGCATCATCTCTCCCAGCCTCAATTTTCCTTAGCTATAAAATGGGAAGGACAACATCATTTGTCCTGCCTGCCCCACAGGCATCGGGCAGGGCTCACATGGAATACTGTACTCAGAGGATTTGGAAAAGTCCAAAGTGACACATAACAGTGAAGAATAGCAAGTCTTGAGTTCAACCCAATGAACTTTACCAAGTGCCGGCTTTGTGCCAGGCCATGCCTGGGCACCAGAGATGCAGAGGTGAGTGAGAGAGAGACAGTTCCTGCCTTCTCTGGGCTCAGCACTCTGCAGGATGCTTGGAGGAGGCAAAAATATATATCAATAGTAACACTAACCAGCATTAATAATAGCTTCACTCACTGAGTGCCTACTATGGCCCAAGCTTGAACTAAGTGCTTTACACACATTAAAACTTTTAAATAGCTAGGTGAGGTGGGCATTGTTATTTCCATGAGACTCAGTGGGATGAAGTCATTTACCCATGGTCACTCAGCTGAGAAGCACAGGTCATCTGATTTCAAAACCTCTCCTCTCCAGGAGTCCACCTTCTTCTACATTTTCTAGCATGCTCATGTTTTTTGTCCGTTTGTTTTGTTGGATTTTTGTGAGTTTCTTGAGACAGGGTCTTGCTCTGTCACCCAGGCTAGAGTGCAGTGGCACAATCTTAGCTCATTGCAACCTCTGCCTCCCAGGCTCAAGCAATCCTCCTGCCTCAGCCTCCCAAGTAGCTGGGACTACAGGCATGTGCCACCACACCAGGCTTTTTTTTTTTTTTTTTTTTTTTTTAAGTAGAGACAGGGTTTCACCATGTTGCCCAGGCTCATCTCAAACTCCTGGGCTCAAGTGGTCCTCCTGCCTCAGCCTCCCAAAGTACTGGGATTACAGGCATGAGCCACTGCGCCTGGCTTCATTAAGGGAGGAGACCACCCCTCATATTGTCTTATGCCCAATTTCTGCCTCCAAAGAAAGAAGAAGTAAAAACTAAAAGGCAGAAATGAAATCCACAAGCAGACAGCCCAGTGCCATACCCTGGGCCTGGTAGTTAAAGATTGACCCCTGACCTAATCAGTTATTTGCATAAAAAAAGCACTGCAAAGATCCCTGTCCTGTTCTGTTCCATTCGAATTACCGGTGCGTACAGCCCCCAGTCATGTTCCCCCTGCTTGCTCAATCGATCACGACCCTCTCACGTGGCTCCCCTTAGAGTTGTGAGCCCTTAAAAGAGACAGGAATTGCTCACTTGGGGAGCTCGGTTGTTGGAGACGTGAGTCTTGCCAAAGCTCCTGACCGAATAAAGCCCTTCCTTCTTTAACTCGGTGTCTGAGGGGTTTTGTCTGAGGCTTGTCCTGCTACACTACAATCCTCCTGCCTCAGCCTCCCAAGTGGCTGGGACTACAGGCATGTGCCACCATGCCAGGCTATTTTTTTTTAAGTAGAGACAGGGTTTCACCATGTTGCCCAGGCTCATCTCAAACTCCTGGGCTCAAGAGGTCCTCCTGCCTCATCCTCCCAAAGTACTGGGATTACAGGCATGAGCCACTGTGCCTGGCCTCATGTTTTTTGTTTTTTTTTTTGTTTGTTTGTTTGTTTTTTGAGACGGAGTCTCGCTCTGTCGCCCAGGCCGGACTGCAGACTGCAGTGGCGCAATCTCGGCTCACTGCAACCTCCGCTTCCCGGGTTCACGCCATTCTCCTGCCTCAGCCTCCCGAGTAGCTGGGACTACAGGCGCCCGCCACTGCGCCCGGCTAATTTTTTGTATTTTTAGTAGAGACGGGGTTTCACCTTGTTAGCCAGGATGGTCTCGATCTCCTGACCTCATGATCCACCCGCCTCGGCCTCCCAAAGTGCTGGGATTACAGGCGTGAGCCACCAGGCCCGGCCGCCTGGCCTCATGTTTTATATAATGTTTCCTTTTGCAACCTTTAGCAGCAGAACTAAAGAGCTCTGTGCTTTGTTATATTAGTAGTTAAAGGAGATGTGTGTACAAGCATCATCTTTGCTGTTGCGTGTCCTTGTGCATATCACACCACCAGCAGTAGGAGGAAAACCCTCTTGGGCATTTCCCCCCCAGCCAGCTCTTTGAACTTGGACACTTCATGATGCTCTCTGCTCTCCAGTTCACTCATCCGTACAGAGAAGGACTTGGATAAGGTGATGCCCAGAGGGTCTTCCCTGCTCTACAAACCTGTGCCACTCTACATCAACATCTCCCATTTGGACAAAGAGGGGGAAGGCTTTGCAGTACTTGTCCCAGCTCAGCTTCAAATAGGCTGTGTGACATTGGGAGAGTCACTTCACCCATCTGGGCTCCAATTTCCCCATCTGTGAACTGGGAACAAAATGTTATTACTCTCCCCACCTCACAGGCTTATAGTGAGGATCAAATCAGACAGAGGCCATGAAAACAGTTTGAAACTTCTCTAACGATGTGGGGATGAGGTATGACTACTACCTCACTAGTTATCACTGACAGACGTGGAAAGATGGCCCCAGAAGGTGACTAGAAGGAAGGCAGAGAGCCCTACCTGGGGACCTCTGCTTCCCTGTACACAGAGCTCCACTGTGTGGAGGCCAAACTTTCCTCTGTCAAACATCAGGACCCTACTGGAAGTTGTTCCTATTATATCATTAGTTGTTTTCATTACTCTAATAGCTGACAATCATTTCATGCTTATTCTGTGTCAGGCACTCAGCCAAACGTTCTGTGTTGCTACAGCCGTCCGGGGTTAAATCAAACAAATCCTAGTCATTGAAACATTCTCTTTTTTAGTCAAAAGAGGTCAAAAGAGTTTATGGGAGGTGTCAAGGTTAAGAACGTAAGGCAGACAAACAGGGCTCCAATCCAGTCTAAGCTGTTAGTAGCCAACATGACCTTACACATCATAACTTTCTAAGCCTCAGCTTACCCATCTGAAAAATGAATGAGAAAACGCCACCGATCTCGAAGAGATGCTGTGAGCATTTCACTAGGTCGTGCTTGTGCCAGGTGTTAGGAAAATGGAGCTCCATGGGGGTAGACACGGGTCGGGGGCCCACATGCTGCTGGCAGGGGACGAGGCAGGGCTCGGGGGTGTGATGGGCAGAGTCAGGCAAGGTGGTGATGGGGCAGCTAGGGGCAGAATAAGCCCTAAACCCCATTGGCTCAGGAAACACAGGAGGGATGGGCAGGCTGGACGGGAGTCTCCCTTCCCCCAGGAAGCCCTGCAGACGACCAGGAGTTTCCTCTGCAGACACATTGTCCCAGCCCATCCTCCTGTTCTCCCTCCCTCTCACCTCCTCCCTCTCTTCTTTCCAAACTCCTGGATCAGGGGGAATCTTATGATTCCAACAAACCTGCCTCGACGATGTCATATCAGGCTGCCCTGCCCCAGGGAAGAAAGGGCCGTGACCAGGACCGCCATCGGTGAGGGAGGAACCAGAATGCAGCTGCTGATGGAAAAACACAGAACTTCTGGGAAGAGGAGGCCAGAGGGCGGTCCTGTGAGTGAGGCTTCTCCTCTCCAAGAGGCCATGGCAGTTGCAGCTCCAGCCCTTCAAAACCAAGGGACATGGAATTGGCTCTGTGTCCTCAGTCAGCCAGAGGGGTGGGGGGCCAGGCCTGGGGAGCTGATTCAGGAAATCTAAAGCTGGGCCTGGGGGCATGTATTAACACAGTGCCCAGGTTGTGTGTGTTTGGCATTTGCCACACGGCTTCCAGAAGTAAGCTGGGGCATGGAGGAAGTTATTGAAACCCACAAGTCTTAGACTTTGAAAAGTGACCTCATTTAGTGCTCTTTTGCCTGTAATTACTTTGGTCTCCTTTCTTCTGCTCAACGGACCTGAGACAATAGCCATCAGAGTGAGGGAACCGAGGGTGACATTGCAGCACCTTCTCCACCCAGAGCTGCCAGCAGGGCTCAGGGACCAGGGGGAGGCAGGTGGCTCCTTCCAGCTCATCTACATACAATGAGCTCGTAAATCAGCTGGGCCATTCTTCTCCCTGCCTAGCTGGCCTCTATGGCCTGGGTGACTTGTCTGCTGGCCCCAGGCTGGCCTGTACCCGGTAGGGCAAGCTTGGCGTGGGGCCTGGGAGCCTTGGCCGGTCCATTCTAGAGGTGACCCCATGGCTGGAGTGCCCTCCTGCTCACATGGACCTGTCTCCCCACACAGGTGAGCAGCTTCCCTTTCAAGCCGGCATGCAGAAGCGGTCACAGCATTCCCCAGCCCAACCTTCTATTTATTCAGAAACAAAGAGACTAGCCCACGCCAGGCATCCTTTTCCTGCTGTGGAACCATGAGCAAGTTCTCCCACTGAGCTGGTGTTCGCTGTGACATGGGGAGAAAAGTGACTTCTGCTCTGAGGGTTTTTCATGAAGATTAAATGAGAAGATGCTGCATGGTGAAGTCTTTGTCCCCTTGGTGTCTCATGGCGTCCCCTTTCCTCTGGTCCTTCCTGCCTTCTCCCCTCCTGAATTGTTTCCAGATTCCACAGGAGGAGGCTGCTCTCAGCCCTCCCAGCAGGGCTAAGCCCCTGCTCCGGGAGCTGCTCCCACTTCTTAGAGGGCTCTGTGCCTAGCAGAGGTTGGCTTGTTTTTACCTGTTGGAATCAGAGGATGGCAGGGATTGGGAGGATTTTCTTCCTCTGGAGTATGGCCCCCAGAAAGGTGGAGAGACTCTCCCACAACACAGACGTTTCAGATCTGGCACTAAACAGATGTCTAGGAAACACGTCATTCAGTCAGTCTACAAACTCTGAAGGGGCCCCTTCTGGTCAGAAGGCTCAAGGCATATAGAGATAAGCCTTTTCCTCAAGGAACTCTTCAGGGCCAAAGGAGACACATCCTGGAGCCCCATAGTAAAGGGCTGCAACTGCAGGGATTTGGGACTTCAAACTCACTGTGCCAAAGGGGAAGTTAAGCTTGGGAAGTGAGTCACCAACACTGCCTTCCTTTTGTTCCCAAACAGATACCTATAATTTCACAACCTGGGGTCATAGCCTCATTGCCTCTACTCTCTCCTCTCACACATTTACTTTATTTATTTATTTATTTAAGACAGAGTCTCACTCCCTTGCCCAGGCTGGAGTGCAGTGGCACGATCTCGGCTCACTGCAACCTCTGCCTCCTGGGTTCAAGTCATTCTCATGCCTCGGCCTCCCAAGTAGCTGGGATTACAGGCATGTGCCACCACACCTGGCTAATTTTTGTATTTTTAGTAGAGACGGGATTTCGCCATGTTGGCCAGGCTGGTCTGGAACCCTCAGGTGATCCACCTGCCTCAGCCTCCCAAAGTGCTGGGATTACAGGCGTGAGCCACCGGGCCCTGCCCATGTTTATCTTATGTGAAATGTAGATTTACTGAGCCCAAGACAATGCATAATTGACTTTTTCCTCTACTCCTTCTTTTCACATGTAAAATGTAGATTTATTGAGACTTATAAGAGCCTCACAAGGATATATCTGTCTGCCTCACTGCCCACCTTCCCTCCCTTCCCCACCCCCTCCTGCTTGCTCTTTCTCCTTTAAATATGAAGTTCCCAAAAAACATAGGTCACAGATGCTCCTGTGATTTGTTTCCCCACCCCCAACTCTCCGTGGGTCCTTAATCTTGGCTAAATAAACCTCTAACCAATTGAGACACCAGCCTTTGTCACTTTTTGGTTTACAGAAGTCTTCATGGGTGCGGTTGGGACCCAAAGGTAGGAGTGGGTATCCCTGCATGGGGTAGAAGGCCAGGACTGGCTTCCTGGATAGAAGCCCTCATTTTAAGAACTGGAGGATGAGTTCAGGGTGAGGAAGCGCTGCCAACAATTGCACAGAGGCACAATGCACATTTGGGAAACCACAGGGTATTCTGTGTGGCAGAGCAGAGGGGCAGGCAGATGAGCAACTAGCCAGAGCACTCAGCGGAGCAGATTCCAGAGGACTTGTGGGTACTCTGGCCCGTGGGGAGGCCAGGACTCAGGGACAGGACATGATCAGACTCATCACTCATGCAGCACGAACCAGAGGGGAGGCTGAGGCCCCGAGGCTGGAGCACAGCAGCTGGAGCAGGCCTGGCCTGGAAAGTCACTGTGTTCAGCTGCCTATTTGCATGTCACTTGTTCCAGGGTAAAAATCCACCTATCAAGGAGTAGAGACCAATTAATATTTCTTACAGTTTTGCAAGAGAACCTTAAAGGACCACCCCCGCACCCTCCCCCCGGCACAAACATCTGCACACACAGTCACACTCATGCACAGAGCCACACAGTGACCCCAAACACCAGCCCTGCACCTTCCTCAAGCTGGGCATCCCAGGCCACCTCTCTTGGCCCAGCACATGCAGCTTTCCCAGATGGTGATTCAGGGCCTTGCTGAGGACACCTCCAGGCAGCTCCACAGGCAACAGAACACTCATTTTCAGAGTCGCTTCTTTTTAGCCCCATGAGCCAGCTTTGAAGCTGGCATTTTCCATCTTCCCAAATCGCTAGGATCCAAAAGAAAATGATAAGGAAACTAAATTCACCCTCCCGGAGAAATGGAAAACTTGGAGCACATTTCTTCATTTTTGTTGCATCTAATTCCATTGTTCTTAGGCTCGAGGGCGTATTAAGAATCACTTGTGTTTGTTAAATGCCAATCTCAGGTCTCACCTCAGATATGCTAGCTCTGTAAGTCAGTGTGGAGCTCAAGAATTGGCATTTTTAAGGTGCCCAGATGGTCAGAGACCACATTTTGAGAAAACAGAAATGTGGCACATTAGCCACAAAAGTGTTGAGGCTAAGGAGCCATTTCCTCCCTCTCTCACTTTCTCCTTTCCTGTGTGACCTTGGCTAGTTATTGCATCATTGAAGCCGTCATCATAAGCCAGGAAGGAAGAAATTTCCTAACTGTACTGACTCCATCAGAACCCCTGCCTCCCTGAGCAGGGAGAGGTGAGGAGTGGCAGATGTTGTTGGCTGCCTACCCCACAGCCATCCCCTTCCCCAGTCCATGCCTCTACACTCTTTCTTGCTGAATAGAACTCCCATTCTGTTCAGGAAACAAGGACTGTGTGTTCCATAGCAACCTGGGCCCCAGTCCTAGCCCTGGCCCCAGGAAGGAATCTTGATCAGTGAGGCAAGAGGTATGCCTGCCTCCCCGAAATGTCCTGATCCCAGAGGTGAGCAGAGTCACAGGTTCAAGGAGTTCCTAGTACTTCCCCTAGTACTACAGCTGAAGCCCTTTCCCCAGCCAGTGCAGCCTCTGGCATCTGAGGCAGATCCCAGCAGAGGATACCGGTGGCTGGAGATGTCTGCCTGGTCCCTCTAGGGTTCCAGCCTTTACTTTGGTCTCATGCTTGCTCTACTGCTCACTGTGGCTGGCTCTGAGAGGTAGGATTAGAGCCCAGGAGGCAAGTATGTCCACGTTTTACTTTAATCACATCTGGCTGACCTGGTTGCAATGAAATCCCTTAAAATGAAGGTGGGGATTGGTGGAGAACAGGAGGGGGTGGGAGGGTGTGGTCAAAAGAGACTTCCAGGACTTGCCTACAGCAAAAACATCCTGGGTTGAGGCAGGTGGAGGAAAGAGTGGTGCCCAGACCTTGGGTTCTTTCCCTGTCCCTTCTTGCTTCCAAACCCTGGCTTTGGTACCCACAGGCTGAACCCACTGATATGGTTTTGCTGTGTCCCCACCCAAATCTCATCCTGAATTCCCACGTGTTGTGGAAAGGACCTGGTGGGAGGTAATTGAATCATGGGGGCAGGTCTTTCCTGTGCTGTTCTCGTGATAGTGAATAAGTCTCATGAGATCTGATGGTTATTATAAGGGGGAGTTTCCCTGCACAAGCTCTCTCTCTGCCTGCTGCCATCCATGTAAGACATGACTTGCTCCTTGTTGCCTTCTGCCATGATTGTAAGGCTTCCCCAGCCACGTGGAACTGTAAGTCCAATTAAACCTCTTTCTTTTGTAAATTGGGCCAGTCGTGGGTATGTCTTTATCAACAGCATGAAAACGGATGAATACACCCACCCTTGCCCTTTCAAGTCTTGTTTCTTCTGTCCATGAGGCTTATTCAGAGGCTATATTCAGACCCTAACTCCAAAGCCAGTCTGGGAGCAGAGCCTGGGTGAAGCCAAAGTTGCCTCTATTTGATTCTTTTCTGTGCTACTCATGGTCTTGCTCTAACACTGCTTCTACCATTGCCTTTTTAAAAGATCTAATAAGTGATTCTTAGATATGCCAAAGAGGTGTAAAATATAACATAATTCATACCTGCATGCCCACCATTCAGCTTAAGAAACAAAGCATTTACCAATGGAGTTGAAGCTGATCCATTCTCTCTTCCCCCTTCTCAAAATCAGCTGACTCTTGTGCCTATCATATGGATTAAGTTTGACTACAAATAACAGAAAACCCAAAATAGTTACTCAAGTGAGCTAGAAGTTTACTGACCCTTGTAAGAGAGAGCTGGAGGGAAGCAGTTCAGGGCTTCTGTGGGAGCTCCACAGTCCCAGGACCAGCCGTCCCTGAGCTGCCACCTGCAGCACCATTTACACCTCCTGGACCAAGAGAGCTGCCACACTCCAGCCATCTCATCTACTTCAAGCCAGCAAAAAAGGAGAAATGAAGGAAAGAAGGGCATGTCACCTGCCTTAAGGGGACTTATTGAAAGTTGTACACTATGCTTCCCTTACATCCTATTGGCCAGAACTTGTCACAAGGCCACACCCAGTTGTGGGAGAAGCTAGAAGATGTTATTTTTATTCCAACGGGCTATGTGAAAAGGAGAGTGAAATTGGGAGACCCCTAGTGGTCTCTGCCACATCGTAGTCTTAACCAATATGCCGGCTTAGGACAGTAAATTGCTGAGGAATGGAGGAATGTTGCTTTTTAATTTTTTTAATTTTATTTATTTATTTATTTTTGAGACGGAGTTTCACTCTTGTCACCCAGGCTGCAGTGCAATGGCGCGATCTTGGCTCACTGCAACCTCCACCTCCTCGTTTCAAGCTATTCTCCAGCCTCAGCCTCCTGAGTAGCTGGGATTACAGGCATGCACCACCACGCCCGGCTAATTTTGTATTTTTAGTAGAAACAGGGTTTCACCATGTTGGCCAAGCTGGTCTCAAACTCCTGACCTCAGGTGATCCACCCGCTTCGGCCTCCCAAAGTGCTGGGATTATGGGCACGAGCCATCGCGCCCAGCCAGATGTTGCTTTTTTAAAAAAATTTTTAATATATGCCAAAAAAAAAGGATACAGATAATAGAGCTCAAAGAAATCTCATAAATGAATCATGATATAGACTGTAACCAACACCCCAGAAAGGCCACCTCCTGCCAAACAAGAGTCTGATTAGAAAATAAAATCCCAGGTTAGTAGCTGTCTCATTCCATGTTGGTTCATGAGAATTTAGTTTGCATCACTCCTTGTTCTTAGAGGACTAAGTTTCCAAATCCTTGTTCTTAGAGGACTATGTTTTCAGTTTCTGGTAATACTGGTAAGTGTTTCTCTTGATGAACGAGCTGAAACTGAAGGTGAATTTCCCTTTAGAAAAATCACGATCCACAGGGGGTTATATCCATGGATTTAGTTATAAGCTACATGAAATAAAGAGAGATGGCATTTATTATGCGCCTATTGTGTCAGCTTCTGTGCCGAATGAAGATGCTGCTTTTGAAAATACAACCAGTGGAAACACTGCTGTCCCCATTCCTGGATCTGTCACTGACTGGGGCTGTGTGATGTCACTTGAACCTGAAGTCACTTGAGCTGACTCTGCCTTCATTTTCTCATCTGCCAAATGGGGATAATATAGTGATAATTAAAAGAGGAAAATGTTGCCAACATGGTCTATAAATATAAAGCTCGGGCCAGGCATAGTGGCTCATGCCCGTAATCCCAACCCTTTGGGAGGCCAAGGTGGGTATATCACCTGAGGTCAGGAGTTCAAGACCAGCCTGACCAACATAGTGAAACCCCGTCTCTACTAAAAATACAAAATTAGTCGGGTGTGGTGGTGCAGGCCTGTAATCCCAGCTACTCGGGAGGCTGAGGCAGGAGAATCACTTGAACCCAGGAGGCAGAGGCTGCAGTGAGCTGAGATTGTGCCACTGCACTCCAGCTTGGGCAACAAGAGTGAAACTCCATCTCAAAAATCAATCAATCAATCAATCAATCAATCAATAAATAAATAAATAAATATAAAGCCTGGTGTAGACATTGCTTCCTTCCCCTTAGGAGGCCAAGTGTTTGACCAAGCTCTACCTACACAGTGTGTCTTTCCACTGAGCTTGCCCTCCTGGCTCCTAAGTGCCATGAAGGCAGAGGCCATCCCCACCTCCCATCCCTGAGCTGATGATGGAGTGAGCACTGAGACACATTCGATGGATGGAGCCAAGGGCTTGCTGTGTTTCCTTTTTCAACTGGATCTGAGTCATGCCTCCCTTTGCCTCCCATTGCGGCCCTCCTCTCCTGGATTTCTGGAAAAATCAGGCTGTCTGTGTGTTTTAATTTATGCTGCCTTCCTCCCTTCCTTTCTTGCTCTTTTCATACTTGCCAGCCCATATATATTTAGCTCTTTTCATATTTCTTCATAAATCATTCCTGCAAGTCAAGTCCCTGAAAATGTTTCCCCTGAAATCCCTCCAAACAGTATTTGAAACACTTACCTCCTGATAAATGCATCATGGACAATTTGGCCTGTCACTGCTGCCTTAGTGCCAGGAGAAAGACAATAAGGAAACTGGGGTGCAGGCTCTGGCACTCCGTGCTTTGTATACCCTTTCTTTTAAAGATGCTGATGGCCAGACGTGGTGGCTCATGCCTGTAATCCTAGCACTTTGGGAGGCCAAGGCAGGCAGATCACTTGAGGTCAGGTGTTCAAGACCAGCCTGGCCAACATGGTGAAACCGCAGCTCTACTAAAAATACAAAAATTAGCCAGGTGTGGTGGTGCATAGCTGTAATCCCAGCTACTCAGGAGGCTGAGGCAGGAGAATCGCTTGAACCCGGGAGGCGGAAGTTGCAGTGAGCTGAGATGGTGCCATCTCACTCCAGCCTGGGGGACAAGAGCAAAACTCCATCTCAAAATAAAATAAAATAATAATGAAATTAAATTAAATAAAGATGCTGAAACAGCATTGAAAGGTCCGGGGCGTTAATTTACTTTATGGTCTTCACAGGGGAGGAATAATCTGGGGTGAAGGGTCTGGGCTGTAGCATCTAAATGTCTGAGTTAAAATCCTGTCTTGGTCACTTATCTGTTGTGGAATCTTGGCCAAGTTACGTGACTTTTCTGTGTCTCAACATCCTCAGCTGTAAAATGGGAACGAGAGTTTACCTCACTAGGCAGTTACGAGAATTAAATCAGTTCATTCACACCATAGCATGTTGCCCGGGACATGGTAAGTGCTTGACAGATTCTAGCTTGTTGTTGCGTTTTTTCCTGGGTCTACCCAGTCTCCATCCTTTTCATCATTATTATTGGCAGAACCCTTGTTTTATGTTGGATGCCAATATAACCCGAGTTTTAAAATAATAGCTTTTCCTGCCTTCCCTTGCAGCCAAAAAAAGTCATGTGACACAGCTCTTGCCAGGGAGATGACAGCTGGAATGGTGAGTAGTGCACCCAGAAAGCTTTTTAAAGGGAGCAGACTGAACTGTCGTGTTCCTGTCTGTCTTTCTCCCCTTCCTCCTTTTTCCTGTTTAGAATGTGAATGTGATGTCTGGAGCTTCAGCAGCCATATTTGGACCATGAGCCCAATTGGAGAATGATAGTCCTGTGCCCAGGATGATGAGACAGAAAGAGAAAAGGAGCCTGAGTCTCTCCTCCCAGATGGCGCTGTGGAGCTGCCGTACCAGCCCTGGGCCGCCTGACTTTGGACTTCTTGTAACCAAATAAATGAATAAATAACCCCGTAATCTCTGTAAGCCCCCACTTGTCAGGTTCCTATTAGCAGCAGCAATGTACAATTCCTAACTGCTGCAAGCATAGTTTCCTGATGGGGAGCAGCTCCAATCAGAACTGGATAAGATCCTGAAGTGGTTTGCAAACTGCATTCTGCAGGAGCTGAGGGGTCCCATGAAGCCCCCTCTCAGACTGGAGATCAGGGGTGGGAGGAGTAAGGGACCACACTGCCTCTCCCCACCTCATCTTTTTTCCAAGTTTGTTTTAACTTACTGTAGGGGGAGACGTGGCCCAGTTAGGCTTTGCAGAAAGAATAGATTTCAGGACAAAAAAAATTAAAGGTTTGGAAGTCACTCTTCTTGTCCAACCCCCTCATTTTACAGATGAGTGATCTGAGGCCCCCAAAACGTCTTGCCAGTTAAGCTCAGCCAGGCAGAGCCAAGAGGAGAACCCAAGTTTTCTGCTCTTTCCGGGGGCCCAGCCAAGTGCTGGAACTGCCACACACAAAAAAAAGCTGATCCAAAGAGTTTACAATCGCTGACGAAGTCCCAACCCACCGAGCTCTGATGGGCTGCCTGCTCTTGGGGGAATTGGACAGGGCCCCTCTGGTTAAAACTAATGAGGGCTGGGAATGCCCTTTCAGGGCCCTGGGCAGCCAATTTGCCCTCCTGCTGAGTGAAAGTTGGACCCGGTTCCTCTTCTGTCTTTACAGTAATTCATTCACTGTTTGTTTATTTTTTTTAAAGCACACACACATTAGATGTGTGAAGCAAAGGGGGTGAATGGGTGGCATGAAATCCTCAATGCATGGGGCTCTTTGTCCCTGTTCTTGTAGTTCTCCTTTGCAAAATGCTCGCTTAATCAATTCAAGATCAATGGATGCTAAGTCGCAGCTGTAAACACCATCTCATTCAAGGTCAATTAGAGCAGCCCAGTGTTCTGTAGCAGGAAGTTTAACTGTGGGAGGGGGACGGGGAGGGCCTTTATCATGGAGTCTTCAATAAGTGTTTACAGAGCCCGTCCTTGTGGATTTGCCCTGTGTGGACACATTGGTCAACTTGGTAGAAAATACATCGCCACATGAGTGGAATAACTAGATGTTATAATAATTCAGAATATCTCATTCCAGGACTTTCACTAGAAACTCTTTTCTTCATCCCTCCATTCTATCCATCCATCCATCCATCCATCTACCCACCCACTCCACAATTATTTCGTGAGCAACTACTCATGTATCTAGCACTGGTGCAGAAGAAAACAGGCAGGGTCCTCACTTGGAGCTTTTTTGAGGGGAGCATAGAAAGCCTGAGAATGAACATGTAAATGAGTAGACAGAGAAGGAAGCCTGTGACAGAGCTGTCCTCAGCTGGAGAAGCAGCCCAGAGGAGGCCACACTGCACCCCCTCCATGGAGCAGCCAGGACAATGCAGGCCCCCCTACCCTCAGCCCCACCCCATCCCAACCCCAGGGCTCTGCTTTCCAGCTATGATGAACTCACAGGGCCTCTCAGAGTGTTCACTGATTATCAGGGGCCAGGCTCAGTGTTAAGTGTTTGGCTCAGATTCTTCTGCTGAACTCCTTTTGGAAACAGGTTTTTTCCCCCTACCCTCAGGTGCCCACAGGGAGACAAGGGCTGCAAAATCTCTCAGAGGAGCCCAAATACCAGGGTGAGCTTAGCAGCCCTTCACTTTGTGAGCACTGGGCAAGGCCCGAGACTGCTTGAAGACTCTTATTTGTAAACTCCAAAGGCTTCAGAACAGCTGTGTGATGCAAAAGAAAAAATCGCCATAAAATCAGGTTTCATGAATTCATTCAGCAACTATTTTAAGGCATGGAGGGGAACCAGAATAGATGTTACACTTGGAATTAGAGACCCAAGTTCAAATCCTTCCACCACCTCTCATTCTTCAGCAAGTCCTTAATTCACTGAGGCTCACTTTCCTAACTTGTAAAGTGGTGCTAACACTATCCCACTCATGTAACTGTGATGAAGATTTCTTTTTTACATGGGATTCCATAGCCGGTGACAGAATCTGCCTTGGAGGCAGAGAGATCCACTAAGAGACTGGGAGAGTGGCTTAGGCCAGGGGCACTAATGAAATTGCAGATGAGAACAATGGCTGGGAAAGATGCCGAAGTGCTAAGATCAACAGGACTTGGCAACTCCCTACAGAGGGGTGGGGGATCACCATTTGTGAAGGCAAGGAACTGGGAGAAGCTTGGGAGACTTGGTGGGCAGTGGTGCCATTGATACCCACTGGGGACACCAAAGATACTCTGTTTGGGAGACCAGTGGGCCAACCAGGTAGTCATCAGTAGGCACCTGGCAGCTGGAGACCGTAGGAGTCATCCACAGGTGGTCGTTAAAGACACGATGGGCATGGGTGAGGTCTGGTAGGAAACAAATGCCATTTTTGACTGTCCAACATAACACACACCTTCAAACAACTGCTCCTCCTCCATTGCCGTCATGAGTATTTGCAGGACTGACAGTCCCAATAAAATGCAAGGGGAGATAAGAGGCCTGGGCCCCTGGTCATCCAAGCAGGCAGCTCCCTTGGCCATGTGATTGCTGCAGTGGGGAAGATACGACTCAGCATGGGACACTCAGAGTCCTTCCTGGGGATTTTTAAATTTGGAATTAAAAGAGAAGGGGCTTTGTCTTTTGCATCCCCGAGTGGGAAGGAATTGAGACATACCAGGGGCCATCTTCTGTGGAATATGAAGAAAGCTAATTTGCTGGAGAGAATAAAGCCAATCAAAGGAAGCAGAGCTGAGAAATAGAGAGGGGGAGAATCCTGACTGCAACGTGTTCCTGATTCCAGTCTCAGAAACTCCCAAAGCTTCTGTGCTTTCCACATTACTTCCTTCAGTTCTTTGAGCTACTGCAGACATGAGAGTCATTAAATTCTCTCTTTTCAAGTCAGATTGAATTGGGTTTCTATCACTTGCACTCCAAAGAATCTTAGCTAACTTGGCTCTCAAAGGCAGAAAGATTACATAGCTGACTTTTAACACTTTACTATCCATATACCCATTTCAGAAGCTGATGGAAAGCTCTGGATGAATGCAAGAAAGGTTGTCTACAAGTTCAAGGTGGGGGAATCTCATAAAAGAGCCCAGTCATGGACTCCTAGAACCTCTGGGATACAGGAAACAGCAGAGAGCCTTGGGCTGATCCTTGGGAGACAGGTCATTTTCAGGAGACAAGAGGAGAAAGACTTGGGCCAGAGGCAGAATGAAAAGATCATAGAAATGGAAGGAGAATCAAGAAGGGACAGCATGGTGGAAGCCAAGGAAGAAGCATGCTCAGAGGAAGCTCCCGCCAGTGCATTGATAAAGGCTGTGGAGTTTGGGAACTTCATAATGGATGTTTTGGCGAGCTTAGCAAAGAAGTCATGGGGCAGCTCACAGAAGCCAGGTTGCAGGGAGGGTTCCTAAGAAGGAGTGAACCTTGAAAACACTATGCTAAGTGAAAGAGGCTAGATACAGGGGCCACATATTCTATGATGACATTTATATGAAGTATCCAGGATCAAATAGGGAAATCCACAGAGGCAGGAAAGAGATTGCCAGAGGCTAAGGAAGGGGGAATCAGCAGTGACTGCTTAACGGGTACAAGATTTCTTTTCAGGGTGATGAATTAGATAGTGGTGGTGGCTGCACAACACAGCAAGCACACTAAAAACCACTAAAGTGTACTTTGCTGTTGTTGTTGTTGCTGTTGTTGTTGTTGTTGTTGTTGTTGCTTTTGGAAACAGGGTCTTGTTCTGTCACCCAGGCTGGAGTGCAATGGCAAAATCTGGGCTCACTACAACCTCCACCTCCTGGGTTCAAGTGATTCTCCTGCCTCACCCTCCCAAGTAGCTGGGATTACAGGCACCCACCACCACACCCGGCTAATTTTTGTATTTTTAGTAGAGACAGAGTTTCACCATGTTGGCCAGGCTGGTCTTGAACTCCTGACGTCAGGTGATCTGCCCACCTCGGCTTCCCAAACTGTCAGGATTACAGGCATGAGCCACCATGCCCGGCTTAAAGTATACATTTTAAAGGGGAAATATTATGGTATGTAAATATGATCTCAGTTTCAAAAGCGAGTGAGGGCTGGTAGAAGGGAAGCAGCAAGAATAGAGCCTCCATGGAGATGCTTGGCAGAGGATCTAAAAGGAGCACTGGGTGATACCCGGAGGGAAACAGCAGGATCAAGGAAATGATTTTTTAGGATGAGAAACCCTGACCTCAGAGAGAAGGTGGGTGTGGTGGACAGAATGATGGCACCAAAGATGTCCCTGTCCTAACACCCGGAACCTGTGAATATATTACCTTACATGGCAAAGGGGACCTCAGATTGCAGGTGGAATTAAGGGTGCTGATCAGCTGACCTTAGCATAGGGAGATGATCCCTGGTTATCTAGGGGACCCTGTGTAATCACAAGGGGCCTTAGAGGTATGACTAGGAGGCAGAACAGTTGGTGTCAGGAGGTGAGATCTGAGAAAAACTCAACTGGCCAAGGTTGGCCTTACTGATGGAGAAAGGGAGTCACAGGCTGAGGAAGATGGGCAGCCTCTAGAAGTCAGAAAAGGCAAGGAAATGGACTTGACCCCAGGGCCTCCAGAAGAAAAAGCAACACTGTAGACACCTTGACTTCAGCCCCGTGAGATGCATGTCAGACATCTGAGCTGCAGAACTCTAAGATAAGTCTGTGCTGCTTTAAGCCACTACATTTTTTGGTCATGTGTTACAACAGCGATAGGAAACCAATACAGTGGGATGTTCCAAAGATAGGGATGACTAAATATCAGGAGGAAGACAGTGGCTATGAGATGGCGGTGATGTGGGAAGAACACTGGCCTCAAAGCCAAATGATGTGTGAAACCCCAAACTACCACTAACTTAACTGCACAGTCACAGGCAAGTCAGCCCTCCCCTCGCTTGGCCTCAGTTTTCCCACCTGTGAAAATGGGAGCATTGGGGTGATGACCTCTAAGGGATCCATCAGCTCTGATGCTCTGGTCCCTCAGGCTTTGCAGCTGCAGTCATTGGAACAGCATATGCTGAGTCTGCCTCTGCCAGGGTCCATAGGGAGGTTGACCTGATCATTTTGGTTTGTCAGAGAGGCTGCCCTACTGAAGGATGATGGCAAAGGACACTCAGCTGCTTTCCACAGAGGCAGCAGGGTTGAGAGGATCTGGGATAACCCCACTATCACCATCCCCATAATATATGTATTAGTCCATTTTCACACTCCTGTGAAGAACTACCTGAGGCCAGGCCCAGTGGCTCACCTCTATAATCCCAGCACTTTCAGAGGCCAAGGTGGGCGGATCACTTGAGGTCAGGGGTTCGAGACCAGCCTGGCCAACATGGTAAAACCCCATCTCTACAAAAAATACAAAATTAGTTGGGAATTGTGGCTCACGCTGTAATCTCAGCTACTTGAGAGGCTGAGGCAGGAGAATCGCTTGAACCTGGGAGGTGGAGGTTGCAGTGAGCCAAGATCACACCACTGCACTCCAGCCTGAGTGACAGAGCTAGACTCCACCTCAAAAAAATAAAAATTAAATTAAAAAATAACTACCTGAGACTGGGTAATTTATGAAGAAAAGTGGTTTAATTGACTCACAGTTCCACAGGTTTAACAGGAAGCATGGCTCAGAGGCCTCAGGGAACTTACAATCATGTTAGAAGGCAAAGGGGAAGCCAGCACGTCTTACCATGGTGGAGCAGGAGAGAGAGAGGAGAGAGAGAGAGCAAAAAAAGCCACACACTTTTAAACCATCAGATCTCATGAGAACGCACTCGCTAGCACTAAAACAGCAAGGGGGAAATCTGCCGCCATGATCCAACCACCTCTCACCAGGCCCCTACTGGACACATGGGGATTACAATTCAATATGAGATTCGGGTGGGGACACAGAACGAAACCATATCAACATATATCTTCCCAACCCCCTGAAAGTTAGTAGGGGCTCTGCCAACTGTCTCCCACTGGCTGACTTTGTTAATGAGTTTTGGTTTCAGAATCCTCCTCAACACAGTGCCCCACAAAGCCACTGTCAACCGAGCAGGACTGGCAGGTGAGGTGATGTCTACGTGGCAGCCTCGGGTTGAGATATTGCTGATACCAGCAACTTCCTTGAAGCCATAAACACCTTTGGGATTAGGTAAGACCTCAAAATTCTTTCCATCATAAACAGCAAACTGTGGGTTAATTAGTTCACCAAGGTTCTGGAGGAGATTCCTGATTTCAAACAATAGAAATCATCTCTGGCCAACTAAAGAGAAAACACTAAATCCCTATTGAAAACATTGAGTTGCTTACAAAATTTGACAAGAAGCAGAGGCAAGACTGTAGAAATTAACAGAACGGTCACGTTCATGACACAGGAAAAGTGTGATTGAGGCAACACTGTTGGCACGGCTCCCCACCGCTGCATTGGCCACTGCATTGGCCCCTCAGCTGCCGCGCTAAATAGCCTCTCCCTGAGCTCACCTTTTCCGGTCACGCTCAGGATTGAAAGTCCCAGGAGAAAGCGCCAGTTGCCTGAGCATAGGTTGGGTGCTGCCCCCTGGTGGCCGAGAGCAGAGAGACCGCCTCTGTCCCAATCAACTCTCACTTCCTCCAGCAGCTGGGGGGCCCTTCCCACCCTAACCCACTCTATGAAGAACGCACCCTAGTACCAAGTGGCTTCACATGCTAGGTCCCTTAAAAGGGTCTAAGGTTCCCTGCACTCAGATAATTTACTATGGAATGTTCCTTCTAGAAGAGAGTTGAAACCTACTAGTTCAACACTCCTGATCCAGAAGCACAGAAGGGCTGGTTAGTGTTGGCACCAGGGCTGCACACGGGCCTCCCAGCTTCCCATCCAGTGGTCTCCCTGCCCCGAGCCAATGTCCTCCTGCCTGCGACTGGCCTATGACAGCGTAGGACCCAGAGGCAGAGGACGTGGCATTGCCATGGCGACCCTAAGTCACAGCTTTTCCAAGACTGGATGAATTTCTTGAGCTTTCACATTTTTCTAAGCAGGGATAAGTAGTAGCTCTATGTGATTTAGTCCTTATACCTTGGTAAACATAGCTTTCCAATGAATATATTTACAGTTCAGCAAAACAAGCCTTTGCCATGTTCTGTTTTCCTGGATGTTCTTTCTGAGAATGTGATTGCCGCAGTGATAGGTCCCTGGGGGGGCAGTTCTGTTTGAACATCACAGTCAGGGTCTCTGGGCAGTGGAGCAGCAGGGGGACACAGTGTCTGGGATGAGAGGAAGAAGAGGAAACAGTAGGGAAGTTGGGCAGACAGGGACTGAGCTGGAACTTCTAGTGACTTCATTATTTTTCAGCAGGCTGGCACAGCGGCACTGGATCTTGGCTGGACAGGGCAATTAACAGCTCCCCAAGCTCCTAATGAGTCATTTTCTTGAGGTTTAAGCTGCCCGCAGAGTTTCCCAAGGGAATTTATTCCTGGAAGCTCACTCCTGAGAAGTGCCCTCCCCTGGGTGCAACTTGCCCAAGGCTACTGGATTTGGCCAATTGGTCAGAAACCAGGAATTCTGGGTCCAGAGACATACCCTGTAATTTAGAAGGGAGACTGATAGCGCTGAGCCATAACTCAGGCACACAGGATGGTGACTGGCAAGGACATTTCACTTTCTGGGGCAGCTGAGAGGTCTCACTTCCTCAAAACCCTCTTCTGAGACTCTCTTTCCACAAAGCGCCCGCCAGGCTTTGTATCTGGTTTAACCAAGGGTGGACACAGCCCCCAACGGCAGTGGTTTATAGTTGGACAGGAGCCAAACTCTGTCCTAGATCAGGGCTGAAACCAACCAGACTTTCTCCCGGAGAACTCGAACTTGACACTTGCATAAAATCTGTTACCAGGTAGTAGCAAGAGCAGTGGAAACCAAAGCTGCGGAGCTGAATTTCCAGAGGAGAGGACAAGGTGGCTGTGGCATGGCTGCTTGCAGGAATGAGGGGTACTTCTTAATGTGCCCTGTGGCTGGAAATCATCTGAATTTGTCTTCGTTCTTGGAGACCCAGAGTATCCCTGTCACACATCCAAACCCATGCACTCATAACCAAGGAGGCGACGGGACACTTATCTGACTGACTCAAGCCTAAAGGACTCCACTTTAGCCTTGCACTGGAGAGATATGGGAGATCCAGTGTAAATTGTTTTAATGTCTTCAGTTACTCACTTTAGTTTGTCTAAGAGACATGAACAAGGTTAAAATCTAACAGCAGTTGGGCACGGTGGCTCACGCCCATAATCCCAGCACTTTGGGAGGCAGAAGCAGGAGGATCACTTAAGGTCAGGAGTTCAAGACCAGCCTGGCCAGCATGGTGAAACACCATCTCTACTAAAAATTCAAAAAAAAAAAAAAATTACCAGAGTGTGGTGGCAGGTACCTGTAGTCCCAACTACTCGGTAGGCTGAGGCAGGAGAATCCCTTGAAACCGAGAGGCAGAGGTTGCAGTGAGCCAAGATCACGCCACTGCACTCCAGCCTGGGTGACTAAGTGAGACTCCACCTCCAAAAATAAAATAAAATAAAATCTAAGAGCAGTTGATTGTTCATCAAGGAGAAATATTATGGGTGGAACATCATCCTCTAGAGTCCAAAAATCTAGAAGGCTAGCCATTTAAGAACCTTCCTGCCAGATGCAGTGGCTCCCACCTATAATCCCAACACTTTGGGAGGTCAAGGCAGGAGGATGGCTTGAGTCCAGGAATTGAAGACCAGCCTGGACAACATACCAAGACCCCCCCACCTCCATCTCTAGAAAACAAATACAAAAATTAGCCAGGCATGGCAGTTCACCTTTGTGGTCCCAGCTACTCTGGAGGCTGAAGCAGGAGAATTGCTTGAGCCCAGGAGTTTGAGGTTGCAGTGATCCATGATCATACCACTGCACTCCCACCAGGGGGACAGAGCAAGACCCTATATCAAAAAATTTAAAAATGAAGAAGAAGAAGAACCTTCCTTCCACCTGAGACAATGGGAGTTGGTGGGAGGCCTTTGATTCTATGGAAAGTACAGACTTGGGTTCATTATGGCGGTCCCGAGAGTAACCACCCCCTGGTCTGCAGACTTAAGTGTGGTCTGCCAAGCATGGGCTGGCCCTTATGCCCCTCCAGCCCTCCAGCCACACCCAACAGCATCATACTGCTGTTTCCTGCTCCCTACAAACAGTTTCTACTCCGCTAGATGCCCTTCCAGGACCCAACTGTGTAACAAACTCCATTCCAACCTTCAATACTGTATGAACTAGGGTTATTTTGGTTGCATGATATAGAAACTGACTCTAGGTGATTAGAAGGGTCTGGGATGCCTCACGGGTACAAGAGTTGAACTGCCACGTCCCAGCGAGGGCAGAGATAGGACCAGCGAGGGGAGAGATAGGACTGCTCATGCATTTTGGAGCTATCACTCTAGAGAAGTGGTTCTCAACTGGGGGCGACTTTGTCCTCCAAGGGACGTTTGGCAATGTCTGGAGATGTGACTAGGAGTGGGATGCTACAGGCATCTGCTGGGTGGAGGCCAGGGATGCTACTAAACATTCTACAATGCACAGGACAGTGCCCTTAACCCCAGCAAAGAATTAGCCAGCCTAAATGTCAATAGTGCCAAGGTTAAGAAACCCTGCTTTAGAGAGCTTCTCTCACCGTGATTTAGTTCCAATGACGCCCAGCCTCCGAAACTCTCCATTCCAAATTTCAATTTACTGGGAGAGAAAACTTGATTGGCCCACATTGAGTGCTCATCCACCCCTGGATCTATCAGCTATGGCCAGGAAAACAGAGTTACCTAATATAAACTTGGTCACTGGGGACCCTTCTCTCATGTTGGGGACGTCCCCAGAAAAAAAAAAATGACTTTCTGTGGGCCATGTATGCCAAGAACAATGGGGCTGGGGCCAGACAGACGTCACCTCCCTCAGGAAGCCTTTCCTGCTCCATCTGCTCTTTGGGCTACGATTTTTTCTTGCACATGTTTGTTTTCACTGAATTGTGACTTGTTTGTTCATCTGTCCATCTCTCCCAGGAGACTTGGAGTTCTCTATGGAGTGAAACTGGGTCTTACTCATCCCTGAAAGCCCAGTGTCAATGTTCTGGTTATATAACACACTATTGCTACATAACATGCTGCCCAGGAAACCATCCCAAAGCTTAGTCACTTCAAGTAACCATCTTTTCACCTCCTGATTTTGTGAATCCAGAATTTCAGCAGGACTTGGCTTGGTGATTCTTCTGTTCCACACAGCCTCCACGGGGGTGACTCAGTGGTATTCATCTGGCAGCTGGGCTTGGCTGAGAGGTCCAACATGTCTTCTCACATAACTGGAGCCTTAGTGAGCAGCTGGAAGGCCAGGCTCAGCTGGGCCCCTCTCTCTAGCTTCACAGCCTCTCCACATGATCTTTTCAAATGGGCAGTCATATTTTGAATGTGGCAGATCAGGGCCCCAAAAGCAAATGTTTAAAGAAAACCTAGGCTAAAACGGAAAGCCTTCTTAAGACCTTAAACTGGAAGTCCCAGAACATTGTTTCAGCTACATCCTCTTGGTCAAGAAAGTCACTAAGAACAACCCAACTTTAAGAGGAAGGGGGCCAGGCATGCGGTGGCTAACTCTTTTAAT
The DNA here is from genome assembly GCF_000001405.40 of Homo sapiens. Classification (NCBI taxonomy): domain Eukaryota; kingdom Metazoa; phylum Chordata; class Mammalia; order Primates; family Hominidae; genus Homo; species Homo sapiens. The sequence continues at coordinate 117,439,010 of NC_000010.11, read as the reverse complement.
CCCAGCACTTTGGGAGGCTGAGGCAGGAGGATCGCTTGAGCCCAGGAGTTCGAGACCAGCCCAGGCAACATGGCAAAACCCCATCTCTACAAAAAAAAAAAAAAAAAAATGAAAATTAGCCAGGCATGGTGACATGTGCCTGTAGTCTCAGCTACTCAAAAGGCTAAGGCGGGAGGATCACTTGAGCCCAGGAGGTCAAGGTTGCAGTGAGTTGGATCCCGCCACTGCACTCAGCCTTGGCAGCAGAGTGAAACCCTGTCTCAAAAAAAAAAAGGGGGGGGGCGGGTGGGGAAGGGAATTAGACTCCACTTCTAAATGAGACAGGTGGCATGCACCAACAAGAAGGGAAGAAATTGGTGGCAGACATTCTTCAAGATTGTCGTCCACAGCCTACTAGAGTAATTGTTCAATAAGCATTTAATAGATAAGTTAATTAATATGAAGACAGATTAGCCCTACAGAGATCACCCAGTTGATGTAATGGTTAAATGAAAATAAAGCACATGAAAAATGTTTTTGAAACTATCCAACGCTATAAAGAGGTAAGGAGCTGCTATTAGGAGCAAATTTAATATGCTTCCTCTGGTTTATGGATGACTGCTTGCAGGGTTCTCTCTGCTACTCTCCATTCCCACTTGCAAGGATTCATGACAGACATCACTTGTCAGTCACAGCTCTTTTGCACTTATGCTGGATATGGCCTCAGGATCCTTCTCAACACAATACTCCAGTCATCCACTACTAACCAATCAAAGTCCACAAGGATACCTATTTGTTATTTCCTGCCTAAATTCCTATTGCTAAACCATCCTCCAAAAGCCCAAGCTTTTAGTTTCTTTAAACATGCATGCAACTGCTTCCTTTAAGAGAGAGAGAGGAGAGAGAGAGAGAGAGAGAATATAAAGCTGAAGCCCTAAGCAAGATGAAATGGCAGACACCATTACCCTCCAAAATTGGATTTATAATGGAAACAGAAACTGATTATGGTGGTGAGCTCTGCCATTATGAATTAGTTTAAAAAGAAATAACTGCAGCTGGGCACAGTGGCTCATGCCTGTAATCTCAGCATTTTGGGAGGCCAAGACGGGCGGATCACAAGGTCAGGAGATCAAGACCATCCTGGCTAACACGGTGAAACCCTGTTTCTACTAAAAATACAAAAAATTAGCCGGGCGTGTTGGTGGGCACCTGTAGTCCCAGCTACTCAGGAGGCTGAGGCAGGAGAATGGTGTGAACCTGGGAGGCAGAGCTTGCAGTGAGCTGAGATCGTGCCACTACACTCCAGCCTGGGGGACAGAGCAAGACTCCGTCTCAAAAAAAAAAGAAAAGAAAAGAAATAACTGCATGCAAAAATAGTCATATGACATCTCATAAAGGAGAGAATCTGTCTACCTTGACATATTTTCCTCTGAGAAAACTCCAGCTCAAGGTGAGGCAAGCCAAAACTTGCATGTCTGGATGAATGAAAGCCACATGGGCTGACCACCATCCGCCTCCACAGTCATCACCTACCCACAGATTCCCCTGACACTCATCCTACTTGCCATGCAGCTTGTTAGGAATTTGGAAGGTACGCTTTTTTTTTTTTTTTTTTTTTTTGAGACAGAGCCTTGCTCTGTCACCCAGGCTGGAGTGCAGTGGTGCGATCTCGGCTCGCTGCAACCTCCACCTCCCAGGTTCAAGCAATTCCCCTGCCTCAGCCTCCCAGGTAGCTGGGACTACAGGTGTGCACCACCATGGCTGGCTAATTTTTTGTATTTTAGTAGAGACAGGGTTTCACCATGTTGGCCAGGATGCTCTCAACTCCTGACCTCATGATCCGCCCACCTCAGCCTCCCAAAGTGCTGGGATTACAGGCGTGAGCCACCACGCCTGGCCGGAAGGTAGATTTTAACCACTCAATTAAAGTGTTCAAGGAAAAACAGAAGCAAAAAAAGCACATATAAAACCCCCTCTAGTTCTAAACTGGCTCTCTTCCATCTGATCGCTGGGGACGCAAGGCCAACAGCAGATCATACTTGTGACAGGGCGAGTGGCCCTGAAAAGTGCCTCTCTTCCTTTCTGAGCCCCAGGGTCCTGTCCCTGCCCTCAAGCAAGAAAACAATCAGTAGTAGTTGGAGAGGCCCACTCTATGGCTAAAGGCCCCAGGATTAAGAATGAGCAGACTTGGTTCCAGTCTCAGGGATGCCACCTATTATTGGCAGGTCACCTCACATCTCTGAGCCCATTTACTCATCTGTGTGATGGGAACAATAATAAAGATGGCATGGAGGGAGCTGGGTAGATCAAAGGTGGTGATGGATGAGAAACTGGGAACCCTGTCTTCACGGCTGTGCCAGAAGCCACTGGCAAAATATCAAACAGAACAAGCAAACAATCAGCTTTCCTAATGTCAGCTACCCAGCTTTCTCAAATGCAGAGAATCCCAGACTGTGTAGCTGCCCTTCCCTGCAAGGCAGGGATCAGGCCCTAGTGATTGGGACCATACTTCATGGAGCTGTGTTCCATACCATCTGCTTGTAAACAACTCAAATAAAAGAGTAATAGCTAACCTTACCAATACTGCACTACAAACCAGCAACTGCACTAAGTGTTTTAGAAACAATGCTATGAAGTAGGTAGAAGGCATTCTTGTTCTCATGTTACAGACAAGGAAACTGAGGCACAGAGTGGTTAAGTAGCTTACCCAAGGTTTCCCAGCCAGCCAGTGGCAGATTTGGGACTCACACCGACAGAAACCAGTTGTGGAGGCTTTCGTCGTTAGGTCACGCTGCCTCTCCAGAAAATGAGGATGGCTGGAAAAAAGTAGGGGCAAACAGTTCAGTCACAAAGAGTCTCTCTCCCTCCACTTCTTACATTTTGGGAGCAGGAGTTTCAACCTTACACTGGAAGGAGATAAATGAACTTGAGCTGCAGGTAAAAACGTGCAAATCTCACATTTGATGTCAAGCATTGTGTTGAGTGAAAAAGCAGAAGAATGATACACTATGATGTTATGTACATACCAAAAAAAATTTTTTGAGACAGAGTCTTGTTCTGTCACCCAGGCTGAAGTGCCATGGCACTCATAGCTTACAGCAGCCTCAACTTCCCAGGCTCAAGTGGTTCTCCCACCCCAGCCTCCCAAGTAGCTGGGACTACAGGCATGTACCACCACATGCAGCAAATTTTTTATTTTTGTAGAGACAGGGTCTCACTATATTGCCCAGGCTGGTCTCTAACCCCTGGGCTCAAGTGATCCTCCTGCCTCAGCCTCCCAAAGTGCTGGGATTACAGGCATGAGTCATCTTGCCCAGCCCACAGAGTTTTAAAACATATAAAAGATTATGTATTACCTAGAGATTCATACACAAACGGCAACAGCATCAAGACATTCCTGGGAATGATGAACATCTCCTTCATAATTCACCTCGGAAGCAGGGGAGGGATGAATAAAAGCTTTCTAATATATCTGTATTTTAAAAAATCAAGGTGGATGATAGGAACATGGGTGTTCAGTAAATCACTCTTTATGTCTTTCTCTATGTATGAAATATTTTTTGATTTGAAAAATAATTTTCCAATGCTAACAACTCAGTGTTGGTGTCTGGTTCACTTGCTGACCCTTAGTTTATATTAGCTTCCACCCCTTTAAATCAGTCAATTATCAGACGGCCTCCAGACTCTACTAAGAAGAACAAAAGCTAACCTTTATTGAGAGCTTACTATGTACTAGACACTGTTAAATGCATTACATACATTGACCCCCTCATATTCACAGTAACTCTATAAGGTGAGGACTATTATTATCTCCATTTTACAGATGAGGAAACTAAGGCTTAAAGAGATATGGTAACTTTTTTTTGTTGTTTTTTGAGACAGTCTCACTCTATCGCCCAGGCTGGAGGGCAGTGGCATGATCTCGGTTCACTGCTACCTCTGCCTCTGGGGTTCAAGCGATTCTCGTGCCTCAGCCGCACCAGTTGCTGGGATTAGAGGTGGCCTGCCACCATGCCCACTAATTTTGTATTTTTAGTAAAGAAGGGGTTTCATCATGTTGGACAGGTTGGTCTCGAACTCCTGACCTCAAATGATCTGCCCACTTCAGCCTCCCAAAGTGCTGGGATTACAGGTGTGACCCACAAGATCTGGTAACTTTCTATGGTTCCTCAGTTAATATATGGCAGAGCTAGGATTTGAATTCACATTTGTTTGACCTCAAGGCCTGAATTCAAGCAAAATGCAGGTGTTAGGGAAGGGGAGAGGCAAGCAGGAGGGATGACATGGCCCCCGTTCTCAAGGGTCTTCTAGTCCACCGTGAATGCCATGGTTTCTTCATTCTCCAGGCTGCTGGGAGTGCCGCCAGGACTTGTCCTTGGCTGCAATGAGATGACCAACCCAAGGACACAATCTTCCTGAAGCAGCTGTATCCAATGACTGTTGACCATTGATACGGGTGTATTACAACCCAGCCCTCACTCAACTCTGATGGCCATCCCAGCTCTAGATCACTTGGAGGGTGGCTGAGACATTTGTTGGGACTGCATTGCAGCTCAGCTTCTCCCTCTGCCCCCTCCTGCATCGGTCACTCCCCCATGATGTAGGTCCCAAGTGTTATCCTCAAGAATCTTCTTGAACACAGATCTCCTTCTCAGAACCTGCTTCCCAGAGAATTGTCCTGGGACACAGTCTAGTAGGCAAGAAAGGTTTTCACAGAGGATGCAAAGACAACCCCATACCACACTGTAAACATCCATGGGAGAGCCATCAAGAGGGCCCAAGGAGTTAACAAAAGCATTCTGGGGGACATGAGGATTAAGCTGACCCTTGAAAGGGGAAATTAGAACATTTGCCATAAAAAGGAATGAAGTATCGATAGAGCTACAACATAGATGAACTTTGAAACCATTACGCTAAGCAAAAGAAGTCAGACACAAAACACCGCACTTCTGATTCTGTGCATATGAAATGTCCAGAACACGGAACTCTGTAGAGACCCACAGTAGACTAGTGCTTACCTGGGGTGCCAGCATGGGGCTGGGGGATCTGGGAGGTGATAGCTAAGGGGTATAGGGAGATGATGAGAATATTCTACAAGTGACTGTGGTGAAGAATGAACATATCTGTAAATATACCAAAAACTACTGAATCTTACACTTTAAATAGATGAATTATATGGTATGTGAATTATGTCTCAATAATGCTATTTTTAAAAGGGGAGAATGTGGATAGGTTGACAGGCAAGAATGTGGAGAGAATTGCAGGTGGGTAAAAACGTGAGTGTGAGATCCATGTGAGCGTGAACCTGTGGTGCGGGGTAGGGTGCTGATGGGAAACAGGAAAGAGCAAAGGTGGCTGGAAGGCTGCAGCCAGGGACGGGAGGCCTGAAGTCGGAGCAGGTAGGAAGCTTGTCCCAGAAGATCTGAGAGTAATGAGTTGAAAATGGGGCCTTAGGCTGTTAGGTCTGTGTAGAAAGGAAGACGGGAATAGTGGGGAAGCTGAGAGACCAGCTGGGGAACTGAGACGGAAAAGGACATTTAACACCACAGTGTGCATGTGTGTGTGTGTGTGTGTGTGTGTGTGTGTGTGCGCGCGTGTGTGTGTTTTAAACCAGGAACTATAATAGTTTAAAACACACACACACGTGTGCACACTGTGGTATTCAATGTCCTTTTATGTCTTTCTCAACACATGGGGCTTATTCCTACATCTCTCCCACAAGACCATCCGTTTCACAAACTTAACACTCAGTCACATCCCTTTCCACCATGATGAGGTTCCTATCAAGTCCTCTTGCCAGTTCCTAAGAGTCTCCCTTGAGACAGCAGTGAATTTAGGCGGGTGCCCAACCTCCCTATCAATCTTGTTATCACCTCAAGGGTGCCTTCTCACCCCCTAAACCAAAGCTGTCACGTGGGTAGGAACTTTCATTTGGTTAAAGATAAAAATCACCTTTCTACTCCCCAGACCTTACCCATCTGCCATCTGAGACCACAGAATCACTCTCACCCACAGTTGAGGGTGAGCCAAGACTCTGTCCACTTCTGTCATTGTGAATGACATCAGCCCAGACTGCTCGGGCCATGCTCCAAACTCAACTTACCTTGGAAACATGGAACTTTAGAGCTGGATGGCCATGGAGGGTCCCCCAGCTCCGCCCTGCCATTTGACAATAAAGAGTCTGGGGCTTCTGCCTGTCATTAACTGGGGGATTGAAGGGCTTCTCTTCCCTTTGAGTCCCCCCAACTTGAACCACCAAGCAGTCTGAGGAAATCTTCCAGGGTCAGTCTGGAAACCTTCCAGTGCCCCAGGGTGACTAGATCAGAATGCACTTAGCTGCCAGTCACCAGGGTACGTACTTGCTGTGCAGACCCTGTCGCTAGGCTTCAGTCTATAAGAAAAAGGCCCCTGACAATGTGTGTACAATGTGCAGAGATTAGAGGCCTGGAAGGCTGCCTTGAACTAAAATCAGCTCCCAGGAGCAGAGGTGGAGGAATGGGGGAGATAGGGGTCACCTGCCAGTTTGGGAATATCATAATAAGTCCAGGGTGGGGGGGTTAGGCAGGCTACATGAGGAAAGGCAGGAGGGTCCCAGGAAATGTGAGTTACCCACTGGGCTGCTCAGAGCTGTGCTTGGTGGGTGCAGGGTGGGTGGGGGGGCAGGCGTTGAACCTGACTCCCCTCTCCAAAATGGCTGCCACAGTCATCTGGCCTCTCCCCAAGGCTCATTCAGGGAGCAGGGTCCTTGGTCTCACCTTACCTCTTTTCTGACGCAGACATTCGGACACTGCCCAGTGAGGCCATGGGAAGAACATTTGAGACCGTCAGGAAACCCCAACACTTAGTCTCTGCCCCACTCCACTTCCTGTATCCCCAAACATTGTGTGATGTTAGACAAGTCACCAAGACCACGTGGGTGAAGGTGAAGGGAGACAGGATAACAGCGGTCAGGAGCATGAGTTCTGGAATCATAGAGGACTGGGTTTGAAGCCCAATCCCACCACTCACTGGCTCCTTGGACTTAACCTCTTTAAACCTCAATTCCTCATCTAGTAGCACCTCATGAGCTTGCTATGGGGCTAAAGGAGGAATTAGTGAGTTAACGCAACAAGAGCTTCTAGTCCAGGGTCCCCAAAACCCTCACACCCAATGCCACTGTGTCCAATCCATAAGCCCTTCCTTCCTTCTCTTACTTTTCTTCCTTCCCCATTTAGTAGCTGCTTTATCACACTTCTATGTTTTTATTTTTAAAGCTACACATTCCCATAGTGTAATGAATCACATAGTTCTACAAGGCTCACCGCTCCAATTTTCCCCATCTCAAAGGACCACTTAGGCTCTCTGCTCTTTAATACTTTTGATACACCTGAAGTTGTGCCATCCTCGGAAAGGGAATTAATCAGACAACAGAGATGATCTAAGCTTGTGTTTGCAAAGCTGTTTCTTCCCTCACTCTTGTGAGATTGGGTCCAGAACAGCTCAATCAAGCAATTTAGAGGAAGAATCCTCAGAGAGGGAGCAGGAGGAACACAGCTGTTTAATTAAAATATGTAGTCACTGTACATTTTGGTTTTGGTCAATGTACAGCGCCTGCTTCATCATAAACCCGAGTGCTGACGGCTCTGCCTGGCCTGGGAAGAGGATCACTTATCAAGCATAGATCAGTACTGACATCCAGTGGTCACAGAGAATTATCTGCCTGAAGCTCTTCATTTTTCTCTTCCCAAAAATGAATGGGTATTCACACAGAGGAAGGAGGAGTGGCGAAAAATGACAGCTACCAGTGCTGTTAACTTTGGAGAACTGTGCAACTTGCAGCCAGATACCAAGTAACTCAGGTCAAGGCCTTGCCAGTTTGCAAGATGTCCATGGTTATTTGAGTGCTGACCCAAGAGCCAGGAGGAGAAATGGGGCCCATCTTCGTAAGGGGGTAAGACCATAAAGAATAAAACACACCAGCCATGGTGGCTCACACCTGTAATCCCAGTGTTTTGGGAAGCCAAGGCAGGGGAATCACTTAAGACCAGGAATTCAAAACCAGCCTGGGTAACATAGTGAGACCTCATCTCTACAAAAAATTAAAATAAAAATAATTAGCTGGGCATCAATCTCATGACTGGGTATATACCCAAAGGATTATAAATCTTTCTACTATAGAGACACATGCACACATATGTTTATTGTGGCATTCTTTATAGTAGCAAAGACTTGGAACCAACCCAAATGCCCATCAACGATAGACTGGATAAAGAAAATGTGGCACATATACACCATGGAATACTATGCAGCCATAAAAAAGGATGAGTTCATGTCCTTTGCAGGGACATGGATGAAGCTGGAAACCATCATTCTCAGCAAACTAACACAGGAACAGAAAACCAAACACCACATGTTCTCACTCATAAGTGGGGGTTGAACACTGAGAACACATGGACACAGGGAGGGGAATATCACACACCGGGGCCTGTCAAGGGGTGGGGGCCTAGGGGAGGGATAGCATTAGGAGAAATACCTAATGTAGATGACGGGTTGATGGGTGCAGCAAACCACCACGGCACGTGTATATCTATGTAACAAACCTACACTTTCTGCACATGTATCCCAGAACTTAAAGTATAATAAAACAAAATTAGCTGGGCATGGTGATGTGCACCTGTAGTCCTAGCTACTTGGGAGGCTGAGGTGGGAAGATCCCTTGAGCCCAGGAATTCCAGGCTGCAGTGAGCTGTGATCATGTCACTGCACTCCAGCCTGGGTGACAGAACGAGAGATGTCTCTAAAAATATAAAAAATAAAAATAAATTTCAAAGAAGAATAAAACACAAGTGGCTCCATGGCTTCTAGAAAACATACTGGGTTTTGACTTAGAAACCTTGATTCAAGACCTGGCGCTGCTTCTGTGTCACCTGCAGCAAGTCCCTTAAGCTCTCTGCACTGGAGCTTCCTCCTCTTTGAAGTGAGGCTAATGCCAGCTGCTCTGCCAGCCTCATAGGGTGGTGGTGATGCCAAATGGGAATGCATATGCAAAAGAGTTTTGTAAACTGTACAGTGCTGCACAGCTGGGGCTGCTGGGATGTGGGTGTTGATGGATAGGGTAGGGCAAAGTGGAGCTGGTGAGGAGGTACTATGGCCAGATGGAGGCATGGCCAGATGACAAATTGCACTTCTGGTTTCCAATTTCTCTCAAGCCTCAGAGACTCTGCCTTGGACTGTCAGGATGACCTCATCAGAGAAGGGCATTCCTCATTTTTCTCTGGACTCAAATCTCTGACATAAACGTTGGTAAGTAACTTCAAATGCCACTTAACTTTGAAAATTGCATATCAAACAGGTTTTTAAAAATAGAATCCTGTTAGCAGGGCATGGTGGTGAGCACCTGTAATCCCAGCTACTCAGGAGGCTGAAGCAGGAGAATCACTTGAACCTGGGAGGCGGATGTTGCAGTGAGCCAAGATCGTGCCACTGCACTCCAGCCTGGGTGATAGAGCAAGACTCTGTCTCAAAAAAGAATAGAATCCTATCCTGAAGGAAAAATGTGAGTCATCATTCATTCTATGTTAAAGGAAGCTATTGTTAATATCAATTGGACTAGTAGACTACGCACTTTTCACTCTCTCATAATTTTTTTCTTGTGTTTCTATTTGTATTTGGTCTAGTATCTGGTCTAGGAAAACTAGTTTTGCAAAGTGGTTCTAAATGAAATTATGGGATGACCAGAGATAGAGAAATGGTGTGTGCACACAGAGGAAATGTAGAGAGATGATTTTGGAGGCTTAGAGACCACACTTCTGACTCTTTCAATTTGTGCCAACAGATTTCATAAACTACTGGGAGGAACTTTAAGAAGTTTAGTCTTCCTAGTTGAGCTTAATTTAAAAGAAACAGAAAAGCAATTCTCTCATGCTTTTTAAGGGATCAGACAGCTTTGAACGCAAAGAAATATGCTGCTTTTTCCAGATTTCCGTATCAGTGTGTGTGTAAAGAAAAAAAAAAAACCCACTCTAGCTAGCTTAAACAAAAGAGGTTTATCACAAATAGTTTATAGAATTATAGGAAGGGCTGAATAAAAGTACAATTTCCAGTCACAGAATCCAGTAGCAAAATCAGTCTACAAGAGAGTAGCTGGCTCATTAACCATCAGAAAGTTACCTGCTAAACTGAAAAGCTTCCTGCTGAAGCGGCTGCAGAACCACATCACAGCTGCTCTAATGCAAACTAGCAAATGGTGCTCTGCACCCTCTCCACAAAGTCAGTAATCAGACAGGAGACCTCTGCTAACACAGCCCCAATAAAGTCCAATCCCTCCAAGCTGTGCTTGTCAGCTTACGCCTTCCAAATCTTATCTAAGAGTGCCTGACTGCCTAACTGTTAAAGATAACAAAAAATGGCCAGGCGCCGTGGCTCACGCCTGTAATTCCAACACTTTGGGAGGCCAAGGCAGGCGGATCACGAGGTCAGGAGATCGAGACCATCCTGGCTAACACGGTGAAACCCCTTCTCTACTAAAAATACAAAAAAATTAGCCGGGCATGGTGGCACGTGCCTGTAATCCCAGCTACTCGGGAGGCTGAGGCAGGAGAATGGCATGAACCCGGGAGGCGGAGCTTGCAGTGAGCCGAGATCGCACCACTGCACTCCAGCCTGGGCGGCAAAGCAAGACTCCGTCTCAAAAAATAAATAAATAAAAAATAGGAAATGAAGTGAAACATGAATGTTTTACTACCTCAATCCCATTCTCCAATGAGAATCACTATTAACAATTTGGAGTGTAGCCTCTCAGTGATTTTTGTACATCGTTTGCCAGGGAAGGGGGGTGGTTGGATTACATATTGTTCTGCGATTTTTTTTTTTGTCACTTGAATACATATCCTGGACATCTTTCCATGGGAAGACATGTGACTAGCTCATTTTTTAAAAAGAGCTGCTAAGTGTGCTATCGGAGAGATGCCCTACCTGATGGACACTGAGGTCATCTCTAATTATTCCCTGTTATGCATAATGCAAAAGGAACAGCTGTTCAGGCATTTGGAAAAGTCAGATTTCTAGAAGTGAAAACTCTGCACCACATTTTGATGCAATATCTTTCTAATAAGCACGCAGTCAGGAGAATCCATTCAGCCAGCTTTTTAAGACCAAAAAAAACAAAAAAAATAGCCTAAGCCCTAAAGATGTTGATGCAGCAGACACTGATGGAGCCTCAGTTGTCAGCATGAGGGTTTCAAAAACACCCCTCCCCCCGCCCCAATTTCTATCCCTAAGGGGCCTGCCGTTTGCAAAAAGCAGACAGGGTCTTGTTGTGCAAGTGCACAGCTAGTTAGCGTCTGGGCCAGGGAGGTGAAGCAAAAAGGGCCAGGAGAGCAGGAGAGAGGACATGGCTTTGACCTTGATGGGCAGTGGATCCTGGGGGTGTCAGATAGCTAGGGTTAAGAATCCCACTCTGCCACATGGGGGAGGCAGCAGAAAGACTGTGTCACACATCATCTACTAGGTCCCCACATGAAGGGAACTGTTTGGCAAAGTGCGCACCAGGTGCTACAAATCACCCCAAAGTGTGTTTCATCTGCAGCTGGTTTTTTTTTTTTTTTTTTTTTTTTCTTCTTTTTGAGACAGTCTTGCTCTGTCACCCAGGCTGGAGTACAGTGGCATGATCTCGATTCACTGCAACCTCCGCCTCCTGAGTTCAAGCAATTCGTGTCTCATCCTCCCGAGTAGCTGGGATTACAGGTGTGTGCCACCATGCCCGGCTAATTTTTGTATTTTTAGCAGAGATGGGGTTTCACCATGCTGGCCAGGCTGGTCTTGAACTTCTGACCTCAAGTGATCCACCCACCTCAACCTCCCAAAGTGCTGGGATTACAGGCATGAGCCATCATGCCCGGCCTGCAGCCATGTTTAAAACCTTCACTTCAGTTTGTCTACACAAGCTGAGTTGCCCTCATTCCTCCTGCATCTCAGCCAATCCCAGCCTTCACCTGGACATACAGTGACCTTAGCAATAAGAGCTGCAGTGGCCATGTGTCACTGTTCCTGGACCAAACTGAGGGTCAGGCTGCTATTTCTTGTGGCCCAGTAACAAGATGCAGATGAACTGGGGAGGAAGAGAGTTTTTATTTCTGCAACAGGTAACAGGGAGAAGGCCTGGAAATTATTGTCAGACCAACTCAAAATTACAAAGTTTTCCAGAGCTTATATACCTTCTAAGCTACATGTCTACATGTAAGTGTGTAAGTGTGCATTCATCTAAAGACATAAGTGATTAACTTTTTTTAATGCATAACTAAGGTCTGAGTCCTGAAGACCTTCCTCTGGAGCCTCAGTAAATTTACTTAATCTAAATGGGCCCAGGTGCTGAAGTGATTATCCTTATCTTGTCTCCTGCTAAATCATAAAGGTTTGGGGAATTCCTTTACACCCCCAGTAAACTTGTTTGTGGAAGCCTGGGGAGTTTCTTCAGACCCTCAATAAAACTTGTTTCATCCTAAATGGGTCCTGTTAAGAATTCTTTTGTTATTTTGTCATGTTTTAAAGCCCAGGAAAGACCTAGGCAAAACTCTTGGTGGGCTTTTGTTACATTCCAGTCTTTGTATAAGGACACTGACTCTTTCCACTTTTAATATTTAACTTAACTACTCAGTCAGTACGAAACAGTTGTCATGGAGGCCTGCATTAGTGAGACCTGACCTGCCACATCACTACATCTACTGTCTCCATTTCCTGCTTCTCTCCCCAACAGTATTCTGATTTGCCTTTAGAGAATCCTTTCTCCTCCCTTCTCTGCCATGGAACTGGGAGAGGATTGCTTAGCCCCTCGCTGCAACACAGCACCCTCCCCCAGCCAGTGTTTTAATCAAAACTGGGCATCTGCCCCAGCCTCGGTCATCAAGGAAAAGCACATCTCTGCACTGTGCAAAATCCATGGGGGTGGGGTAAAACCCTTTTTCTCTGAAGATCTGAAACTGAGGCATGCTGCTGCAATAAGAGAAGCCTAAAGTTTCTCAAGGTCATTCTGCGAAAACTGAGGAAGGCAGATTAGAGGGGTGAAGAAATTCGTTCAGGGACATCAATAGAGCCTGGGTCAAGCATCACCTGAAGGTAGACTGTCTCTAGACTTCTAAATTACATTAGCTTTTTTTTTTTTTTTTTTTTTGAGACAGTCTCATTCTATCACCTAGGCTGGAGTGCAGTGGCACAATTTCGGCTCACTGCAACCTCTACCTCTCAGGTTCAAGCAATTCTCATCCCTCAGCCTCCCAAATAGCTGGGACTACAGGCGTATGCCACCACACCCAGCTAATTTTTGTATTTTTAGTAGAAACAGGGTTTCACCATGTCGGCGAACTCCTCACCTCAAGTGATCCAACTGCCTTGGCCTCCCAAAGTGCTGGGATTACAGGCATGAGCCACCGTGCCTTGCCCTACCTTAGCTTTTAAACTTGCTTTATTGTCTAAACCAGTTTAAGCTGGGATTTTCTGTCATTTGCATCATAAAGAGGTCTGGCGCAGAGAAAGATACCTTTCTGCATATCGTCCACAGAGGCTTTCCTCTTCTACAGCTTCAAAAAAAAAAACAACAACCTGTGTGCAACTGCTGCCCCTAGTTGCTGCCTCAGAAACTAATTCCTGCTGGCCCCTCAGTGGGAGTTCTTTGAATGCATGTCCTAGAAAGTGAACTCACTCACACTGGAGGACGCGAGGAATCAAAACAAGGGCCTTCAACACTCCAGGATTCCGCATTCTCTCCTTGGCCTCTGGCTTCATTCTCCCAAACCTGCTTTCTGTGCAAAGCTGGAACACAGCTACCCTCAGGCTCACGTGTGCAGTGGCTGCCCAGGAAGAAGAGTATACGCCTCTAGCTCAAGGTATAAGAACCCAAAGAACGACTCTGATTGGCCCTGTGTGGGCCACAAGTACATTGTTGGGCCAATCACTGCAGCCAGAGGAGCAAGATACCACCGTAGCCCTAGAACCAATTCACTGAAATGAGGAAGGTGCTGTTCCTTGAGAGGGGAGAGCAAAGCTGAAAAAGAGGGTAAGAGGTACTGACAAGTCATAATAAAAGCGTCCACAACACCTCACGGAGCTGTTGTGCAGATCGTTGATAATGGGTGCAAAAGAGCTTCTGTAAGGTGGCTTTGTTTAAAGCACACTATGCAATGTTTGCTGTAATTTGTGAATGACCTTTGTGGAGTGAACCCAGGCAGGACTTAGAGGTACGTGTGATCACCTTGTAACTTGCTTGATGTCCTTGGCCAATTCTTTAAAACTCCACAGGTTCACTTCTTTAAGAATTACATGATATGGCCGGGAGCTGTGGCTCACGCCTGTAATCCCAGCACTTTGGGCGGCCGAGGCGGGCAGATCACTAGGTCAGCAGATCGAGACCATCCTGGCTAACATGGTGAAATCCCATCTCTCCTAAAAAAGAAGTACAAAAAATTAGCCGGGCATGGTGGCGGGTGCCTGTAGTCCCAGCTACTCGGGAGGCTAAGGCAGGAGAATGGTGTGAACCCGGGAGGCGGAGCTTGCAGTGAGCGGAGATGGGCCACTGCACTCCAGCCTGGGCAACAGAGTGAGACTCCGTCTCAAAAAAAAAAAAACAAGAATTACATGATATAACATGCCTAGTACAATGCCTAAGGCACATTCCTCCCATTTAGACTTGCCATGGAAGAAAAATTTTAAACCTCAAAGTGGAAGTCTTTTCTGAAGATGTCAGCAGCAGGAAACTCTGAAACGCTGGGCCCCCAGACTGAGCAAGGCCTAATTTTGCAAGGAAAGAGCCAATGTCATATCAATCTTGACCTGGATGCTTTTCAAGATATTGTCCAAAAAAAAAAATTATAAGAAAGAAAGAAAAGGGTATTATCCATAGCAAAGAAATACCAAGGGAAATAAGCGAAGAAAATGTGAGCCCAGAGTGAGCATTTTTCCCCTGCTCAAGCCAATTGTTCAGTTAACATGTTTTTTTTTTAAGATTCAACAAATGTTGAGTCTGGATATCAATTCTTTAGGTTGCAGAGTCCAAAGCTGGCAAGGCAGTGTGCATGCGGAGTTCTTCAGCCATTCACACACATCCTTCATTGACCCTGGGCCCAACACCTGCATGCTGGGCATGGGACCTAACGAGATGGCTTATATCCATGGTCAATACATACCCCAGAATTTCTAAAACTGTCCCAGTTTGAAATAGCCTGCCCTGCTCTCCTCTCAAGCACATACCCCACTCACTCTACATCCCATTTTGTTTTCTTCCTTGGGCTTCTCTCCATTCAAAACTGTCTTAGTTGTTCATTTCTTGGTTTACCTGTTTATTTTCTGCTGTCCCCCATTAGAATGTCAGCTGCATGAAGACAGCCCTCATCTGTCCTGCTCATTACAAGAGCTCCAGCTCTCATCAGACCTGGCATATGGTGGTCACTCAGCAATATTTATTAAGTGGAATTGAATTGAATCGAATGATCAAAGAGTTGTAAGGCCATGTGATCTGCTTTTTGTTTTACAAGAGAAAGTCACAGCACTTGAATTTGAAACTTCACTCCCTTGTGGGCCTCCCAGTAAAGTCATGAGCTGGGCATTACTATTATCCTTATTTTGTAGATGAGAAAATAAACTCTCAGAGAGGTCCATGGTTTGCCTGACATCATGTGACTGGGGAAGGGCAGAATCAGGACGCGCAGTCCAGTGCTCCTCCATCTCAGCACACACGTGTCAAGGCTAGATGAAGGATAGCAGAGCAGAAGCAGCAATGAAGAAGCTTAGAGAACAGAATCAGTTGGGGAAACCCAAATGTTGCACTTATTTAGTTGTAAAACTCTTCCTGCGGGCCTCATGTAACTTCGATTCAGACAGTTTGAAGTTGCTGCATTCTCTCATGACATCTCCTATAGAAGCAATGGTCTTTCTTAAGGTGCAGGTGTGGGGTTTTAAGGACAAAGAGCTCCTGCCATGTCAGATGCTTGATATAGTTTGGTTTCTGTGAGTCAGGACACTTTAGTCACAAGGAACAGAAATGCATCTCAAACTAGCTCAAACTAAAAAGAAGGGGAGAGCTGCAGCTGAGCCATAGGAACAATGAAACCAGGGATTCAAAAGCTGACTTCCTCTGTATGTGGATTTTACACTCTCTCACTGCAGCCCAGTTTTCTCTGAACGATTGAGAACATGCCAGCTCACAGCTTCTGTCTCACATCCTAATGCCTCCTACCTCCAAATGGTTCGAATTTGGAAAATTCTCAGGGAAGAACTCTAATTGGCTCAGCTTGGGTCAGGTGCCCACCACTGGACCACTCAAGTGCATGGGTGTGGCACAGGGATGGGGTCACATAGCCCAAACTCAGTCCTGCTCCTATGTATCTGAGGCTCATCCTGAGAAGGGGCAGTTGGGATGCAGGCATTCACCCCATCAGTATCACTGCTGTTTGGTGCCTGATAATTTTCATAGCCATGTTGCCTCTTCAATTACTTCCATAGCACTAAGAGGTTCCTGCTCTTCGTAAATTAAAACAATACAAACTCCTGCAACCTCTCAGCATTATTAAGTGGTAAGACAGAAATGGGCTGACTGACTTCTCAAAAGCCTCCAACTCCTACCCGTCCATAGTTTCTGGATGGCAATTTCTCTACAGGTCCCACTGTTCTTCCCAAACCTGGGCATTCCTCTGCTCTCTCCTCCCCAACCAGAAAGGCAGGTGCCCAGAGAGCACGATGGGTCTGAAGAATAAACGTGGCTGGAGAGGATGAATTCGGTTGCATTGTGACCAACAGGAGGAAACTATTGGACTACAAATGCAGCTGTGAAAGCCAAACATGCAAAAGACAGTTCCAACACCGCAGTCCTGCCCTTTGCTAAGAGGAATGGAGACAGTGAAAATTAAGGAAGTGGTTGATGCTTCCCATCAACAGGGGTCAGTACTTTTAGTAGTGACTGCTGGGTCATAAAATGAAGATAAATGAATGAAGCCAAGTGTTTCTAATGATGGTCTCGAGGCTCAGGGAGACCTTTAAAATAACAAAAGAAAATTGAAACAGTGTGGCACCTCTGTAACAAGATTTGAGATTCAATACGGATCCAATGCCTGCTACCCCTAAGATTTGCCTGTATTCCCCCAAGGGATGCCCAAAACACCTGTATCAGGCCTTTCTTTCTTTGGTGTATGGCACTGAACTGGGTTTAAAAGTATATAGCAGTAGCCTGTAATCCCAGCACTTTGGGAGGCCAAGGTAGGCAGGATCACCTGAGGTCAGGAGTTCGAGACCAGCCTGGCCAATGTGGTGAAACCCCATCTCTACAAAAAATACAAAAAAAAAGTAACTGGGTGTGATGGTGCATGCCTGTAATCCCAGCTACTTGGGAGGCAGAGGCACAGGAATCGCTTGAACCCGGGAGGCGGTTCAAGTGAGCCGAGATCATGCCACTGCACTCCAGCCTGGCGACAGAGCAAGACTCCATCTCAAAAAAAAAAAAAAAAAGTATATAGCAGTAGGTGGATGACAGTTACCTGATATTTATAGGGCCAACAGAGCAAGTGGGGATTACACGCGGGAAGGCCTCCCAAGAGCCAGGTGGGAGGCAATATGACCTAGGACTTGAGGAAGGAGTAGTAATTAGACACTAAATGGCTGGGGTGGGGAGAAAAGTGTGGAAGGAAAGCAAAAGAGAAGGTAAGGTCAACAGCAAGTTCACGACAGCCCTGAATGTCATCCAATGAGTTTAGACTACACCTGTAAGAATTGAGCAACCACAGATCACTTTCCAGGGAGGCACTTGTGACCTGGAAGAGGAAGAGCTGTGGGCCACTCGGGCCCCAGGGCACAGCCAGGTCTGCATCTTTCTGCCTTCCCTCAGGGCAGCTGCCTCCCCCATCAGATCCTAGCCTGCTCTCTGGCCAGCTCCCTTAACAGTAGAAAGCTGCCTGACGGAGATGAGAGATAAGACCCAGGAAGGACACAAGGTGGAAGATCCAGGTGAGATCAGCCCAGCTGGGGAGATGGCCGGTAGCAGTTTCAAGGCCATCAACCTCATGTTAGAGCTGCTGGTGCCAGGCCAAGGTTAGAAAGGCGGGGCCTCTTTTGGCCGAGAAGGCATTGTGCCTTTCTGGTGAGGCCAGTGGAGTAAGGGATTTATCACACCTGGACCAGGTGTTTATTACACCTGGACCAGAGGAAGCCCCTCCTTGGCTGGCAGTGCAACTGCCCAGAGGCTGGTATCATCAGAGCTGTTGCGGTCAGGCAGCCCAGAGAACAACTTGGCTGCTACCTCTGCTCCTGGGAGCCATGGAGGTCCCTGGGAAACCAGCACAAAATCGATAGGACTTGGTTGTAATGGCTGTGCCCTGGCACTCTCTCTCTCTCCATCCCCTCCCTTTAGTAAAAGGCAACTCTCCTGATTAGTTTCTGGTTGCCTATCATTGTTCCTGACTTGTAATCAATCTCAAGGTGTGCCAGGATGCTTTCTATTTACTTAGAATTGCTTGCCTAGGCCTGCTGAGTTGGCAATCCTATTAGCAGGATTTTTTTTTTCATTGTGTTTGTGAAATGAAATAAAATAAAAAGGCCCTGTCTCCAGAGGGTTCTTTCTTTCCCATTTTTCTGAAAACCATCAGGCTCTGGGAAGATCGTAAGGCCTTTTTGTGGGGTGAAGTGTGCCTCTCTGTCTTTGGTGCTAGGAAGAGTTGGGAGAAGGCAAGCTGGCTCCTCCAGCCAGAGGCAGGCAGAGAAAAGTCCTTCCTTTCTTTAATGGGGACAGCATCCAGGTGAGAATGGAGGAAGAGATCCCTAACTGGCTAAAGCAAAAAAAGTCAGGCAACGGAAACCATGGCCACGAGGCTAGGTTACAGGATAAGGCACTCAAGGCAGGGAGATGGGTTTCAGTCCCAGTTCTGTCCCTGCCATCTGGTGGCCTTGAGCAAGTGATTCAAGCTCTCTGTGAGTCAGTCTCACTTTTCCTCATTTGTAAAGTGGAAGGAACGCTTCCTGCCTTGTGAGGTGGCCATGAGGAGGAAATGAAATCTCAGCTGTATAATTCCTTGGCACAATGACTGGTGCAAAGACAACATCCAGCAAATATTCTGGTGGTTCCTTTTCGGACATTACATTCTATAGTGCTAGATCGTAGAGCCTGGCTTCTGATGGTAGAGGAAAGATCAGGGTCTTTTTTTCGGTTGTTTGTTTGTTTGAGACGGAGACTCACTCTGTCACCGAGGCTGGAGAGTAGTGGTGCGATCTGGGCTCACTGCAACCTCCGCCTCCCAGGTTCAAGCGATTCTCCTGCCTCAGCCTCCCAAGTAGCTGGGATTACAGGTGCATGTACCCCAGCTAATTTTTTTCTTTTTAGTAGAGATGGGGTTTCACCACGTTGGCCAGGCTGGTCTCGAACTCCTGACCTCAAGTGATCTGCTCGCCTCGACCCCCCAAAGTGCTGGGATTACAAGCGTGAACCACCACACCTGATCTCTTCTGGGTCCTTTGGAGGGACTAATAAAGATTTGGGAAAGACTTTGGGGGCCTGAAGCACACCTAGTACTCATGAGAAGAGAGGGCAGTAAGCTTTCCTGAAACCACTCCAAGAACGTGAATTGCTGCAGGAGTACAAAAAAGCTCTCACACCACTAACAGGGAGAATTCCAGGGCACTCTTCTGGGTCATGGACCTCATCATCCCCCACACTGTGCTCCATGCAAACAGTCTTTGTGTTAGAGTCTATGTGAAGCACATTCTTAGATGGCCGTGTTGGTGGCTGACTTCTCTATCCCCCAGAGCACAGGCTTAATGCACAATGAAGCACTCCTTACTTTATGCCATAGAGAAAGGGAAGAGTGAGCTCCCCAGTGAGATGTCAGGAGAAATTTAAAGTGAATTTCATAGAACAGAAATACATAAAGAATAAAATTCCTCCTTCAAACCCACACTTGGATGGAAATCTTGTAGCCATCCCCTAGTGAGATATTAAACACTAAGTCAAACGCTTGTGTTGAAAAGGGTCTGTGACAAAAAGCAGGCTAAAAAGTTGTGCCTACTGTCTGAGCTATGTTGTTAAAATGCACCTAAAAAATTCTAAGTCAGAAATACAACTTCTTGTCTCTAGGATATAGATGTTGAAGGGGGTTTTTTTTGTTTGTTTTTTTACTTCTCCCTACTCTTCTGTACTTTATTAATTTTTCAGTGGACTTGTGGCTTTACATAAGTTGGGTAACCCTTAACCAAAATGCTTGGGACCAGAAGTGTTTCAGATTCCAGACTGTCAGATTTGGGAATATTTGCATATACATAATAAGATATCTTAGGGATGAGAAACAAGTCTAAACATGAGATTCGTTTATGTTTTATATATACCTTATGTGTATAGCCTGAAAGTACATTTATACAATATTTTAAATAATTTTGTGCATGAAACAAAATTTTGACTGCGTTTTGACTGCAAGACATCCCATGAGGTCAGGTGTGGAAGTTTCTACTTGTGGTGTCATGTGGGCGCTCAAAAAGTTGCAGATTTTGGAGTTTTGGATTAGGGAGGCTCAACCTCTAATAATAATAATAACAATTATAGGGAGGAGGAAGAAGACGAAAAAAAGAACGTCTAACATCCTCTCAGGCCTCTGTTCCCATTTAAAATCATGATTTTCCTCTCTGGATACCAAGAAGTAAGTGGAGAGGAGGAAGGAAGAACAACACAGTGACAAGTCCATGGGCATCAGGCCAGAATCGACAATTGTAGGACCAAGGCCACTCCCTAGGCCCTCGGGGTGCTGACAAGGTAGGAATTATGCAGCTTCCTGTTACCTTTCTTAGCATCTCACATGCTACAGAAAGAAGAGATACATGAAGCCAGTGGTTTTCCAAAGGTAATCTTACACTGAAGTTTAGTCCATAAAACAGATTAAAAAGGAGCCAGGTAGCTTATTGGGAGGGAGGGAAGGAAGAAGAGATGCTATAGTCCCAACCATTCCCCTTTATCTCCCCTCCCTGACCCCCTACTCCAAAGGTCCTTCTTTTGATCACTGTGCCAAGAAAGAAAACACTTGAAAACCTTGCAATAGTCAACAGGCCTGTCATGTGGAGAGCAGAGAAGCTATTTCTAAGTAATTGGGAAATATATTTTTGATCAAAATCCATTTCCATTCAAACAGCTTCATCCAGCTCTGTTTTAGAAACAAGATTAAGGATGCTTTTATCAAACAAATACATCCTCTGGGAAGTGTGTAAGGTTTGATTTGTGAATACATTTAAGTCTTTGACTTATCTAGTTGCCACATGGACCTTACAATTTATAAGACAGATTAAAATTGTGATTACTAGCAGTTAATTCAGGCTCATAATAATTTACTTGTTCCCAGTGAGTTCTGTGCTGGGCTTCCAAGGGGGGGGAAACATATCCTTTTAGGCTTGTTTCTACCTAACTGTCTCCTGGAAGAACAGGTTACCGTCAGTTTTACTTACATGTTTTTATACAAATAGGGATTTGTGTGTTATTAGGACTCATTTGCAACTATGATCTAAAATATGAAAGGAATATGTCTTTTCTGCATTTTGATGGCTTAACTTGTCTCTGCACCTTTCCGAAGTCTAGACTGTGGGAATGAGAAGCTCTCAGCAGCCTTCAAACACATCCACCAGGTCTCCATCTGTTTAGCCACTGCAGGGCTATTTCCTTTCTTTGGTCTTTTGAAAGGCAGCAGGCGGCATCTCTAAAAATAGTGGCATAAGTGAGTGTGCCTGTGGGCTGGGGGGCTCAAAGGGCCACTGTGAGTGCATTTATGGATTGCCATGTGTTATAGGGCCCCAGCTGAGAGGGACCACACAAAGCACAAGAAAGGGTCGTCAGAGATGTCAGCCACTCCTTGGTCCCCCAGGCAGCCAAAACCTCCGCCGGGGACCCGCACTGAGAACAGCAGCAGAGACTAAGCAGTGTCAAGTAAGGCTCTGCAGGGAGATTGCCTGCTTCTGCAGTCACTTCCTGGGTGACCCTGAGCACATTTTTCCACCTCCTTGAGCTCGTGTACTCACCTGTAAAATGGAAATAATTGGCCAGGTGCGATGTTTCATGCCTGTAATCCCAGCACTTTGGGAGGCCAACGTGGGAAGATCACCGGAGGTCAGGAGTTGGAGACCAGCCTGGCCAACATGGTGAAACCCTATCTCTACTAAAAATACAAAAATTAGCCAGGCATGCTGGCACATGCCTGTAATCCCAGCTACTCCGGAGGCTGAGACAGGAGAATGGCTTGAGCCCAGGAGGCAGAGGTTGCAGTGGGCCAAGATCATGCCACTGCACTCCAGCCTGGGTGACAGAGCAAGACTCTGTTTCAAAAAAAAAAAAAAAGGAAATAATCATAGGCAGTTGGTATGAAGACATTTTATATAACCACAATGGCATCATGATTACTTAAGAAAATGCCTATAACTTTTAGAAATACTTACTGAGTATGTAAAGATGAAATAACATGAGGCCTAGGATAGGCTTTAAAGTAATTCAGCAAAAATAAAGACAGGAGTTATTCCATTTACATTAAGGTCAGGAAGAGGCAGAACAAATCTATGGTGATTAAAAAAAATAAGATCATTGATTGCCTTTGGAAAAGGGTATCAAGGGAACTTTCTGGAGTACTGGAAATGTTCTACAACTTGATTTGAGTGCTGATAACATGGACATAAACATTTGTGAAAATTCATTAACCTGCAAATGGTTCAGAAAAATAATAATAGCATGTTGACAAAGATTCTTTGCTTAGCCAAACTTTATTCAGGCTTCTGATTCTCCTCCTAGGCCCATCTGTGTGCTTCCTATAAGGTCCAGTTTTAGCAAAGAACCTCACTAAGTCAGTTTAGCAAGAAACCCCTATCCTTGACATCTGACCAACCTCCAGCATTCCGCAGGTGATGTCTGATCAAGTTGGCCTATCTTTAGCAAGAATAGTGTTAGGTTCGTTTAGCTAGAATCTCCCTTACCCTTGCTGTTTCCTCTTAGTAATTTTCCATCCATTGACCCCACAGTGCTTCTGGGCTGTAAACTCCCACCTGCCCATGTTGTATTCAGAATTAAGTTCAATCTCTCTCTCTCACTGCAAGACCCTGTTACAGTGGCCCCTATACCTATGGTCCTGAATAAAGTGTTCCTTAGTGTGTTTTGACAAGTATCATTGAATAATTATTTCTTTCTTTCTTTCTTTCTTTCTTTTTTTTAAGACAAGGTCTCACTCTGTCATCCAGGCTAGAGTGAAGTGGCACAACCATAGCTTACTGCAGCCTCCATCACCCAGGCTCAAGTGATCCTCCCACTTCAGCCTCCACGCCTGGCTACTTTTTCTTTTTCAGTAGACACAAGGTCTCACTATGTTGCCTAGGCTGGTCTTGAACTCCCGTGCTCAAGTGATCCTCCCACCTTAGCCTCCCAAAGTATTGGGATAACAGGTGTGAGCCACTGCACCTGGCATAATTGTTTTTTTAACAGTGTGTGTATTCAGAAAAATATTAACAATGTGTATGTGGATAAAGTTTGATGAGTAATGATAAAAACAAGAATGATAAAATGTTAACACTTGGGGAATCTTAGTGAAGGGTATATGGAAATTCTTTGTATTATTTTACAACTTTCTGTAAGTATGAAATTATTTCAAAATAATAAAAGTTTAAAAATTCATCAAACCATACACTTTAAATTGGTTGATGAATTTTACTGTGTACAAATTATACATCAAAGTAAAAGTTAAAAACGAGACTAGAAAGCAAATGTAGCAAAATCTTGATAAATGCTGAGTCCCTGAGTGATAGATGTATGGAGGTTCATTTTACCATCTTGTCTGCTCTTGTGTATGCTTGGCTATTTTATTTTCTTTCTTTCTTTTTTTTTTTTTTTTGAGATGGAGTTTCACTCTTGTTGCCCAGGCTAGAGTGCAATCGCACGATCTCGGCTCACTGCAACCTCCGCCTCCCGGATTCAAGCGATTCTCCTGCCTCAGCCTCCTGAGTAGCTAAGATTACAGGCATGTGCCGTCATGCCTGGCTAATTTTGTATTTTTAGTAGAAAAGGAGTTTCTTTATGTTGGTCAAGCTAGTCTCGAACTCCTGACCTCAGGTAATCCACCCGCCCTGGCCTCCCAAAGTGCTGGGATTACAGGCGTGAGCCATCGCGCCCAGCCTATGCTTGGCTATTTTCTAATGCAAAATAAATTTTAAAAAATTAAAACAATTGAAAATATCGGCTAATCCTGGCCCAGTGCCCAGTGCAGTGTGGCATCCCCCTCTGCAAATGGCTCATGGCTGCTACCCCGCACCTTTTCTCTGGGACAGTCAGGGGATTACACATATGTCAAACTGTTAATACTGGTATTATCTGTGACCATGCTTGACAAAAAATGCACCCCAAGCTGTTTTTCCTCTACCTTGCGGTAAAAGGCTTTAAAAAAGTAACCAGCCAACATTGAAAATAAGTGTCCTTTTTGAACTCCCACTTAGGTGAATGACTTTGTGCAGGCATCTCTTAAAACAGCTGCAACCACAGCAAGGCCATGAGGAAAAGTCACAGAGGACAAAGACAGAGACATTTAAATACCATGTAAGCCAAGAGGAACCACTCTGGATCTAATTCCACTTTTGCAAGGTAAACATTTGCCTTGGCTGAGACAGGAAAGAAAAGTAAGGGCTGATGACCTTTGAGGTGAATCAAACACATCTCTTAAGAAGGTCTCAATTTTTAGGAGGAGGATGATGGCCACTTGTCCCCAAGGGCTGAACAGGGGCACTAAACCAGGAGGAAGAAGACCTGGGCTCTTTTCCCACCCACATCACTGGTGATCCACATGACATAGGGTAAGTCACCTCCTCCTCCCTAATCCTCTTTCCTCCACTGACAAATGAGGGTTTGAACCCAGAGAACCTGTAGGGACGTTCCAGCTTTGTGATTCTTTAAAACAAACATTGATTGAGAAAGATTCCAGGGCAAGGAAGGAGCAGGAACTGTGCCCCATACAGTCATCCAAGAGTCAAAGCCTGGCAAGTTTCCAGAGCCCAGACAGGAGATAAATGAGGAAAGATACATGATGTGGCCAAATCTCCAAATTTCCATGAGAAATGAAAAATCTAGATGTTTATATCCAACCTCCTGCTTTTCAAATGATACTAATTAATTCAAATTTTTTTTTGTTTGTATTTTGTTTTTGAGACGGAGTCTCACTCTGTCGCCAGGCTGGAGTGCGGTGGCACGATCTCTGCTCACTGCAACCTCCAACTCCCTGGTTCAAGCTATACTCCTGCCTCAGCCTCCCGAGTAGCTGGGACTACAGGCACACGCCATCATGCCCAGCTAATTTTTGTATTTTTAGTAGAGACGGGGTTTCATCTTGTTGGCCAGGATGGTCTCGATCTTCTGACCTCGTGATCCACCCGCCTTGGCCCTCGAAGTGCAGGGATTACAGGCGTGATCAAATTTTTAAAATAAACGTTTGTGAGCTAATAAAAATTGCCTGAACAGAATTAGATCCCCAGGCTGCCAGATTGTGTCTTTTGTGTGAGGTCACGTCATCTCCTAAATGGGGGTAAATGAGGATCTCTGATCTTTTCAACAATGATCTTTCAACTTCAAAGCTGAAGACAAATTTTAACGACAAATACCTAAACCATGTAACTCTTAGAGAAATGTTTTTCAAACTTTTTTTTTTTACCATAACTCACAGCAGAGTCCATTTTACATTGCCAGTGGTCACACACACATACACACACATGCACATACACATACAAAATCAGAAGAAAAGACTCACAAAACTTATGCTTACTACATGCAATACACTCTGATATTTTCTATTCTTTTTTACTTCATGTTAATGCAGGTAGCAACCCATTAAATTGATTTCATGGGTCATATTTGCAAAACATTACTTTAGAGTTTATATTTACTTAATTCTCATTTAATTCTCCCTCTCACCTTATGAGGTAGGAATTATTATCATCCCCATTTTACAGAACAGAAAAAAAGAATCTCAAGCTTCACACTCCAGATCTAGCTTTTTTTCTCTTCTTCTTTTAATCAAGAAAGGCATGAATGAGAGGAATTAAAAGATGTCAAAGGGCCAGGTCAGAAAGGAAGAGTCCCAGAGGCAAAGCAATCAAGGTGCGCCTTGGGGAGAATTTTAAAAATCAAACAAGGGGATTAAGGCTGTGTGCTGTGGAGCATGCAACTTACAAACTGCTCTGTCTCCCCTGTGAAATCTGCAGGAAAATTTGCATGGCTGCCCATGCTGATGGGTGAGTGGCTGCTTCAAGGAGGAGCCAGATTTATTATCCACGTGGCCCAAGCAGAGTCAGAGAGAACATGGGTTATGCCGGAGGCTGGGAGGTTGCTACTCTCTAGGTCACATTCATGAACTTGAAACCAGCTCCAGACTTGTAGGAATTGGGGACCGGTGGTTGCAGGGTGAGGAGAGAATGGATAGGCATCGAATCCAGAGCATTTGACCACCAGGGCTGGCCTGGGAAAACTTACCACTGGACTCTATTAATGAACAGACAAAAGTTCCATGTCTTCTGCACAGGCAATGATCAGAGAAGAGAAGAGGAGACAGAAGCCCAGCCCCTGATGTCAGTGAAAGACTGACATAGGGGGAGATTTGATGTGTTAAGAGTGATGAACCTTTCTCCTAATTGAACCAGTCAGCTGAATCTAATGGTACCCTTTCTAATCAATCTTGTTGCAACCATTTGTGATGGGGCAGGAGCCTAGCAACACCTAGTACCGCCTAGCACAACCCAGCACAGCCCAGCACAGCACAGCACAGCACAGCACAGCACAGCACAGCACAGCACAGCCCAGGCCAGCCCAGCACAGCCCAGCAGAGCACAGCATAAACATTGATTGCGCGAGGACTCCAGGGCAGGATCCTGTAACACATCCGGGCTGTATTCTAGAATGGTTGAGTCTATTCCCCGCTCTTAGTCTCTTTTCTGTCTTCTACCTCCAGATGCCTAAAGAGAACAAATGGAGATGGGTGTCTGTTTACAAAGCCAAGCAGCAATGATTTCAAGTATCTGCTTTGGGTAGCTTTCTGCATTCTCCAAAGTTGATCCTTCCAGTGTGGTATAAACACAGTTGTTGGGCAATGTTTAAAGTCAATGAGTCTTAGATTACCATCGCAAAAGTCAATTAACAAGGCAATTTCTTCCCTTGATTTGTATTTGTATATTATTAATGAACTACAAGACCTCCTAGTGAGGTAAATTAGCTTAGGTAACTGGGGAGCAGAGTACAAACATTTTTTTTTCTTTAATGGCCCCAAACATTTATCTCATACAGAGAAAACAATATACAAGCCCAGGGAGGGCTCCCTGTTCCTGCAGCCAAGGAAGCACACCGGAGCAGCTCTGATAAATATTGATGTCTGTTTATCAAAATGCCACAGGCCTTCCTGGCTAGCTGCCACCTCCTCCCACCTCGTGCAGTCCTAACTGGCAGGACTCATTATGTAAGGAGGAGATACAGAAACCTCAACTGCCATTGCTGAAGGACTTTTAGCCTTTGTTTCCTGAATACAAAAAATAAAAATAAAAAATTGTCCTGACCTACAACGGTTGGTGCCAACCAAAGGACCAACATCCTTTCTTTAATGAGGGGGCAGAAATATAGACTCTTATGTACAAAGAGAATGGTAATTGAAAAGATCTCTGACTCACTGAAATAATCAGCTTAGGGATGTGTGAATGCTCCCCCAAAATGCTGCCTTGTTACAAAATCAATGCCATTAAGAAATAAATTGTGCTACATGTAAGTTTCAGAGGATTAACACAGAGATATTGATAACCGCCCATTCGACATGTCATGATTGAGCTATGTGCAAGGCCATGTGAATAATACCATTAATTTAATCCCATTTACCTATTTTTAAGTAACACTGTTCAGCCCCAAAATGCCTGGGGACTGATAGCAGAGTAAAAATTAATAATTAATGTATTCCTGCCTTTAAGAAATATTGATTGAATGCTGATCATGTAGATACCAGACAGTAGGCATGGAACAGAAACTGAAAAAGATATAGTCCCTCAAGGAACCCAGCAACTATTTGGGGAGACAGACAGGTAGGTAAAGCATTATATAGCAGGCTGTGATAGAGAGGTGCACCCCAAGTCCTGCGACACACAGAAAGGAGCAGTTCATTAGAAACGGCCAAGAAGGTGTCCTGGGGAGAAGCCAGGT
The DNA here is from genome assembly GCF_000001405.40 of Homo sapiens. NCBI lineage: Eukaryota > Metazoa > Chordata > Mammalia > Primates > Hominidae > Homo > Homo sapiens. The sequence continues at coordinate 117,410,854 of NC_000010.11, read as the reverse complement.
GCCCTCTGCTCATGTCCTCTATTTTATCCCACGTTGATTCCTGCTCCTGGGATGATAAACTTATTCCTCCAGGTGGCCTTCTCAGAAGGGCTGGCAGACCTCAGATGGGCAGATTTCAGATAAGCAGATCTTGATGGGCAACCCTCAGCTGGGCTGGCAGATGGGCAGACCTCCATGGGTAGCTTTCAGATGGGCAGACCTCACTGAGCAGCTCTCAGATGGGCAGACCTCAATGGGTAGAGCTCAGATGGGAAGATTCCAGGTGGGCGTCTCCTTATGCCCAAAGAATCCCATCTTCTCCCTTTAGAGACACGGTAAAACTAAAGACAGCTCCAAATTAATTTTCTTTCTGATAAAGTGTCCTGTTTTCTGTTTGCTGAGGCTCTTTTGAGAGCTCCTTGATACACTGTAGTTGAGGCTGACACAGGGAGAGCCCTGGGGGTACTCCACAGGACCAAGGATTTCAGGATCCTCTTAAAATGATCCAGGGAGATTCACATGGGGTCAGAGGCCTGGCAGAAAGCCTCAAGTAGCCTCTTCTACCTGCAGATGGCAAAAAAAGCAGAGCACAGCTGCCTGATGGCTCATTCCTCCATGATTCTGTGGGTCTGTGTGTGTGTGTGTGTGTGTAGATTTACATTTTATGGGTTCCTACAGGAATGGCATAATGAATATCTATACTCAAAGTTCCCTTTGTCTGGAAGATGCCCCACCTCCCAACCTCTACCTCTCCACTTCACCCACTTAAACACCTACTCACCCTTCAGATCTCAAGGAAATAGCCTTCCTCAGAGAAGCCTTCCCTGCCCCCTCAGGCTGGTTGCCCGAGTTGCTCATACTCACTCTCATCGTGCCAAAGCACTGTTCCTCCATAGCCTTTGTTAAAGCTTGCAAATATGCATTTATTTGCATCATTTTCCTTTATCTCTGCCTGCCTCTCCCTCGGCTATAAGCTCCATGTGGGAAATAGAAGTCCAGCTTTTTCACCTCTGTAATCCTATCTTTAGCTAAATGCCCAGAACTTAGTTATGCACTCAACAAACTCTCACTGATTTTTGAATGAACATCAAGGAAAGGGACTCTCCCCAGAACCTGTTTCTCCTGTTGTCCCCACACCCCTGCCTGGTTTGGCTTTGGGTTTTGTTTCAGGCTTTGCTCTGTTGATCAAAAGCATTATAGTCAAATATAAAGTCTTTCAACTTCCAAACGTGTCATGTGCCACTGAGTCTAAAGGAGCCATGCAAAGGCAATATGAAAAAATAATGAACCGTAATTTTTATTAAGGTCTACATCCAAAACAAGCCAAATATTATACCAATAGTAGTACACATTTGTTGTTTCAGGGAGAAGACTATAACAGATAAAAATCAATAATGTTTTTGTTCCAGTGGATTAACTTCATGCTTAGAACAGAAAGAAAATCTAAATGGATGGCTTTTCTGCTTTTTCCTTCTCAGTAATATGATGCGGTTATATCAAAGGGAAGAGTTGGCAGAGACAGAAAGTTAGAAGGCTAAGGACATTTTCTAAAGCAGGAAGGAAGATTTGAAAAGAAGGTTAGATTCTCCCTGACCTGTCAAGTTGGTGGCTGAATGGAACTTAGCTGGCTGGTTTTCTGCCCTTCAAAATTATCTTTGGCCCTCAAGTAGGAACTTCCAAGGGTATCTGACAGCAACAGATACCCTTGGACAAAGGCCTCCAGACACAAGAGCTCATCCCTTAGCAAGAGTTGATTGGACCAAGGTTGAGTGAGTTTCTCTCCCTGGAATTTGGAATCAGGCCACAGAGCCATATGCCTTTCTCTTAGGCACTTGAAATGGGATGTGAAGACAGGTCAGGTTCAAGGTGCCTGGACTGGCCCCATGAGTGAGGAACCAAAGAGAGCCAGCCTGCAGGCATAGAGAGAGAGAAATGACAAACGAGGAATGATCAGGTGTCATGACAGCCACCCCATTCCCAACTGTCTAGGTTCTGAGCCTTGTCCATTATGAGGCCAGCCTGAACTTCCTGTGCTTGGAATTCATAATATTCCCTCGAGTCCTCCTAGAAAGTGCCCTTCCTCCACCTTTTTGGTTCTCAAAGTTAGTTTAAGTGTGTTTCTGTTCCTTGTAAATTAGCTAACCACGGCTGTTGTAACAAACTGCCACAAACTGGGTGGCTTAGAACAACAGAAACTTATTATCTCACAGTTCTGGAGGCCGGAAGCCTGAAATCAAGGCATCAGAAGGCCATGCTCCCTCCTAAGCCTCTGTGGGAAGATTATTCTTTGCTTCCTCCAGCTTCTGGTGGCTCCAGATATTCCTTGGCTAGTGGCTGCACAACTCCAGTCCTGCCTCCATCTTCACATGACCGTCTCCTCTTGTCCCTGTGTCTTCTCCTCTCCTCTCTCATCACTTGTCATCTATTTAATCCAGGATGATCTAGATCCTTAACTATATCTGCAAAGACCCTTTTTCCAAATAATGTCACATTTATAGGGACCAGAAGTTAGGAGTTGGACATATCTTTCTGGAGGCCACCATTTAACTCACTATACCTTACAGCCCACTGGGCCCTAAGATGAGTTTACCGAATATTCCTGAGCAGCCTTGCAAAGTGTGAGTGATCAGCTGATGCACAGCCCACAATACGAACTGTTTATAGATTCTGAAGGATGATATGTGAATAAGGCAATTGGAGTTTTTTTTAATGGGAAAAGTGTTTTGTGGCATTTTGTTTTTGAATATTCTGGGATAGAGTGAAGCCTTGGTCTATCACATCTGAAGTCACACCTTCTCCAGTCTCTTTTGGATTGATGAGAATAATTATAATGTAATGGCCACTGTGATGTACTGCTAGGTGCCAGCTGCTGCACTTGGCTTTTTTTTGTTTGTTTGTTTTGAGTCAGAGTCTTGCTCTGTTGCCCAGGCTGCAGTGCAGTGGCAGGATCTCAGCTCACTGCAACTTCTGCCTCCAGGATTCAAGAGATTCTCCTGCCTCAGTCCCCTAAGTAGCTGGGACTACACGCATGCACCACCATGCTCAGCTAATTTTTGTATTTTTAGTGGAGATGTGGTGTCACCATGTTGGCCAGGCTGGTCTCGAACTCCTGACCTCAGGTGATCTGCCCACCTTGGCCTCCCAAAGTGCCGGGATTACAGATGTGAGCCACCACGCCCGGCCTGTACTAAGCTCTTTATATGGCATGTCACTTCGAATCTTTACCATGATCTTTTGATGGTGGGATTATTATCCCCAGGAGTCACACCCAAGTAGGTCAGTGCTTTAAGCCACCAGGATGGCCTTTTTCAAGATCTGGCATTTTGCGGGCTATGGATATTAAAAGAAGATCTAGTGCGGGCAGCACCGGCCAAGTGCCAGTCAATACATTTGGTGCACTATGTTTGTTATCTCACGTGATCTTTACAGCTCCTCCTTGAGGGAGACAGTGCAGAAATTAGAGGAAGGCCGATCCCACTAACCAAGGCTTCTCATGGATATAACCTGCTGAAGTCAGTGAGACAAAGTCTCAGATATTCCAGCTCCTGCAGGCCCAGGGGGATCAGCCCCTACAGATCTACTCCCAATAACTTAAAGAAACATGACACATGTGGACAACAGAATGGCAATTGGAAACTTAAGTTGACAAAGCACCCCTTGAATTGGAATGCTCTTCTTACTTGAGAAGCTGCCCATCTCACCTCCCAAGCTGTGAGTCTGGAAGGGAAGTGAAGTAAAGCAGCCCCCTAGAGAGAAAGCTTAAAGCTTCCCTAGGCAAGTTTTTCACCTTAGTAATTTTCCACCCCAACCCCAGAGAGGATTTCCTTTCAAAAGCCTCACACTGTACTCATAATTTCCCTCTTCCTACTAATTGCCAATAGTACTGCTTCCCCTCCTCCTCTCTCCCTAAGAGTTGAGGACACGGAGTTCAGATCAAAATTACAACCTTCCTTCCCCCTCCATTCCTCCTCATGTAGCTCCATCCACACAGTCATCCAAGTCAGCCACCTGGACGTCTTCCTCAGCTCCCCTCCGCCCTCTGCCCCAGAGCCATCGGGCATCAAGTCCTGCCTACCTATCCGCCTCTCAGTGACTTCCCCTCTCCCTAGCCCTCATTGCCCTGGATTAGGTTCCCAGCATCTCTCTCCTGGACTTGGTCAGGTCTCCCTGCCTCCATCATTCTTTGTTTTCGTTTGTTTTTGTTTGTTTGTTTGTTTTGTTTTGTTTTGTTTTGTTTGAGACGGAGTCTTACTCTGTCGCCCAGGCTGGAGTGCAGTGGCACAATCTCGACTCACTGCAAGCTCTGCCTCCCAGGTTCACGCTATTCTCCTTCCTCAGCCTCCCCAGTAGCTGGGACTACAGGCGCCCGCCACCACGCCCAGCTAATTTTTTGTATTTTTAGTAGAGATGGGGTTTCGCCATGTTAGCCAGGATGGTCTGGATCTCCTGACCTCGTGATCTGTCCGCCTCGGCCTCCCAAAGTGCTGGGATTACAGGCGTGAGACACCGCGTCTGGCCTGTTTTCATTTTTTTTTTTTTTTTTTTTTTTTTGAGATGGAGTCTCACTCTGTTGCCCAGGCTGGAGTGCAGTGGCACAATCTCGGCTAGCTGCAACCTCTGCCTCCTGGGTTCAACCATTTCTCATGCCTTGGCCACCTGAGTGGCTGGGATTACAAGTGCACACCACCACGCCTGGCTAATTTTTGTATTTTTAGTAGAGACAAGGTTTCACCATGTTGGCCAGGCTGATCTTGAACTCCTGGTCTCAAGTGATCCACCTGCCTCAACCTTCCAAAGTGCTGGGATTACAGGTGTAAGCCACCAAACCCAGCCCTCCATCAGTTCTTAATTTGATCTTGTTGTTTCTTTGCTTTTGTTTGCATCATTTTCTTTTACCTCCACACGGGGTCAGAGACCTGGCAGGAAGCCTCACGCAGCTTCTTTTACCGGCAAATGGCAAAAATCTCCATTCTGGCATTGCATAAGCCTCCAGCAGTGGTTTTCAAAATGTGTCCAGAGGAACCCCAGCTTCATGGTCCCTGTTGGAATTTTTTTTTTTTTTTTTTTTTTTTTTTTGGTGGAGTCTCACTCTGTTGCACAGGCTGGAGTGCAGTGGCATGATCTTGGCTCAACTGCAACCTCCACCTCCTGGGTTCAGGCGATTCTCTTGCCTCAGCCTCTGGAGTAGCTGGGATTACAGGCATACACCACCACACCGAGCTAATTTTTGTAGTTTTAATAGAGATGGGGCTTCACCCTGTTGGCCAGACTGGCCTTCATCTCCCAACCTCAAGTGACCCACATGCCTCGGCCTCTCAAAGTGCTGGAATTACAGGCGTGAACCACCATGCCCAGTCCCTGTTGGAATTTTGATTCCAGAAAAGAAATTCTGCCTGAGTTTTGAACAAATTGAGGACAAAGTATTTAGACAAATGGAAATAAAAATATCATCTTTATTACTGAAAAAGCTATATTAGAGGATGTGGCTTAGCTTTGGCCAAATAGCATGGTGACAATTCCCTGAATTAAACCACAGATGCCCTACACAGCACAAACATTCCTCCTTCTTGGAAGTGACTGCTTTGAGAGGCGGGTTCCCAGGTGTGGATAGAGAAATACGAATTAACATGCACACCCAGGGTTTAGACTTTTGTAAAAGTTGTCAGGCAGCATTTCTCAAAGCTTGCACCTTGGAACACTAACCTTAAGAAGAGCTGATCTGGGAAGAAAATGCTACATGGCCAAATGCCTTTAGAGAAAACCATACAACATGTTCTCCCTCGAGAATCACAATGCACATAAGGAAATTAGTCTCCCTGGTCTGCAATGATGAAATCAGACTGACCTTGCTTATTGAACGTTGACCCTTGTTTCCCAACATTATCTGACTAAAAGTACTTTGGGCCGGGCACGGTGGCTCACGCCTGTAATCCCAGCACTTTGGGAGTTTGAAGCGGGCGGATCACCTGAGGTTGGGAGTTCACAACAAGCCTGACCAACATGGAGAAACCCCGTCTGTACTAAAAATATAAAATTAGCCAGGCATGGTGTTGCATGCCTATAATCCCAGCTACTCAGGAGGCTGAGGCAGGAGAATCACTTGAACTCGGGAGGCAGAGGTTGCAGTGAGCTGAGATTGCACCATTGCACTCCAGCCTGGGCAACAAGAGCAAAACTCCATCTAAAAAAAAAAAAAGTACTTTGGTGAGTCTTTTTATGTTTCTATGGGAAATAAATGACATCAGAGTAAGGCTGCTGGCCTCTCTCTGTCCCCAGGGCAAGAGAAAGAAGAATGACTTACATGATTGTGGAATGGAGTAGGGGGCTCAGGCCCTTCCTCCCCATCTCTTCAATGAGGGTTTTCCTAAGCAGGTCTTTGGTTTTCACTTTTTGCTGTTTCTCACAGGCTGTAGCTCTAAATTCTCTTCTGAAATTTTTCTGTTTTGACCCCGCATCGATTTTGACAGCAGAATGAGCAGTTAGGGATGCTTTTTTTTTTTTGAGATGGAGTCTCGCTCTGTCACCCAGGCTGGAGTGCAGTGGCGCGATCTTGGCTCACTGCAAGCTCCACCTCCCGGGTTCACACCATTCTCCTGTCTCAGCCTTCCGAGTAGCTGGAACTACAGGCGCCAGCCACCATGCCCGGCTAACTTTTTTTGTAGTTTTAGTAGAGATGGGGTTTCGCCATGTTAGCCAGGATGGTCTGGATCTCCTGACCTCATGATCCACCCGCTTCAGCCTCCCAAAGTGCTGGGATTACAGGCATGAGCCACCATGCCCAGCCCAGTTAGGGATGCTTTAATACAAAAAGTTTATGACTAAAGTAGGACTGGGTGTGGTGACTCATGCCTGTAATCCCAGCACTTTGGGAGGCTGAGGCAGGCAGATCACCTGAGGTCAGGAGCTCGAGGCCAGCCTGGGCAACATGGTGAAACCCTGCCTCTACTAAAAATACAAAAATTAGCCAGGCATGGTGGCAGGTGCCTGTAATCCCAGCTACTCAGGAGGCTGAGGCAGGGGAATCACTTGAACCTGGAAGGCAGAGGTTGCAGAGAGTAGAGATGGTGCCACTTCACTCCAGCCTGAGCAACAGAGAAAGACTCTGTCTCAAAAAAAAAAAAAAAAAAAAAAAGTTTATATCTAAAGTAGAGGGGAAGAGAATTCTTGATTTCACAAACGAAATGCTTTGCATATGACCTCTGGACTCTGAAACAAGGGTGCGGAGGCAGGGGAGGGCACGCAAGGCCTTCTGCAGTGGCTTTGTGGTTAAAAGTGATATGAAGGGTCCTTTGCAAAATAGAGATGTGTAAAGTAGTTTCAAGTAGATGATTCCTAATCTTCATATTACATTGGAAATATATGTCAGTTTTGTTCATTAGAATCAGTGAATTGCATATTAAATGTTATAGTGAGAAATCATCCTCGGTCAAAAAGACAGTCTTGCTCCTCCTCTTAAGAAAGGGATCCACCCCCCAACCCCACCCCCATAATCTTTTGAGGCAATTGAAGAACATGGAAGAAAAAAGTTCTGTCCAGCTAAGCAATTTTGTGGAAAGAACAAAACACTCTTCAGTCTAGGGATGCTCTTAATTATGCTCATGCTGATGGAGATGACTATAAAAAGCCATGTAGTCCAAAATGGGCAGGATCGATGTTCTTAGGTCAGCTCTTGGTCTGTCTTCAGTCCAGAGATATTTTGGTCTGAGCCAGGAAGTGAGACAGTAAGGGTAAAAACATCTGAAACACACGAGCATCTTCCACCTATTCATCCAAAGGTATCAGAGGATATAAAGAGCCCAAGTGTGGTTCGAGAAAAGTGGCTTTTGCACAAATGAGAACAAAATTTGCTGGGGGTTGAATGAGAGTCTAGGTCAATTTCCATAGAGTTGCAGGAAAAGAGGAGTTTTGACAGTCATGGGTTTATTTAATCAATGCATTCAAGCATTTGAGAAAATTCAGGTCCTGAAATAAACTTATTTTAAGTAGGTATGTATAAAGCCCAACAAGACTGTTAATAAACCAATACCTATCCACAAATCCAATAATGACCAAAGCTCCTCCTCAGTTTGTAAAAGAAAAACACGCCCGCAGATGTGCCTTGCAGGGTTAACAGTTGTAAAATTTGAGTGTGTTCTCCTTTTTCTTGTTTTGTTTTTTTCTTTGTTCTGTTTTGTGAAGGGTTTTTCTCTGTCATCCAGGCTGTAGTGCCGTAGTACCATCTTGGCTCACTTCAACCTCTGCTTCCTGAGTGAAAGAAGCAATCCTCCTGCCTCAGCCTCCCAAGAGTGTGCTCTTCTACCCACAGGAGTTCATATATACCAAATGTATCCAATTCATTCACTTAACACACTTTGAATTCCTGGACCTGGAGTTATAGAGACAGGTAAGATTATAGTCCTTGCCCTCAAGGAGCACAATCTAGTTGGAGTGACAGGCATATTAGCAAATTTAAGGAAATGGTAGAGTGACAGAGGCAAGGGTAGGAATATGTACTGAGAACAGTGAGGTCCAAAGGAAGCGATGTTCAGAATGCCTGGGGAGAGGACAGAACATATTCAATAATAAAGAAGGGGCTGGGCGTGGTGGCTCATGCCTGTAATCCCAGCACTTTGCGAGGCCAAGGCAGATGGTTCACCTGAGGTCAGGAGTTTGAGACCAGCTTGACTAATATGGTGAAACCCTGTCTCTACTAAAAAATACAAAAATTAGCCAGGTGTGGTGGCATATATCTGTAATCCCAGCTACTTGTGAGGCTGAGACAGGAGAATTGCTTGAACCCGGGAGGCAAAGGTTGCAGTGAGCTGAGATCATGCCACTGCACTCCACCCTGGGTGACAGAGCCATACTCTATCTCAAAAAAAAAAAAAAAAGCATGGTACTGCTAGAAGTATGAACGTAGAGATCAACAGAATAGAATTGAAAGTTCAGAAACAAAACCTCACATTTATGGCCAATTGATTTTTGAAATGATACCAAGACAATTCAATAAAGAAAAGCAGTCTTTTCAACAAATGGTTCTGGGACAACTGAACACCCACATGCAAAAGAATAAAGTTGAACCCCTCTCTCACACCATACACAAAAATTAATTTGAAATGTGTTACAGATCTAAATGTATGAGTTAAAACTATAAAATTCCTAGAAGAAAACAGAAGAAAATCTTTGGTCACCTGGGGTTAGGTAATGGCTTCTTAGGTATGACACCAAAAGCACAAGCAACAGAAGAAAAAAAAATAGATAAATTTGAATTTATCAAGATTAAAAACATTGGCCAGACGCAGTGGTTCACACCTGTAATCCCAGTACTTTGTGAGGCCAAGGCAGGCAGATAACTTGAGCCCAGGAGTTTGAGACCAGTCTGGGCAACATGGTGAAATCCCATCTCCACAAAAATACAAAACATTAGCTGGGCACGGTGGCACACACCTGTAGTCCCAGCTACTTGGGAGGCTGAGGTGGGAGCATCACTTGAGCCTGGGAGGTCAAGGCTACAGTGAGCTATGATCATGCCACTTCATTCCAGCCTGGGCAACAGAGTGAGACCCTATGTCATAAAAATAAATAAATAAATAAATAAAACATTTATGCCTCAAAGAACACTATCAAAGTAGGAAATGAAAACTTACAAAATTGGAGAAAATATTTGCAAACATATATCTGAGAAAGAAATTGTACCTAGAATTTATAAGGAACCCGTGCAACTTAGTAATAAAAAGATAAATAGCCCAATTTAAAAATGAGCAAAAGATTTGAAAACACGTTTATCCAAAGAAAAGCATCATTAGACTTTAAGGAAATACACATCAAAACCACAATCGAATACTACCTCACATCCATTAGGATGGTTAAAATCAAGACAAGTGATGGCAAACAAATGGAGAAATTGGAATCCTCATACTCTCTGGTGGGAAAGTAAAATGGTACAGCTACTTTGAAAAAAAGTTTAGCAGTTTCTCAAAAGGTTAAACATAGAGCTATCATAAAGTCATATGATCCAGGGTTTATACTTCTTGGTATATACCCAAGAGAAATGAAAACCTACATCCACACTAAAAATTGTACACAAATATTCATAGCAGTATTATTCATAATAGACAAAAAGTTGAAGCAACCTAAACACTTAACAGATGAAAGCATAAACAAATTATATATCCATATAATGGAATATTATTTGACCATAAGAAAAATCAAGTACTGATAACTGCTACAACCAGATGAACCTTGAAACATTATGCAAAGTGCAAGAAGCCAGTAACAAAAGACCATATATTGTTTGACTCCTTTCACATGAAATATTCAAATTAAGTAAATCCTTAGAGACAGAAGGTGATTTGTGGTTGCTGGGTTGGGAAGAAATAGGGCGTGATTGCTGATGGATATGGGTTTCTCTTTAGGGCGTTGAAAATGTTCTAAAGTTAGATTGTAGTAATGGTGACACGACTCTGAATATATTAAAAACTAATGAACTGTACACTTTAAATGGGTGAATTTTAAGGTATGTGAAAAATATCTCAGTAAAGCTATTTAAAATCTCATTAATCTTGGTTTTTTGTTTTGTTTTGTTTGGAGACAGTTGCTTGCTGTGTTGCCCAGGCTGGAGTGCAGTGGTGTGATCTCGGCTCACTGAAACCTCCACCTCCTGGGTTCAAGCAATTCTCATGCCTCAGCCTCCCCAGTAGCTGGGACTACAGATACACATCACCACTCCCGGCTAATTTTTTTTTTTTTTTTTTTTTTTTGTGTGTGTATTTCAGTAGAGGCAGTGTTTCATCATGTTGCCCAGGATACTGGTCTCTAACTCCTGAGCTCAGGCAATCTGCCCACCTTGGCCTCCCAAAGTGCTAGGATTACAGGTGTGAGCCACCATGTCCAGCCCTAAAATCTCATTAATCATAAAGATACTGAAAAATCATAGAGATACTGTCAATATTTTTGTAACACTTCAACATGTTTTCCCATCTTATGACTCAAGGCCCTGAAGGCACTTTTTTTTTTAAACATACAGTAACCTTGCAAAGATCATTGGTCTTCAAAAGATGAAGTAAGTCAACATTTTGCAATTAGAGGGAAGAGGTAGTCCATGGTTCAGTGGTCAGGTTTTTACCCAACAGGAAAGGTAGGCCTGCAAATGTTGCTTTACACTTTGTAACTGAAAATTTAACACACGCTTATTAAATGTTTACATGGTGCTAAAAAGACTTATTTGTCTTTTGGGGGAAACTGAAGGGTGCACAGAAGAAAGATGGTCAGCTAGGGGTCCCACGGAATTTTTCTTTGCTAATGTTGACTATCTGATTCCTTTGGATGTATGGTGGAAGAGAGCAAAGGGCTGGTATGCCATGGTGGTTACACAGTCACAATCTGGACGTGGCTGGCTTGGAATACTGCCCCTGCCACTTAGCAGCTGTATGACCGTGTGCAAGCCAGTTAGCCTCTCTGTGCCTCCATTTCCTTCTCTATAAAATGAGAATTCTACACTTCCTTCAGTTTTTATCGGAGGGCTTAGGCTGTTGTATTGTGCTCATAAATGGTACCTTTATGTGTAGACATTTTATGAGCAGTATATCTTGATGATTTCTTTCATGACTTAGAAAAACAAAAGTGTTGGCATTTTCTGAAGATCAGGATCTTATCCTTTTCTATTAGTTGTTTCATTCTGATATGTTTATTATTAAGTTATTTGTCAAAGTACTCTCCTGAAACTCTGCTATTAGGTAATTAAGAATTAAGACACTTAGGCCAGGCATGGTGGCTCACACCTGTAATCCCAGCACTTTGGGAGGCCAAGGCGGGCAGATCACCTGAAATTGGGAGTTCGAGACCAGCCTGGCTAACATCGAGAAACCCCATCTCTACTAAAAATACTAAATCAGCTGGGCATGGTGCCGTGCGCCTGTAATCCCAGCTACATGGGAGGCTGAGGCAGGAGAATTGCTTGAACCCGGGAAGCAGAGATTGCGGTGAGCCGAGATCACGCCATTGCATTCCAGCCTAGGCAACAAGAGCAAAACTCCATCTCAAAAAAAAAAAAGAATTAAGACACTTGATTGCTATGTATTTTCTTAACCAATGTGACTCTACTTTTCCTTAGCAAAAGTGTACAGAGTGCAGGCTCAGAATGAGATGCCCAGCTGCTGAACCTCATTCTTCTGATGTGTGGCGGGCAGAAAGGGCCAATGTAGGCAAGAAGTCTCTCAGTTCAAAACCACCTTCTAAGGCCCCCTTCATCCCAGGGCTTCTTTGGGGACTACGCAGAAGTGCTTATTTGCAATGCAAATACCCCAGATGACCTATCAATCAGTCAATTATCCAGGGTATTCCTTTCCATATTGCCCTCAGACCTGGGAAAGAGAAGGGTGACCCCATAATATCACACACACACTGATATGGTTTGGCTCTGTGTCCCCACCCAAATCGCAGGCCAAATTGTAATCCCCACATGTTGGAGGAGGGGTCTGGTGGGAGGTGATTGGATCATGGGGGCAGACTTCCCCCTTGCTGTTCTCATGATAGTATATGAGTTCTCATGAGATCTTGTTGCTTTAAAAGTGTGTAGCGCTTCCCCTTTATTCTTTCTGTCTCCTGCTAGGCCATGGTAACACATGCTTGTTTCCGCTTCACCTTCCGCTATGATGGTAAGTTCCTGAGGCCTTCCAGCCATGCTTCCTGTACAGCCTGCAGAACTGTGAGTCAATTAGACCTCTTGGTAGTTCCTTATAGAAGCATGAGAACAGACTAATACACACACATACACACTTCTTAAAGAACATGTGTGTTCCTTTGTCACATGGGACCTGGTGCTCAGCACTGGCATATCACTACCCCTAATCCTAAACATCTGCTCCTGGCACCAACGCTGCTCAAGCCCTAGGGAACACTTTTCCATATTTCTTACCTTTTATCCTCAAAACAAAGGCTACCTGTCCTGAAGGTCATAAAGGTTTTTGGGTTGCTGCTGCCAACATCAGAGATGGACACAGCTTCAGAGGGCAGAGAGCATTTTAGTGGTAGGGACCATTAGGAAGAGAAAAAGCAAATTAATTAACTTGTCAATTTCTTCCTCCCAGAGAGCATGAATAAAACAGATTTTTGTTTCGCATAGTATCATTCCCTGTCATGCTGAGCTTTTCTTTTCATTTTATTTCTTTCATTTGTGGTTCCTAAACTCTTCATGAATTACACGAATCACATAATAAAATGTCACCATGTGGTTAGGCTGTAGTAGAACCATCACGTATCAACTATCCATAACCCAATGTCATGATTGACATCTTGAAGATATGATTTGTAATTTTAGGCATGAAATAAGTGCATGTAGTACTGATTATTTGTATTGGCAACTAAGTTAAAACGGTGAATGCTAGAATACTGAATAGTTTATTTTTGTAAAAGTATTTATTATGATTTAACTCCACTGTTAAAATTTTAAACAAAAAATGTAACTTTACTGAAATAATTTCATCTATAATTTTTACACTCATTAATTTATAATTTCTACTTTGCCTTTTTTTTTTTTTTTTTTTTTTTTGAGACGGAGTCTCGCTCTGTTGCTCAGGCTGAAGTGCAATCTCACGATCTCGGCTCACTGCAACTTCCGCCTCCTGGGTTCAAGAGATTCTCCTGCCTCAGCTTCCCAATTAGCTGGGATTACAGGCACCTGCCACCATGCCTGGCTAATTTTTGTATTTTTAGTAGAGCCAGGGTTTCACCATGCTGGCCAGGCTGGTTTTGGACTCTTGACATCAGGTGAACCATCGCCCGCCTCAGCCTCCCAAAGTGCTGGGATTACAGGCATGAGCCACCTCGCCTAACCCTTTTTTTTTTTTTGGAAATGGAGTCTCACTCTGTAGCCAGGCTGGAATGCAGTGGCACGATCTTGGCTCACTGCAACCTCCGCCTCCTGGGTTCAAGTGATTCTCCTGCCTCAGGCTCCTGAGTAGCTGCAACTACAGGCACACGCCACCACGCCCAGCTAATTTTTGTATTTTTAGTAGTGGCAGGGTTTCGCCATGTTGGCCAGAATGGTCTCAATCTCTTGAGATTCGCCCACCTCAGCCTCCCAAAGTGCTAGGATTACAGGCATGAGCCACCATGCCCGACCCTCTACTTTGCCTTTTAATGTAAATATTTTTCATGCTTTAAAAATTTTTTTCAAAAATATTCAACTTTAACTATTACATTTACTTTCATTTTACATTTTTGATGGAAATATATTAAAATTTGATACTTTTTGAATATAATTTTATGTTTTAATCTTTTGGATCATATCAATGGAATGTAAATTATTTGCATACTTTAATTGCAATTAGATAATTAGTTTTTTTCTTGCTGTGAAAGAAAAAAAATTTATGAAATATGTAATGACTCATGATATATGTCTTTATTTTATCACTCATTCAAATATTTCTGGGCCATCAATAGCACGTACACAGTAATACCTGAATTCAGTTATTCTTGATATTTTGTAGACTTTCAGTCAGATAAAAACTATAGTTTTCCAACTTAAAAAGAAAATTTCCATTATGAAGTCGTATTTGTCAATGTAGGGGGAGAAAAAATGTATTTTGCAGCTTGATTTATAATTTTCTATTTTGTTATTATTATTTTTTTTAATTTTTTTTTTTAGAGACAGAGTCTCACTGTTACCCAGGCTGCAGTGCAGTGGTGTGCAATCATAGCAGCCTCAAACTTCTGGGCCCAAGCAATCCTCCTACTTCAGTGTCCCAAGTAACTAAAACTACAGGCATGAGCCAACAGGCCCAGCTAATTTTTGTTGTTGTTGTTGTTGTTTTAATAGAGATAGGGTTCCTATGTTGCCAAGGCTGGCCTCAAGCTCCTTAGCTCAAGCAATCCTCCTGCCTCAGTCTCCCAAATAGCTGGGACTACAACGCATGCCACTTAGTTATAATTTTAAATATTTAGACCATTTGTACTCTAGCCCTGGCCCCACATATGTTGAAGATGAGCCTGACTGCTATAATCAGATGATCAGATAGAGTTTTTTAAAAATTTAACTAATAATAGCTAACTTATTGACACTAAATATGTGCCAGGCCCTGTGTTAAGTACTTTCTACATATTATGCCATTAAATCCTCCCAATAACCCTATGTCATTATTCCCACTTTATTTATTTATTTATTTTTAGCTTTTATTTTAGGTTCTGGGGTATATGTGCAGGTTTGTTATACAGGTAAATTGCATGTCACAGGGGTTTGGTGTACAGATTATTTCATCACCCAGGTAGCATATTGCCCAGGGAATAAGCATAGGTAGTTTTTTTATCCTCACCTTGCTCCCACCCTCCACCCTCAAGTAGGCTGTGTTGTCTATTGTTACCTTCATTGTGTCCATGTGTACTCAATCTTTATCTCCCACTTGTGATAGTTTATCTCCCACATGTGAGTACATATGGTATTTGGTTTTCTGTTCCTGCACTAATTCGCATAGGATAATGACCTCCAGCTCCATGATCTTAATCTATTTTATGACTATGTAGTATTCCATGGCATATATGTACCACATTTTCTTTATCCAGTCTACTACCATTGATGGGCATTTAGGTTGATTCCATGTCTTTGCCATTGTGAATAGTGTTGTGATGAACATACATATGCCTGTGCCTTTGTGGTAGAACAATTTCTATCCCTTTGGGTACACACCCAATAATGGGATTGCTGAGTTGAATGGTAGTTCTAAGTTCTTTGAGAAATCGCCAAACTGCTTTCCACAATGGCTGAACTAATTTTCATTCCCATCAGCAGTGTATAAACGTTTCCTTTTCTCTACAACCTCACCAGCATCTGTTATTTTTTTGACTTTTTAGTAATTGCCATTCTGACGGGTATGAGATGGTATCTCACTGTGGTTTTGATTTGCATTTCTCTAATGATTGGTGATGTTGAGCATTTTTAATATGCTTATTGGTTACATGTATCTCTTCTTTGGAGAAGTGTCAGTTCATATCCTTTGCCCATTTTTTAATGGTATCCCCACTTTATGGAGAGGAACCAGAAACCTGGAGAGTTTCCATGACTGGCTCGTGGTCACACAACCCCTAAGTCCTGGAGCTGGGATTTGATCCCAGGAGGCCTGAGTAACTTTGGGAAAAGGCACTTTGAGAGAGGTGACCTTGATGGGCATCCCTGTGGGGAACTTGGACACATGATCGCAACTGGGAGGGTCCAGGTGCTGGGAGGAAGAGTGGCAAGGAGAAGGCCTCCTGATTCCAGTCTGACTAGAGATCTGATGTCACCCAAGCACCAAAAGCTACCAAGTGTCTGAATGGGTAGGGAGAAGTGCCAGTTTTTACCAATTCTTCATGTTCTTCTGATTTCAGCAATGGATGAGTAAGAAAAATATTCCATTTACTTTTATTACTTTGAATTCTCATTCTCAGTCATTGAACAGGTAAATTCAAAGGGCTGATTCCTTCTTTCCTTCTTTATCCCTCCCTCCATCTTTCTTTCTCCTTCTTTCTCTCCCTGTTTTCTTTTCTCCCTCTCTTTCTTTCTTCAATCACATATATATTGAGCTCCTATTATGTACTAAGCACTCTGCTAGGTAATAAAAAAAAGACAGTGCCTCATCATTATGGGGTTCCCTACGTAGTAGGAAGACAGAGGGCAAACCAACATGAAAATCCTAAAAATTACAACCATGGTGAATGCCATACAGGAGAGATGGAGAATGCTAGGAAGGTGTGTATGTGCTAGGGGAATCTGGCCCAGTCTCAGAGTGTCAGGGAAGACTTCCCTGGAAACCTGTCATTGGATCCAGGTGGTAAGTAAGGTTAACCATACACAGATTTGGGAGAATAGCCAAGCTGAGAAAATAGCTTGGATAGAGGCCCCATGAGGAGAGGGAGCCTATGGGTGGGAATACGAAGATTCTGAGAGAAGGCCAGTGAGGCTGGATGTGTGTTTGGATGAAAGGTTCCGACCATTCCTGACCAGGGGTCAACAAATTATGGCCCATGGGCTGAATTCAGCTACAATGATAGAGCTGAGTAGTTGCAACAGAGACATTATGACCCACAAAGGTGGGAAGAAATTCAGAATGCTGTCTAGAAAATGTATTGTCTGCCTTTTATAGAAAAAGTTTGCAGCCAGGGGCAGTGTTTCACACCTGCAATCCTAGCACTTTGCGAGGCCAAGGTGGGAAGATCATTTGAGCTCAGGAGTTTGAGACCAGCCTGGGCAATATAGAGAGACTTCATCTCTCCTGAAAAATTAAAAATAAAAAAAAATTAACTGGGCTTGTTGGCATGAGCCTGTAGTCCCAGCTACTCAGGAGGCTGAGATGGGAGGATGACTTGAGCCTGGGAGGTCGAGGCTGCAGCGAGCTGTGATCACGCCACTGCACTCCAAACCTGAGCAACAGAATGAGATCCTGTCTCAAAAAAAATTTAAAAAGAAGATAAAAGAAAAAAAAAAGTAGATTTTTTTTTTTTAATAAAAAGTTTTCAGACCTCTGAACCAGATGGTGGAGGTCAGACCTTGCAGGCCCATTGATGATTGTGATCTTTGTCTTAACAGCTACGGGAAACCATCAGAGTGTTTTAAGACTGAAGGAGACAGGGAATAACAGGATCAGATTTCATTAGGCACATTCAGGAGTTGAATATATACTTACATTGTAAGGATATCCCAGGCCAGGCCAGTCCTTCCAAAGATCCCTATAAGGGAATTGTGGCATTAATCTCCTCATAAATGGGTTCTAAGTCTTTCTTGCCTGTGGCAAGTGGTCACAGTCAGTTTCTTCCTACCTAAGCCCCTATTTTGGTCAAAATCAATTGGGAGCAAATAACAGAAGCACAATATAAACCAGCTATACAGCAGGAAGAAAATGTGTTGGTTCACATAGCTGGGAAGGGCAGTAGGTGACTCAGAGAAGCCAAAAAAGAGCAACAGAAAAAAGAGTCCATAGCCCTTGGCTCAGGAACTCACCGCATAGAGAACCATCTCTCCATTTGCCTCTCATCTTTGCTTAATCCTGCTTGGCTTCCTGCACAAACAGACATGCTCCACTGAGTGACCTCAGGTTCATGTTCTCCCAGTTTAGGCACCCCAGCAGAAAGAGAGTGTCTCTTTCCCTAAGCCTGTACATTCATCTTGGGGTTAGATTGTGAGTGGCCCTGCTCAGTCACATGCCCACCTTCTCTAGAACAATCATTGTTGTCAGAGGGATCAGGTGCTATAAATTGGCCAGACCTGGGACATGTGCCTATCCTTAAGGCCAAGGGGTGGGCCTGGAATTGAGAACTTCAGAACAGCCTAGAAGGGAAGAGGGGAGTTTTCAAAAGAAAGGAATGTTGGCCCAGCGCGGTGGCTCACACCTGTAATCCCAGCACGTTGGGAGGCCGAGCCGGGCAGATCACTTGAGGTCAGGAGTTTGAGACCAGTCTGGCCAACAAGGTGAAACCCCATCTCTACCAAAAATTGCAAAACTTGGTGGCGGCCGCCTGTAGTCCCGGTTACTCGGGAGACTGAAGCAAGAGAATCGCTTGAACCCAGGAGGTGGAGGCTGCAGTGGGCCAAGATCGTGCCACTGCACTCCAGCCTGGGTGACAGAGTGAGACTCTATCTCAAAAAAGAAAGGAAGGAAGGGAAGGGAAGGGGAAAAGAAAAGAGAAGAGAAGAAAAAAGAAAAGAAAAGCAAAGTTAGGCAGACAAAAGAATCTAAGCAACCCATGCCTGTGGTATCTGCCAGGCTGGTATGCACAAGCTTTACAGGAGAAGCCAGTTCCGCTGTCCTGGCAACAGCTGACCAGACCAGAGATCAGTCTCGGGAAGAGCTTACAACACACATGTGCCAGACACGAGGGTGGCTGATCAGCTCTGAGGTGACTCCACACAAAGGTCCAGCGGGGGGCCCTCCTCTGAGTGGCAGCAAGTTAACCAATCAAACCTTCTCACTTGCAAATATAAATGATAAGTCAGCAAAAGTGGAGCTTGATGTTGGCAGCAATACTCAGAATCTCATCCAGGTTTCTATGTAGCTCACTCTCCATCCTGTTCCTGTATAAACAGGAACCCACCCAGTAAACCTCCTTGGCTGAAGGAAAGCCAGGACTGTCTTTTCCTCCTAAAGAATTTGCCTGTATTGATCAGTACAATCTGATGCCCTGGGAATTTCTTCCCCTGCCATTTACAGGGAAAATGTTTCCATGCTGAATTTCATACAGCAGGAAATGAGCTACTCTTATGGCAAGGAATGATATGATTACAACAGGGATTTCCTCATTGGGAGGGAATTCAAGCACTTCAGTAGGTGGCTGGGGAGATTTAACCACAGACTTTTTGGGGAGGAGGCTGAAGTGAAAGCTAAGTACAATAAACATGGTAACCCACTGTGGCAGGGCTGGAGTCCTGGGTTCAAGTCCCTGCTGGGGGACCCTGGGCAAGTCACCTCTCCTCTGTCCTCTGGAAGTGAAGTTTTAAAATCATTCATCCATTCTACAAAGATGTGTGGCAAGGGGCGGTGTGGTGCAGAGTGAATGCAGCAGAAAGCCGGAGACACAACTGCAGACAGAGGTAACGGGGACCCAGACATTTGGAGCCTTGGACTTCCCTATGAAGACTTTGGTTTTTACATCGCATGAGATGGGGAAGTGTGTTAGTTTCTTGCAGTTGCTATAACAAATGACCACAAACTTAGTGGCTTAAAACAAACAAGTTTATTATCTTATAATTCTGGAGGTCTAAAGTCAGACCTCTAGCAGGTCTGACTGGACTGAAATCAAGATGTTGGCAGAGCTGCCTCACTTTCTGGAAGTTCTAGGGGATAATCCATTTTCTTGCCTTTCTAGCCCTTAGAGCTGTCTGCATTCCTTACTCTTAGTTCCCTTCCATCTTCAAAGCCAGCAGTGGCAGTTTGAATCGTTCTCCCATTGCATCAGTCTGACTTTCTCTTTTGTCTCTCTCTTCCACTTTTAAGGACCTTTGTGATTACATTGGGTCCAGTTGGATAATTCAGAATAATCTCTTTATCTGAAGATCAGGTGATTAGCAACCTTAATTCCTCCCACAACAGTAACGCCCCTTTGCCACGTAACGTAATATATCCACAGGTTTTGGGGATTAGGATGTGGACAACTTTGGGGGCCATTATTCTGGGCCCCCCCACAAGAAACCACTGGTACGTTTCAAACAGTTGAGTGGCATGATCCGACTTGTGGTTTACCATGGTCACTGTGGTGTCTGTGTTGAAACAGACATTAGGGTAGCAAAGGCCAGAGAGACCTTTAAGTAGAGAGGCCAACTAAGAGACCACTCCAATAATCAGGCCAAATATGGTGCTTGAACCATGATAGTGAATGCGGTGAGAAGTGGTGAAACTCTGAATATATTTTGAGGGTAAAACCAATAGGATGTGTTGCAAGTGTGAATGCAGATAAGAGAGAAAGGAGTCAAGGATAGCACAAGGCTTTTGGCCTGAGCAACTGGAATGACAGAGGTACCATTGATAAATATGGCGGGAAATGCCCAAGGAACTCTCATGGGATGGATATTCGCTCAGTCTTACACACAGTAAGTCATCTCACACCAAGGTGGAGATGGCTGGTAGGCTGTTGGATATATGGGTTTCCTAGAGGAGCTCAGAGTGAGTAAATGCATTTGGAAGCATACACATATGAATAGCATTTAAAGGTAGGAGGCTGGATGAGATCACCTAAGGACTGAATGAAAGTAGAGATGAGGTGAATATGCTCTTGGGCCCCAAAAGTTACACTGATCTCCACACAGTAGATTTAGATCCACTGGCAGTCTCAAGGACTTGCCATCTCCAAGCATGTTGCTGCTGCAGCAATGTTATTCTCTTCCAGAGTTACTTACCTTCCCTGGCTTTGCCAGAGGAGCAGAGCCAGCAGTGATCCCTCCTCTCCCAGCATGATAGGACGTTCTGGTGTCAGTGTTGGCTCCCCTCTACAAAGCCTCTTCCTTCAAACAAGTGGTCTTAGGGCTTCAGGAGAAGGTGGCTCTTTCTCACCAAAGTGGAGAGTAGGTCATGTAAATTCATTCACTTAATAAATACCAGTTGAGTACTTACTATGGGCGAGGCCCTGTGCTGAGTGCTGGGAAACTGTGGTTTACAAGACACACATTGTACAAGTGATGATAGTAAAGTGTGGTGAATACTGTGTCAGGAGTGTATTTGGCTGCTAGTAACAGAGACCTGTAATAGTAGTTTGACAGCTTAAGGGGAATTTTTTTATGTAAAAAAAAAGTTCCAAGGTGGGTATTGCAAAGTTGAGTTCAGCTTCAGTGTCATCAGTGTTCTGAGCTTATTCTGTCTTTCTGCTCAACCATCTTCAGTGTGTGGCATCTATCCTCAAGGTTACCACATGATTATAAAGTGGCCACTGAAGTTCCAGCCATCACATCTGAATTCCAGGCCAGGGGAGGGAGAGGGAAGTACAAAAGAGATATGGAGATAATAAATCAAAATCCTTTGTTGAGCTCCCACCCAAAAATTTTGCTTATATCTCATTGGCCACTCTTATCTGCAAGGCTGGTTGGGAAATGTCATTTTTAAAATCTGAACAATTTGCTGTTCCCAAATTCTTCTTTGAAATGAGTGAATGGATATGGACGAAGCAAGTAGCAGTCTCTGCCATAAGCACCAGGATGAGGGAACATATATTGGATGTTATATGAGGATATAGCAAGGGATAAGCCTTGGTTAGGGCCAGGGGAGTCTCCTAAAGAGGAAGATTTCAGTCTACACTTTAAGGGTAGGGTTACCTGCAAAGAGAAGAGGCAGAGAGTTTCAGGTGGAAGAAGCAGCATGTGCAAAGGCCTGGAGATACCAGAAAGAAGTCAGCACAGGAGGAAGCACAAGAGCTCAGGCAGGCTGGAGCAAACTCTGTGACGGGGAAAGGGGAAAGTGAAGGGATGGATTGTGAAAGGCCTGAAGGATGTTACTGGGAACTAGTACTTCATCCTTAAGCCTAAGGGCAGCTGTAGAAAAACTTTAAGGAGGAATCAGCTTAATGTGTCCTGAGGGCAGAGTAGAGAATAAAGTAAGGCGAGGAAAGCCGAAGGTAGGTAGACCAATTAGGAGGCAATGGCAGGATTAAAGCAAGAGATAACAATGGCCCAGACTGGGGTATTTCAGGGGATGGAGAGAAGTGGACTGGCTTGCACAACAATTTACGAGGAATATAAATGCTGATTTAAGGCCTCGGCTATCTAAAAACGGTTTGATTATTGTTGTCCCAGGAAGGGGACCCATCAAAATGACCTTCTGCGAAGCCTCACAACTCCAGGGTTTAGTTCAGGTTCTGAATTGTAGTGAAGGAGAATGGAAATTAGCAAACAGCCTCAAATGAAAGATAAGCAGTTTTGAGACTGGTAAGTAACAGTATTAAAGTGTAAAGCAGATAGAATTTACAGCTATTGTTAGACTCTCCTGAAAGTGTTATTAGAGTCAGTTTTTCACTTCCATTGAGAAAGAGAAAATAACCAATATTTTGTGAAGCGAGCATGGAAAAAGTATGAGGACAAGATGAAAAAGAGACACCAGGAGTTAGGACCCCAGGATTATGATCCGGGCTGTGATACTGTCTTGCTGGGTAGCTTGAGAGAGGCCACAGCATCTCTCTGGGTTTCCTTGCCAAGATCATCCCCATTCTCTGGGTTAGTGTCCATGTGCAGGTGATAGGTCTGCTCCTCCTACATTGTCTTTGATAAGGGAACCCTCAACTTCCTACTCAGTTGCAAAATCTCAGTTGCCTTTGAATCCTTCTTCTCTATCCACTTTATTCCCAGCCAAATTCTATTGATTCTTCCTCTAAAATGTTTCTTATATCCAACCTACTGCCACTGCCTTAATCTGGGCTCTGTGAAAATAAGTAATTTGAAATCCGAGCTGTTGGAACTTTAAGTTATTTTGAGCCTTAAAGGAATGTGATTATGGGGTCTGAGCCATGTGACAGGCAGCTGTAAGGTAGGCAGCTGTAACCTTCGTTTTTCTGATTATAGATTAGCCTTCTTCCTTACCTATGTTATTTCATAAAATGTTGCAAATGACCCAAGAGTGCCAGGGAATACCTCTTCCCTCTTCTCTGTTGATCATCATTATAGATTAACTTCCTTCTTCCCTCTCACACAAAGATTTTATGATTATCTCATTGTCTTGAGATGGAATGTTAAATATACTCTTTTAAATTGGAGAGGAAATAAAAACAAGCCATATGGAAAAGAAAACAAACTGTAAGTAACCAAATTTTTGCAACTCATAAACCAGCCTTATGTACAAAATGTTGTAATCCTACTAATTTCTTTGTTTTCTACCTGTATAAGCAAGACTTTAACTTGTAACTTTGGAGCACTGATCCCATTCCTTTGGAGTCTGTGTTACCTGAATGGCTATTCTCAGCTTTGTTCTTGAATAGACTCTTTAAAACTGGATTCACATCCTTTCTGTTATTTCAGGTTGATAGCCCTGATTAACTCTTACCTGGATTCTAGCAAAGATTCCACATGAGTCTCATTCCCCTTCAATACAGACTTCCCTTGCAGTCTACTACCAGTTATATCATAAAACAGATCTTACTTTTCCATCCATTCACCCATCCATCCACCCATACGTATATACATTTCTCCATCCGTCCTATGAGCATACTCCCTAGAAGGTACTGAGGCTGGAATATAGAGATAAGAAACCCCCCGACTTTGCTCCTGAGGAGCTCACAAATAGACTTGTGGTTCATAGCAACTAACAGGGAACCTCAGAATATTGTAAAGACTGTTATTTCCTAAGTGCATTCAGGGTGCACTGAGTACAATGAAGAAGCTCATTATCCAGACTTAGAGGAGTTCAGGAGGGAAGGAGCTCTGGGCAATCAGGGAAAGCTTCCTGGTGGAGGTGACACTCAAATTCAATCTTGAAAAAGGCCAAGTAAGAGTTGTTTGGGAAATAGGCAGGGGGATGGGTGACCAAAGGCTGTTGTGGTAGGAAGAAACAGCATTCATTCGTGTGCCCACAAATACCTATGAAGTACCCACTATGTGCTAGGCAAGAATGGCAAGAATAAGGAAGATAAGACAGATCTTTGTGTGTTGGAGAGAGGGGCTGCAAATGAGTCCTTTGGCTGATAAGCAGGACCAGGATTAGGGTGAGGGGAGTGAGGCATTCACCTTGGGCACAAAATTTAAGAGGGCACCAAAAAACTCAGTCATCAAGATAAAGCATATTTAAGGCAACATCTTAAATACTTAAATAAAAATAAGAAATCCATGAAAAATATAGACAGGATCTGATGGCACCATGTCAGGAAATATTGGAGCCTGAGACAAAAGGAAAAATGTGCACTCCTTTATGCATTTTAATGGTTTATTTTTTCAGAACATTAAAGTAGTTGACAATATATTGAAAATTTAAAAGTTGGTATATTCACATTATTTTAAAGTTAAATATTTTATTTGTACCAAAACCAGAGTTTATTATAATTTCACTTTCCTAACTTTATTGGAAGCAAATTCATCAATAACAGCTTTAAAATCTGCTTCTGGAGTAGTGAGAGAGAAGGCAGAAGTGGAAGCAGAGGCTAGATTGCAAAGGGTCTATTTTGCCATGCTAATGAGTTTGGACTATATCCTCAAGGAATGTGGCCCTAAAATGAGAAGCTCTGTGGTTAGAGCTATTCAAGTCTCTGCTCCTCCACTTACTACCTTAGTGATCTTTGGCGGTTATTTGTCCACGTAAGTACATGTTTCCACATCCATAAAATAGATACTCACCCAAAAGGGCAATTATGAAAATATAAATGCTTGTAATGTGCTTAGCTCAGTATTTCCCATTCACTGTTCTCTTGTGTGATGGCCATTATTATTAATACGACTGTGGGGAGTCATTGGAGGATTTTTAGTAGTGAAGTAACTTAATCAGATTTGCACTAAAGAAAGGCCACTCTGGCAACAGTATGGGAAGCAAGACAGGCCGAGTAACCAGTTAAGATACAACCAAAGAAGTTCATTGTGAGTGAAAAGAAAAGAGCCTGAAATAAGGATCTAGTGATGGGGTTAGAGAAATGTGGACAAGTTTGAGATGTACTAAGGAGATAGAATTAAAATGATGTGGGGGAGTAAGGAGGGCAATCACGGCTTGAACAGTTGGGTGAATGGTGGGACCATCACTGAAAACAGAGAACACAGAGGAGGAGACAGCTTGGGAAGGATGGTTACAGGGTGAAACAATTCAGATTGTGTTTGAAAAAAACAGAAAATCTAGGGGTGCTATGATAGTTCCAAGAAGTCATCAGGGATCCAGCCATCTATCTTTCTGCTCTGTCATCTTTAGCATATGGTTTCCATCATCAAAGTTACCTCATAGTCTAAAATAGCTGCTGGAGCTCCCAAAATCCTGACTGTATTCCAGACAGCTGGAAGGAGGAACAAAAGGGAAGAGCAAAATGGTATAGCTTCCAGCTGAGTCAATTCCCTTTAACAGACTTCCAGAAGGCCCTCCACAACACTTCTTACATATTAGAAACCAGTCCCATGGACATATCTAGTTGTAAGGGAGTTTGAGGAATGAGTCTCTTAGCTAGGTGCATTGTCATTCATGATAAAATGGGAGTTCTGCTGCTAAAAAAGAAGTGGAGAATGGACACTGGGCAGGCAACTAGTGGTCTCTGCCAGAGGGAGACTTCTTTTTTTGGGCAGTGTGGAGACTAAAGCAACTCCATCTTAGATTTGAATCTGCCATTTTGGCTTCTGATTAACTCCAGCTCCAGAAAGACCTCTAAGATTTCCCATTTATCTATTCTTCTTTGTTGAAGAGCAAGTACTTACAGTAATTCCTGCCCTTAAGTTAAACAACCTTGATGTTATTGTATTTCTGTTTTCCTACTCAGCCCTTCTGAATCACCCTTTTCCTATGGAATATAAGCCCTGGCTGTGGGAAGATGGGAGTGGTGGTAACAGCGCTGAGATCCACTATCTTGTCTCGAGACACAGACATGGCTTCTGTTTGAAGCCCCTAGTAAATGTTTATTTCTCAGGAATTGGATATGTCAGCCTCTTTCTTTGGCCTCTCAGCTTTCTCAGACTTTGGGAGTAGCTTTGCATACTCCCACTGCAAAACAGTCAGGTTGAGTTGGAGATGTTTTGGGAGCAGGCAGGAGAGAGATGTGGCTGGAGAAGTGTGAGTTGAAGCCTTTGGAGAGGATGTCATCCTCCAGGTAAAGGATGTAGAGTAAAAAAAGAAGATGGCTGGCCAGGTGCGGTGGCTCATGCCTGTAATCCCAGAACTTTGGAGGACGAGGTGGGCGGATCACTTGAGGTCAGGAGTTTGAGACCAGGCTGGCCAACATGGTGAAACCTCATCTCTACTAAAAATACAAAAATTAGCCAGGCATGGTGGCATGAGCCTATAATCCCAGCTACTCAGGAGGATGAGGCAGGAGAATTGCTTGAACCCAGGAGGTGGAAGTTGCAGTGAGCCAAGATTGCACCACTGCATTCCAGGCTGGGCGACAGAGCAGGACTGTGTCACCAAAAAAAAAAAAAAAATTAGCTGGGCTTGGTGGCATGTGCCTGTAACCCCAGCTACTTGGGAGGCTGAGGCAGGAGAATTGCTTGAACCTGGGAGGTGGAGGTTCCAGTGAGACAAGATTGCGCCACTGCACATCAGCCTGGGCGACAGAGCAAGACTGCGTCTCAAAAAAAAAAAAAAAGACGGCTTAGTTGAGGATCACAGAATCACTTAATGCTTTATGGGCTAGTAGAGGAATAGAAGCCATGAAACCAAATCAAAACAAACAGGAGTTTTAGTAATGTTTAATCACTTAACAGTATAAAATAATGTAAATATTTTTAGTGATCAATCAATGAGTAGCATTCCTCTTCCTGAGCTGAGTTCTGAACCAATTGAGAGTGAGCATGGGCATCAAGTAGAGGGAGCTCAAAATGTTAGCTTTATTACTAGTTTAAGGCTGATTGGCAGAGGTAGCTTAAAAATGCACATTGGAATTAAATTCACGGGCACAGGCACAGGCCAAGCTAAACAACCATAGGCACAGCTACCCTTATCACATGGCACCGCTGAGTAGAACACATGCCTCCTGCAGACAGATTGTCTCAAGAAGAGCTCAGAAGGGGCGGAGACACTTATGCCCAGATTTTCTCCTAAACCCACAAATCAGATAAGTCAGATCAAGGCAGTGGAGAAAGGATAGAAGTGTTATATCGATTGAGGTCCTTTCACTTAGAAACATGAAAAGTAGGAAATAATGGTGCCCCCACCACCTCATATAAATATGGTCATATAACCTTTAATATTATAATTCTTATTCTGAGCACCCATCCTGTTATCCCAGGATGAATTTCAGGAGCTAACTGAATTCAGTGATTGGGTCCTGTTTGCTCTCCCTTTATCATGGAAGCCAAGACTCTTCTAAGATCCCTTGAGGTTGGAGGACTACACAGTTTGCTACCAGATGCCTGGAGCTCATCAATGCTGTTGTGCTTTTATTGCTACCAACAAAGCCAGACATCTCGTGCAGGCATCCATCCTCTGCTGCTAGTGCTGTAGGGTGTTGCTGTTATCTGACCTTTCCCAAGAGCTAGTTCTTGTTCAGGATTTGCCAGTGAAGTTTGAACTGATTGTTCTTCCTTAAGGCTGGAGGATTTCATAATGTTCCCCTCACCTCACAGCATGTCTCATGTTTTCTTTACTGTACCCCAGAACTGGCTGGGCTTTCTCATATTATACACACATACCAACACACATGTACACACACACAGTGCCAGGATGACCAGGCCAGAAGGAGGCCAGTATTAACCATACCCAGTACCCTGAACCAGCCTCCCTGCAAAGCAATCAAGGCACAGTATTGAACTTGGATCCCCAGGTCAGAGTCTTTCTTCAGACATTAAGCAAATATTTATTGAGTCTTTCATTGGCCCTTAGTGACCACTTCCACTCATAAGCGATGTGTCAATAATGCTGAGTCTCAAAAGGGAGGAGTCAGAAGGACCAAAAACAATCTTGGAAAAGAAGAACAAAGTTGGAGGGCTCATGCTTCCTGATCTCAAAACCTACTACAAAGCTATAGGGTAATTAAGACTGTGTGGTACTAGCAGAAGGCTGGACACATAGGTCAATGGAATAGAATTTAGAGTCCAGGAAAAAACCCTCACACTTACAGTCCATTGATTTTTAGACAAAGGTGCCAAGACATTTAAATGGGGAAAGAATAGTCTTCAACAAGTGTGCAAGACAACGTGACACCCACATGCAAAAGATAGATTTGGACCCCACCTCATACCAGACACCAAAATTAACTCAAAATAGGTCAAAGATCACAATGTAAGGGCTAAAATGATAAAGTTCTTAGAAGAAAACATAGGCATAAATCCTCATGACCTTAAGTTAGACAATGGTTTCTTAGATACAACACCAAAAGTGCAGCAAAATAATAATAATAATGAATTGGTCATCAAAATTAAAAATCTTTCTGCTTTATTGGTCCTCACAATTAAAAACCTTTTTGCTTCAAAGGACACCATCAAGAAAGTGAAAACCCACAGAATGGAAAAAAATTTTGCAAATCATATATCTGATAAGGGATTTGTAGTTAAAACATATAAAGAACTCTTACAACTCTGTAAAGAAGAAGATAAATAACCCAATTAAAAAATAGGCAAAGTGGGCACAATGTTATGCACCTATGGTCCCAGCTGCTCAGGAGGCTGAGATGGGAGAACTGCTTGAGCCCAGGAGGCAGAGGCTGCAGTAAGTCAAGATCACGCCACTACACTCCAGCCTGGGCAACAGAGCAAGACCCTGCCTCAAAAAAAAAATAGGCAAAGGATTTAAATAAACATTTCTCCAAAGAAATACAAACAGCTAATAAACACATGAAAAGATGCTCAACATCATTAGCCATCAGGGAAATGCAAATATTAACCATAATGGGATACCACTTTATACCTACTAGGCTGACTATTATTAAAAAGACAGATACCAACAACTGTTGGTGAGGATGTGGAAAAATCAAAACCCACATAAACTACAAGACTACAAAACTCACATAAACTACAAAACCCACATAAACTCACATAAACCAACAAAACCCACATAGACTATGGGAAAATAGTTTAACAGTTCCTTAAAACTTAAGAATTACTGTTACAATAGCATCCAGCATTTAATCCCTAGGTATATACCCAAGAGAAATGAAAACATATGTCCACACAAAATCTTGTAAGCAAATGTCCATAGCAACATTATTCATAATAGCCAAAAAGTGAGAACCCATATGTCCACCAATTAATGAATAAACAAATTGTGTTATATTCATACAATTTAATATTATTCAGTTATAAAAAACGAGGTACTAATACATGTTACAACGTAGATGAATCTTGAAAACATTATGCTAAGTGAAAGAACAGTCACAGAATATGATATATCGTATGATTCCATTTACGTGGAATGTCAGAATAGGCAAATCCATGGAGATGGAACGTAAATTCAGCTGCCTAGGGCTGAGGGGGTTTGGAGGAAGGAAAAGGGCATGACTCTAATGCATATAAGGTTTCCTTTTGAGGTGGGGAAAATGTTCTAAAACTGATTGTAGCAATGGGTGCACAACTCTGTAAATGTACTAAAAACCACTGAACTGTACACTTTAAATGGGTGTATATATGAATTATATATCAATAAAGCTGTTATTTTAAAAAGCAAAAAAGCAAAAAGATAGGAGTCAGGGTCTTGATCTCCTTAATCCCAGGCGGTCCCTTGGCTCTTATGCATATGAGGGTATGGGCCAGCATGGCCTACTTTCTTTCCCCAGAAGGGTAAGAAGCAACTTGCCTATTCTTTTCACTCTTAAAGGTACCACCCAGGTAGGGTGGCCAACTTGTCCTAGTTTTCCTAGGACTTCTAATTTTAGCATTGAAAGTCTTGCTCCCAGAAACCCTCTCATTCTGGGGCAAACTGGAACAGTTGGTCACCCTATACCCAGAGATTTCTTCACAGATTTTCTCCAAGGCAACTTCACATCACTAGCTCTAGACACAGAAGTGGCAGGCAACTTTAGAGTGGTAATTTCTCTTGCTAACAACCAAAAAGGGGAGAATGTGTTTAAAGTTCGACCTGACTGGATACTCTTCATGGTGTCAATGAGTAGAAGGATTTCAAGAAAGAAGGAATGGCTCGTATTGTCAGATGTTCCTCAGAACTCTGATAAGAACCAAAAACATCTATTGGTTGTGGCCATATAGAAGTCGCTGGCCTTTGGCAAGATGGGGAGGTGTTCAGGCAGAAGTCAGATTATGGAGGGTTAAGGAGTAAATGGAAGGGAAGTAAGCAATCAGACAGAATTGGGTACTCTTTTTAAACAGCTTGACTCTGTGGGCAAGAAAGAGTGGAAGTCGGAAGGCTTAAGGGAAGATGGTCTCTGGATTTGTTTCGTTTTCATTTTTTAAGATGTGGAGAGTGAATCTGGTTTATGTGTTGAGGGAGAGGAGATTGACCCTGGAGGGGAGTGGAATCCATGGCACAAGTAGGGGGATTATCAGGGTTACCCTTGGACAAAAAAGTTTTTGCTTTGTTTTTTGGTTGTTTTTTGCCACAGAAGAGAAGCATGAAAACATGGGAGTGTCATGCAGGTGAGCTTGGACCAGGGAAGCAAGCAGCGGAGGAAAGCCCAGCCTAAGGGCCTCTTTTTTTCTCCCTGAAGTGGGAGGAGGGTCCTCCCCTGAGCATGATGAAAGAGCTGAGCCTGGTCAAGGTTTGATGGCATTGTTATGGGACATGGAAGAAGATGCTGGTAATGGAGAAAAAATGGATAAATGTGGTAGTGGAGAAAAATGTCTGGGTTTCCTTGAGGGCCTTAATAAGAACGAAGACCATAAATTTATAATGTAGAGGGGAGGAGGTAGATAGTTGGATTCATTTAGGGTTGAGGTTTTGCAGGTGGAGATGGAAGGAAAAGTGTTAATGCCATTCTCTAGCTTAAAGACCTTTGAAGACTTCACAAAAACTGCAAAATAGAATAAAAACTTGCCCTGACATTTAATCTCTCCATAATTTAGTTTGTGTCTACTTTATTATGCTACCTCCATCTCCCTTCTCTCCTTGATGCACCAACCTATTCGTACTACCTTCTTCCAGTCATCCTGGTCTCAATTTCCCCAAACTGGCGGGTTTCCATCTTCTGAGTTTTTGTCTCCTTCTGATTAGAATGCCCTTCTAATCATTAAATGCCAATGCAAATTCCATTTGCCCCAAAAGCCTCCCACCTTCCCCAGCAAGAATTAATCTCTTATCCCCTATTGAGCTAGTATTGCCCATCATGTCTTCTCAATCCTCTCCCAGTCCTTGAAGAAGTTGCCCCACCCACCAGCAGCCCAGAAGAGGCAAGCTCCTTGGTCATAAATTATTGGAGTAGCACAGCCAATTGGAGATTTCTCTCCCAGGATTTGAGATTGAGCTTGCAGGCTACCTTAGCCATCAGAGACATAGGACCCTCTAGATCTGGATAGAGAGCTGGTGCCTCCCAAAGTGCCTGTGTGCTGAGGGTAATGGGGAAGTAGAAACCAAGAGCCTTCTGGAGTAAAATGGCACAGACCTGCAGGGAGATGCAGAAATAAGATACTGGGTAGGGGTGGGGGCAGAGGAAATGAGAGTGAGAGACAGTTTTCTTACTCTAGGATTTCTATGAACATCTTGCAGCTGAGTTCCTGGAGATATTCCAGCATCCTTAACGTGAATCCAATTTTAGTTGTAAGTTAGCCTGAGGTAGTTGCTGTTCCTTGCAATCAATTGTCACTGCCCCTGAACCAGAAGGCTCTGCTCCCATAGTACCTTGCATGTGCCTCTATTAGAGCACTATCTCCTATCATCAGAGTTATGCAGATGTGTGTCTGCTTCCACCTGGGGCGCAGCGCCCCTGTTCATTCAGTATCCCTGGAGCCTAGTACTTGTTGGATGCTCAAAAAATAGTTGTGGAATTTGAATTCTCCCAGTTCACAAAATGGTTTGTTGATGTATCATTTGTTAGGCAAACCTTATAAACTCTATGTTTCCCACCATATTTCACTATATTTGCATTATTTTACATCTTTCAAAAAATCAAATTTGCTTTCATGCTACTCACAAACTTTGCACATTTACGTGGTTTGGCTTTCTCATTATTTTTCGCGGTCACCAGGAATGATTCATAGTCAAGCAGTGGTCCATGCATCCCTCTAGTTGGTGAGAATGTCTTATATGCAACCCATCTTCCAGTATTCAACTGACTTCGACCTTGAAATGGATATTTCCATGAAGGCTGTTGGGGCAGCTTAATTTCAATGATGTCATTTAAAACACATTAAAAAGTCAGCAGGGAGGCTAAGCACAACTGCTTCCTTTAAAAACCTATTCAGAATCATCGATCTTCAGAGCTGGGGCCAGTGGTTCTCAGGCTTTTGAGTTTCTATGAACCAGCATTAATATAAGAAAAAAAGGGAGGGGTTGCTGAATTTATCCTTTTCCAGAAAATAGCATTAAAACAAATTCGTCTCTATTAACATAGTATAATTTCATAAAATAAAGGGCATGCTAACACCAATATTATCCAGAGCATTATCTCCTAACTTATCAAACACAGTCAAGTGTGGCTTAACAACAGACATAAGTTGTGAATCTTTAGGCAGTTTCATCATTGTGCGAACATCAGAGTGTCCTTACACAAACCTAGATGGGAAACCCTACTACATACCTGGGCCATATTGTATAGCCTATTGTTCCTAGGCTACAAATCTATACAGCACGTTGCTGTACTGAATACTGTAGGCAACCATAACACAATGGTATCTGTGTATCAAAACATCTCTAAACACAGAAATGGCATAGTAAAAATACGGTACTATAATCCTATGGGGCCACCATCCTATAGGCAGTCTGTCGTTAACAAGAACATCCTTCTATGGTGCATGACTGCATATTTGACTTTACAAAAACTCATGATATTTTGATTTCTAAATAATGTTTGAAATATTTAAATATTTCTAAATAACATGCTTAACACTGTGCTTGGCACATGGTCAGTTCTCTGTATTATTATTATTAGTGTTTAATCAATGTTGGTCATGTTTCACACAAGGGAGAATACTTTTTTCTTCCCAAAAGGTTTGCTGAGCTCTTTCATGGATTTGAAGTGTGTCCCTAAGGGGTCAAGTTTTGCTGGGGAATGCAATGACTCTGACTCTGTAAAACAAACTGAGAAGATTTAAGATTCTCACAGGTATTCTGAGGAGCGCAGAAGTGAGAGGAGAAGAGAAAAGAAAGGAGTCTGCAAGATGAAGACTGAGGACTCATTCCCATGAAGACCACAAACTTTCATTGTTGAGGAGGGAGGTGGGTGAAGAATATTTTGCAACTCGGGATGGATCAATATACAGTTTGAGGGTTTTATATTTCAGGAATGTGAATAACTTCTTTCATGCCACCCTACTTCCAGCTTCTGTAACATTTATAATATGCAATGTGCATGAATGTTATGAATAGGTTTACGGTGGAAATCATAGAAGGGTCTACATTTCTCATTTGAGTTGAAACAGTGTAGATCCCAGAGAGCAGCCCAGAAGCAGAGGCCAGGAACCAAAGGGGACCAGAGAACAGAAGTTGCCAAGATCTCCGAAAAATCTCGGCCATGGTTTGAGCATGGTTCCTCAGCAGACACCTATCTTATGTCTTCATAGTAATGAAAGCCATTCTGGTTTCGTATCTGGGCATGATTCGGTAAGGCATGATAAGCCTGGTTCCGAAGTTCTGTACCTGTCCCAGCTGGGTCAGGTCTATTTTTGTGGTAGAATCACCTACAGTTAAGAGAATCCTTGGCTTGGAGGTTTTCTTCTTTTTTTTTTGAGACAGGGTCTTGCACTGTCGCCCAGGCTGGGGTGCAATGGCGTGATCTTGGCTCACTGCAACCCCCGCCTACCGGGTTCAAGTGATTCTCCTGCCTCAGCCTCCTGAGTAGCTGGGACTACAGGCGCGCACCACCACGACCGGTTAATTTTTGTATTTTTAGTATAGACGGGTTTCACCATGTTGGCCAGGCTGGTCTCGATCTCTTGACCTCGTGATCTGCCCGCCTCGGCCTCCCAAAGTGCTGGGATTACAGGCGTGAGCCACCACGCCCGGCCGGCTTGAAGGTTTTCAAGGGCTAGAGAGGAGCCCTGCCCTGGCTCCTTAGGTACAGCCAGAATCGGCCTTTAAGGTATGGGATATCTGACTCCTGCAGGACTGGAACTCCACGTGCTTGGAGGGATAAGCATTTATGATGTAACCACTAAGTAGTCAGAGGGCAGGAGGAGTAACGCTGTTGCTGGGCAACCTGGCTTAGCTTCGTGGCTTTGGTTAAGGTGCTACTCTATGCAAAATTCCTTGCCGTCTTCCCTAATCCGCCTCCCCAATTCTCCCTTCCTGAACATTAGGGAACCCACTGGCCTGCTTACAACTGAAGCAGTTTCTGTGTTAGGGCAGAGAGTAGTGATCAAGACATTAGGGTTTAGTGTTAGATAAACCAGGCTCCACTCTGCGGCCCCACGCAACCTCCCCACGCTCTCTGCACCAGTGTTGGCATCTGTCAAGTGGGTGGGGGCTAACAGTGAATAACTGCCTCATAGATGGACTACCGGCTTAACCAGAGACTGACAGCGGGTCGCATATTAATCTTCCAATCACTTGGCAAACTCGTTTCACTATGCATCTCTCCTCCTGGCTGTTCTTTCAACTTCCTCCTCCCTGAAATTTCGAAGATCCACCTCGGTGGGAAAGTCATTCCGCGTGGCGCGCCCTTTCCCTGCGTCCCTCCTTCCCAGGGCCCACCCTCCGCGGACGCAGAGCGTCTGCCGGGGGGACGGCAGGTCCGCGATGGCTGCCTCTGAGGCAGTCGGTCCCCTCTCGCCGTGGGCTTGGGAAGCGTCCGAAAGGCCCGCTCGGATCGTCTGCGGTGCTGCCCGCAGGGAAAGCGCCGCTGCCAGCCGGGCTGTCACGGGTGCGAGTGGAAGAAGCACACCGCAGGATGAGCGACGCCGCTGCAGAGGTAACCGCGGGGACTGCGGCCAGAGACGGGGGATGGGCGCAGCCGAGGATAACGGGATGGCCGGCATCCGGAACGCGTCAGGCCCGCTCCGCCGGACCGCCTTATCCTCCAGCCCGCGTCCCCAGCCGTCCTCCCAGATCCCGACCGCAGCTCCAGAAGTGACGGCCACGTGGGTGGCGGCGCGCGCCGCGGGGATTGGAATGTTGGCGTGGGGGGACGAGGTTGGAAGGGCCGCAGAGAAGTAAAGGAGGACCCGCGTCCGCGTGCCCGGGCGCCGACTGCTGGGCGACGCCGCCGGGAGCGAGCACGCCTCTGACGTCACGCGCTGCTCGTCCAATGAGTGGAGGCCTGAGGGAGGCGCCGGTCCCGGCCCCGCTGCCGCCGCCGCCACACCGGCCCTTCGGGAGCGTCTGAGGAGGCGCGGGCCGCTGCGGGCTCGGGCGCCGCAGCGCGCCGGCCCGAGCCCCTGGACGAGGCCCACGGAGCCGCTCGCCCCGACCCAGCCGCCCGATGTCCTCAAAATGGAGGCAGCGGGGGCGGCGGCGTGAAGAAAGCGGCGCTGTGGGCGCGGGAGTAGGGGCCCGGGCGGAGGCGGTGGCGGGATGGGGCTGCTGCTCATGATCCTGGCGTCGGCCGTGCTGGGTTCCTTCCTCACGCTCCTCGCCCAGTTCTTCCTGCTGTACCGCAGACAGCCCGAGCCGCCGGCGGACGAGGCCGCCCGCGCGGGCGAGGGCTTCCGCTACATCAAGCCAGTGCCGGGCCTGCTCCTAAGGGAGTACCTTTATGGCGGCGGCCGGGATGAGGAGCCCTCCGGAGCGGCCCCTGAGGGCGGCGCGACCCCCACCGCGGCCCCCGAGACCCCCGCCCCGCCGACGCGGGAGACTTGCTACTTCCTCAACGCCACCATCCTATTCCTGTTCCGGGAGTTGCGGGACACCGCGCTGACCCGCCGCTGGGTCACCAAGAAGATCAAGGTGGAGTTCGAGGAGCTGCTGCAGACCAAGACGGCCGGGCGCCTGCTGGAGGGGCTGAGCCTGCGGGACGTGTTCCTGGGCGAGACGGTGCCCTTCATCAAGACCATCCGGCTCGTGCGGCCAGTCGTGCCCTCGGCCACCGGGGAGCCCGATGGCCCTGAAGGGGAGGCGCTGCCCGCCGCCTGCCCCGAGGAGCTGGCCTTCGAGGCGGAGGTGGAGTACAACGGGGGCTTCCACCTGGCCATCGACGTGGACCTGGTCTTCGGCAAGTCCGCCTACTTGTTTGTCAAGCTGTCCCGCGTGGTGGGAAGGCTGCGCTTGGTCTTTACGCGCGTGCCCTTCACCCACTGGTTCTTCTCCTTCGTGGAAGACCCGCTGATCGACTTCGAGGTGCGCTCCCAGTTTGAAGGGCGGCCCATGCCCCAGCTCACCTCCATCATCGTCAACCAGCTCAAGAAGATCATCAAGCGCAAGCACACCCTACCGAATTACAAGATCAGGTGAGCTGGAGGTCGGGGAGGGGGCCTGGCTGCCGGGAACCCGGGCCTGGGCGGGACGCTGCGTGGATTGGGAAGGGCAAAGGCTCATTTCTGTCCTGGCGCCTGCTTCTGGGGCCTTCCCACCCTGGACAGGGCCCCAGATCAAGGCGAGTCGTGAACACTTGCTTTGCTTCCGAACGGCATTGATAGGAGCTAGAAACCTTTTCGCGTGTTCATGGGGACTCAGGGTGCTGTCAACGCGGGCAGAATCGTCTCCTTTTATAAGCAGCATATTGGAAATGGAAGGGAAGCCTACCCTAATCCCCAGGAGTCGCTTCTGGGACTGTTGAGAAACTCTCCCTCTATGTGGTTGCTGCATTGAGGGCAGCCGCGTCACTGGCTTTGCAGCATCCCCTTGGCCGCTTTGAGAAATTGTTCCTGGACACAGTACACGCGTGAAGAGTGTGCTTATAGCCCAGGTCTGTGCTAATTTGACATTGCAAGCCACTTTTGCTTTGATGGTTTGACACCTTTCAAGGCAGAGGTGGTAACTCTTGCAAAGGAATACTTTTGTGGGTTTTTTTTGTTTTTGTTTTTGAGACAGAGTCTTGCTGTGTCGCCCAGGCTGGAGTACAGTGGCGCGATCTCGGCTTACTGCAACCTCTGCCTCCCAGGTTCGAGCGATTCTCCTGCCTCAGCCTCCCAGGTAGCTGGGGTTACAGGCGTATGGCACCACGCCTTGCTGATTTTTTTTTTTTTTTTTTTTTTTTTTGTATTTTTTAGTAGAGACGGAGTTTCACCGTATTGGCCAGGCTGGTTTCGAACTCCTGACCTCAAGTAATCCGCCTGCCTCGGCCTCCCAAAGTGTTAGGATTACAGGAGTGAACCACCGCGCCCGGCCCGGGAATACTTTCCACAGCAGATGGGAAAGGAGTTGGGAGCCTGTACATAGTGTACTTTACATTTTGTATTAATGTCATTTGCCCATTTTGGGTAGATTGTAGAACACAGATCCAGACTCTGCCCATCAAGCATTTACTCTCTGTGACTGTAAGTTCTTCTCTCAAGGGACCTGAAGTCACTGTACAAATTGTATTTTAATGCTAGGTAGTGATTTTAATTTTGTTTAAGCCTTCCAGCATCTGATGGCTTAAATTTTGTGGTATACAGTTTTGAGTAGTATATAAATTTTGTTTTAATATTGTAGGAGTGGAAGGGGAAAGACTTTTTTAGGGCTAGAGGTGGAGTGGAAGGTGCTTTTTCTTTTGTAAAAAGCTGAATTTTTAACTTCTCTTTCGGTCCTCCTTTAATTTTGTATTCACTAAGACATTTGAGCCTTTAAAATTTTGCCCTTTATTATAAAATTATGTCAGTCTTGTATTTTACTTACCTAATTTTACTTGCCTTTTAGTGGAAGTTGCCTATTTCTGGATCACTAATTTTCTACCAGTGTCAATTTTCAGGAGCAAGATAATCCAGAAATATTTTGGGTTTGGAATGGATTATTGACTTCTGTATGTGGCAGATGTACCTTACCAATTATGTTTTGTTTAGGCTAACAGCGCAGAGTGACAGTTTAAAACTTGCGTGGCAGGAGAAATTTACTTTGTAATGGAAATATTTCCATAGATTTGCGGAGGGTGGTGAACTGGTTGTTCACTGTGTTCGATTTCTGGTTCTGTGAAGTAGAACATACTTTATGAAACCTACTTTTAACCTCTGGAATATCAGTGATTAAATTATAACTCGGTTCTAGTGTTTAAGCAGTGAGAGATGTTTATTTATAGCAGTGTGTTGCCAAAAAAGTCATGAGAAAAAGTTGCTAGAAATTTTGGTATTCTATCACAACTTCAATTATGATGTTTTCTGATAGCTTTCAGTTAATACAATTTGACTAGATTATTATTTTGAAATTTGTAGACTAGCCAATGACAGTGAGATTACATATCATTTTGAGATTTTTTTTTTAATGTAGACTTGGAATTTAGGTAAATCTGAAGTAAGTTATGAATAAGTTATGGAGGCATTGAGAAGTTTATTACTTTGAAAAACTATTATCTGTATCATTGAATAACAACCATTTAAAAGTATGGCAAAATTGCTTTTCACTTTGAAGGGATTTTTTTAAAAACAGCATGAATTTGGTTATGATATTTCAACTTCTAAATGTGAAGCATTAAATGATCATTTCCAGAAGTATGCACATCTGTGCTATTTATACTGGATGGCATCTCAATGCTCAGTCAGCTGCACAGAGCATATCACTCAATCTGTAAATGTTTATTGTACACCTGCTATATGCTTATCCTTGTTGTAGATGCTGGGATTTCAGTACTGAACAATACTTGAACTCAGCCCTCAGGAAGCTTAGAGTCTAGTGAGAATTGAATTAGCTATACTTAGTAATTTTTTTGTGTTTTTCGTTTGTTTGTTGAGACAGGATTTTGTTCGGTTGCCCAGAGCTGGAGTACAGTGTCAGGATCATGGCTCACGGCAGCTTCGACCTCCTGGGCTCAAGCAATCCTCCCATCTCAACCTTCCAAGTAGTTAGGACCACAGGTGTGTGCCACCACTCCTGGCTAATTAAAAAAAAATTTTTTTTGTAGAGATAGGTCTTGCTTTGTTGCCCAGGCTAGTCTGGAACTCCTGGGTTCATTCAAGTGATCCTCCCACCTCAGCCTCCCAAAGTGCTGGGATTACAGGTGTGAGCCACCTTGCCCGGCGCTTTGTAAGATTTAAACTAGAATGGGATTGATGGGGTTGAAGTAGCCAGGAAGCCGGTTTTAGCTTAGTAGAAGAAAATAGCAAGTATGACGATGAAAAGGGCTGCCTCAGCAAGTGATGACTTCTTGTCTGTGTAGCTGTTCTGTCCAGTGTTTTAAACTGGTGATGGGCCAGGTGCAGTGGTTCACGCCTGTGATCCCAGCACTTTGTAAGGCTGAGACAGGCGGATTACTTAAGGTCAGGAGTGTGAGACCAGCCTGGCCAACCTGATGAAACCCCGTCTCTAGTAAAAATGCAAAAATTAGCTGGGCGTGGTGGCGGGCGCCTGTAATCCCAGCTACTCTGGAGGCTGAGGCAGGAAAATGGCTTGTACCTGGGAGGCAGAGGTTGCAGCCAGCCGATATCGCACCACTGCACTCCAGCCTGGGCGACAGGGTGAGACTCCGTCTCCAAAATAAATAAGTAAATAAATAAATAAACAAACTGGTGATGATGTGGGACTGATTCAAGTTTCAGATAAGAATGAATTACAATACATCTAAGATATAGCATACTTCTCACAGGGAAAATTAAACTAGCTAGTGTTCATCTTTTTTTACAGATGAGGAAATGGAGCTCGGAGTAGTTAAATAACTTGCTTAAAGTCACACAGCTTTCAAGTGTTGAAACGCAGCTCTGATAAGGCCAGGCCACCTTTAAACACACACACACACACACACACACACACACACACAAACTATGTTGTTCTTAAGTGATTTATTTTTTAAAAGCATGCCATCGATATAGTAAATATGTGGGATATCTTTCCAAACTAACCTAGAACTCTTGAGAAGAGTATGACTATAAAGCTGATTTTTTTTTCTTAAATTGGTCATTTTAGAGGATCCTTTTAAAAGTAAATCATGAGGCTAAATCTTTGGGTACTGTCCCACGTGGCATTTCTTTTTTAATTGAGCAGAATTGTGTTTCCAAATAGAAGAGACAGGTTTCACCATGTTGGCCAGGCTGGTTTCGAACTCCTGACTTCAGGCAGTCTACCCACCTCGGCCTCCCAAAGTGCTGGGGTTACATGTGTGAGCCGCTGTGCCCGGCCTAGTTTATTCTTTTTTAGCTATCTAATCTTCTTAGTAGAGCTAAAGCAGTAAAGAGAATTGTATGGAGTCTTACGATCCTTTGGCATTTGTAATCATTACATAACAAATATCTTGCCAGTTAACGTTGTTATTACTTCTTTCCCCCTTCATTTATTTTGCCTTTTTCGTGTTGCTAAAGTGAATCAGCCTCTCTGGACTGCCAGTTCCTGATGTTTCACCTAGAGATGCTAAGTTGCTCAAGTGGTTGCTTTCTAAGGACCCAGCTGACTGACATTTCATTTTACCCAAGTTAACAAACTTACAATGTTTGTAAAACATTTTATTTTACAAAATGAATTATAATATGTAGACAATATGTTTACAGATTTATTCAAGTTAGGAATTTCATTCATCCACCTCAATGTTAATTGGTTTGATTTTTTAATTAAAATAGTATATTATAATAGCAATATATTTTTTTAAATGAACCTCAGAATCCATCCTCAAGGGAGAAAGATTACCACTAATGTTCTTTTACTACGTGGATAATTCATCTTAAACATGGAGTCTGAGTAATAGTGTCTGGGTGGGGAGCTCTGTTTAGGGTTTAGGAGTCAAATATTTGAGATTCTTACGGATGCTTGTGTTCCTGGAGTATTATTGTATATAGACAAGCAGATTCAGTTTGCAGGTACTTTTAATTTGGCCTGCACTGTTTAAAAAATGGAAAATTCTGTGTGTTTTGGATTTGTGGCTTCTGTTAGGAAAAATTGGAATATCTTGTAGCGCCAGTGCTGCATTTCTCAGAGCAACAACAGGATGGAGAGATGGACTGTAGTAGCAGCTTTGGGGTTGAAACTCGGTGTGTAAGCTCCTAGGTGGAGTTTATAGTCCCCCCTTATTTGCTGTGCTTAATTGATGGTACTTGCCTGGCTTGGAGTTATATGAATTTGAGACCCGTACTGGAGGAGTAAATAGGGAGCATTACTGTTGCTGATTAGTGAAAATGAGAAGACTTAATAGCTGGAGTGGAGAGGGAGAGTGATCATTTTTATCCTTCTTTTAATTACATTTTTGAAGGGACTGTCATAGAGCAATTTTATTTTTTAAAAGACATTGTTGGCCAGGTGCGGTGGCTCACTCCTGTAATCCCAGCACTTTGGGAGGGCAAGGCAGGCGGATCACTTGAGGTCAGGAGTTCGAGACCAGCCTGGTCAACATGGCGAAACCCCATCTTTACTAAAAATACAAAAATTAGCTGGGCATGGTGGCACATGCCTGTAATTCCAGTTACTCAGGAGGCTGAGGCAGGAGAATCGCTTGAACCCGAGAGGCAGAGATTGCTGCAAGCCGAGATCATACCACTGCACTCCAGCCTGGGCAACAGAGCAAGACTCTATCTCAAAAAGTAAAAATAAATAAATAAATAAATAAAAGACATTGTCAGGCCTGGCGTGGTGGCTGATGCCTGTAATCTCAGCACTTTGGGAGGCCAAGGTGGGTGGATCACTTGAGGTCAGGAGTTCGAGACCAGCCTGGCCAACATGGTGAAACCCCGCTTCTACTAAAAATGGCACGCACCTGCAGTCCCAGCTGCTGGGGATGCTGAGGCATGAGAATTGCTTGAACCCAGGAGGCGGAGGTTGCAGTGAGCCAAGATTGCGCCACTGTATTCCAGTCTGGGCAACAGAGTGAGACTGTCTCAAAAAAAAAAAAAAAAAAAAAAAACATTGTCAATATAATGTTGAATTTTAAAAAGTCACTCTGCCAGAAAAAAAAAAATGCCTTGAAATGCAATCCATTTTTCTACCATGTAGTGATGGTAAGTAGATAGTGTCTCCTTTTTGTTCGAGTTTGGTGGATAGTTTGCTTTAGTGGAATGGGTCATTAATAACTATGTAAGCATTTACTTCACTGATCTCCAAAAAGGGGGGCATCAACTTA
The DNA here is from genome assembly GCF_000001405.40 of Homo sapiens. Lineage (NCBI taxonomy): Eukaryota > Metazoa > Chordata > Mammalia > Primates > Hominidae > Homo > Homo sapiens. Next base: position 117,368,635 of record NC_000010.11, on the reverse strand, counting down.
TTGACAGTATATTTGAATTTAATGAATTGAGTGATCCGTATCTCAAAATCTTTCAAAGTAAATTCACAGAAAACTGACAAAATCATTTGTAAAGTCAAGTGTAATATGTTGTATTTATTTACTTTTTCATACTTTTTTCCTTTCTATTACATTGGAAAATATTTTAAAATAGCTACTAAAATTCCTTGATGGTTATAATAGTGACAGTTTTACTTACTAATGTTGATAGGAAATCTAACCTTTAATATTTGGGGAGAATAGACAATGGCATTGTGCATTACTCTAGCTATGCTGGAATAATCTTGTAATAGCTAATTTTTAACCTGTTGTGCTTTTTCTTGTACTGTTGCTCATATCTCTATATCTCGTCATATCTCTGTATAAGTTGAATTGCAAGATCATTGTCTTAGAGATGAATAATTATGTCATTTAAAAAATAGTCATTTATCTTCAGTAAGTGCTTAGTGCATACTACCTAGTGTTGCGGTGGGTATAGTAAACGTGATAAAAATGGTTATAAACTAGTTCATGCTATTATAGGGTTAGTCTTTCTAGGGAAAACAAAGAACACATAAAGCTTATTTTAGTGGCATTGGAAATATTTAAGCCCTTCAGTTTTGTGAGAAACTGGAACAGGAGAGATCAATATCTCTGCTCTGCTAAGGCAAACACCTGATTACTGTGGTACCGTATGTAATGCATTGTGACCTTAGCTTTTTTTTTTTTCCTCTCTCGTTGCCCAGGCTGGAGTGCAGGTGCATGATCTCGGCTCACTGCAACCTCCGCCTCCCAGGTTCAAGCAGTTCTCCTGCCTCAGCCTCCCACAGGCGTGTGCCACAATGCCCAGCTAATTTTTTTATTTTTAGTAGAGATGGGGTTTTGCCATGTTGGGCAGGCTGGTCTTGAACTTCTGACTTCAGGTGCTCTGTCTGCCTCGGCCTCCCAAAGTGCTGGGATTACAGGCATGAGCCACCACATTAGCTTTCTTAGCACACCTAAGTGTACTCCACCTAAATACCCAGTTTAGTGCTGATTTTACTTCTTGCACATTGGATTTCCTCCAGCTGCTTTGAATTATTTTAATTTCAGCTTTTAAAACACTTTAGATGGAGAATAATGTATTGATACATTACATCTTTGCTCTAGAAATTTGATTTATTCATTGAGGGGAGAATAGTCATTTTGAGGAGGCTATAATTTTTGTTTGTTTGTTTGTTTGTTTGTTTTGAGACGGAGTCTCACTCTTGCCCAGGCTGGAGTGCGGTGGCGCTATATTGGCTCACTGCAACCTCCACCTCCCGGGTTCAAGCAGTTCTCCTGCCTCAGCCTCCCAAGTAGCTAAGATTGTAGGCGTATGCCACCACACCCGGCTAATTTTCACATATTTAGTACAGACAGGGTTTCACCATGTTGGCCAGGCTGGTCTCCAACTCCTGGATTCTAGTGATCCCCCCGCCTCAGCCTCCCAAAATGCTGGGATTACAGGTGTGATTCACACCCTGCCGGGAGGCTATAAATTCAAATCAGTAATGTACAAGTATATTGGCTATCCCAAAAAGCCACAGTTTCTTCCTGGAAATAGCCAAAGCAGATCATTATAAAGTAGATTGTGTTGAAGGAGCATGCCTGATCAAATACTAAACGTTGACTTACAAGTATTACTAACAATCTATCATATGAGCAGGGTGGGGCTAATAAAACACTGTTTGCTAAGTATTCATTAGGCACTGTGTGGGCATTTCCATGCAGTTGCAATCTCAATAGTTAAAACTCCTATGTGGGAGAGGTTGGTATCTCAGTTTTACAGATGTGGAAATATGCGATTTACGGAGGATTAGTGATATAAAGTCCTAAATGTAAAAGGTCCTGGACTTCCAGAGCTCATGCTCTATTATTTCTTCAGAGATAAACCAACTGTTACTCTAAATCAGGGGTCTGCAAACTAGCTGCTGTTAGGCCCCTGCATTAAGAATGGTTTTTACATTCTTAAACTTTATATTTGACGTTGTTAAAAGAAGTACTGGTGGTGGTGGTGGTGGTGGTAATGGTGGTGACAGTGGTGGTGGTGGTAGTGGTGGTGGTAGTGACAGACCTTATGTACCCACAAATACTATCTGGCCTTTTACAGAAAAGATTCACTGATCCCTGCTCTAAACTTTAAAAAAAAACCCTAAAAATACACCCCCCTCAACAGTTACAATGTTTACCAAAAAAGAAGCTATATATGTGTACATTGAAAGTACTTTTAAGTCTTTGAGGGTCCTGTCCTTTGGAAACCTGCAGAAAATTTCTGCAGAAAACAAATTTTCTGCATAAAAATATTTCATTTAAGTTCATAGTTCCCTTGAAGCTTTTTTAGGGTCCTTAGACTTTAGGTTGAAAAATAAACACAAACAGAAGTATACAACTTTGTTACCGTAAACATAACTAAAACTAACATGCTGAAATCAATATTAACCACTTCATTATTTTGCTTACCTTCTTAAAATGTATATAGGATTCATATGGCTCAGGCGTTTCTAAAAATGCTGGAGGAGGGGGTAATCCCTCTCTCTATCCTATGAAGTGTATGTCTTTTTGATTCTTTTTTTTTTCCTCTTAAGATTTCATATAGCAGGCTGAGGGACTCTAGATCAATAGTTCAGTAAGAATATATGAAATTTCAAGTTAGAGTTCTTATTACTAAATACCTTGTTTAAAAGTTAAATACTGACTCAACATTTCTTCCCATGATATTCTCTGTTTTCTCAGAACAGTGTCACCAGGAAACAAGTATTATTAAATGACTTTGTTCTTACCTCAGAGTCATAGGACGTACTGACACTTTTTTGGCATGGCATCAGAGCACATCACACTTAATTGGAAAGTTTTAAAGCCAACTACCTGGTCATTAGCAGGTGTTTTACAGAGTAGTTTCAAAATCTCTCTTGCCAAATTGCTAAGACTGGCATAAAACTGTACACTTCCTGTATTTGTACTAGGGAAAAATGTGATATGCACGTTAATTATTTACCTTTAGATGAGCAGTACTAATTTTACTAGATATATATCAGATATTTTCTAGGTGACACATTATATTCTTTTCCCTTTCAAATGAGCGACAAACTCACTTTAAAAATTCAAGCTGTTAGAAAATATGTAGTATCAAAGTGAAAATCTTCTGTAATATCTTTTCTTAAAACTATTGTTAAATTCGGGAACTATTCTTCCATATTTTTCTAAATGTATTATAATTTGCTATTAATTTATAAAGGCAGGATCATACTCAATACTTCATTGTTAGCATCTTTTTTTAAAAAACTTACTGTATCTTGAGTTTTCTATATATACCTACTTCATTTGTTCTAACAGATGCTTATAATTACATTGACCATTAGTACCATAAGTTAACCAATTCCTTGTTAATTTTTCAGTTTCTCACTAATGTAAATAATGGCACCATAAACATCCTTCTACCTGTATCTCTGTGTAGATGGTAGATTTTGTTGGTTATTTTTGGCCATTTTTTTTTTGGCATATATTTGTATAGTATTGAGGAGCATAAAGAAGTTAAAAATCTCCTCTCCATTTTGATTTCATCCCCTGATATACCCATGTTAAGTTTGAGGTCTAAACCTAACTGTATGCTCAAGCATACATATACAAGCCTCTTATATATATTGAGGAGGTGCCTCTCTCTCTTCCTCTTCTTACCTTCTTCCCTCTCCCTCCCTCCTGCCCCCACTTTCACTCCCTCCTTCCTTCTGCCCTTAGTAAAATGAGACTATAATATGAATGTGACCCTCCAAATTATTCTGTGAAGTGTAACATGGATGTCCCTTCAGATAATATGTATAAATCCATCTCATTTACTGCTTTTCTCTACTCTCAGCCATTCTCTCTGCCTCTGACCTTATCTTTCGTCACCACTTCTCACTTAATCTGTTCATGCCTCTTTGCTGTTCTCAGGTATGCTCCCACCACAGGGCCTTTGCTATTCCTTCTTCTGGAGTGTTTTTCCCACAGATAGCCAAAGAGCTCACTCCAACATTTTTTAGGTCCCTCTTAAATATCACCTTTCAACATATTATGTTAAAAAAAATAGTGGTTTAGCCCTTTAAATGCTGGAATTTTTTTTTGCTCAGACTTCCTACGGAAATATGCGTGTGTGTGTGTGCGTGTGTGTCTGTCTGTGTGCGTATAGAAACTGTCCCACTCCTAAATGTACAGTGATGAATTTTCACAAAGTGAACTGAAACATGTATCTGAGTGCTGTGATTTTGGTTTCTTAAACATAATTTATGGAACATATTTTAACATTTTTTATGGTTAAACGTTGTCATTATAAACACAGGCTGATGACATGTAACCCATACTATTGTGAAATCAGTATTGAAGGAGAGTGGCTTCTTTTTAGACAGACAGACACACAGACACACACACACTCTCACACACACACACACACACACACACACCCATAAATTATGTTGATTGTGGTCTCCAGCAGTTAACCATGTTGAATTCAAGGTCTGTCCAGGCACCATACTGGCACAGTATCCTTCTCCCATTCCCACACACAAACAAAATACTAAACACATATGTGTTTGCAACCTTCTCTGACACTCCAGAAGACTTGATTTTTAATTTCACATTTTTAGAAAGGTCAATATTGATAAACTGTAGATTATACTTTTCTTGGATTGATATAGAATAACAAACTTGCTTTTACTAGTCTGGTATATAATTGCCAATTTTCATGAAATCACAATGCTTTAGAACACATTTCTCTTTATTCTGTAATCAGCACATTGAGTATTTACGCCTGTGAATTCTTCATGTATTGTAGGGAGAATGGAGCTGATGATATGGTGGGTGGGGTACTGAATGTCTGGGCTTTGATTTGCATAACTTTGATAGAAAAGCTAGAAAATTTTTCACTTCTCAGCATTAATAGTTCTTGTTGGTATGTACTTAAAAACAAAAACGCTTGAATAGCATAGTAAAAATATCCTCATTGGGTTTATTCTTCTGTATTAAGTATCTATTATGTATACTTGGGTCATTGATAAGTTACCAGTTAAACAGAAACTTGCAACCTAACTACTTTTTAGAAATGGTGTTTCTCCTAGGATGAACTCTATAATATCCTACCTGTATAATCTACAGTTATAAATAACTATTGTTTTTTGCTGTGAAATCTTAAGTAGTAGTGATGGGGAGATACAATTTCTATTTAGTAGCTGGCTACAAGAATCTCTATTTTGAAAAATGACTATGTTCTGTTCTCAGATACAACTTTCATGGAGACATCAATATCTTCTGAATAGTGCATCTGGTGTTTGTGTTGTATGCTAATTTTTTGTCCTTTTTACACAATAGTCTTTCATACATACGGGATTATACTAACACTTATTACTAAGGATGTGGTTGCTGACTATACGGTCTTACTACCTTAGTCATTTGGTCATGCAAATAAATAATTCAAAGCTTTTTGTTCTCTGAAACCTGCTGTGGCTGAAATAAAAGCCATTCTGTTATAGCAAATTTCATTTGTATGGTAATTATTTTTATAATGCACTGAAAATCTTATTTTGTTCTCACCATTACTAAGTATAATATTATTTTCTGTAAAATTTAGGACAGGTGATATCTGATGTATTTCAGTGTTTGGAAATCTTGTTAGTTCTTAATGTTTAATTCTTTGGATTTTAATCGAGACCAGAATGGCAAACTCTTGCCATGGGAAGAATTTAACTAAATATTTGTAGTAAAATATGTGTCCTTTTGTTTACTAATGCTGGAGTGGTAGGTAGTACAAACTGAATTTACTTCAGATATTTTGAGATTAATGAAATGTAAAGAGAAAATTCTTGACAGTCTGTAAAATAAAGTCAGTGAATACAGTGTATCTAAATTATAGCCCATTTTAGGTAAATTGCTTACTTAAAGTGAGTAAATTATCTACTTAAAATATTTGAGTAAGTTGCTTACTCAAAATATTTGAACTTTTTAATACTACAGAGTTAGAATTTGGACTCAGTAATTCTGAGAATCATGCCACTCAACAAGCATTTATTGAACCAGACTCTTAGTAATTATTCTTAGAGTCTAGAGGATATCTGTGCTCTTATGATTTCTCTTGAAAGTAACTTGGCCTCTTGCCCTGAAAGAGTAGGATTAGAAGATGAGGAATTCCTGTTTTATTTCTGGAATTACTACTGATTTGTTGGTTTAGTATATCCTTGGACAAGTCATGCAACTTGTTATTTTGAGACTAAATGAAATGAAAAATCTAAAGTTTTAAAAGTTCTTAGAGAAAAGAATTATGTAAATGTAAGATGGCATTATTTATTCACTTTGCTGTTATTTCTGCAGGCTGCATCTTATCCTGGCATAGGTTTAATGTAGGGATTTCTCTCAAATAAGGATATACAAACTTTACCCAATAAATATTTTCCTTTAATAAGTTCTAACTTGAGTTAGGTACTTATAAACTAGCAGATGCAGAGATACAGATAGTATTAAAATCATTTATGTACTTTAGAAGATGTTTTACTTTTATTTGGATAGGGAAAAATTAGGAGAAAGCTGGACAGTTATAACCTTAAAACATAATCATCCCTCAGTATCCAAGGGGGATTGGTCCCAGGACCCTCCCCATTCCACCAGGATACCAAAATCCACAGATGCTCAAGTCCCTGATATAAAATGGCATAGTATTTGCATATAACCTAAGCATATCCACCTGTATACTTTAAATCATCTCTAGTTTACTTATAATGCCTAATACAATGTAAATGCTATATAAATAGTTCTTATACTATATTGTTTAGTGAATAATGATAAAAACAAAAGATCTGTACATCAAGTTCTGTACAGTCGCAACAGTCTTTTTTTTAAATCTGGGGTTAGTTGAATCCAAGGATGCAGAACCCATAGACGTGGAGGGCTATGTTAACTTCTCCTTATTTGTCTTATTCAGATTTTTTGTTGTCCCTTCATATTTGGAAAGGAATTTTTGTCTGTTTGATAACACCTGACTAGCTAAAGAAGACCAGATTTCTGTTTCATAAACTTCAGTGTTCATGTCTTTACCATAGTAGGGAGGTGGTAATTTTGCTTTAAAGTATTTTCTCTTTCAGTCCACAAGACTTCAGAAGAGATTCAGTTTATTTAGTAAATGTTTAACACCAACTTTGTCCAGAGTACACAAGACTTCAGAAGAGATTCAATTTATTCAGTAAATGTTTAACACCATCTTTGTCCAGAGAGCAACACACTGCAGAGACAGTTAGTGCTAACAGGGAGTAAATTAACACAGTCCTTTCAAGGTATTTTTAAAAATCTAGTAGTAAGAAAATATACTTAAAGTAAGGTAATGGGTTACAGCTTAGAATTTAAAAAAAAATTGCCCCGACTCAGTCGTTACAGTCTGACTCAGTGGTTTTCACAGTGTGATTTGGATGTTCCAGACCTTTGAGGGGTTGGCAGTCTACCAAGTCAAGTCAATTATTTTCATAATAATACAAAAATGTTATCTGCCTTTCTCACCCTTGTTCTCTCGCAAATATATGGTGAAATTTTACAGAAATTAAATATGTGGTGACATCATCACCCTCACAGCTAATGGAATGTGAGCTTTATATATTCTTATGTTTAAAATTTTTATCATTTGTAATTTCTGATATGCAAAATGTTAATAGACATAATCTACATGAACAGCAGCTCTTTGGGATCCTCAATAATTTTTAAAAGTTTATAGGAGTCCTAAGAACAAAATGTATAAGAACTGCTAGTCTGACCTGAAGTTTATTTATTTTTACCATATGTAAAGGAGCCACCTCTGTTGCCTCACTTTCTCAGTGAGCTTTAATAAATATTAAATATATACGTTATTTTCAGTTGCTATCTAGTATTGCTTGTACACCTTGGTATTGTAAGACACAAGGTTGAGTGGATTTGTTACAGTTTTGACTGCACCATTTACTTGAGTGGATTTGTTAGTTTTGACTGCACCATTTACTATGTGATCACAGACAAGCTGCTTTAGCTTTCTCTTTTGTCAAATAATGTTTATTATACTGTACCTTGTTATGAGTTGTGAGAATCAAGGACATATATCAGAGTTGCATAATTTACAGAAGTGCTAGAAACATTCAAAGTAGTCATTTTTATATTCTCATTCAATGGTGTGTGTTGGGGGGCTGGTAGAGAAGAACAGGAAAGAATAAGAGTTTGGATTTGCCCATTTTTTTAGCTATGTGAAAGCTGGGAATTTTGATTTAATTGATCATAGGCCATGGTAAGGGACCCTTACATTGTGGGTTGTGATGAACATAAGAAGATATGAGATTTGCCAGACATAGTCAAGAGAATTACTTTGGTTCCCTGAGCAACTCGTCTCATTTGATACCTTACCTCTGTGGTGCATAGGCTATCAGTTAACATTGACTCATCTTTTAGTCACCAGCTCTTTGAATTCTATTATGAGGGACCTGCAGCCTTGATTATCACTCTTTTGTTCAGCATATATATAAAAACTGCTTTAGAAAATTGTGAGGCATTTTGGACCTTGATCATTCTATGCAGAAATAGGAGCTTGGATAAAAGTGAGCATTTTATATTAGGTAGAGGGTATATGGATGAGCAGGAGAAATTTTTTTTTTGTAACAGTATTTGTTATCCTTGTTCTTATTAATTTCATAACTATTCAGGAATACTTTTTTTTCTCTGTAGGAATACAGAAATTAAAATAATTTCCCCAAGAATAGTACACTTCAAGGAATTTCATAAATAGAACAATTTTCTGTGGGTTTCCTGAAGTCAGTTTTTTAATATATTCAGTTTAATATAAGCTTAGTTATAAAACTTGATGCAGAAATACAAAGGTGATAACTAAGGTAGGGTGGCATGCTGACTTTTTGTTTGTTTGTTGTTTTTGTTTTTGAGACGGAGTCTCACTCTGTCACCCAGGTTGGAGTGTAGTGGTGCGACCTCGGCTTACTGCAACCTCTGCCTCCTGGGCTCAAGCAATTCTCCCACCTCAGCCTCTCGAGCAGTTGGGACTATAGGCGCGCACCACCATGCCCAGCTGATGTTTTGTATTTTTAGTAGAGACGGGATTTTACCATGTTGGCCAGGCTGGTCTCAAACTCCTGACCTCAAGTGATCGCCCGCCTCGGCCTCCCAAAGTGCTGGGATTACAGACATGAGCCACCGTGCCTAGCCTGTTGTTGTTTTTGAAACAGGGTCTCGCTCTGTCACCCAGGCTGGAGTGTAGTGGCACACTCATGGCTCAGTGTAACCTCAACTGCCTGGGCTCAAGTGATCCTACCATCCCAGCCTCCCCAGTAGCTGGGACTACAGGCATGCTCCACCATGCCCAGCTAATTTTTGTATTTTTTTGTAGAGATGGGGTTTTGCCATGTTGCCCAGGCTGGTCTCGAACTCCTGGGCTCAATCCATCCACTTACCTCGGCCTCCCAAGGTGCTGGGATTACAGGCATCAGCCACCACGCCTGGCCCTGACTATTGTTAATTTGTTCTCTTGCACTTAACAAATGATATCGTCACAAAGGACGCAATTAAAAAAAATCAACTAGCATGGGACTGAAATCATCACCACATGGAATCTGAAGCCCAAGGAAGACAAACAGCCATGAACTGGGACCATCATACATGGTGAATGCTGAGTCCTGAAGTGGTTCCTTGTGGAAGGGAAGAAGTTTGCTACCTGACATGTCTGTAGGAATTCATCCTTAATATAGATAAATAGAAGGTTTGATAGGAAATATTTCTAGAGCACCTCACTGGGCCAGATGCCTTATGAGAAATTTCTTACCTTGTCCTTACATAGCTCTATAAAATAAGTGCTATTATTATTAGTATTCTTTCATAGGTGAAGAAACTGGGGCTCTCAGAGTTCCAAGTAACTTGCCAAAGGTGTCAAGGCTAGTAAGTATTAGAGCCAAAATTCAAGACCAAGTATTGATTTAATACTACTTTAAACTGCCTTGTCAAAAAGAAGCTGAAAGTGAGGAATAAATAAATGAAAACCCAGGAGAAGAAAATCAGAGGGAAGAGAAAGATAAGGGATGGTGGGTATTAAAAATAGGTGTGGAATGCAGCAGTGAGGACTAAGGGTTAGCAATCAGTAAAAAAGACTATTTTATAGTCCGTGAAAGAAGAGAGGGGAGATGAGGGGGAAAGAAAGATGACTATAGGTTGGTGCAAAAGTAATTGTGGTTTTGCCATTACTTTTACATGGCAAAACCCGCAATTACGTTTGCACCACCCTAATAAATTTAGTGAACTACTGCTTTGGTCTGGGACAATACTATACTTTTATATGCATATTATCCATTGAATCCCCACAGTAAAACCATAATAGTGATATTTCACTTATAAATGAATAAATACAGATTCAAAAGGTTAAACGAGTTACTCAAATTGAAACTCAGGTCTCTAAGATTACAGAACTCATGCTTTTATATCATATCCAGTGTACAGTTTAAGAAACAGGGAACTTTTTTATTTGACTTTTTATTATGAAAAATGTCAAACATAGTTCTAAGGTAAAAAGAATAGTAAGATGAACAGTCATGATCTGTCACTCATCTTTAACAGTTGTCAACTCACGGCCAATCCTGTTTATCTCTAACTCCCCTTCCTCCTTAATCCCATAGATTATTTTGAAGCAAATCCCACGTATTTTATCCGTAAATACTAAGTATGTAGCGCTCATATTTTTATCAGATATAAAATAAATTTTAACAGTAATACCTAATGTCATTAAGTATCCAAATAGTGTTCACATTTTCCTGATCGTGTAGGCCTTTTTTTTTTTTTTTTTTTTTTTTTTTTTTTTTTTTTTTTTTTTTTTTTTTTTTTGGAGATGAAGTCTTGCTCTGTTGCCCAGACTGGAGTGCTGTGGCATGATCGGGGCTCACTGCAACCTCTGCCTTCTGGGTTCAAGTGATTCTCCTGCCTCAGCCTCCCGAGTAGCTGGGATTACAGGCATGTGCCACCATGCCCGGCTAATTTTTGTATTTTTAATAGAGACAGGGTTTCACCATGTTGGCCAGGCTGTTCTCAAACTCCTGACCTCAAGTGATCTGCCCACCTCGGCCTCCCAAAATGTTGGGATTACAGGCGTGAGCCACTGCGCCTGGCCCCTGTAGGCTTTTTTAATCACAGACTTTTGGTTTGTTTTACATAGCAGTGATCATGCTCTGTTCAACAATGTATCCTGATTTTCTTTTTTTGAGAGAGGGTCTCATTGTCACCCAGGCTGGAGTGCAGTGGTGCAATCTTGGCTCACTGCAACCTCCACCTCCCAAGTTCAAGTGATTCTCGTGCTTCAGCCTCCCAAGTAGCTGAGACTACAGGTGCATGCCACCACGCCTGTCTAATTTTTGTATTTTTTGGTAGAGATGGGGGTTTCACTGTGTTGGCCAGGCTGGTCTCGAACTCCTGGCCTTAAGTGATCCACCTTCTGTGGCCTTCCAAAGTGCTGGGATTACAGGCGTAAGCCACCGTGCCCAGACCTGATTTTCTAAATAGCAGTTTAACATAAGCATTATCTTGTATTTTATTTCAACTTTGTAAATTAATTTAGACTTGAATGCATTCTTTTCTTATCTTTAAACATTTTACTGCTTTATTGCTTTTACTGGGAAAAAAAGTTTGTCTGTATGAAAAGTTGTAAGTTTAATAACATGCTATATTTTAAAATACCTTAGTTTTTTTGAAAGATAAAAGATTCTATATCATGGAAAGGGGGAGCAGGGTGTACTCCAAAGCCTTTGAGGAGGCCAACATGAACTCATTTTCCAAATAGACAGTAATCTCAGTAATTACCCCGGACTTATAAGCTATCTGGGTTATTTTTAATTTTTCTTTTTCTCATTTGTTTTTCATTGATTACTTCCCTCTCCCCAACCCCAGATTAGGATGCCTACCTTAATGATAGATTAATAGTAAAGTACATATTATTCTCTTATCACACCAGCCTAATTTAGCTTTTGTAAATGCGGTCAGGAATAACAATAACATAACTTCTGCCAAATATGGTTAACTTGTTAGTTGGGAACACTTAAATATAACTTTATTCCTAAAAGAGCATGGGCCTGGATGTGAGTGTACCTGTGTTTTTAGACTCAGGTCTAATTAGACTATTTCTCATCAGTAAAATGAAACGATTTAAATATTTGGATATCTGTGGAATTACCTTTCACATCTAACATTCTGTGGAATAAATTATTATTCGTGTGTCTTGCTTTAGTTATTTTCAAATTTTAATGATAACCTTCAAATTGAGTTTTACCTTTTTAAATTTTTCTTATTTTTCTTTTTTTATGTCACAAATGTCTCAGCATCTTTTTTTTAACTTATTAAATGATGTTAAGAAAATTATGTTAAATATTAGGCAATTTTAGATTTAACACAGTTGTCTCTAAAAATAGAATCTGTAGGAAACTCTCAGTTCACAGAAGAAAAAAAGGATTGAAGATGGAATCAACCAGTTGATAGTTTACAAATAAGACTGAGATCTGGATCTATTCATTATAATGACTTAAAGATGAATGAGATCCAGATACTATCTTTTCTAAGACTTAAGGCTCCTATGGTCTTAGAAAAGAGAAAAACGAGCATATAATAACTTAAGAGTTTTAAAAAATAGAACATGATATACCTTAATGGTATTAACATGATATACCTTAATGGTAATAACAACACCTTAATGGTATTTCTTCTAGAAACTTCTGAAAATTTTCAGAAAAATGTAAGTATTGTAGTATAATTAAAAGTATGCCATTTTAAGGTATATGTCATATCATTAAATAGCTTCTTTATTTCAGTGGAGGTATACTAAGTGCCAGGCATTTTGTTAAATACCAGGAATTTAAGCTGAACAGTAATAATAACTAATGTCTATTGAGTGTTTGCTGGCATGGTACTAAGTGCTTTTCATTATTCAATGCAATTCTTGTAACAGCACTGTGAGGTAGGTGTAATTGTTATCCTCCTTTTGCCTCTGAGGAAACCGAGTCTCAGATTTTGGTCAAGGTCAGAAGTTTGCTCAAGGTTATATTGCTGGGAAGTGACACAATAGGATTCCAAGCCAAGCTGTGTGGCTCCAGAGTCTGTTCTTAACCTCTATTTTATATTGTCTATAAATGTAAGCTTTCTTTTCTCAAGCAACTCACAATTTAGTTGGGAGGAGGGGATCTTGCAGGAAAGCTAGAAAGATGGAGACAGATACATAAATAGTATGGCTAGTAGTAAAACAGAGCATATATAAAGTGTTTTTAGAACACAGGAGAGGAAACAATTACCAGATGGTAGAGGAGAGGGACGGGTTACAGACAGGAGGCGACTGAAGTAGAACTTCAGCAGTGAAAAGCTTACCACATAGGACTAGGCTACGTATGGCATCAGAGTGTTTAGCAGGTACAGTTTCTCAGGAGAAATAATACAGCAGTACTAACCTTGGTGAATATAGAGGAGCCTTGTGTATGAATTGTCCTTTTAATATATCAATTGAAGTATCTAAGTAAAATTGAAAATTTGAAATTTAGATTCATAATTTACCAACACAGAAAATGAGGAGTATTTGGAACCATTGTACTTTGTTTTCTTTCTGGCTTACACTTAGTTTTGTATTAGCGTGCCATAGTTTGCATGATAATGTATGCCATAAAAGTTACAACTAATAGAGGTTTTGAAAATTACACTTTTAATGCAGCAGGGGGAACTCATTATTTGAAGGAGTACTGGCTCTGAAGCATAATAAATGAAGAAACATTTTTAAAATGATCACTCACTGAGTTATCTAGTTTATATATTTGGTGTAGGAGAATTTGAAGAGAACATTTATGTTTGCTAGTTCCTAATGTGATAGAGCCAAAACTTTCCGACTGAAAGCATAAACCATATAGGACTTTCAATTGCCTGTTTATAGCTGCTCGTTCTACTCTCTCCCTTAGAAAGGATATAGTGTTGTGTGTATTCCTGAGCCTGAAATATGACTGCAGTATCTGAGTATCTAACTTTGACTGGTCTCTCTATTCTCAAATAAGCCTATTTGTTAAACAGGTGAGATGGTATTTGAGGTAACTTACAGAATAGTTTAGCTTTAGACATAGGGAGATGGGGTAGGAGCATATTGTGGGTAGGAGAAATCACAAAGGAACAGAATGAGGGCCTTGTAGGATCTTCAGAGATTCAGTGAGACAGCTAGTTTGAAATAGTAATACTTTGGCATAAAGAAGAGAAGAAAACCAGAATTTGTGTGCTTATAACAAGCCACGAACTTGATTAGGTGTATCACATGTGTGAACTCTAAATCTTAGTAATAGTCCTGTGAGGTAGCTTTTTATTTACAACAACAAAAGGTAGAGGCTTTGTTTTTGGTTTAAGAAAGTACTCTTTTTAAGAAAAGGAAACAATTTCAGAAATCCCAACATTCTCCGCAATCAATGAAAACCTAAATCAGGCCAATGAGGAACACAGAACAACAGAAGAGACATTTTAACAGTAAATGAATGGAGGGAATGGGGATAGAACTAATTGGTTGTGAGAAGAGGAGGAATAAAAGGTTACCTCCAGGTTTCCAGGTGTCTTTGAAATTGGTGGTGCCAGTAAGAGAAAGCAGGAGAGAAGGGCGCAAGTTTGAAGAAAGGGTGTTTAACTCATTTTTAGGTACCAATGTATGAACTGTGATAAAAGCAGTGACAGCAAGTGATGTTGCTCAGGGAAGTTAGAGAAAGGAAACAGGAAGACAGAAACCACATTGTTTTAGTATACAGAACAATTTTTCTAATTCTCCATTTTGGAATACTTCACTTAAAAGTCAAGAAAATAGTTCAGTAAATGCCACTCCCCGCCCCCTCACCCCCCTCCCTCATCTTGCTTTGTCTGTAGCCAGTAATTAACTTAGGGCCACTCTTGTTCATCTTGCCACACACCCCTCCCCCGATTATTTTGAACAAAATTTATGTATAACATCAATATGTCTTTTTTTAAAAAAGTATAATCCCACTATCAAACCTTTAAAAAGTAATAATTCTTTAGCATCTAGCTTAGGATCATTTTTTTATATCCCCAAATTAGAAAACATCAAGGTGTAGATTCTCAGAAATGACTTTCATAGTGTTCCTTATAATAAACTAGCATGGATTTTTATTAGAACAGAGAGAGATTCGTTGATCTTTTAATCACGTGGACTTGTTTACCCCTTCCTTCTGAAATATTGTGACTAATATGGGTCTTTCTTGGAGGACTGGAATAATTCGAGAAAGTTTGAGAGCCATCAAACTGCACTGGGAAGGTCATTACCATTATTATTGATTTCCACTCCCTCTAGGACTCCAAGTCAGTATTAATAGAATTGCTGAACAATTTTATTGAGTTCTTTATATTTTACTCAGCATCATAACCTAGACAAAATAGTTTGGAAGACAAGAGGTACTGTTTTAGATATCTAAAGTAAATTTAATAGAGAGCCCATGATTGACACTAGAATTTACTTTCTGTAAACCATTAAAAGTGAGATACTGTGACTTTATAGAAATTATACAGCTTTATAATGCAGATTAGGAAATGTGTTTTAGTAAAAGTGGCATTGTATTAGGACTTATTACAACCCCACTCCTGTGGCTCCACCCAGAAGCAATTTGGCGCACAGGAGGACAGCTTCAGCCCCCTATGAGTTCATCTCTGCCCCAACCAATCAGCAGCAAGCCCCTGTTAGCTGGCCACCCCACTCCTTTCCCCAAACTGCCTTTGAAAAACCCTTCCCCTACGAGCTTTGAATGAAGTGATTTGAGTACAAATTTTATCTCCCCTGTGGTGTGGCCAGCCTTGTGTCTATTAAACTCTTCCTCTATGACAATGCCACCATGGTCTGTCTTTATGCTGTGGGCAGGAAGAACCCCTCAGGTGGTTACAATACCTTGTAGTTTAAGAGATGCTGGCATATGAATTAGTTTTACTTCACCCTCTCATAGGTAACAAAAAGCATGGATTATTCCCCTCCTCCCTTTTTGAACAAGAAATTGAAGTTTAAGGAGATAAAAGGCTTTTCCAATATCACCTGCTTTATCAGTGATGAAGTTGGGACAACAATCTATATGTATATATGATTCTAAGTTTTGTGTTCCTTTGTCTTCTTTTTTGTGTTCTTTTTTGTCTCCTTGACAAATCCTCATCTAACCTTTGCCTAAATATTTCTAGAGATAGAGGCTTGCTACTACATACTGAGAAAGCCATGTCCTTTTTTCACTAGCTCTAATTGTCACAAAGTTTTCTCGTATTGATCTGAAAACTCTAGCAGATTTATCACTTGAGCAAGAACATGAACGCTCAACTGCAGTTAACAGTAGATCTAGACCTCTGCATATTTTTACATTGGGTTGTAGTAAAACCTTTCTCTCTAAAGATCCCAGTGTTTGCAAACAGTTTTACTGCTGCCATGTGATGGAGATGTCACCAGCTGGTATTCAGCATGCTTATAGGGCAAACTTGAAGAGACATCTTAAAGTAAGACATATTTTAGATGTTACAAAAGGTTCTGTCAGATCTACACAGGAGAAGAAGGCTTGGCTTCTCTTGTAAGTATAAATTTAAATATGTATTTTAAGTGTTAGTAAAATAATGCACATTTAAAAATTAAACACGCCAAGTATAGTGGCTCACTCCTAGAATCCCAACACTTTGGGAGGCCGAAGCAGGAGGATTGCTTGGACCCAGGAATTCAAGACCAGCCTGAGCAATATAGCAAGACCTCACCTCTACAAAAAATAACTGGGTGTGGTAGCCTGCATCTGTAGTGCCAGCTACTTGGGATGCTGAGGCAGAAGGATTGCTTGAGTCCAGGAGGTCAAGGCTGTAGTGAGCCATGATCACACCACTGCATTCCAGCCTGGGCAACAGAGTAAGACCCTGTCTTCAAAAAAAGAAAAAAACATGTTTTTTCTTTAAATTTTTATTAAAATATAACTCACCACCTGAAAAGTGTACTAATCAGAAAATTCAGCTCCATGAATGTCTACAAAGTGAACAAACTCATGAAATCAGCATTCAAAACAAGCAACAGAGTGTTACCAGCAACCAAGAAGCTCCTCATATGCTACCTAGTCACTACCTTCCTCTCCTCTGCCTTAAAGTAACTACTATCCTGACTTCTAACACTATTTTTAGATTTTTTTGTGTTTGTTTTTTGCCTGATTTTGAACTTTGTATAAATTGAATCATACTGTATGTACTCATTTTTGTTGTCTTTAGCTCAAGAGTAGTTTGTGAGATTAATCCATGTTGTTGCATATAGATGTAGTTTGTTCATTATATTTGCTGTGGAGTATTCCACTGTGTGAATGTACTTCAGTCTGTCCATTTTTGTTGATGGGTAGTGTTGTTATGAATATTCTTATATATGCCTTTTGGTGAACATTTGTGCACATTTCTCTTGGGTATATCGAGGAGTAGGATTGCAGAGTCATAGGGTGGATCTCTACTGGCTTCGTAGATATTACTACAATTTTCAAAGTAGTTTTAATAGTCGAAACCAGCAGTTTCACATCCTCTCCAACATTTGGCATTGTTTGTTCTTTCATTTTACTTAATGCATGTAACTTAAAAATCAAAACAGAAGAACTTATGATGAAAATCAGCAATTGCCTCCCTAAACCCTTTACTTTCCTGCCCTAAGCTAGACTGTTCAGAAGCAATCATTTGTAACTATATATTTCTTTTTTTTTTTTTTTCACTTTGTCACCCAGGCTGGAGTGCAGTGGTGCAATCTCTGCTTACTGCAAGCTCTGCCTCCCAGGTTCATGCCATTCTCCTGCCTCAGCCTCCTGAGTAGCAGGGACTCCAGGCACCTGCCACCACACCCAGCTAATTTTTTTGTATTTTTAGTAGAGACGGGGTTTCACCATGTTAGCCAGGATGGTCTCGATCTCCTGACTTTGTGATCCGCCTGCCTCGGCCTCCCAAAGTGCTGGGATTACAGGCGTGAGCCACCGCGCCCGGCCTATGTATTTCTATTTTTAACAACTTTTAAGAGGCATTGATGAAGAGCACAGATTCTGGGGCCAAGCGTGGTGGCTCCCACCTGTAATCCTAGCACTTTGGGAGGCCGAAGCAGGTGGATCATGAGGTCAGGAGTTCGAGACCAGCCTGGCCTACACAGTGAAACCTCGTCTCTACTAAAAATACAAAAATTAACCGAACGTGGTAGTGGGCACCCTGTAATCCCAGCTACTTGGGAGGCTGAGGCAGGAGAATAGCTTGAATCCGGGAGGCAGAAGTTGCAGTGAGCTAAGATCATGCCATTGCACTCCAGCCTGGGACAGAGCAAGACTCCGTCTCAAAAAAAAAAAAAAAAGAAACAAACAAACAAAAAAAACAGATTCTGGAGCTAGACTACCTAGATTCTTATTTTGGTTCTACCACTTACTAGCTGTGTATCCCTGAGCAAGTTACTTAACCTCTCTGTGTCTTAGTTCCCTCATCTGCAAAATGGGGCTGATTATAGTACCTATCTCAAAGAATTGTTTTGGGAATTAAGTTAATTAATATAATGCCTTTCACATGCTAAGTATGTAATAAGTGTTAGCTATACTAATAATAGTGGTGTTACCTCTGTATTACTAAACAGTGTCATATAGCTATCCTTGAGTCAGAAGCTTTAGACAGTGACTATTAATTGGCTTCAGAAGATAAAAGATTTCACTAAGTAATATCCTCTCACCTTCTCTTTTGCCTTTTTTGATATAGTTATATTAACTATTTTCCATTCATTCACTGAACTACATCTTTATTTATTTTTATTTTTTTATTTTTTTATTTTTGAGAGTGGGTCTTACTCTGTCACCCAGGCTGAAGTGCGGTGTTGTGATCTCAGCTCACTGCAGCCTCGATCTCCCAGGCTCAAATGATCCTCCTGCCCCAGCCTCCAGTGTAGCTGGAACTACAGGAGCGCACCACCATGCCCAGCTGGTTTTTGTATTTTTTGTAGAAATGGGGTGTGGCTATGTTGCCCAGGCTGGTCACGAGCTCCTGAGCTCAAGCAGGTCGCCTGCCTCAGCCTCCCAAAGTGTTGGGATTACAGGCATGAGCCACCACACCTGGCCATCCTTATTTTTATATAATTGATAACATGTTCTGTTCATAGTTAGTCTTCCTTGGTCTGTGTTTTTACATTATTATGTCTATGTAAGTACTGTTTATTACAGAACTGTCTAATATGCAGATTTATGTTTCCTTCTCTATATTCCAGTTTCGTTACCTTGGTGCCATTCAAAGCAATATTTTTTTCTCTTATCAAATTGCCTTACTCAGATTTTCAGAGTATTCCTTTCCCTTCTCATTCCTTCTGCCTCTCCTATTTATTTCCTCTTATTTCTTGGAGATTTCCTTCCTGGAGCTTTCATCACCTGCCCCAAATGGGTTTTCTCTTGGCTTGCCACACACCAGTCATCTGGGTTTAGGACATCGTTGCCCTCTTGACTTAGATCCACTGTTTTTGGATCACTTTCTTCAGTCTTGCTTTATGCCCTTATTTTGTGGGCATGTATCTTCATGTAACTTTTTAATAAAAGGATGTAGTCTTCAGCAAGCTTTTTGTTCTCCCTGGACTGTGTGAAATGAGAAAATGATTTGCGATTCTTGCCATACCATGTTATTGTGAGGATCAAATATAGTAATGTATGTAAAACCATGAGCCTCCTTTGTCAGGCTCCTTCAGACTTGGTTTAGAACTTGTATTCCAGCAGAAAACAGGGTGGTAATCAAGTCAGTTAAGGGACTGTAGATCAGGCTCTGGAGTTACATATGAGTTTTGTTATGGACTGAATTGTGCTCCCCTCAAAAATTGATAAAATATGTTGAAGCTGCAACCCTCGGTGTAACTCTGTTTGGGATAGGGCTTTTACCAAGGTAATCAGGTTAATTAAATGAGATCATAAAGATGAGCAGTAATCTGATAAAACTGGTTTCCTTATAAGAAGAGGGAGAGAGAACAGGAATATGCACATGGAGAAAAGTCTGTGAGAGGACACAGTGAGAAGGCAGCCATCGCCAAGCCAAGGAGAAAGGCCTCACCAAAACCCAACCCTGTCTGTACCCTGATCTTCGACTTCCAGCCTCCAGAGCCACTCAGAGTTCTGTTATGGAAGCCATCGCGGATTAACACAAGTTCCAGTTTTGGCTCTAGCATTTACTAGATCTCTTACTGAGATCTCTTAAGACTGTTTCCTTATGTACAGTGTGCTGATGCCTAGTTTGGAGGTTGTAAGGATTAAGTGAGCAAATAAAGTGCTTTATACAGTCAGCATCTGGTTTGGTAGCCATTCAATAAATGTTTGTTTTTCATAAGCATTAAAAGGGACTATAATTTGTTTTAACGAAGCTGTGCCATTTTATGATTTTATTATTTTATCAGACAATTCTAACCAAACAGTTATACATCAAAGCAGTGACAAGAAAAATTATTTCTGGGTAGCAGGGTTATTGGTTTTCATTTTAACAGCTATATTGAAATATAATTCATATGCTATACAGTTCACCTGTTTAAAACTTACAATTTAATTGGCTTTTACTGTATTCACATATATGTGCAACCGTCACCACAGTCAGTTTTAGAACATTTTTATCATCTCAAAAAGAAAACCCATAACCTTTAGCTATCACCCTCCTAATCCCTTACCTACCCCCAGGCCTAAATAACCCCTCATGTACTTTTCTGTCTTTATAAATTTCTCTATTCTGGGTTTTCATATGAATGGAGTCATATAATATCTGATCCTTGTGGCTTCAGGACGTACTGGCTGTGTGTTTTATTTCTTGGAGTATTTTTTTCTACTCCCTTGTCTCTTTTCTCTCCTTCTGGTTCTCCCATTATGTGTTTCACTAATTCTTATTCCAGTTCATATCTACTGTTATGAGTTCCTCTGTAATTTTTAAATTTCACTTATTGTACTTTTTGACTACAGAATTTCCATTTTTTTTTGTCCACAAAAAGAGTCAAACTCTGTAAAATATTTGAAGAGACTTATTCTGAGCCAAATATGAGTGACATGGCCTGTGACACAGCCCTCAGGAGGTCCTTTGAACATATGCCCAAGGTGATCAGGGGTACAGCTTGGTTTTATACATTTCAGGGAGACATGAGACTTCAATCAAATACATTTAAGAAATACATTGATTTGGTCCAGAAAGGCAGGACAACTCTAGGGGGCATCTTCCAGCTTATAGGTAGATTTTAAAATTTTCTGGTTGATGGTTGAGTTTATCTAAAACCTGGGATCAATAGAAAGGAATGTCTGAATTAAGATAAAGAATTGTGGAGACCAGCGTTCTTATTTATTACAGAGGAAGCCTTCAGGTAGTAGGCTTCAGAGAGAATAGGTTGTAAAACGTTTCTTATCAGACTTAAAGTCTGTGTCCATGTTAATGCTGGCGGGGTATAATGAGGCCTGTCCCGCATCTGTGTTGATGTTAATGAAACGGTTCCATTGTCTGGGGTATATACCCTGGTTCTTGGTCTTGGTGGAGAAAGAATTCAGGACAGGGACACACAGGAGGGGTGGGTTTAGGAGAGGAAAGTTTAATAGAAAAAGAAAAGAGAGAGAAAAAGCTTCCTCATGCTAAGAAAGTGGGTAGCTCAAAAGAGGGTCTCTGATTTACTGTGAAAAGCCATAGGTTTTGTACAGAGGCTTGAGGGGGCAGTGATTGATATACATAGGGCTCAGGGGATTGGGTTGACCAGGTGTGCTACTTACATAGCCCCAAAAAGACTGGCCCTCCCACCCTAGCCTTTTATTATACAAATGAGGCCTCCACCTGGCGGCGGCCATGATGCCTGTACGTGGTTTTACCAGGAGGCTGCCAGGAAACCCTAAAAGTGGTGACAAGGAAAAGAGGGCAGGAGACAAGGAAAAGAGGGGAGGAGACACCATACTGAATGTACCTGGCTTCCAGGTACAGCTGCTGGCATTTACATATAAAAGCTCCTAGTTTGCATATTATGCCTGACTTCTGTGGCTGCTTTCTGTTAGAGAAGAAATGATTTGGGGGCTGCTTTTTATTAAAGGAAAATTCCACCGAGAACTTTCACCCTTTCTTGCTGCCTAAAAATTACTTATTAATAACTCCTGTATTATTAATGCTGGAGGGGTATAATGAGGCATCTCTGGCATGTCCGACCCCCATTTGCCATCATGGCTTGAACCATTCTTTCAGATTAAATTTTAAGAGTGCCCTGGCTGAGGAGGAAATTCAATCAGGTGGTTGGGGGGATCTTAGAATTTTATTTTTGGTTCATAGTTTCTTTTTTTACAATTCCTGTCTCTTTATTGGTATGCTCTATTTAGTGTAACATTGTCATAATACCTCCCTATAGTTTTTTTTTTTTTTTTTTTGGACGGAGTTTCGCTCTTGTTGCCTAGGCTGGAGTGCAATCTCGGCTCACTGCAACCTCCGCCTCCCAGGTTCAAGCGATTCTCCTGTCTCAGCCTCCTGAGTAGCTGGGATTACAGGTGCATGCCACCACGCCCGGCTAATTTTTATATTTTTAGTAGAGACGGGATTTCATCATATTGGTCAGGCTGGTCTCGAACTCCTGACCTCAGGTGATCTGCCCGCCTCAGCCTCCCAAAGTGCTGGGATTACAGGCTTGAGCCACCGCGCCTGGCTGAACCCCTATAGCTGAACCCCTATAGTTCTTTAATCATGTCTTTTTCCATGAACATATTTATGGAGACATATTTAACATGGACACAGACTTTAAGTCTGATAAGAAACGTTTTACAGCCTATTCTCTCCAAAGCCTACTACCTGAAGGCTTCCTCTGTAAATAAGAACTTTGGTCTCCACAAATTTTGAATCTTTTTCTGTTAAATCTAACATCTGGTCCTTCTCACAGGCAGTGTGTGTTTTTTTGTTTGTTTGTTTTGTTTTGTTTTTTCTTTGTTTTTTGCTGTATGGGTCATACTTTTCTGTTTCTTTTTATGTCTCATAACTTTTTCTTGGAAACCAGACACTTTAGATAATATATTGTAGCAACCTTAGATACTGGTCTCCCCTTACCCAGAGCTTGATATTTGCTTGTCTGTTTTTAGGTTGACTGCCTGGATTATTTTAGTACAGTACACCCACCCCACTTACCCCCCCACTAGTGTTAACTCTCTTATTGCTTTTAACAGCACCCAGGGGCATAACTTGTTCTACAAACTATTCCAGTCAAATTGTGCCTCCTTCAGGAATAGTTTCTTGGGTAAGTGTTTGATATTTGCTCTCACCCCAGGAGGGCTCCTCCCAGCTGTCTTATTTCCTGTTTCTCTACTAGGGGCACAGCAGCCTGCAGCCTAGGATATGTCTTCCTTAAATCCATGAAGGAAGACATGTGCTTTTCACCACAACCTCCATTGTTCTTGGTAGTGCCTTTAGGTTTGAGCTTCTTCACAGACTATTGTAAATGAAATTAATTCCTTTGGGAAGAGATTGGGAGAATCTGTTTTCTGACTTGCCTCTCCCTCTTCTTTTCCCCTTAGCAAAATAATCAGAACCAGGTCTCTGGAGCTAGGGGTGAAGACTACTGCAGGCTTCTCTCTGGGTGATACCACAACTCTAGGAGCTGAGTGCTAGATTGGGGATAGAGTAGCCAGAGGTCCTCTTGGCTTGCCTTTCCCACTATGGAACCACTTCCTCATGAGCCAGGGCAAGACAGTCAGGGTTCCAGTATTCTCAGTGTTCTGTGCCCAAGGTAGACCCTCCATTCCATGAGTGGGGGCTGGGTCAATGAAGGAATCCCCCTCCTCTTGACTGAACTTGCCTGGAAGTAACAGGTGACTGGAGGCTAGATGAGAAATGTTCCTATCCTCCTCTTCCCAGGGAGAAAGCCCACCAAATGAGAGCTGTGGGATGAGGGAGCCCTGTGTTCCTGGCAATAGAAGTCTAGCATGGAGTGGCCGGGCGTGGTGGCTCACGCCTGTAATCCCAGCACTTTGGGAGGCCGAGGTGGGCAGATCACGAGGTCAGGAGATAGAGACCATCCTGGCTAACACGGTGAAACCCCATCTCTACTAAAAATACAAAAAAATAGCCGGGTGTGGTGGTGGGCGCCTGTAGTCCCAGCTACTCGGGAGGCTGAGGCAGGAGAATGGCGTGAACCCAGGCGGTAGAGCTTGCAGTGAGCCGAGATTGTGCCACTGCACTCCAGCCTGGGCGACAAATTGAGACTCCGTCTCAAAAAAATAAAAAATAAAAAGTAAAGAAGTCTACTGTGGAATCTGCCACCCTGAGCTTGTTGGGGAAACAGGGTTCAAACACCACAGACTTGGCTTTCTTATCAAATTGTCATCGATTTTCTTAAGTAGATTTTTAAAATTTGCTGTTTGCTCTTAAGATCATTTCCAGAGGCTGTAAATGTTTTGGTTTAAAATAATTTTCACGAATTTCACTGGGGAGCAGATCAGCAGGGCTCTTCATACTGTCATCCTTAAAGTCGATCTTCCTAGTTTGGGTTTTTAAGTTTTCTACAGGAGGAAGTACAGGTAGTTTGTTAAGACTATTTTGCGGGGAAGCCTGAGTGAGAAAACTGACATTTTTGAGTTAATAGGTTAATTAGGAAATAAAGACTAATGGATTTTGAAGAAAGATGATATGATGGAATAGGAAGATAAAAGAAAGTGATAGAGGTAGCCCGCTTCATTGTTTGGATTCTTTATGGGTTTGGGATACTTAAAGACTTGGACTTAAAAATTCTGAAAACCAAAGGTTCTTAGAGAATGTTAATGTGTGGATTCTATTTATTGGCTTGCCGAACATGTTCATGCTTTATCCCACCGTTTAGTATATTCATTTAAAATGGAATACGTTGTTCTGATTTTAGATTATTTTTGTGCATAAACACTCTTAGCAAAACCCCCTGAGCATTAGTAAATCCAAATTAGACTTTAATCCATATAACATTCAACTCATACTCCTGTGAGAAATTTTATTGAATTTTGACTTTATATTTGACAAGGAAAGCTGGTTCTTAGAGCAGTTGTGATTTAGCTAACTTGGATTATTAAATTCAAAGTTTCTAGTGTATATGGTTATTATAATTTTTTTACAAACTAACAGTTATATGTTTTTCAGGAGTCATAAGGACTGTGTGTTAAAAGCACCCAGCTACAACATTATATTGATATAAATTTAGTTACTAGTTTTTTTCCCTCTAAAAATTTGGTGCCAGTCTGTCTGAATCAAATGACTTCAAATGCAAATTAGCGTTTTAGTTGGGAGAAACTCGGGGGGCTTTCTGCTTTCCATACTAGTTTAGAAACAGGAGAAAACCACTGAGCATCGCCTGTGTCCCTACTTAACATTTCCTTAAAATTTTTTTCTTTAATCTTACTTACTGGGAAAACATAAAACAGCATTTAACCCCCTCTATTAGTGTCTTTCAGTATAAACTATAGTAGGCCATTGATATTTTCTAAGTGTTTATTTCAGTTTTAGTGTTAACTCTTTGTAAATCAGCGCAACACATACTCAAATCCTGATAGTGTGTGAAACATCCCGTCAGGTATGGATGATGGATGCAGAGAATTGTGAGACTAAGTCATATTTGACATTTTAAGGCATAAATGCACGCAATTTAGAGGACTGCAAGATAGAGAAGAGTGAAAGCAGCATGTATGGCCGAGTGCGAAAGAGGGGAGGATTTGGACAGGCTTTGAGGAATCTGGGAAAACTTCCAGTTGGTATGAAAGGCCTGAAGGCAGGAATATTCATAGTGTCTTCTGGGCATATGAGGTGACTTTCTAGATTGGAATGTTTATATTAAGAGAATATATGATTAGAAAGATTAATTGTGGGCTGGGTGTGGTGGCTCAGGCCTGTAATCCCAGCACTTTGGGAGGCCATGTGGGAGGCCGAGGCAGGCAGATCACTTGAGGTCAGGAGTTCAAGACTGATCTGGCCAGCGTGGCAAAACCCCATCTCTGCTAAAAATACAAAAATCATCCAGGTATAGTGGTGCATGCCTGTAATCCCAGCCACTTGGGAGGCTGAGGCAAGAGAATAGCTTGAATCAAGGAGGCAGAGGTTGCAGTGAGCCAAGATCGTGCCACTGCACTCCAGCTTGGGCAACAGAGCAAGACTGTGTCTCAAGAAAAAATAAAAAAGGAACATTAATTGTGGTGGACCTTAAATGTGAAACCAAGAACTTTTGACTATGTGTGTGTGTGTGTGTGTGTGTGTGTGTGTGTGTATCTGTTTGTGTGGTCAGTAAGAAGCCACTAAAACTTTCTGAGCAAGTAGATATCATGGCTAGTGACAATGTGTAGGGTGAATTGAAAACCACGGGGCTTTAAGCCCAATTTTCTTTCATTTTCTTTTTCTTTAGCTTTAATGGAGGAGTATGAGTTGTGTTTTAAATTAAAAGTTTTTTAAAACCTACAGTTTATAACTCAGCACAAACTTCTCCATAAAAACAACAATATTAGTGATGAGCATATGAATGCCTGGATAATTCATAGGTAACTGAGGTGTTATATAGTTGGACTTTGGAATTAGACTAGCTTGAATTCTGGTTTTGCCATTCACTTTGTAAAATTGAACAAACTTGTTAACCTTCCTAAGCTTCATTCTTTTCATCTGGAGAGAGGAGCCAATAATATTGCCCTCTTCAGGGTTGTGAGCATTAAATAAGATAATGCATGTAAAAAGCACTTAGCATACTGCCTGGCAAATAGTAAACATCTCTAATGAATATCTCTGCTGTGTTAATTGTTATTGATGTTGCTATTACAGTCATCTTTATCATGTACTAATCACTGTCTGTAATAGTCAGCTCTCTGTATTCGTGGGCTCCACATCCATGGGTTCCACATCCATGGATTCAAACAACTGTGGATTGAAAATATTTTTTAAAAATTTAATCTGCGCTGAACATGTACAGACTTTTTTCCTTGTCATTATTCTCTGAACAATATAGTCTTAACAACTATTTACATAGCATTTACATTGTATTAGGTATTATAAGTAATCTGGAGATGATTCAAAACATATGGGAGAATGTGTATAATGCAGATACTGGGCCATTTTATATTAGAGACTTGAGCATCCTGGGATTTTGGTATCCTTGGGAAGTACTGGAACCAATCCCCCATGGATGCCAAGGGGACTGTATATTATTTCCATGGAACATGCATTCTGAATTTTGATCTTGTACCGTAGGAACACTCTTCCCATCTGGTTCACAGTCTCTCTCCTGCCCCACCTAAACTTCATGGCCTACTTGCTGCCTCTAGGCTTTTCTTTTCTTTGTTCTCTCTTGCCTTATCAATGGGGGCATACCAAAAAACCAAGACTTATGGGTGCCATAGCGAAGGCACCATTTGCTGCCAGTTATGGGGGAGTGTGGTAAGCTTTGGTTTTGTAGAGCACGTGTAGTATTAGGTGTTCATTTTGCTTTGTGTTTTTGTACAGGTGAGTTTTGTTATGCTTTAAACTGTGGTGTTTATTATTCAGACATTTAGACTTATCTTTACTTTTGTCAGGTTTAAGCCGTTTTTTCCATACCAGACCTTGCAAGGATTTGAAGAAGATGAAGAGCATATCCATATACAACAATGGGCACTTACTGAAGGCCGTCTTAAAGTTACGTTGTTAGAATGTAGCAGGTATGTTCTTTGTTTTGTCATTACTAAGTTACGGGAAGAACAGTGCAGTGAAAATATTCCTAAGCAGTATTTGTGTTGTGTGTTCATTTAAATTATATTATTTACCTGTAAATTCTTTAATTGTAAATTTAATATCATAAAAGTAGTCCTTTCTAACTTTAACAAATATAAATCATATTTTAGAAAGTGTTTTAATGGAGGGAGAGGCATTTACTCTGTAGTCATTCTGACACTATTTAGATGCATAGTGCTCTGTTGGCTTATTTTTAACTTATTCTACCTACTGGGGAGCTGTTCCTATGTTAAAGAGAAAATTACTCAATGATACTTATTAAAGCAGAGTAAGGAAGTCTTTATTCAGGACCATCATGATAAGTATAGCAGCCACTGCAGTGAGGTCTTGAAGTGGGTGAGAGATTGGGCTCAACTCTGAATACAGCATGGGCAGGTGGAAATTTATAGCCAAGAAGCAATGTGGGATCAGTGGATGGAAACTTACTAAGAGGAAACATCAAGGGTAAAGGGGATTTTGGCTAAACCGACCTAACAGGATTCTTGCTAAAAACAGTCCAGGGTGATCAGACATCATGGAGGATGGTAAAGGACGATCAGATATCAAGGATAGGGGTTTCTTGCTAAACTGACTTCGCAGAGTTCTTTGCTGAAACTGGACAGATGGGCCTAGCAGAAGATTCAGAAACCTCAGTAAAGTTTGGCCTGGCAAAGAATCTTTGTCACCTATCAAAACGGTTTTGAGAATTGTTTGTGATAATTGGAAACACTCAGGAAAGTTGCAAAACTAGACTTTGAACCACTGTGGATTTTTAGCGTTTTAGAACTGGAAGCGATCTCAGAAATAATCTTGCCTAGCCTCCTTGTTTTACTTTGCCAGCACCAAAGTTTAAGCTATATTCATATCTTGCTTGAGCTACTTACTATACTAGCCTTCATATCTCCTAGTCCTCTGGTCCCCAATATAACAACCAACATGATCTTTTCAAAATGCAAATCTAATTGTCAGTCTCCTAGTTAAAACTCTTTAACAGCTTCCCCATTACTCTTAGGATGTGGACCCAAATCCTCACCATGACACACAGGTTCCTCTTAGCTCTCCAGCTTCAGTCTCACCATCCTCCGCCCAGCCCCTCATTCATAGTGCTTCAGCTACATAGGCCTTCCCAAGGCAAGGTGTTGGCAGACTGTTTCTCTAAGGGGCCAGATAGTACATTTTAGGCTGTGATTCACATGCTCTCTGTTGCAACTATACAACTCTGCCTTGCAGTACAGAAGCAGTCACAGATAATGTGTAACTGAATGAATGTGGCTGTGTGCCAGTAAAACTTTGTATATGAATTTTGTAATTTTCATATGTTATAAAATATTCTTTTGATACTTTTCAACCATTTAAAAACATAGAAACCCTTGATAGCCCACAGGTTATACAAAACAGGCAGTGGACTGAATTTAGACCATAAGCTGTAGTTTGCCATTCCCTACTTAAATATTTTAAAGCACCAAGCCCATTGTGTTGACTAGCTGCTGCTTTCTTGGCCCCCTTCTCTGCTCCATGAAGCCAACCTTTCTTGGTTTGGTTCAAAAGCTACCTTCTTAATGTATCTCCTGATCATTCCAAGTACAAGTATACTATCCTCCGGCTACATTTCTTTGACACTTGTTTGTACCACTTACTTGGTACATATGACTTTTATTTCCAACCCATAATACAATTAAGTACTTGAGCACACAGGTTATATTTTATATCTAATACATTTGTGTCCTTGCTAATGGTTAGGTTAGTTTTGAGTATACTAATAATATACTTAATCCTTTTTTTTTTTTTTTTTTTTTTTTGGTTAAGTCCAGGGTGACTCAGGATTGTGTATCATTATGTTAGAAAGCCTGGTAGACAAAGAATCCCTTTTTTTTTAAATCAAAAAAAGACTAAATATGTTGTCTATTTTGTAAAAGGAACTGCAGTGTACAGTAAAATACATATAATAGGTACTATGCTAGGTATTTAGAAAATACTAGTTCATTTGCTTTAATGTTGCTGGTGGGGTTAGGTATTGATTATATGTCTGTTAGCTTGTAGCTATTTAACCACTAGCTTTGGTGTCAGCTTTGCTCACCACATTTTTGCTTTACCTGCAGTACTGCTCACTTAAAGCCTTGCTACAGGAATCAAAGACTGCATGTAAGGCATTGAGAAAGTATAGCCAGACATTCTTTAGGTCATGTTGAGATAAATGAAAAGAAAAGCATTAGAATGTGTGAAGTACCTGTAACCAACTTTATTTTAATAAGGAACTGTGTAATAAATCTCTGAAAGGATAAGTGAGAAACCAATAAGAATTTTTACGGGGTATACAGGGAAGGAACTGGGTTGATGATGATGGACAGGGGTCAAGGTGATAGCCCAGCTATTCACTATAAACTTGTTTATGTTGTTTTATTTATCACCTGGTCAAAAATTAAGGTCCAGTATTTTTAGAGAGTACATAATTAGGCTGAAGGGAAAAACATGGAAAAATAGTTTTTTTAATATCTGAAGTTATGTAACTGTCGGCTTAGGTTATATAGCCAGCACCTTTCCCCAAGTGATAGATTCATCTTGGGAACAAGTACACTATCTAGAGATTTCCTTGTGCCATTTTTACAAATCCAAGCATGTAAAAGTTACTCAGTGTTGTGGTACTGTGTTATTGTTTACATAGTTTAAGAATTATTTGTGTATGAAGGCAAGAGTAAGTCTCAACTCATTCCTGCTTTTTTGTCTTCGTATTAAGTCCTAACATTCTTTCCGTTAAAAACTTAACGTTACTGTTTTTCTTGTAAACTTTTTTCTTAGTATAAAAACAGAAAACTCTGTTCAGGTAGATTTTAAGTTTATAGGATTCAAACTAAAGAGGACATATTACTGTAACCTAAGCATTTTTATTTCAATAGTTAATCTCATTTTGAATATAAATTCAGCTTGTGTGTTTTATTCTAATTCCTGAAGCAAAAAGAGGCACTAGAGAAAATGAAAGCACAAATAACAGTGCTTTCTTTTTGGAAGAAGGACCAAAAAAATGCTTATTACTTCATATATAGTGGAATAACATAGACTTTTGAGTTATAGAAAGCACTGAATTCAATCTAGCCATATGCCCTTATATAGTGTCACTAGGCAAGTTACACATCTGTGAAATGGGCAAGGGAGCTACTTTGCTGGTAATTGTAATCAGAGATAGGCAACTACCCACAATGCCTACCACATAGGATACCTACAGTAGATGTAGCTTCTATTATTATGTCTCAAGATAATCGTTGCAGTATCTGTGAAGAAAAAACGGCATGTTTTTTCTTGCATATTTGTTTGTGAGAATTGGAATTTGAATTTTATTAATTTAAAAAGGTCTCATATTGTAAAGGGAGGTTCTTTCCTAACTATCTGAAATACTGTTTCGCATTTCCCAAGCAATAGCTTGAGGGTGGAAAGGCAGTATTATGTGTAAAAATTGGTTTTCACATTTTGCTTTTGTCAAGTATTTTTTAAAAAGCAGTCATTCTGAACAATTGCATGTTTTTTTGAGTTGATGAAAGCTGATTTTTTTTAACCACAGATGAATGCAATGGCTGTTTGTCGTACTGCTAGTAGGTGAAATTATTTCACATTAGTGTTGCAATCAGATTGTTAAGATGATTATTTTTAAATTTATAATTTATAGTCTATCTTCTGTCTTGAAGGATAGAAGATATTTGAGATATTTTGCAAAGAAAACATGTAAGCATGTATACTTAAGCAGAAGATATATTAGATCAAAAACATGGAAAAGAGATCAATTTTCTGGCAGCTAAGACAACAAAGGAAACTTTACGGATTAGTTAGATCTTACTTTTTTTTTTTTTGAGATGGAGTCTCACTCTGTGGCCCAGGCTGGAGTGCAGTGGCATGATCTCGGCTCACTGCAAGCTCCACCTCCTGGGTTCACGCCATTCTTTTGCCTCAGCCTCCCAAGTAGCTGGGACTACAGGCGCCCACCACCATGCCCAGCTAGGGTGTTTGGTCTCACTGGATTTCAATATTACATCTTTTTTTTTTTTAAGTTTTAAATGTTAAATATAACACAAATACAGAAAACCACAGCAGTTGACATTCTATTCTGTTACCAAGAGTCTTCCCTTATTCTTAGTTTATTGTCACCATTGACCCATGAATTTTTATTTTTCTCAATGGTTATAATTCTTTACTGTCCTTAATTATTTTGGTGTCTAAATTGTCTCAGATTTGGCCAGTAGGAACCCCCTCAAGATGGATCCTGTGTGTGATATGACCCCATCTTTTTTTTTGTCTTTTTTTTTTAGACTTCATTACTTTCTGATGTAACAAGCTGTTCTGCATTTATCTTCTATCTTCTCTGCCACGGTCCCAGAACAACTATTTTTCCAAAGAGCCCCAATTCTTTTTATTTTTAGCTGAGACTACAGGCATGTTCCACCATGACTAGCTGCCTAGTTCATTTTAGTAAAGGATGGTATTATTAATAGAAACTAAGATCTGAATGTTGGGTGTGTTTATTGCTACTTCATATATTCATAGACCTCTTCAGAGGACACTTAGGAAATATATTCATGTATCAATACTTATACATGCATACACATACGTAATTTAGAAATCATGAGTTCACCTGATACAGGTTGAGCAACCTTAATCTGAAAAATTTGAAATCCCAAATGCTCCAGAATCTGAGTGTTTTTCGGTGCTGACATGATGCCACAAGTAGAAAATACACACCTGACACCTTCGCTTTCTGATGGTTCACTGTACACAAACTTTGTTTCATGCAGGAAACAATATTTTTGTATAAAATTACCTTCAGGCTATAAAGTGTATATGAAACAAATTAATTTTGTGTTTAGACTTGGGTCTCATCTTCAAGATATCTCGTTAAATATAAGCAAATATTCCAAAATCTGAAGCACTCCTGGTCCTAAGCATTTTGGATAAAGAATGTGCAAACCTGTACCTCCAACTCTAGTTCATCCTTATGGAATTGTTCCTTGCTTTGGTTCTTCCTCCAATTCTTACTTCATGGCTCTCAACAACATCGGCACTTTTATTCACTTGCTCAATCCTATAATAATCTTAATTAGTTTCAGAATGCATTGTCCATACAAGTACAAAAAACATAATACAAAGAGTTCAGGATTCCTTTGTAATTCTCCCTTACCCTGCCCAAGGTTGAGGGAACGTGGGGGTCAAGTACTGTGTTCTTAAATTATTTAGACTTGTTTTTCCTCTTTGGTGTGATTATGGTGTTCATTTAAAATATAGTTGGGTTTGTTTCAGATTGCTTTCAGATTTAGTCTCCCCCCACTCCTACTTTTCTTCATCCTTACTGATTTTCGCTTTTAAATACATAGAGTATTAACATGCTTCTGCAAACCCAGAACTGTACAAAAAGATATACAGATGGTATATAGGTTATTAAACCATCAGTGGTGTTATTTTTGCCTTACACTGTTATCTGTCCTTTAAAGAAATTAAAAGAAGAACAAACTTTGGTAGTGGTGGGTTGTTTTTACATTTACTGTATATTTACCATTTCTGTTGCCCTTTATTTCTTCTTTTATATCAAAATTGTCATCTGGTATTCCTTCCCTTTATCCTGCAGAACTTCCTTTAGTGCTTCTTGTTATGTAGGTCTGCTGGCAACAAATTAACTCATTTTTTGCTTACCTGGAAATTTATTTTCCTTTCATCTGTTCCTTCAGCACTTTGGCTATGTCAATCCCATATTCTGATGAGAAGTCAGCAACTTTTTTTATTCTTCCCCCATATGTAACATGTTGTTTTTCTCTGGCTGCTTTCCAACCTTTTACTTTATGTTTGGCTTTCAGCACTTAGACCATGTCTGAGGGAGCTTTCTTTGTGTTTTTTCCTGCTTCCATTTCAGTTAGCTTCTTGGATATATGAATTAATGGTTACAACCAAATTTGGGAGCTTGGGCTATTTTTTTTTTCCAATTGTTTTGGCCTTTTTTTCCCACCTCTCTTATTCTAAATTACATATTATGTTGGGCTGTTTCATTTTCCCATAGGTCCCCTGAGGTTTGGTTTGTTTGCTTGTTTATTTGTTTGTTTCTTTAAATTCTTTTTCTCTGTGTACTTTGGATTGAGTAATTCACGTGGTCTAATTTCAGGTTCACTGAGTCTTCTCCTATCTCCAGTTTTCTGTTGAGCTCATCTAGTGAATTTTTAATCTCATTTATTATACTTTTTGGCTCTAGAATTTCTGTTTTGTATAGTGTCTCATTTCTATGTTGATATTTCCTATCTGTTCACTCATTATGTTTTCCTTTAATTCTTTGAACAAATGTTCTGTCAGTTTTTTGAGCCATATATATATATAATGGCTGCATTGAAGCCTTGATCTGCTAAATCTAGTATCTGAGCACATTAGGAGTCAGTTTTGTTTTGTTTTGTTTTGAGACAGGGTCTTGCTCTGTCACCCAAGCTGGAGTGCAGTTACATGATCATGCCTTACCACAGCCTTGACCTCCTGGGCTCAAGCGATCCTCCCGCCTCAGCCTCCCAAGTAGCTGGGACCACAGGCATGTGACACCAACATCTGGCTAATTTTTTGTATTTTTAGTAGAGAAAGAGTTTTATCCTGTTGCTTAGGCTAGTCATAAACTCCTGCTTCAACCAGCTTCATCCAGCCCACCAGCTTCAACCTCCCAAAGTGCTGGGCATGAAGCCCAACATTACAGGCATGAAGCCCTGTGCCCTGCCTGCAGCTGCAGTTTTTTGATAATTGAAATATTAATCTCAAAGCAGGCTTCTGTCTACATTCAGAAGGTTTTCATTGTCTTTAAATGTGATAAAAAATTTTGTTTATCCAGTTTTTATAATTACAATCTGTGGAAGAATTTGAGTGACACTTCACTACTGTTAAAGTATTGGCCACCTCATTTTGTTGTACATGTTGTTGAATTTTGCTTTTGTTTCCCTCATTGCTTTTTGTCCTTTTATGGGGGGGTTTTGGGGAGACTCAAAACTGTGTCACCACTCTTGACATCATTCTGGAACCAGAAATACATTGATCTTTTAAGGCAAAGAAAATCATTTAATTATGTGATTAAATTCTTTTTTAGTGTTGTCATCTGGTCTTGATTCACATATTAGGTGAAGCATTTTCAAAGTAGAAGTTTGACAGAAGAGAGAAATAGGGAATTAATCCTTTAAATAGCATTATGTTCATATTTTAAAGTGAAATGTTTAGTTCTGTAGGGAAGGCTGCTAATATTATGAAATTTTGAAATTCATTTACAAGAGGAGCTATTTTAGTAGTTATAACTTCAAAATATTTCCAGTTTGCATTTGTCTATGAATCCCGTTTATGTTAGCATTGAGTTTGATTAAATTTGTTTGGTTATTTTGGCTTGAATATAACTTAAATCCACCTGAAGCAAATGAGGCTAAATAATAATATTTGCTTTTTTCCTGAGTAGTTGGTATGTGGGTGCTTCTTATATTACCTGCCTTTATTTTAATGTTTTGACATTTTTTTAAGGAAAAATATCTAGCTAAATCTGAAGATATTTGGGGCATGGCTCTACAAATAATTGTATTATTAGTTGTACTTATTATCTGCAATATGTAGGTACTTTACTGCATGTATTATTTTCAGCTCTTAGAGCATCGTTACAAGATTAGTGTTATTATATCCATTTTATAGATGAACTGAGATCCACAAGTTACTTGCTCAGTACCACTGGAATTTGAATCTAGTTTTGTCTAACTCCAGAGTTCCTCGGTCTTTCTGTTATCTTATTCTGCCTCCATATCCCCTTTTTTTTTTTTTTTTTTTTTTTTTTGAGACAGAGTCCACTCTGCTGTCCAGGCTGGAGTGCAATGGTGCAATCTCCACTCACCACAACCTATGCCTACCAAGTTCAAGTGATTCTCCTGCCTCAGCTTCTCAAATAGCTGAGATTACAGGCACCCGCCACCACACCCATCTAATTTTTGTATTTTTAGTAGAGACGGGCGTTTCACCATGTTGGCCTGGCTGGTCTCAAACTCCTGACCTCAAGTGATCTGCCTGCCTTGGCCCCCCAAAGTGCTGGGATTACAGGCATGAGCCACCACGCCTGGCCCATATCCTTTTTTAAAAAAACTTTACAGAGGCCAGGCGTGGTGATTCACGCCTGTAATCCCAGCACTTTGGGAGGCCGAGGTGGGTGGATCACCTGAGGTCGGGAGTTCAAGACCAGCCTGATCAACATGGAGAAACCCCATTTCTGCTAAAAATACAAAACTTAGCCAGGCGTGGTGGCATATGCCTGTAATCCCAGTTACTCGGGAGGCTGAGGCAAGATAATCACCTGAACCCAGGAGGCGGAGGTTGCGGTGAGTCAAGATGGCGCCATTGCACTCCAGCCTGGGCAACAAGAGCAGAACTCAGTCTCAAAAAAAAAAAAAAAAAAAAAAACCCTTACAGAATAAAAATTATTTTGGTTCTGAAAACTTTTATATTATGTTAGAAGTGTAGGTTTTGGAAAATTGTAACATTTTTTAGGGCAGGGCATTATTTTTAAAATAAATTACCTTTTCAGAAAGATCGAGGGATGGAGAAATGTGTATAATAATGAAGTATTTTTTAGTTGAAGGCTGAAGTTCTGTTTTTTGTTTTTTGTTTTTTTCTTGGAGGGAACGATAAGAGGAAATTAGCTCAGGCATAAGACATTTAAATTTGTATAAAGGAAAAGTTGCACTCAAAATGAATGCTTTTGAAAACCAGAAGGAATTACTTGGAATTGTTGCTGAATATTATTCCTCAAAGTCTTTAAAGCTGTGTAATTCTGTGTAAATTTAGGCATAACTCTACCAGATGAACCAAGTTCCTGTAAAGATTTTGAGACTATGTTTGCATTTATTAATTATTTAACATCTTATATGCAGTTAAATAAAAGTTGAGTGATGTTTTCCGTTAGTTTTTATACATTTCTCTCAGATATAAAGAATCTTCCGTATAATTAGGTTGCTTTTGACTAGAGGCAGACTTTTCAAAAGACTGCAAATTTGGAATTTCTCCCTCCTGTATTTATGTAGGCTCTCTTTTCTTCCCCATATCCTTTTCCCTAAGGTTGTGATGCTGGAAAATAGCCTTGTTTCTTTTGTAATTGTATACCTCCACTACTGTTTCATACTACAAAATATAGCTCTTTAATTCTTCTGATGTCTGAATTGTAAGAGAATGTAAGAAAACTAAGTAGGAACACAGCTGACATAATACCAGTGCTCTTTTTTAAAATGCCATACTCCAAAATGTTTTAAATGCTGTATTGGTATGCTATACACTCATACAATACCTTCAGCAAAAATGAACTGTGGTCAGAAAATAATAATTTAAAAGAGGATTGTGTCTTTGATAATCAGTGCTTTTAATGTATTTTATTCACGGGTAGCATTTGTAATTTTAACCAAAAGACAACTGCCTTTATTTTCTCTCTTTCAAAATTTTTTCAACCCATTTGTCTCAACTTATATAGTCCAGACTTTTCATTTATTAGCTGTGCAATGTCTGGCATGTTACTCAACCTCTCTGTGTTCATTTTCTAATGTGTAAATTAGGGGTAATACCATTACCTATTTCCTTGAGTAATTGTGAAAATTAAATGAAATAATAAATGTAAAGCTCTTAGAATTGTCCTTACAGTAAATGTTAGCTGCTTCAACTATTTCTGCTACTACCACCACCACTACTGCTTCCACCACACTACCACCAGTCTTTCCAACATCAATAGTGAATGCATTTTGTCTAAATACTACGATGAATACAAAAAATATGGAGCTCAGTGTCTGCCCTCTAGAAACTTAAAATGTAGTTAGGGCTAACAGACAAAAACAAATGCATAAATAAGTCAACTATATGAGGCTGTCTAATTTGAATTGAGGCTTAAGTGATGGGTAGTATAGAAACTTAGTGCAAGGAAAAAGTATTTTTGAATTGACACTACCATGGAAAACTTCATGGATAAGATTCAGGAAACTAGATGGATTGTAGATTTTAGGTAATTGGAAAAAGAGCCATAAGATAAAAGAGAATTAGAATTGTAAAGTATTTTCCAGGTCTTGTCTGAATGAAGTGTAGATGTCTCAGGGCCAAATTTGCTGGCAAGAGAAGTTACAATGGTGATCCTTTAATCAGAGAAAAGTTATTGAAGGTGATATTAAGAAAAATGTGCATATTTATGGAGTAAATTGTATATATAGAGATTGAAGTCCCAGAGACAAATTTAAGAGGTGTTGTGGGTTAAAGGTGAGGAAGTAAATGCCTCATAGATATGTTTTAATAGGAACAAGAAGGAAGGGACACGTGGGATAACTAGGACAGGGTTTAGTGAGTGACTGAATATATGGATGAGTTAATAGGCAGGGGAGGCAAAGGAACTCTAAGGATCTGAGTGTAGGAGAGTTATGTATCCATTGACGTTGATCTGCTCAGCAAGTACTGATTATTTTCTGCATGTTATAGGATAGAAAGAACAAGACACAGTTACCTTCCAGGACTGGATGGGGAAATAGAGGTACTCATTTCAAAGGCAGATGAATTTGATTTTACATATCTTAAGTAGTAAGGCATGGTTAGATTTCCCTGTAGGAGTGTTCTGCAAACTCTTGGGGTTTTAGAGGTAGCAGGGGGAAAATGAGGACTGAAGATTAGATTTGGAAGTCGTGAAAATTGAGGAAAATTGAGTTCTGCATGAGGATGTTTCTGAGGGGGGTTGGGAATATAGAGAGGAGGTGAGCATGTATAAAAGGTCAACCAAGCCTGATTCTTTTAACAACAGGTGAAGTGGTATTTGACCCCCTTCAAGTGCAGGGTTTTCCTTTCAAATTAAGTTTAGTCACCAAAGGAAAAAAAAAAAACAGATTTTTCCCTCCCTCCCTCCCTCCCTCCTTCCCTCCCTCCCTCCCTCCCTCCCTCCCTTCCTTCCTTCCTTCCTTCCTTCCTTCCTTCCCTTCCTCCCTCCTTCCTTTCTTGAGACAGGGTCTCATTCTGTCACCAAGACTGGAGTGCAGTGTCTTGGTCTTGCCTCACTGCAACCTCCACCCGCCAGGCTCAAGCAATCCTCCCACTTCAGCCTCCCGAGTAGCTAGGACTACAGGCATACACCACCATACCCAACTCCTTTTTGTATTTTTTGTAGAGACAGAGTTTTGCCATGTTGCCCAGGCTCGTCTTGAATTCCTGGCCTCAAGGTATTCACCTACTTTGGCCTCTCCGAGTGCTGGGATTACAGGCATGAGCCACCATGCCCCATCATTTTGTACTTTTCTTTGTAGAAATGACTTTCTTATAGCATGAGCATTGGGAATTACTTTCCTTTTCTCATTGGTTTCATCTTTAATCCATTTATACCTAGTGTTCCATTATTGGAACTCTAAGCTTGTGGGAGTTATTTATATCCTACTGCTCAACGTCATCGCCAAGGTCTGATTTTTCACAAAAAAATTTTTCAACCTCCGGTATAAATGGGTTAATCATGTAAACGATCTTAACATGTTTCTAGGTGGTGTTTGTATTTATGCTTACTGGAAGGTTTCAACATACCTTTGCCTTTAAAAGAATACTTTGAACTTGGTAAGAAATTTCACAGAGGTAATAGCTCTTTCAGGAGATAGACGGCAATTTAGAGGAGATAAAAGGCAATTTCTTTTGCTTTTTTGTTTAGTAGTACTGACTTCCCTTTGGAAGTAGTAGTAGTAGAAATTTATTTATACTCATTTATTGCATATTTAACACATGTTTGTTTATATTTATGCAAAATATTTATTAGCCAGTGATTGTTACTGCTTGCTTCTGGTCATTATATAATTTGAATGGAAAGCCTGTCTTTGTTTAAGATTGAACTGTAAGAAATGTGAAATGAAAAGTTATCCTTTTGTTTAAATGTAGAGATTATAATTCACCTTAAGCTAAAGCAAATGTCGTCTATATTCACCTAACTGGCTGGTACTCACGTTTCCAGTGGGAACTCCTTTCTGGCATTTCTTCAGAAATTTCCATGTTTTTCAAATACCAAGAGGAGATATCAGTCAAGGCCTGGTGCTGTGGCCCACGCCTATAATCCCAACACTTTGGGAGGCTGAGGAGGGAGGATTATATTTAATTATAGATCTAATTGGCTTTTATTTATGATTCATGAATTAAGACAGCTTCTGTTCTGCAAATAGAATGAAAACTCCCACTGGGCATTGGCAAAACAGTGGGTTTGGTAAGGTAGAAACAAGGAAATAGAACAATAGGAAAAAAAAAGACTGATTGGTTAACATAAGTTACTTTTTCGTAAGAGAGTTTGAGGCAACATAGTGAGACCTTCTCTCTACAAAAACATAGAAAAAAAAAATTAGCTGGGCATGGTGGCTCGTGCCTGTAGTCCCAGTTATTCCAGAGGCTGAGGTGAGAGGATTGCTTAAGCCTGGGAAGTCAAGGCAGCAGTGAGCCATGATCACAGTGCTTCACTCTAGCCTGGGCGACAGAGCAAGACCCTGTCTCCAAAAAAAATAATAATAATAAAAAAAGAGAGATCTTAAGAAATCAGGAAAATGCAGGGGAGGGGGGAATATTGTAATTCTTCTGAGAATTAAAGCTTGACAGTCAACATAGAGCCACTGCTGGTTGAAGGAATCCATTGATGTCAGGTCAAAAGCAGGCACAAGAAGCACTGACATAGGGAATTAGGTCCCAGAAACCAAATCTGGAACTTGTAGGAGAGAAACAATCACATTCTGAACAGTTAGTCTTGAGTATAACTTTGGTGATGGGAGTCATTCTTGCAAACAAAATAAATAAGTTGGTGCACATATTATACTTTATATAAATCCTAAGAAATAATTTTTTTTTCCAAGAAATAAGTTTTGGAGCAAAACAAATCCTTAAATTGGCAGATTGGACAGATGCTTCTGTGTAGTGAAGCTAACCTTTGTAGGAGACACTAATGTTATTTTATTAGAGTGGTAATAATGCTTGTGGGTGTTTTCCAGTATTTGAATATCCACTAAAAGCTACAGTTCTTTATATATACTTCAACAGAAGAAATGTAAAGAGAAGATGTGAATGTTGCATAATTCTGTGACAGAATAAAAAAGTAATCTAAAAATCAGAATTAATAAAAGCCATATCCATTTCAAAGGTAAAACCAAATTCAGAATAATTGGACAAAATATTTTCATCATGGAAAAAAGTAAATGTATGTGAAGCAATGTGTACCCTAACACCTGTCAAAAGACAATTATAACATTTAATTATAGATTGAATTGGCTTTTATTCATGATTCATGAATCAGGACAGCCTCTGTTCTGCAAATAGAATGAAAACTCCCACTGGGCAATGGCAGAAAGAACAGTAGGTTTGGTAAGGTGGAAACAAGGAAACAGAACAATAGAAAAAAAACCTGATTGGTTAACATAAGTTACTTCTTGGTAAAGATTAAAGCACAGGGGACTGACTTATGCTAACTCAGGTAGACTGGAATCACCTGTTTTCAGGAAAAACTAGTCTGTTGGCATCTATTTGCTTATATGGCATTTAACATTACAGAGACTGTATTTTGATTTGGTCTGTTTTGTTAGGGCCTAATGCAGGAGCTTAGTCCAAAACAATGGCCTCCCATAATTTTTGTTTAACAATTCCCCCCATTTGGTCACAGTCTCACCTAGGTGAGATCCTTTAGTACCCCTAGGTGAGAGTCTGACCAAAACTTAGGGCATTAGTGCTACTTTCAGTTTCTATCATTCTGCATTGCCAGTTTCAACATGCCATTCATGGATTACAGGGTCCTCATGGTCACTCATTTCTTTGAGTTTTTGTTGTTCCAGCCAAGAGAGACCATTTGACGTTTCACGGATGGCTGCATGTAAACATTCAAAGCATTTGAGAGAATACAGTGCATAGGGAGACTACTACTATCAGAAGGATAGTATGAAGAGTTTGGAGTATGTTCCCTAAGCAGGGTCCCCATGAACCAAAGCAATCAAATCAGATAGATCAAAGAATGAGCTATATTAGAAGTCTACCCATTTTAACCAAGTCGCCTTTTGTTAATTTTTTGTACCTGAGTCTCTTTAATACCAGATGTATTTATCCATCTGTAACAAGAAGTGTCTGCAACTGCACAGATGCCTCCCTGTTCAGCTAGTAGGTAGAAATTCTATTATCCAGCTTCCCATGACTGTGCTAATTTAAAACAAGGAGAGAGAATGAGTGGTTCTAGAAGTCTAACTCTATGCAAGGGACCACTAGTTCAATTTGAACAAACAGTTGTATTAGAGATGTTGCTAAAGTTAACCACTAGGTATATTAAAGGATCTCTTAGGTCATGTAAAGATTTGGGTTTGACATGACAGATCCAGCACTTCATCAAGTTACCTACAGAAGCTGTTTGATTGTGGAATTTTGATTACAGCATTATCCTGCGCCAAGCAAAAGAGGAAAGCTTAAGCAAGGCATTAAGAGAGGTGAGAGTCTCATTATGATGAGGAGGCTTGTTCCAAAGTCTTGGGAAAAGCTATCCACAGCACAAAGCTATCAACTTCTTGTCCTGGTTCACTGTTTTAATGTCTCTGGTTATGGCATAGGGTGATTTGCTGAACTCTGTGTGGCCCACACATTAGGCATGAAACTTGTCTCTTGAAATTTATATTGATTTGTCTAGCTTCACCTTATAGGGATTAAAGAACAGAGCAGTTATTATTCTTAGTTGGAGAGTTGTATGGAGCCAGATATTGGAGGTGTATTAGTCCGTTCTCATGCTGCTATAAAGAAATATCCAAGACTGGGTAATTTATAAAGAAAAGAGGTTTAATTGACTCACAGTTCTGCATGGCTGGGGAGGCCTCAGGACACTTAGAATCATAGTGGAAGGGGAAGAAGAAGCAGGCACCTTCTTCACAAGGTGACAGGAGAGAGATTGAGTGCGAGCAGGGGAAATGCCAGACACTTACAAAACCATCACATCTTGTGAGTCTCACTCACTATCACAAGAACAGCATGGGGGAAACCATCCCCACGATCCAATTACCTTCACCTGGTCCCACCCTTGACATATAGGGATTATGGGGATTACAGTTCAAGGTGAGATTTGGGTGGGGAAACGGAGCCAAACCGTATCAGGAGGAAACTAGAAGAATCCAGGATCCAGTTCAGTCTATAGGAAGATAATAAAAACTTACAGTGAACCAGGCTGTAATCTAACAGATGAAGTGTGGATTTTTTCATAGTTTTGGCTGGGCGTGGTGGCTCATGCCTGTAATCTCAGCACTTTGGGAGGCTGAGGTGGGCAGATCACTTGAGGCCAGGAGTTTGAAACCAGCCTGGCCAATATGGCGGAACCCCATCTCTGCTAAACATACAAAAATTAGCCAGGCATGGTGGCACGCGCCTGTAATCCCAGCTACTTGGGAGGTTCAGGCACAAGAATTGCTTGAACCCAGGAGGTGGAGGTTGTAGTGAGCTGAGATTGCACCACTGCACTCCAGCTTGGGTGACAGAGCTAGACTCTGTCTCAAAAAAAAAAAAAAAAGTTGGCTTTTCTGGAACTTTTGATAGGTAATCTCAAATAAGTCTTTTAGACTTTTAAAAGACTCTCAAGGCTGTGAAGCCAAACCCAGGGCTCACCATTAAACGTCACCTATAGTACTTAATAGATTATGGTGAATTCCTCTCTGAGGTCCCAAAAATATCCTGAGTTTCCTGGGCCTGTCAGGAAGTGACATTTTTCACCCCGCTATAAGACCACCGGCTGGGCTGTTGTATTCAAGGTACCAGGCCAGTTTTTCCATGGTGGCAGTTGGGGAGAGGGGTGACAGAGGTGTTAATGGCGCCACAAAGTCAACTTTAATTCCTTGAAGTTGTCTGGTCATATCTGAAAATACGAGATTCCAGTCAAAGCTTGGTACTAGTGTTTCCAACTGTGTCCTTTTACAAGGAGAACAGATTCTTAAGAAACTTTCATAAATGATTATATTGCCATAAAATTAAGAATACTCACTAATAGTTTCCAAAATCTGGAGGGATCAGATGGGATGAAAAAGTAAAGGCTTCAAATTTTGCTCACAAAAGTGAACTTTACCACACTGCCATAAGCTATAGATTAAAAGAAAAAAAAGTTTCTTTAAATCTGGAAAACAAAACACTGAAGAATCAGCAATATTTCAAATAAAAAGTCATAAAAAATTATTCTCATCAGTTTATTCAGTTCCGTGTAATTTATTCTTATTCTGCCAGATCTTGGTTAGCAGTTTCATGAAGCCATCAGTTTCTTCATTAGAGTTTTATAAATTCTTATCCAGGCCAATGGTATGATCTTAAAGTTATCAGAAACTTGTATTCCAGAGTACTTATAATGAATCTTGACGAATAAGCAATTTTGGACTGTAACTGACTGCACATGCTTTTAGGGAAGAACCAAAACCATTGTCTGTGGATGACCAAGAGTTAGAAATGGCCATGGCTAAAAATCTGATGAGAGTTCATTATAATCAGCAATTGACAAAGAAATTTGGTTATTGCTATGGCATTGTAACATTTAACATAATAACCAAAAATCATGACTGATAACTATTAGATTTCTAGGAATCTCTTACAAATTTTGGAATAATTTGGAAGTCATTTGTTTCTTATTTTGCTCTAAGGTCCTCTTGAAATGTTCTGCTATGATTACTAGTTTAGCTCAGTCCTGTAGCCTCTTGTCTTTTTTTTTTTTTTTTTTTTTTTTTTGAGATGGAGTCTTGCTCACGCTGGACCATCTTGGCTCACTGCAACCTCAGCCTCCCGCGTTCAAGCAGTTCTCCTCTCTCAGCCTCTTGAGTGGCTGAGATTACAGGTGTGCACTACCACATCTGGCTAATTTTTGTATTTTTAGTAGAGACAGGGTTTCACCATGTTGGCCAGGCTGGTCTCAAACTCCTGGGCTCAAGTGATCCACCCTCCTTGGCCCCCCAAAGTGCTGGGATTACGGGCGAGAGC
Source organism: Homo sapiens (assembly GCF_000001405.40). Classification (NCBI taxonomy): domain Eukaryota; kingdom Metazoa; phylum Chordata; class Mammalia; order Primates; family Hominidae; genus Homo; species Homo sapiens. The sequence continues at coordinate 117,323,959 of NC_000010.11, read as the reverse complement.
TACTGCTCCCTGCCTGTCTTTTGTCTTTTTTATGAGCCTGCATCAAGTTGGGGGAAGCTGGAATGCCTTACCAAAAGGGCTTCCAAGTGAATTTTCAAGTCAGTAACAGCTTCATATTTCTCTAGCACGCAGGTCTGGATGATAGACCACATAGTGCAAATGGAAAAACACTTTAGGAATGCCTTTCAGAAAGTCATTTGCAATTCTGGGGGCTTTGCCTTGCCCATAAGTAGATCCAGGTAGGTCTTGTTGGGTCACTGATACCATTCTCAGGAGAATACTGTTCTGCCTCTTACATTCATTTTTGTGCTTCCTCAGGTCCCTTTCAACAAAGTGTATTAGTTGGTAGAGGTCAGTAATACCAGGTCATAGGTTCCAATTAAGACCATGAATTCTTCAGAAAAATTTTGAAGTTCTTCCCTGGATTTAGAAAATTGTCTATGCTTTTGTCCAGGAAGTATAAGTTACTGGGGGATCATTTTGGAATTTTCAGGGGGTTTTATTTTATAAAAAAGCTGTTTAACTGCTTTTTCAGAGAAGAAAGGTAGTTCAAACGGTAGTAGACTGAATATTCAGGCAAAGTAGGATAGAGGGGAGCAGTAGTAGTGAAGCCAGTCTTATTTTCCTTGGTATATGAGGATTATCTTGCATTTTTAGCTTTTCATTAGCTTTTTGCAATGAATCTTTTATAAAAGCTATTTTTGAATCCTGTTGTTTCTTTAAGGCTTCTGAATACCAATTAAAAGGAGAATCCCATTCTCTCTACCAATTAATTGGGAGGCTTGGGATTCAAGTACATTTCTTAGATGAACGATCTTGTTCTTCTGGAACGGTCTTCATATGGCCATTGTAATTCTAAATTATCTTTAATAAGGTTTTGCCACTTCTGTAAGTATATGCAGCTTTCAGGCTTAATACTCATACATGTGAAAGTCAGGTGTAGTCAGAAGGCTGAGTACTCAGCTCTTCAGAAATTAAGGATCCTATTTTTACCTTGAGTCTTGGGTCTCCCAGAGCCAAGATAAAAACCTAAGAGGGATATGCCACGAGTTTGAGTCCTATAATGTTTCTACAGTATACTTCATTGCATGGATATTTTCTTGTGGCTGCTGGACAACTTTATGTTAACTGACCCATTCCCTGACCAGGCTTATCTTCTCATGGTAGTCTTATTTTTTAGTGATGGGTTGCTCTAATAGCTCTTACATGCCTCACCCGTTTCCACCAGTCAGGTTATGGCTTTGGCTCTGACATTCCACTGATCAACCTAGCCAATGATTTTCCCATTTCTCTGTGAACCAGACACCTGAGGCCTCTCTTACCTGAGTGTACAAGAAAAATGAAGAATGTAGAACCAACATAACTGCAAATTCTGAAAACTAGAGTTCGTGCCCCCTGCAGTAATAACCACTTAGTTCAACCACTGTCGGTTACTTTTAAAACTGCAGCTCTTGCCAGTGACTCCTCAGCTACTGCAAATCCAAAAGTCAAGTGCCTTCTCACAGCACAGATTAACCCCAAACCACAGAGATCAGGGAACTCAGGGCAAAAGAAAGCAAAGCTTGAAAGCAAAGCAAAAGAAAACAATTTTCCGGGCTTCCTGAGGAAGACAGAGGATCCAAAAGGGGGGTCAGCAGCACCTTTACCATGTTCCTCGAGGTCTCTGGGTCATGGGTCATCAGAAATCTCCTTCATGTCCCTTCATATGGCCGCCAGAACTGTCAAAAGACAAAACTACAACTAATTTAGTTATAAGTCTGTTTGGGCCCCTTATTTGGTTTGTTCTTATTAGGATCTAGCACAGGAAGGAGCTCAGTACAATGGCCTCCCATAATTTTTGTTTAGTGCACCCAACCTGGAGATGTTTTTGGGAATACTCATTACAATTGAACGAATCAGTAACAATCCAAAACAAAAACTTTTTCTGTGGTATTTGTCACAAAACAAAGATCAAGTCTTTGAATAGGACAAATAATGCTTTGTATGCTTTAAATTTTTATTGTTAAGAATGTTATTAATATGTATGGTTATTTTTCACAATTAATGATGTTTTTGAATTTATTTGGTTTTAAGGTACCCTTTTAATGTTTTCTGTTATCAAATATCTGTATCAAATAAAGAGCAGTCTTACATTTTATTGGTTTATAATCTTGTCACAATATATTGATTTATAATCATAATAAACCAATCATTTATTATTACATCTTTTTAAAAAAATCTTTGAAACTTTAAATGTAACCTTACCACAGAAAAATGATTCATTATTTATTGTTACGCTTACTTATTTTTTCTTTCAATTGTTTTATTGAGATATAATTAATATACCATGCAATTCACCCATTTAAAATATACAAGTAACTGATTTTTAATAAATTTACAGGGCTGTATAACCACCGTCAGAGTTTAATTTTAGAATATTTTCATCCCCCTCAAAGAAACTCCATAACCATTATCAGTAATGCCCATTTTCCTCTAGTACTCCTCCTGCAACCCTAAATAACTTTCTATCTGTATAAATTTGCCTATTCAAGATATTTTATATGAATGGAATCATACAATATGTAGTCTTTTGTGGCTGGCTTATTTCACTTAGAAGTTTTTCAAGGTTCATTCATAGTGTATGTAGCATGTATTAATACTTCATTTATTGCCGAATAATATTTCATTATATGGATATGACACATTTTATTTATCCCACTCATCATTTGATGGATATTTGGCTTGTTTCCACTTTTTGGCTATTAGGTATGAATAATGCTGCTGTGAACATTTGCATGCATGTATGAATGTATGCTTTCATTTCTCTTGCTTACACACCTAGGAGTGAAATTACTGAGCTATGTGTTAACTCTATGTTAACTTTTTAGGTAACTGTCAAATTGTTTTCCAAAGTGACTATATCATTTTACATTCCCATCAGCGATGTATGAGCATTCTAATTTCTCCATATCCTCAGCAATACTTGTTATTGTCTCTTTTATTATAGCCAATCTAGTGGGTATAAAGTCATTTTGATTTGCCCTTCTTCAATGGCTAATGATGTTGAGCATCTTTTCATGTGCTTGTTGACCATTCGTGCATCTTTGGAGATGTGCCTATTCAGATTCCTTGCCCATTTTAAAATTGCATTATTTGTCTTTTTATTGTTGAGCTGTAAAGAATTTATATGTTTTTTGGATACTAGGCCCTTATCAAATACTTGTTTTGCAAACATTTTCTCCCATTCTCTGGGTTGTTTTTTCATTTACTTTAAAACTTTCCTAACTTTGGTGGAATCCAGTTTATCTATTTTTCTTTTGGTACTTATTGTATTTAAGAAACCATTGCCTAGTCCAAGGTCAAAAAGATTTACTTTTATGTTTTCTTCTAAGGATTTTATAGTTTTAGCTTTTATATTCAGGTCTGTTAATTTTGAGTTAATTTTTGTTAAACTTTTGAGTTAATTTTTGAGTTAGTTTATGTTAAATTTTGAGTTAATTTTTGTTAAATTTTTTATTACTCTTTCTAAAAACATTTTTAAAGTGCTGTGAAAAATATGGAATAACTTACGATTACAGGGGAGAATTTCTGACAATTTTGCTTTTTCATTCCTGAATTCTGAAGATTTATACCTGTCAGGAATTTGGGGACACTAGCTGGTGCAGTTTTGTCTGCCTGATAGTAAAGGCCCTTAGGTAGTTTACTCTTTGAACAGGTGGTGGCAGCAGAGCTTTAATGAATGTAAATTCTCATTTTTTCCCTAAACTTAGTGTTTTATGTTTAAGAATCCTGTATGTATTTGGACTGCCTTCTTTTTGATAATAGGTTGTTAAGCACTAAGTTTAAAGTTCCTTTTAAGATTATTTAAGAATTGTTTAGAGCTTAGAATTTTAGGGGTTTGTTTTTGTTTGTTTGGGTTTGATTTTTCACCATGAGTTTATTCAGACTTCTGTTTGTGAGTCTAGTTTGTGGAGTATGGACATGATTTGCTTGAGGTCTTTAACCTGCGGACACAGTTTTTTTTAAATTTCTCTAATGTGTTTTATCCACCTTTTCATTATTCACTACTACCTCATGATCTTCATAGAGAGGTAAAGTAATAGAGTAACAGTCAACATGTTCGTTAGTGTTAAAGCTGTTCTCAAGCTTACTCCTGAAACAAGTTGGCAGATTTACATTCTGATTTTGAGGATAGATAATATAGAAGTTGGACCCATGAGTAACCTTTTTTCTTCAGCAATAAAAACTATATTATATAATCTCGTGACTGGACCTCATATGTCTTTTTTAGATCTAAATATTAAACAGTAAAATTACATGATGCCAGTATTCCTTGACAATTGTTTTCAAGACAATAATAGAGATAACATTTATTGAGCACTTAGTGTTTGCTAGGCACTATGCTAAATGCCTTGTGTGCATTGCCTTTTACTCACAACAGTTCTCAGAGGTAAGTACTATTTTTGCCCAGAGTTTCTAGAGGAGGAGTTGGGCTTAGCGTAGAGAAGTTAAATAATTTGCCTGAGGTCACATTAGTAGATGAAGAGTGTGTGTGTGTGTGTGTGTGTGTGTGTGTGTGTGTGTGTGTTTATGAGCAATTATATTGCACTTTAGTGTGTGTATGTGTTTTACAGAGTTGATGGTATACTAGCATTATTCTGCATCTTGTTTGTTTTTAAATTCAACAGTCTGTTTTGAAGATGTATAGCTCTTGCTGCTACATGTACATATTTGGTCAATTTCTTTACCTAATGAGTAGATAATACTTTGTATTTGTTTGACTTAGCTGCTGAAAAATAGCATATCCTGGAATCTCACCAAATTTTAGCTTTACTTCATGTTTCCACTAGAGGGTGTATAAAATATTTGACTTAATTTTTTTTTCTGTTACTAAAGCTATAATAGTAATGGAGTAATGTGTTGTTTCTTGTTATAATAATCAGAAAGAAAAATTTTAATGAATATAACAGGTATGATACTCTCCCTTGTTTTGTTTTATTCTGCAGGTTACTCATTTTTGGATCCTATGACAGAGAGGCAAATGTTCATTGCACACTTGAGTTAAGCAGTAGTGTTTGGGAAGAAAAACAGAGGAGTTCTATTAAGACGGTAAAATGGATTTACAGTGATTTATATCTATATAAAGTTCTATTTTATAAGCATGCATTTATTACTATTTCTGTATTCCTAGAGTTATTTTTGGTCATGTGCAAATAGCTATGAACAGTTCTTATTTATTTGTCTCGTTACAATACAACTACAGTGATAAAGTAAATCACAAGAAACTATAAATAGTATTCATATTACCTGCACAAGAAACCTAGTCCGACTAGCTTTCCTTTCAGAACTTTAAGATTGCTTCAGTTATGAAATTAGAAGGAACTAATTTTAACTAAACACCTTCAAATACATGTGAATTCAGAGTATTCATTATTCATTCATTGGACAGATATTTTATGAGCACTTACTTTGTGCTGGGCACTGTTTTAGATGCAAGAGAAACTGTTCAAGACAAAAAAGGCCCCTATTCTTGTGATACTAACATGGGGTAGATTTGTGGTATGGGGATTAGAAGAGGGAGGAGGTGATCTACATTTTATAGGGTAAAGATAGAACACAGTAATAAATGGTAAACAAAAAAAGTGAACAAAGCTATTCCCAAAGATTCACAGGTGCTATGAAGAAAATAGGCATATGACAGAGGAATTATAAGTTATGATAAAGGAGGCTCTTTAGATCTGGTGATAATAGGACTCTAAAGAGATGACACTGGAGCAGGCTTACCAGAGGACACCCAGTTAAATCTGAATTTCAGATAGTGAATAATTATTTTAGTAGAAGCATGTACCCAGTACTACAGGATAACAGTCAAAATCCTGCTAAGTCTTTAATGGACAACTATGTAGTATTTTTATGGATATTCCTTTGACTTTTAAATTGTTTCTGATTTATTTATGTATTAACTGTTGTGAACATCTTTATATAAAAATTGGGCAGTATGAAATTATTTTGGAAGAAAGAGGGTAATTTTGATCAGAGTGGAGAAGGAGGGACAAGAAAAACTGGAAAGGGAGGATGGTTGGCCCACAGTGTTTGCGTTTATGAAAGCAGTGGGGAGCTGTTGAACATTTTGAGCATGGTAATGACATGGTCAAAATAGAGGTTTCATGGAAAGTTTCCCCTTTCTTTGGTGGCTGTTCTTGCCCCAACCTTCTTTATGTTATATCTCAAACAATTTGAAGCAATTCCTCAGAAGATTGAAATAACTAGCATTAGAATTTGTTTTGAAATACATAACTACATGAAGAAGCATTATTGTTTTGTCCAGCTAAATTTTTGCGTTTACTTTGAATTGGTCATAACTTGCCATTGCTATTGGCATTTTCAATATCCTTTATTATATTTGCAAAGATATGAGATTAGACAGTTCTAATATTTTATAGCAAAAATTGGTAAGACTTTAATCTTGTCATTATTTTAGATCTTAGTATATGTCATAAGTAGTGTTGAGGAAAGAATTCTAGGTTATTAATTATATCTGATGTTGAAAATGTCAGCAAAGTGTCTACAGGCATTAAATTACGAATGTCTGAATTTAATATTCCTAGGGAGGAGAATTATTAGTTCCTTAAGACAAAACATCAGGGAGTAGGATTCAATAATTTGTAATACATTACAAATATGGGTAGAAAATAGAACATCATTAAAACAATTATGCTAAATTATTTGATGAGTTTAGGATGCTATCTTTGTATAAATACAATCTCTAGATTTAAACAGTATTTAATGTTGAAATTTGTTCAGTCAAGTTAGTCACTAATTATAATGAATATACAGAATAAAAGAAACTTAATTCCTGTCATACTTTTAATGTGCCTTGAGTTTTTAAAGGAGTATAATACTGTAATCTAGGAACATAGCTTCCTCCTTCATCTTCGTTAGCATGGAGTTTTTGCCCTGATGGTTGCAAGATGTCTAATGCATCCTTAGGATTTTACCTTTCAAGAAAAAGGGTGTGGTCTAAAGCTGGCCAAAAGCACATGTCAGCCATGTCCTTTTTAAAACTTTCCTGGAAGTTCCTCCCAGGGATTTCCAGTTATATCTCATTGGCCAGAAGTGAGTCCTATGGCCTCCTCAGCAGCAAGAAAGTACAGTATGAGAAGCCATTTTAATTTTTCTGCCTTTGTAGAAGTAGAAGGCAAGGGAGAAACGGAGTTATGAATGGCTTTTATGTAGCCAGTCCACAAGAAAACAAATCTATTTGATGACCTTTTCATTTTTTATTTTTTTAGAGACAGGGTCTCGCTCTGTCACCCAGGCTAGAGTGCAGTGGCACAATCATGGCTTACTACAGCCTCCAACTCCTGGGATCAAGTTAACCCTCCCACCTCAGCTTCCACCTCCCGAGTAGCTGGGACTACAGGTGTGCACCACTACACTCATCTATTTATTTTTAATTTTTATTTTTTTGGTAGAGACAGGGTCTTTCTATCTTAGCCAGGCTGGTCTTGAACTCCTGTCCTCAAGCAGTCCTCCCACCTTAGCCTCCCAAAGTGCTGGGATTAAAGGGACTAGCTGTCACACCTGGCCATGACTTTTTATTTTTAAGGGAATTTTTTATAAATTGGGACATAAGGGAGAAATTGCAAAGAATAATTTAGCAAATACCCTACATAAAGCCTATTTTAGAAATACCTTATTAGAAATCCAAGAAAAGTTTGGAGCAAACTCACTCAGACCAGTGCCCTGCTTAGCTCATTTATACAATAAAAGAGCTCATAGGATAAATGAGGTACCTTGTGGTTGTGTTTGTTCTTTGAAAATAATGAAGATTCCTCATGAGAATCCTATAAGCCAAGATAGCTGAGGTATAAGTAAATTAGATATTAGGCTTAAACAAAAATTAGGGGATCATCTTACAAGAGATGACAGAGTAAATACTAAAAATTACTTTACCACACCAGAAAGAGACAGTGCAATTTGTGATTTATTTCGGGTCCATTGCAGTATTCCGGTTTGGTGATCATACTTTGCTTAACTTTCACCAAGAAAGAAATTTAAGGAGTTTTCAGATTTTAAAAAGTTTCAGGCCATGATATTTTAGTAATAAACTATAAAAATATCTATAAATATCTGTGGAATGTATAGTGCTTACAAATAAAATTCACAATAAATTAATCTGACATATATTAAAGCACATGTGAATCATTATGTGCCTGGTTAGCGCCACAGAACACATAAATGTCACAGTAGCACACATTGTTTGAAAGAGAGAGATCCTAAGTTTTACCCTCCCAGAATTGGAGTTTTCTTGCCACTGACCACCCAGTTGCTTTACCCCTAGTTCCAGACACAAAATAGATTATTGTTTTTTTTTTTTTTTTTTTTTTTTTGAGAGAGTCTAGCTCTGTCGCCCAGACTGGAGTGCAGTGGCGCAGTCTCAGCTCACTGCAACCTCCACCTCCTGGATCAGTTCTCCTGCCTCAGCCTCCTGAGTAGCTGGGACTACAGGCGTGCACCACTGCACCCAGCTAATTGTTGTATCTTTAGTAGAGACAGGGTTTCACCATGTTGGCCAGGCTGGTCTCGAACTCCTGGTCTCAGGTGATCCACCCACCTCGGCCCCACAAAGTGCTTGAATTGTGGGCATGAGCCACCGCGCCTGGCCTCAGACACCAAATAGATTATTAATAAAAGTTTTGTTCTCTTTCCCTCTCTCTTCCTATTTTAGCTAGTCTGCCTGTGCCTTCTGTATCTTCTCTTCATCATTTATCCACACTGACTCACTTGATTCTTCAAATAGGTTGTTCTATTCCAACTCTATCCTTCCAATTTGGAATGTTTGAGGCCACTGGGGAAGAGAAGGTACCATGAAAATGGGCTCTGGAACCTCTGAATCTGGGAATTCTAGGGTAGAGGAAAAGGCAGTAGGGGCTAGTACAAACACCCACCTATTCTTTCATTCTGAATAAAAGGATGTAAGGAGTTCTGATTTTTAGAAACAAGCGTTTATGTACATTTTCTGATGCTAACCCTACTCTCCATCTTCCTTCAACCTACCACGCTCTGCATTCAGGTACTTGACAGCAATTGCCTTTCATAAGAGACCAAGTATTTCCCTTTGCAATTAGAGACACGAGGTTGAAAATCCAAACAATATTGGTATATAAATATGTCACTATCAGAAAGGAAAGATGAATATGAATTTTTTCCTCTTTTGAAATGGAGAGGAAATTATAAAAGAAGCTTTTGCCCTTGTTTAAAGTACATGGGCAGAAGAGAGAACAATCATTTGTTCAGTATAAGTAAAAGAGTAGAAGTACTTCATACCTTTTGTAGCCCAGTATGCAGGTACCAGAGGGAACTGTGGTTAAAGGCATTAGGAGATGACATGCTACTTCAGATCTACCTAAAAAGCAAGAAGTGATGCATCCCTGAAAAGCATTCAGCTAACAGTTGGGGAGAAGCTGTAAGTGATATATTGGAGTTCTTAATCAGAACAGTATATTCTTTCTGAGTGTTACATGGTATTAACTGGCAACCGTTATAAGAAGGGCTTTAGATAGGGTCAGCCATATTTAAAATTGTGAAGCCTGAAGAATTCACCTCCTAGATTTTGGACTTTTTCTTTCTGTTTGAATTGAGTGGTATTTTTTCTTCTTTTTAGAAAAGAAAGCTATTGTTTTCTCATCAAAGTGTAATCCGATTCTAAAAGGTAAATCATTGATACCAGCCTCCTATCAATTTTTAAACATGCCCATACAATTAAAGAGATATTTGAGGAGATGATACCTATATTCTAAGAACTACTGCCAGGGTAAGAAACAAGATATGCAAACAAAATGTCTAACATATGTAGCACTTTAGAATCTATGAAATACTCTTCCCATATACAAAGAGCCAAAGTCTTCTGACTATAAGATCTCTACTTGTTTGATTAAATCCCACTACCTCTAACAAAAACTGGACTGTGAATGGTATTCAAATAATTAGTAGTGATGATAATGGGATCATTTTAGAACAGAGTTAAGGAGAGATCTGAAAGTATGGGGAGATGGGATTTGAATACAAGGGCCTTCAAAATACGATCAGCCATGTTTACTTGCCTAAGATTAAGCCTGATTCAGAGACAGTCTGGCTTATTATAGAGCCCAGTGAGTCTTTGTTTACTTCCAGAGTAATGATTAGGGCAGTTGAATTCAGGAAAGACTTAGTGTAAAGGAAAAGTAATCAGTTGGGAGAAAAAAACAGTATTTAGGGAAATCATTCCTGATACAAAGATGCTAAATGAGCATATAGAAGAAATGAAAACAGTAAATGCATTTTCAACTTTCAGAAAGCTTTTGATGAAGATCCATACCAAAGTTTCCCAACATCTAATTCCTAGGAGAATATTTTGTCACAATTAGATCTGGCTTAGAGATGTGGGAAACAGGGTAAGGATGATCAGGTATAGTGTCCTGAATGATTGAGCCCGAGACTTTGATCATTTTTCATAAATGATTTAAAACAGCACTAATAGAAATATAATATGTGGCACTTACTTAATTTTAGATTTTCTAGTGGACACTGTAAAAAACAAGCAGGAGAAATTAATTTTAGTAATGTTTTATTTGACCCATATATCCCAAACCTGGTCATTTTGACATGTAATCAACATAAAAATCAATGAGATATTTTACATTCTTTTCTTATACAAAGTCTTTGAAATCTGGTATATATTTTACAATTGCAGCATAGGTTGAATTTCAGCTACATTCCAAGGGCTCAGAAGCATGTGACTAGTGGGTACCATATTGGACAGCACAGATCTAGAAGAAGGAATGTACAGTATAATCTTCAGATTTACACATGGCACTCAGCTCAGAAGTGCCAGGTTAAGAAGTAGAATATGAAGGAAGAACTCTCAGGACAAGTATGTAAGAAATAAATCCAAACTACACTTTAAAATATGAGATCTAGGATTCTTAAAGAAGTAGTCAGTATGTCACTGTGCTTCCAAAACAAGAAATCTGACTTTTCATGAAAGATGTCACAAAATGAAATCTTTTTATACCCTTATTTTAAAACTATGAAATTCTCTGGGAATAAATTATTTGTGCATTTATGGTTGCTATAATACAAGGAATTTAAAACAGAACTGGATAGGGCGAGGACAAATAATTAAAATTAACACGGAAATGAGATAGCCATATAAAGATAAATGGATGGGAAAAAAATTAGTGTTCTTCAGCTGAAAAGACAAAGGTGGGTGAATGACTAATGGAAGCATATAAATACAAAAAGTAAACAATAAGGATAGTCAGCAACCTTACTGGAACTAAATCTGTAGAGCAATGAAGATAAATCTCATGTTCCTGATGATAATCAGATGATTCACGCTAAAAGAATACTTAAAAGGTCTTCGATAATCCAGCATGCTAGACACTTGCTGGTAGACTTCACAGAGACACAAACATGCTGTATTTTTTTTACGCTATGTATCCTGCACCTAGTAGAGTTTCTGGCTTGTTGCAGTTTAGTGAATGTCCTGGGAGGAAAGGGGAGGATCAATGAACTTTTGAGATAAAAATCTGATTTTATCAGTTGCCTGCCTCAGTGGTTTCTGATTGCGTATTGTAGGATGACAAATTCCAGCCCTCGCAGGCCTGGTCCCTATTTATTTCTCAGCCCTCCTTTCTCCCCTGCCATTCTCCAGTTTAGCCATGCTTTCACTCCTCCACACTTGCCATACTCTCTGTCCTCTACACAGCCATGGTACATGTGCACTCTACCCCCAACTCATTTCTCCCCATACAAACCTTGGTTAACCCATTCATCCGATCTCTGCTTGTGTTAGACCTTAGCTTGTTTGCCCTCGGATACATTCTTGGGCCCTTCCCTGCTGTATGCCATGAGAGGGCTGACCTTTGCAGGCTGTATTTCAGCTAGGTTTGACCAATGTAAAGCACTGATGGGAAATAGGAGTGAACTGGGAAAGCCAGGGTTTTCTTCCTCTTCCCCCCTCTGCATTGGACAATGTGTCTGACAGCCATTCTTTCTCCTTCGTGGCACCATGCTTCTGACAGGACAGGCCCACCATATTTCCAGCTTCTGCTTGATACTGTAGCCTCTGGCCTCTACTAATACCACCTCTTCCTCCCCCTGCCCTTCCTTCCAGCCAAAGGTTGATAGTAACTTCTTAGAACTGTTACTCATATCTGAGTGTCCTCACTGTCTCCTGTTTGGTACTCAGTTCTTCTGTCACCAAGTAGCCATCCTCTGTTTTAAAGGGCTTCCATATTAAATACTTAGTTTTCTGTTTTCTTAGAGCCTATTAATAAAACAGTAATCATCATTTCCTCTGGAAACCTTTCCTAACTATCATGAAACTCCTTGGTAATGCTTATCACAGTTGGGATTTCGCATTTATGTTTCTATGATAATGTGATCAGTATTGTCTCCAGCAATATCTTCCGTATCAGCAGGTACCATGATTGTTTTGCTCATAGCACGTGGCATTCAGTGGGTATTCAGTAAATGTTTTCGGTATGACTAAGGCTGGCTGTCTGACCATGAGCCTTCATACAACCTCAACCCTTCTTCTTCCAGACCTTCAAAGTTTTAGCGTGACTTTTAGTCACACTTCTGTTTCCTTTCCATCTTCAAGGCTATTCCTGATGTATGTTTTAACCAAATAAAAATGTTTAGGGTAAGGAAGTCCACAAAATGAGAGATATACTACTCAATATTAATTTTGTGAAAAGCCTGATTTTTAGAGTGAGGATTTTAGTTTACAGATGTGGTGCATTATAGTATTTTATTTCTGGCATTACTAAACACATCAAAAACATTTCTTACTCTATGTGTATAGTTTAATGTAACCTAAATAAAATGACTAGGTATAATCTAAAATTTTACTTGCCTTACTTCCCTTTCAGTTTTGGAGAGTTTTAGAAGTCTTGCTGAATGAAATTGAATGCACCTACAAGCCCACCTCTGTCATGTATTGTTGAATGTACATACAAAGAGTATAAAAGAGCTTCCTAAAGAACTGTGATTTCAAGTAAGAATATTTGAGACAGACAAACTTACAAATACGTTAGGCCAGATGCCTCAGAGTTGGCATTTTGGTGTGTTTTTTTAAGGCCAGATTCCTTGCAGATAGCATTTTGGTGCTCCTATTTAACCATTTGCCATTTACAGTCTTAATCTTATCAAAAGGAAGAGAAAGATTAAAGCAAATAAAGCCTTTTTGAAAATGTCAGTTTTTATGAAAACTCAGGTTTAGTTCAATTTGATAATACTTGTGAATACAGTAGGGACTCAATGAAATTTTAACCATATATAACATTCTATAGTTTGGCTTCTTTAAATGCCTTTGAGCTTTAATAGTAAATCCTATGGAACATTTCTTCTCTTAAAGTTCATCTTGATTAAAAATGAGGGATGTAGTTCTCTGTCTTAGGTTTTCTAAGTATGTTTACTATGATTCTAAGATGCTGGGGAAAGAATAGGAAGTTATGTTAAAATATACAAACATAAACTCTCCAGATCAAATCAGTGGAAGGCACTATGAGTATGAGAACAGGAAACTGAGTATGAGGTGTAAGGCATTGTATCATCTTTCCCTTCAAGGAAAATTCGTAGTAGGGAAATCAGAGCAACAGTACTGTGAGTATCAGTAGTACTGTGAGGTTCCAATGAGGGAGAAGTAACATTCTTTTGGGAAAACAAGAAAAGAATATATTAAGGCGGTGACATTTGAACCAAACCTCATAGTATGTATAGGATTTTGAGATGGCAGAGAGGCCAGTTCAAGATGAGGACATAACAAAATCCCCAGTTAAGAGTGAGACTATTTGAGTATCTTTGAGATAGAGTGAGTTGTTCAAGTTGGCTAAAGAATATGATAGCATAGGAAGTTATGCAAAACAAGAATAAAAAGGTCGGACCACCTTATAGAGGACTTTAAATACCACACTAAGAAGTTTGCCTGTTACTCTCCAAGACTGTTGGACCTCTGGAGGCTTTTAGAATGAAAGTGACATCAGAATCTTTCTTCAGGCAGATTGAGAGCTGGATTTGAGTCTCAGCTAGGCCACTTTTTCCAGCATGACCTTAGTCAAGAGTCCCCAAACCCGTTTCATCCACAAGTACTTTATTCTATAAAATGGGACTGATGCTTCTTATGGTTGTATGAGGGTTAATTGAGATTAAATATATTAAAATGTCCAGCACAGTATTTAGCACATAGTAGTTAGTCAATAATGTTTATTGAACCTGGCAGCAATGGATAAAATCAAGGATGATTTGATAGGGTAAAGACCTGAAAAAGTAGAGGTGAGGGGTAATGAAAGTCTGAACTAGAAAGGTGGCAATGGAAATGGAAAATAGAGTCTGTGTGGCTTGAATACCACTGGGAATGGAGGGTTTTTGGAGTGAGCAAGGAAGCCAGAAAGATGAGCTATGAGGAGGGAGAAGGAAAAGGAGAAAGAGGATCTCATTCTGTGCAAGCTGTTTGAGGTATAGTGACTATCAAAGGCCAGGCTAGAGATGGAATGTTTTTCATGTGGTGCTTTGATCTACTATGTTTTTTTTTTTTTTAATTTTTACTGCTGTTATTTCAACTTTTAGTATCTTAACTAATAAGTTGAATGCTTTGAGGTTTATGCTATGTTTTTAAGCTCTCTTTTTTTCATATAGGGTAAAGAAAAGCAAAGTAGTTTCACAGTATTGTAGTAAGAATCTAAATTTTTTTAAGAGCAAGTTAAAGGAGGCAACAGTCATAAAACTTAAACATTATTTTTAGGTTCTGTTTCTCAGAATCCTGCAGTTTACTGAGATTCAACTAAAACTGATTCACACAGTCCATATATTCTCACTAGTTAAAACATCCTTTTCAAGGCACAGTAGCACCTTCCTATAAAAATCCACTTAGCCAAATAGCTGATTTTCTGAGCCATACACGGATGCAGAACTAGGACATAAACACACACTTTAGGAAAGTATTAGAGAGATGTTTTGGGAGATCTGGCAGTAGCATTCAACTCCCTGTCCACATATATTCAGTCCAGTGGTAGTCAGCAATTACAAGTTTCTGCAATTTTTCTGTGCCAGTCATAGTTTTAAGATTTTACATGCATTAACCATTTAATCCTCATTTAACAATACCATAATAATAGGCACTATTATTATCTCTGTTTTATATATGAGGAAATTGAGATGTAAAGACAGAAGTAATTTATCCAAATCACCCAGCTAGCTGGCAGTAAAAACAGTCTGCAAACCCAGGCAGTGTGACTCCACAGCTGATGTTCTTAACTAGTACTATATCATTTCCACAAATGGTGTCCTATAGGCCTGGGTTCAGATCTAGCTTTTTCCACTCTCGCTCTATGACTATGAGCAAGGTATTTCATAATCTCTACAGTAGAGGTAATAGTAACTGCCTTACAGGATATAAGGGTTAAATGTATGTAAAACCCTTAGCATAATACCTGGCACATAATATCTATTATTATTTAACTTAACCTGATTGACCTCTTTTGTTCCTATGGTTTTAGTGCATATATTTTGTGTGTCCTCATAAATCCCCTACACTCACTCCCTTTTATTTTATTTGTTTATTTTTTCTTGTACAAGTTTATAAGACCCTTTTAAATCCTTCCTGTAACAATGTGAGGAGGGCAGGGAGAGTATCCTCCTCAATCATGAGATAGTGGTATTGTTGTTGTTGTTTAAGATTGTGTTCTCAAATAATGACTTGAGAATATCAGCAAGCTTATTAAGAGCTGTTATAAGGAGGATGGAGATCAGTAGCTGCTGCCCATGTCAACTGAGGATAAAATATGGACAAGCATTTATATTTCATCAGGAATATTTAAGATAAGAAATAAAGAACTTTTTAGGAATAAAGAATATTAATATCATAGCATGGATGTTAGTGCTTCCAGATAGTTGTAATTAATAACAGAAAGTTTTAAAGCATTTAGGAAGTAGTTCATGATACTTCACTATTTGACATCTCTAGTTTCACCCATTTGCATTTTGCTGTAAATGTGAAGTTCTATAATATACTAATTGAAGGTACTTTAAAATGAATAAGCTAAAAGTAAGACTAGTTAAAATTTTTGTTTTTGCCTTCAAACAGGTAAGTGGAAAGGGGTAGAAACAGCAACACTTAATTCGTATGTCTTATTAAACCCGTCTTTGTAGTATTTTCATTAGTTATTGTGTATTTCTCAACTTAAATATTGAACATGAGTAGAGTTTAAAGTCGATTTGGGAACAGCCGTGTTTCCCATTTGTAAGCATGTTGGTTTACATTGATATTGGATTGTACTAGAGAAATAGGTGGTTATATTTGAAAATTGTTTGTGTATAAACAATATGCCCTATGCTGGAAGAGATAAGGATGTTTTATTAACTACTGTAAATAAGACTACTTCTGGATAATTCATTATATTTTTTAAAGGTTATCTAGTAATTCTTAGAGTATGGACAGATGACTTTTTTCCTAAATGAATGATTGTGAATTATCTTTTGTAAGTTGATCAATACTGAGAGTGTTGTCAGAAGTTTAAGTAGGAGGCCATTAAGCAAAAGGAAGTATCATGAAGCAGATTTTTAATTTTTGTGATGATACACTCATTTGTTTGCAGAAACTTGCATATTTTAACAAAATCAACCTGTGTAAGATAAGTTATATATGTTTAGAAATTGGTATGGGCAATTTTCCCCCATTTAAAAAAAATTAGAAACCTATAAAGAAGACTACAAAAGTCAACCATAATTCCACTACCCAGAGAGATCACTGTTAACTTTTTAGAAAAAACTTTATAAACATACACATACACCCATTGCTCACATACGAATATGCTTGTGTGTTCTTAAAGCATAAGTAGCCAACAGGCAGTAGTTTACTACTGATGTAAGTAATCCCTTGGTCAAAGATTATGCAAAAATAAAAGGCTGTTGATTCATATTTCAAATTATATTTCAGCTGGAATAAGGTCTGTAGATTAGATAATAGTATTATCCCAATGTTAGCTTTCTAACTCTGGCAGTTATACTGTGGTTATGTGAGAGAATGTCCTTGTTAGGTAATACATGCTTAAATATTTAGAAGTTAATGACATCATATGTATAACTTATTTTCAAATAGTTCAGAAAAATAATATGCAGAGTGAAACAAATGTGGCAAAATGTTAATAATTGGAAAATCTGGGTTTAGGATAAATGGGAATTCTTTACTAGTTTTGGAGCCTTTCTGTAAGGTTGAAATTATTTCAAGATAAAAAAGTAATTTTTTAAAAAAAAACCTTATTTATAAAAAAAAAAACAAAACCTATCTGTACCTAAGGCTCTCATACTTCCTTAGTAAGATGTAAGTCATCTGCAGAAGTAGAGTGATACTATATGAAGTTGAGGCCTGACCTGGTGATTCAGAATAAGAACTGTTTCTATTTAACAAAGGAATTAAAAAGGGCAAGAGTGTTCTACTCTGTTGTTCACCTGACAACCTCGGCCTTTGCATATTTTACTGAAATTTTTATTTTACTGGAATGGTAGTATAAAATTTAAATTTATTTCCAACATCAATCATTGTAAAAGAGAGAGAAAAGAAGAAACCTTAAGTATATTGCAAGGTAATCATTAGGATGTAATTATTTTCCTAACAGCCTTTTGAACCTGAGCAGAGGATCATTTTTATTCCTTAGATCTCTTAAATTGGTTATATTTGTATAATAGAGTTTACTTTTTGATATTATACTTCTAGATCTTTGTTGTCTCTTAGATGAGGTGACCAGTGGATACATTCCCGATTTACCATCCAGTTGCTTTAGAAACCAAGTTATCAAATGGCCAAGCTGGCATTCTATTTTGAAGATTGAGGGGGGTCACTTGTATTTTCATCCAGAAAGAAATCTTCTTGAGGGGAGATAACAGACGTACCTGTACCTAGATTGCGCCAGATGTTTATGCCAATAGTTTCATTTAATGTTGACAACAACCCAGTGTGGTAGATATCAGATGTCACCGTTTTATGGTTAAGACTCACAGGGGCTAAATCACTTGTCTAAGGTGACAAAACTAGTAAATGTTAGAGCCAAAACTCAAACCCAACTCTTAGAACAAAGCCATGCTAGATGACATGGAAGATTTTCTTCAAAAACTAATTTTAAATCTGCCCTAGTTCTTAGGAGAGGCTGACTTCAGCAGCTTCTTAGCTATCCATTAAATGTTAATTTCTGAAAATTTAGGCGTTATACAAGTTGAGCATTCCAAATCCAAAAATCTGAAATGCTCTGAAATCTGAAACTTCGTATCACCGACATGACACTTAAAGGAAATGCTCATTGGAGCATTTCAGATTTCAGATTTCCAGATTTGGGATCCTCAACATGTGAGATAATTTAGGATTCATTCCTTGTACTATTCAAATGCACCCCTATAAGAATATCTCTCTCTCTCTCCATATATGTGTGTGTGTGTGTGTGTGTGTGTGTGTGTGTGTGTGTGTGTGTATGTGTGTGTATATATGTGTGTGTGTGTGTGTATTTTGTTTGTTTGTTTGTTTGTTTTTGAGACAGAGTCTTGCTCTGTTGCCCAGGCTGGAGTGCAGTGGTGCAATCTCTGCTCACTGCAACCTCTTGCCTCCCGGATTCAAGCAATTCTCGTGCCTCAGCCTCCCAAGTAGGTGGGATTACTGGCACGCACTACCATGCTGGCTAAGTTTCGTATTTTTAGTAGAGATGGGGTTTTAGCATATTGGCCAGGCTGGTTTCGAACTTCTGACCTCAGGTGATCTGCCCACCTCAGCCTCCCAAAGTGCTGGGATTATAGGCATCAGCCACCATGCCCAGCCAAGAATACTTTTTTATTATACAGTTGCTGCCATATATCTGAGGGCTCTGCATCTTTGTATTCTATCAACAGCTGATGAAAAATATGGTATTTGTCGGATATAGAACCCACAGACATGGATGACTTTTTGTATCTAAAAGTTCCACAGGGCTGACTGTAAGATTTGAGCATCAGCAGACCCAGTGTCCATGGGGGTCCTAGAATCAGTTTTCTACAGATACTGTATTAGTCTGTTTTCACGCTGCTGATAAAGACATACCTGAAACTGGGAACAAAAAGAGGCTTATTTGGACTTGCAATTCCACATGGCTGGGGAGGCCTCAGAATCATCTCAAGGCAAAAGACACTTCTTACATGGCAGCAGCAAGAGAAAAATGAGGAAGAAGCAAAAGCAGAAACCCCCTGATAAACCCATCAGATCTCTTGAGACTATTTGCTATCATGAGAATAGCATGGGAAAGACCGGCCCCCATGATTCAATTACCTCCCCTTGGGTCCCTCCCACAACACATGGGAATTCTTGGAGATACAATTCAAGATGAGAATTGGGTGGAGGCACAGCCAAACCATATCATTCCCCCCTGGCCCCTCCAAATCTCATGTCTTCACATTTCAAAACCAGTCATGCCTTCCCAGTAGTCCCCAAAAAGTCTTAACTCATTTCAGCATTAACCCAAAAGCCCACAGTCCAAAGTCTCATCTGAGACAAGGCAAGTCCCTTCCGCCTATGAGCCTGTAAAATCAAAAGCAAGCTAGTTACTTCCTAGATACGATGGGGGTACAGGTATTGGGTAAATACAGCCATTCCAAATAAGAGAAATTGGCCAAAACAAAGGGTTACAGGGCCCATACAAGTCCGAAATCCAGAAGGGCAGTCAAATTTTAAAGCTCCAAAATGATCTCCTTTGACCCCAGGTCTCACATCCAGGTCACGCTGATGCAAGAAGTGGGTTCCCATGGTCTTAGACAGCTCCACCTCTGTGGCTTTACAGGGTACAATCTCCCTCACAGCTGTTTTCATGGGCTGGCATCGAGTGTCTGAGGCTTTTCCAGGCTTATGGTACAAGCTGTTGGTGGATCTTCCATTCTGGGTTCTGGAGGATGGTGGCCCTCTTCTCACAGCTCCACTAGGCAGTGCCCTGGTAGAGACTCTGTGTGGGGGGCTCTGACCCCACATTTCCCTTTGACACTGCCCTAGCAGAGGTTCTCCATGAGGGCCCCAAGCCTGCAGTAAACTTTTGCCTGGGCATCCAGGCATTTCCATACATCTTCTGAAATCTAGGCAGAGGTTCCCAAACCTCAATTCTTCTGTGCACCCACAGGCTGAATAAGGCTTGGGGGCTTCCACCCTCTAAAGCCACAGCCCAAGCTATACGTTGGCCTCTTTCAGCCACAGCTGGAGTGGCTAGGACAACAGGGCACTAAGTCCCTAGGCTGAACACAGCACAGGGACCCTGGGCCCAGCCCATGAAACCACTTTTTCCTCCTGGGCCTCTGGGCCTGTGATGGGAGGGGCTGCCTTGAAGGTCTCTATATGGCCTGGAGACATTTTCCCCATGGTCTTGGGATTTAACATTAGGCTCCTTGCTACTTATGCAAATTTCTGCAGCCGGCTTGAATTTCTCCCCACAAAATGGATTTTTCTTTTCTATCGCATAGTCAGGCTCCAAATTTTCCAAACTTTTATGCTCTGTTTCCCTTATAAAACCAAATGTCTTTAACAGCACCCAAGTCACCTGTTGAATGCTTTTCTTCTTAGAAATTTCTTCTGCCAGATACCCTAAATCATCTTTCTCAAGTTCAAAATTCCACAAATCTCTAGGGCAGGGGTAAAATGCTGCCAGTCTCTTTGCTAAAATATAACAAGAGTCACCTTTACTCCAGTTCCCAACAAGTTCCTCATCTCCATCTGAGACCACCTCAGCCTGGACCTTATTGTCCATGTCGCTGTCAGTGTTTTGGGCAAAGCCATTCGACAAGTTTCTAGGAAGTTCCAAACTTTCCCACATTTTCTTTTCTTCTGAGCCTTCCAAACTGTTCCAACCTCTCTGCCTTTTACCCAGTTCCAAAGTCGCTTCCACATTTTCAGGTATCTTTTCAGCACCGCCCCACTCTAATGGTACCAATTTACTGTATTAGTCCATTTTCATGCTTCTGATAAAGGCATACCTGAGACTGGGCATTTTACAAAAGAAAGAGGTTTAATGGGACTTAACAGTTCCACATGGCTGGGGAGGCCTCAGAATCATGCCAGGAGGCAAAAGGCACTTCTTACATGGAGGCAGCAAGAGAAAAATGAGGAAGAAGCAAAAGCGGAAACCCCTGATAAACCCATCAGATCTCATGAGACTTAATTCACTATCACGAGAATAGCACAGGAAAGACTGGCCCTCTTGATTCAATTACGCCCCCCTGGGTCCCTCCCACAACATATGTGAATTCTGGGAGATACAATTCAAGTTGAGATTTGGGTGGGGACACAGCCAAACCATATCAGATACCAAGGCACAACTGCATATATAATTTTTGTCATAATTGAGATACAGCATTTCTCCTTAGTTGAGAGATTCTTTTCCATTTATCTGGCTTATGAGTTTAAGAACTTTTCTGATTTTATATCTTTATGAATTGTTTAAATATAGTGACAGGTCTTTTGAAAAGTTCTGTGGGAGTTGATAGTAATTTTTATGCCAAGTGATAAAAACAAGACATTTGCCATATGTCTGTTTCAAAGAGTTATACTTACTTTGAAAAAGATGGTGTGATTGTGTGCATCCAAATTGTGAATCCTCTTTGCTGGTAAGACAGTTTCAAAGATGACACCTAGTAAATGTGGTATCTCCTTTGTTTTTCTATTAAAGTGATGGAACTAAATGGAAAATGATTGAGAATATAGTGGGTTCCTTGGAACAAGGTCTATTGTTTCCAAGTAGTTGAGGGTCCCATGAAGTATTTCAGTTTATATCTTTTGTGCTGTTAAAACTGCCTGGCTTAGAAGTAAATTAGATTGATACCAGAAGGACCCTTCAGAAGCTCAGTATTTTGTTTCTTTTCATGTGTTTTCTTTGTTTTGTTCTAGAACCTAGAAATTGTTTTATTAACTTTTCAGAATTATAATTTACTGAAATATGCTTTATAAACAGAAATTGAGTAATAGTAGTCTAGTTCTAACTTAGTCACTTCTAAACTGAACCACATGTTACTTGAGTTACCTTACACTCAAGGGTGTTTGTGGGGGCTGTCCGGGGGAGGGAGAGAAGAGGGAATTAGAGGAAAAAGGGAGGGAGGAGAGAACAAAAATGAACAAGAACAAATGTGTATCTCTTTGTGTTTAGCCTAATGCTAATGGAGTTAGTTGGGATCGTCAATTATGGTTGTGATTTTTAAAGGTGATGGATGGTAAAATAGGAAATTTAGCCCTAGATCTTCAACAGCCTTCTTGCTGCCTCTAATTGGGATGGACAGTAAGCTGGTAGTCCCTCACTTGGCAGTAAATTGTATCCTTTAACCATAAACAAATTGATCTGACATCTGGCATTTACCGAAATAGCCAGAGTTGCTCATTCAGAAAATGTAACCAAAGTTACATTTCTAACATATTTTCTGCCAAGTATGTTGTACATAGAAGTTCACCTTGCAAACAGCTCAGTAACTTATTTAATATAAAAAGTTGTTTTAGTTTTAGAAATCTTGACCTCTCAATTGTAACTGAAAATTTGGAAATAATTATCTTATACTTTAATCATAATGGCCCAAGTTCCTGATATTCAGAATTCAATTGCCAAGTGCCAAAAGCAAGCCAAACAAAGGTGATTTGTATACTGGTCCCTCAAAAATGATGATTTTTTGGCCAGGCGCAGTGGCTCATACCTGTAATCCCAGCACTTTGGGAGGCTGAGGTGGGCTAATTACTTGAGGCCAGTTCAAGACCAGCCTGGCCAACATGGTGAAACCCTGTCTCTACTAAAAATAAAAATTAGCCAGGTGTGGTGGCACGCACCTGTAATCCCAGCTACTCTGATGGCTGAGGTAAGAGAATTATTTGAACCTGGGAGGCAGAGGTTGCAGTGAGCCAAGATCATGCCACTGCACTCTAGCCTAGACAACAGAGCAAGACTGTCTCAAAAAAAAGAAAAAAATGATGATTTTTAGTTGCTGCCTTAGTCCATTTGGACTGCTATAACAAAAATAACAAACTGAGTGGCTCGTAAGCAACAGAAATGAATTCCTCACAGTTTGAGAGGCTGGGAAGTCCAAGATCAGGGCACCAGCAGATTCACTGTCTGCTGGCTTCTTGATTCATAGCTGGCTGTCTTTTCCCTATGTCCTCACATGGCAGAAGGGATAAGGGTGTTCTCTCAGGCTTCTTTTATAAGGGTACTAATAAAAGAGGGCTCCACCCTCATGACCTAATCATCTCCCAAAGACCCCATCTCCTAATACAATCATGTTAGGGGGTTGGGATTTCAACATATAAATTGGTAGAAGGTTGGGGATGGGGGAACACATATATTTAGTTCATAGCAATCGCCTTTGGAAGATCTGTAGCATGTAGAGTTTTGGTTCCTTCAACCAAAGGAGCTTTTTTATATTCTCATGAGCAGAAGGACTAAATTTTATAAACTTAAGAGGCTTTGTGACAGAAATGTTTGGATGCTACATTATAGAATGGTTTTTGAAGACCATTTTAAAATTTGAATAATCTGAGAATATTCAGAGTATTTGGCATTAACAAATATTTCTACTTTCAGACATGTTTTCCAAAACTTCCATTTATATAAGCAAATTTTTAAAGAGTCTCTGTACTTATTAGTCTAATTCTACTCCTGCTTATTTAGGATGTTTATCCAGCCAGAGGACCACGAAACAAAAATATTGCATTTTTCTGGAATAATAGGAATTAGGAAGCCAGAACAAACCCTAAGTGGTGGCAGCTTTTTAAAATGAGGGAATAGCAGGCCCAGTTTTTTTAACCTGTGAGAAAACAGGTGAAATTAGAGAACTGGCCTGGTACTGAAAAGAGACCTGGAGGAGGAGAGGGTAAAGGTGTTGATTTGACATGGGGGGGGTTTCTCATATAACCTGTGCTAGCATATAGGTTCCCTGGCCAGTCTACAAAAACCCGTGTAATAGCTGAAAGAAGTGGTGGTTCTGTTGTTTTAAAAATGTAGGCAACAAGATCACTGCACACAAGTGCAATAGTAATTGAATAAAACAGGATTCCTGCACTGAGGAAGAAATATCTTCCTCAAGGTTCTATAAAACCCCCAAAAGATCACACCAGCAATGGATCCAAACCAAGAAGAAATCTCTGAATTCCAGATAAAGAATTCAGGGGGTTGATTATTAAGCTATTCAAGGAATACCAAAGAAAGGTGAAAATCAACTAAAAGAAATTAGAAAAAAAATAGGATATGGATGAAAAATTCTCCAGAGAAATAGATATCATAAAGAAAAAGCAACCACAATTTCTGGAAATGAAAGACACACTTAGATAAATACAAAATGCAGTGGAAAGTTTCAACAACAGACTACAATAAGTAGAAGAAAGAACTTCAGAGCTGGAAGACAAGGCTTTTGAATTAATCCAATCAGAAAGAGACAAAGAAAAAAGAATAAAACAAAATAAACAAAGCTTCTAAGAAATTTGGGATTATGTTGAATGGAAAAACCTACAAATAACTGGTGTTCCTGAGGAAGAAGAGAAATCTAAAAGTCTGGAAAACTGATTTGAGGGAATAATTGAGGAAAACTTCCCTGGCCTTGCTAGAGATTTAGGCATCCAAATACAAGAAGTTCAAAGAATACCTGGGAAATTCTTTGCAAAAAGATCATTACCAGATTCAATCAACTGTGGATTGAAACCCAACCGTGGACTGTGAGGGATCAGATTTTCTTTGTTTTCTGAAAGAGAACTAAAACTATTAAATTTGTAGATGGTGGCAAACTTTCACCATTTATAAAGATTTTGAGTGAAAACGTCTATAGATGTTAATGTTAATTCCTTAATTGTAGGTTATCTTTTGGAATAAGGAAGCACCCAGATTTACATCTTGGGATTCAGCCAACTACGGACTGAAACCCAGCTGTGGATTAGGACTGTGAGGACTGTGATGGATATGGAGGGCTGATTGTACTGCCTCATTTTGCATAAGGCCTCATTATATGCCTCATTGCGTATGTATCTGAGCATATACCGATTTTGGTATCCTCGAGTGGGGTCCTGGAACCCTTGTGGATATGGAGGGCTGACTGCTAAAGATATGTTTAAAGAAAAAAAACTTTCAAGAAAAAGGCTGTACAAGACAAAATGTAATGATGCCCAGCTTTGCAGTAAACAATATGTAGTCACAATATCGTAAACATTATTTGCTGATTTTTAGTTTTAGAATCGATCAACCTTGTAGCTTCACTGTAGTTACAAAAGGAATATAATAGTTATTAACTTTGATAGTAGAGTTTAGAAGGTAGAAGTATAAGGAGGAGAGAAAGAGGGAAGAATATAAAGTCCTGATATCAGATATATATATTGTCTGTAGTTGATAAATAAGAAATATAGGGGTATAACTGTATTGATGATAGTTATAAAGAAGTTATGTAGAAGAACTAAAAACAGTGCTGTAATTACTATAATTTGGGGGAAAGGTGAGTAGCCTCCTTGCCTGTAATAGTAGGAAGTCAACACATTGTCTAAAATTTGGTATATTAAGAAATGATGATGTATGCATATTATCTAGAGAAAAAAGGTAACCCCCAAAACGACTAAAAACAAAGAGTTTAAAAGCAGTTGCTATGGTGTGGGGATGGGGTAAAGGGGACTTGAGGAGACAGGACTATTGCTCTTGTGTTATTTTTCTATATTTGATTTTTTAACCACATGCAAGTATTTGATAATTACAAGTTCTAATTCTTTTTAATAGTAGTAAAAACTTGAGTTACATTTTTTTTCTTTCAGACACGCTGTTCTTGCTTCTTATATCTGGTTTCATTCTGTATCTACAGTCTAGTAATTCCAATTATGGGTAGGTCAAAGTCAGTATGCATTTGATTGACATAAGTTGAATTTAAAAAACCATATAAATATTGCTTTTCTTCCTTATTAACTTAAGGATCATCTAAATTCATACCAAGTTGTCTTTTATTAAATTAGGTAAATTGGAAAACTAAAGGTTATCTGAATTAGTGATCTGCATATTTAAGCATCTTAGGACAAAAACTGGCATATATAAGGTTTTGTTTTTGCTTTCCTTTTAGTAGCTTTATTTTGAGGTATAATTTAAACAATAAAATTTACTAAGGGTACAGTGTGGTGAATTTTGGTAATTGTATACAATCATGTAACCTCTACCTTCATCAAGATAGAGAATAATTTTATCACCTCATCCATTACAGATGTTCCTCAACTTACATTGGGGTTACATCCAGATAAACCCATTGTTGTAAATTGAAAATAGTATGTTTTTTACTTAACAATATTTTCAACTTATAGGCTTATCCAGATATATCCCCCATAATAAATTGAGGAGCACACTGAAACTGTATTGCTTTCCCACATCGTAAAGTCAAAAAATCTTAAGTCTAACCCTCATAAGTCAGGGACCACTTGCTATTTGTGTTACAGTTCACCTCATCATTTGACCAGTTCCTGGCTTTTATGAATGATGCTCTGTGAATATTGGCATGCAAGTCTGTGTGTGGCCATGTTTTCATTTCTCTTTGGTAAATATCTAAAAGTAGGATTGCTGGGTCCTATGGTGAGTGTATGTTTAACTTGAAAATGCCAAACTGCTTTCCAAAGTAGCTGTACCATTTTATATTCCCATCAGCAATATAGGAGAGTTTTAGTTGCTTCACATCCTCAGCAGCAGTTGGTATTGTCCACCTTTAATTTAGTCATTCTAGTAGGTATGTAGTATCTCATGGTTTGAATTTGTATTTTCCTAATGGCTAATTGAACATCTTTTAATATGCTTGTTGGCCATTTGCATATCTTCTTTTGTGAAGTATCTGTTCAAATCTTTTGCCCACTTTTTATTGGGCTTTTTCTTATTTAGTTGTAAGAGTTATATATTCATGGGTCAAGGTCCTTTCTCAGATGAATGTTTTTCAAATATTTTCTCCTAATCTATGGCTTATCATTTCATTTTCTTAACTGTCTTTCAAAGAGCAAAAGTCATTAATTTTATGAAGTCCATTTTATAACTTTTTTCTTTTATAGATTTATACTGTTTGTGTCATGTTTAAGAAATCTTTGCCCAACTCAGTGTCATAAAGATGTTCTCCTGTATTTTCATCTATAAATTTAATAGTTTTAGTCCTTAAGTTTAGGTTCATTTTCCTTTTCCCATAAATTTTTATGTAGTGTGTGAGTCAAGGTTCACTTTTTTCCCTATTCAGACATCTACTTGTCTCAGTATACCCTTTTCCCTATTAATTAATCTAGCACCTGTGTCCAACATAAATTGACCATATAAGTGTTGTTCTGTTTGTGGACTATCATTCCATTATTTCATGTGTCTGTCATTAGACCAATACCACGCTGTCTTGATTTATCTAACATATAGCAAGCCTTGAAATCAGGTAGTGTAAGACCTCCAACCCTGTTATATTTAAGGAGTGTTTTGGCTGTTCTTGGTCCATTTCTTCTCTAAATGCCTGCAGGGATTTCGACTGGGATTGTGTTGAATTTGTAGATAAATTTGGGAAGAACTGTCATCTCAACAATAATGAATCTTATGCATGAACCATGGTATTCTCCATTTATTTAAATCTTCTTTCATTTCCCTTAAAATTCTCACAATAATGCAGTATATTGTAATTTGCAACATATAGGTCTTACACATCTTTCATTAAACTTAAATATTTTTAATACTATTGTAATAGATTTGGGATTTTTTAATTTTTCTAATTATAATTCCATATATTCTATAATTTATAATTTTAATTGTAATAATTTTCTGATATAGAGACACTCATTTGACTTTTGAATATTGACCTTGTAGTCTGTGACTTAATTTCACTTAATAGCTCTAATAGTTGTTTTGTAGATTTCTTGGAATTTTCTATGTATAGGATCATAGTATCTGCAAATAAAGACAGAGTTTTTTCCTCCCTTCCGATCTTTACACTTTCCTTTTTTTTTTCATTACACTGACATTAACTTCCAGTACAGTGTTGAAGTGTTAAGAGCAGAAATCCTTGCCTTGTTACTGATCTGAGTTATAAAACAAAATCTTTCATCTTTGAGTTTTGTGTTATTTGTAGATTTTTGTAGATGTCTAATCAGGTTTAGGAAGTTCTCTTATACTTCTAGTTTGCTGAGGGCTTTTACCATTAATGAATATTGGATTTTGTTAATTTTTTTGCAGTATTGAAATATGGCTTTCTCCATTGTTTTGTTAACACGATAAATTACATTGATTGATTCACTTGGTTATGATTATTATCTTTTTTAATGTATTGCTGGGTTGAATTTCCTAAAATTTTGTTAAATTTTGTATCTTTTTGAACATTAGAGAGATTAGTCTATACTTCTGTTTTCTTGTTTTATGTTTGCCTTGTTTTATTTTTTCTTTCAGAATTCACCGATGAAGCAACCTAGCTCCCAACTGGGAGGGAGTTTTTTGTGTGTTGGGAAGGAAGGCTTATAATTATGAATTTAATGTATATAATTGATATAACCATGTACACTTTAAAAGAATGTATTTTGCCATTGTTGAGTATAATGTTCTATAAGTGTCAGTTAAATCAAGGTTGATGATGTTGAGGTTGCCTGTGCCTCCACTTCTTTTTTCTAGTTATATTGGTTGCTGAGAGGATGAAGAAACCAAGTTTTACCTCTAACAGCAGCTTTAGTAAAGTTACATTGCAAAGAGACATGCTTATAAGAATAGGAGGAATTTGTTACCATGTTTTATGGTCTACCACTGAGTTCATTTTCAGTCTTTTTTGGGTTTTGTTGGTGGTGGTGGGTTTTTTTTGTTTTTGAGGCAGGGTCTAGCTCTGTTGCCCAGGCTGGACTGTAGTGGTGCAGTCATGGCTCAATGCAACCTCCACCTTCCCAGCTCAAGTGATCAAATCAGGATAACTAGCATAGCCATCACCGCAAACATTTCTTTGTGGTGAAAATATTAAAAATAATCTCTTCCAGCTATTTTGGAATATACAATACATTATTAACTATAGTTACCCTATTGTGCAATAGAACATCAGAACTTATACCTCCTAACTGTAACTTTTTATAGCCACTTCTGATCTCCCCACTCCCCCTATTCTCCCCAGCCTCTGGTAACCACTCTTCTACGTCTATTTCTATGAGATCAAGTTTTTTAGATTCCACATATGAGTGAGATCATACAGTATTTGTCCTTCTCTGCCTGGCTTATTTCACTTAACATAATGTCCTCTGGGTTCATCCATGTTGTCATAAATGACTTTTCTCTGGGGTTTTGTTTTTTGTGGCTGAATAGTATTCCACTGTGTTTGTATACCGCACATTTTTTATCCATTTATCCATTGATGGACTCTTAGGTTGATTCCATAGCTTGGCTCTTGTGAATAGTACTGCAGTAATCAAGGAAGTGCAAGTATATCTTCATCATACCAATTTCATTTTCTTTGACTATATACCCAATAGTGGGATTATTGGATCATTGCTAGTTCTATTTTTAAATTTTTGAGGAACCACTGTACTGTTTTTCATAATAGCTGTAACTAATCTACTTTCCCACTAACAGTGTATAGGAGTTCCTCTTCTTCCACATCCTTGTCAATATTTGTTTTTTTGTTTTTTTTTTTTTTTTTTGTCTTTTTGGTAATAGCCATTTATTTGGTAATATGTGTCTTCTCTCTTGTTTCTTGATCAGTTTAGCCTATAGGCTTACCAGTTTTATTGGTCATTTTATTGAGTCAGCTTTTATTGATTTCTCTATTATTTAAGTATCTGTTCCATTGGTTTCTGTTCTTTATTATTTCTTTGCTTCTACTTTGGGGTTTAATTTCTTAAAATGGGGACTTAGGTCACTAATTTTAGATTTTCCCCCCTATATAAGCATTTAAAACTATAAATTTCCTCTAAAACACTACTTTAGTTGCATCCCACAAATTCTGATTGGTTGCATTTTCATCATTTCATTTGAAATATTTTTGGATTTCTCTTGTGATTTTTCTTTAACTCATGAATTATTTAGAAGTGTGTTGTTTTGCTCTCCAGATATTTGGGGTTTTCCTAGTTACTAATTTGTAATTTAATTCCACTATGGTCAGAAAACATGCTTTGTAAGAGTTCTGTCTTTTTAAAATTACTGATATTTGTTTCATGACCTTCTACATCCTGGTGAACTTACCATGTACACTTGAAAAGAATGTATTTTGCCATTGTTGAGTATAATGTTCTATAAGTGTCAGTTAAATCAAGGTTGATGATGTTGAGGTTGCCTGTGCCTCCACTTATTTTTTTCTAGTTATATTGGTTGCTGAGAGAGGGATGAAGAAACCAAGTTATACCTCTAGCAGCAGCTTTAGTAAAGTTACATTGCAAAGAGATATGCTTATAAGGATAGGAGGAATTTGTTACCATGTTTTATGGTCTACCACTGAGTTGATTTTACTGTTCTCTGTACTTTTGTATATATTGGAAATTTTCTGTAATAAAATCTTAAAAGCCAAACCCTCTCAGGTGATATTATATTCCAGGGAATGCATGTTGAAGCCACAGCATGCTTCACCATGTACAGGAAAAATATTTAGGGTTTCTATTTATGTTTGTTTTTTACATTGTCATTTTAAAAGTTCTATTTTGGCATATGTTTTATAGTGCCAGGCATATCCAATAGTCATAAATAATTTTAAGATATAGATGCATACATATGGGAGAGAATTATATATTATATATCATTGTACTATTCTGGTTTTAAAATAGTAGTTTTACCCTAGTGGAAAATCAGTTTTGTTCCAAAAGTTGTGTATCATTGCATGGTCTTGAACCTTATCTTAAATTTTATATTAAAATAACAATGTTTTTGTGAAATACTCATTTTAAAATGCTTTGTTTCACCAGGCTTTTAATTAAGAGGTGTTTTTATATTCTGAAACTTCTGAATCATGTCAGAACTTAATTAAGGTGATGATTTTCATTTCAGGGAATGCTGAAATTAAAATCTAAAATTAGGTCAGTGGGGTGCAGGCTTAAAAGGAAACAAAAACCAGCTTGTAAAAGAAACAGTGTCTTATGTTCTGTTCCCTGTACATACTTGAAATTAAGAGTATTTACTAATAATCAGTAAAAATTGGGGAGAAAGTGAGGTAATGTAATATTGGCCCTAATTATTGCTACTGAAAACCTTATCTTTTTTTTTTTTTGCATCTGGAATGTTTACTTCAGGTATCATTTGAATTAAGAAAAGCAAAGGGAAAGATATGATTTATAGATAGAAAATAAATTAAGAAACTAAATTACACTAACACCTTACACTAGCCTCTATTCACTTCCTAATCCTACCCCCTGAATCTCCATTCTACTTTTAAAAGCAGAGTAAATAACAAAAAAAAAAAACACATTCCAAATGCAGGTGTTAATTTTTAAACTTTACAGTACTCAGACTTACACTGTTTAGGTTTTCTACCCATTTGCTATCATTAGCTTCCTGCAATTAGAAAAACTTACATTCTAAATTTCAGCTTTGGCAATCTGTATATTAAGAATATATTTATGTTCCTGGATTTGAGAGAATATGTTGTTAAGGGTTTTGTTAAAAGCCTTAATTGTGTACAGCACTTTACATTGTAAGGTGATTAATTGCTGTGTCATAAGGCAGGGATTGGACAAATGTCTTAGGAGATTTAAACACAAATTACGTGTTTTGGCGGGGCTTTGTGTTTTGTAAACCTTTAGGTAATTCAGAATTTGACCACATATCCCATTTCTTGAGCACAGTATGATTAAGATTTTCCTTAAAATAACTTTACAAAATTTGTTAACACCCAAATTAAAGAGCAACTTCCAGTGAGGGTTCTTTTACCAGCGAATATCATTAGGTAGGAAAATTGAATTTCTGTCCAAGTGGGATTTATATATTAAAGCAGTGCAGCCAGTGATATATTTGGATATTAGGGTATTTGGCAAAGTCCCTCATGAGATATCCTTGAAGAATAGGACTTAAGAAATGTGGACTGGAGAATAATACAATTAGACTGATTTGTAATTGAGCGCCATAAACACTAATTGAATCCTTGTCAACAGCTGGGATGTAGCACTCTGCCTGTTTTTTTTTTTTAAATCAGTTGTTTGAATGAGGACACATAGCATGATGATGTTGTTGTTAATTCACAGATGATGTTAATCTAGTATCCACATTCCTGAAAATTGGATGGCAGGTTTATTTAGAAAACAAAATGATCTTGATGGGTTAGAATAGGACATCTCATTAACAATGTAACTTTTTTTTTTTAAATAAAGATGGGGTCTCACCATGTTGCCCAGGTTGGTCTTGAACTCCTGGGCTCAAATGGTCCTCCCACCTCAGCCCTCCTTAGTAGCTGCGATTACAGGTGTGCACCACCATCCCCATCATCCCCACCACATGATAACTCTTTTTTTTTTTCTGAGGTGGAGTCTCGCTTTGTTGCCCGGGCTGGAGTGCAGTGGTGTGATCTCAGCTCACTTCAACCTCTGCCTCCCGGGTTCATGCCATTCTCCTGCCTCAGGCTCCCGAGTAGCTGGGACTACAGGCACTGCCACCACGCCTGGCTAATTTTTTGTATTTTTAGTAGAGACGGGGTTTCACCGTGTTAGCCAGGATTGTCTTAATCTCCTGACCTCCTGATCCGCCCACCTCGGCCTCCCAAGTGCTGGGATTACAGGCGTGAACCACTGTGCCCGGCCGATAACTCTTAATAAAGTATAAATGTAAACTCTTTTCCTTTGCCTATTCCCAAAAAAGAAACTTGAAGAATACACTGGCCGGGTGGGATGGCTCACGCCTTTAATCCTAGCACTTTGGGAGGCTGAGGTGGGCGGATCACTTGAGCCCAGAAGTTTGAGACCAGCCTGGGCAACAGTGGTGAAACCCGATCTCTACACAAAAAAATACAAAAACTTGCCAGGCGTAGTGGTGCACGCCTGTAGTCCCAGCTGCTTGGGAGGCTGAGGTGAGAGAATCACTTGCGCCTGGGAGGTGGAGGTTGCAGTGAGCCAGGATTGTGCCACTGCATTCCAGCCTAGGTGACAGAGTGAGACCCTGTCTCAAAAAAAAAAAAAAAAAAAAAAAGGATACACCATACAAAATGGAGTTTCCAAAGCACATATTATGAATGACATAGATCATTTTCATTATATTTGAAAAAAGCAAGATTCAGAATTATATTCATGATTATAATTGTATTGACTACTATGTCTCAGTATTATTGAGACAAATCTCAATTTTGTGTTAAATATATATTAGAAAATATATAGAATAGTTCTAGATTGTATAATTAGGAATGGTTTTCTTTTTATTTTGCCTTTCTGTTTATTTCCCAATTTTCTACAATGAGCATGGAGCAAGGAGTAATAATAAAACACATTGAAGATAAAGTGTTTAATTTTTTTGATGATTTAAATGTGTAGCCTAAGGATAGTTAATTTATATTGTTACAGTAAAGATTTTCTCCTTCCTTTATTTGCCATGATAGAAAAGTCAGCATCAGCCATGGTGCTCTCTGCACATAACAGTCTGTTACTGTTTTTTTCCTCTATTACTAGGAATCCATTGAATCAGTTTTCATTTTTTTCCCCTTTATCAAAGGTTGAATTAATAAAAGGAAATTTACAAAGTGTTGGACTTACACTTCGTCTTGTCCAGTCAACTGATGGGTATGCTGGGCACGTCATCATTGAAACTGTGGCTCCAAACTCGCCTGCTGCAATTGCAGATCTTCAGCGGGGAGATCGACTTATCGCCATTGGAGGTAATTATGCTAATATGCATTATACTTTACCTTTACAGATAAACTACAAAGTAGGTGTGAGGTTTTTCCTTTCTTCCTTTTTCCTTATTTCTATAATATGCATATGTCACTTTTATAATGGAAATAAAGTAATAAACTTTATTATAAATAAAAATTCAAAGGAGGCCTTCAAAATACATTTAAAACATACATGCCATTTTAGTTCTAGTGTATAAATCTTTAAAATACTTTGTTTAGACCACTTTTATATAACCACTCTAATCCTTCCCTTCCCACCTTCTACTACTCTATTTATTTTTTCTTGAATGTGAAAGTAAGGGCAAATAAACAGGTTATCTTTCTGTACGACTACCACCATTGCTACTCTGAACCTAAAATTGGTAGTATTAGCACTACTGCCCCCATCACTTAGCACTAGATGATGAGCAGAAGAACCAACATTCCTTTTCCAGGAGGGCACATCTGAACTGTCCTGTGATCCTGTGTCATCTAAATGGCCAGCCATTTGTTAGTATGTTGTTGCTCAGAATTCAGCCCAAATCACTGGTGGAAAAATGTGTCACTTACATGCCTTCCTATCACTTGGATTGTTAACAGTAAAAACTCTCTGAAGATAGCAGGTTATTTGCTTGTATATAAATGTCTAAGCAGTAGGACTCACTGTGCACAGCAGTGAGGGGAAAGTCCAAGCCTTTTCAACCTTTGTAGTACCTGTCCCATCTATTCTAGGCTTGTTGAGAGATTTCTTGAACATATGGTTGGTCACAGTTGATCTGAAAAGGGCAATGTGATATTTTCTTTCACAGCTTAGACAATAAATAAGTTAGAACAGTTCCCAAATCAAGGTGCAGTTGTCCTTGGTTACATGTCAAAGAAACTCTGCCTTTGATTCAAATCCACCTTGACAATAAAATAATGAAAATTATTTAGTTGCATATCTGGGAGCCCAATTAAGTCAATATTTTCACATGGGAATCTCTGATCATGGCATAAGCAGTGCTTCTCAGACTTTCCCATGTATGCCAGTCACCCAGACCTGATGTTAAAATGTGCATTCTG
The DNA here is from genome assembly GCF_000001405.40 of Homo sapiens. Lineage (NCBI taxonomy): Eukaryota > Metazoa > Chordata > Mammalia > Primates > Hominidae > Homo > Homo sapiens. Next base: position 117,289,126 of record NC_000010.11, on the reverse strand, counting down.
AATCAGGAGACCTGTAGTGAGGCCCAAGATTCTTCATTTCTCACAGACTCCTCCCAAATGATGATGCTTATGCATAAACACTTAGGGAGGCATAAAATAGACATCATTCATTATATTAATATCATTTAATATTTTGGTTTTAGCTACAGGATAAAATTAATTTTTTCGGTCTTTTTTGGGGGTTGTGTTTCAATTACACAAGTAGTAAATACCTATTATCAAAAATAAATTAATTAACCTAAGCGATATAAATGTATACAGAGTGAAAAAGCAAAAGTCATCCCTTGACATCTAACATTTGTTAATTACAATAACAACAGGCCGGGCTCAGTGGCTCATGCCTGTAATCCCAGCACTTTGGGAGGCCGAGGCGGGTGGATCACCTGAGGTCAGGAGTTCGAGACCAGCCTGGCCAACATGGTGAAACCCATCTCTACTGAAAATATGAAAATTAGCTGGGCATGGTGGCAGGCGCCTGTAATCCCAGCTACTCAGGAGGCTGAGGCAGGAGAATTGCTTGAACCTGGGAGGCAGAGGTTGCAGTGAGCTGAGATCATACCATTGCACTCCAGCCTGGGCAACAAGAGCGAAACTCCATCTCAAATAATAATAATAATATGTATTAAGATGAAGGGCAGATACAATACACATTCATTGTTTTAAAAAAAAGAAAAACCTTGGAACATAACAGAAAAGCTTTTGTATGTCTCTTTTTTTGTTTTTTTGTTTGTTTGTTTTTTTCTGTACATAAATATATGCCTTTCCCAATTTTTGTTTAGGAAACAAAAATTTCTAAACTATGCATTTTTGTAATAGTCTTTATTTCTTTTAGCATGTTGTAAACTTTCCCCATGTCAACAGATATTTTTCAAAACATTTTTATATCGCTTTGATTCATTTATATGGGTATATAATTGATGATAGTTGAAATAAGATTGGCAAAATATTATATTTGAAGCTCAAAATGGAATTCATTTTACTGTTTCCTCAGCTTTTGAGTGTGTTTGAAATATTCCAAAAGAAAAATCCAGACTTGAATGGTGTATTCCTGAGAGAGAGTTGCAATGGCCATCTCCACAAAACACCTGATGACTGAGGAATAGATGAGACGAGGGCAGATTTTTAGTCATAAAAAATGAGTTCAGATTGAGTTGAAGTTTTTGCCTACTGTAGATCATTAGATGGACTAATTTTTCATTTATGCATATGTCAAACTATAATTTTGCTGAGACATAGTATGGTTAGAAGGACGTAGTAGAACTTAAAGCTAGATAAATAATGAAGCACCATATTAGAAAGCTCTGAATTTCCATGTGATAAGTTTGTAGGCTAAAGGGGCAAATGCTTTAGGAAAATTTCGTAGCAATATGTTTGGTGTTTAAAGTAGGGAAGGTCTGAGTGAGAGATTGCAGTTAAAAGCTGTTTATTACTAAAGTGAAGGCCAGTTATCAGGAGGATCTGAACAGGGAAGGAAAATGGGCTGAAATCACAAGTTTGAGTTGACAGCTGAATGTTTCTAGGGAGTCAAATATCCCTAGGATTCAAATTGAGTTAACTGGGAGTGGCAAGTTGATTGATAGTAGTGAGGACAGAGAGACAGTCAAAGAAAGGTTTTAGCTCTGCTGAATATTTAGTCCCAAAGGAACATCCAGGTGGTGATGTCCAGTAGTTGGGAATGTAGAACTAAAGTGAAGAAGAAGGGAAACCAAAGAAAAAGTTGATAGTTTTTGAGACTACTGGAGTGGCTGTAATTTACCAGGGAGAGAGCAAAAAAGGGTGAGAGAACTAGTGGCAAACTTTGGTAACAGTTGCATATAAGGTGCAGGTGGTATAGGTGGAGAAAAAGAAGCTAGAGGAGAGGTGATCAGAACCAATTGTGTAAAGTGTTGTGGAAACTAAGAAAAAGAAAAATTTTAAAGAAAAGGAAGAAAAAGTTTAAGGATAATTGATAGAGCAAAGTCAGGAAGGAGACAGGAGGATTGGATCCAAAGTAAGTATACAGATAGAGGGATATTTTCTCCTCTGAAGTAAGATAATACTAAAAATGATGGTAGGGAGAAAAGGTAGCTTCATATTGATCTTTTTGGCAAATAAGGTGATAGCATGCACAGAGTAAAAGAGAGTAGGGAGAGTAGACTTTAGGGAAACAGGAAAGATTTACAGCTGATGTTTGAGAGACTTAGTTGTTTACAGACTGATCAAAAGAATGCTAAGCAGCCCTGAACACCTTGCCAAAGATGGATGGCTAACTTGATGCTAGATCCAAGCGGCAAGCTCAAGAGCAGGAAAGGGCAATAGTGGGGCTAGTAAAGCTGGGGATCAAAAAACATGAGGACGAGAAAATAAAATATTGGTAAGAACATCGTTGTAATCTTGAGACACAGGGTTGGATAGAAGAGCAAGTGGTATCAGGAGACCAACAGGACCATGAGAAGAAAAGAGGAATGATTGGGCCGGGAAGTTGCCTAAAAGTAGTGAGCAGACAGGATTGTAAGAGGTGAAAAATAGGAGCTTGTGATCAGAGACTAATTGAAAATGAAAGATCTTTGATGTGGACAAGTTCCAAGTGATGACCGAGTCTAAAGCCTGATCTTCCCAGACAGCTGAAGTAAGAGAGGACACAGGTTGAGGAAACCTGAAGTCAAGTTATGAGAAAGGGGTGGTGTTACTTAGATTTATTTAGGATGGCCCTAAGATCTTTGGAAAACAAAGAGCCTTCTCATTCTTTCTCTAAGTTCTACATAAAGGGATAGCTTGGGCAAGTGCTGTTTTAGAGAGTGTGGGAAGAGTGACAGGAAACAAGTAGCACCTTTAAGTGCTAACACACCTAGAATATCTATAGAAGCATACACTAGAAGCTACTAAGGTCAGGGAAGGGACAGTATGGCTGGGAGACAGAGGTGGAAAGAATATTTTTTACTGTACATCTTTTTATACCTTTATACCTTTCAAATTTTAAACTACGTGTAACAATTAAAAAATAAGAAAAATAAAAACAACGTAGATATTACAGATGCAGATAGTAACCAGCTTGTTTAACTTTAAAGCAGTTTATCCCTTACTTGTTCTTTCTGGTTTTGAAAAAGATGAATGTGATGGGTACGGTTGATAAAAAGAATCTGTAAAAGTACGTTATTCATAGTATAGTATTTTGCTACATTATTTTCAAGCACTGCTCTCTTAATTTGAATCTTTCATCATATGTCTTGTAATCCCTGGAGTATTTTAGAATTTCCTTCAGTGGAATCACAGCTTTCCCTCACTCTAAGTCTGATTTAGCCATTAATAGAATCCTTTAAATAGATCTCTCTCTGTTCACTTCTTCAGTTCAAACTGAGAGATGTCATCTAACCTAAGAAGAGATAGAAAGCAATTAGGAGTTAGCATCCTGGCACTCTTTTTGGGATCCTGTGTCATCATCTGGTTTGAAAAGGTAAACATCTCCAGGATATCAGCACATTCAGGGTTTGAGAATTAGCACACTGATTCATCCAAAAGCCAAATAAAATATTGTTGAGATTTTCCTATTATTCTTCTATTAGTTAAATAACCAGAGGTAATGGCAATTATATATATTTAATTAAATACATTTAACAAATGTAGTAATTTCTATTGCAATAATTTACATGTTTTCCCTTTTAAAATCTTAAACCAGGTGTGAAAATCACATCAACACTGCAAGTGTTGAAGCTTATCAAGCAGGCTGGTGACCGAGTCCTGGTGTACTATGAAAGGCCTGTTGGCCAGAGTAATCAAGGTGCAGTGCTGCAAGATAACTTTGGCCAGTTGGAAGAAAACTTTTTGTCAAGCTCATGCCAATCGGGTTATGAAGAGGAAGCTGCCGGGTTGACAGTAGATACTGAAAGTAGAGAGCTGGATTCTGAATTTGAAGACTTGGCAAGTGATGTCAGAGCACAAAATGAGTTCAAAGATGAGGCACAATCATTAAGTCATAGTCCCAAACGTGTTCCAACAACACTTTCTATTAAACCCCTTGGAGCTATATCACCAGTTTTAAACCGTAAATTAGCTGTAGGAAGTCACCCACTACCACCGAAAATTCAGTCCAAAGATGGAAATAAACCTCCACCCCTAAAAACTTCTGAGATAACAGACCCAGCACAAGTGTCAAAACCAACCCAAGGATCTGCTTTCAAACCACCTGTGCCACCACGACCACAAGCGAAAGTTCCTTTGCCTTCCGCCGATGCTCCAAATCAGGCAGAACCAGATGTTCTCGTTGAAAAGCCAGAGAAGGTGGTGCCACCTCCTCTTGTAGATAAATCTGCTGAAAAGCAAGCAAAAAATGTGGATGCCATAGACGATGCAGCTGCACCTAAGCAATTTTTAGCAAAGCAAGAAGTGGCCAAAGATGTCACTTCAGAAACTTCCTGCCCTACTAAGGACAGTTCGGACGACCGTCAAACATGGGAATCATCAGAAATTCTTTATCGTAATAAGCTAGGAAAATGGACAAGAACCAGAGCATCCTGTTTGTTTGACATAGAAGCCTGTCACAGGTACTTAAACATTGCATTGTGGTGCAGGGATCCTTTCAAGTTGGGAGGTCTCATCTGTTTGGGGCATGTTAGTTTAAAACTTGAAGATGTGGCTTTAGGATGCCTAGCTACATCAAACACGGAATACCTTTCCAAATTGAGACTGGAAGCCCCCTCACCTAAGGCTATAGTCACTAGAACCGCACTACGCAATCTGAGTATGCAAAAGGGATTCAATGACAAATTTTGCTATGGTGACATTACTATTCACTTCAAATATTTGAAAGAAGGAGAATCAGACCACCATGTAGTTACTAACGTAGAAAAAGAAAAAGAACCCCATTTGGTTGAAGAAGTTTCTGTTCTCCCTAAAGAGGAGCAATTTGTTGGACAGATGGGTTTAACAGAAAACAAACACAGTTTTCAGGATACTCAGTTCCAGAACCCAACATGGTGTGACTACTGTAAGAAAAAAGTTTGGACTAAAGCAGCTTCCCAGTGTATGTTTTGTGCTTATGTTTGCCATAAAAAATGTCAAGAAAAGTGTCTAGCTGAGACTTCTGTTTGTGGAGCAACTGATAGGCGAATAGACAGGACACTGAAAAACCTTAGGCTGGAAGGACAGGAAACCCTCTTAGGCCTGCCTCCTCGTGTTGATGCTGAAGCTAGCAAGTCAGTCAATAAAACAACAGGTTTGACAAGGCATATTATCAATACTAGTTCTCGTTTATTAAATTTGCGTCAAGTCTCTAAAACTCGCCTTTCTGAACCAGGAACCGATCTCGTAGAACCTTCACCAAAACACACACCCAACACGTCAGACAACGAAGGCAGTGACACGGAGGTCTGTGGTCCAAACAGTCCTTCTAAACGGGGAAACAGCACAGGAATAAAGTTAGTGAGAAAAGAGGGTGGTCTGGATGACAGTGTTTTCATTGCAGTTAAAGAAATTGGTCGTGATCTGTACAGGGGCTTGCCTACAGAGGAAAGGATCCAGAAACTAGAGTTCATGTTGGATAAGCTACAGAATGAAATTGATCAGGAGTTGGAACACAATAATTCCCTTGTTAGAGAAGAAAAAGAGACAACTGATACAAGGAAAAAATCACTTCTTTCTGCTGCCTTAGCTAAATCAGGTGAAAGGCTACAAGCTCTAACACTTCTTATGATTCACTACAGAGCAGGCATTGAAGATATAGAAACTTTAGAAAGTCTGTCTTTAGACCAGCACTCCAAAAAAATAAGCAAGTACACAGATGATACAGAAGAAGACCTTGATAATGAAATAAGCCAACTAATAGACTCTCAGCCATTCAGCAGCATATCAGATGACTTATTTGGCCCATCCGAGTCTGTGTAGCAGACAGGTCTATTTAAGCTTTCAAATGAACAGGGTAAAGTTGCATCTAAAGTACCACAGATACAACCATGTTTAAATCCTCGTATGCACTCTGGCCTGCTTCTCCAGTTACTTGCTTGTGTAAGAACAAAAATGAGAAAGGTTGTTTTCCAGTAAAAACATGACCAGCTTACTAATTGGTTGTTTTGGATTGCATTTATAGCTATGCTTTTTTGGGTTTATACTGGGAATTTATTTTTACTAAATTATTTAACTTTTCTAATTATGTAATTATGTAAGCTAGCTTTTCATGTTTATGTATGTATGGTGTCCCCTTGTGTTATTTTTCTTCCTCTTGGTTTTTGAATTAGTGTTAAATAGAATACTGTCTAGATTCTTAAAATATTTTCATTTCCATCATGGTTATAACAAATTTGCTGCATGCCCAAACTGACAACAGCAATCACTGAGGGAACAGGTTTTGAATCTTTCTTTTGTGTTATGAAGTTTATCGTCTCTACTTGCTTGAGATTTTTGTTATTTTGGGGGTTTGGGGGTGCTTTTTGTTTTGTTTTTGCCAAATGTAACATGAAAGCAGATGCTGCAGCTTTAGTCTGTTATGCTGATTTAGTAAAAAAAAATTTTTTACATATATTGCTTGCTTTCGATGCTTCTGTGAAATTTTTTTCTAAAGCTTTTGTGCAGCTGTATGGTAAAAATATGGTGATTAATTTGAAGAGCTTACATTGAAAGACAATGTAATAGGAAATAAATGTAGATTGCAGTTGGTCAAGAATTTTGTAGAGAGGATAACAAGACTTAATTACTGAAAAACAGTAACATAGCATTTTGAAATATAATCTTTTAAAATATTGATGCTTTCCTTTTAAATGGAAATTTAAATTTTATAATTAAAAGTTTAAACATTTATGATAATTTTCCTCATCAGTTCTCCCATAGGAAATAAAGCATGTGAAAGGGTATTTAAAGTTTTGGAGGACTCTTTTTAAAATGACTGTGTTGATAACTAGTTTGGGCTGGTTTTGTTTTAGAAAAAACATTTTCATGTAGGAGTATTCTGTGAAGGAAAGGAATCATGCAAAATATACTTTTTGCTTTGGCGTCTTACAGTTGTAAAGGAATGGTGATCATTCTGAATACTTCTGTAGTGAGTATTCATTAAGAAAAGAATGACAAAAATAGTATTCATACATAGGAATTGGGACCAGTTCTCTGAAAATGAAGATATACTCACACTGGGTCCATTTTACGGGTCCCAGTAACATTTGACTGAGGGAAAACAAGTAAGCTCGACTGTTGTTGGGGTACCTTAATGGTTTCGGTCTGTTATATACCTATAAAATAGACAAGTATATGTTTGTCCCTTTGTAGGTAACTGCTATGATGATTGCTATATAGTGAAACTGACATGAGTTTAAAACTAGATGGAGCAGCTTTTATTGCTGGCAGGAAAAAGCATGGTGTAATATTAAGGACTGGGGCCCAGGTCTAGACTCCAGGACTCCATAAAAGAGTTTAAGTTCAAGCCCTTCCATTAATGAACTGTGTAAGCATAGGCAGTTACAAAAGGACCCATCTCTAAAATGGGAATAATAATACTTTACCTCCCTCACAGTATTGTTGTGAGGGAAACAATAGCATAACTGCAAAAGTGCTTTGAACAGTAAAAAGATATACAAGTAAAAGGCATTATTTATATGAGTAAGAAAGACATTTTTGAGGGGAGAAAAGTTATTCCACTTTAAAAATCAATAGCCAAGTCTCATGCCTTTTGTTACTTTAGTAAGCGAAAATTTCAGGTACTAAATACCTTTCTTAGCCAAGTTTATAACAAAAACATCTCAGTATACTTCATTACTTATTTAAGCGTGATGTCTTTTTTTTTTTTTTTTTTTTTTTTTTTTTTTTTTTTTTTTGAGACAGAGTCTCGCTGTCTCCCAGGCTGGAGTGCAGTGGCATGATCTCGGCTCACTGCAAGCTCCGCCTCCCAGGTTCACGCCATTCTCCTGCCTCAGCCTCCGGAGTAGCTGGGAGTACAGGCGCGGCTAATTTTTTGTATTTTTAGTAGAGACGGGGTTTCACCATGTTAGCCAGGATGGTCTCGATCTCCTGACCTCGTGATCCACCTGCCTCGGCCTCCCAAAGTGCTGGGATTACAGGCGTGAGCCACCACGCCCGGCCACGTGATCTTATTTTAAAAGAACACTGCTATAGAAGAATTTACACACCAAATTCCCTGAAAGCTAAAGTATTGTTCCATAACTTACACTTGAGGCAATCTGCTCAGTGTGTAACCACTTTATAAAAAATAACTTACCATTGATAACCTGGAAGGTGGACTACTTGTAAGTAGCTGGTGTTTATTGATTAAACCATGGAAGTTTTCATGATACCCAAGCATGTTGCTGAAACTGATGCATTTGAAAGAGCTGTTGAAATAATGCAAAACTTTGGTTTTATAAGAATCTACTCATGTTTTAAAAGTATTTAACTCTGTAGACCACAATTATAGAAAGCTCAGTAATGCTGCTAATGACATTTGTAAACTATATCTGTAATGTAGTGCAATATTTTTATATTTCACTGGGAGAGGCAGTAGAGACATCATAGTTGTACTTTAGTGCAAGTGGGGGAACACTCCAAATAGCCTAGAGTATAGTAAGGTACAAAGCTTCAATGAAAAAAGCTGTATTATATTACATTACTGATGTAATCTTGCTGCCATGCTATGTATCAATAGCTAAAAAATAATAATAAAGACTACCACAGAAAACAAGAATATCTTCATTTAATGAAATCTTTAAAAAAGGTGATTGCTGCATCTCTATGGAATTATCTTCTGGTATAATTTGGCCATGCAGAAAAGCATAACAAAGTCCACTTTTCCTAAACAAAATTGCTGTTTTGCAGACTGCCCCAAAACATTTTTTTACTATTGTTTCCTTATGGATTATCAAGTTTATGGGTTTCCTTTGGCTATGTATTAGTAATTAGACTTTAAAATATATTTTCTACATTAGTATTAGCTGAGTGAATGGCTTAGACAAACTGAGCAACATTTTAGCATTATTAGCAATCATAATAGGCTATACTTCTTCATATCAAGCCTTATATTCAATATCAGAAGTACTTGAAATAAGTGGCTATTTTGTGATGCTGGGAGGAGAAAACACAACCTAAAAATTTTGAGGGGTACTATCAAGTTCTAAATGTATAGCTGAATTTTTTTTAAAGCAATTTGGAAATATTTGGCTCTTAAAAATAAGATAAATAATAAAATGTTAAGTCCCCTAAAAGTGAATAAATTTTAAATACCTACTTTTAAAAATACTGTCTTCTAAATTGACATAATTGCTTTTCTTACCAAAAGAAGGAGAGGTTCCCCTAATTCCTTTTGGGCCATAGATCCGCTTTTAGGATCTGATTAAAGATGTGGACTTTCACCGCAGGAAGATACCCATGGGCACACCATTCAAAATGTATCAGATTTCAACGGTTTTACAAACTCCCCCGGGATTAAGTCAAATGGGTGGATATTACAGCTGTTTTCATCAGATATGGTTATTTGTTGACAACCATCAGGACAACAATGTTTATAGATGGAAGGATAACTTCCTGGTTTTTTTCCACATTGAATGTGGCTAGTTACATATCTCAATTTAAAATAAATTGTGGAAAGCCAAAAAAGTATGGTCAAGCTAACCTGGGGTGGCTTTTACCTGATGCCTACAAGCACAGAAAAATAGTTTTTAATTAAATATCCACAGTCAAAATGATACCTTATGTATTTTATTCCAACAACATTTGGTTTATAAAGGAATACAAACAGGCACAAAACATGGTTCAGAAGATTTATTAAGTAAACTTGCTAAAATATGGACAGATACACTTAGCAGTCAAACAGTTGAATATTCATTGCTACCTCATTAAAGTTTTTGTATCTGTATTACCAGGTCCAAACATAAAAACCACCTCTGTTCAAAAAATAAATGTTCAGAGAGCTGTATGTTCTTTGTTCTGGTATGTACATTTTAAAAAAACACCTCTTTCCAGTCTTGCTAACCAAGAATATTAGTCATATAAAAGAACTTAGAATTTTTTTCCCCAAGTACAAGCTATCTTTTGCTCCAAAACAGTTCTGAAGGTTTTATTTATATTTTATCTTATCCCGAGGGACCAACAGCAGGCATACCTTTGCCAGGCCTTCTTGCAGAAAGACACAGAGCCGTAAAGGCAAAAATAAAATTGCAATAAAGTATATGGTATTGGGGGCAGGGAGAACCAGAAACCCTCAAAGAGAACCAATTTGTAGCACGTTCTTTTTTAAGGCTCTACCCCTGTAGAAGTAAGAAACTAGCCTGCCTTTTTAGCCATATGAGAGTTTCCTCCAGAGCCATCTTCCAAAGTGGCAGACTTGGCCAAGTTGCCCAATGCCAAATAAGTGAGTTGGAAGTTCGTTTGCTTCAAACACACTGCACTTAGAAACCAGACTTGAAATAATCGAAGCCCCACAGAAAAGCTTCATGAAACGAAGTGTTACTTTCCTAGAGAATAAGAAAGTCACAAGATTGAGGAGTCTGTTCTAAAGTTCTTTGCTCCTTGATGTCGAAGTTAACACAAACACAATCTTAGCTTAACGAAACTAAGTAATTTTTGTTTATGATTATAGAACTGCAGGATTCACAAGTAGTATTAGAGACATTCCACACTGCACACTCCAGTCATATCTCTTAACAAAATGACATAAATTGACAATGTTCACTAACAGTATTTGCTGTTACACTGAAAAGGCACATCAATGTTGTCATGCTTAGAAAAATACACAACACTGCACACTGGATGATATAGTTAGCACATACATTTTTAGATGTTCCATTTTTCTTTTCTGCCTGATCACTATTATTTTTACTTCTTAATATATGATTCAAGACATAATTTCATTCTTCATTTTCATTTAAAATTTGTCTTCACATTGATGTGAACAACTTTCAGGAGTCTAAAAAATAGTAGTTTCAGACAACCTAAAATAAATATATTCCTAGAAAACACTTGGATGACCTGCAAACAGATCAAAGATATAGTCAGATATTAAAGTCAGAGCAGCTGTTTTCAGCTTCTTGTTTCCTTTTCTAAAACTTGAAGTAGATGGCGATTAACCTTATCATGTTTAAACAACCTTGACAGTATAAGGTACATGTACCCTCAATTTTCTTCATCCAGTAAGACAAGTATGCATCTTAAAGGGAAAGCTTTTAGTTCATAACAATATGTTTGGTTGCTTTTCTCTGCTTTCGGAACATTTACTGTTTTTCCTTTATTGGCTTTAGTGTTTGCTGCCAACCAGATAACATGTTAACATATAATTTACAACTCTCTCTAGGTAGGTGATTACATAGAAAACTAATGCCAGCTAAGATTTATGGATTCAAAAGATAACTGACACAAGTTCTTGTCCTCTACACTTGAGAGAACTAGCTGTTTAACGCATAAATATATTGATAGTAACTACAAGTTAAATAACATTCAGTGTCACTATATAACATGCTGTCTTACTTGATTCTGTTTTTCAGACTTCATTCTAGTTTCTCTTTGTTGGAAGAGTCTCAGAGATAATGTGTGCTTTAATTTTAAACACTCATTACCAATATGATTTTTGCCCAAATGTTTGTTAATGTAAGTTAAAAAATTATATTTGGTTTGGATTCAAATATTTATAGATTTACACAATACCTATTTCATCAAAATATATTGTATGATATTTAATAAAATTAAATACATAAAATAAAGTTTCAACACTATTTATACAAACCCCTAGAAAAGCTTCTTTTTCTTTATAAGGCTGTTGGCAATCGACCATAACCATGGAAAGGAAATAATAACCTTTGGTTTTACTCTTTCACCAGGGATGGATGGTATGACTAAGACAGTTCTGGATGAGTTGTGTCACTGGAAACACTGTTTTATACAATTAAACACTTTGATGATTTTTGAGGATCTCATCTCAGTCACTTTCAGATTCTTCATCTTCACCTATCGGATATGACTGGATATTATTCTGAGTGTACATTTTTGTTTTAATAGGGCAGTTGTGATCCATGAGAATAGCCTAAAAGAGAGCAAAGTGCAAGTATATTAACTTCTTGTTTCATAAAGATAAGATGGTTTTAACCTACTGTTTTTAAGGATTATTAGTTTGAAAACTATGTAGTATTACTTGCTATTAACCAGTCATTTGGAGCAATCGCCAGACGCCTGACCTAAAAGACCTGTAGTTCTACACTCTAAAAATTCCAGGCAATTGGAGACAGAAGTGGTCTCTGCAGTATTTTCATTATACCTGTCAGGGGCCATAAGTCCACTCTGGGAACTTATACTCTATGAAGCAAGGGACAGGCAGGTTAGGTTTGTTATACTTAGAATCTTGGAATTGGGGTATGGGGATCCTGGAGGTCACCCAGTCCAACTTCTGTTTACAGACGTCATTGTAGCAACACACCTTGAAAGGATGTGCTCTCTCCTTAATGAGAGAAGCCCTCACATGTGAGAAATGTACCTAAGTCTGGACTACAACCCGTTTCCATTGTTTGCATTCATGAATCTGGTTCTGGTATCTTTTTCTTTCTTTCTTTCTTTCTTTTTTTTTTTTTTTTTTTTGAGATGAAGTCTTGCTTCGTCACCCAGGTTGGAGTGCGGTGTTGTGATCTTGACTCACTGCAACCTCTACCTCCTGGGTTCAAGCAACCCTCCCACCTCAGCCTCCCAAGTAGCTGATATTACAGGTGTGCACCACCACTCGCAGCTACTTTTTTTGTATTTCTAGTAGAGATGGGGTTTCACCATGTTGGCCAGGCTGGTCTCAAACTCCTGACTTCAAGTGATCCCCCCTCCTCAGCCTCCCAAAGTGCTGTGACTATAGACACGAGCCACTGCACCCAGCCAGTTCTGATATCTTCACAGGCTGCCCTTACAATCTTTTGTTGTTGTTTTGAGACAGAATGTCACTCATGCCATAGTGCAGTGGTGCGATCTCAGCTCACTGCTGCTTCCCAGGCTCAAGCCATCTTCCCACCTCAGACTCCCGAGTAGCTGTGACTACATGCATATGCCATCAAGACTGGCTAATTTTTAATTTTTTTTTTTTTGTAGAGATGACATCTCACTACATTGCCCAGGTTGCTCAAACTCCTGGGCTCAAGTGATCTTCCTGCCTCAACCTCCCAAAGTGGTAGGATTACAGGTGCAAGTGACCATGCTTGGCCCCCAATCTTTTAAGACCATATTGTCATGGCCCCTTAGATTTCTTAGTAGGCAAAACATGCTAGAGCTATTATTTTTTCACACATGTGATTTCCTGACCGCCTGTCCCCAATCCTGGCTGTCCTCTAGCTAAAATATATGATTTTTTAAAAATCCTCTTCTGATGAGCATGAAACTCTCATGCCCTCCTTTATTGTTACTGAAAATTTAAAAACTGTGACAAAAACGTGCTGCTCTGCTTTCAAACCAGATTGTCCAATAGTATTTGCTTATATTTGATAGCTGGCATTTATCATGCCAAGACCATGCTAAGCATTTTAGTGGCAATACATCACAATAACCCTCTGTGGGAGGTGAGAAAACAGGCACGGAGCAGTTAAAGAATTTGACCGAGGGGTGTACAGCTAGGATGGGGCAGACAGGAGCCGCCTGCAGCACTCCGTGGTAGTTAGATGAGCACAGAGGATGGCAAGGGGGCGTCATGTGCAACTAAAATGAATTATCAGGTATGTCTTGAGTTTTTCTCCATGTGAACTACTCCCCAATATTTTTTTTGCAGTTTGCAAATCTAAATAGATTAAAATGTATCTGATGTTGGCCTATTGTAACCCATCTTGTCTGTTAGCTATTACTCCCAGCTCTTGTCCCCAGATAAGACTCGACTCAGTGCTTAACCCATTTATCATTTCCCAAGACATTATCCAGTGATCTGTGTAACATGTGAAGATAAGGACTTCCTTGACCCTCTAAGTTAGGCTGCCAGCTCAACCTGTCAGCTTCTAACTTAACTGTTTTTTATGCTGCTTGCCAAGTGAATTGATACTTGTATTCAATAAAGAGCTCAATTTTTAAAATAATGGCGGCACTAGACTTTGTACACCAGGACCGTTCTCCCCATGTAACACAAAGGTTTAACCCCCCTAACAATAAATGTCTCATCTCCCCCAGATTAATGATTCGCAAGGAAATGTAGGGGTGGAGAGATGGAGCAGGTTAAAAAATGAAATTTGAGGGCCCTGTCCTCATGTGACAACAGTGTCAACTTTGAGAAACACTGCCCTAGTTACATGGCATTATCTAAGACTACAGCACTGTCATCTGGCTGACAACAGCTGACGGGACACCTACTAGGTGTTGCATCTCAGTGCCTTTAAGGTCCTATCCCAGCATCTTAGTTACCTCCCTGCACAGGCAAGGACAGGGACTCCAGGGTCCCAGGTGGAGTGCTCACTGCTGGTTCAGTGCCCAGGGAACGCTATCCTATAGAGGCGGGAGTTGAGGTAAACTTTGAAAGATGGAAAAGGTTTGGACAGCAAGGGAGGTGGCAATGAGTAAAACATGAGTTATTTACCAAGCAGGACACTAAGTAAGCCAGCCTGGCCACCACAGAGGTCTGCTGAGGAGGCACAGTGAGATACCAGTTGGGACACCCAACTGGAATGCAGGGCATGGGGCCTCGATCCTTGCACGGCTCCCAGGCAGGCAGGTCACCTTATAAAGAACGGTCATCACTACCTTATTCCTAATTGCCTTCCATCTCTTGGCTCATCCACATTAGACCTGAATGTAGGAATATGTCATCTTAAGGACCCCAGAACCTAGGACTGGGCACATGATAGGAACGCAACAAAAAACTGCACTGCAGGAAAAGCAGTTCAGTCAGACTATTTGGCATCATGCATACTTAACTGACCAGCATTTGTCAATTCACCAAAAACATATTTATTAGCAGCCTGTTTCAGGTGAAGTTTTCCTCCTTTAAATGTTCTGTAGCCTTTAAAACCTAGCTCACTGGCTTCCAAACCTCTCTTGAAAGATCTATTGTGCAATAATTGTACTTTTTAAAAAAAAGTTATACACAAATAAGCCAGGTGGCATGTAATGTTTCAAAAGTGCCATGAAGAAAGGCATGAACAGCATCAAGCAGGTCAGTCAGGTGCCCGGGGAACAAGTAGGGCGGCCGCAGTGCAGGCAGGTAAATTAAATCTGCTCTCCACACACTGCTGTGGTGAGGAAGGTGTGTTTGACTCTCAACCAAAGAGAAAATCAATAGGAGAGGATTGGCATTTGAATTCAGAGCAAAGCCCTCTTACTGAGAGGTGAGCCCCAGCCCCTCCAAATGCCCCTTTCATGAGTTAGGATCTCCTAAGTGGTACAAACAAACCAACATGGTGGACCAAATGAAAAGTATAAGTAATACAAAGCTGGGGTAGTGAACCCATAAAAGCATTAAAAGATAAGAGTGCCAGTCTTTGAGATTTTGATGATAGGTCCTGGGCCTTCTGAGTAGGAAAGTTTTATTCTCTTTAACATAACTAGAAAAGCAATGATGGTTTTGCACCCACTATTTAAATACCTGCAAAGGGACAAATTCTATAAACAACTTAGAATATGCAGAATGTGGTCTATCTCAGCAGCCTCGGGCCACCCCATCCTTGCCCCACGCATGGCATCCAGAAAACAGAGCTATTGCTGGAAGGGCTTTATGGAACAACTATCAGAGCCATCCAGGAAAAGAAAGCTGCAATCCTCAAACCACCTAATTTCTTGTCTTGGCAACAATTAGAAACTTCAAGAGTAAAATTAAGAAGCGTGACTTGTCTTTAAAAATAATTCTTCAACCTGGAAAAAAAAATCCGCAACACAGCTCTTCTCAACTGGGAATTTTGAGAGTGAAGCGCTACCGTGTAACTGTCTTATAAGACACTTTTCCTCAAATGGTAATGTTGATATTTCCTGTATGTGCAGAGGGACTTGAGTAACAGTTTTTTTCCTCCACCTATACTGATAATGCTGATTATAAAAAACAGAAATCCAGTAAACCAAATGGAAGACAAACTCACATGCTTATAAACTAGTTCATGATTCTGTCACTTGTGATCCATGAAAACAGCATTATATCTTACAATATAAAACAGCTTAAGTCCAAACACCTTGTTATCAGGATGCTGTCTAATGGAAGAATGATTTGCTAAGGGTCGTATGCCTTCTGGCCCTCACATCCCCCAGCATTTGGCAACTGCTCATCCTGAACGCCAGCACTTGTCTGCTCTGGGGTTTCTCAACTGCATGGTCATTGATTCTTCCTCCTCCCTCACACACTGCTGTCCTGCCTGCATGCCCCCTTATCATTAGGTGCTGTCGGCCGCCACCGCTGGCTTCCTGCTCTGCTTGCACAATGAGTAGGCAGCAACTGCTGGCCACCACTCTCAAATGTCACCATTAGGCCAGTCAAATGGCATCCAATGTGATGCCTTCAATTATGGGCATCATTGATGGGCAGCGAGATGCACACCTTCTCAAGTTTTTAATGATTTATCTTGCTAGGTGCTTATTAAGGATTGTAACATCTTGCAGTGAAAGTGGCTTCCTGGAAACCTATAATTCTTACTGTTTGGCCTTTCAGGATCGTCTCTTCCACTTCCTTCAGCATTTTTTTAAAACATGAACTGAAGTATTCGTTTAAATGGGGAAAGAGGAGGGGTACTGAGGCCTGCCTTCTGCCAGTCCTTCTGCGGAACACAGTGGTAGTTGGCTGGGCAAGCACATTCTCTGCTCATCCTCTGACCTCATTCATTTCCCCAAGGCCACAGATAAGCCATCAGGCTGCCGTTCACAAACGGACATCACAACAGCCACTGATGTTTGCCGGCTTGGCAAGGGGAGCCCATTCAGGAGTTCTGGGGTCTGTATAGCAAAAGGAAACTCTCACATCACAGAGGAGGAAAAAGGGAGAAAATTCAGGTATTGCTGGACTGACGGGGGAAGCCAGAGAGTTAGATAAGCAGGAAAGAGTGGGGTGATATTGGAAATAGGAACACACTTTTTGAGCCACAGGGCCAGTCACTCTGTTGGGATTCTTTCATTTAATCCTCACAACAATCCTATGAGGTAGACGTTATCATTTCTCCATGCAACAGAGGAGGAAACCAAGACTCATAAGCCTCTACATGGTGGGGCCAGTGTGGCTCCCAGGCCCATGCTAGCCCTAACTATCTCCCAGGAGTCTTCAAACAGTTTCCTGGGCTACAGGAGCATTTGTAGGTGATTTTATACACACACACACAGACACACACAAACACATATACACACATATATACTTTTTTTGGTCAAAAACATTGAGTAACCTCCATTCAGCCTTAAACTGTTATCATGGCAACAGAATGGCAGTTTGCATTTGTGCTGAGAATTTTCTGACTCCATTTCGGCAAGGTATTATGCTAGGGTCAGCCAAGCAAAGATGCATCTGAAATTTACACACCCAAGCTGGAAAGCAGATGTCTCCTAAGAGAGGTCTGAGAAGGTGATGTGGTTTTCAGAGCTGGGGAAGCATCTAAGCAAGCGGAGGGAAGGACAAGGGGATGGCTTCTGTCTGAGTTATTTCCACAGCACCTTCCATACCTTTTCCATGAGTCAGACGGGCCATGCATTACTCAAAAGTATCTAGTTAAATCCTATTTAAAATAAAGGGCACAAGGCCAGTGCCCAGTGCTTGATATATTTTAAAATATGTGGAATGAATTAATGAATGTAAAAAACACCCAAGACAAACACAGGCTGCACATAACCTTATTTTAAGGTTTGTCTTTAAATCTCCTTTTGGGGAAAAGCATCAAAGGGCAGTTCAGGAAATGCCAAAGCATTAAGATGCATTCAGTTCCACTGTCAGAAAGACCTTCTGATGTACTTCCAAGAGAACATTACAAACAAACCTCACATCTATTCAAACACAAAAATGCATGTCCTCTTGTTCACCTCATTCATCCTTAATCCAAGACACTCTCCTTTCACCTGGACAAGTACCTATCAGCATTTGCTGTTTTAAAAACTGGCAACACCAGATAAGAAAGATGATCAGAAACACTGAGCGTCTCCTTGCTGGGTAAGGTAAATACCTTAGAAAGGTTAAAATGACTCATGCATTTCAAAATTCAAATTTTGAATCAATTAATTTGGACTTTTTCAAAAGAGGGATGCTTTATACTCTGTATCTTGCCTATGGCTATAATTTTGGTCATAAAGTTATGAATTAAATCGTTCTGTGTGTTCACATATACCCCAAAGTCCATATACAATGATTTTTCCATAAAAATCGTAAAATCATCTCTAAAATCCTACATACAGTAAAGACAAGACAGCAACTATTACTGAATGCTGTAAGGGTTATGAGAAAAGCAACAGCACCACAAATGGCTAACCTTGGGCATAAGTACAGGAGGCAGAAAGATTGTGTCCAAGATTTTCAAGAACCATAGAAAATCAAATTGAATGATTCCAGGTTTATACTTGGTCGACAAAAGAGCAACACTGATGCTAATCTATGTACAAAAATAATTTCATTCTCCCAGTTTATAAACATAAGCTTGAAAGAAATAACTTTCACAGTAATAAAAAAATAAAAGAAGTAACTGCTCTATGTGGTACAAACTAAAAAGGAATTCTCACCATTTATGTTTGAAGGCTTTAGAATGAAACCATGAGGAAGCTATCAGGAAGGCCATGCTAAAATTATCAAGAAATGCTCACTGCATCCTAAATTTTTCTTACCATTTTTTCTTCTTTGGCAGGTGGACTTCGAAGAAAAAAGCAGAGAGGGGCAAAAAGAATATCAATTATCCCAATAATTGTCATGAGCCATGGAAATCCAATTGCCTTTGCAATAGCACCACCAGCAGAAGGACCTTTCAGGAAACAGAGAATTAGATAAAGCTCTTCCAAATGTCTTGTAGACTGAAAGATGCAAAGATTTAAACAATTTTAGTAGACGTTATCCATTACGTATTGAGGTAAAAGGTTCTTATGAAAAGCCAATGTCCTTACCTATAGCATACCCCATACAAAATGCCACATCCGCAATGGCGTACACACTCCCATAGACGGACACGTGCCGCAGGTCTACGAGGTAGCCCATGATAGGCATCATTGACGAATCCACCATTCCTGAAGACAGTCAGGGAACACAGTGTATAGAAAACGGATGTAAACCCAAAATGGGCCGAATATCAGGGAGTGTGTCTTAAACTCACCACCCTGCCAGCTCTTCCCCTTCTGTCATCACCACCTGCAAGTCTTGGGGTGATACTAATCTTTGAGTAGAAAGAATGAAGGAAGCCTTTTCTGACCCCCAGAGGAGGTCAGGTTCCCCTCGTATACAGATGTTCTCTCACAGCATCATCTCAATTGTCATTCATTCTTCAATTCTTTGCTAAATGCCCAACTCTTCTGTTGGTTTTGTTCACCCATATCCCCAGCACTTGTACATATTAGGAAGCAGCAAGCACCATTTCAATGAAAGAAACTTTCCTCATGTGCCTGCCACTGACACATGTGGAGGGGAGGGCACCAACCTCTGAGTCCCTGCCAGTGTGTTCACAGACACTGGCTCACAGCAGCCAATCATGAGCATCCCCATTTTATAGATGAGGAAACCAATACTCAGAGAGGCGAGGCTTGACCACACTCACTGAGCCAGGGAGTCTGAGCCAGGAACTCTGAACACACACCATCTTTATGCTACCTGCTCCCCACTATTCAAGAGACGAGATTCTAATGCTGGTCGTGGTTGTTGCTGGGGTGTATGTCTGTATGTATATGTGTGTATTTATGAGTATGTATGTATATGTATATATGTATCTGTGTATGTCTATGTATATGTGTGTATGCATGTGTGTATGTGTATTATGTATATGTATATATGTATCTGTGTATGTATGTGTATATATGTGTGTACATGTGTTTGCATGTGTATGTGTCTGTGTATATGTGTTTGTGTATGTACTTGTATTTGTGTATGTGTGTGTATGTGTATGTGTGTAGGTGTGTGTGTATGTGTGTATATGTATGTGTGTATGTGTGCATATGTATGTGGGTGGGTGTTTGTATGTGTATGTGTATCTACGTGTATGTATGTATGCATATGTGTGTATGTATATTTGTGTATGTGTATGTGTTTATGTGGGGGGTGTATGTGTGTATGTGTGTGTGTATGCGTGTGTCAGTGTGTGTATGTGTGTTTGTGTGTATGAATGTGTGTGTTTGTGTATGAGTGTGTATGTGTATGTATGTGTGTGCATGTGTGTTTTAGCTTCTTTTAGTTCACACACATACACACAACACACACATACACACTCATACACACAACACACACATACATGGATACACATGCATACACACACACACACACATAAACATACATACACACACATAATTTCTGAGCAGGGCCAGATGATCTCTCGGACTCCTTGGAGTTCTGGGGCGTTCTGGTCCCCCCTATTATTCTCCACCTTGGAAACACCCATAGTCTAAGCGTGTGGCCCAGGTGTGACTGGCAGGAGGTGGGTCAGGCATGCAGGTGTGCTGAGTGGTGAGGGACAAGTGAACCAGAAAACAGCAAAGCAGGGAAGCACCAAAAGGATGCAGGCCAGGGGCCGTACAGTTAGCAACCTGCAACTCTGCCAGACCTGCAGAATGGCAAGGGGAGCCGCCAGAGGACTAGCACCCTCCCTAAAAAGATGGGCCAACCAGACAGTGGAGGACAAGGGGAGGCAAGGCAGAGGACAGGCAAACGGTCACCTGAGAAGGACCTAGAGTACCATACTGAGTTCTACCCCAGCCTCAGCAGCCTTCTACCATCTGTCCTCAGTGAAAGCCATGCTGTGCCACTGTACCACTCAAAGGTTGCGTTCCTGCTTCTACAGGGGTGGACTGAGCACTTATTTTTATCATGATCAATTGGTATATTATAAATAAGAGACAAAAGTATACCATTCACTCAAAATAGTGACAGATTTTTCCTAACATATTATCATTCTTAACATTACAAAAGCCCATCTCCTTGCCCATGGGAATTCCTGCAGCACAGGCGGTCATCAACACATTAGTCTGCTTTGTCTGTACTAAAACCTCTTCAAAATACATATGTGAAGCCTTTGCCCCCAGCCTCATGAGAAGACCTGCTCATAGGGAGGAGTCCACAAAAATGAGCTCTGTGCAAGGGATTCCTTTGTTTGCCCAGCCCCAGCAGTGGAGCATCAGTTTCCTTCTGTAAATATCAGCTTTTAAAAAATACTGGTTTTCAGGAAATAAATGACTAGTGCATAGAAGCAGGTGTCTTTACACGGAGAATCGACAGGCTGTAATTTAGCTAAGCTGCCTGCAGCCTCCTTCTAAGATTCTGGAAATTTAGGTTGAGGAACTACAGTCTACCAGAGGAAGAAGAACCCTTCCTAGTGGAAAAGCGGTTTTAAATGTAGGCACAAGGTTCGTGTGACTTACCAATTGCAAAACCAACTCCAAAGTTCGGAGCTATGAGTCCATAAATGTTTTTTGCAAATGGAATCTGTAAGAGGAAATAAACATTATGCTAAAATAACAAGAGATCCAACTCTAAATCATCTCGGAAAGTCTTGAACTTGTGTTTTCTCTGAGCGTGGTATGCCTGTTCCCTTCTGAAGAAAACAGGAGGAAGAAGGGTGGGGTTTGTGAAGAACCGGACCCTCCAAATCTTTAAAAGTCAAAGCTTGAAACGAGTTTTATGACCACCATGAAAAACTTGTCACCGGCATATGTGAAAGATCAGCCTAGTCCACCCTCAAGTTTTGACAAGAACAAGTAGGCCTCATGAGGGATGGATATTGGCCATTGGTAGAAGAGATTTTATTCTAGAAAAACATCTTGCTATTGTTTCAGGTTGGTTGTCCTGAAGTGTTTAAGACACTGTCAAGCTTAAGATGATGCAGGGGAAAAGTTAAACTGTGAAATAAAACATTTTAAATAATTTCTGACATAAAATGAAAATACACTCCTTGGAAAGTCTTGTCCAAACATTTTTAAGATGATAAAAAATTAGAATAAAATGAAAGCTGTAATAAAACATCAACAAACTCAAACGTAAAATGTTTCTTGGTGATTCTTGCCCAAAGCGCAAGTTTTATTCACAGATTGTTCCCACTTGTCAAATGCCATCTTTTACTCACACATAAAATGCTGACTCCAACAATTATCATTCCCAGAAGAGCACAAAGCCACCTACCAAAAGAAAAAGCACCATCAAGAAATGATCATTTGATTTTTTTCTAGTCCAAATTTTCAATGAAAATCAAAACAATTACTTGTAACAGCAAAGGCAGAAACAACTTAGAATTTTTTGAAAGAACTACATTATTGTAACAGAATGAGTGTTGTTTTCATATCATCTTACCTCCCCATTTTGTGTGCAAGTATCCCAAAAATATTGGTTCCAATGAGATAAGAGATACTAGCTGGCAAGAAGGCAACGCCTGTAAATTTATGAAAAGGAGACCTTATCAGTGCTGATATCAGTCATATGTTAGAAAAAGTAATAACTGTAGACACCACAATGTTGATGAGAGCAGATAAAACGAAGCCCCGGGGCCCACACCCCAGCAGCTAATATCCGGCGCCTGCCGGATCCGGTCTGGACCCACGTGGCTTATCCTCCACACAAAGCTGCTGAGACACTCCAGAAATGAAAGTCCTTTCTCTATCAACTGCTTCATCTTGCCTCCATCTCTGGCTGGTGGTGGGCTTCACACGTGGGCCAATACAAACAGCTCCTGCCTGGGAGCTCAGCACCTGCAATCTTATGTGTGATTTCATCCGACAGAAGTAAGACGCAGTCATTGAAAGAATTAGGGAACCGTGAGATAAACAAAAAGAAAAATGTTAAAATTACCCCAAACCCCATCCATTACTCAGATAATCACCACAGTTATTTTCTCCTGTAAGTTTATTTACATATATAAATATATTTATGTGTGTTTTGATTTACAAAAAAAAGGGATTATACTCTATCCTGCTTGTTTCAGTTAGCTTTATGAACATTTTTCTATGTCAGAAACATAAATGTCTGCCTGGTCATTTTTTGTTGTCAAGTCAGATTTTTTTTTTTTTTTTTTTTTTGAGATGGAGTCTCGCTCTGTCACCCAGGCTGGAGTGCAGCGGCACGATCTTGGCTCACTGCAACCTCTGCCTCCCAGGTTCAAGTGATTCTCTTGCCTCAGCCTCCCAAGTAGCTGAGACGACAGGCATGCGCCACCACGCCTAGTTAATTTTTGTATTTTTAGTAGAGACTGAGTTTCAACATGTTGGCCAGGCTGGGCTCAAACTCCTGACCTCAGGTGATCCGCCTGCCTCAGCCTCCCAAAGTGCTGGGATTACAGGCGTGAGCCACCACGTCCGGCCTCCTATCCAAGTTTTATTGCTGTCCCCATAGAGGACACCTGCATCCCCCAGGTTCTGATGTGCCCAGGGTGATTCCCTGCTGGTGGTGGCAGCAGTGGCCTTGAACCTGTCCTCCGCATTGAACAGAAAGGCCTAACCATTATCAGACCCAGCTTGGCTACAGGGGAATTGTCCACATCAGCTGTGTCTGGTCCTCATCCATCCAAGCTGTGTGTGGTCCTCAGAACCACAGGACAATCTCTTTATGAGTGACTGCTTTTCAAACTCCTAGTGATTTTAGTATTTTTTCCTTGAAATCAGATATACCAGACTTGATTCCAAGCCTTGCCCACACATAGTAAAAGTTACTTTGTTCTCAATCAGAGGACTGCATAAGTGAGACATGCAGGTAGATATCAGATGACCGAGTGCCTGCTACACTCAAAATGCATGGGGCCTGGAGGTCCTTCTCATCCCAGCAGCTGGCCACACACTCACGGGCAAGTGTGATCTTGTCTCTTTAGGATAAAGCACGAACGTCTACCATCAAACCCAGAAACAGGCTGAGTCTTCCAACACAGCAGGGACTTCCAAATAAATGGCTCCATGAGCTAAATCCAAAACCAGATCATTCTAGACATGGGAGTTCTGGGAAACACTAATAAAGAGCAATCTCATTTCATTTTCCAGAGAATTATTTCTGTCATGCTTAGCAATATGTGGTGGTCAAATAATTGTTCAGTGTAATCTGATTGAGCAAACATTTACTGACAGCCACGTGCCCAGCACAGCAGTGGCCTGCAGCAAAGACAATGACAACGTGATTCTTGTCCTGACGCAAGTGTTTTGAAGGAAAGGAGCAGATGACGTTTAAACTGTGACCTGGCCAAGTAAGGAACATAACAAAAACACAGGTGTCATGCTCTGGGGACCTGGAACTGCGTCTGGCCAAGCTCCACAGAGCAGATGGTATATAAACCTGGCCTCAAAAGCTGTGTCGTAGGACTTCCTACCAGCTCTAGGGACTGTTAGTCCGGATAGTAAGATATCATGACAACATTTGTCTCATGATAAGAATCCCCAAAGGCCAGGTAGGTATAAATGAATAAAACAAGCAAATTGCAAGCAGAAATAACAGTGCAGATACCATGATAAAGAACCACTGACATTCAGCCTCAGTGTCAGAGAAATAAAATGAAAAATGGAGCAAAGAGAGATCTGTGGTGACCCAGAGGGCCCAGACTCCATCTAGAAGGCAGACGCCACTCTCTGTGGCCATTCACTCCCCTGAGGGACTGCAGTTCCAGTATTGGAAGATCCTGTTTGTTTTTTGAGGTGGAGTCTCAATAGAGGCAGAATGTCAGTGGCTCTGTTGCCCAGGCTGGAGTGCAATGGCACGATCTCGGCTTAGTGCAACCTCTGCCTCTTGGGCTCAAGTGATCCACCTGCCTCAGCCTCCCAAAGTGCTAGGATTACAGGCATGAGCCACGCACCCAGCCTCAGCAAGAATTCTTTCTAGGGCTTCTCCCGACTCTGAGAAAAGTGTTGGCTGGGACTGGCCTGCAACAGTGCCCTGGGCCATGGCAGGAACCCTCCCTTCTGCGGGGCAACACTCTTCACATATCTCTGCTCACACCAGAAAGTTCACCAAAGGGAGATCTTCTACATTTTGGTACAATCTGGCTTCAGCCACGGCCTTGGCCAGCCAGTGAGAGAGGGGCTCCGGTCATCACGAAGCCTGCGGGGAGATGAGCTGGCCATCCAGCCCCGGAAGCAAAGGTGGAAATGAGACCTTGGGTTTCCTCCAAGCTCAAGATGACCCCTCCCTGAAGGCCAAGGGCTCGGCCTAGAACCAGAATAGGGGCAATGGTCTGCCCTGTCCTATGGCAGGCTTAGGAGGATCCTAAGTCCTCGCACCCCAGAGCCACAGAAGGCTGGCAGTCCCTCTTGTCTTCTGGTACAGGCCCGTGTCCTACCCTCCATCCCACTTTGCATCCCCACAGCTCATTAAATACAAAGGGGCTAGAAGAACCAGAAGACAAGAGTGTGCCTCCATCCTTGTCTGGGGCCTGTTGTCCAGGGCTTCAGTTTCCCTTTGGGGGCTTGTAGGCCTCACCCCAAACTGTAAGTCCCTAAGTCTCAAGGGGTCTGGAGAGGCCATCTGACCTAGAACTCAGATATAGAGAAAACACCATGAAATCATTCTTTCTCCACCCACTCAAGCCCAGGGCTTCCCCTCAAGTGGCAGATGAGGAATTTGGGGGGCAGGCTGGCAAGGGAGCGACGTGGAAGATGGGTAGGCTGCCATCTTTACTACCCCTAAAAAATGTGGCCAAAAACAATGCCTTCAGCAAGAGCAATCCTGTGTCACCCATGCAGCTAATAAGATTGTTTGCCCTGACTTCAAATATCATAGTCTTTCTCCAGAAACAGTGAAGGGAAGCATAAAGGCAGAACAGCCTCCCTTTCACCCTGGACTGGAGCGAGCTCAGAGAAGATTCCTGAACACCAGAGTCTGGGCTGCAGGGGCAGCTCCCCGCCCTCAGCACTGGGTCCTCCGCACTGCTTCACTCACAGTACCCCATCCCCAGGGTCAGGGAGCCATGGGCTGAAAGCTACAGAGAACTAGGGAAGGTGGGGTATTTCCCCTCCTGCTGGTGCTGACACAGGAGGCAGGTAGAGAAACCTGATTCTCTTAAAGACAGACATGTCTATCTCTGGGGCAAATGAAAGGAGGAACCTCGGTGGTGGAAATGTGCAGCAAGCGGGTTGAGTGAACGTCTGGCGCCGGTGATAGGCCCCACACAGCAATCTGATGAGATCCAGGCAGCCTGCACTCTGCTATCTGCCCCTGATGGCCCATGGCTTCTGGCTGACTTTAAAGATTTTATAAAGAAAGCCTCAGGCTTTGTCTGAAGAGGATGAGCACAAAACATCTTAAGTGTCCTGCACATGGCCAGGACACATTCAAAGAGGATGAGAGTTCAGCTAGGTGGCCGGGAGACCCAGTTCACGCCTGTAATCCCAATACTTTGAGAGGCTGAGGCAGGAGGACAGCTTGAGCCCAGGAGGTTGAGGCTACAGTGAGCCATGATTACACCAGAGCACTCCAGCCTGGGCAACAGGACGAGACCCTGTCTCTAAAAATAAATAAACAAATAAGAGCTTCTCAGCTCAAGAGTTGCATGCAAAGTCAACACAGCAGCTGGACTCAGCAGTGCACACCCCACTTGGACAGCGGGCGCCTCCTGAAAACACCGAGAGATCCACATCACCTCAAGGGCCAGAGGGAAGAAAAGCTGGGAAACAGCCTCTCCAGTGTCAGCAGCGGGTATGAGCAACAAGGCTGGAGGGTGTCTTCTCATCTGCTGTTTGCTGACTCGGTGTCAGATCCAAGTCCACCCCTCCTGCCAAGCGGCACGCCTCTTTAGGAGCTCTGAAGGTCTTTGGGCTTCCACTTTCATCTTGGCTGCTAGGGAGTTCAGAGCTAAATTTTCTGCCTAAGAAACATTCTTGTTTAATTCCAAGAATCCTTCCTCCTTCACTGAATACCTCTTCTGATGTCAGGCTTGGTTTGGGTTTTGTTTTATGACACAATTCACGTGGTTTAAAATTCACCCTTTGGGCAGGATGCGGTGGCTCACGCCTGTAATCCCAGCACTTCGGGAGGCTGAGGCAGGGGGATCACGAAGTCAGGAGTTCAAGACTAGCCTGGCCAAGATAGTGAAACCCTGTCTCTACTAAAAATACAAAATTAGCCGGGTACAGTGGTAGGCACCTGTAATCCCAGCTACTCAGGAGGCTGAGGCAGGAGAATTGCTTGAACCCGAGTGGCAGAGGTTGCAGTGAGCTGAGATCGTGCCACTGCACTCCAGCCTGGGCAACAGACTGAGACTCCGTCTCAAAAAAAAACAAAATTCACCCTTTGACAGTGCATCGCTCAGTGATGTTTAGTGTATTCACAGAGTTGAGCAACCATCATCACCATCTGATTACAGAACATTGTCACCATCCCACAAAGAAACCTCACACCCCATTAGCAGTTTCTCTCCATCCTTACCCCCTCTCCCCCGGCCATTTGGGACTTTTTAGGTATTGTTCGATGAGAGAGCATAGCAACTCTGCAGATTCCAAAGACACTGGTACTCAGGCCAGCCCAACTGCAGGGAGGCAGGCAGAACAGGGAAAGTCTAAGCCAGGGGGCAGCTTCTGGCAAGACACCCCCATTCCCCAGGGCTGGATGCCTGTGAGAGAATAAGGTCACCTGAAGAAGGGTTGGGGACATTGAAAATGTCTGCTTGATTCAGAGCTGAGAGTCTCCATCTGAAGCTATCCACACGTACCTTGAAAGAACTATAAAAAGAATATAAATCTCTAGGAAGGACTGTCAATAAATTCTTAAAGAAAAAGGGAGAATTGCTTGAACCCAGGAGGCAGAGATTGCGGTCAGCCAAGATCGCGCCATTGCACTCCAGCCTGGGCAACAAGAGCAAAACTCTGTCTCCTGGGCTCAGGTAATACTCCCACCTCAATCTCCCGAGTAGCTGGGACTTCAGGTGTGCGCTACTACTCCTGGCTAATTTTTTTGTTGCTGTTTTTGGGTTTTTTGTTTTGTTTTGTTTTGTTTTGTTTTTGTAGAGACAGGATCTCGCTGGTCTTGAACTCCTGGTCTCAAACTCCTGGTCTCAAGAAATCCACCTGCCTCGGCCTCCCAAAGTGCTGGGATTACAGGCATAAGCCACCGGCCCAGCCTGCCATATGGTTTCTAATGGCAAAAACTGGAACTGTTAAGGAAGCAGAAGTTACACCATTTTAAGCTCAGCTCCACCTTAAAACTAGCAAAGCACATTCCTTGCCAGTCACGACCCATAGTCATGAGATGTTTAGAGTTAAGGAAACAGCCTAAAGATACGTACAAGGACACTCTCCTACAACAGCAGAAAGTCCAGATGTGCTTTCTGAGGACGCCCTGCTCTAACAGAGTTGTTTCTAATAAACTTGCCTCTTCTACTGTGTTCTGTGACATGCCATGAATTCCTTCCTGAGTGATTTCCAAAATCTTTATCTTGGGGTCTGGATTGAGATCCCTTTTCTGGCAACAAAATGAGCCCAAATGCCCAATAATAGGGACTGACTGAGGATTTCAACAGTTATATGTTGTTTTATTTTAACAATAAAACAATATGCAACCATTAAAAAGAATAAAAGGTTTCCAGTTAAACAGGGCAGACTGAATCTATAGTTTTTCTCCACTCCCACCTCAAAGTCCATTTAAATGCTAGCAAAGGAATAGAAGAAAATTCTAGACACACAGCCTATGCCCCCTTCCGCCCCCATACCTTCCTGAGGACAAACAGAGTGGGAGAGGAGAAGGGACAATACGAGGAAGAAGTGAGCAGAGGACACCGCAGAGAATGCTGGAATCTTCCACCTGCAAATGGTGAGGCCAGCAAGAGGCAAGAGCCATTGTGCCTCACAGCCAGAAAGGAACTGAAGCTTCGGGTACTGTGAAGGTGGGGCTGAAAGCAGAGGCTGTCAACATGAAAGCAGGCAGAGAGGCTGTGTTAAGAGCAGTGGGGCCCCTAGCACTCCAGCCTTCACCCTGGCAGGAGACAGTTTCTCCACAGAAATTAACCAGAATGGCAACCGGGGCAACACAAGAGGCTGAAACAGGAACATGGTGGGAGGGTGTTTTTGCAATAACAACAACCTCACCAAAACCCCAAACACTCAGGGTATACACAAAAGGCTCTTCAGATTTAAGATATGATAGCATCAATTTTAAAAACTCAATAAGCAGTTTAAAAGATGAACAGGAATAACTCAATGGAAAAGGGGAAAGACAAGAAATTAGAAGAATAAAAGTAGGGAGCCTAACGCTCAGCCAACTGGAGTAAAACAGGAGAGAAAATAGGGGGATTCATTCAAGTAATAATACAAAGAGTCTCCCCAGAATTGTAACATGGGGTTCCCCAAGTGAAAGGGCTGATTAAGCAAGTGTTCAGCCCAGAGGAGGAAAACAGAGCCCACTGCAAATCATCAACATGGACTTTTATAACCTAGAGAAGAAGTAAAGGTCCCTCGGGCTCCTACAGAGGCTCAGGAATGAGGGCAACACTGGCCTCCCCCACAGCAACCCTGGATGCTAGAAGACAACAGAACAGTGGCCCGAAAACTCCCAAGGGAAATGATTTCCAACCAAGAATTATACATGCAGACAAAGTCAACAAAGTGTAGGATAAGGGTAAAATATTTGCAACTATGCAGGGTCTCAGAGACCTTTACCTGCCACGCACACTCTCAGGAAGCTGTGGGAGGCTATGCTGTGGGAGGCTATGCTCTGCAATAAGGAGGAAGTCAGTCAAGGGCAAGGAATACAGGAAACAGAAGAGAGGCACAGAAGATGCTGGGGTGATGGGGAAGGAAGTCTAGACTGAAGACCTAGGACAGACATCCACAAACGAGCAAATACACAGAAAGATCAGGTTTGCCAACACTTGACTGCAATTGGAGAATTTTTCATCTTTGCCAGAAACTTTGGTGGATATATTCATAAACACTACATAAAACATTAAGAAAATGAAAGGACAAGGCAACGACTAACTCCAGGAAAATTAAATTTGCAAAAAGAAAGGAAATTAATCACAGTACCCTACATAGCTCAGTCAGCTGTGAACAATAATTACCCAGTCACAATAATGTCAGTGCTGAATGCCAGTCTAACAAGAAGCTGTAATGCAATTATTCAGGGAGGACAGAAGATGGGAAAATGTGTGAGCTGGTTGTTTGATACTTCTATGTGGCGCTGCAACGGCATTAAATAATCCCCATCTACTGTATTAGGAAGCTGGTGGACAATGTCAGAAATTGGAAAATTTTTAAAAAGGGGGTGTCATTAGCCAGGTGTGGTGGCACGTGCCTGTAATCCCAGCTACTCGGGAGGCTGAGGCAGGAGAATCGCTTGAACCCGGGAGGCAGAGGTTGCAGTGAGTGGAGATCGTGCCACCGCACTCCAGCCTGGGTGACAGAGTGAGACTTTGTCTCAAAAAAAAAAAAAAAAAAGAGTCGGGGGTGTACACATATTATTTAGAGACATAAGGGTATCAGCAGAAGAAAGATCTAAAAACGTTGAAGGTGATGGAATCTGAAG
Organism: Homo sapiens; assembly: GCF_000001405.40. Taxonomy (NCBI): domain Eukaryota; kingdom Metazoa; phylum Chordata; class Mammalia; order Primates; family Hominidae; genus Homo; species Homo sapiens. The sequence continues at coordinate 117,258,678 of NC_000010.11, read as the reverse complement.
GGCTTTGGGGATCAAGAGGCGTGGGAAAAAGACAGCTGTTTTTCCTTATAATTCTTTTATCTTTGACTTACAATTATGTACATGTGTAACTTTGATAAAAAAAAATAAAATTTAATTAGTTTTAAAAAGTAAATCTACTTGTTCTGACACGGAAACATGGCCACAAAATTGCATGAAGGAAAAACAAGAGGTCACACAGTGATGTAAATGGCAAAATTCACTTGACTGGATTTTTAGGCATTTCATGCAATAGGGTGGTAAACACAGAACCATCTAGAAAAAGACATAGAACTGTTAACAATGAATATCACAGGAGATGGGCTGGGGGAGGGAGAAAGATGAGCATGAAATTTAAAAATGTTTTACGTCCTCAATCAGCACACTTTGATTTTGTTATAATAAGCATGTATTACTTTTCAAAATTAAAAATACTTTTTAAGAATTAATCCTTTTAACAATTAGTTTGTTATTAGTCTCTTTCACATAAATTTTATGGCTGTCCAGTTAGTCCAGTTCAGAAACAGGGGAAGATGCTGACTGTATTTTTACTCTCATTTCTGCCCAGATCTGATGTGTCTGTGTGAGTTCTGCACCCCTCAGGGATGATGGATAAACCAGAGAACAAACAGACCCCAAGGCTGCCCTAAGCAATGACCCCATTAAGAGTCAAACAGAAGCAATCACTTTATCATCCCCATAAGGGCAACTCAGCAGGGATGCCCTGGGGACAAAGGCTGCCCTGGGGACAAATGCTCTTGAATCAGAAGAGCCCACCCCAGTCCTTACCCAGCTGCCACTTTCGGGAACACATGGTCTCCATCATCCAGATGGGCAGGGCTGGCTCCAGCATGGCGATGCCCATGTTTGCAAAGCAGATGGAGCCTGTAAGGGAGGAAAGGGCTTTGTAGTGGCTTCTGCCTCCTCTCTCATTTCCAGGCACAGTTAGACTCCATGCGCCTACAGCTCAGATAACCGCAACTTCTACTTTCATTAAGTAAAGGATAAATCGCATATCAAGGGGACAGCAAAGGCTGTTTATCATAATCATCATCATCATGGTCGTCGTCGTCCTCATTTTAAACAACTAGAATCCCAGAGACAAAGTTTGGACTGGAGGCAGCCCTAGAGTTCCTTTGGTTTAACCTACCCAATTATGGTTTTATCAATGAAGAAAGGAAGCCCAGTTTATTAATGCAGTAGCTTGCTTGGGGCCACCCAGCAATCAGGCCACTTCCAGACCACACACAGTCTCGGGGCAGCCTGAGGCTCTCGCATCTGTGTTTTACTGTGCAATATACGTGGGCATTTCTAATGATACCTAGAAATGCCAGAAAATCCAAGCAGGATCAGGTGCATTCAGTACAGGCATGCCGTTAGGTGGAGGGGGCGGGGTTCAGCGGTACATAAGGGCACCTATGCAAATATTCATGATCTCTTAACCAGAACCCTTTGTAAATATAGAACTATCTGGAAAAAGACCCACGGAACTGTTCTCCATCGTTCTGGGAACTTCCCGTGTTGTGCCTCTTGGAACCTCTAATTTGCTACAACAAATTCAAAGAATATTGTGCAATCGTGATGAAGGTGCACATATGGTGAAGAAAGGTCTGTTCATTCGACATGACACTTAAAGGCAGAGCATATCAATGGCAGGACTCCCCTCAAGTGGACAGCCACTTGGCTCTCAACTCCCTTCCCCAGTCGGGCTGTCTGGAAGTGTCGATGACAGTCCAGGAGTGCTGGGTAGCATCTTTGTGTCTCCTGTGAGCAGGTACTAGGCAGTGAGGTTCCAGGGAAGCCCAAGACAGGACAGGCCCAGGCTGCACAGCCCTGCTCAGACGTGCCCGAGGTTCAGGAAGTCACATTTCTGGAGCCCCCGTCCCTCACCATACCTCCTCGTCCCCACCTCAGATGCCAGGGTTCCAGAAGCATCTGAGCTCTGGGATGCCCCCTGCATCTTGCAGACGTCACTGCATGAATAAGTCACCATGCCACCTCCATATCCCTTTGGCCAGCAAGCATGATAGACAGGGTCTTGGCCAGGGTTACATACCTGCTGCCCTAATCAAATCCAGCAGCAGAAGGGTTAAACAAAACCAGCCTGAGGGTTGACAAAGGCTGAACTTAACTACTGGTGCCCAGTTCTCCCAGGCGCCCTCCAGCCTACCTGTGTTAGGGAGCCGTGCTTAGACAAGTCTAACCCTAACTGGGTCTAGTGCTACAGTGCAGGCTGCCCCAGAGACCAACACATCAGCGCGCAGCCAGACCTTCTCCTGGCCTGACCCCAAGGGTCTGCTTACCTTGGTACTGAGGCCCAGCAACACCTACACAAGGCTGGTCCCTGGTTAGGCAGCCCGGGGCCTGGCAAAGCAGGCAGCCTCCTACCACTGGGACAGTCTTGGGGAACAGTCCCTTGGATAGATGCAGACCATTATCCTTCCCAAGAGTCACAAAACCCCAGTGCTTTCTTTTAGCCCCTCTAGGCCAAAGCATGTCCTTTAGCCAAAGGGTGTTTGAACGGCCTCCCTGCTGCTCGGCAGGGATGCTCTCTGCAAGAAGGGAGCCCCTCTGGTCCCTGTGGGGCTCTGCTGTCAGTTTCTATTCATATATGCCAAGGTGAGTCAGACTGCCCACCGGGGACCCTTGCCTTGAGGCCAAGGACTCCTTCCGGAAAGTTCAAGGCCAAACAATGATGGCCTTCCATACAAACACAGTGGGCAAGCTTAGCTCCAAACAAACCCAGCCGGGCATCCCCAGGACCCAGGCAGCTCTGCAGAGCCCAGCATACGCCATTTTGATTTTCCCCAAATGAGACAAAAAGGGCCTTGGCTGAGTGTCAGAAAGCAATGGCGGAAGAAAACCATTTCCTTTGACTTGTAGCCTCTTTGCCTTTTCTGTTTTTTTATATAGCCCAACATTTCTAGCAGCAAAACGAAAATCAGCCCTGGCCATCCACCCCTGCCTCCAGCACGCGGCCATCACCTCGCATTCCCCTGACTCAGAAGACCCACAGAGCCCCACCTGCAGCAATGAGGATGTACGGGTCCTTCAGCAGCGTGGTTAGGGGTGTCCCCTTCTGACTCTGTCAAGAAAAAAACACGGGTCAGAAGCAGCACCATGCCCCCTCCCCCAGGGCCCTCATTCCCAGCCGCTTACCTCTGGCTGCACCCGGGACGGCTGGAGCACAAAGAGCTGAATAGCTAAAAAATAAAAATAAAAAAGACAAGCCCCTCTTCAGAAAGCAGGTGTGGCCCAAGCGCGTGCCAGCACGATGCCAAGGTCATGGCATGGCGCCCACGTGGACTCACTCACCTCCATCCAAGAGTACCAGGGCGGCCAGCACCAGGAACGGAGCCGTCTTCCCCACAAACTCATAGAGCACACTCCCGAAGGGGGGGCCCACTGCAGGGAGAGAAAGTGGGGACACCACCCCTGGGACACATGCCCTCTCCCTGTACTAGAACCATCTATTTGACTCTTGTGTTTCTCTCTCTACTTTGTTCCAATAAGGCTTTGGGGTGGCTGCCCTATTGTTCTGTTCGGTTAGAGTTCAGTTGTCTTGGCAACTTCCTCCAAGTGCCTTTTCCTAAGAAATGGGCAGGAGTCTATAAAGGTCACCCTGAAAGCAAAGGCCCGAGAGAAACAAGATCCAGGCCCAGGGCTGGGCTGCTTCCACTGCACAGGAAAATGTGTAAACAGAGACTTCGCTCCTTGTACACCAGCGCAGGCAAGGCTGCAGGCTCCTGGAAGCAGGCGGGAAATCGGAAGAGGAAGGAAAAGGTTTTGAATCCCTCTCAGGGAAGATGTTTGTCCCCTGGTCTGGGAAGTCAGCCAGGGCAGCTGGGGGAGGCAGACCCAGAAAGCAAGGTTCTCCGTGATCACAACTCACTGAATGTTCCCGAGGAAAGGGTCTGGCAGACCATCCTGTTCAACCTTTGGTTTTCCATCTGGGCCCAGGGAGGTTTGGGGCAGAGGCAGGGGAAGTCCTGATCCCCTCCACCCCCAGCTCAGGGCTCTTCCTACCATTTTTCAAAGTCTCCATGAAAGCAGGAAAGGAAAAAAATAAAAAGGGGACCTCTGTGTCAGTGCAAACTGCGCCAGGGTCACTGGGCGAGGACTGCCGCTGTCCAGCACCAGGCAGGCCCCTCTTGCCAGTTTGCCTACACGGGGGCCTTACCCACCTAAGACCCCCATGGCCAGGCCTCCCAAGGCGATTCCCATGACGTTGCCTCTCTCTTCATCATCTGTGTAGACACTGGCAAGCATGCCCATCCCTACACAGGGAAAGAAATAGTCAACAGGCCAGCTCCGGGGAACAGCAAAAGAATAATGCGTGACTCGCCTTCCCTCTCCAGCCAGCCTTGTGATCTTCCCAAACCTGTCAGATTCACTAAAATGTAAGACCAAGCAGAACCCAAGAGGAAAGTGGGTGCCTTCTCCAAGAATCCCCAGCACCCCAACCACCACCAATACCTGAATTCCCTGAATGAGTCCAGCTCACTCTGCAAGGGGCCCCTCACGAACTCACTCAGGCATTCCACACCTACCAGCCACAGAGGAGCAGGACGAGCCGATGCCCTGCAGCGACCTGGCAATCAGCAGGAAGGCATAGCTGCTGGAGAAGGCAAACACTGCCGAGAGAGGGGGTCCAAGACCGCACATCAGTGCTGCTGGGACACAACCGTCCCAAACAGGAACGTTTCAGAAGCCCCCCTTAACCCAGTGGAGCATTTGCATGTTAGCCACCCTGTGCTTTTGTTCCGTAAAAAGCTATCAATTCCTTTCTGCAATTGTTGCCAATACACAAACCTCCCAGGCCATATACTTTTTTTTGAGATGGAGTCTTGCTCTGTCGCCCAGGCTGCAGTGCAGTGGTGCAATCTCGGCTTACTGCAACCTCCGTCTTCCAGGTTCAAGTGATTCTCCTGCCTCAGCCTCCCCAGTAGCTGGGACTATAGGTGCATGCCACCACACCTGGCTACCTTTTGTATTTTTAGTAGAGACGGGGTTTTGCCATGTTGGCCAGGTTGGTCTCGGACTCCTGACCTCAGATGATCCGCCCACCTCAGCCTCCCAAAGTGCTCGGATTACAGGCATGAGCCAACCACGACCCCCCCCGCCCCCCCGCCGTCCTTAGGTTGTATTGTTAATTCCCGGCTCATGGGCATCAATGCCCACCCTGATGAGACCCACACTCAGAAGGAAAACACCACACACTTACTAATTGTTGAGACAAACATGATGCAGAATCCCGCAAATATGGGAATTGGATAGCCAATTCTGCAAAACACAAACATCAGACAAATCTGGTGACTGCAGGCTATTTTTTTAAGGCTTTATATTGATTTTCGCCTGGCTACCCTTTGGGATCAGACAGATAAGTGTTTGGTGGACTTTTCTGAAAATTCATATACTCAGTGCTTCCTATGTGACCTTTTTGTGTTTGACTGTCTTGGAACGTGAATACATTTATGGACTGCCACTGTGAACAGAAATTTGTTTGGAATAAATGTTAACACAATATTGGCAAGTAACCCAGAACACATCCAAAATACACGGCCCCTATTTCTGTCATTTTTAAAAAATGATTCCTTTAATTATAGTCTTTGCTAAAGCTCTCCCAAAGGAGCCACTGCAATCAAATGATTCGGGTAAAAGGCCATCAAGTGATTCCACTGGCAGACTGCAGTATGTCTAAGAGGCATTAGGAAGCAAGATGTTAAGATCTGCCTTCCTGTTGACCCCATGAGGCCAACCCAGAAAGACAAAGTCTCATTTTCTGTGCAAAATTTCAAAATCCAAATTGCTCCGTGAGACCACTGCTCACCTAGGACTCTGGCGCCAGGTCAACAGGGCTGGTGGAAAGACCCTGGCATTCCCCTATGCCATGTCTGGCTGGACACATGACCCTGCCACTTAATCTAGGGAGGTCTCCTCTCAGTCCCTCGGAGAGACCACCGCCCACCTCCCAGGACTGGAGTACAGAAAGAGATATGGATGTTAAACTGTTAACACCAGTGCCTAGAGCATAGAAGGTGCCTAAGAAATGTCATCTCCTCCCTCATTCTCTTTCTTCTTTGTCCTCTGTTTCTGCTGGATTAAGTAGACAGCTGGGTCCCTGCTCTGTGGGTGGGGCATGAGGGTACAGGCAGCTTCCCAGCCCCTCTGCCTTGAGAGGAAGCCAACAGTGGCTGAGCTCTTGCCCAATTGAAGGTTTGCTCCAACCCAGAAGAGCCTGAAACATCTCTAAGTCTCTTCTGTCTCTAGCTCTGGACCCTCAGGAACCTGGAGAGGAATGAAATGAATCCAGGAAGGCAGAAGGGCCAAGCATCCTGAGCTCTGGCAACAGCCTGGAAGGGTTCTTCCATTCCAGGCTTTAATAAAAAATTGTAATCGGCTGAGCATGATGGCTCATGCCTGTAATCCTGGCACTTTGGGAGGCCGAGGTGGGCGGATCACCTGAGCTCAGGAGTTCAAGACCAGCCTGGGCAACATGGCAAAACCCTGTCTGTACTAAAAAAAAAAAAAAAAAAAAAAAAAAAAATACAAAAAATGAGTCAGGCATAGTAGTGCACACCTGTAATCCCAACTACTTGGGAGGCTGAGGCACGAGAATTGCTTAAACCTAGAAGGCAGAGGATGTAGTGCGCTGAGATCATGCCACTGCACTCCAGCCTGGGTGACAGAGCGAGATTCTGTCTCAAAAGTAAATAAATAAATAAAAAATAATCATAGCGCCTTCATTTAAAGTTTACACTCAGTTCTCCAAGCATTTACACCCACCAGATTTAGTCATGATTTAATAAGGGCCCTATTTCACCTCCCTATGTTACAGATGAGGAAACTGAGGCATGATATCTGTCATTACTTATCAGATGTCATCAGACTAATTTCGCCTGGGCCATTCCCACATGGCTTTTCCTTGTAAATTTTACCACCTCCGCCAGTACCCAAACGGCATATATAGCTTTAAATAGAATCTTTCCAAAAGTTCTCTTGACCATATTCAAATATTTTTTAACTGCTTCACCTGTATCCAGAAACCAAATACCAAAAATACAGAGAGTAACTCACAAGCATGACAGATTCCCAGACAGTCAGTCCCCTCCCACAAACCATGCAAAGATTCCCCTGCTGTGAACAGAGATGAGCTTGTAATTCACAAAGTGGGGCCCCAAGCAAATTGGGTAAACCAGAGAAGATGCCAGGATTCTGACCTGCAGTTCAGATGGCCATCGGGTGACAGCTTCTTCTGTCTCAGCCCACCCAGAGCTGATTCTCTGTACCCCTTATTCATGTGGACAAAAGAAACCCAACACCGGGGGCTCACACGGCACTGCAGGATACTGAATCAGGAAACGTCCAGGAGGCTCAGAGAGGAGAACTCACAGGCAATTTATTTTCAGCAACTACAGTTTGTCCCATGAAAGAACGGGCATATGACAATCTTCCGGGCTGTCCTGGAATAAACACAGGCTTCTCCCTCTGTTCAATATATATTTGGAAAATCTAGTTGTTGAAGTACCAATACGTATCAAAGCTATTGGAATTAGGGGCTTCACTCTTGTTTCACCAGTTCTTCATTTTGGCTATTTATAAGGCTCTAATATGGAACCCTTCAGGCTGCAGGGACATCCCTGAAGGCAAATAAGACATCTGTGGCCCTTTCCCAGACTGTAGGCAGAAACACTGGGTGGTTTCAGGACAAAACTCAATAAAATGTGGCAACCCTTGTCTGTGGCCCCCAAACCACCAGCCATACTGTGCCCACTGTTCAGTCCAGCCAGTATTCCAGGTAACCCATCAGGGCACAGCTGTGGTGGGCTGGAAGCCACTGAGGTCCCTCCCTACCTGAAGACTCAGACATTCCCACGACTGTAGGCAGGGAACCAGCATGCTGGGTGGCCTGAGATTCCAAGGGAGGGTAGCTGGTTTTATCCATTTTTCAGAGGATCAACACTGAGGCTCGGGGAGGTGAATTACTTGCCCCAAATTCAAGGCTACGGGCATACCCTGAGTGTGTTAACATGTGCTAGGCCCTGCTGATGTGCACCTGGGTGGGGACGCTGGAGCACATGGGATGGAGAGTGCACAGTTTCACTGAAAACCACAGCGTTTGTGCCTACAGAGGGTTCTTTTTACCATTTGAGGTACTGTGTTTTCTTTAGAAACACTGCAGCTACTGTTTTTCTTTTTAATTTTCTTTGGGATTTTAACAATGCACGTATGGAATAAACGAATATCACAGCTAGAAGGAAACTCAAGGGCTAGCCAGTCCAAACCCTCACCTTAGATGAGAAAGCTGAGGTTCAGAGACAGAGTGGCTCACCCATGGCTGCAGAGCAAGCCAATGGCTTCAGATACAACCAGGCTCATGTTGCCGCCTCCTCAGTACCGGACACACCTGTGCCTGCACTTTCAACACAGGCCAAGCCACTGCATGGGCTGCTCAGTGGTAAGCGCTGGGCATCATTTTTCCCCAGAGCTCGGCTTCAAGGCAAAGAAGACTCCCTGGGAAGCTCCTGGGTCTCCGTTCTCAAACTCTTCTGGCCCCTCGGGCACCCACCATAGAAGGAGAGTCGTCCAGCGTCCCTAGTCATTGAGTGGTGGGCAGAAGGACCAAACCCTTTCTGCTTCCCCACAGTATCTCCTAAACAGACAGAAACTCAACTGACATTAGTCACAATCTGTGTCTGAGTTGCCCCCCTTGTCTCAATTCAGGGCCTTCTCAATTAAAGTATTGCTAAGCAGAGCCAGATCTGATTCAGCAAACCTTTAGCCAAATGTCATACTGGCCCACGGTCATCCTCTACAGAGCATCACGAAGCAGTTAATCCAATTTGAGTAAGACTAAAAATCACATAATGAATCCCTAGAAAAACATGTAAAACAATAAAAGTTATGTTAATTATATATACTTAGTCATTGGAGAAACCCCATCTGTCCCTAAATGGTCAATGAAGACAATACTTCTCTAGTGTTAATAATTAGCTTATCCTTGCCATAGAGACTAATGGAAGCTCTCTTCTCATGATTGCTAAAACCACAGTTTCCTCTACCGTGGTAAATTACAAGAAGCATACAGACTACAGAGCCCCGAAGGGTGCAAACTATCACCAGATGCAACGAGAGACAACAGCTCCCTTCCAGTGATCCCTACACACTCCTAAAAGGTGTGCAGTAAATGAATGTCAGTAAATGGAATGATATTTTCAATTTGCCTGGATATAGTAGGAGGTTTGTCAATCATTTAGTAAATAAAATTCTTCGATTCCGCTTGTCAAAATTCTTAGGTTCTGCTTGTCTTTTTCAGCTACCAGAGAATTCCAGGGGGCACGGACTTCTCACTTTCCTGGGCGTGAGCCCTGTTCTCTGACACATAGCTTAACAGAGCTTTTGCTTCTCCTAGGAATGTTCTAATTCCACAGCCAGTTTCCTCTGATTTCAGAAGCAAAGACTCATCAAGCCCTCCCTACCATCCTAACCACATGCAGGATGGGAGATCTCTTCTCAGAACAGCCGGTTTCCCTGTCCATAGAGAAGCTGAAAAGGTCACTGCTTGTTCCTACACAGCCCACTTCAGACCCACTGGCTGAAGCTAGCAAAAAAATAAAATAAAACCATGGTAGATTTCGTAGAGATTTCATGCCCTGTGGCTTCCTCCTTGTCGTTCAGATGTTAGCTAAGATTTGCAAGCAAAAAGAACTGCTTTCAAATATACTAAGTAACTATGGAAATAAATTAAGCCATTGACGCTGGCTTGATAAAAAGCAGATCACTGAGACAATGACAAGCTAAGAAGGAAGCAAGGGAAACGGTCCCCAGCAATGAAGTTAACTCTTTCCCAAGCCAGTCGTTTGGTGTGGAATATCTTTTGGTTCTGAAGATGCAACTATTATTTCAACCTTATGCTAAGCAAGACCACAATGCCATATCGTTACCTGACTGAGGGAAGAGAGAAATGTAAACGTGTTGTCCCATTGTTCATGTGCCTGGAACTTTCCTCTTATGGACATATATATCTAAAATTTGCTTCTTAGACCAAATGATGACCAAGTATCACTAGTATAATTTCTGGTACCACCTGCACACAACTGCAATCATGAAATGAATAGTTCAGCCAAAATTATAAAATAGGAGGCAAGAGGTTCCAACATGGAAATCAGGTCAATCCAGCAACCTCAGGCTTTCTTGGAAAGTGTGCTATTGGCCAGGTCATCACTACACACACCCAAATCAAAGGTTTTTGCCACCTAACTGGTCATATATTTTCAGCAGAAATACAGGATCTGAATAACAAATGAAACAGGAAGAATGTGCATCCTATTAGCAGTTAAATGAACCCAAGAATTGTTACTCTATATTTTCAGGGTTTGGTGTGAGAACTTATCGAATATTTAAAAAAAACAGACAGGGCCGGGCATGGTGGCTCACGCCTGTAATCCCAGCACTTTGAGAGGCTGAGGCAGGAGGATCACTTGAGGTCAGGAGTTCGAGATCAGCCTGGCCAAATGCTGAAACCCCATCTCTACTAAAATACAAAAAAAATTAGCCAGGCATGGTGGCATGTAGTCTCAGCTACTCAGGAGGCTGAGGCAGGAGAATTGCTTGAACCTGGGAGGTAGAGGTTGCAGTGAGCCGAGATAGCCCCACTGCACTCCAGCCTGGGCAATAGAGCAAGACCCTGTCTAAATAAATAAATAAATAAACAGGCGGCCTACATTTTGTGACTCCTACCCACAAAAGCCACACACATGGCACCATCACGACTGTGAATAGAGGATTCCAGTTATGGTGTGGTGTGGTGTAGAATGTCTCGATTCAGAGTGGGTCCCACTTCAGTTAAAACAAGCAGCTTTGGAAAAGAATAGCTCTGCCCAGCCTGACTACAGGAAGCTTTCCCCACACATCTTTAGGGATGCACGAGGCTGGACCAGTTCACATCAGGGACTGGAAAAAGACTGAATATTTCAGGGACCAGGGAGGTTCCATGTCCACAGGAATCAGGCTGATCTTTTCTAAACTCTCTGCTCATTGATTAAAAGTAGCAAAATCAGCAACTCACTGGGTCTCCAGCAGTTCTGCCTGGTACAACCAGGAAGAGCCCAAGTCAGTGCAAGAAAGACAGATTTTGAGCTGCATTCTTTATTTCTAGTAGCTAAAGGTACAAGCTGTATAATTGTAAGCAGGTGGGAAGAACAGGAAGCGGGGAAGAACAAAGCTTGAAATGGGACAGTCGGAACATGTGGCTACAGTCCTGCCACTGTTGTGGTAAATGCTTTCTCCTCCTGAACTGCAAACTCCTTTGCCTATAAAATGCTAGGACTGGCCCAAAAGCTTTCAGGAAAAGTCTCTGCAAGCTCTGATGCTCCATATTTTTAACTACTCTTTAATCAGAAACATATTAACCAATTTTAAAAAGCCTTTAAACACATTTGTTTACAACACTGAAGACTTGAGTCATACATCTTGCTCATGGAGGATGTGATTGGCACAGTTTACATCAAAAGACTGTTTGCAATGGCTCACAAGTTAACTCCTTGAAGACAATTAAAGGCAAATGGAATGCACATTTGTCCCTTCTCTGAATCCATCTGAACTGCGGTGGGAAGCAGAATCTTGGAGTGTCCAGAAGAGCTGCCCAGTCCCCAAATTCATATCTACTGGGCTTGGAAATTATGAGACAAATTACAAATCAGGATCACAATATGAAAATTTATTTGCTCGCTGAGGGCGGTGGCTCACGCCTGTAATCCCAGCACTTTGGGAGGCCGAGGTGGGCAGATCACCTGAGGTCAGGAGTTCGACACCAGCTTGGCCAACATGGTGAAACCTCGTCTCTACCAAAAAATACAAAAAATAGCCAGGCATAGTGGTGCACGCCTGTAATCCCAGCTACTGAGGAGACTGAGACATGTGAATTGCTTGAACCCAGGAGGTGGAGGTTGCAGTGAGCCAAGATCACACTGCTGCACTCCAGCCTGGGTGACAGAGCAAGACTCTATCTCAAAAAAAAAGAAAAAAAAATTTGTTTGTCCTTCCATATTACCAGGCAGCACTAGAAAATCATTTTCAAATTTGCTCGGTAGCTGGACAAAACAGTTGGGGATTACAATTTTGCTCTAGATAATTTCTAAAGTGGATTACTCACCATGAGAATAGACTAAATTTCACAAGTCACAAAATGGAAGATAATGTTTTTGAAGTCCCAAACATGAGCCTGGTGTGGCTACAGCCTCAAAGCCGTTGGAGTATTTAACAGGGGAAAGAGCTCACTGGTTTTAAACAAGCCTCTTCCCCATGGCATAAGCAAAGCATTAAAAATAAGAATGGGATTTTTAAAAAAGCTTTTCATTTGCCATTTGCGTTTGGAAGATTGGAGTACTCACATCATTTCAGCCGAATTTCTAAGTATTACACTGTACGGCTAGTAACGTTCCACCCAAGTGATTGGCAAGGTATTATTACGATAATGTCCTCAATTTTCACATACAATATTTGAGCTGTTTGCTTTCTCAGAATACAAAACCCTGAGCTATTTTCTGTAATTATACCAGATGCATTTTAAGAAGCATTCTTAGTCTTGAAAAAAGGAAAGAAAACAATCCTGCAACTACTGAGGTCGGTTTGGTTTTTCTCCTGAGAACAGAGGAGTCACTGAATGTCACCTTCTTAATGGGCTCACAGTCAGCCCTTCGCTGGGTTAATTTGCTTAGCATGTTTTATGTAGCAGCCTTAGAATATTGCTCTGCACAGACTAGAGGGCTGGACATGGCTTGAGATTGTTGAAATCAATTCAATGGCACCCTTCCATCCAGAAAATTCAACTGCAGATGTTGAGAATGTGCTCCTGTCCGACTCAAGCTCCATGTGTCCAAGGCAGCTTGTGCTGGCGGAAGGCCAGATCTGCCATCCCCTCCTTGAGCCCCAGCCACCACCCCAGGCTTCCTCACCTCTCGGTGCCCCTAACCCTAGAGTCGCACAGGGCTCTGCTCTCAGAGCTTGGTTGATTTAATGCTCTGCTGCCACCTTGAAGTGTTTCATAATGTTTGAATGTGGGGCACACATTTTCATTTTGCACCGAGACCCACAAATTATGCAGCCAGTCCTGCGCCCCACTCCCCACGCCAAAGGCAGAGGAAATGTGAAGTTCTCCCTGCTCCCTGCCCACCTACCCTGCTTAAAATAGTGCTTGATTCACTCATTTCTTTTTGGCTTTGGAATTTCTAATGGCTCCCAACTGCCCCACACAGAATCCCACTCCTTTCTCAGCCCAGCACTTGGGGCCTCTTACAGCCTAGCCCAGCCCTGGTTTCCCCTGCCTCCTTAGTTCCACCCTCTCCTCGCCACCATCTCTTCCATCTCTAGTCTAGTCTTTGTTCCTGCTTCTGGGCCTGGTCTGCAGGTAGGACTCTGGGCACACCCCTCCCCACCATTTCTGGTGTTTTGTAACTTTCACCTAGGTAGCTACACTGCGCACTTGGCAGCCCACCACCAACACTTAACTGTACCAGCTCCCACTCCTTGCACTGACACCTTGGGGGCCTGCCTCCTCCTCTCAGCTGCAAGGCCCTTGTCCTGAGCTTTGAGCCCCCACGGACCAGGCAGAACTGGTCCACCTCAGCTACAGAAGAACAAACACTTCACCAACAATGGAGAAGTAAACAGTTATTCCAAACAATGTGGGTTCAAAAAAATCTAGAACAGCCTGATTCATCTGAAGCTAGTTTGGGCAGCTTGGATTATCCAGACAACAGCCTCAGTTCTCTTCCTTTCATGCACGTGGACGTGGCTACGTAGCCAGCAGAAGGGAAGAACACAGCCCATGACCTCGGCATCAACTCGGAGCTCCATCTGCGCACCAGTGCGTCCAACCTTTTCCCACACTCCCTACCTGGTATCTGTGAGAGGCTTTAACATGCCAGTTCCAAAAGAAGACACCTTGGCTCTCTACAGAGAAGTGCATGGCCTGAGGTAGGAGATAAGAGGAGGCCACATGGCTCATAAAATAGGATGACAGCCATGGTGGCTGTAGAGTTCCTGCTGCCAAGGGCGATTCTGACAAATGCACTTACGAAACCTGGCATTTAGACAGGCCAAAGTCCTCCCACTTGGTGGAAGAGGTCCTCTTTATTCTGTCTTCTTTAATATTTTCTTACTTGTTGAGCAACAGAAGGGAGAATAGAATAGGAAATTGTGGTTATCTGGGAACAGAGACATAGGGGAAGGGGACTGGGTTTTCCCCAGCTCACCCACCATGGATTTTCCAGACTCTCACCAATGAGTAAGAAGCAGAATTCCAGGAAGGACATAAGCTAGGACTGATACAAATATCAAACTCTTTGACTAAAGTAGTCTGCCCTACCTGTTGGTCAGTAGTCCTATGAAAGGGTTGGTGATGAGCTGGACGGTGGCTTTCGAGGCAAACAACAGACCAACTTGCACGTTTTCATTCAGGAGGTCTTTGTCTTCACTGGGACAGTCGGAAGGAACAGCGGACGCGTTGGTCACCATGTGCTGTGTGGCGGTCTGATGAAGTGTCAGGTCTCTGGTAGCATTCCCGGTGACCATAGTCGAGTTATCATAATAGGAGAAGATGCTCTGGAAGCTGTCTGAGATGGAGGCAGTGTGCACTGGCCTGGCCGTCTGGATTTCTGTAGCATTCTTCTCATGCTTAATGCTGTACAGATAACTTGGGATGATGGGGACTGGGGATAAGAGCAGAATGGCAAGGTGGTGATCACACTGAAACCCTCTCCAGGAAAAAAGCCAGCAAAAAACTATGGTTGTGTCGGCAGGGAGCAGTGGCTCACACCTGTAATTCCAGGACTTTGGGAAGCTGAGGCAGGTGGATCACCTGAGGTCAGGAGTTCGAGACCAGGCTGGCCAACATGGAGAAACCCTCTCTCTACTAAAAATACAAAAATTAGCTGGGCGTGGTGGCACCCACCTGTAATCCCAGCTCCTTTGGAGGCTGAGAAAGGAGGATCGCTTGAACCTGGGAGGTGGAAGTTGCAGTGAGCAAAGATTGCACCACTGCACTCCAGCCTGGGTGACAGAGTGAGACTCTGTCTCAAACAAACAAAACAACAATAACAACAACAAAACTATGGTTGTGTCAAATGCCAGAAGAGGTCCAGAGGGTGACAGGTCTACCCCAAAACAGGAGCCCTGTGCCATATGTCTATAACGACATTGGAGCAAGTTCACTTTACTTAGCTCACTAGAAAGAACCATGCCCCCAACGGCCCTGAGAACTGTCTCCTCTCAAAAGGCAGCTGCTGTGCTGAACTGACTGGTCCCAGAGATTCTGTCATTTGTGGGTTTCTTCCACATTGTTCCTTCAAGGAATATTTCAGAAAAGCAAAATGTGGCCTGACGTTAAGAGAGTGCTGACCTGGAGTCAACCAGTGCTTCTAAGAAAGAGAGGCTCAAAAGACTTTCAAATGAATGAATCAAGGAAACAGAAAACTACACTTCATTATGTGTCTTAGAAAAAAATTAACCTGCAGGAAGTAATAACTTGGAAATTCTGCAACAGGCCCACTTCATCCTTCTATTATGAGTGGGAATCTGTAATTTTTCCTACAACTTGTAAGATTTAAGAATTCCTAAGGCTTTCACAAGGAAAAAGCAAAACTGAAACAGGCCAGGCACGGTGGCTCAGGCCTGTAATCCCAGCATTTTGGGAGGTCGAGGCGGGTAGATCACCTGAGGTCAGGAGTTCAAGACCAGCCTGGCCAACATGGCAAAATCCTGTCTCTAATAAAAATACAAAAATTAGCCAGCTTTGGTGGGGCATGCCGGTAACCCAGCTACTCGGGAGGCTAATGCAGGAGAATCACTTGAACCCGGGAGGTGGAGGTTGCAGTGAGCCAAGACTGTGCCACTGCCCTCCAGCCTGGGCAACAGAGTGAGACTCCATTTCAAAAAAACAAACAAAAACCAAAATAAAAAGCAACAACAAAAAATACAAATTAAATTGTGAAACATATAATCGAAGCTGTGAGCACATGTGTCCAATGGAGCATTCGAGCCGAAGCAGAACTAATGCCGTTGGTACTGAACAGGGATGAGCTCCACGGCTCTGATAACTCCTCGAGATGAAACCTATCAGATGCTCTGAAAACTGCTGTGAGAAAACCTGCAAATGGAGAGAAAGGAAACAGCTCCCACCACTTACAGTCTAAATGAGTCGTGATTTTTTTTTCATTCATTAAAAACTGGGATTTTTTTTTTTAAGGAAATGCATGCCAAATACTTCTCTGTTAATGGGCCTAATTAAGGGACCTGGATTTCGATTATTTAATTTTTCAAAATTCCACTATAGGAAAAATAATAGAACCAAGATTGTTCAAATTGTTCTTGCAATGGTTCCTGAAATATTTCCATCTCAAGTCATTCACTAATACAGTATATCTAAATGTCTTGTTTTTGGAGTAAGGGATCGAAACTTGCTCTTTTAGGTACTACACCAAATTACTAACCTGCCTTTTCGAGTAGCCCAATAATTATTCTAACACGTAATTTTGAACTTTAGGAATTTCTCTTTTGGAACAGAAATCTTTTTCATCGCAGTGAAAGCAGGCAAGAGGATGCGGGAAATTATCAGGGGGAAACATAAGTTCTGGGTCTTATCGGATGTCACAGTTTTTGACCCGAGCATCAGGAAAGCGAAGCCACACAACGCGGCTCCTCCTAGCCCCGGCGCGGCAGCCTGGAGGGGATGTCTTTTTTGCAAAGCGAGTTCTCCAACTTTCCCGGGCCTTGGCGGAGCTCCGGGACCGCGCAGGGGTAAGTGGAGTGCCGGGGAAGGGGCGCTGGGGCTGGGGTGCCGGGGCAGGGGTGCCCTGTCCGCACGTACCCACGACAGTGAGCAGCATGTTGTCCAGCAGCAGCGCCAGGAACACGATGAACAGGATGAGCTTCCGCGAGCGGCGGCTCTCCTGCAGCCAGCGGACCAGCGCCAGCTCGCTCAGGGCCATGGCTCCGGGGCTCCGCTGCGGGCGCGGTGCGCGGTGAGGACCCAAGGCGGCCGTGGACCCCCCATTCTCCCGTCCCCCAGGCCGCGGAAGGGCGGGTCAGGGAGCCGCGCGCACCGGCATCCGGGGACACCCCCGGGCGCCCCAGCCTCGGCTCACCTGCCTCGAGCGCGTCCCCACGAGAGCCCGCGCTCCCTGGAAAGAGCGCCCGCGAGCGCCGTCGGGGACCCAATCTGGAGACCCAACCTAGAACCCCCAGGACGCTGCCCTGATCCCCGCCGCCCCCAACTGTGCCACCTCCCAAACTGCACGCTCGGCCCCGTGCACCTTGCGCCCTGCGCCCTGCGCCCCGGCTGCCCCGGGGTCCCCGCAGCCCCGCCCGCGTAGCTCTGGGGGCCTCCCTGCCTCCCTGCCTCCCCCGGGCCCGCTCCCCTCCGGCACCGCGCCCTGCGAGCAGGGAACCGGGGCCGTGTTACCTCGGGGTCGCTTGCGATGCCTGCCCGGGTCCTCCGTGCCCGCGCCAACGCCCGCACCGCAGTGGGCTCCGTCAGTCCGGGCGGCTCCGGGTCGCAGTCTCCGCCCCAGCGCCCCGCCGCCGCCGCTCAGTTTACCCCGTCCGGCTCTGACGTCACGGCCGGAGGGAGCGGGGGCGGGGGGCTGGGGCGCCCCGGCCTCCGCCCGCCCGCGCCGTCGCTGCGCAGGAGGGGCTGCCGCCTCCCTGTCCCCGCCTCGGCCGCGGCCGCGCCTCTTCCCCGGACCCAGCGCGTGGCCGAGTGCCTTGGGGACCCAGGCCTGGGGAAGAGGCAGGGGCGCAGAGGGAAAGAGGTCAGAGAGCCTGGACGAAGAGTGAAGGGCCAGGGACCAAGGCGAGGAGGCACGGACCAGGGCTTTCTTGTGGCTCCAAGTGGTGGCTCGAGCTGCTTTGAATAAATCACGTGGCTCTTTGAGCCTCAGTGTCCCTGAAATGGGCCGTGAGGACGGGAATGATGGCCGCGGGGTGAGATCGCCAGGGGTGACAGGTGCTGGGAGCCAGGGACAGGCTTCCCTTTCCTGAAGAAGCCACCCTTTGCACCCACCATCCCCTCCCCTCTCCGACCTCTGCAGCCCGATGCGGGGTGCCACTCGGAGGAGCCTTTGAGCCTTGGGCATCCTCAAGCTGGTGACTTGGAAACGGGGGGGGGAAGGGGACACTTTTCAGTGTCGCCCTATGGTGGGAGTTGGGGAGGTGAGGGTCCCAGGTCTCAGAAAGTGGGAGCAGTGGGTTTGGGCCTCTGGGGCCACCTGAGCAGGGGACCCTGGAGGCTAGGTGAGTACACCTGGCCTCAGAGAAAGGGCTAGGGGGCGGGCTGTGGGCGGGGCAGCAGGCCTAGGCCCTGTGTCCTGTACTCTCTCCCCACCATGCTGTGCCTGGGCGTCTGGGTGAGAGGTGGTTCCTAGAGCCAGGGGCCTGCGTGTGGCTGGTGCAGAGCTGTCATCCTCACTGCTAAGGGCTAAGAGCCTGCCTTTGATTTCCAGGTCCCTTTTATAAGCAAAGGAGAAACAAACAGATGCCCTCTGACATCGCTGGAGCTCTGCAGGCCCTCCGAGGGGACCGTGGGAGCAAGAGCTGTTTTCTTGAAAAGCTACCTAGAATAAATGTTACCCTGTCACAGTCTCTTAGCAGAAGAGTGGGCTTGTTTTATTAATGTTAGCTTGTTGACAGCAGGAGGCCACTGAGAACAGCAGTGTGATGTGTGGCTGCCCCCGCTCTCTCCACCTCCCTACTCCCTTGCAGAGACCCCCTGTGCTTCTCATTGCTACCCCATGTGTGAGAAGAGATGGTTGAATAGGTAAGTAGGTCAGGAACATGGGTCTCCAGGATGTCACAGGATGTGCACAACTTAAACATTAAACAGGGAGGACAGAAGGAAAACCACTTAGGAGGAGGAAGCAGATGGCAGAGAGCCGTTTAAGATGGCAGGAGGGTATCACTCAGGGAGTGCCCCAGAGTGCTTGCTCTGGAGTTTCAGAACCCAAGGATGCAGACTCTACCCCAGGGACCACATGGGGACAGAGAGGCATTATGGTAAAGGGTGCCTGCCAGGATGCCCAGGTCCCAGTCTGCTACTTCCTTGACTGGTGGCCTTGGGCTGGTTATGTATCCTCTTTGTGGCTTAGTTTCGCCATCTCTGGAATGGGGATACTCACTGGACCTACTGCAGCGTGGTTGTGAGAATTCCAGGGGAATGCATAGGCAGCTCTTAGCACAGTGCCTGGCACAAAGTGAGAGCTCCGTAAGTGCCGGCCCCTCATTCATGCGCTGAATATGTGTTGAGCTCTTACTACGTGCCAGGCACTATGGTTAATGCTGGGGAGACAGTAAAGCCTAGACAAATCCCTGCTGACATTCTGACCTGATAGCAGCATCATAGCAGTGAACACTGGAAGCCACACCAAACTCCAGCCCAGCCAGCTGGATGTAGATGGCTCCAGGGACAATGCCAGCCCGGCGTTCCCGCCTCCGGATCACTGTCACCACCCCTAGAGCACTATGGCCTATAACAGACTTTTTGTTGAAACCCCCTAAAAAATGTTTAACAATATGTTTGCCTTACACATTTTCAAGTTGGCATCTAAAATGAGTTTTTTAATCATATATTTAAATAGGGTATATTGTATTTATTGACCTTTATGTATAAAATTATTATCTCTCTCTTTTAAATATACCCAAAGGAATTTGTATAAGAATACAAAACTGCCATGTTATACTTAAGAATATAAACAAGTATCCCTTTAACAGTCAAAATATTTACATTGTGTTCTTTACCCCTTTTAAGTATGTTTCCATTCCGTTTTCCAACAGAATTGTATCCTACCCTAATGCTTTTATTGTTTAAATTCTGTATTCATCACCTATCTATTATGTGAACCACAATAAATATGTGAATATGCATTAGCTTTTTAAAATTTTCTACACGTGGACATAAAGATGGCAACAACAGACCCTGGTGGGGACTACTAAAGGGGAAAGGGAGGGAGGGGGGAAAAGGTTGAAAAACTAACTCTTGGGTACTATGCTCACTACCAGGGGGACAGGATCAGTCATACCCCACACCTCAACATCACTCAATATACCAGTGTAACAACCCTGCACATGTACCCCCTGAATCCAAAACAAAAGTTGAAAGTATAAAAAAAAGTTTAGGCACAGTGACTCATGCCTGTAATCCCAGCATTTTGGTAGGCTGAGGTGGGAGGATCTCTTGAGGCCAGGAGTTTGAGACCAGCCTGGGCAAGATAGTGAGACCCTCTACAAAAAAGTTTAAAATTTAGTTGAGCATCGTGGTACACACGTGGGGTCCCAGTTACTTGGAAGGCTGGGGTGGGAGGATCACTTGAGCCCAGGAAGTCAAGGCTGCAGTGAGCCATGATCACACCACTGCACTCTAGCCTGGGCAACAGAGCAAGACCCTGCCTCAAAAATTAATTAATGATTAATTAATAAGGCTCTAAAATTCTCTTTAGGATTATGTGATTATAACAATGATTAATGGTATTTAAGTGATCAAGACATCATACACAAATATGTATTCTGATAAATAATTATTAAACATAAAAAGGAAAATTGTCTTAAAAGTGCATTACTTAAGGGATGGATAGAGAGGGGATTTTTGGAGTCTTGCTGAAAGAGACACCAAAAGTGTCTCTGTTTGGTGCCGAGGATGTTTTTGTGCCTCAGGACACTGTATACAGGAAGGGGGTCAGACTCAGGTTAGATAGGAAGGGAGCCTTTCTTTGCCCAGGGGAAGATGGGAGACTGTGGAGAGGGGAGGCCATGCAGGAGCATGTGCATGTCCCCACCCAGGTCCATATCAGCCAGATAAGCTTTAGAATGGAAGACATGAAAATTGAGGGTCTCAAACGGCTCGGGACATCTTCATATACACTCAGTGTCCTGCCATTCCAGCCTGAAGAGCCTCCACGGCCACTTCTCAAACATCTTAGCCCTCGCCTTCCCCCTCTGGCCACAGTGGTTCCTCTCAGCATTTCTCTGCCCCAGGGCCTTTGCACATTTTCTTTCCGCTTCCTCTTCTTTTCTAGTTATTTCCTCATGGAGGAAAGCATGCTGTCCAGCATCAGACAGGCCCCTCCCTTATAAACCCTCATGAAGGTGTTACTTCTCCTTTTTACTTCACTTCCTCCTTTGAGTAACCCTCAAAGAAACATTACTTCCTCTAGAGTTACTTCCTCTCTAGAGGAAAGTAACTCTCCCTCCTCTCCCTCCACTCACTTGCACCTTTTTTAGACACTGGGGACTGAGGAGGTACAAAGGTGGTACCCGAGTTTACTTTTTCATTACATTTCAATAATTGAGAATGATAATTTCTAAATTCTATTTAGGAAGTAGCCACCTGGGACATAGCAGTTATTTGAAATAGACATTACTGGAGATGCACTAACAGTTTAAGCTGTAGACAGCATCCTAGTGGGGTCTCTTACAAGTTACATGACCTTGGTCATTCTACTTGACCTTTACATACCTGTTTCTTATCTGTCTCTCCAGCAGGATAACAGTCCCTCCCTCCAGCATAGTTATAGAGAGAAAGTGGGATGGGCCTTGCCTAGTGCCTGACATTAGGTGTTCTCTGTTACTGGAAAATGGAAACTGCTGGATACAGGGAAGGTGTAGGTGTTTCCTGGGGGAAAAATCCTCAGGTGCTCCCCCACCAGAGAACTTGGAAACAAGGACAGTACCCTCACCTCCTGGGCATTAAGCTGTGACATTCAAATAATGGGTCAGAGCAGAAACGAACAAAACCATCCCAAGAGACTCAGTGGTTCCTAGCCTAGCCCAACCTGGCGTACTAGTTATCACAGACAGGGAAGGAAGGGAGAGTAGAGTAGCCAGGCAGGAGCCAGCGAGCTGGCACAGGATTGGAACAGATAGGTCACAGAAGGGGGAGCCCAAATAGCTACCAAGCTCATGAAGAGACACTCATACGCTAGTAATCAGAGAAATGCCTATTAAAATGAGGTTGAGACACAGCCCTACACCTGGAGCACTGGCAACAATAGGAAGTTGGGTGAGACCATTTGTTGGTGAAAATATAGCTAAATGAGAGTACTTTCCTTGGGGTGCATGGGGACTGGTGCAGCCTTTCTGGAGAGCAATCAGGAACTTTTTGGTGGAATTAAGTAAGTGCCCACCCTCTGATCCAGAGTTCTCTCTCTCTCTCCCTCTCTCTCTGCCATCTTTTGTTCAAACCAAGAAGCCAGATTTAAAAGCCCCCCAGAGGCTACCCACAGAAGAGTCCCTGCACAAAGAGTTGCTCCCAGGAAGAGCCTGGGTAAATGTAGGATACATTGTACGTTTCAGGACACACCAGGGAAGTCGCTGAGACAGTTACCACTGCACTTTGTGGGAAATTCCATCCCATTTGTACATAGCCCCGGGTGGCTCCCATGGCCTGTATCCCAGTCCCCTGAATTTCCAGGGCTGGCAGCCTCAGCTGAACTTTCCCAGGAGGGCTACACCTAGACAGGATTTGTTTGCGTCATCTTCAGACTGGGTAGAGCAAGTGCCTTTTGGGCAAGACCCTCAAGAGCTCCTTGCCAACCTCCTCCTAGAAGAGCAAAGACAAGGTGCTAGTGGGAGGATTACTGCATGGCTTGAGGGAGGGTCTGCCCGCTCCCCACACCGTGGCTGGAGAGTAGGAAGTGAGAGGGCCCAGAACAGGGACCCGAAGGTAGGCTGCGGTCTCTCTCTCTCTCTCTCTCTCTCTTTCTCTGTGTGTGTGTGTGTCCTGTTTGTCTCTGAGAAATCCCTACTCAGAACCTAAGGGGCATAGATAAGGATGGTCATTGCCATGTCGTGTGCAGCAGTGGGGAACTGATGCAACCTGGGTTTCCCTCACTAGGGACGATGTAAGTGAAATGTGGAGGACGCGACTGTAGAGTACCATGGAGCCATAGAAGCTGTGCACTGCGTTGCACACATCTCCACAGGCAGATTTTAGGAGGCCTTGGGTCTTGGGAGGAGGAGGAGGGCAAGTTCTATAGCATAATTCCAGGTGGGTACATAAGAAGCAGATGGGCACCACTACATTTTTGGAGGCTTCGTCCCCATCCAAGGGTATGAATCAAGTACATCGGAATTGGATCCCCTTCTCCAGGAGGGGGCCAGGAATGGGGATCTAGGATGAAGTGGAAAAGTGGAAATAAGTGAAAAGAAACCAAGAAATGGGCACCACAGTCTGCTCAGAACTGGGCAGAGGATCAACTCACTGCTCTGTACATAAGGTACCCCACCACTGCCACCCCTGCCAAAAGGATGTGTTGGTGATAAAGAGGCTGTCACCATAGACACTTAGAAAAGGCAAACACTTTCAATGTAGCGTTGGCTGCACCGAACACACAGGCCATGCAGGGAGACGCCGCAGGGAGACGCCTCCTGGGGAGCAGGCAGGGCCATGAGCTGTCTCAAGCCAGACTGAAGGGCAGTGATAGCAGATGGAAACCTCCTTCCCCAGAAAACAATGGCAAAACATTGGAAAAGGGCAATGTCTGGCTCAAGGCAAAAGACTCTTGGATGGATTCTTTTTGTTTTGTGTGTTTTGTTTTTGCCTTTTCCCTCAAACTGTCTTTATAAACTTTTAACTGTTTAAAATTAAAATTGTAACATCATCTCGAGGGGCTCATGACATATGTAGATGCATTACTTACAACAACTGTTATTAAGGGATGGGGGTGGTTCCGGGGCTATAATGAAGCCAGATGTCCATACTTTATGTGAAGGGCCTATGATTAACTGTAAATGGACTGTGAAAAGTTAAGGATGTATGATGGAATCCTAGCACAACCACTGTCAAAAATAATGCAAAGAATAGCTAAACTGCTGACAGAAAAATTAAAACTAAATGCATTCTAAGAAAAAGTATTCAAGTCATTTTAAAAGATGGGGAAGGAGGAACAGATGAACAAAAACCAGAGGAGTCAGGCAGAAAACAAAAATAAAATGATAGAGGAAACCCAGCTAAATCAAGAATTACATTAAACATCAATGAACACTACAAGTAAAAGAAAGCAGTTGTCAGAATGGATTTTAAAAAGAGTATCAACTCTATGTTGTCTATAAGAGTCACTCTTTAAATATAAAGACACAGATCAGTTGGAAGTAAATGGATGGAAAAAAAACAATGCATGTAAACTGTAAGCGTAAGAAGGCTGAAGTGAGTGTATTAATTTCAGATAAAATAGATTTCAAAAACAAAACTTGAAAAAGAGATCTAAAAAGGAGCTTTCATTATGGGAAAAGGAGTCAATCAACAGGCAGATATAAAAGTCGTAATGCATATGCACCCAATAATAAGGCCCCAAATCTATGAAAAAAAATGGACAGAATGAAAGGGAGAAATAGATGTTTCCATAATCAAAGTGGGGAAATTGAACACCCTTTCTCAACAATTGATAGAACACCTGAACAAAAAAATCACCAGACACAGAAGATCAAAATAATAGCAGCAGCCACTTTGGCTTAATTGGTATTTATTTACACTGAACAGTAGCAGACTTCACATTCTTTTCAAGAATATATGGAAAGTCTCCGCCAAGATCTGTCTCATTCAGGTAGAGGGTTGTTTTTTCCTTGACACCAACTCAATCAGTTGTTTAGCATACAGGTAAATAATGAGACTATGATTAGAAAAAGAATGCATTTCATTCTCATGCTTTTCTGAGGTTTTCTGCGTAGGCAGCTGCAAAAGAACATTTTCTGTGTAAAATTTAACCAAATCGACTGTTCTGATTTTAAGAGGGAATGGGAAGGCAAATGTCAATTTACTTGAAGGATGCCTTGCTGACTACCAATGACATTAGGTCATAGATGCTCTAACTTAATAATTCAATCACTGAATTAACTGGCTTCATGTGGCATTATCTGTAAATGTGGGTCTCCAGGTTTGGCTATTTTAATAGAATCACTAACCTGTCTAAGGACATTTGCTGTCACTGAAGGCTGCAGAGGAGCCAGCTGGCTGTGAAGAGCAGGTTTTCATTTGCTTCATGCCTTGATCCTCCACTCTCACTTGGAATATTGCAATCCCCCTCCCACTCTACACCCATGCCTGCTCCCAGCATCCCCAGGCCTCATACAGTCTACCTTCCTCCCCAGCCAGAGACAGCGGCAAAAAACCAACATGGTCACACCACTTCCTTGTGTAAAACACGTCAACAGCCTCTCACTTGGGATAATGTTCAAAGTTTTCCATGTGGCCCAATGGGACAAGCCTGGTCCAGCCCTGCCCACTCTTTCCATCTTAATTTGCCACATTTGTCCTTGCTGTCTGTTTCATATCAGATTCCCTTATGATTCTCTGGGCTCTTGCATGGCTTCAGATGTCTTTGTGTATCTCCAGGGCCCCAGAATTCCAGCCTGAGAAGCCCTGGCCTGGGAGCTCCTCGCCTCCTCTTATACCACTTGGCCATGGCCTTCCCTCTTGCCCTCCCTTTCCCCACCCAGCTACAGTGGGCTCTTTTCAGTAAGCACGCTCTGCCTCAGGGCCTTTCTGCTCTCTGTTCCTTCTGCCTGGGGTGCTCTTCTCCCTCTTCATCTGATTATCTTGTTTTCATTCCTAGCCTCTCATCTGCTCATACACCCAATGTTCCCTCCTACCCCAGGGCCTTTGCTCAGGCCATT
Organism: Homo sapiens; assembly: GCF_000001405.40. Taxonomy (NCBI): domain Eukaryota; kingdom Metazoa; phylum Chordata; class Mammalia; order Primates; family Hominidae; genus Homo; species Homo sapiens. The sequence continues at coordinate 117,233,022 of NC_000010.11, read as the reverse complement.
CCTACTGTCCAAAATGTCCTTCCCTCTTCCACCTTCATCTCATTAATTCTCCCTTAGCCTTTACATCCTAGGTCAAAACACAGATAGGTTGAAAGTCAATGGATGAGAAGGTATTTCTTCCCAGGGAAGCCTTCCATGACACCTGAGCGTATGTCCCCTGTGCCATATTGATAGATCCCTAAACCTTCCAGTCCTGGCATTTCTCATTATAATCACAATGTTACTAATATGACTGTCATTAATGTTGGGCTTCTGGGTCCCTCCCCCTGGGAGCTCAGTGAGGTCAGGGGCTTCAGTGTCTCGTTCACCCCTGCGTCCCCAGAGCCTGGCACAGAGTAAAAGTTCAGTAAATGCTATGGCTGATCCAAGTTCCCTGATCACTTACGAAGTGAGTTTACCATCCCAGGCACCTCACAAATGCCATCAGGCACCCACCACGCAGAAGGCTCGGCCCTCGCTGGCTGTCTCCTTGTGGGTCCAGTGATCTGCTGTTGCTCAGGCCAGCTTCCATGCCTTTGCCTAAGTGGCTTCCTCCACCTGGAACATCCACTTCCTTTCTTCTACCTATCCAAGCCCTCACCTCTTCCTACCTGGTTTGGCTTGGAAAATATTTTCCCCACCGTCAGTTACTGAGTGACCATGAAACCCACCCAATTTATGATGCAACAAGGGACTGCTGTCTCTGCTCATTAAAGCTACAATAATAGAATCATTTATGTCCCCTCCTTCCCCAGCATTCCCTGTGGCCATCCCCCATGCCCCAACCTCTGCTCATTCCTGATGCTGAGTCTTTGCTTAGGCAGATCGTCTTCCTAGGATGTCGTTCCTGCCCCTGGCCGGGGGAGCCCAGCCAAAAGCAAAATGCCCAGATGTCATCCCACGGTCCCAGCTGTGCCATCAAAGCTGAAGGCCCACGGTATGGCACAGGCACCCTCCAATTCTCTACTGAATGTTTCATGTTCCCTCTTCATCCCCACTCCTGTCCCTGCCACCACCTCCTACCCCAGCAGCCTCCTCTCTGCCCCACCCGGCACCATGTGCTGCCTCCAGTCTATCTGTGACTCTGTAGATATCCATGAACCACCGCTTTCTTTCAACAAACCCCTCCCCTGTTCAGGAGCCTAAGGTAGCTCCCTGATACCTCAAATCTACACTCTCCTGCCTGGCTTCCAAGATCATCTGCAATCCACCCCACCCCACCCCATCCCTCACTCTACCTCCGCTTGAATCACACTGGTCCCTCCATGCCCCAGAAACAGTCATCGGTTATGCTATTCGCCTCATCCCTCCACCATTCCCAATCCTATTCCTAGCCCAGAGCCCAACTCAAGTCCTCTCTCTGCTGCAAATGTTGAGCTTTACATGGTCATCACAGCCTCCCTGGGCTTTGACCTGTAAGAACACATAAAGCCCTGATAAAGTATTTACCAGCCTCTGCCATGTCCATGTTCCAGTAGGTTCATCTGGGCTCATTCTTTTTTGTTTTTGTTTTTGTTTTTTAAGAGACAGGGAATAGCTCTATTGCCCAGACTGGAGTGCAGTGGCATGATCACAACTCACGGCAGCCTTGACTTCCTGGGCTCAACTAAACTAATTTCATCTGGGTTTTGTATCTGTTTGTTTGTTTGTGCTTTTTAAAATGTGGCTGAGAGAAAGTTTTAAATTACCTATTTCTGTGAGATGGCACCAGGTAGCACCTATATGCTGCAAGGGGTCTTTGAGGCTATTAAGTCTAGTGGCTGCCTTTGACACACAGGAAAGCAGACCCAGAGAGGGACAGCGCCTTGCCCAGGGTCATACACATGTAAGGGCAGGGCGGTGAGGACTGGAACTCTGCTTCTTGGACCTTTGTGGTTTGAGGGCAGATGATGTCCAACACTGTGGGTGCTGACAGGTGGGCACCCACAGGTGGTCCTTCACAGCAGAGGACATTGGAAGGGACTACAGACTCGGGACACAGCCCTGTGGAGGCTCCCACATGCCCCTGCTCAAAGCTGTCCTCACTCACTTGCCATGCCGACTGCACACCCAGACATCCTCAGGGCAGGAGATTTTAGTGGATAATCAATAGTCCGACAGGGCAGGCTGCAAAGACCCAAACCTAATTATGTTGTTCAGAAACTTGTCTGTAACTAAAAGGCGTCTGAGAAATCATTGTCACCATCGCTGGGAGGGGAGAGAAAGCCAGTCATTAGGTCCAATTGGATTTATATTGACTGTTGGCTTGTTGTAGATGCTGAATCCCTGCAAAACTGTTGTTTGAATACCACAGGGAAACACACAGAGAGACACACAGGTTTTTTTTCTTTTCTAGGAGACTTTTGGGAAGGTTCTGTTTTACCCTTTTCTCACAGATGACCTGAGATGTGATTGACAGGGTGATTTCCTGGGTCTCACTTTTGAAGTTCTAGATGGGCAGAGCAGAGCATGAATCTCTTTCAAAGGCAGCATGGAAGGACTGAATGCCTCCTCCAACTCCAGGCATTTGACAACCCCTACCCCGAATGGGAGAAAATACTTCAGGGTGAGAAATCTTTCAACAACTAGTTAAGATATTTGAATGTTGTATTAGTCTGTTTTCATGCTGCTGAAAAAGACATACCCGAGACTGGGCAATTTACAAAAGAAAGAGGTTTAATTGGACTCACAGTTCAACATGGCTGGGGAAGCCTCACAATAATGATGGAAGGCAAGGAGGAGCAAGTCACATCTTACATGGATGGCGGCAGGCAAAGAGAGAGCTTGTACAGGGAAACTCCCATTTTTAAAACCATCAGCTCTCGTGAGATTTATTCACTATCACAAGAACAGCATGGGAAAGACCTGCACCCATGATCCAATTATCTTCCACCGGGACTGTGCCACAGTACATGGGAATTATGGGAGCTACAAGATGAGATTTGGATGGGGACACAGAGCCAATCCATATCAAATATCAAGTCATTTTTTTTTTTTTTTGAAATGGATTCTCACTTTGTTGCCAGGCTAGAGTGTGACGGCGCAGCCTCAGCTCACTACAACCTCCGCCTCCCAGGTTCAAGTGATTCTCCTGCCTCAGCCTCCTGAGTAGCCTTCAGAATTGCAATAGGAAAAACCTGGTAAACCTCCAGAATGCCTGCCCATAGGGACCTGCAAAGCTAAGCAATGTCCACCTGAACAGTGGAGCACCACATGACCAGTAGAGAAAATTAAGTAACTCAGTGTTTACCATGGGAAATATGGAAGACATATTATTCTTCAGTGAAACCAAAGCTCACAGACCAGCATGTCTGGGATGATCCAATTTAGGTAAACAAATAAATTTCTTCAAAAGGCTGTAATACATGTGTCTGGGCCAAATGCCGATGGACCAGTTCTGAATGGAAGTTGATCAACCCACCATGGTGTTGACAGGAATTAGTTCCAGGGAATAAAAATCATGGGGAGATGGGGAGTTTACCAGGGTGAATATTTTTCACTTCCCAGTTGTAAATGTATGCCCATCCAGATTTTTTTGAAGTTTTATTCACCACAAGTTCTATGATGGTTAATTTTACATGTCGACTTGACTGGATGGCAGGAGAACTGGATGGCGGATAGAGCACTGTTTCTGGGTGTTTGTGAGGTGTTTCCAGGGGAGAATAGCATGTGAGTCTGAGGACTGAGGGAGGAAGACCTGTCTTCAATGTGGGGGCCACCATCCAATCAGCTGGGGCCTGGCTGAGACAAAGCAGGTAGAGGGGCTGGGCTTGGAAAACGTTTTCCCCACTGTCAATTACTGAGTGACTATGAAACCCACCCAATTTATGATGAAACAAGGGATTGCTGTCTCTGCTCATTAAAGCTACAATAATAGAATCATTTATGTCCCCTCCTTCCCCAGCATTCCCTGTGGCTATTCCCCCATGCCCCAACCTCTGCTCATTCCTGATGCTGAGTCTTTGCTTAGGCAGATCGTCTTCCTAGGATGTCGTTCCTGCCCCTGGCCGGGGGAGCCCAGCCAGAAGCAAAATAATCCCATCACTTTGGGAAGCTGAGGGGAGAAGATTGTGAGACCAGTAGTTCAAGACCAGCCTGGGCAATATAGTGAGACCTTGTCTTTACAAAAAAATAAATTAGCCTGGCATGGTGGTGCACGACTATAGTCGCAGCTACTCAGGAAGCTGAGGTGGGAGGATGGCTTGAGCCTGGGAAGTCGAGGCTGCAGTGAGCTCTGATCATGCCACTGCACTCCAGCCTGGGGAACAGACTAAGACCCCATCTCAAAAAAAAGCATGTAGAGGAGGGGGGTTCACTCTCTCTGCTTCCTTTCTCCCTTTTGGAGCAGGATGCTTTTCTCCTCCTGCCTTTAGACATCAGACTCCAGGTTCTTTGGCTTCCTGAGTGAGGAAGGGAAAGACAGAGGGAGGAAGGAAGGGAGTGAAGGAGGGAGGAAAGGAGATATGAAAGGAAGGAGAGAAAGAGGGAGGGAGGAAGGGAAGGAGAGAGAGAGGGAGGGAGGAAGGGAAGGAGGAAAAGAGGGAGGGAAGGAAGGGGAGAAGGAGGGAGGGAGGGAAGAAGGGAAGGAGAGAGGGAAGGAGGAGGAAGGGAAGGATGGAGGGAAAAGGGAGGAAGTGAGGAAGGAAGGAAAGGAGGGAGGGAAGAGGAAGGGAAGAAGGAAGAGAGGGAGGAAGAGGGGAAGGAAGGGAAGGAAGGAAGGAGGGAGGAAGGAAGGAAAGGAGAGAGGGAGGGAGGGAATGAGGAAGGAAGGAAGGGAAGGAGGGAGGAAGGGAGTAAGGGAGAAAGGGAAGGGGAAGGATGGAGGAAGGGAAAGAGGGAGGGAAGGAAGAGAGGGAAGATGCTCTCCTTCAAGCAACATCACCACCACTGACTTCTCCTCCCCTGCGTGCACCCTCTATACAATGGACTGAATATTTGAGTTCCCCCTGTTCATATGTTAAAATCCTAACCCCCAGTGTGATGGTATTAGAAGGTGGGGCCTTCAAGAGCAGTCAGGTCATGAGGGTGGAGCCCTCATGAATAGGATTCATGCCCTTATAAAACAGACCCCAGAGAGCTCTCTAGCCCTCTTTCCATCATGTTAGGATAAGTGAGGAGCCAACCATTTACTCTCCAGAAGAGGTCTCTCACCAGAACCTGACCCTCCTGGCACCATAATTTTGGACTTCCTGCCTCCAGACAGGTGAGCAATGTCTGCCATTTCTCAGGCACGCAGGCTGTGGTGCTTTGTTACAGCAGCCTGAACAGACCAAAGACACCGGCATCCCAGCACCTGGTACACTGTATGACCTTTGTTTTTACCTTGATCTCCCCCCCACCTAAGAACTTGAACCCAAGCCCATGTGAACCCTTGCCTTTCCCCAGAAGGCTTTGCACTGCCTCTCCCAGGTGAGAGGGAGAGCCCTGTCCCAGCTCTCTCCAAATGTGAATCCTCAGAGGACAAGATTGGGTGTCATTAAATGTTGGTCCCTCCACAGACCTAAGCACAAGGCTTTGCACACACACGGAGCTGTGCACAATTATTGCACATTGAGTTTACTTTTGATAATGATATCCTTTTCTGGCAAACTATTCCAATAATTTTTAAAAATATCTTTTATTTTGTGATTGCCTTACTGCAAAACTACGTAGATTGCAAATAAGTTTTGCTTTCAGTCGTTCAAAGGAGCTCAGCATGTGAATGCACAAGATTTTACCGAATTGTTCTCTTTCAGTGGACATCTGCCTTGTTTGTGTTTGATAAATAATGCCATTGCCCATGAAGAATAATGCCATTGTCCATGATAAATAATGCCATTGTCCATGATGAATAATGCCACAAGGAACAATCTCCATGATCACATCTTTCACACCTATGCAATGATCACGTTTGGAAATTCCCAGTGGTGGCACAGTTGGATGGAGAGTGGGAAATTTTCCATTGCGGATAGAGCCCACTGCAAAAACCTATTTCCCCATATTTCATGACTGTTTTCTTCTAGAGAACAGCACCGCCCAGTGGCTGGGAGTGTTTGGGGAAATGCTGGCTGGAATCTCTTCTTCCGTTCATTGGCTGTAAGATCAGGGTCACACCCCTCATCCCCTGAGCTTCAGGGTTTCCTCCACTAAAGAGATGACTCTCAGCCCTCCTGCCTCACATGGCACAATGAATGGAGAAGCGCCGGGAGCCTCACAGCTGTAGGGGTGGTTCCTGCCTTGGGTTCATCCTGGCCAGTCTTGGTCAGCATAGCGTTGAAGGTTCTAGAAGAACGTTGGGTAAGTAGAAACTGTAGATGTAGAATTCTCCTCCATCCACCTCTTGTCTCTCCTCTCCCTCCCAGTCATGTCTCCAACCCCATAACCTGCCAGGGGTGTACAAAAGAACCCCCAGGGCACATGTCCAGCGTGCCTCACAGGCTCAGCTCTTGGCGCTGAACACCCTCATTTCCCTAGGAAATAACTCTTGTTCCTTTTTAAAATTCAGTCTTAGCTGGGTGTAGTGGCCTGTGCCTGTGGTCCCAGATATTCAGAAGGCTGAGGCAGAAGGATCACTTGAACCCAGGAGTTCATAGCCAGCCTGAGCAACATAATGAGACTCCATCTCAAAAAAAAAAAAAAAAGGTTTTAATTCAGTCTTGTTATTCTCAGGCAGAAGTATGTATTTTTCTTTACTATTGTCCATTGAATCTTGCTCCAATTAAACAGCTTCCAATATTCTTCTAGAAGTTTCTCTAGGCAAGACCAAGGGAAGAAAACTTTTGAAGAAAGAAATGAAGATGAGATTGTTCAGAGCAGTGTTACTTGTCTTAGTCCATTTTTTGCTGGTATAACAACACCACAGACTGGATAATTTATCAAGAATAGAAGTTTATGTAGCTCACAGTTATGGAGGCTGGGAAGTCCCAGATCATGGCTCCAGCATCTCGCAAGAGACATTCCATGTTTGAAGATGGAAGGCATCATGTGGTGAGCAGGCACATGAGGCAGCGTAAAAGGAGGCCAGACTCCCAGAAAATAACCCAGTCCTGTGATAACGGCATTAATCCATTCATGAGAGGAGATCTCTCATGACCTAATCATTCCTTAAAGTCTTCACCTCTTAATACCATCAAAATGGCAATTAAATTTCAACATGACTTTGGACATTCTAACCATAACACTCCTCAAAATGGCCAGTTGGCCAACTGCTCTTTCTAGGCACATGATGGGATAGGGAGCTTGGCAAAGACTCTCTTTGAGCAAACTTTAGACCGACCCCTCAGAGCCCTCTTTCTGACTAGGTCTTACCCTGGGGCCCTGTCTTCAGCCTCCCTAGTTCAGTTATAGCAAGAATTCTTCTAAGTCAGCTTATTGAGAGTCTCTCTCCACTCTTGTAATCTGATCTCCCTGACTTGCCTCCAGCAAGATTCTGAAGCCCCCAGCTGTCTCCGCTGTATTCTGAGCTGAGCTTGATCTGGCTCCCCTATTGTGATAGTCTTGACACCTATCAGAATGGTCCAGAATAAAGTCTTCCTTGCTGTTTGAACAAGGGTCAGAATAACTTTTTCTTTAACAATCGTTAACACACTGCGTTCTTCATCAAGAAAGCCTTGCTACCAAAAAAAAACTGCCTGCTGTACTAAACAGTGTTCTTGGGGATATAATTGACTGATGTTCAGGTGCAAGAAACTTATCCTGTTAAGGACGGAAAACAATTGCACGCTTACATTGATCTGGTCCCCAGGCCACACTTTCATTTTTGCTAGTTTGAAATCTACAGTGGGGAGAGAAGGCTGAGGGAGTGAGCAGGGGAAGAGATGCTTTTTCACACCAGCACTCCATCTGGAACGCCAGGAGGCCCTCTCCAACACACCCTCAAAGCCTGGCCAGAGTAGGCTTGGTGGGTGCCAACCAACCTAGGCCTCTGATCCCTGTACTCATGGCAGGATCCTGCTGGTCCCCAGGCAGCAGGTGGGGATGTCAACAGGTGGGGAAAGAGCATTTCCAGTCCCTCTAACTTCTAGGGAGGCTGAGTCCCCATCAGCAAATCTTAGCTTAGGGCCTACCATGTGCTGGCCTCGGTGCCTGTCACTATGGGCATCGATAGTGGAGGCCATGGCCCTGCATATATGGGGTTGACACTCTAGCTGGGCAAGGGCCCAGTGGCATGTGCAGTTAAGCCAGCAAGAACATCTTTTTTTTTTTTTGAGACAGAGTCTCACTCTGTCGCTCAGGATGGAGTGCAATGGCGTGATCTCGGCCCACTGCCACCTCTGCCTCCCAGGTTCAAGTGATTCTCCTGCCTCAGCCTCCCAAGTAGCTGGGATTACAGGTGCATGCCCCCACACCTGGCTAATTTTTATACTTTTAGTAGAGATGGGGTTTCACCATGTTGGCCAAGCTGGTCTCTAGCTCCTGACCTCAGATAATCTGCTTGCCTCAGCCTCTCAAAGTGCTGGGATTACAGGTGTGAGCCACCACGCCCAGCCAAGAACACTTTTCTTTATTTCTGAAAGGAGGCAACAGTAATACGGCAATGACAGACATATCCATTGCCCACTTTAAAGAGACAGGTGTTCGGCCCCTTCTTGGTATGACTGCAGCCAAAACCAAGGGTCAGCTGAAGACTGCACAGTGCATGCAATGTGTGGTCAAGTAAGAGCCAAGCTCTGGAGAAAAACTTTCTCATTTGGATCCCTTTCTTGTTTTACCACTTACTGAGTAGGGGACTGCGAGCAAGTCACTTCACATCTCAGCCCTGGGGATCATAATAGCACCTCCCTTGTATGTCTTGTGATGATTAAAAGATGTAAGGACCATAGCAAAGTGACTGGCACAGAGCAAAGGATGTTCTGACTCATCTCCCCTCCTATCCAGGCTCCTCCTTGCCCAGGTCTTTTCCCAGGTGAATGGTGACTCCTTTCAGGTTCAGACCCGGGCTCAGCTTTCCAGCCCAGCACCAGCGGGCTCCAGAAGGCCTTCTAGATCCTGTAGTCCTGCCACATAATTAAGGCTCATTTTGAGCCATCTGCTGTTCATGCATTCATTTTTGTTGATCACCTATTATGTGCCAGAAGTTGTGCTAGGCTCTGAGGTCACAGTGGTGAATCAATCAGTCATCCTGCCTCGTGGAACTAACACTGCATGGGGGCTGGGCACTAATCGACATGCAATTAGAGCTGGAAAAAATCCCTCGTTCAAGTCCACAGAGCTCCGCCATACTCTGGGGGCAAGAGAGAGGCTTCCATGTAGGGGGTGGGACATTAAAGCCATGGAGAGGGGGTCATCCCCTGGCAGGGGTAGGTGGGGTGGACCTGAAGAGGGAGAAACACAGCTCAGAACAAACAGCTCAGGCTCAAAGAGGATGGGAGTGGACTCAAAGGAGGGGTGCAAAGAGGGAATTTTGAGGCCTTGGGTTCTGAGCAAAATGGGGCTGGCATCTTCAGGCCACCTGAAGGCCAAGGGCATCAGTATCCACCCACCACAGAAGGCCAGGAGCCAGCCATCTTGCAGTCAGCCCAGCTGTCCAGTCTCCTGGAAGGCCATCTGTGTGTGGTCCTCACTGTCCTGGGATTCCTCCATGATTCTGGAGAATGGGGGCCATTCACCTCTTAGATGGGTGAGTTAACAGAGGGCCTGAAGGGCCTTGTGGAATGCAGTGGAAGACACAGCCTTGGCTCCTAAGGTGCCTCTGATCTCTGTGTAGGCCCCATGACAACAAGAGAAGAGAACAAAATTCCAACAGCCCCCAGGGTGGGCGGCTTCAGACAGCTCAGGGTGTTTTGATACAAGCTGCTCTGCAGCCCCGAAGCTTTCCTTGCTCTTTGCATGAATTTAGCCTTCAGGGAGAGAAGGAATGTGCATCCCAAAGAAACAAACACAAGACAGCTCAGCCTAGGGGAGAGTGACAGCTGGGACCTGGAGCAGGCCCAGGCAGCAGGCGGCACATGACAGTTGTCTGATTTGGCTGTGTCAATAAGTGCTTTGCTGAAGCTTTCAAAACAAAAGATTATCCATAAAATGCACGGTCCCACTTCTTGTTTCCCTGCCCAGACATTGTATGTGGCTTTTGGAAAAGAGTCAGGATGTCTTTGTCATCAGAGCCTGGTGTCCCTCAGTCACCTGTTGAGAAGGAAGGAGGGAGGGTGCTGAGAAGGGAGGGAAAGGTGGCAGAGGGCTGGCCCACTGGGCTGCCACTAGCTTCTCCCACCTGCATTTCAGGGAATAAGGAAGACCAACCGGTACCTCACCTAACATCCCTTCAACAAGCCTCACGCTTGAAGAACACACAGCCCAGCTGGAGAGAGAGGCCAGGACCCCACATCATCACAGAGTGGGTGCATCAAGAGCAGCTGGGGCAGGGGCATCCCGGAAAAGGGCATCGTCCCTGAAGGCTGCTGGCCCTGAAGGAGCTCTGGGAGCAAGGGGTGATGGTGGGGCCTTGAGGCCCAGGTAGGATCCGGAGTGTGAGAGGGAAGATGCCTTTGGAAATGAAGCCCTTGGTCACCTCAGTGAGAAACATGGCAGGATTTGCTCTCTTGTTGCATTATTTAAAATGAAGGCAGATGTCAATCATCTCAGGCAGGTTTACATCCTAAATGCAACTGACCCGGTCCCGTATATCAGCCCCCTTGTTGTGGCCTAGCAGCCCAGAGAACCTACAGTCCTCTTAGCTGGCAACATCACAGAACATTCCACCTGGAAAAACCTTAGGGAATCCTTGGTCAGTGGTGTTCAGTTCTACCCCACCCTTTCTGTCTTTAATTATGGACTTCTGTATTCAAACAAAACATTATAAGAAGCCAAATATAAAACATAGCAAAGCAAAGCTACTCAGACCAAATCAGGGATAAGAGACTCCGATCTGCCCATGGGTTTCAGAAAACGCCACATGAAAATGCCTGGGCTACTTCCACTGGCTTATACACTGGAGAAACTGAGGCACAGAGCGACAGTCCTGACCATACACTATGTGAGAGCAAAGACCTGGTTGGTCTTATAGCACACTGCATCCCCAGCATCCACCTCAGTCAGTCCTGGCACATATAGATGCCCAATAAATATCGGTTGGACAGATACAGATTAGTTGGATCAACATACATTTTTTGCATAAATAAATATTTGTTGGAAGAGACACACAGGCAATGCTGACGGCCTTTGCACAGTCATCTCTGTTTTTCTACAAATGCAACTACTTTTTGAAGAGGCTAAAGGAGGGACTTGCCTCTGAGACAGGGTCTGTAATTGCCTATGTTTGGAATGTACAGCATTTGAAAGGTTTTAATTTCCTGATCTAATGACAAGAATAAAAGCAGAGGAGTAGAGGGCCAGGGAGGATGAAAAGGAGCCACAATTTGCATCCAAGATGGAAGTGCCCTTTGTTGTCCCACATCCAAGTCAACTTCAAAGTTTTCTGCTGCATGGAGATGCACATCAGTCACCATGGCAACCACCAATCTGCCCAGGCTACTCGACCCTGGCCAGCCCTCTGCCAGCCATAGCATGTGCCTGGCTTTCAGAGAGCCAGGTGGGGCAGAGAACACAGGGGCTGCCGCTCAACCTCGCCAGCCTCCACCCAGCACGTCTTATTGGCTCTCAGTCTGTGGGGAGAGGGGTCTGGGTCAGCACCTCGATTGGCTGCACTGTCATCCTGCAAGCATGCATTAGTAGCCACCAGGTGCCTGTGCATCGGGTCACTCCTTAGAGATAACACTCCCGTGTCTGGCACTAGTCGCTGAACAAAGGCCTGTGAATGAGTCAATGAATGAAATCATAACCAGAGTCCCCTGGGAGCTTCTAAAATAAACAAATGCCCAGCTCCACCACCTGAAACTGGCTGCATCAGCATCTCTGGGAGGTACAGGCAAGACTGGGGGGCTACAGTTGCACACGCGCCCCTCAAGTTAGAGCAGGAGGAGAAAGCTGAATGGAGACAGTCCGGGTGGGGCTGCTGGAGCTGCCACTCACGGAGATGGCAGGAGGGGCGCTTGCTTTGGGATGTGTCGGGTTAGAGGTGCCCAGGAGGAGTTTGGGAGTCCGGAGTTCTGGGGAGAACTCAGGGAGGGAGGCAGCCTTTTTATCCACCAGAGTGATGAGACCATGGTGAGGGTGCAGAGACAGATGTATTCACCCATTTTCACGCTGCTGATAAAGACATACCCGAGACTAGGCAATTTGTAAAGAAAAAGAGATTTAATGGACTCACAGGTCTAAGTGGCGGGGGCGGCCTCACAATCATGGCAGAAGGCAAGAGAGAGAATGAGAACCAAGCGAAAGGGGTTTCTCCTTATAAAACCATCTGATCTCATGAGACTTATTCACTATCACTAGAACAGTATAGGGGAAACTGCCCCCATGATTCAATCATCTCCCAGCGGGTCCCTCCTACATCACGTGGGAATTATGAGAGCTACAATTCAAGAGGAGATTTGGGTGGGGACACAGTCGAACCATATCAATGAGCAAGAGACCGAGTATCCAAGGTATAAGCCATGGAACACACGGGCCAACAAGGAGGGGTAGGTGAGGGAGATGAGAGTGAGCACCAGGCAAATGTGGTGCCTGGGAAGCCAGGAGAATGTGACAAGCACAGGCTGGGGAAGAAAGATAGTCATGCCCAGAGCATCAAGGCAGGAGCTGCAGAAGAAAGTCTCCCATCCAACATGTGGTGACTGCCGGCTGCTGTGGGTGCCCCACCTGGGTGGGGGCTGCCTAGACTACCTCTGCCCAAAGACTGGGGCCTCAGTGGTGGCCACACTGAGCATATCTTGCAAACCCCTCCTAAGTCCACCAGGCCTGAGGTTCTTACCTTGAAATTTACCTCTTCTTCCTCCATCAAAGGCAATGAGCTGAGTGCTGGAGAAAGCTGAGCCATCCCATTATCTGCCTCCTAAACAGTAATGGGGGCCAGGTGCAGTGGCTCACACCTGTAATCCCAGCACATTGGAAGGCTGAAGCAAGAGGATCACTTGAGCCCAGGAGTTCAAGACCAGCCTGGGCAACATAACGAGACCTCCATCTCTACAAAAAATACAAAAAGTAGCCAGGCATGGTGGTGCACGCCTGTATTCCCAGCTACTAGGGAGGCTGAGGTGGGAGGATCCCTTGCACCCAGGAGTTTTAGATCAGCCTGGGCAACATAATGGGACCCTGTCTCTACAAAAAGTTTGAAAAATTAGCCAGGCATGCCTGTAGTCCCAGCTACTGAGGAGGCTGAGGCAGGAGGATCGTTTGAGCCCAGGAGGTCAAGGCTGCAGTAAGCCATGATCACACCACTGCACTCCAGCCTGGTGACAGAGTGAGACCTAGTTTCAAAAACAAACAAAAAACAAAAAACATAGTAATGGGGATGGCTTGGGTTTTTTTTGTTTTTTTTTTTGAGACGGAGTCTCTCTCTGTTGCCCAGGCTGGAGTGCAGTGGCGTGATCTAGGCTCACTGCAAGCTCCGCCTCCAGGTTTCACACCATTCCCCTGCCTCAGCCTCCCGAGTAGCTGGGACTACAGGCGCCTGCAACCACGCCTGGCTAATTTTTTTTTTTTTTTGTATTTTTAGTAGAGACAGGGTTTCACCATGTTAACCAGGATGGTCTCGATACCCTGACCTCGCAATCCGCCCACCTTGGCCTCCCAAAGTGCTGGGATTATAGGCGTAAGCCACCGCGTCCGGCTTTTTTTTTTTTTTTTAAGATCTTGCACAGCTGGGCACACTGCCACAGGATTTACATGTATTATCTCATTTGGGCCTCACAACCACCCTTTGAGGTAGGTACTATCTACTTCACTTCCGTGTCAGTCAAGAAACCTGCCCAGCATGGAGGCTGGCCAGGCAGCATGTCTCCACAGGCAAAGGTCTTGACCACCAGGGCACAACACCACTTCCCGGTCAGCACAACATCAAAAGACGCTGTGGGGAAAGCTTCTGGACTGGCCATTGACTTCCTTCCCCTTGACCCATCCACCAGGTACCTACGCTGTGGACACCTCTGGACAAGGGGCAGCTGTACCCATGGTGGAAACTAGGGCATGGAGTTTTGCTGTATCCCTGCCAAGCCCACTTTCTAGCCCTTGTTAGTTTGTGACTCCATGCTAATAAGGCAGGAGAATAGGGAATTATGGTAACTAAGGTTTAAGGCATAAACAAGAGAACAGCAGGTGCAGCCGGTTCTGGGCAAGATTAGGCAGCATCCAGGCCACGTGCTCGCTCTGATAACAAGACAGAAGTCTTCACTTCAGCCTCTGATTGGTCGAGGGCCAATCCTTCACAGGGTGTAACCAACTGGAAGCCTCTAAGGGGCACGTAGGGGTGTTACCAAATTCTTCTAGCTTAATAAAAACCCTAAAAGCCATTGTAATCGGGGCTCTTGAGCCGCTTGCTTCAGCTTGCCTTCTGTGCCTTGGCTGCTTCGTTCTCTTGTTGCTTTGTTTGTGCATTTTGTTCAATGCTTTGTTCAACGCACCAAGAACCTGGACAACTCACAGTCAAGACTCTCCATCCGGTAACACTAAAGTTAATTTTACCAGGTGGGGATGGGCTGATGTGGCAGGAGGGGGCCTGGTGCCTGATGGAAATGTGGCTGGACCTCCGTCCTGGGGAGGATGTTGGAAAAGGCAACAGGCAGCTGGCTTAAGGGACTGTCCCAGGGACAGCATTTCTTCCTGTTTAATGCCTCTTGGCCAGGAGTGGGTCAGGTCTGGTTGCCGCCTATGCAATGTGAGGGGCTCTCTTTAAGGAAAAAAAGAAACTACGAAATTGCCCATTCAAAATTAGGTATGAACATGAATATTCATTTAGAATGAGAAATAACAAATTACACATTTCACAATGCCAACAAATACAGAAACCTACAATCATGCGAGCGCATTGCCAGGGTTTCTTCCGGTCATGAGATTTCAAGTAAGCAAGAAACTCTGAGCCTAAGCTTCCTCAGCTTCCCGGAAATCAGAAATCATCTCTGCCCTTAACAGCTCCCTTGCTGGGAGTCAGTGGATATCTCTGCCCTGGGAGGTCAGATCACCCCCTACTTCCCACCCATGAAAGTAGCAGCTACTCTTTTGGTGACAAGGCAGGACCACAGGGGCTGTCTGAAGCACCACCTTCAGGGGTTTAGCCTGGCCCACCTGAACTGGGGAAGGGACAGTGTCAGGGAAGTTTCCTGCAGTTCTGAGCAGGGCTCCGGCACAAGCCTTCAGGGGCAAAGCCTCTGACCCAGGCACCAATATTAACCTACTCCAGAGATTGGTGACAGGGACTCATTCGTGCACCGATGTTTACCGAATGCCCACCACATGCCAGCACGGTGCCAGAGCGACGGGCAGATCACTGAGAACCACACGGGCACACCTGAGAAGGTTAAATGTGTGACGTGGCTACACAGCCTGCACATATTAGTTGCTCATTAAATATTGGCTTCCTTCCCGTCCTCCCATTTGCCAGGCACGCTCCTACGGAGAGGCAGCGCCCAGCACAGAGCAGTGCATTCAGCAGCCCACATGCCAGTGCCCCAGAAGGACAGGCCACACCTACTTCCCGCCCATGAAAGTAGCAGCTGCTCTTTTGGTGACAAGGCAGGACCATAGGGGCTGCCTTGGCCCATCCCCTGCCCATCCCCTCCCCATCCCGGGACAGACCCAGGAGCGAGCTCGACTTGCGTGAGGTTACCCAGCAGGGCAGGGGTGCGGCCAGGTCTCCTGCGTCCGAGACCCTCTCTCTCACTGGCCCTCTTAGGAAGCGCGAGGCCCTTCCAATCCCCTTCCTGTCTGGGCTCGCCTGGCCCCAGCGCTCCGGTGAAGGCAGGGGTTCTCGACCCCAGCTGAGAATCACCGCAGTGTTGGAGACAGGAAGCAAAGCCCCAGCCCCAGCATCCCGGCCATTCTTGGACCTGGCTACTGAGCGTCCGAGGCAGGGGGCTCCAGGTGGGACGCGACATCCGGACACGAGGAGCTCCCAGGCGTCGCTTGTGAGCTGCACCCCGTCTGTCCGCAGGCCCGCAGGGAGGCTGTGGGGTCAGGAAAGAGGCAGCCAGGGTGAAGCTAGTGGGCATGCTGCGACAAGTTTGGCAGGACTTGGGATTGCGGGGACAGCGGTGCGAAGTGCCCGTCCCGGGGACGGAGGTGAGAACAAGAGTCCGAGGCGTCCCCTCTCAGGAGTCCACGGTGGAAGACTGGAGTCGGAAGGGGGAGCCCTCCCCGGGGACCGCGGCTGGAGATGTCCGCTCCCGGGAGGACCCTTCCTCGCGGCGAAGGCGGGGAGCTTGGGACGCGCCACCTGCTGGCGCAAAGCTTGGGGTCTGCGCGGTCTGGCCGCGCCACCTGGTGGCCGCTTGGGAAAGCGCAGCCCGGCCGCAAGACCTCGCGGGAGCGGAGGGGCCGCGGGCGTGTGCGGAAGGATTCCTCCATCAGCTCCAGCACCCCGCGACCTCTGAGCCACTACCCCATCCTGGGGCGCCTGGCCTGGACTAGCTGCCCCTCTTCTGACAGCGCCCACTCTCGCAGCCCCTATCGTCCCCGGGGATTGGGCCTCCCCGAGGAACCCCTCTTCCGCCTCGACGCCCCCTCTGCATCTCTTTGGCTGTGTCATCTTGAACAAAATCGCTTACCGTCCCTGATCTTCAGTTTCTTCGTATTCTAAAGGCGGGGAGGGCACTAACAATACAGCATTCAGGGCTGGTGGACCACTGAACGGGACGACCCCCACAGCGGCTGGGTGAGTCGCACCAAAGGCTTTGGTCCAGGTACCGGGAGGCTGGAGATGAGATGTGCAAGCGGAGCAGGGCACTTCTGCACCCATAAGTAGGAGATGCAGCGGGTGACCGTCAAAATCCCCTCCCCTCCTGAGTCTGGGAGCTTCCGGGGCAATTTCCAGGACCCCCGCTTCCCGGAGGTGGACTTTAGCCAACCTGAGACCCCGCAGGCCCTCCCATGGAGCCAAGTGATGCTGGGCAGTTGACGATGATCCCCCAAGTGAGTCCAAGCCAGGCAAGAAGCAGCCCCCTGGGATCACCAAGAGAAACCGAGCTTGGAGAAGACGAAATACTACCTCTTATTAGGACAGGGTCAGTTCCAGTTTGGGGGAGGCCTCGCTGGCTGGAGGGCCTTTCCCGCTTCAGCATCCCTGCCCAGGACCCCAGCCCTCATGCTTCTCCCAGGCTACTGTCCTCACAAACTGTCCCCACAGGGAGGCTGCAGGGAGCATTGGATGAGAGGCACACGCAAGGCTCAGCCCAGGACCTGGCGCAAAGTAGGTGTGCAGCAAACGCTGGCTGCTCTCCTTGGTGTTTCTGTGCACCTAAGTCCCACCCAGCGTCCTCCCTTATGTGGGAGATGCTGCAGAGTAGAGACTCAAGGATTAAAAGGGAAAAAAAGCAATAAGGATGAAAAAAGGCACGATCATTTTATTTGGGCAGCTCAGAGTCTGGAGAGGAGAGGACAGGTGAGAACATTGTTATCCTGTAACAGAGGAAGAGGTAGCAGGGGATGGAGTGGGAGCATGGAGCACACAAGGGTGACCGCTTTCAGGAGTTGGGGGATGCCACCTAGCAGAGGTGACATGTGAGCCTAGCCTGGAAGGGAGAAGGACACCTCAGGCTGGGAGAGCCACTAGTGCCCTGGTTCTCAATTCTGACCACATGTTGGGTAACCTGGGAGACCTTTCAAAACCTCAGTGTGCAAGTGGCACCCAGACGAATGTCGGAATCCTAGAGGGTGCTTTGGACTAAATGTCTGTGTCTCCCCAAAATTGATTTGTTAAAACCCTAACCCCAGTGTGATGGTATGAGAAGGTGGGACTTTTGGGAGGTGATTAGCTGTAGATGACATCATGAGGTTGGAACCCTCATAATAGGATTAATGCCCTTATAAAAAGAGAAAGAAGCACAAGATCTGCCTCTGCCTCTGCCTGTGTCTCTGCCTCTGTCTTGGCCTCTGTCTTTTTCTCTCTTTATGCCTCACTCTCTGTGCATTTCCCAGGAAGAGGACCCTCACCAAGAACCCAACTATTCTTGCTTTCTGACCTCAGACTTCCAGTCCCCAGAACCATGAGAAATACATTTGAGTTGTTGAAGTCACCCGGTCTATGATAATTTGTTATAGCAGCCTGCACTCACTAAGACGGCAGGGAGGGGGATGCCATGAAATATCTGACACTCCCCAGGTGTCAGTGCGCAGGCAAGGTTGAGAACCACTGAGCAAAGTCTTGAAGGAATAAATTCACATGTCTGCACAGGGGCCCAGAAGTAAACAGCTCAAGTTGGGGCAAGAAACAAGGGGCAGGGGGGCACAATGGACCATTTCCTTAGAACCATGGAAGAATTCCAGCTAGCAAATAAGCAAATAATCATGACCTTTAATTTGCATAATGTGCATCCCTGACAACCACCATGTTTGCATTTGAACAGGAATTGCTATTGCCTTAAGAAGGGAGTGGCTGAGAGGTTCAGTACCACTTGTAATGAATTTACCTCTGTGTTTCTGAAGATGCTGCTGATTCATCTTTGGATACTCTGAGCCTGGAAGATAGCCAGCATTCAGTGAATGTTTGTTGAACTGAAAGAACAGCCCTTCAGTGCGATCATGGGCTCCTACTTGAGTGGCCAGTGTTGATTGCATCTGGGTTCAAGGTTTTTCTATACCTTAATTGGGCTAATGTGGTCTGAGAAACTCCACAAAAACCTTAGTGCCTATGACTACTCCCTGAAATCCCACTATTGGTGCTCTGTGTCTTTCACTGGTTCTTGCCTATACCTTGTCAATTCCATTGCCAGAGGTAGGTCTTCAAGGGTTGGAGGGGCAGAAAGCCTGCTAGTTGTAGGGAAGAGGGGAAAGATCCAGAAAGACCCCTCTGAGAGATAGCCTGGGCATTGGCCAAGACCTAAGATGAATAAAGATTTAAAAGACAGGTGCTTATTTTATTTTCAAATGGGAACCTCCTGGCATTTTTTCTTGGTTCTTGCAATTTGTATGCTATACCCTGTAGCAATGTTCACCATTTACCCAGGAACTGATTGATTTTGCTAATCATAGAACACAGAGTGATTTTTGCAAGACTCAAGCAAGATCTAGTCATAAAACATGTCTAGGCTGGGCGCAGTGGCTCATGCCTATAATCCCAGCACTCTGGGAGGCCGAAGCAGGCAGATCACCTGAGATCAGGAACTCAAGACCAGCCTGGCCAACATGGCAAAACCTCTACTAAAAATACAAAAATTAGCCAGGTGTGGTGACGCACACCTGTAATCCCAGCTACTTGGGAGGCTGAGGCAAGGAGAATTGCTTGAACCTGGGAGGTGGAGGTTGCAGTGAGCCGAGATTGCACCATTGCACTCCAGCCTGGGTGACAGAGTGAGACTTCATCTCAAAGCAAACAAAACAAAACAAAATTTCTAATAACCCACAAGGGAAATAGTAAAAGACTTGTGCTATTCCATGTGTGTGCCAACCAGTTCACATACTGACTTGTTTACATCTTCTCCCAGGCTGGAGTCCCCAGGAGTGACCCTGAAACAAGGATATGAGTGAGTGGTTCTTTTGGAGGTGATCTCAGGAAGCCCAAGTAAAGGAGTGAAGAAGTGAGACAGGGAGATGAAGGGGGTCAATACAGGGTGTGCTGATGAGCAACTGGGGCTCAAGTCCACTGGGGAACTTGGGGAGACAGTGTCAGTAGCGAACATGCCACAGAGTTATTCCATGGGAGGGGAAAGGGAGCTGGGCACCATATATCCACCAGCTTCTATCAGTCATTGATTGAGGGCTGCTCCCAGAAGCATTAACTCCTTGGCACTTCTAGCTACCCCTGCACATGTCCATGCTTTCATGGCCAGAGAAAATGATCAGGCAAAGGGAGTTGGAGTGCTAAGACATATGGGTAGGGCACCTGCAGCATCTACTACACAGACCAGCCCATTCACATGCCAACCCATCCATGAACAGCCTAGGATTGTGTCTACCTAACAAGTGCCAGCATTCCTGTGTAATAATCCATTCATTTAGGCATCAACGTTTTCAGAGGCCAACTCATTCCGGAGGCACCATTCATACTCTAATTAGTGAGAAAAGTGATCTATACAGAATGTGGCCACTGGAAATATCTCAGGCTCCTGTGAATACAGGTGTCAGTTCCACTCTGCAGCATCAGTGTATTTCAAGTGATTTTTCCCTGGTAGTATGTTTTAATTCCTTGTTTTTTATTTTTAGTGTATCTATGTTAGGTTTTGTGGTTGCTTTGTGGTTACCATGAGGTTTACAAAAAACATCTTATTTGAATAGATAACAATTTTGGTCACAAAGAAAAGAAATAAAAAACTAAAAACCTCTACACTTTAACTCCATTCCCCTATATTCTGACTATTTATTGTCTTAATTTACATCTTTTTATATTGCCTATCTCTTAAGTTGTTCTAATTATTATTTTTGATATATTTGTCTTTTAGTCTTTTAGTCTTCATACTAGAGAAATGAATGGTTTACACACCACAATTACAGTATAAGGGTATTCTGAATTTGTCTGTGTATTTACTTTTACCAGTGAGTTTTGTACCTTCAGATGATGTCTTTGTTGCACATTAATGTTCTTTTCTTCCAGATTAAAAACTCCCTTTAGCAATTCTGTAAGACAGTTCTGGTGATTATGAATTTCCTCAGCTTTTGTCTGGGAAAATCTTTATCACTCTTTCATGTTTGAAGGATCATTTTGCTGGGTACAGTATTCTCAGTCGACAGGTCTTTTTTATCTTCAGCACTTTGAATATGTCATCCTTCCTACTCTGGGTGTGTATGCTTTCTGCTGAGAAGTCTGTTGCCAGATGAATCAAAGCTCCTTTATATGTTATTTGCTTCTTTTCTCTTGCTGCTTTTAGCATCTTCTCTTTGTCCTTGACCTTTGAGAGTCTGATTATTCTATGCTTTGGGGTAGTTTTATTTGGGTTAAATCTCTTTGGTGATTTTTGACTTTCCTGTACCTGGCATATTTATATTTTTCTCTAGACTTGGAAAGGTTACAGTTATTATTTCTTTGAACAAGACTTCTGCCCCCTCACTCTTTCTCAATTCCCTCTTGAAAGCCAGTACTTCTAGATTTGCTCTTCTGAGGCTATCTTCTAGATTTTGTAGACATTCTTCACTCCTTTCATTCTGTTTTGTTTTCTCTCCTCTGATTGTGTATTTTCAAATAGCCTGTCTTTGAGTTCATTAATTATTTCTTCTGCTTGGTCTGTTCTGTTGTTGAGACTTTGTGAAGTGTTTTTTAGTTCAGCTAACGTACTTCTCAGTTCCAAGATTTTTGTTTGATATTTTAAAAATTATTTTAATCTCTTTGTTAAATTCCTCTGGTAAGTTTCTGAATTGCTTTTCTGTGTTACCTTGGAGTTTGCTGAGTTTCCTCAAGACTGCTATTTTGAATTCCTGATCTGAGAGCTCACAGATTGCCATCTTGCTTGGGTCAGTCACTCACTGGCTCCTTGCTTTGTCCATTTGAAGAAGTCATGGTTCCTGGTGTTAGCAGTTTCTTATGCATGTACACATATGTCTTCACATTGAAGGTTTAGTTATTTATTCATCTTTGCTGCCTGGGTTAGTTTGGTCTCTTTAGCATATGTGTGTTTAGATGTTCTGTGCACTTGGCCTATTGATTCCTTTAGCTCTAGATCACTGCCTCCTTTTCAGCACTAAATAACACCCTAAGCCCAGGTTTGTCATGACTCTTGCAAAAGTTCAAAGCTCAGCCTTTTCACAGATAAAGGGCATCAAAGGGGATTCTGCAGCTCTGTGGGGAGGCTGACTAGGGGTTCATGCCCAGAGGGACTGTGGAGAGTGCCTCTTACAATGTGATGCTGCTGAACCACCTCTCTGATTCAGTGTCTTGTTTGTCTGAGATGAAGAGTAGCCCCAGAGTTTCACGCACTGGGCTGCTAGCCCCACCTCCACTGTCTATGTGACTCCAGAGGCTTTCAGGGGTCCCTCACCCTATAGGTATTCGTGATTCTTCCTGTGGGTTGAGGCAGGAAAACTTTCCTGAGTAGGTAGTCAAGATGATGAGGAAGCTGGCTGGCTGCCTTGATCTTATTTTTCCCAGTGTAGAAATGTCCAGGGAACTTTTCTGCGTGGTGACTTACAGTTTGGGGAAGGGATGTCACAGAGGAGTCCATTTTACTACCTTCTGTTCACAGTTTTTCACTTTTCTATGGCCCCAGGGTTTGTCACAGCCTCATTTTGAGTTCTGGGATAGTGGTAATTATCATCTTGGCACTAGATCATTGTTTTTAGTTTTCTATGGAGGACAGTGAAGCCAGATTGCTTCTACTTTGTCATTTTGGTGACACCCGGCATCTATGTATTTTACAGGGGCTGGGATTGGGCTGGTCTTACATGCGTTCATGCAGTCATTCAAGAAAAGAGGTTGTTCGCACTAGTTCTTTTTCAGGTAACAAAGAACAGCTCAGGAAGATTTTAATTTAACTAAAAGTACAACTTCCAAGAATAAAGGTGTTTTGTTTCTCATATTTCAAGAAAAGCAGGGACATCCATAAGGTTGCTTCATCTACATGAGGTGATGCTTTAAAAAAGGAAGACAGATAAATTAATTGGACTTTGGGGAATGGTGATAGTTTTTTTTTCCTAATGCCCTGATACAAAGGGCATTGGCCAAATTTCTGCAGGGCCTCAAGACTGAACTTGGCTCTCATAAGGGATTTGTCTCCAAGACTGAAGGTCTCAGGTGACAGGCTGCATGACCCTGAAAGACAACACAAGAAAACCAGCTCAGCCAGTGTCTGTCACCTGAGAGATAATGAAACCTTCACTTTTTAACAAGGTGGTAAAACTTCCCTTTTGCAAAGAATAGCATAACATTTTTGTATATGTCAATCAGCCTGTTTTGCACCAACTTGAAAGCAATGAACACAATCTCCATTCCAACGATGATATAAATGGAGAAGAACAGGAAGAAGTTAGGGTGTTCTAAAACAGTATCCCCAAACCCAATGGTGGTGAGTGTGACAAAGCAGAAATAGAAGGCATTCTCGAAATCCAACTGTGTCTCCCAGAAGGGGAGGATGGCAGCTGCACAGGAAATGTAGGCAAAAACAATAAGGGCAATGATGGGGAGGGGGATGTCCAACCTCTCCACCTGCTGTCCAACTTCATCCAGGTTGCTGATGATGGAGTATGAGAGTCTTCCCAACACCAGTTCGGGACACGAGTTACTCCTCTCCATGGCTTGTGGGGGCAGTTGCAGTGTGTTCTGTTTCTCTAGCGCATGAGATCTCTCAAACAGCTCCATGCTGCAGCTTGGGCGTGAAGGACATGTGCCAAGTTTGGGGCCTGGAAGCTCTTCAGCACTGATGATGATCTGAGGGACAGCTTCATCTGCGGGCTTGGGGTCCGGTTTTTTCTTGAAGAGAGATTTGGGGCACCACTTGGAGAGGAGGGGGCGGGTAAAGAAAGGGAATTTTCGGAACCGATTATAAGATGTAGATAAGATGGTTGCCAGGATGTCGCCTGTGTCCGTGAGAACGAGGAACATCAGGGGGATACCAAAGAGAGCATAGAGCATGCACAAGTACTTGCCAAGCCTGGTGACGGGGTAGATGTAGCCATAGCCTGAAAAAGAAGATGGAGCTTAGAGTTTGCATCTGGCCCCTTCCCTTTTTCCCCCCAAAAGCTTTAAAGAGACCTTCTGCCATCTCCCCTCCTTGGCATGACATTTTACACATTGTTTTTGAAAATACTCATCTCAAAGCATTCAGCCACTGGTCTGGCATTAGGCTTGCTTTGGTGGGAGGGAAAGGAGTGAAACAGCTTCCCTTTAGGATAAGGAGCAACTGATATCCAGGTCTTTGATTTGAAATGTCCTTGGCAGGGGACCAGCACAGGTTTGGGGTGAACAGATTGCCTTTGATTCTGTTCTGGCCATTTCTGAGCACCCCCCAAAGGAAGGGCTCAGCTGACCTGGAAGGACAGGATGAGTACAAGTGAGAGAGGATGGGTGGCTTTGTAATCATATCCAATGCCACCTTTATCCTCTGTGAAGGTGCTGGCTTTTAAGAAGCCACCCTTGGCTGGGCGTGGTGGTTCATGCCTGTAATTCCAGCACTTTGGGAGGCCAAGATGGGCGGGTCACCTGAGGTCAGGAGTTCAAGACCAGCCTGGCCAATATAGTGAAACCCTATCTCAACTAAAAATAGAAAAATTAGCTGGGCATGGTGTAGGGCGCCTGTAGTCCCAGCTTCTCAGGCGGTTGAGGCAGGAGAATCACTTGAAGCCGGGAGGTGGAGGTTGCAGTGAGCCAAGATTGTGCCATTGCACTCCAGCCTAGGGGACAAGAGTGAGACTCCATCTCAAAAAAAAAAAAAAGCTACCCTTGTCCTCCATAAGAGGACTGAGCTCTTTGTTTCTAAGAGGCACTTATTGTGTTCCCATGGTGTGCTCAGCAGTGTGCACAGTGTTAGGAAAAACAGAAAGATGGAAGATGAATAAAATACAATTGCCCTCAGAGCCATTTGTGGCTTAGCAGATTAGACAAACATGTTCCTAAATGACAGTGAAGCCATTAGCCTCCCAGCATCTAGGTTCTGACTGACCTTGCTTTGAATCCCAGCTCTGCTATTTATGATAATATTACTTGACTGCTCATATTTTCAGGTTTTTTTTATCTGTAAGATGGGGATGACAATACCTACTTTGCGTATTGACTAGCTGGGAGGATTACATGAGGCCCGTGCTTGACACACAGTGCGCGATTAATAACTGGTGGTGTCCTCACCCTCAAGACCTTAGCTGCCTAGTGAGCACTTCCTGTGGGCTGGGTGTCAGTCAGCCTTCATAGGGAGGTATTGTTATCACCATCCACAGGTGGGGAAACTGAAGCACAGAGAAACGAAGTAGCTTGGCCGTGAGCATACATGTGATACACAGTGGAGTTGGGGTCAAATCCACAGGACTCTCAGGTCCCCAACCAGTGCTGTCACCCTCAGGAGCATCCGGGGGCAGGACCATTCAATCAGAGACAACCAGGCAGCCAAGCAAAGGAAGGGATGCGCTGAGGTCTCCATCCCCGTCGGGAGCCCCTCCCCTCCCCTTGCACCTACAGAGGGGCAGGAGCAGACAGACCTCAAACCCCACAGCGCAGGTGGCTAGATCTTCTGGAGCGGGCAAGCATCAATTCGAGCAGAGGACAAAGCTTTTGTATTTAATGCCTGTGTTTAATTTTTGATGTCATAAAGGATGATTAATACAGAAAAACCCAGCCCAATTATGTAAATTAATCTGAAGGCAACTCCTCAGCTGGCTAAGCCCCAACTTCCTCCAGAAGTGCAGCTCCCTGTGGCAAACTTTGGCCTCAGGCTCTGCCCTCCAAGAGCAGGTGGGCATTCAGGTTGCCTACCCTCACCAGGGTCCCAAGTGTAGGGGAGGGAGCTGTGGCTCTCAAAGAGTCTCATCAGTTTGCATCCATTCCAGAGCACTCCATGCCACTCTGGCTGGTTCCACTAAGTACCATTTGATGGCAGCGTCAGTTAACTATGTGCATTCATTCATCCATTCATGCATGCATACATTCAGTATTGAGTGCTTACTGCATGCACTGTGGGCATAGTGCTGAGCAAAGTAGATATGGGATACGATCTCTCTGAGCCTCTGGTTTGGTAAAAGAGGCAGACATTAATTTTAAAAACCACACTAA
This sequence comes from Homo sapiens, assembly GCF_000001405.40. Lineage (NCBI taxonomy): Eukaryota > Metazoa > Chordata > Mammalia > Primates > Hominidae > Homo > Homo sapiens. Next base: position 117,207,416 of record NC_000010.11, on the reverse strand, counting down.
TGAGTATGTAATTACAAATGGAGATCAATAACAGGAAGTGAAAGAGCAGACCATTCCATGAATGATTAGAACAAAGGCACCTATCCTAAGCCATGCGCAATGGCTCACACCTGTAATCCCAGCAATTTGAGGGGCCAAGGCGGACAGATCATATGAGGTCAGGAGTTCAAGACCAGCCTGGCCAACGTGGCAAAACCCTGTCTCTACTAAAAATACAAAAATTGGCCAGGTGTGATGGCGCATACCTGTAATCCCAGCTACTTGGGAGGCTGAGGCATGAGAATCACTTGAACCCAGGGGGCGGAGGTTGCAGTGAGCTGAGATCGTGCTACTGTACTCCAGCCTGGGCAACGGAGCGAGACTCTGTCTCAACAAAAACAAACAAAGGCACCCATCCTGGATTTGGGCCCAGGAAAGATTTTTCCTGTGAGGGGATTTTTGAGCTGATGTTGGGAAGGGGTCACAAACTAGCCAGGTGAAGAGAGAGGAAGCAGCCTGTGCAAAGACCCTATGGCGGGTTCAACAAAGGGTTATCCATACAGTGACAGTGGGGCAACTTGTGTACTGCACATATACCAAGGGGGTGACTGGGAGCTGAAACCTAGCCTCCGTGCACTTACCAAGCTTGGAGCTCAGGGCTCGGGGCACTGGGCTGTGTCTGCCTAGTGAGGGATATGGTTTTCTAACTTTTCACCAAGGTGTCACCCTGAGTGTAGCTGTCACCCAGCTTTAAGGAACCAAGAGAAGGCCAGTGTGTCTAGTGTGCAGGGAGGTAGGGGAGGGGAGCAAGGGGAGGCCGGGAGGTGGGCAGCATCTAAGGGCTTCCATGGCAGATGGGGGAGTGCCTTGATCAGTGTGGAAGGCTGAAAAATGACAGCCCCCAAATATAGCCAAGTCCTAACTCCTAGAATCTGTCAATGCTACCTTATTTGGTAAGTGGGTCTTTGTCGATGTGATTAAGGATCTCAAGATGAGGAAGTTATCCTGGATTGTGTGTGTGGCCCTAGGTACCATTACAAGTGTCCTGATAAGGGAGAGGCTGAGCAAGATATTTTACACAGAGAAGAGGAGGTAATATGACCTCAGAGGCAGAGACAAGAGTGATGTGGCCACGAGCCAGGGGATGCTGGCAGCCACCAGAAGCTGCCAAGGAAGAGGCAAGGAAGGGTCCTCTCCTAGAGCCTTAGAGGGAGTATGGCTCTGCCAACACCTTCATTTTTGAAATCAGTAAAACTGATTTCGAATTTCTGGCCTCCAGATTGTGACAGAATAAATTTCTATTGCTTCAAGCCACTGAGTTTGTGGGAATTTATTACAGCAGCCACAAGAAACTAATAAAATCAGGTTTGTATCTTTTTTTTTTAAGATGAGATCTTGCTCTGTTGCCCAGGCTGGAGTGAAGAGGCGTGCACGACCTTGGCTTACTGCAACCTCCACCTCCTGGGTTCAAGAGATTCTCTTGCCTCAGCCTCCTGAGTAGCTGGGACTACAGGCACCCACCACCATGCCTGGTTAATTTTTGTATTTTTAGTAGAGACAAGGTTTCACCATGTTGGCCAGGCTGGCCTCGAACCCCTGACCTCAAGTGATCTGCCCACCTCAGCCCCCCAAAGTGCTGGGCTTACAGGAGTGAGCCACCACTTCTGACTTGGTTTGCATCTTGAAAAAATCATCCTGACTGCATCACAGACAGTAAATTGTAGGGCTTCAGATAGACGCAGGACAATGAGTGGGGATGCTATGCTTCCTGCCCAGGTGAGAGATAAAGGGGGCTTTGGCTGAGGTGGGAGCTGAGAGGAGAGACCTGTAGGGACTGGCAGAAATCTCAGCAGGACAGGAGGATGGTTTGGATTGGAGTGCCTGAAAGGAGCTGGGATTTGAGCACAGAGCAGGCACTGTGAATCCACCAGAATCTACTGCTGTCTTTGGCAAAGGTGGGTTTACAGGATTATAAACAAAGCCTTTTTGGCTGCCTCTGGGTGAGATACTTTTGCAATCCAAAATATGCAATATGTCACATTCCTGAAAAAGTTTAAAGGAAGCAGGTCTCAGAGAGCACACAACCCCCACAAAGGGAATGTATTAACTATTCTAATTACTGAATGCCAAAATGCATAATGGAACTCATTATTTCTTAGAATGCATTCATATATTTTGATACAATCAGTTCACTGCACTTGGCCTGTGAGTACTTAACAGCTCATGCACTTTCCTTTCTAATCCAAGAGGGATGACCCAGTTGGGAATGACGGGATTGACCGGCCTCACAGCTGTCAGGTATCCTGTGCTTAGCATTAAGGCCAGGTGCATTTCAGATGACCCAGAGATGCAGGGCAGGAAGCAGTATTACCAGAGAGACTTTCAAACACCGTTATTGATTATGGACAGTGCGGAACATTCCCCAACATCCTCTTCCAGTTGTTTGTAATTACTGGGCGGCATGATGTCCTAATTGACTCGTACAATGGGCAGTAGCATTGCCTTCTTGGAATTTAAGCCAAGCTAATGCATTTCCATTAGATCAGTGACTCACAGCCTGGACTCCCACTAGAATCACCTGGAGGGCCCTGGAAAATACTGATGTCTGGGCCTGGTCCCTAGGGATTCTGTTTGTTCTAGGGCAGGGTCCACACATGGGAGCTTGCAAAAGCTCTGCAGGTGACTCTGACATGCAGCCAGGGCACGCTTCTCAAACATTAGCACACATCAGAATCACATGGAGAACTTTCTAAACTACAGATTGCTGGGTCCCACAGCCATGGTTTCTGGCTCAGTAGGTCTAGAATGGCTCCTGAGAATTAATTTGCATTTCTATCAAGTTCCCCAGTGATGTCGATGTTACTCAGGGACCACATTTTGACAACCATTGCAATAGATCATTTCTCAATAGCGGGCAATTTTGCCCCCCAGAGGAAATTTGGCAATGCCTGGAGACTATTGTGGCTGTCATAATGGGTAGGGACAGTGGGGAAAGTGCTATTGCATCTGGTGGGTGGAGGCCAGAGATGCTGCTCAACATCCTACATTGCACAGGAGCCTCCTCTGCAGAGAATTATCCCATGCAAGAAGCTGATAGTGCTGAGGTTGAGAAATCCTGCCTCAGATGCATCTGAGGTTTTTTTCTTTTTTCTTTTTTTTTTTTTTTTGAGACTCTGCCATCCAGGCCAACTCTTGTCACCCAGGCTGGAGTGCAGTGGCGCGATCATGGCTCACTGCAGTCTCAACCTCCAGGGCTCAAGTGATGCTCCCACCTCAGCCTCCTGAGTAGCAGGGACTACAGGTGCACGTCACCACGCCCAGCTGATTTTTTTATTTTTTGTAGAGATGAGGTCTCATTGTATTTCCCAGACTGGTCTCCAACTCTCACCTGATCCTCCCAAAGTGCTGGGATTACAGGCATAAGCCAGGGCACCTGGACCAACCTAAATTCTTGAGGAGGCTAGGCATGGTGGATCAGCGTATAATCCCAGAACTTTGGGAGGCCGAGGCAGGTAGATCACCTGAAGTCAGTAGTTCAAGACCAGCCTGGCCAACATGGTGAAACCCCATTTCTACAAAAATACAAAAATTAGCCAGGCATGGCCGGGTGCAGTGGCTCACGCCTATAATCCCAGCACTTTGGAAGGCCGAGACGGATGGATCACCTGAGGTCAGGAGTTCAAGACCACACTGACCAATATGATGAAACCCCATCTCTACTAAAACTACAAAAATTAGCCATGCATGGCATGTGCCTGTAATCTCAGCTACTCGGGAGACCGAGACAGGAAAATTGCTTGAACCTGGGAGGCGGAGGTTGCAGTGAGCTGAGATGGCACCATTGCACTCCAGTCTGGGCGACAGAGCAAGACTCTGTCTCAAAAAGCTTGAGGAAAACAAAAAGACAAACTTCATAACTTCTAGCCCCTTTGCACAGTTCCGTGTCTTTCTTGGAGTTACTGCTCTCCTGGGCCTATTGTTTCCTCAAAGCATCCCCTGAGCTGTGGGTTCCCCTGGAAAGTCCAGCTTTGAGGTTTGACCTCAGCCCTGCCTGTGACTCCCTCACAGTGATTCCCTCTTAGAGCCTGTGGAATGGGATAGTCACAGCACTTACCTTGCAGGGTTGTGGTGAGAATTGCACAAGAAAAGGCTCCGAAAGCACCTGGACCCCACATCCAGCACGTGCTGAGTGGTGTAGCTGCTGTCCTTATTCTTTCTGTCCCTCACCCATCCCTGCCTGCATCAGCATTCAGGTGAACAAGGCCAGGCGCGGTGTCTCACGCCTCTAATCCCAGCATTTTGGGAGGCCGAGATGGGCAGATCACCTGAGGTCAGGAGTTCAAGACCAGCCTGGCTAACATGGTGAAACCCCCGTCTCTAGTAAAAATACTAAAATTAGCCAAGCGTGGTGGTACATGCCTGTAATCCCAGCTACTTGGGGACTGAGACACAAGAATCACTTGAACCAGGGAAGCAGAGGTTGCAGTGAGCCAAGATTGTGCCACTGCACTCCAGCAAGACTCCATCTCAAAAAAAAAAAAAAAAAAAAAAGCATTCAGGCAAATGGGAGAAACCACGTGGGGGCTGTGAGAGCCCTCCTGGGGCTGTGTGGCTATTTCTGAAGCTGGGTGCAGCAGACACCGGTTGCCCACCCAGCAGCCATTCCCTCCTTTCTTCCCTGCAGACCCACTGCTCCCCCAGCTGATTTAGGAGTAGATCCGATTGGTCTTAGTCATCCTGGTGCTCCAATCCCCTTGCCTGGGACCAGCTTAGAGGCGGCTGGGAGGCCCAGTGGGTGGCTCCTGGGAAGACATCGTCATGGCTGATGAACCATGCAGAGAGACAGCAGCCCTTTCTGTATAAGACACAGTTATGCTTGAATGGACTGTGGACCTTGGTGGCCTCTTGTGGCCCAGTGGGCAGAAGGATGGAGAAAACCTGATGCCCAATGCCATGACTGCGAATGGGCACTGGGCATGACCTGCATATCAGCCTAGAGCTGTCCTCACACTGGACTTCTTACTTGGAAGGTGACATTCTCCTTGCGGTTTAAGCCAGGCGAGTTGGGTTTTCTGTTAGTCACTGCTGAAGGCATCCTGGCTGCCACTTACATACATAGTCATCAGCTGACCCTGAGAGGCAGGTCTAGAAGTGCTTTTGGGTCCCAGTACAAGGCTCAGAGGGGCCACGTCCCTTGCTGGAGATTCCACAGCTCCAACCCAGGCTGGCCACTGTGCTCCATCCTGACCTTCAGCATGAGGGGCCCCAGCCTCTCTCTGCAACCCCTGTGGGCCAGGTCCTCCTAGGGATGGGCACTTGCTCTCTCGAAGGAGGAGAGGGCCCACAGTCCCTTTTGCCAGCCAAGAGGGGCAGGGGCTGAGTGATGGGCCACGCTCCTGGTGAGGGCTCTGACCCAAGAGCTCTGGCCCTGTGGCTGAAGGCAGCTCCATCGCCTCCTGTGTCTCCTGCCTGGCCTGGTTTGGCCCCTCCAACCTGGCCCCACTGCTGCCCCACCAGAAGGGAAGCTGGGGATGGGCCAGCCAGCTCAGAGTGAGCCCTTAATCACCAGAGGGACCTTAGTTACTGCTGACCCAGTGGCATCACGCCCCCAGCCCAGGAGGCCTAACTCTCCTGCAGCATCCCCTACCACTCTCCTGATCATTCTCTGCCCTCCAGCCACAATGGTCATGTCCTTAAAGGGGCCAGTAAACCAACGTTTTGCTCATAAGCACGAGGAAGCATCTCCCTCCCAGTTTCTATGTGCCAGGTGCATAGAAAGTTATACATAGAGGCAGCAGGGTGCTGGGTCTAGACCCAAGTGGCTGGGTTCAAACGCACATGAACTGTGCGACTTTTTGAAACTGACGGACCTGCTGGAGTGGGAACAATAACAGCACCCACCTCTTGGTGAGGATTAGATGAGCTAATCAGCATAAAGGTCTTAGAACAGGGCCTGGTGCATCTTCAGTGCAAAGGTGTCGGCCAGCGCAGCTGCTGCTATTTGTAGGTGTGCAATATAGATTTGAGGAAGGGAGGGAAGAAGAGAGGGAGAGGAGGGCCATCTCCACACCCCAATTCCAGTGTCCTTTGCCACCCAGAAACCCACCCTTCACAGGGCCACCGTGAGGGGGACTGTGGCTTTGCACTTACCCACGGTGCTGAACACCGTGCAGCAGAAAAAGAGCGAGCTCAGGAAGGACCAGTGTGTGGTCCTGTTAAACCACTGAGGCTTCACCTTCTGCAGATGCCCCTGGAGATCCTGTTTTCTGTCTTCCACCACTGGAGAAAGACATGACCAAGAGTTTGAGGAAAAGGTTCTGCTGGTAAAGACAAGCCCCGCCCCAGTGAAAGGGATAGTCTTCCCCAAGGACCAGCAGCCCCTTTGCCTTGTGGTCAGTATCAACACCAAAGCTCGGTGGTCGGAGTCCTCCTTTAAAATATTTCTGCAGCCTGGGTCCTGCCTTCAGTCCCTATGGAGATAAGGAGGCCACTTAGCCCTGTGAGAAGAGCACCTAACAGAGAGGCCCATGGGGGTCCCACCAGAGCTTAGCCCTGGCATTGCTGTGTAGTCTTTGCCTTTTAATTTTCTGAACCGCCATTTCTTTCATCTGTTTTTTTTTTTTCTTGAGACAAGAGTCTTGCTCTGTTGCCAGGCTGGAGTGCAGTGGTGTGATCTCGGCTCGCTGCAACCTCCACCTCCCTGGTTCAAGCAATCCTCTTGCTTCAGCCTCCTGCGTAGCTGAGACTACAGGGGCGTACTACCACACCCATGCCCAGCTAATTTTTGTATATTTAGTTGAGACGGGGTTTCACCTCATTGGCCAGGATGGTCTCAATTTCTTGACCTTGTGATCCACCTGCCTCAGCCTCCCAAAGGGCTGGGATTATAGGCGTGAGCCACCGCGCCCCGCCTCTATCATCTTTCAAAGGAAGATAACTTCTGCTCTGCCTCTCACACAGGGTTCTCAAGTACTAAAAGCAAAAGGCTTTTAGGAAAAGCAAGCTGTTACACAGATGCAAATCATACCCACTCCTGGAGGTCATTACGCTTGATGGAGTTTGCCGGGCACGATGGCTCACGCCTATAATTGCAACACTTTGGAGGGCTAAGGTGGGCGGATCATTTGAGGTCAGGAGTTCAAGACCAGCCTGGCCAACATGGTGAAACCCTGTCTCTACTAAAAATACAAAAATTAGCCGGGTGTGGTGGCACACACCTGTGGTCCCAGCTACTCAGGAGGCTGAGGCAGGAGAATTGCTTGAACCTGGGGAGTGGAGGTTGCAGTGAGCCAAGATCGTGCCACTGCATCCCAGCCTGAGTGACAGAGTGAGTCTCCATCTAGAAAAATAAAAATAAAAACTTGATGGAGTTTGATCATCATACCATCATACTGTGATCTTTGGGCACCAGCTACCTGTGAGTGTCTCCTACAGAGCTGGGAAAACTTGACTTCCTACACATTGGTTCCAAGGCTAACAGAGCAGGGTTGGGAACCCTGGTTTCCCAGAGAGGTTCCTGAATGGCTCGATTGGCCTGAGCCGCCAGTGGGCTTTGGGACCCAGAGGCCACCTGCTAGACTTGTTCGGCTTTAAGAGAATGGCACTGAACCTGGCATGCAGCAGGAAGTCTCTACTCCTTTTAATTGGCACCAGCCTGGGAGTCTACACACATCGATTCTAGACCCAGCTCTAACCCTGATAAGTTCTGTAACTGTGGACAAGAGGCTGCTTTCTGAGCCTCAGTTTCCCCATCAGAGAGACAGCCTGAGATGGTGGTGAAAGGTTCAGGCTCTGGAATCCAGATACATGGGTTTAAGTCCCTGGTTCCATTTTTCTAGTTTGTGAACTTGGACAAATTGCTTAACCTCCCAAGGCCTCAATTTCCTAATCTGTAAAAGAAGGACAACTTTTTGTTGTTTTCTTGTGAGGCTTCTTGTGAGGATTAGGTGAGATAATGTGTGAAGTGTTTGCCACAGGGTCTACATGCAACTAACCCTTATGGAACATTTTAATCTCCAGTGAAAATCGGTACAAAATGGAGTGGGACCAGCTCTGTGTTCCCATACCCTGCTGTGCATTGGAATCACCTGATAAACTTTATTTTTACTTATTTATTTTTGAGACATCTCTGGCTCTGTCATCCAGGCTGGAGTGCAATGGCACAATCACGGCTCACTGTAGCCTCAAACTCGTAGGCTCAAGCAATCCTCCTGCCTCAGCCTCCCAAGTAGCTGGGACTACAAGTGCACGCCACCTCATCTGACTAAATTTTTTAATTTTTTATAGAGACAGGGTCTCACCTTGTTGCCCAGGCCTAGTCTCAAACTCCTGGCCTCAAATGATTCTCCCACCTTGGCCTCCCAAAATGCTAGGATTATGGGCATGAGCCACCATGCTTGGCCTTATCCTTGAAACTTTAAGATTCCCAGCCCAGCCCTGGAGATCCTGATTAAGTGGGTTTGGAGAAGAGCCTGGGGATGTGTACTCTAGGCAGTCTCCCTGGTTGATTCTGATGTGTTGCTGGCTTAGAGAGCCTTGAACTTGCTGGTAGTCTAGGCCCTGCGATGGTGCAGTGTCCCTTTGGCAGCAATCTCCCAGGTCCACTGAGCAGGCTGGCGTCTGTCTGGCAAGGATGCAGGGAGTGGGACCCTCCACAGACAGGAGACTCTGCCTCCCTGGACTGGCCTCTTGTCTCTGGGAGCTGCACCTGTTCCCAAATCAAGGTCTGGGCTGTGGAAGGAGCCCCCACACCAGAGTGGGAGGGGAGGGGCTCCCTGCACCCCATTCTTCTCCTGACTTTTAGTGTCTGGTTTTCCTTTGTTTTTCATTTATCTACTCTCCCTTGTTTTATCTTGCTCTGTTGAATACAATAACAAGCTTCCTTCGAGGAACACAGCAGAGTAGAAACAAGTGACTAAATATGAAGAAAATGCAATGAGGACACTATAAAGTGACTTCTGTCTTCCAAGAGCCAGAATGTTCCTTGTCTCCTCTGCTTCTCACAGGGTCCCTGTGACCACCAAGTCTGAGATTGGGGGTCCCCTTCTCTCCCGCAGACTGAGACCCAGAGAGAACAAAGCTTTGCCTCCACGGATTGCAGAGCAAGCTGGGAGAGCAGCCAGGACAACAGCCAGGACCCCCACCCCTCCCCCCAGGTCTTCTCACAACACCTCCCCACTCCGCTGAGCCAGACAGCAGAAAAGGAGTTTGAAACAGGAAGTGGGGGCGTGGGTGGCAGGTGCTCCTGCTGGAATTTAAATCCAATTTGGGTTGTTCCCTAAATTCTCATCCCTGCAAACTGAATCCTGGGTCAGGCAGACATAGTTCTGAAAAGCAAGCTAGCCCCCCAACCCCAGCCCCAGATTTGCTCACCCATGCACCCCACCCCACCAAATTCCCAGTAATCCATCGTCCCCTGAGGCCACTGGTCTGGATGGGGCTGGGTGCTGAGGCACAGGAAGGGGAGCTGGTCTTTCCTGAGCACCTCAGGGTGCTCAGGGCCTTTCCTGCATTCTTCACAGCAACCCTGAGAGGCAGTTAGTCTCCCCACTTTTCAGAGGAGAAAACAGAGGTTCAGAAAGAAGTTACTCGCTTAAAGTGCCCAGGCATGAGGAGGATCCAGGCAGGCAGCTCCCAGACCCAGCCTCCTAGAAGGCAGCCCTCTGCTCTTGGGGGACTGCTGCCACCACGGAGAAAAGGCCCACCCTGTCCAGGTGAGGCACCTACCTGTTTCACTGCAGTTCAAGATTCTGCAGAGCTCCTCCAAGAACTTCTCAAACTCTCCATCATCTGCTGCCACCAGGACCTGGCCGTCCTCAATGGCAGAGAAGACCACAGCACCCACCAGGGCGTAGGTCACCAGAAAGCAGAGGAAGCAGAGGCCAGGGAAGAGCTTTCCCAGGGCCTCTGGGCAGCATCTCCTGGCCTGGGGGTGCCCCGAGACCTCCATCGTCCCTGAAGCATGCAGGGCAAGAGGAGCTGGTGGAAGAGGCAGGAGCATCTAAGCCCCGCCAGGAAGATGGGGTAGGAGTGCCCGGAGAACAGCCAGGCTCCAGTGCTAAGTGGATGGTGCGTGTGCTTCCCCAAGGACTCAGGAAGCAGCCGGCAACTCATCATGTTCAGTTCTTCCGAACTACTCAGATGGCGCCCTCCCTAGCACCCCAGATTGCTATTGATCCGCTGGGCCGGCCCTGGAGCTGCCTGGAAGGGGCTTTGGGAGGATAGTGTGGTTGTTGTTTTGTGCTACGTTTAATCTTTTCTATGCCCAAACTGCAGTTTTGAATTGCAGATCCCAAACCTGATCTTTGGCGTTTAGTCAAGTGATTCTTTCCTGAGAGCTGTCTGTGACACAACTTGGCTTAGGGTACCTGGTCTTCTGGACAGGTGATAATAGTAGTAACCTATAATAGTAACAGTAACCATAGTAACTAATGCGGCCAGAGCTCAATGGTTTCCAAAGGACCTTTATCCTGTGTGGATCTAATTATTGGTCCCAATTCTTCACTCCCCTGCTGCATACCCCCCCTTGCTGGGGCCTCACGGTGGGCAGAGTGTACTTCCTTGAACTTGGCTTTAGGGTAGGTCATCTCACTTGCTCCAGACAGCTGGGCATTAGCAGATGTGATGCAAGCAGGGGCTAGGCCTGTGCTTGTGCATTTGGACTTGCTTAGCTATGCCTGTGTCTGCCATGAGAAAAGGTGCCCCACCTTTCAATTTTCAGCTCAGAGTAGACCAATGTGCAACTTTCTTTGGTGGTCCTGAATCCAGGTTCATCCAACACCACCTACCTCCACCATACAGCCTAAGTTTGACCCCAACGAGATTAAAGTCTGAGATGCACCGGGAATGATGTTGGTGCCACATCTGTGCTGGCCCCTAAGATCAAACCCCTGTGTCTGTCTCCAAAACACATTGGTAATGACATCGTTAGGGCAACCGGTGATTTGAAGGATCTGAGGATTACAGTGAAACCATTCAGAACAGGCAGGCATAGATTGAGGTAGTACCTTCTGCCTCTGCCCTGATCATCAAAGCCCTCAAGGAACCTCCAGGAGACAGAAAGAAACAGAAAAACATTAAACCCAATGAAAATATCATTTGATGAGAATGTCAACATTGCCTGACAGATGCAGCTCCAATCTTTAGTTAGGGAACTCTCTGGAACAATTAAAAAGATCCCGGGGACTGCACCATCTGTGGGCTGCAATGTTGATGGTCACCACCCTCATGACATCAACAGTGGTGCAGTGGAATGCTCAGCTTGTTAAGCACAAAGGAAAATATTTCAATAAAGGATCATTTGACAACCAGTGGGGATAAAAAGTGCCTCAGATGGCAGCTGTGGAGATGCATGCAGGTTCAGATCCCTCTTCTAGAAAGGACTCGCTGTGCAGCTTTGATGAGCATGGTTCATGACAGCCCCTTTTGTTCTCTGAGGGTTTGCCACCGGTTTCAAGCCCTCTTCTTGGAGAAGCCTGTGCCCACTGACTAAGCAAGGTGGGGACCCAAGGGCCTATTCATTTCTGCCCAATACAGGACTCCTCCAACTTGAGCCTGTTCCAGAGTGGCCCTTTGGTCTACAGAGAGAACTTGTCAGTCTGTGTTATGATCCAGAGGCTTTCCCTGTTCCATCTGCTTCCTTCATTTTCATTTTACAAGTCTTCCCAAAAAAGCTTTTGCAATTGTGACTCTATCTTGGTGTCTGCTTCCCAGAGGATTCAACAGTAGTTGGCACCAGAAGTGGTCTGAGAAAGCCTGCTCAAAAAGCTAAGATGGGGGTCGGGCACAGTGGCTTGCACCTCTAATCCCAGCATTTTGGGAGGCTGAGGAGAGCGGATTGCTTGCGGCCAGGAGTTTGAGACCAGCCTGGCCAACATGGTGAAACCCTGTCTCTACTAAAAATACAAAAACTAGCCAGGCATGGTGGTGCATGCCTGTAATCCCAGCTACGCTTGGAGGCTGAGGCACAAGAATTGCTTGAACCTGGGAGGCGGAGGTTGAAATGAGCTGACATCACACCACTGTAGTCCAGGATGAACAACAGAGTGAGACTCTGTCTCAAAAAAAAAGAAAGCTAAGATGGGGTTTGAGGACTGGGTCCCTTAATACCCAAGTGGTAAGGAGATGGTGTACAGGCAGCCTTTAGTGCAAGGTGGCTGCCCAACTATTAAACTTGTCACCAGCAGTGAGCTGGGATGGCATGTTGACTGGTGCAATGACTCGCATTCGAAACATATTGAAGGAGCGATAAACACAAGATCAATAAGTTTGGATGGCTATTATAAAGTTGCATTGACCCCCTGCAGGCAAGCTTAGAAGAAGGAGGTTCGTAAAACAAACAGCCCGTTACTGCCACCAGTCTCAAGGCTGCAACTGACACTCATCATCTCCTTCCTTCACTATCCATTCTAATTTTTCCTTGCCCTCTGCTACCTCTTCTACTGGTCTCAATGGCTTACCTGATGGCATGACCCTAATCCTCATCCCGGTGGGAGGGGGGTGCGGATTCTGAGCCCTTGGTAACCATATCCTTTTCAGGTTGTGGCTGCTTGTGCTTGTCCACTCACAGACAGTTGGGTAAGAAGTACTAAGAGGTACCCAAGTGAGTCACCTGACCTCCCCCACTATTATTCTCCGCCCTCATTGTGTGAAAGCAGCCCTGTCTCCTCCTGCTGACCAGGTCAATTGCGCCTGTATTAGTCCGTTCTCATGTTGCTGCAAGGATACTACCCAAGACTGGGTAATTTATAAAGGAAAGAGGTTTAATTGACTCTCAGTTCAGCATGGCTGGGGAGGCCTCAGGAAGCTCACAATCATGGCGGAAGGGGAAGCAAGCACATCCTTCTTCACAAGGTGGCAGGAAGGAGAATGAGTGAGTGCCCAGCGAAAGGGGAAGCCCCCTATAAAACCATCAGATCTTGTAAGAACAAACTATCATGAGAACAGGATGGGGAAACCACCTTATGATTCAATTATCTCCATCTGGTCCCTCCCATGACACATGAGGATTATGGGAATTACAATTCAAGATGAGATTTGGGTAGGAACACAGCCAAAACATATCAGCCCCTGACAAGATGGCCACCCATTTTCTTACCTGCTGGTTCCTGGACACGAGGATCCCAAAGTGCCCAGGGAGCAGTCATAAGGTGTATTCAATGTGCCCCTTGCTGGGTTTCCAGGTGAGCGTGTCCCCCTTGGGGACCAAGAATTCTCACACTGCAGAGCCTAGAGTTCTGGAGATGGAAAACAGTGAAGACGACATGTAGTTGTATAATTTTCCATTTGAAATAGAAAGGGGCAAATGCTTCATTGCACCTATACCGCCCTGAAGAAAGAGAAGGCAAGATCTCCAAGCCTTGAGCAAACCAATCTCCTTGCACATCCTGCTCCCACCCTCCATCTGTATCCAGCCTCCCAGATGAGTCAAGTGTAAAAATTCTTTGCCTAGCCCTGAATGCCCAAGGTTTTCTGCTATCATCTTCTCAAAAGTTTTATAGTTTTGTGTTTTACATTTCAGTCAGTGATCCATTCTGAGTTAATTTCTGGTAAGGTGTGAGGTCAAGCTTCACTTTTTTACCTATGGATGCCCGATTGCTCGAGCTTCATTTGTTGAGAAGGTTATCTTCACTCCATTGAATTGGTCTCTCACCTTTCTGAAAAATCTGTTGAACATATTTGTGTGGGTCTATTTCTGGGTTTTCTATTCTGTTCCTTTGACCCATGCATCAATAGCACATAGCCCTTCACCAATAGCACACTTTCTAATTCCTGTAGCTGTGTAGTAGGACTTAATGTCAGATAGAGTGATTTCTCCTGCCTTATTCTGTTTTCAAGATTGTTTTAGCAGTTTTAAGGCTTTTCAATATAAATTTAAAAATAGTCTTATCTATGTATACATAAAACCTTGCTGAGATTTTGATAGGGATTACATTAAATCTGTAGATCAATGTGGGCAGATGCAACATCTTTACTATGTTGAATCTTTCAATCCATGAATACGGTATGTCTTTCCTGGCTATTACTTTTGAAAAACAGCTTAGTGTGCTCCCATGATCCTTGATTCAAGGCAAAAATTAATTCTTAGGACCAGGTGCAGTGGCTCATGCCTGTAATTCCAGCACTTTGGGATGCCAAGGCAGGCAGATTGCTTGAGGCCAGTAGCTCGAGACCAGCCTGACCAACATGGTGAAACCCTGTCTCCACTATAAATACAAAGAAATTAGCTACTAAAAATACAAACAATTGGTGGCACATGTCTGTAATCCCAGCTACTCGGGAGGCTGAGGCATAACAATCATTTGAACCTGGGAGGTAGAGGTTTCAGTGAGCTGAGATCATGCAACTGCCCTCCAGCCTGAATGACAGAGTGAGACTTTTTCTGGAAAAAAAAAAAAAAGTTTAAATAAAAGAATGAGCGGCCAGGCGTGGTGCCTCACGCCTGTAATCCCAGAACTTTGGGAGGCACGAGGTCAGGAGATCGAAACCATGCTGGCTAACACAGTGAAACCCTGTCTCTACTAAAAATGCAAAAAAAATTAGTGTGTGGTGGCGGGCGCCTGTAGTCCCAGCTACTCAGGAGGCTGAGGCAGGAGAATGGCATGAACCTGGGAGGTGGAGCTTGCAGTGAGCTGAGATCGTGCCACTGCACTCCAGCCTGGGTGACAGAGCAAGACTCCGTCTCAAAAAAAAAAAAAAAAAAAAGAGCAAGTAGTCAAGTTATTTGTTACTTTTTAGGTAAGGCATTCTAAGTGTTATTTAATGCATGTGAGGTCAGTGTTAATGGAGAAAAATGTTAGATGGTGAAAGTCTGAAAATGTATTTTTACTCCTCATTTTAAGTCTTTTAAAAAAACATACTTTGAGTATCTAGAATAGTGTACAGAATGACTTAACAGAGCCCTGTGTCCCCAGCCTCCTTGATGGTGGGTATCACAATGTCATGCATCTGGAAAGGGAGCTGGGAGGGAGGGACACTGTGATGAGACACAAGCTGAAGGTGAGTGAACTCCAGCACATTAGCCAGATTATCTAGTTGTGTATAACTCAGTGTGTCTGTTTCCCAGTTTCAGTTTTTATTGAAACATTCCAGTCTTGTCTCAAGTATACAAGAGTCAGCTGGCCATTATTCTACTTCTCTTTGCCATCCTGTGAGCTCCTTTTTTTATGAGCCCTGCATGGGCTGTGCCAGCTTGTGGCATCTTTCTTCTGACTCCACAAGGCACAGAGGGTTTGCATCTTACTTTGTAATTCAGCCAGCACCCATATTTAAGTATAGGAATTCATCTATCTACATCCTTTCCTTCCATGGGACCGTGGGGGACCTTTAGTACCCTCATATCACCTGGCTCCCAGTAGGCCTTGGAAGTGCTTGTTGGCTGCTTAACTGATGACCACCTGCTCTCATGCTCTGGCTCATGCTCTCACACTCTGGCTCTCGCTCTCGCTCTCTCTCTCTCTCTCTCTCTCTCTCTCTCTCTCTCTCTCTCTCTCTCTCTGTCTCTGTCTCTCTCTCTGGCATTCGGAGGTGGGCTACTTGGTCACAAAGTACCCACCAACTCTTTTAAGAATAATGAGAAGCCAATTACACTCCTACACGAACACAGCACTGGTACCTAAAATCCAATTGCTGTGTTACAATCCAGTTGTATGGCCAACTTTCTATTCATGGCCTACAGGTTTAATCACTTTAGGAGAGAGTGTGGGAATTGAAGAAATAAAGTCTTAATATAAAAAGGTTGCTAGAGAGAGAGCAGGGGTGAAAGCCAGGCCTCCAAAGCTTGTTTGTTTGACTCAGCCCACATACTCAGCCCCCAGATGGGCACCTCTTGGGTAGGGGCTCCTCCTCTGGCCCCATTGGCTTTGCTCTGGCAAGAGTCATGTGGCCTGCTATGTAGGGGCTATGGGCAAAGGACAATTCTTTCAGAAAAAGATGGTCTTGCACGGCTGGCCATGGTGGCTCATGCCTGTAATCCCAGCAGTTTGGGAGGCTGAGGCGGGTGGATCACCTGAGATCAGGAGTTCGAGACTTGCCTGGCCAACATGGTGAAACCCCATCTCTACCAAAAATACAAAAACTAGCTGGGCGTGGTGGTGGGCACCTGTAATCCTAGCTACTCAGGAGGCTGAGGCAGGAGAATCGCTTGAACCCAGGAGGCAGAGGTTGTGGTGAACTGAGAAACAACATGGAGAAACCCTGTCTCTACTAAAAATACAAAATTAGCCGGCATGATGGCACAGGCCTGTAATCCCAGCTACTCCGGAGGCTGAGGCAGGAGAAGCGCTTGAACCAGCCTGGGCAATAAGAGTGAAACTCCGTCTCAAAAAAAAAAAAAAAAAAAAAAGGAAAGAAGGAGAAAGAAACCGCCAAGCTGTCTTATGAAGTGGCTGTATTATTATTTTGCTTTCACACCACTGATGAATGAGAGTTCCTGTTTTTCCACATCCCTTCAGGATTTGGTGTTGCTAGTGTTTTGCATTTTGGTTGTTCTAATAGAGATATAGAATATTTCATTGTCATTTTAATTTGTAATTCCCCAGTGACATGTGATGCTGAACAACTTTTTACATGCTTATTTGCCAGCTGTATATGTTTTTTCATGAGGCGTTTATTCAGGATTTTTGCCCCTTTATTTTTTATTTTTTGAGATGGAGTCTTGCTCTATTGCCCAGGCTGGAGTGCAGTGGCACTATCTCAGCTCACTGCAAACTCCGCCTCCCGGGTTCACACCATTCTCCTGTCTCAGCCTCCTGAGTAGCTGGGACTACAGGCGCCCGCCACCGCACCCGGCTAATTTTCTGTATTTTTAGTAGAGACGGGGTTTCACCGTGTTAGCCAGGATGGTCTAAATCTCCTGACCTCATGATCCGCCCGCCTCGGCCTCCCAAAGTGCTGGGATTACAGGCATGAGCCACCGTGCCCAGCCTTTTGCCCATTTTTAAATTGGGTTGTTATTTTTTCTTTTTCTAATTTTTATGAATACATAGTAGGTGTGTATATTCGTTGGAATTTTTCTTATGGTTGAAATTTAAGAGTTATTTGTATATTTTGGATAACAGTCCTTTATCACATATGTGTTTTGCACATATTTTCTCTTAGTCTGTGGCTTGCCTTATTCTCTTGAATCCAGTAAGTTTTAAATTTCATGTATTTTAATTTTGAAATCTAAAATATCCTTTTGATTCTCTCCCTCTCTCTTTTTTTTATTTTATTTTTTTTTTTAAAGACAAACTTTTCCTCTTTTTGCCCAGGCTGGAGTGGAATGGTGCAATCTTGGCTGACTGCAATCTCTGCCTCCCGGGTTCAAGTGATTCTCCTGCCTCAGCCTCTCGAGTAGCCGGGATTACAAGCACGCGTCACCACACCTTGCTAATTTTGTATTTTTAGTAGAGAGGGTTTCACCACATTGGCCAGTCTGGTGTCAAACTCCTGACCTTGGGTGATTCTCTTTTATAGACCCTTTGACAGATTATCTGTTAAAACTGTTCATTCATCCCTTTGTCAATGTTTTCCTCCATTTTATTTTACATCTCACTTACAACTATTTAAGTACTTGTCTGTTAACTCTAACATCTGGCTCATCTGTGGGTCTACTTTTTGCCCCCATGCCCACCCACTGCCATTTGATTAGGGTCACATTTATCTGCATCTCTGTATGTCTATTAATTTTTTATTGTGTGCTGGACATTAAGTACACAAGAACAATAGTAGCTTCAGATGCCTTTTTTTTTTTTTTTTTTTTTTTTTTTTGGGAGACAGGGTCTTGCTCTATCCCCCAGGCTGGAGTGCAGTGGCACAATCTCGGCTTCCTGCAACCTCCACCTCCTAGGTTCAAGTGATTCTTATGCCTCAGACTCCCAAGTAGTTGGGATTACTGGCACCTGCCACCATGCCCAGCTAACTTTTTTGAATTTTTAGTGGAGATGGGGTTTCACCATGTTGGCCAGGCTGGTGTTGAACTCCTGACTTCAGGTGATCTGCCCATCTGGGCCTCCCAAAGTGTTGGGATTAGAGGTGTGAGCCACCACACCCAGCCAGATGACATCTTTAATCAGTTAAAGTCCCTCCTTCCTTTTACTGGAAGATAAGGTGAAGTACTGATGACCTCAATTATAGATTGAACTGGGGAAGGTTGCAATTTTATTAAGTCCTATTATCTTTGCAATTTTTCTGGTCCCTCAAGCATTATCCCCTTGAATAGTACTTTGGGTGAGAGATTGGCAGCTGTCTCTCTTCTCAGTTATGAAATATTTTCTTTTTAGAGGATCTCTTAGCCCTTAGTCTCTTGCCATACGTAGACTCAACATATGGCAAACATCTTCAGGGGGAGACTTTCCATATATTTGGGATATAACTCTTCTCTCTAGCAAGACTTCATCTTCTAAGCACAATGGGATTTTACTCTACCTTTCTATCTAACCCAGCTTCCCAGTCTGTCACATCACCCTAAAATATATCAAGCTTTCCATGTGAGAAAGTCAGCCTCATGTTTGGTGTCCTTTAGTTTCTAATTTGTCGTGCTAGCCCCAAAATAACCAATGAAAGCTCTCTTGCTTTCTCTTTCCCCAAGCAAAGTCTCTGCATAGGCCATATCCCAATCCTACAGCCATTCCCAGATGACCAAATACCCAAAGGGAAGAAGAGGCCCGGTGCCAACCAGCTTACCTAGGGAGGGCTGTTTCCACTCTGGAAATTTTATCTTCTCCTTGTTTCCACAACTCTCTAATTGTTTTTAAATACGATTTTTGCTATTTGTCTTTTTTTTAAGTTGCTGCAGCAGGAGTGCTGGCTTCTTGCTACTTTCTCCTGGCTACCAGAGCACAAGTCCATGAGTCAGCTTCTGCATCAGAGTCACAGATGCCCATGTTTTTCCACACAGTCTCATTCTCTGCATCATGAAGAGCATCTGTGCCATAGTGTGTCTTAAAGAGTGCTCTACTGTGGTTTCTAGGTTTTTTGCCATGTTGCAGACACATGCCACAAATTTTGATAAGAATTTGACTGAATTCTTTCATTTTTTTCTTCAATTGAATCAAAATCAAATTTTACTGGAAGTTCCTCAGCGTCTGTTTCAAGACAGCAAGAAATTTATGACAAATTGAAGTTTAGCATCCTAACTGTTAACCCAACACAATACATAAATTGGTCACACCAGACTCTTTTAAGTTGAAATTTCTTTCCTTTGTTCTGAGAGTATTAGCAACTTCTCCTCATGTCACTTATATTTTCTGGCATGTATTATCAACAGTGGACATAACTCAAATGAAGTGACAAAGTGTGAACAACTGTGACTCAGTTTGTGCACATGGGAAGTGACGACAAAGTCCTTGCTGCTGCCTGGCAGTGCAGGTTATAAAAATGCATCTTGATTTCAGACATGTGATAAGTGCTAAAGCTAGAAAGGTGAATAAAGCAGATACAGTCTCTACTCTTAAGGAGTTCACAGTTTAATGGAGAAGTTGAACGTTAATTAAATATGTATAAAAAGCAATTACGTGATTTAAAGAGTGTAAGATATCCTAACACATAGAAAGCAAGTAATAAATTTTTGATGAGCTGGGTATAAGGAAGTATAGGATGCTATCATGGCAAAAAAAAATATGCTACATATTACCAAGGATAACTTTTCAGCTGCCATAACATTGATCGAAATAATAAAAATAAGAATGCTATTCTTTTTTCACGTAATAGTCTCATAAGTGGCCCAGGCCTGGCTGACTGGCTCTGCTTCATGCAAGCCACATTCATTCTATTGTTTTGCCACCCTCAACAAGCTGACTACCACCGTCAGGTCTAAGTCTAGCCAGTGGGAAAAGGGAAAGAGGAAGTAAAGGGCAAACACCTTTCCTTCTAAGGCAGGACCCAGAAACTGCACATATTACTTTTTCCTTTGCCTGATTCTGGTCACATGGCTACTTCCTGCTGCAAGCGCAGCTGGGAAATGTAGTTTTTACTTGCATAAAGCCATGTGCCCAGATAAAACTTGTATTACCAGGGAAGACCTGATATTTGAGAGGAAACTAGCAATCTCTACACAGGGAGATTTGATGTAGTTTTAAGGAGGGAGTTAAGAGAAGGCTCCTTTGAGGAAGAACAATTCAGCTGGAATCTGAAGAATGAGGAGGAGCTTCCTGCAACACTGGGTGGAGGGCAAAGGGAAGAGCATGCTAGGCAGAGGAAACAGCAGGTGCAACTGCACCGAGGCAAGAAGGAAAGGGGATGTAGATGCATTGCAGGAGTGAACAGAAAGCTCTGGAACACAGAAGAGACAGTGTTAGTTGAGATTGGGTAGATAGGCAAGGCCAGATGGTGTGGGACCTTGCCCATGTTTACTGTTTTGTTGTGCATTAGAACCGGGCTTTCAACTGAGGTCTGACTTCAAAGCCACCCTTTCTTTCTCAATCCAGATGGATGATTGCCTCATTAAGTCATCAGCAGTGACTAACGTTGCAGTCACTGATTTAATTTGGTCCATGTGGGCACCTGGCTGTGGTAGCCTTTGAAGCTTCCTAAGGTAGCCTTGATGAGCAGTCAAGGATGAGAACCACTGGTCCAGTGGGGTCCTTGGCTGAAACCATAACCCATCAATTTTATTGCTAGCACATTTTGAGAGTGTTCTAAGCTAAACACTTTACATGTATGATGTAATTTTCTACCTTGCTAAGGAGGTTATTATTTCCATTTTACTGATGAAGAGATTGAGGCTCAGAGAGGTTAAGTAACTTGCCCAAGGTCACATGGCCAGTAAACAGCAGAAGCGTACGCTGGGGAGATTACCCAGAAACTCTGTTCCTTTCTGTCCTTCCAACATCCTACTTACTCATGGCTGTACAGCTCCTCCTTGATCTGACTTAGCTTGAAAGATCATTTTGTACCAAGAAGTTGGTTGGTCCCAAACAAAGGTTTTCCAGGAAACCCCTAGTCTTCTAATACCCCTCAGTGAAAGCAACAGAAAGGCCCCAAACCAAATCAGTTGATCAATTGTTTCCTTTCCTAGACCCAGGCTCTGACTTATCCTCCCAAACAGTGGCTCCCAACGTTTTTGGCACCAGGGACCAGTTTCGTGGAAGAAAATTTTCCCATGGGCCACAGAGGGGATGGTTTTGGGATGATTCAAGCATGTTACATTCATTGTGCCCTTTATTTCTATTAATATTACATTGTAATATATGATGAAATAGTTATACAACTTATAATGTAGAATCAGTGGGAGCCCTGAGCTTGTTTTCCTGCAACTAGACAGTCCCATCTGGGGGTGATGGGAGATAGTGACAGATCACCAGGCATTAGATTCTCATAAGGAGCAGGCAACCTAGATCCCTTGCATGCACAGTTCACAATAGGGTTTGTGCTCCTATGAGAATGTAATGCCACCTCTGACCTGACAGGAGGCAGAGCTCAGGCAGTAATGTGAGCAATGGGGAGTGGCTGTAGATGGAGACAAAGCTTTGCTTGCTCACCCGCTGCTCACCCCCTGCGCCCTGTTCCTAACAGTACCAGTCCATTGCCTGGGGGTTGGGGACCCCTGCTCCAGAACCCTGCCTGTGTTTATTAGGGAGAAGTTAGAAAGTTCTTTGATCTGGCCAGGCGTGGTGGTTCACGTATGTAATCCCAGCACTTTGGGAGGCTGAGGTGGGCAGATCATGATATCAGGAGATCGAGACCATCCTGGCTAACACAGTGAAACCCCGTCTCTACTAAAAATACAAAAATTAGCCGGGCGTGGTGGCGGGTGCCTGTAGTCCCAGCTACTCAGGAGGCTGAGGCAGGAGAATGGTGTGAACCCGGGAGGCGGAGCTTGCAGTCAGCCGAGATCGCGCCACTGCACTCTAGCCTGAGTGACGGAGTGAGACTCCATCTCGAGAAAATAAGAATAAAAAGTTTTTTTGATCCTATGTAAGCCGTGGAACTGTGCCTCCTCTATGGCGGTGGTTCCCCTCAGGCCAGGCCCAAGGCCAGCATTGGGCCTGCTCCAAGGGCTCACCAGTCCCTCAGACTTCCCAGAGGAGAACGTCTAGCCTTGACCACCATCTGTCACCAGATTGAGCACAGTGCTGCTCAAGGCTTTCTGTCTCCACCATCTGAGAGGAAGATGAGGCTGCAATGTACAGGCTCCTCAGGGCCATTCATAAGATGGAAATCTGGGATGCCTGCCACATAGGCCCTGAAAAATGACACTTGATTTTTATCCAAAAACCAAACCAAAAACCAGAACGAACAACCCATGCAAAAACTCCAAAAGGCTGTTGTGGTGGAATGAGAAGAAAGAAGACCTGGCCTCCAAGACCAGGCTCTGCCACTACCTAGCTGTGCAGCCTTGGGCAAATTGCTTAGCCTCTCTGAGCTTGTATCTCTTTCTGTAAAATAGCTATGATGACACCCATCTCAAAAGCTTGTCTTAACTTGCTTAGCACAAGGACTAGCATATCCGAAGTCCAAATACATGATTGCTCATTCATTACTTTTGCCAGCATGGTGGCCTGCACTCATTATGTGTTTGTTGGTTGTGTTTCAAAAGTATCCTAAGAAAAAACTGAATAGGTATGGTTTTGTCATAATATGGATCAAAGACG
The DNA here is from genome assembly GCF_000001405.40 of Homo sapiens. NCBI lineage: Eukaryota > Metazoa > Chordata > Mammalia > Primates > Hominidae > Homo > Homo sapiens. The sequence continues at coordinate 117,184,866 of NC_000010.11, read as the reverse complement.
TTTGCGGCTTGCCTGAAAACCCTGACATGATCTTAATAACTTAGGTCACAAGTAAACAATTTATTACCATGACAAGCACAAGCCACAGCTACCACTTATTGAACACATACTGGGTGCCAGGAGATATGCTAGTGCTCCACATGCATTATCTCATTTAATCTTCACAGTAAATGAAGAATTGAATGCATCAGACCTCAGTAGAGGAAATAATCTACTCTGGGTGTTTCAGCAGGAAGGGATTTAAAATGGGATACTATGTGCTTTCAAACACTGCAAAGCCCAAAGGAGCAGGTTCTCAGCTGGTCCTGCAGGCTCGACACCCAGAACAGTGCAGACCTGGTTCTCCAGGAGAGCTGCTACCTCAGAGGCTGGCGCTGGAACCACTGAGTTTACGAGGACACGCAGCGGTAGCGGCAGCGGCAGCGGCAGCGCAGTCAGGAGGCTGGAGAACATGTCTTGTGTCTTGAAGCACAGTCCTGAAGAAGCACCTTACCTCTGTGACCCCGCTTGCCAGCAGAGAAATGTCCCAAAGGGATGGGAAAAACATCTTTACTGCACTTCTGCTTTCCAAATCTTGCAGAAAGACATCTACTTTGAATCCAAAACCTAATTGCATTTGTTGTCTAGAATCTAATCTAATTTGCATCCAGAATCCTAACAGCTAAGGAGACTGGGAAATACAGTACTTAAATTTCCAGCCTCTACTGGAAAGAATGGTATGCATCTTGAGTAAGTCAGTAGTGCCATAGATGCCATTGTTATTCCCATTTTAGAGAGGAGGAAATGGACTCTGAGACTAGGACAGGTCATCTTTGCCCTGAGTGAATGAGCAAATCCATTCAATGGCTGGGGGAAGTCACTGAACAATCAATTTTGACCTCAAGTTCAAATCACTTCCTCAGATCCAACTTTATCAGCAATAAAGCTGATGTAGGGCCCCTCTTCAACATGTGTGTCTATTTCCCAATTGGTGTGGAACCTGTAGGAGGGAAGGGATGGGACTTTCAAACCTCAAAATTCTAGAATAAAAATAGCCACCACCGCCAGAACAAGAAGTGTCGTACCCTTTGGACTTAGACAGTGCTTTAAAGTTCCTAAGGCATTTTACATGTATTTTATCTTTAAGTTCTCCTCACTCTGTCCTCCTCCAACCAGGATAATTAACAGCAGGCTGCAGGAAGTCATTTCTAGAAGGAGAATTTATTAAAGCCCTTGCCAAAGGCTCAGAGATGTGAGTTTCCATCAGCAAGGGTAGTGATTTCAGCGGCCATCTTAGGATGTCCTGTTTCCTTTGGTGGGATTATGGTCAGTTGTGCCCTCAAGATCAGTTCTTCCCTTCTTCCTGTGCAACGGACATCTGCTAGAGGCTACAGCTGGCAGCTGACTTTGTGGCTGGGTGTGGCTATGACAAAGTGGTCATCAACTGGATGTAACAGAAGTGGTGTTTGCCTTTACACCTCACTGGCTTAAAAGAAAATTGATTGACCTGGACTTCCTCTCTTTCCCTTTTCCTTGAGCTAGAACAGAGGTGTGCCTGAGATTCCAGTCTTACCATACAGATGAAGATAATGCCTGAGACTCACCTGGAAGGCTTGGTCAGATAGCTGGGTCCCACCCCTAGTGTTTCCAATTCAGTAGGTCTGGCATGGGGCCTGGGAACTTCCATTTCTGACAAGTTCCAAGATGATGTTCATGCTATCAGTCCAGGGACCACACTTGGAAAAACCACTGCCCTGGAACATAAAAGGGAAACAAATGGAAGACCCTGGACTTAATGGCTGGGTCGAGCAGAGCTGCCCCCAAACTGGAACTGCTGCTTCTGGACATCAGCAAGAGACCAATCAACTTCTATTTCTTTTAAGCCACTTGTGATGGTTAATTTTATGTGTCAACTTGACTGAACCATAGGATGTACAGATAGCTGGCACCACATGATTTCTGGGAGTGTCTGTGTGGATGTTTCTGGAAGAGATTAGCATTTGAACCAGTAGATTGAGTAAAGAAGGTCTGCTTTCACCAATGCAGGCAGGCATCATCCAATCTATTGAAGGCCTGCATTGAACAAAAAAGTGGCAGAAGGGCAAACTTGCTCTCATTTTGATTGGGGGCATCCTTCTTCTGATCAGAACCCTGGAGCATCAGAACTCTGAATTCTTGGGTCTAAAGACTGTGGGACTTACACCAGTGGTCCCCCAGTCTCTGAGGCCGTCAGCCTCGGACTGAGAGTTACAACACCAGCGGCTCTGGTTTTCAGCCTTTGGACGCAGACTGAATTACACCACTGGCTTTTCTGGGTCTCCAGCTTGCAGACAGCATATTGGGGGACTTCTAGTCCCCATAATAGAGTGAGCTAATCTCGACAATAAATCTCCTCTTCTATGGCTTTATATATCCCATTGGTTCTGTTTTTCTGAAGAACCCTGGCTACCCCACCTTATATATATGGTCCTCTTTGTGAAAGCATATATATATATATATATATATATATATGTCCTCTTTGTGAAAGAAACTTCCCTTTTGCCCCATCCAGCACCCTGGGTGATTGTCTAGGCAAGGAATAGGAGCCAGAGGCTGACTTTCGGCCAGTGATTGATTTAAAGTCCAATTAATTATTCCTAATTTAAAGTCTAATTAATCATTAGGTCCTGCAAGACTTTTTTTTTTTTTTTTTTTTTTTTTTTTTGAGATGGAGCCTCGCTCTGTCACACAGGCTGGAGTGCAGTGGAATGATCTCAGCTTACCACAACCTCTGCCTCTTGGGTTCAAGTGATCCTCCTATCTCAGCCTCCTGAGTAGCTGGGATTACAGATGCCTGCCACCACACCCAGCTAATTTTTGTATTTTTGGTGGAGATGGGGTTTCACCATGTTGACCAGGCAGGTCTCGAACTCCTGATCTCAGGTGATCCACCCTCCTCGGCCTCCCAAAGTGCTGGGATTACAGGCGTGAGCCATCACGCCTGGCTGGCAGTTTCTTCCAAAACTAAATATACTCTTAACTATATAATCCAACAATCATGCTTGTGCGTGTGTGTGTGTGTGTGTGTATGTGTGTGTGATGGAGTCTCTCTCTGTGGCCCAGGCTGGATGGAGCACAGTGGCACAATCTCAACTCACTGCAATCTCCACCTCCTGGGTTCCAGCAATTCCTGTGCCTCAGCCTCCCAAGTAGTTGGGACTGCAGGCATGTGCCACCACACCTGGCTAATTTTTGTATTTTTAATAAAGATGGGTTTTCACCATGTTGATCAGGCTGATCTCGAACTCTTGACCTGAAGTGATCCACCCTCCTCGGCCTCCCAAAGTGCTGGGATTACAGGCTTGAGCCACCACGCCTGGCTGGCAGTTTCTTCCAAAACTAAATATACTCTTAACTGTATAATCCAACAATCATGCTTGTGCGCGCGTGTGTGTGTATGTGTGTGTGATGGAGTCTCTCTCTGTGGCCCAGGCTGGAGCACAGTGGCACAATCTCAACTCACTGCAATCTCCACCTCCTGGGTTCCAGCAATTCTTGTGCCTCAGCCTCCCAAGTAGTTGGGACTGCAGGCATCTGCCACCACACCTGGCTAATTTTTGTATTTTTAATAAAGATGGGTTTTCACAATGTTGGTCAGGTTGATCTCGAACTCTTGACCTGAAGTGATCCACCCGCCTCAGCCTCCCAAAGTGCTGGGATTATAGGCATGAGCCACAGCGCCTGGCATGCTTCTTGGTATTTACTCAAATGAGTTGAACATGTGTCCACACACAAACCTGCACATGGGTATTTGTAGCAACTTTATGCATAATTGCCAAAACTTGAAAGCAACCAAAGTGTCTTTCAGCAGCTGAATGAATAAATAAGCTGTGGTACATCCAGACAATGGAATATTATTCAGCATTCAAAAGAAATGAGCCATCAAGCCATAAAAAGACATGAAGGAAACTTAAATGAATGTTACTAGTAGCCAATCCAAAAGGCTACTTACTACATGATACCAACCATATGACATTCTAGAAAAGGCAAAACTGTGGAGACAGTAAAGATATCAGTGATTTCCAGGAGTTAGTGGGGATGGGCGTGGAGATAAACAGATCACAGAATTTTTAGGGCAATGAAACTACTCTATATGATATTATAATGGTGGGTACATGTCATTACACGTTTATGCAAACTCATAGAATCTGCAACACCAAGAGTGAACTTTAATGTAAACTGCAGACTTTGAGTGATAATGATGTCAATGTAGGTTCATTGATTGAACAAATGTACCACTCAAGTGTGGGATGTTGATAGTGGGGAAGTTTTGCATGCATTGAGGTATGGGTATATGTCAACTCTGTGCTTTCTGCTCAACTTTGCTGGGAACCTAAAACTGCTCTTTAAAAATGAAGTCTAGTTTTTAAAAAAATAGCTTACTGGATACATTTGACTGAAAATTGAACACAATAGAAGGCAGAATTAATGAACTCAAAGACAGTCATTTGCTCAGTCAAGATGAAGAAACAAAAATCAGATTTATCCTCCCACCTGAAAAAAAAAGTTAAATTATATGAAGCAACGGTTTTTTGAAAAACTGGACATCAAGCAACAAAGGACAGTGACCCCTGAAACAAGGGGAAATCCTAAGGTTGTCGCAGCTTACTGCCTTCAGTTTCCAGGTGTGGCACAGGGATGGGGAACCATGGCAGAGCTGGGTGAGAAGAATGAGCTGAGAATCTGAAGAAACCCGGACAGCTAAGATTACCAGGACAGAGAGGACAAGAGAGAAGTAAATGTTTAAAGTGGGTGGGTGATTGGTGTTTGATAAATGTTAGTTTACCTTCCCTCCTTTCCAAAGTCTTTGCATTCTGAAAGGCATCTTTCAAAGAGGCAGAACTTTCAGCTTTCAGAATGGTTTTTAGAGATGGAACAACTTTTTTTTTTTCTTGAGATGGAGTCTCACTCTGTCGCCCAGGCTGGAGTGCAATGGCACAATCTCGGCTCACTGCAACCTCCTCCTCCAGGGTTCAAGCGATTCTCCTGCCTCAGCCTCCCGAGTAGCTGGGATTACAGGTGCATGCCACTACACCTGGCTAATTTTTGTTTTTTTTTGTTTTGTTTTGTTTTTTAGTAGAAACAGGGTTTCACCATGTTGACCAGGCTGGTCTCGAACTTCTGACCTCAGGTGATCTGCCTGTCTCAGCCTCCCAAAGTGCTGGGATTACAGGCGTGAGCCACTGCACCCGGCAGAAATGGAATGAACTTCTGATGTCTCAGTTCACCAGGAGAAAAGACCTTTCTGAGCAGAGGCCAGGTCCTTTCACCAGGTCTGAGATCACATCAGGGAGGCAGCCAGCTGCTCCTGACACTGAGCAAGTCTGCACACAAGCGCTTCCCTTCGACCCTGCAGAAGAGGCCCCGTAGACCAGTTAGTTGCGTCTGAAAAGGAAACATGGAGTCTCATTGAAATCTCTGAACAGCTTAGATTCATTCTTCTCTGAAATCTGAATTTTTAATAGAAAGTTCCAGCCATTCAGAAGGTGAGCAGAGGCCCAAACACTGCAAGAACACATCTCCTGCTGGCGATTTCTCCAGCCTGCTGTCCATTTCTGAGAATGTTCCGCGAGGTGAATAATTTATGCCACTTATTGATTCATGGTCCTTAAAAGGCTGAGGTTAAAGGAGACTGAAGGTTTCCACTGAGTGGGAGCCCAGCTTCCCTGAAGGCATTTCTTGCAGATGCTTGGCTGCTCCACACTTGGGCGTGGGGGATCGCTAACTAAAAATATCCCACAGTACAAAGTCTTTTGTATGAAGATCATGAATGTCTTTGATAAAATGTAAATATGTCGGAGAAAAGGTAAATTAAGCATTTAAATTACAGCTAAGAAACCTCATTGGGAGTTGGGGGGAAGATGACCGTCCCCAATCCTTTAATCCTTGCCTGTAAGAGAATGATACGGCCACACCCTCTGCCATGTGACTGCAGTGCTGCCTGATAGAGCTGGTGAGTATTGTACACCCAGAAAATCTGAGACAGGTCTCAGTTAATTTGGAAAGTTAAAATAAGGTTGAGGGTGCGCCCGTGACAGTCTCAGGAAGTCCTGATGACATGTGCCCAAGGTGGTTGGGACACAACTTGGTTTTATACATTTTAGGGAGATATGAGACATCAATCAATACATGTAAGAAGTACATTGGTTCAGTCTGGAAAGGCAGGACAATTGGAAACAAAGGCAGGAAGACCTGAAGCAGGAAGGAGGCTTCCAGGTCATAGGTAGATGAGAGAAAATGGTGGCATTCTTTTGAATTTCTGATGAGCCTTTCCAAAGGAGGCAATCAGATATGCATCTATCTCAGTGAGCAGAGGGATAACTTTGAATAGAATGGGAGGCAGGTGTGCCCTAAGCAGTTTCCAGCTTGAGTTTTTCTTTTAGCTTAGTGATTTTGGGGTCCCAAGATACTTTTCTTTCACAGTATTAACATGGCCTCTCCATTAAAATTTGGTTTGGTCACGTGACTTGTTTTAGCCAGTGAAATAGCCGTGATGGCAGCCAAGGTTTTGAATGTGTTTGCATGGATTGGTTTAGCCCCTCGGGCTTCTGTTATGCACCATAAGAAGAGCATTTTCTGGGAGCTGTTGTTCCTAGACACCTGGTGCCCAGAGGCCCCAGGAACCCCATCTGAAGCAAAGCCAAACCAGCCAGCCCACAAACCTGTGGCAGATACCAGAGAATCAACAAGGAGGTGTGATGTGGTTTGGATGTTTGTCCCTCTCAAGTCTCATGTTGATGTGATTCTCAATCCCTTATGAATGGTTTAGCACCGTCCCTTCGATGATGAGGGAGTTCTCGCTGTTAGTCCACATGAGATCTGGTTGTTTAAAACTGGTGGGGCCTCCTCCGTCATTCTCTTGCTTCCACTTTTTCCATGTGATACACATAACCCCCCTTTGCCTTCCACCATAATTGGAGGCTTCCCAACGCCCTCCCCAGAAGCAGATGCCAGCACCATGCCTCCCATACATTCTGCAGATCCAAGAGCCAATTAAACCTCTTTTCTTTCTAAGTTACCCAGCCTCGGGTATTCTTAATAGCAACACAAGAATGGCCTAATTCAAGGTGTTAGGAATTGGCATATCCTGGAGGACACTGTCATCCATCCCCTCTTAATGACCCTTCACTCTAAAGAGCACTTTCAGCCGGGCAAGGTGGCTTATGCTTCTAATCCCAGCACTTTGGGAGGCTGATCACTTGAGCTCAGGAGTTCAAGACCAGCCTGGCCAACATGGCAAGACCCCGTCTCAACTAAAAATACAAAAAAGATAGCTGGGCATGGTGGTGGCGTGTGCCTGTAGTCCCAGCTACTCAGGAGGCTGAGGTGGGAGGATCACTTGAGCCCAGGGGCAGAGGCTGCAGTGAGCCGAGATGGTGCCACTGGACTCCAGCCTGGAGAGAACTCCTATATGACCCAGAAATTCCGCTCCTAGATACATACCCACAAGAATTGAGAACAGGAACTCAAATACTTGTATATGAATGTTCATAGCAGTATTGTTCACAATTGCCAAAAAGTAGAAACAACCCAAATGTCTATCAGTGGACGAATGGAAAAACAAAATGTGGAATATACACGTAACAGAATATTATTCAACCATAAAAAGGAATGAAGTATTGTTACATGTCACGATGTGTATGAACCTCAAAAGCCTTATGTTAAGTGAAAGAAACAAACACAAATGGACAGAAAGTATATGTATTTCTATTACATACCCAAAATAGGTAAACCCATACAGACAGAAAGCAAATTGGTGTCTGCCAGGTGCATGAAGTATTGGGAATGGGGTCTACCTGCATCCTGGGTACAGGGTTTTATTCTGGAGTGACAAAAAATATTTGGCCGGGCATGGTGGCTCACGTCTGTAATCCCAGCACTTTGGGAGACAGAAACAGGCGGATCACCTGAGGTTGAGATTTCGAGACCAGCCTGACCAACATGGAGAAACCCCGTCTCTAATAAAAATACAAAAAAATTAGCCGGGCGTGGTGGCATGCGCCTATAATCCCAGCTACTCGGGAGGCTGAGGCAGGAGAATTGCTTGAACCTGGGAGGCAGAGGTTGTGGAGAGCTGAGATCATGCCACTGCACTCCAGCCTGGGCAACAAGAGCGAAACTCTTTCTCAAAAGATACATATATCTATATTTTGGACCTAGATAGAGGTGATGGTTTACGTAACATAGTCAATGTACTAAATGCCACTGAATTATTCACTTAAAACGGTTAATTTTGTGTTATGTAAACTTTACTTCAATAAAAACAAAAGAGAAAAGATTATGTCCATACAAATGGGGTGTTTAATAACCAGAAATACCATATGGACTTAGTGTCATCTCCTCTATCAATGAATCCGCTCTGGAGTAGGAGCATACTAGGTCTCAGAAGCTTGCAAATTTTATTCTTTTTTTTTTAACCGCCTCACTCCGCTCCCAAGAAGCTTGCAAATTTTAATCTGAGTTAATTTGCAAGTGGATTTGGGTAATCTGGCTCTAGATCCACTTAGAGGGTGCCTGTAAATAACTGTCTTGAGGGCAGGGGAAAGGCATTATGGCATCAAGCAGATAAAGCCTCTGATCTAGTTACAGTTCCTTCCAGGGATGAATAAAGCTTTGGGGACATTATCCAACCGCTTTATAAACCCAAGTTTATAAGGCCTGAACCCTCAAGCCCTTGAATTCCTTGTCACCACCTACAAATTTAGATGAGTTGCCGCAAGGGGGCAGTGGTGTCCAGGCGATGACCTCCCATGTTGCGCAAATTCGTAGAAATACTGAGTTTCAGATTCTCGAGTTTCTCTCGTTGAAAGCGGTAGCAATTATCCCCAGTCCACTTAACAAGCCAACAGCCATTTAGAAAATATGTATGTATATTAAAGAAAATACTGGATCTGGAAAAAGATCTTTCGAAAACATCATGTCCAACCAGGGTTATTATACAGAAACTGGGTTGAGAGAGGGCAGTAATTGGCCCAGAGCCACGGAGCCAGGCCTGGAACCCAGGTCTCGTATATTCACGTCCCATGCTCTCGGTGCTGCAGCCTCCTGCTCCCCTGAGCCTTTCTCCGGCGTTCAGCACAAGCCATGCCTGCGTGGTGACATGAGCACCTGTCTTTGTTGTTCCTACAGCACAGTTCCCGTCCCATTTCACCGCTGCCTCCAAATTCCCACCCCAGCTGCGCCACGTCTCTCAAGCAGAGCTGGCGATCCGAGAGCAGTGACTGGGGACGAGTGTCCACGCGGGGCTGACGAACTGTCAAAGCCGCCACCATCTGTCAAGACCTATGAGGACGCACACAGCACGGGCAGGCGGGCAGGAGAAGTGGCGGACGCAGTCGGCCACCCAGCATCAGCTCCGGAGGCGCGCTGCTTCACCTGGTGACCTGTCCCCGGCCTACGGGTCTCCAGGAAGCACTCCAGTCCCTGCCAGATGCTAGCGGGAAGGCAGGAGGGGGCGCCGTCCCAGCACCCCGGAAGCTGCCAATCTGCTTGCGGGGCTGAGACCGATCTAGGAAAGGGTAAGCAAAGATGCACGCGCCTGGGCGGCACGCAGCGGATTTCCAAGTCGTCTGCACAGATCATTGACCCCGCAGGACACGTGCGCATGTTGGCAGGGCCGACTCCGGAGGAATTCCAACTCTTCTGAATCTGCCACCTTGCAGAGGGGACAGCTGACCCTTCGCCCCATCTCTGAAAGGGCCAAGGATCTTTCCTCTCATTGCTTCCTACTGAATGCCCAGGATGCCTCGGTGTTGCCTACCTTCCGCAAAATCCTCAGGGCTGGATCGTTTTCGGAAACTGCCACCAGAGGGAGCTCCAACAATAGAGCTGGATTTTGCTTCCTCCCAGCTCATAAAGGAAGTCGGGGGCGGGGGAAATGCTGTTCTCTGCCACCAGCAGGTGCAAAGATCAGTTTAAAACGCCCAAGATTGTAACTTCACTACTAATTCGTGAAAAGCATATGGTGGAATAATGCTGGATCTGCAGAGTGACAGAATAGCTGTCCTCCACCGTGAGTTTCCCTCATTTCAGACTCAAATACTTCAGACCCAAATGATCTCCAAATCAGAACTCCTGCCTCTGCATTCAGTCTGTAGTGTTCTCTCCAGAGGACTGAATCCTAGCACCCTCGCTCCCCTCCCCTCCTCTGCCAGGCTTTACAGCCTCCGGAACTGCCCTTTCAACCAGAACAGAGCCCAGACTGTCACCTCGAACATCAGAGGAGTCCCAGCCCCATTCCTGAGTGCCCCTCTTCCCCCAGCTGCCCTGTGAACAGTGATAAGAGCTGTGACTGTGTTCTCCAGGCACTGAAATTAAAGTCAGAACCACTCCGGCTATAGATTCCATGTGCCGCTTCTTACTGCAGACCCTCATCTCGGTTTGGGATGGGGATGTGGGCAGTGTGTTTTGCTGCCAGGATGAAGTGGTTCAATTCTCCTAGAAGGAGATGCAGCAGTCACGTCCAAAAGCATGACAAAGCCCACCTAAGATGACCTGTATCTTAGAATAGTCTGAATTCATGAGGCTTCCGTCCTCATGTGAATATGTCACTAGCACTTGTTCCTTCTTCTGGGGGTATACTCAGCCAGCAATTTCCTTCTTTAAGTTTGGAGACAGTTGTAAAGAGGGGAGAACCCTTGGGCTCATGGGCCTTTAGTTTTCATGCAAAATCTAAGACCTCACCTAGTGGGGGAGGCAGAGAGAATTGGCCCTGACTTTCAGGTTTGGGGGTTCAGCACAGATCACTGTTGTGGGATCCAGACATTCCTGCACCCAGGAGATGTGCAAGGACAAGCATGAGAAAAACTGCATCTGGCCAGGCACAGTGGCTCACGCCTGTAATCCCAGCACTGTGGGAGGCCAAGGCAGGTGGATCACCTGATGTCAGGAGTTCAAGACCAGCCTGGCCAACATGGTGAAACCCCGTCTCCACTAAAAATACAAAAATTAGCCAAGCATAGTAGCACATGTTTGTAATCCCAGCTACTCAGAGGTTGAGGCAGCAGAATTGCTTGAACCTGGTGGAGGTTGCAGTGAGCCGAGATCGCACCACTGCACTCCAGCCTAAGCAACAGAGCCTTGGGGGAGAAAAAAAAGAAAAACAATGTATCTGAGGCGTGCGTGACTACTGGGTAACGGCAGCCATTCCTGGGGATGTCTGGAAAGGCTTCAGAGGGCAGGCAGACCTGAGTTCCTCCTGCCCTCTACCAAGAGATGACTGCAGCCTCCAGCCTGGCCTGCACTGGCAGGCACCTTCAAGAGGGACGACAGGACCAACAGGGAGCTGCTGCTGTCCCCCAGGCCTCCCCTGCTCAGGTCTCATTTGCCATTCATGACTTGTAGCTGAGATGGGTGGAAGGCGCCCTCTGAGGCATCTGGGTTCAAAACTCTGAATGAAGAGAGCACTTGCATTCTCTTTCTTCTCATGCATGGTCAAAAATGCAGACTCTGTCCAAGATGGTGCACACTCAGGGTTTTGGTTCAGGGATGATCAAGCCCCTTCATCAGTGATTTTCATCCTCATGTCAGCTAGTGCCTCCTCTGAAATGGCCTAGAGCCTTCATGCCATTGCCTCTGCCTTCCCCAGCATCCCCATTTCACAGGGCAGCTTGAGGAAGAGGGGCAATGAGGAACAGGGCTGAGACTCCTCTGATGTTTGTGGTGACAGTCTGGCTCGGTTCTAGTTGGAAGGGCAGTTCCTGAGGCTGTTAGTTCCAGACCAGCCTGGCCAACATGGCAAAACCCCGTTTCTACTAAAAATATAAAAAGTAGCCGGGTGTGGGGGTGCACACCTGTAATCCCAGCTACTCAGGAGGCTGAGGCAGGAGAACTGCTTGAACCCAGGAAGCAGAGATTGCAGTGAGCCAAGATAGCGCCACTGCACTCCAGCCTGGGGACAGAGTGAGACTCCGAAAATAAAAATAAAAATAAAAATGTGCACATTCTGTTATTCATGTGTGCATTTTAAAAAAAATGGCCTTATCAAGGATGAGGGTTTTGGCATTTGTGCAAAGCCTGAGGTTTTAGGAAAATGTCGTTGATGAACTGACGCTGGCAAGACTCTCCATTTACAGTAACCTGTGACTAGAAATGTCTCACGTTGGGAGAAAAATGAGGAATCCGGGAGAATAAGTGTCATGGTGGGTTTATGTGGGGCATTTTCTTCTTTGTCCAACACCTCAGATCTGCAACCAAACCAGCAAAAGCTAGTACGTCTCAGGAAAAACTTCTGCTTGTTACCGAGCTTCCTGGAAAATTGCATTTGGAGAGCTATGAAGGCTTGGCTGTGAGTAATTTGTTTTTTAAATAGCTCTGTTAGTTGGTCCACATTGTGTTTTTCATTCCACCAGAGCCGAAGGTGGTGTTTCTTTTGTTTATGGTATTAGTGTTATATTATTGGTGATCTCATTGTTCTTGTTTGTGACATGTTTACCTCAGTAGGACAGTTATTGTAGGAGGGAAGTCGGGAGCCAGTCTACCCACCAAACCTGCAGAACTAAAGAAAAAGACTCCAATCTGTCCCGCAGGGTGCATATTACTCCTTTCTTGGATTGTTAAATTCTAATTATAGGCTGTTGATCCCCATTAGAACCATTTGTAAGCCTAAACACTGTTGTGCAGCATCTTTTGCCAATAGGTGTGTTTCATTCCAATCGTTGTATAAAACATAACATTCGTGCTTTTGGGGGACTACAACAGGTTAGTGTTCTCTGGCAAAGTTGGACAAGAAATAGTCAAAATATGACTCAAAACTAAGATAGTGCAAACAAAAGTACACTTTGCCTTGATGTTTATTTATTAGGGATTTCTGAAACCCTAGGACACTAGAGCTCACCTTTCAGATCTCAGACCTCAGATGCCACATCGTCAAGGAAGCTCTCCTGGACTGCCCACTTCCACATTCCTGGGACAGCAGAGATCTCCCCCAGCCCTGCCTGGCACTTGACACAGTGGATCATTTCACAGGACTGGGGGATTAGTTAACTGTCTTTCCACTAGATGGAAAGTTTCAGAGGAATCCTGTCGGGATTACCGATGCCTAGTATGATGCTTAGCACACAGTAGGCATTTAATAAATGTGTTGTGTAGTGCCTGTGTACTGTTTTATTTGGGAATCTTCAGAAGGTAAGAAAAGCAAATGGATACATTCATAATAAGTATGAGATGTGGAGAGCAAGCAAGTCCGTAGATTATAAGACGTAAGCAAAATTCATAGTATGTGTTAAGTAGAAGAGGGGATGAATAAGATGGAGCTGTGAGACTCAGGAAGAACTCACAGAATTCACATGGATAATGAGTAAATCAATAACCTGTGGGAGATGTTGAAGACAGATACAATAAGTGGAACATATAATAGAACAAACCAGAGTGCTATGGACCAATAGAGAGACATTAAAAGACCAAGTTGTAAGATACATTCATGCTACATCAGGGCTGACAGCTATCTGATTCCCAAAATCAGCCACTCATCCATCGGTGACACCCATTATGGTCCCAGTTGTGTTCTGCCCAAGAAGCACAGATAAACAGAGAGAGCTGTTCAGGAGGCTAATGGATGCTCCTGCTGTGGCCAGGAGAACTTGCCCCTGGCTCTCCAATAGCAAAAGCGTGTATCGTTGCCTCGGGCACCTTCTTTCTGTTGGGTCCCTTCACTCATCCTCAATTATGGTCCTTGTAACCACATCATTAAGAAAGAAAGTTAATATGGGTGGGAGGGATATGGGTGGGAGGCAATATGTGAACATTGCATATTAAATGGCCCAGGATTCAGGAAGGGGACTTCCCACCTGCTTCTGTGGTATATGTGTTAACCTACCCCATCTCTTTCCTCTTGCTTCTCATTGTGTGTTTAAAATTTATTCAACAATCTGTATGATTCAAGTATCTTAACTAGATCTTTCTATTGTATTACCTCCAGAATAGTTTGCCTGGTAGCGCAATAGTTTGCCTGGAGATTAATTTCCTATACAACATATTGAAATAGTGCATTGTGAATTGGCTACTATGACTGCTGATTAGGGTGAGGGTTAGGGTTAAACCAGTTTCTGAATCTAGCTACTCCCCCCTACCATAAAAACCACTTGCATTCAACAATTAGCCATTGCATTAAGTGCTAAAGATACAATGATGAGAAAACAGCCATGATTCCTGCCCTCATGAAGTTTAGAACAGAAGAAAGACTATCTGGTAATCACACAAATAAGTAACAAATAAATCTAACGTTTTAACCAGTGATAAACCCTCTGAAGAGAAAGTGCACTGAGGTCCTCTGAGAGCATATGCCAGGGGAATTTGACCCATTCAGAGAGGGTTAATTAAGCTAAGGGAAAAGGCATAAATGTCTCAGGCAGAAGGAATTGGCTATGCAAAGGCCACGTGATGGGATGATGTCATCAACCATTCTTTCAGCAGACAGCACTGACCCCGTGTGCCCAGCCGCATGCTAGAGGCAGGAATACAGGGGAGAAAGACCAGCACTGCCCCCAAGAAAAGCCCACGATGACTGTCGGACCTAGGAGGATCCTTGGAGAACCTGAAAAGGTTTCACATTGCATGGAGGATAAGACTAGAGCCTTATAAGATAAGACATCACTGAGAGTTCAGTTGTTAATCCTGGGAGGGGTGAACTCATGAATGATCACTGGGTGTGGTGGTGCATCCCTGGCTCTAGTCTTACCCTCCATGCAACGTGAAAACTTCTGATGCCCCAACTCAAACCTAATTTTCAAGCCTTCGTTAGCTAAAATCTCACCGAAGTCCAGCTTTAGGAGAAATAACAGATACTATTCCCTGGCTTATGCCAAACTCTTTACATGCATTGTTTTGTTTTTTTATCTTTGTAACAACCATGTGAGATTGCACTAAACTGACACTCAGAGAGAAGGTAAGTCATGCCCCCGAGTCATTCAGCTAATAAGTGAAAAGAAAAAAAAAAATCAAGATCCAAACCCAGGTCATTCTGGCCCTAGAGCTGAAACTCAGTGAAAACCAAGCTCTAGCCAGGAATTGTGGTTAAAATAAAGCTTCAGCCAGCTGGATACTCCAGGGTGTTTAGGAATGTGAAGTTTGTGGGTATATCTTGGTATTGTGGTTGTGTTGATGCTATTGTAGTTTTGGTAATGTGGTCATCTCTTGACAGTACATGCTGAAATGCTTGCAGATTAAGTGTGGCAAGGTCCAGGTTTTACTTCCAAATAATCTGTGTGAATAGGGGAAGCAGTGTGTGTGTAGGTTTTGACAGCTGGGGAGGCAGAGTCCGTGGGAAGGAGGGGAGGAAATAGATTGACCATAAAATAGATTTGCCTTCGTTATTTGGAGGTTGGGGACAGGTGCATGGGAGTTCACTATAATATTCTCTTTTCTTTCCTATATGTTGGAAATTTTCCATAAAATGTTTTTTTCCAAAACAAGTTAAGTTCTGGGTTATGTTTTGATGGCCTACTCCTTCATCTCCAAATCCCATAGACTTTCACAATTATATTTGCCCCCGTAATTGGAAGTTGTATGGGGCTGTTTCAAAAATCTGAGTCATCAAAGATGTAATTGACTTCCTACCGCCGGATTAGCAGGCAAAAATGTACCCGATACTTTCTCTACCGGCGCTGTGTTGGGCTCTGGGCTGAAACCCAGTCTCTCACAGGCCCTCGGAACAGCCCCACCAGTTAAGATCCATCCCTGACTTCCAACTCTGTAACTAGGGACAAGTTAATTGACTCCTCTTAGCCCTTAGTGTCCTCATCAATTATTACGTGGTAATAACCCCTCAGAGAGTCGCCGGGAGAATTAGCTCGGCGCGGTGCATGGGGCTAGAACTCAGGGCCCAGCAGGTCTGACAATGCAGGTTTCCCCGCTCGCCTGTTGGGTTTTTGAAACGCCCTCAGCGGGGTTTTCCTCCTAATTCTGGTTTGGAGGAGCCATCTCTCTCCATCCCGTCTGCCAGCGGGGTTTGCTTCACACACAGACGTGGGCAGATGGCATCGGGGACACAGGTGTGACTGCCGAGAAGGTTGCGGCGCATTGGCGGTTCGGTTCACGGGACGCGGGCGTGGGGTGTGTGGGGTGGGATGGTGTCGGGGGCGGGGGGGGGTGGACAAGAGGGTGTTTGGTGGTGGTTGGGAGTCCCGGCGATCTTTTTAAAATTCAGATGCCAACAGTTCTCCACCCCTGAACTTGAATGGGCTTTGGGTTTTTGTTTATTTGGGGCTTTTCTCCTCTTCCAAAGCACAGCGCTTGCCCCCAGCGGCCTGGCGTCGGGCTGGAGCCCGGCAGAGGGAGGGAGGAGACCGGCATCCGCGCTCGCTGATCAGAGAGAGCCGGGCCTGCTGCTGGGGAACGTGGAGGGGCTCCGGACAGCCACGCGCCCTGGCCGGTCACGGAAAGCTCTGAGGGACATTCGGTCGGCCGTCGGGGAAGAGGCTGGCCGCCGCAGCGCGAACTGGGGGTGCGGGTGGAGCGGCTAGAGGCGCCGGGGTGAGTGGGGATGGAGCCCCGAGGGCGTGGTGCGCGCTCGGCTTCCTGCCGCCAGGGGGCGCCCACAGGCAGAGCCGGGCGGGGCGGCAGCTACAGAGAGAGGGGTGCGTGGAGAGCGACCAGGCCAGGCCTGCAGAGCGCAGCCCCGGCGCCATGTCTCCAGGCTCGTTCCGACTAGTGTTGGGTCACCCTCGGCTCAGCCCCGGGGGAGGACGAAAGGGTTGCGTGCAAGGCCTAGCACCCAGTGGCCATTCATTAAATACGTGCTGGCTGACGAGCTCAGGAACGGCTCTAGGGAGCAGCTGGCTCGGAAACCTCAAGTCCAAGCCCACTCATTCCCGTCTCCCTCCCCGACGGCCTTTTAGTTACCGTGCCCTGGGCCGCGACGGCTTCCTTTTAGATTGGGGCAGCAAGGGAGCCCCTGCGCAGCGAGGACGCCGACGGGGCGGCGGGGAGGGGTTGTCCGGCGGTATCCCCGCTCCGTGCTCCTCGCCTTCCACTGCCTCCCCGGGACACAGCAGTCATGGCTTCGACTGTGACTTCTTAACTGGCTCCTCCCTGATCGCTGAGCTAAGCCACAGGAGAAGGGGAGGAGGGCTTCCTTCCCGGGACCTTGGTCCAGGCGCTGGTCTGCGTGGTGCTCGGGTGGATAAGTCTGATCTGAGCACCACACAGGCCGGGCGCCGGGACCAAGGGGGCTCGACAAGAGGATCTCAGAACAAGCTGAGTCTCTGGAACTAGCTGGGGTGCGTGGAAGTACGCGCCACGGCCCGCGATTCCTGGGAGCGTGTCTCAACTTCTGCCAGTGCCAACGCAGGAGAGAGAATTGCGGCTCAGAGAGGGTAGCGTGAATGGAAACCGAAGGGCGAGAGCTTGGCTCTCTAATGCCACCCAACTTAGTGGTTCAGAGCTTGGCCTCCAAGGAAGATTCAGTTCAAGTCCCCGCTCTCCAACTTACCAGCTGTGTGATCTTGGGGGAAGTTAACCTCTCTGAGTCTGTTTCCTGCTCTGTAAAATGGAAATTTAAAAACTTAAACATCTACTTCGGTCGAGGCTGTTGTGAAGAAGTGGGATTGTGGGTGCATAGCTCTTAGCACAGTGCCTGGCACAGGTTAAGGCTGGATACGTGGCAGCTGTGAGGCCCAGTGTTCTCGTAGCTGGCCTGGCCAGATGCAATCATAAGCGAAGATGACTCACTTCCCACAGCAGAGGTGTGCGAAGCCCTGCGCACCTGCTGTAGTCTGCACCCGGGCAGAAGAGAACCCAGGAGCGTCGGGACCTCCAACACTCAGCCCTCAGGGCTGAGGACACTGCGCTGTTTCTGCCCCTTCTAAAACCGGAGGCCGCGATGCCCCTGTGCAGTACCGGCTGGCGCCCACCCTACAAGCTGATTCCTGGGGGCCTTTCCTGCAGCGGACGCCGGCAACCATCACGACCGACCTTGACTGAACACATGTGGGCATCCTAAGGACATTACCTCAATCCTCACACCATTCCTGAAAAAAAAAAAAACAAAGAAACTGGTGCTCAGAGAGGCGAAGTAACTCACTCAAGGTCACACAGCTAGAGGGTGGCCAAGCTGGGACTCCAACCCACTCTGGCTCCGGAGCTGGCGCCGCTTCCTTCCTACCTCTCTATCAAGCTCAGTCTCAAAGCCTGGGACAAACCATCCGGTTGGGGTGGGAAAGGCCACGCACGTCCTGGGGTCGAGGACCCTGTGCCCACGACAGCAGTCTTCTCGGCACCCGTAGAAGCCAGTGCCAGACAAGTTGGGTTGGAAGGGGCAGGCTGGGCTGGCGGAAGGGGGCTCTGGGCCCCGCCCTGCCTGCGCCCCCCGCGGATCACGCCTCCGTGCTCAAGCTCCTGCCAAGTTTGCCCCCATCTCTCAGGTGCCCTTGGACTGAGTGACTAAGCACCTCGGCACCTCTCCAGCCTGGGGTGCGAGGAGGGGCTGGCCCTGATACCCACTTCCTTTCTTCTCTGGAAAGCCAAGGTGCCAACGAAAGATGCCCTGGAAGCTGGTGTTCCTTAAAGAATGAACAGTCCCAGCTCCAAACGTGTCTCTCTGAACGCAAGCCTCTTCCTTCCGTTCGCCTGGGCCTGTAGTCGAAGTCTCCTTGGGTCCCCAGCCCCCTCCCGGGTAGACGTCAGCCTGGAGGTGGATGCCGGAGTCGAGAAGGGTTGCGGACCATGCTGGGGACCTGGCTCAGGCAGTCAGGGGTCCGGGTCCTCTTTGGGGAAGTGAGCGCTTGAGGAGGAGGGAGAAAGGCTTTTGAGTACGGCTTGGGGGGACTTCTTGAGGTCCCTCGGGATAGCTTCTCTGTTAGGCGTGTAGCCAGGAAAGGAGAAAAAATCTGTCCCGCGCAGCCCAGGGAGGAGCCTTGCAGCTGCGGAGGGGGGCACTTTCGGCGCTGGATACCAGGGGGCAGTGCTGCGCAGCGAATCTGCCGGGCTCCAGCCGGCAGCCCGGGGCAGCAAGTTTGCTGAATTCCCTCTGTCTCTCGAATCCGCTACGAAGTTCCTCCCAGGGCGCTCCTGACGCCAACAGCCCCCTCGCCCCGTAACATGCGAAAGAGGGCACGGTCCTCTCTGTCCGCGCGTTGCCGTCGGTGCGGGCGTCCTGGCTGTCTTTCCTTGGTAAAGGCAGCTACCACCGGGTTGGTTTTTGACCACTGACTTGGCCCTAGGGAAACGTAAGGTGGGGTGGCGGGGTGCCCCGTCGGGTTTTTGCAGGCCGTGTGAGCAACCTCAGAGTAGAGGTTTGAGGGGACTTTCTCAGCCTGGGCTGGAGCCCCCAAAAATGCAGGCGCCGCCTTTGAGAGGAAAAAAAAAAGCGCTGGAGGTTGGCCGCCTGCATTTGATCGCCTTCCGAGTTTACGTAGAAATCCATCCGAAGAAAGGTCCGATAGAAGGCGGAGAAGGCGGAGGCCCACCCCTGTCCAAGTACGAGCCATCCCCAAAGTACAGGGATGAGAAGGGGGGCTGAACCTTCTCTCCAGGACCCAGCGCCAGGCCCACTACACCCCCAGAATCGGTGTTGTTTGGGAAATGCCTTTCTATCCTAAAGGAGGCTGTGTCCAGGCTTAAAATATGCAGAAGCAGTGAGCAGACGGGACCCGGTGACGTGCGCGGGGCTTTTCCCACCCAAGGGGCTAGGAACTCCACTCCCTGTCCCGTCCCGGGGAAAGAGACCGAGCACTCGGCTCCGGGGCCAAATGTGAGTCCAGGAGCTTGGTGAAATAGAAACCGGACATATTCTCTTTGGACTCGGCCTCCTTTTGCTGGGATTTTTGTTTTTGGTTTCTCTCTCTCTCTCTCATAGCGCTTTGCAATACATAAAATAAAAACGCATGTCTGTGTGTGAATGCTTTGCCCGTTCTTTGAAGAATTCACACTTTAAAATTGCTTTCTGTGAGCGCAGAGGAAGAACATATAAACCACCGTTATGTAATTTGAAACCATCAATAGCCCCCTTTTAAGGTTGTCTTTATTGTGGGAAGTCAAGGTAATGATTTTGTCGCTGTCTAATTTCATCCCAATGTATGGCGTTGCTTTTATAGCCTTTCAAAGGTAAGTGAAAGGCATCAATCTAGGGCCCTTTTTCTGGCCGATTAACAGTTTAAACTGGTTTTCTAACCCTGTCACAACTATTGGGCTGATAAACAGGATTTCTGCGGAGGCATTAGCAAGTCTGTAAATAAATCATTAAAAAAAAAAAACACACACACACACACACACCACCTCAGGCAATTCTAAGTTCCTCTGACAAAAATAAACCATAAGTCCACAGGGGTGTATGTGTGTATGCATGTGTGTGTTTCTCACCTCCAAGAAGAGGTAGTTACAAGTGACCTCTCAAGAGTTATTTGTGTCCTGGTTATTATTATTACTACTATTGTCATAATCTTAGGAGAAAGTGAACAAGCTGACGACACAGGGATGGAAATCAATGAGCTTGTGGGTTCTGCATTGACTCTACCTTATTGTAGGAAATGTCCCCCTTTAATCATGGGTAAGCCTGGCGCTGCTGCCAACCTTCTTTGACATAGAACGGTCCAAATAGAAATATCCCGTTTTATTGCAACGGGTCCTTGGAAGAAGATACTTTATGTGGACGGTACTGGGACAACTGCTGAAGAAACGACAGACATGAAGGCATACTTGACACCAACATAGAGATACCCATCCGTCACCTTTGATCTCCCCTCCCCCATGCCACTGAGAAATAATTTTTTAAAAAATAGAAGCAAAATGGCAAACTAGACAATTTGAGACTTAAATAAAAATAGCTTTAGGCCCAGACCCACTGGAAGCTTTTTCTTTTTGACGCTGCCGTGTTTCTCTGATGCAACAGAAACCTCTGACCCCCCGCCCGGGGTCTCGCACCAAGGCCAGACAGCCCCGCTCCCGGGGTCACCCGAGGGTTACCTTTGGGTGCAGGCGCGGCCTTTCTCCGAAGGGAGGGGCAGCTCCCCTGCCCCTGCAAAATGAAGGAGAAATGATAAGCAGCGGTGAAACCGTCTAGAGGCCCAGCCTGGCACCCGCCCCGCCAGGTGCTGGGGGAGGCGACAGCCTGCAGCGCCAAGGGGATGCTCCTCGGGCGCAGCGGGCGGGACAGCTTGGGCTGTCCCTTTTGTTTTCAACGCTCCTCTTGCGGCGAGTTCCGGGAGTTTAGGGCCCCGGCCCAGAAAGGAAAAAGCGAGAAGGCGCGTCTGGGCTCTGTAGGAGTGCAGCCGCTGCCGAGTCCAAGCGGCCCCAGGCCAGGCCAGACGTTGAGGTGAGGTTGCCCAGCAGGCGGGGACCCCAGCTCGGAGAGGGTTCTCCGCGTCCCCAGCCGTCGGCGCAGGAAGTTGAGGCGGCCAACATGCCTTCGTCCCCACTCGACTCCCGGGCCCACGTGCTGGTCCACGCCGGGGACCTGAGAGCATCGCGACTAGGGGGCTGCGGGACGCCTCCCGAGCGTCGAGGAAAGACAGGACCGGGGGGAGCAGGCGGGGCCCACGCGGTTGCATTTCTCGCCCCGCCGCCGCCTTCAAGAAGCAGAACCCGGAGCCCCACCTGCACCCTCACTCCGGCCCCCGAGCCCGGCCTGGCCGGCAGTGCTCGGGGAGGCCCTGGGTGGCGCTGTCTCCTCCCCTCCTGCAAACGCCACCGCCAGAAAATCGCTCCCACCCCACCCGGCCAGGCGAGCCACCGACCCGGGGCTGCGTCCGCCTCGGTTCAGCCTCGGTTCAGCCTCTCCGGGTGCGGATCCCGGACCCGGCCAGCAGACGGAGGCTGGCGGAGCGCAGAGTCCCGGCGACTCCCACCTCCCGGAGGGGGCACGGGGACTTGCGTGGGGCGGGCGGGGGCCGGGATTCCGGGCGGGGCGAAGGGACCCAGCTCGGCTGCGGGGCGCGCGGTCGCTCTCCCTCAGGACTGCGGCTCGGATCCCTCCCTACCTCTCCCGGTCCCTCGCAGGACTCTACATCGCCTTCGGCGTTTCCTCTCCCTCCCGCAGTTTCCACCCTTCGGCTTGTCTTACTCTCGGCTCCTTCGCCCACCCTTTCCTCCCCATCCTGTCCCCCGCCCCCACTCTTCTGCAGTTTGTAACTGAGAGCGCCCCAAACAACCCCATCAAGCCAATAAACCCAAAATGTGAGCACTGCCCAAACCCGTGTGCTTATCCTGCCGCTTCTAGAAGGCAAATTGATACGGGGTGGATTTGGAACGGCTTTCTCAGAGAGGCCCGAAAGCTTTCAAAAATTCTAAGTCAGGAGACAGCTGGCTGTTTTCTTAGCACCTCTGCAGCGCTGAGGATGTCTTCATCCTCCTCAGACACCCCCAGCCCGGGGATGTTAGCCCATTGCCCAGATGGAAGACAGAGCAGGGAGGTAACCCCAGCGGTTACAAACTTGATTCTTCTCATGTGGTGGACTCCAGTCTTTTGAATACGATCTCTACCTCTTGTTTTCCCTTCTTATTTAATTTCTTGATGTTTTCTTGGATGGTTTAAGCGACAGGAGGAAGAGAGGGCAAAGGCAGCCCCCGTACCTTTCAATAGAGTGAAATGGCCTGAAATTACAGCTACATAACTATCAAAAATGAAACTGTGTTTGTGAAAATCTGTAACCCTAGCTATGTAATTGGAGACATTCATGAAAGAAGGATATTGCACAGGTGAAAGTGATTTTTCAATTGCTTTCATATTTTTAATATTTTTCCAAATTGTTGAGAGGACTTTTCCTGAATACAAGGATGAATGTTTCGGCTTGGAAAGTTCAGTGTAGCCCTAGTCATTGGAAGGCTACAGTTATCATAAATTGCTTTTAAAGTGTTTATTAAAGTGATTGAAATTTGTTTCTTTAAAAAAAAATAGTCTCTGAACTTGCAAACTTCCTACCTTACCAAATAGACTTTCCTGAGACTTGAAAATGGTTCCCATGAACTTTCTCATGGCAAAATTACACAGTAAACATGTTCCTGGAACTCTTTTTTAAAAGGAGTTGGAGCCCAATCTTCACAACCATTCATTTTCCTGCCAGATTCTTTGCATTGGGCATTTCCTTGTGTGCCTGGGACCTTACTGTTGTTGAAGCAGAAGTTCTCATATAGGAAATTTTGCATTACTGAAGAACTCTGCTTTAGGGCAAAGGCTGAAATGATACAGGTTTAGGCATCCCATGCCTACTGAGTGAGAGGTCATCGCATTAAATATTTTGAGCATGCTGACAAGGTAAGGAAGATGCAGAAACTCCTGACCAGATTCATGAAGGCTGAAGACAGAATTCTAAGCAGTCCCTTGTTTTGCATGAAGCACTGTGATATTGAGGAAGAGGAGGCGTTAAGATCGGAATTGCCCAAAGTGTCTACACACCTTCATATTTGTTACTAATTATCACCCCTTTTCCACTTCTCGTTGTGTTTGGCCAGCCCTGAATACCTGGAGACTGATCCGAGAACTGTTTGCTTTCGTTTCTTCCCACATATTTTTATTAACAACTTGAACTGATCCTGCCTAATCCAAATTCTTATACTTTGATCTTGTTCCTTAGCATCCACATTAAAGAGTTTTTCTGTTTCCACCAAATTTTTACCTCCCCCCCTTAACTTTTTCCCTATGCTAGTTCTCTCTGCTTATTATTCTCCCATTTATTCTCTCGACTTGAGGTTTCTGTGATGGTTACTTACATTAGTGACCACATTGCCAAAGCACCTTCAAAAGTAACTGATGCCCTTTATTACGTACTGGAGTTGCGTTTAACCAGGGAATCCTCATCAAGCCACAAAGGTGAGGGAGAAAACTGAGATAATTACATACAGGTAACAGGGCAAAAACACTGTTTTGTCTCATCATTGAGTTTTTTCCAAATGAATGTTTTTAAATTAGAAATATCAGATTAATGACTGTAATAAAAATATAAATTGCCTCTTTCCAATGTGTATTCAGGCCAGGATCCTCTTCTGCCAGTGACACCATGAAACAGAAAAGTTGTGTGTCTGGCCCCCAAATGCTTAGTTCCTGTTACTAACAATCGATATGGCGTTCTTCTTTGTAGGGAAACCTGACCTTAGAGGAAATGGAAAAGTTGGAGAGACACTGAGCACTGATACGAAATAATTCTCTTGCTGAAATACACGAAAGGAGTCCCAGCAGCCATATTAGTATTTCCACGTCCTGTGTCAGCCCCAAGTAGAGAGAACTTGGAATGGGAGGGGAAATGGCAGCCATCAGGAAATGAAATGCTGGCCCAGAGAATTCTAAGCAAGTCAATCACCAGTCCAAGTAAGGAGGTGTTTTTTGTTTTTGTTTTTGTTTTTGTTTTTGTTTTTAAATATCCACTTGCCATTTGTTTTACCCAATTCAAAATTTTTTCCCAAGAAAAAAAAATACACTTGTAAAATGCCTCATTAACAGCAAAGATGAATTGGACCTCAACTTTTGAATGCCATGCTGCTTTAAAGGAAACTGTAGAAGTTCGTGGAATGAAAGAATACTGCCAGCATGCATTCGGACTATTTTCCATCTGTGTGGTAGAGTCTGAGCTGTGTGTTCTACAGAAGCTCCAGTTGGCAGAAGGACGACTTTGGCCCTGAATTTTCATTTATTTTTGTTTCAAAAATGAAAGGATAGTTGCTATTTTTCCAAAATTTAGAATTTTAAATCACTACCCACTTTTGATCTCTGATTTAAATCTTGTTTTGAGAGACACATTAGACAGTCTCTACATATTATATTATCTTGCAAGGGAAAAAAGGAGAAAGATCGGAAAGTGCTGACTTTCTGTGTCAAATGAATGGATTATTGGCTTCATTCTTCTTTATTTTATAAAGGTTTTCTTTTCAAGAAATGCAGAACTTTACCAATACAATATATATCAGTCTAATCGGCAGTCATAAAATGGGTGGCATGAGGGTGGAATATGGCAGCAGGGAGATCTCAGCTGGCAGCAAAGCATGAAGTGGTGATTGTGTTTTTATGGAAAGCCTGTTTTGTCCAGTGGCTGATGAAATTCAAAATGGTCCCCTAAGCCTATCTCTGAAGCCAGCAGTTCAGAAGCAGTAGAGCTAGCGGCTCTCTTAACATCTGTACCCTGCCCCCTATTTACCCAGCGACACCCCAGCCCAGAGCACCTCCAAATGTAAGACTTAATATAACCAAATGGAAGCTGCTAGGAGGTACTCAGTTCCAGGATCAACAGTTTTTGCTTTAAAAAGAAGGTAGCAGTTCAGCCCCTTGTTTGTTTTTGCCTACGCATTTCCCTACCAGCGGGAGACCATTACCCGGGACAATGTTTTATTCCATTGTCATTATCTCCTACGGAACTAAAACAATGCTCTGTTTGGCCTCCCAGGCAAGGGGGATTTGTTCCGCTCTTCTTTAAGCAGAGTTTCCAACTGAGTTTCTGACCCAGTCACTTGATATCCAGCAGGGATACCTGGTGACAATTTTTTAAAAATCTGCTATCTTGTGTTTTGTAATTTCATTCTCTGAGAAGTAGCCTAGAAACTCGATTCTCAATCAAGAGGAATCACACCATGGCTAAGGGAAGAGGGTTTGCTCAAGCTGCATGAGCTCTATAATTTAAATCAGCCAGATAGGATTTATTTATAGTTGTTTTATCTTTTTTTGTTTTGTTATTGAATAGCAAACCCCAAAAGGTTTCATAACATTGTGTTGTTGATTCTCAAACCCCAAAAGGTTGGGAACCACTAGAGCTGAGATGTTTTCCATTAGACCAGGGTGTTTTTTTCTATTTCTTTTTAAATACATAAGTAAATTATAAATGTAGATAGAGATGAGATTGAGATAGAGATAAATGATGCCAAGATTTCTAACATTTATGACAGATGTTGATGAACAATAACTCGTTGGAGCTATTTTGTCATACTTGAGATTTTCCAGAAAATAGAACAAGCCCACAGAATGGGTTTAATCTGCCAAAGCATCTCCCTCTTTACAAGCATCTACACAGGCCTCCAGCCCTAAGTACTTTCACCTGGACAATGTTATGAAGCTTAATCCAGTACTAGTAGCAGAAAGACTTGTTTACTTTGGAGCTAAGGAGTGAGTAGGACACTTAAGACTTTGTTTTGTCCTTGGACTCAAGGCAAACTAATGGTTAGCATCACTCCAGTTGTTGCTATCATTTTATTACTCATATGTAGCTATGAGTAACTTGAGAAACTGAAATGTAACTGCTGCATATAATAAAAAATCAATGGCCAAGACTGGCTACCTGAGGAGACTGAGTCCCATGCTAATGAGGCTAAGATTTTATACTGATTTTGTTTTGCTCTGAGATGGTAATCTAATAACCCCCGTCTCCAGCAGCTCGGTGGCTGAATTGGTGGAAACCTATCCTCAGATGGCTAGTGGAGAAACAGTTCAGAGCCCAGATCATGCTGGAGAGCAGGAGAGCCTTGGTGAAAGATGAAATGGCAAAATGCTTAAGAGTTGGGGATCAGGAGGCAGACACACCCACATTTGAAGCCTGGCTCCCCCATTTGCTCTCTAGGTGATAGAGCAAGTTACTAACCACTCTGAGCTTCTGTTATTTCTAAGAGTAGAAGAAATAAAAGGAATAGTGCCCCATTATTTGTAAGAAAGTGTGAATGACAAGGTGCATGTAAAGCATTCCACAGTCAATATTAGCGATTGTCACTATTATTTGTGTATACAATAAACAGCACTGCCCATGGAAGGCTCTAACTCTAGAGTCCTTCCCAACCCTGTCTCTATCACTTGAAAGAATATCCACTCTGTGAGTGTTGTGCTTACACATTTTGTTCCTAGAGCCCAGCCGACTTACTGTCATGCTCGAGGGAAGCTTCATTTAGTTGATCTGTTTGGGTTATACATTTATGGATTTATTCCACAAATCACAGTGGTCTTCACAGTCATGATGATTCTTCTTTATGAAAAATAGTTGAGAAAGCTAGAATATATTTTTAAGCCCTACTTGGGAACCTACAAGCAGAAATTAACTGGCATATTACTGTGTTCCATTTAAGTCTAAGAGGTTGAAATCATTAAGGCCAACACGTTTTATTTTTCCTTAAGGATATCAGACATGTGACAAAAAAAGCTTTCATAAGGAATGCCTGAAATAGGGGAGAAGTTCTTACAATGGCTTGTAAGAAGTTCTCATTTCCCTACTGATGGATTGGGAGGCTCAGAGAAGTCTATGGAACAAAAGAGATCCACTCCAGCTTTGAGTGAGACAAAATTTTTAAGGTCATGGCTGTTTTTTTTTTTTTTTTTTTTTTTTTGAGAGAGAGAGTTTCACTCTTGTTGCCCAGGCTAGAGTGCAATGGTGTGATCTCGGCTCACCACAACCTCTGCCTCCCGGGTTCAAGCAATTCTCCTGCCTCAGCCTCCCAAGTAGCTAAGATTACAGGCATGTGCCACCACACCCGGCTAATTTTGCATTTTTACTACAGACGGGATTTCTCCATGTTGGTCAGGCTGGTCTCAAACTCCTGACCTCAGGTGACCCGCCCGCCTCGGCCTCCCAAAGTGCTGGGATTACAGGCATGAGCCACCGCGCCCAGCCGTAGATCATGGCTGTCTTTAATACCATTTCCTTAAAGTTCCCTAGTCCTAAATGTGTGAATTCTGAAATATTCTTAAAGGGTCATGCTTTTGATGGCATTACATTGGTTTTTTGTGATATGATCCCATTACACATCATGATGTCATGGTGTATGATGTGTTTGCAGAAAGTCCAGGATTATGGCAACAAGTGAACCGGATAACCCTTCTGCTTTCTTACAGCTCTTCCGAAAACTTCCTTGTTTTGCCTTTTCAAACATCAGGGGCGTGACTTATAACAGCCAAATTTTGCCAGCATGCTGTGTCATGGGTTCCAGTCCGTGGAGCTCCGTCATACTCTGTTGGGCATCCTGTGTCTTATTCCTCTCTTTAGGTCCAGTTTCTACATACCTTATCTGTGTTATCTCAGGCTTCAGAAGCTTCTCCGTAACGTGGGCTACTTTCCCCTCATCACTGGGTATTTATTTATTTATTTTTACTGAAGCCTGAGCCCTGTAACGTTACCACACTGGCCACAGCTTCAGGAGAGAGATCACTGCTCTCAAGAACTTACAGTCTAGTGATGGATACAAAGGTACATGAAAAAATAACTAGCAATGGAAAACAAAGCATGAAATGCGATGAAACGTGGTCAGGATGCTAAGTGCTATGACATATCACACTCGGAACCTCACTTTGCTCATATGAAAAGCTGGAGAGAATCTTCCCAAGCTTAGCACATCCTCATAGGATTTTGGTGAAAATCAGATGAGATGGTAGGTATGGAAGATTTCTGTCAACTACAAGTCAATTACGCCAAAAAATTAAGAGGTCTTGTCAAATCATAAAATTAACAGAATTATTATTAAACCTTAAGAGGGCACTTGAGATAATAAATGCCAGATTTAGTAGCATGGTAGTATCATTCTATCTGGGGTGGGGGCAGGAGGGAGGGAGTGCCATAGGAATGGGTACACAGAGGGCCTTCAATTCCATTGGTGTGCTGTGTGTCTTATGCTCAGTGGTGGTTATACAAATGTTTGTCATCTCATTCTATAAATTTTGGTGGATATTAAATATTATAACATATATAGTTTGGTTATTGAGGTTTTTTGTTTGTTTGTTTTTGTTTTGAGATAGAGTCTTGTTCTGTTGTCTAGGCTGGAGAGCAGTGGCACAATCTTGGCTCACTGCAACCTCCACCTCCCAGGTTCAAGCAATCCTCCTACCTCAGCCTCCTAAGTAGCTGGGATTACAGATGCCCGCCACCATGCCCAGCTAATTTTTTATTTTTACTAGAGACGAGGTTTCACCATGTTGGCTAGACTGGTCTCCAACTCTTGACCTCAAGTGATCCGCCCACCTCAGTTTCCCAAAGTGCTGGGATTACAGGCGTGAGCCACCGTGCCCGGCCAGTTATTGAGTTTTAGAAGTCTCATTTTCGGGATGAGGAACTGAGATCTAGACAGAGAAATGCTTGCCTAGAATCAAACAGCCTCTTAGTAGCTAAGCTAGTGCCTAGATCTTAATTGTTTCCACTCCCCCTCAATGTGTATTTCCTTTGTCCTCTGTAGATCTTGCAGTCATCCTGGATTCCCCTTTCCCTCATACTCAATCCAACAGCAGGTCCTGCCATGTCTACCTTCTAGCTATGGGCTGCATCTGCGCACTTCTGCCCCTTGCCTGTGCATCAGGACATTCCCCAGCCGCCCTTGACTGAGGGTGGAAGGGGAAGCGTAGAGTCAGGCAGGGCTATGGTACAGGTTTCCTGGTTGGGTCTAAACTGAAGGAGCATTGTATTTATTCAGATGGAAAACATAAGGAACCAGCACATCTGTTATGTGTACTTTCATGAGACATTTATGTAGTTATATTTGAAAGTACTCTAACAGTATCATGTGTTCTTTAAAAAAAAATTTTTTTTTTGAGATAAGGCCTTGCTCTCTCACCCAGGATGGAGCGTGGTAGTGCAACTGTAGCTCTCAGCAGCCTCAAGCTCCTGGGCTCAAGTGATCCTCCAGCCTCGGCCTTTTGAGTAACTAGGATTGCAGGTGTGCAACACTACGTGCAGCTATTTTTTAAATTTTTTATAGAGACAGGGGTCTTACTACATTGCCCAGGCTGATTTGGAACTCCTGGCTCCAAGCGATCCTCCTTTCTCTCCCTCCCAAAGTGCTGGATTACAGGCATGAGCTGGTGCTCAGCCTGAAGTGTTGTTTATAAATACATATGTGCATGGGGAGGTGTTTAGACATGGTTCTGCAGCCATTGGAAGAAAGGCACCTGCTTCTCTCCTATGCTCATCTTTGAATGCCAGGATTGAGTTCCACATCTTCAAAGTTGCCATGGGCACAGTCTGGCTCTCACCCCGGCCAGCGCTTTCTTTCTTCTGACCTCCTTCCCCACAGGCAGCCTGGACCACAAAGTTTAGCCCTCAGGAATGTCTTGATTCATTTGACATTTCAGTGGAAGATTAGAAGTATCCCGCACTAGGAGCACATATGGCAGGTGAGGTCCCATCCTGCAACCCAGGAGGCTCTGTGCTCCCTGAGAGTGGGTTTCAGCACATTATGTGGCAGGTAGGTGCTCCTTAAATATTTGCTGGGTGAACGAACGAAGAGCCTCCTCACTGGGGTCCCTATTTGCACTCTTACATTGCTATGAGGTATCTTTACACTGCTACAGGGGTCTTTTAAAAGCATTGATCAGATCGCAAACTCTTGTGGCTGCCCATTGCTCTTAGAATAAATATAAACTCCCTCTCGTAGCCTACGAAGCCATTCTATGGCCTGTTGCCTGCTTCCTTTCCAAGCTCTTCTTTCACTCTCTCCTTGACTCAGCCAAAGGAGCCTTCCTCGGTTCCTCTAATATGCTACACATTCCTGCCTCAAGGCCCTTGCCCTTGTCTTTGTTCTGCCTGGGAATCTCTTTCCCTGGTTCTGCACATGCTTGGCCAAAACAGTCCCAGTCACACATTCTATGACCTTGTAGCACTTAACACTGTCTGAATTATCCAGCTGATTGATGTGTTTACCTGTTCCTTGCCTGCTGCTACCCTCTCCCTCTAGACTTAAATTCCTAAGCCAGGCACGGTGGCTCACGCCTGTAATCCCTGCACTTTGGGAGGCTGAGGTGGGCGGATCACTTGAGGTCAGGAGCTCGAGACCAGCCTGGTTAACATGGTGAAACCCTTTTTCTACTAAAAATACAAAAAAGTTAGCCAGGTATGGTGGTGCATGCCTGTAATCCCAGCTACTCAGGAGGCTGAAGCAGGAGAATCACTTGAACCTTGGAGGCAGAGGTTGCAATGAGCTGAGATTGTGCCACTGCACTTCAGCCTGGGAGACAGAGGGAGACTCCGTCTCAAAAAAAAAAAAAAAAGTCCTTAAGAACAAAGCCAATGTTTGCCTTTTTCACTGCTATGTCTCCAGCCATTTAACCTAAGAGTGGCAATTCTTAGTTGCTCAGTAAATGAATGAATGAAAAAAAAGTCATTCCACACTGTTATGGACTGAATTATGTTCCTCCAAAATTCATATGTTGAAGTCTTAACCCCCAATATGACTGTATTTAGAGACAGAACCTTTAGGGAAGAGATTAAGTTTAAATGAGGTCATAAAGGTGGACCCCTAATCCAATATGGCTGGTGTCCTTTTCAGAAGAGGGACACCAGATCTTTCTTTCTTTCCTCATGGGCACAGAGGAAAGGCCATGTGAGGACATAAGGAGGAGACAGCCATCTATAAGCCAAGAAGAAAGCCCTCACTAGAAACCAACTCTAATGGCACCCTGATCTTGGATTTCTAGCCCCTGGACAATGAGAAAATAAATGTCTGTTGTTTAAGCACCTAGTCTGTGGTATTTTGTTGTGGCAGCCCCAGCAGACTGACATACACACCATCTTACCAGCTGGCTGGCCTTGGACAAATCATTTAACCTCTGTTTGCCTCAGTTTTTTTACCTGTTAAATGGAGTTAGTCATAGTCCCTGCCTCGTAGAGTTGTGGTCAAAGATTAAATGAGTTAATATATGTAAGACCGTTAGGATACTATTTTAGTGTTAACTGTTTGTATTAGTGTTAGTAAAGCAGGTTTAGTTACATTTAGTGAATAACAGCAATAATGCAAAATTTTAGAACTCCTGATAGGACATCTGGAAGGAAAATGTCACTGCAGGAAAAGGTGGCTTGGAGAGGTGCCAAAATTAATGGGCAGATGCAAGGGGACGGAAGAGGAGAAGAAGTTCTCGGGGAGACAGGCTTGGAGGAGACAGGCTATGTGTCTAGGGGCAGCACACAGGGTAGTCTGGCTTGGGCAGAGAGACTGTAGAGGAGAGAATCTTATTTTTACTTGCACAAAAACACCAGTGTTAGAAAGCAAGGGAGAAGCCAGATGTTCTGAGCATGTTTCCTGTCAGTGGTGACTCCATTCTCTGGACCTGCCTTCCCAGGGTTGTCATCAGACCCTGTTCCCTGGCTCATCGTCAGCTGTTACTCCTCTCTCTCCTTGGTGCCACGTCTGTCAGAACAGTCTGCTTCTCTTGTTCTTCTCCGGTCACACCCTTGAGTGATCATCCTGGTGTGGCAGTGCCTGTCTCTTCATTTCTGAGCCACTGTGCTATACAGTCCCAGTTCTGCTTTTCTGTCCCTCTCCTCCTTTTTGACATGCAAAGATTTGTTCTTTAAAGAAAATTTTAACTGGAATGTTGAACTGCTGTCAAGTGAATTGATCTGTGCAATTTTGCTGTTTTTAATCCTTCTTCCCTGCCACAGGACTGAAACAGGGCTGGAATTTTCCTCTCCGGGGCAGTTATTGCCTTCATCTTTCTTCTTTGCTCTTCTCCTGGAGCTAAAGAACTCACCTTTGCCTCCAGGGACACATGCCCGTGTTCTCTCACTGTTCCCCATCTGGTCAGGGTAAACACCAGTCCACTGTGTCTGCCACCAACTCTCTGGGTGCAGAAACACAGGCCTTGCAACAGAAGATATAGGCTGTTCTCCTGATCCTATTTCTGTTTTCTCCAGCCTTGTCACTCTGGGGCCGCTGAGCCTCAGTTTCCATATCTGTAAAATCGGACAGGCAGTGGGGAGATGATTGTGAAAGCTCTTGCTGACTCATAACACATGGGGTGGATGTGGCTGTTCGTGTTGTTTTCACCACTTGCCTGTCATTTGTTCCCTTACATTCCTTGGCTTCATGGTGGCTGGATCTCTAAACTGGGGAGGAAGAAGAGAGGGAGGTCATTCTGCTTCAAGGCCCTTCCCCCAGCACAGGGCTTTTCTGATGTGACTTGGGTTCTAAGTACTCTAACGATGGTGCAAACCAGATGGGGCAGTCTTGTTAGATGTTGGTTGTTTTTTTTTTTCAAGAGCAGCAAGCAGTGAGAACCCAAGGGTGCCACTGAGGCACTTCCACTTTGTTAGCTCCTGGGAGAAAAGAGAGCTTACACCCCCACCTTCTCGTGCTGCCCAACTTGATAGATATAATATTTAGAATGCCTGTTCTTCATGATATCATCTTAGATTCAGATGCCTCAAGGCTCAAACAGGTCATGTGAGTGACCAGGCCAGCCTCATGGGGACCTGGAGCACACAGGCCCCTTCAGGAGGGGTGGTCACCCCTCACCTCCAGCTGACTTTTTTTTTTATTGAGACAAAGTCTCACTCTGTTGCCCAGGCTGGAGTGCAGCAGCACAATCTCGGCTCACTGCAACCCCCATCTCCCAGGTTCAAGCAATTCTGGTGCCTCAGCCTCCCAAGTAGCTAGGATTACAGGCGTCCACCACCACGCCCAGCTAATTTTTGTATTTTTAGTAGAGACGGGGTTTCACTATGTTGGTCAGGCTGGTCTCAAACTCCTGACCTCAGGTGATCCACCCGCCTCTGCCTCCCAAAGTGTTGGGATTACAGGCGTGAGCCACTGCGCCTGGCCTCCAGCTCCTCCAGCTGACTATTGACATGAAAAAATGAGCCCAGTGCAACCATGTCATTTGTGTTAAAAGACACACACACACACACACACACACACACACACACACACAAACTGGGAATTCAAGTTTTTAGCTAAAATACCTGTTATGGTTTGGCTCTGTGTCCCCACCCAAATCTCATGTTGCATTGTAATTCCCAGTGTTGAAGGAGGGACCTGGTGGGAGGTGATTAGATCATGGGGGCAGATTTTCCCCTTGCTGTTCTCATGATAGTGAGTGAGTTCTCACAAGATCTGGTTGTTTAAAAGTGTGTAGTGCCTCCCCCTTCACTCTCTCTCCTGCTCCACATGGTAAGACGAGCTTGCCTCCCCTTTGCCTTCTGCCATGATTTTAAGCTTCCTGAGGCCACCCAGACATACTTCCTGTACAGCCTGTGGAACCATGAACCAGTTAAACCTCTTCTCTTTTATTTTTTCTTTCTTTCTTTCTTTCTTTTTGAGATGGAGTCCCATTCTGTTACCCAGGCTGTAGTGCAGTGGCACCATCTTGGCTCACTGCGACCTCTGCCTCCTGGGCTCAAGTGATTCTCCTGCCTCAGCCTCCTGAGAAGCTGGGATTATGAGCGCCTGCCATCATGCCTGGCTAATTTTTG
Source organism: Homo sapiens (assembly GCF_000001405.40). Lineage (NCBI taxonomy): Eukaryota > Metazoa > Chordata > Mammalia > Primates > Hominidae > Homo > Homo sapiens. The sequence continues at coordinate 117,150,784 of NC_000010.11, read as the reverse complement.
TATTTTTAGTAGAGGTGGGGTTTCGCCATGTTGGCCAGGCTGGTCTTGAACTCCTGACCTCAGGATCGGCACCCCAAAGTGCTGGGATTACAGGTGCGAGTCTGCACCGGGCCATATTGCTAATTTTAGAAGTGTTTTTAAACACATTAAACCCAGCCTCTTTTCTTTTCTTTCTTTTTTTTTTTTTTTTTTTTTTTTGAGACGGAGTCTCAGTCGCCCAGGCTGGAGTGCAGTGGCGTGATCTTGGCTCACTGCAAGCTCCGCCTCCAAGGTTCACGCCATTCTGCTGCCTTGTCTCCCAAATAGCTGGGACTACAGGCGCCCGCCACCACACCCGGCTAATTTTTTGTATTTTTTAGTAGAGACGGGGTTTCACCATGTTAGCCAGGATGGTCTCGATCTCCTGACCTTGTGATCTGCCCGCCTCGGCCTCCCAAAGTGCTGGGATTACAGGCGTGAGCCACTGCACCCAGTCTCTTTTCTTTATAAATTACCCAGTCTCAGGTCGTTCTTTATAGCAATGTGAGAATGAACTAATACAATACGCTTATTCTTAACATAGTGGAAATTAACTCAAATGTTTTAAAATGAAAGAAAATTCAATGACCAAACAGAACCCAAAACCACACACTGGATTTGGCTCAGGTTTTCAGCCTCTGCTTTAAACTAATCCATGTCGTCATCTTGGAAGATGCTCAGAGTTATTGTTCTGTGACGTGACCTATTTGTGTTTTTCCTGCGGCCTTGGTGCCTCAGAATGACAGTAATGGTAGATATTGCAGAGGGGATATGTTTTTGGTAACAGCACATGGAAAGTCACCTACTCCACCTTTGGGCCAGCTTGTCTAAATACCCAACTGCAGTCATATAATTTACAGAGCCTGGTGACTCTACCATCAAGCATGTAATCTCTGCCTAAGCACCCAACTCCCTTAGGCTTACCATGTGTGATCACAGAATCTGAGAATGTTAGAGCCAGGAGGACCCTTGGGATCACCCTGACCTGCCTCCTGCTTCAGCAAGAAAGTGAAGGTCACATGGGGTAGGGTCTTGCCTGGGGTCACTCAGCTTTTCAGTGACCCACTTGGAGCAATAGCATAGCCTCTTAAACCTCTGACTCTATTTTCTTCCCCTTTTCCTGTAGCTTCCATTTACAGCTATAAAATAATTGTCTTTGCTTCAACTCCACATCTTCCTCAGAAAGGGTAGTCCTCTGAGTCACTGGGATTCCAAGTCATGAAGGGCAGTTTGAATGAGTGGCCAGTACTGTGGTATACTTATGGCCGAGGTCAAAAACAGGACCAGCAGAATGCCGAATCCCAGGAATTCTTATACAGCAAACCAAAACTCCCCCTTCCTGTGCACTTTCAACTGATTGCCTTCTGTTTCCTTCACTAGAGAATCACAAAGTCTCCCTTTTACTTCTAAAAAAAAAAAAAAGTGGCAAAACATAAAAGCAAGCAAAATAATTTGTCCAGATTAAGAACACAGTGGGAAGGCCAGGCGCAGTGGCTCATGCCTGTAATCCCAGCACTTTGGCAGGCCAAGCCAGGCAGATCACTTGAGGCCAGGAGTTCAAGACCATGCTGGCCAACATGGCGAAACCCCATCTCTACTAAAAATACAAAAATTACCAGGCATGGTGGTGCACGCCTGTAACCCCAGCTACTTGGGAGGCTGAGACATGAGAAATGCTTGAACCTAGGAGGTGGAGGTTGCAGTAAGCCAAAGTCATGCCACTGCACTCCACCCTGGGTGACAGAGTGACTATTTTACTATTTTACTCACTGTGACTATTTAAAAACATTTCTGAAGTGGCAGCAGCAACCAAGTAGCTGAATGGAAGCAAATTGTCCTGCTCTAGACCAGGGAGATCAGACACCTTCCCAGCTCTGAGCTCTGGTAGGCAGGGCACTGGGAAGGTGTCTGACCCCTGCACCTCTTTAGCTGACTCCTTCTGTAAAAATGGTGAATAGAGCTTGGTTGGCCCACGAGGCAGATGTCCTCCTCCTTCCTGCTTCCATCAGCCCAGGGCTCAGGGTCCTGCCCAGAAACAAACAAACAAACAAACAAAAAAACACCTTATGACAGGTGACCACAGCCAGCCACAGGCTCCTTCCAGAGAGCCTGCATGGTATTTGCAACTCAGTCTTCAGTGGTTGATGTTGGAGCAGTCACATAACATCGCCATAAATAGCTTCTGAGCTCATCAAATGCCACCACCACACTTCGATATTTAATCCCTTACAAAAGCTGTTTATGGTTCTGTGTACTCCTTTTCATGAACATTATACCTTAATTTTATTAGCTTTTTCTGAGAATTCAAACAGATTAAAGAGGCTCAATTTTCCCTTCCAGAAGTCATGCTGATTTAATTAGTTAATGTTTGTAAAGCGCTTTTGAAGTGGGAAAGTGCCACAGGAGAACTAAGTAGTAGTATTTAGAAGTTACTCAACACACTTTATATTAACATCTCCTGTTCCTAAATGCCATCCCTCCTTGCTCATTGTAGGGAGATGGGGGTGTTCCCACCATTGCTTCATTCCTTGGAGACTGTTTCTTTCATTTGGATCACATCGGGTTCCAGAGCCACTTACAGCCATCTGTGACCCTGTGACCACAGGTCTCTGCTTCTGTTACAGCTGAGAGTCTTGGCAAACTCTTAGAACAAATGCTTTCTCACAAATAGCTAATAGTCTTTCTGTTTTCTTCCCCCCTTTTGTAAATATTAGCGAGTGCCCACCATGTACCAGGTATTCCCCTCCCTCTGGGTCTTCTTTTCTTGTCTGGGCTGATGGTTTTGCTGAGAGATCTTGGATGGGTCATTTCATCTCTGCTTTTCATCCCTTTACCTGTGTTTCAGGGGAGCCAACACAAAATACCTGGGGATGAAAATATGCTCATGCTCAGTTCTGTATTCCTTCATCAAACATCTCACCTTGGACAGCTTTAAGTAGTGAACCAAGGAAAGTCCATGTTGCTTGCATTGTTTTCACATGGGTATAGTTCTGCTCTTCAAAATTACGGTGTTGGGGGATAGAGCTCAGTGGTACAACAATCGACTATAAAATTGCAGTGACTTCTCCTTTACTGTAAAGGAATAAGGTGTCACATACATAATTTTTCTGAGTTTGTTTTATGTTACCTCTGAAATGAGTTATGTGCTTCTCTGCCTTCTTAAACGAAATGCAATGTAATCTTTTAAGGGTCACTTCCTGAATATCCACTGCCACACTGCATTCTACTGCATTCATGCCCTCAAGAGCACTTGAGGTTGCAGTTACTTGTATCCAACCAAAGTGACCCCAGAACCTGATGCTTTTTTGAGTCAGTTGTTTTTTTTTTTATCCCTCTCCAAAACTTGCTGTTGGTGGATATTCTTACTGTCTTCAGTGTTCCTGCTCCAAACACAACTCTCCCTTCCCATTTGTTGCCGCTAATCTACTGCAGGCTGGGAAATGGGAGAATTATACTGGTTAGAATTAGGTCAAAAATAAACATGAATAGACTAGGCACAGTGGCTCATGCCTGTAATCCCAGCATTTTGGGAGGCCGAGGCAGGTGAATCACCTGAGGTTGGGAGTTCAAGACCAGCCTGGCCAACAAAGTGAAACCTGGTCTCTACTAAAAACATAAAAATTAGCTGGACGTGGTGGCAGGTGCCTGTAATCCCAGCTACTTGGGAGGCTGAGGCAGGAGAATCACTTGAACACAGGAAGTGGAGGTTGCAGTGAGCCAAGATCATGCCACTGCACTCCAGCCTGGGGACAGAGTGAGACTCTGTCTCAAAAAAAAAAAAAAAAAAAAAAATTAGCTGGGTGTGGTGGTGTGTTCCTGCAATCCCAGCCACTTGGGAAACTGGGGCAGGAGAATCTCTTGAACCCGAGAGGCAGAGGTTTCAGTGAGCCACTGCACTCCAGCCTAAGCAACAAGAGCGAAACCTCTGTCTCAAAAACAAAATAAAAATAAACATGAATAGACTTTGAATGAGGGACTGAGAAGGTCCCCTATGAGCAAAGAACTCAAGTTGAAATGTACAGACTCTGTGATATGCCGATTTTAACTGCTCAGTGGCACTGTCTTCTTCCTTTTCCAGTTGGGGCTCTCTTCTGGATGGGGTGAGGTTTATAAAATAAGTGACTTCTGAGCAAGCATTCCTACACACTGAAATAAAAATACTTCATGATTTTGATACAGGGAGTTCTTAGAGACTTGCATGGAGTAGGTGTCACTACCTGCTTGTTGAATAAATGGCTCCAGCAGCTTTTCATGCAGTAAGAAATTTTAGAAAATGATGGGTTTAAAGACGCTTTGAAACACAAATGTACTCCTGTTAGAAAGATACACATTTATAAGTCAGGTTTCCTAGAAAACCTCAAATTCTTTGTGACCCAGAAAATGTTGTAATAAAATCAACCTTTTTTTTTTTCTCCCAGAATGCTTCATCTGGAGAATTTCAAAGAGACAACCAACCACCTGTTGTCAATTTCCATTCACCACCCTAAGTGTTAATGTATCTCTGGTTTCCTAAAGGTGAGAGCAGAACGTGTTCATTTTCATCTTTGTTTTTGAAAAACAGAAAGAAAATTTAGAGGTCTGTACCCACCTTCCAGTGAGATGCCTCCTTTCAATTTCAAGAGGTGAGATCTTGGCAGAGATCACTTTTGCCTCTTTCTTCCTTCCTTCCTTCCTTCCTTTCTTTCTCTTTCTTTCTTTCTTTCTTTCTTTCTTTCTTTCTTTCTTTCTTTCTTTCTTTCTTTCTTTCTTTCTTTCTTTCCTCTCTCTCTCTCCCCTTCCCTCCCTCCCTCCTTCCTTTCTCTCTCTCTCTTTCTCTTTCTCTTTTTTTTGAGATGAAGTTTCGCTCGTGTTCCCCAGGCTGGAGTGTAATGGCTCGATCTTGGCTCACTGCAACCTCTGCCTCCCAGCTCAAGCGGTTCTCCTGCCTCAATCTCCCAGGTAGCTGGGATTACAGGCATGAACCACCATGCCCAGCTATTTTTTTTTTTTTTTTTTTGTATTTTTAGTAGGGACAGGGGTTTCAGCATGTTGGCCAGGCTGGTCTCGAACTCTTGACCTCAGGTGATCCTCCCACCTTGGCCTCCCAAAGTGCTGGGATTATAGGCTTGAGCCACCATGCCCGACCCTTCATTTCTAACTCTAACATTTTTATTCTTTATGGTTTTAAGACTGACATGTTATGATTTTTATTAGTTCAGCCTACATTAGGTAATGTCTGAAATAAGGAAAGAACAAAAATTTAATTTGTGAATTATTCTTCAGAATTTGGTTATTCCATAGGAGGCACTGTGTAGTTCGCTGGTTATGATCATGGCTTTTGGTGTCAGATGGTCCTGGGTTTGAATCTAGGTTGTCTCACTTCCTAGCTCCTGACCATGGACAAGTTGCTTAGCCTTTCTGAGCCTCAGTTTCTCATTCACAATATGGATGTTTCAGTTACCTATTGCTGTATAACAAACCTACCCAAAGCTTAGTAGCTTAAAACAAAACCACCTTATGTTTTCTCCAGATTCTATTTGGACAGGGCTCAGCATGGGTGGTTCATCCGTGCCTCACATGGTATTATCACGAACCCTCATAAGGCTGAATTCAGCTGGAAATGGAACATCAAAGATGATCTCATTCACATGAATGGAAGTTGGTGCTGTCAGCCGGGGTGCTTCAGTTTTTATGTAGCCTCTTTTCCTCTCACAGTCTAGACTGCCTTCCTTACAGCATAGCAGCTCGGTTCTATGAGAGAGCAAGAACAAAAACTACCAGACCTCTTTAAAGCCTAGCCCCAGACAGAACAAGCACAACTTCCACTTCATTTTATTGATTATAGCATGTCACAAAGCTCCACCTAATTCAGCAAAAGGGAATAGACTCTACCTCTTGATGGGAAGTATGGCAAAAGATTTACAGCTATTTTTAATTCAACACAATGGGTATACATAATTCTTCTTTTCTCAAAGTGCTGTTATGAGAAGTAAATGAGATAATGCTAGTCAGTAAGTCCTTAATAAGCACAAGCTGTTCATTACTGTTTTACAGTATTGAATAAGTATGAAGCCAATCAAGCTTTGCCATGGAGTACCTGGACCAATCAGTTACCTTGGTTGACTCTTAGTTCCTTCTTGGTATCTCTGGTTCTATTTAACACAATGCACCCGGGTTCTATGGCTCCATAAGAGATGCTCAAATAAAGACTCTAATAGCAAATATTTATTGACAGTGTTCACTGTGTGTCGAGCACTGTTTTAAGCACTTTTGTTACATAACAACCCTACAGTATCAAAGCTAACCTTATTCTGCAGATAGACTAATGAGGCACAGGGAAGGAAACTGACCTGCTAAAGCCACATGCCTAACAGGTAAGGGACCTGGGGTATGGATCTATAAATCAGGAATCCTGACTAACTCCAAAACCCATGTTTGTATGATTTGTTGAATAAGTGAGCCTATAGAATTAATGGGGTTCCTTTTAACTCTAAAATTGTATGATGTTTCCAAGTACAAAATGTATATGTAATCGATGAAATAGTTTCTTGGTACAAAATGCTAAGTTGAGAAATGGAGGCCAATGGGATTTTTTGCTTGACTTGTAGACAGAATAATTCAGAATTTAGCTGTCTACACATTGGCTAATACTCTAGCTATAATTGGTAAGAAATATCTGGATATATGGCTGCATTTTCCACTTTGGATAGTCAACATTGGTTCTTATTTCAAGTGCTTCCCCAATATCCCGACTATTTTCTGTGAAATGGGAATAGTGATAATTCAATGAGATTGAATTCATCACCACTGGCAACTTTGATTAGAGATGAAAGTCTCTGTATAAATGCTAAGTGTTCTTCCCTTTAATTAATTATTGTTATCAGGTACCCTGATTCATTGTTACAGAAACTTAATTTCTGATTGTATCATCTCTTCTGATGCAGTCCTTCTTAAAATGGTGTCTCAGACATTAAGTTATGCTGTCCCTAAACCGCTCATAATCTAGGATAATCTCAGATTTTTTTTCTGCCTGCAAGTTGTCCCCTCCTACTTCTTTCTGAAATAAAAAGTGAAGATGGAAAAGGAAAGCACTCTGTGCCACCTCGGATCCTGCTTTCTGTGACTGGAAGCAAGTAGGCGGGGGCAGGGAATATGAAAAGCATCCCCAAAGCTCAGATTGTGATTTAGCTCATTTTGATGGCATCATTTCACCCAACCCCAGACAGTGCATCTTGTTCGGGTTTCAAGAAGCCTGGGTGGAGGTGGGAATGTAGCTTTGAGTCAGGAGACCAGGAATGTAGCACAGAGGCCCCCACTAACTAGTTGTCTAATCCTTAACAAGTTGCTTTGTCTTTCTGGGCTCATTTTTCTCATCTGTCAAGTCAAATGAAGGTTATGGAATAGATGATCTCTAAAAATCCTTCCAGTGCTACAGTTCTATTCTGGGTCTGTCTGCACCTGCAGACAGTGATGTGGGGGCAGGAAGGGCACTGGGGAGGGCGGCAAATTTAGTCAAGAGAATAAAACACTTTCACCTGGTGCAGCCTTGTGTCCTTGTGTGTGTTGTGCAGTACAGGCTTGTCTCAGATTATCCAAATAATTGACTGAGTTCTCTTCTTTCTTTGCCAGTGAGCACACAGCTTTAGTTTTTTTCTGGGACTAGCAGCTGCTTTTCTGAAATTTCCATCCCAGGGCTTCCGTCCTCCACTGTGTCCTCTCAGAAACCTGTCATGGTTTTTCTGGATGGATGCCCACAGAATTTTAATCCAGACACACACACACACGCACACACACAGAAAGAAAGAAAGAAAGAAAAAAGAAATGAAAAAGAAAGGAAGGAAGGAAGAAAGGGAGTAGAAAAAAAGAAAAAAGTACCATGTATAACAAAAAGCAAAACCAAGTTAAGAGTTGACTTTCTTTTTTAATTTGGTTATTTCATTTGTGCTGCCAACCTGAAGCCATGACTAACCTAAAGCCAGTGAGTTCTCTTAATTACTGGGTTTGTCTATGATGATGCAGAGATGAGGCCCTGTATGCCTTAGGGGCTACCTGGGTCCTGGCACCTCCAAACTCTTGGTAAATGTCTGCTTAATTAAATTCGTTGTTTTCCCAGAATATCCCATTTTCTCCTCCCCCTCCCCCTCCCCCTCTCCTCGTCCTCCTCCTCCTCCTTCTTCTTCTTTTTCTTCTGATGGAGTCTTGCTCTGTCACTCAGGCTGGAGTGCAGTGGTATGATCTCAGCTCACAGCAACCTCCACCTTCAAGGTTCAAGCGATTCTCCTGCCTCAGGCTCCCGAGTAGCTGGGATTACAGGTGCGTGCCACCATGCTTGGCTAATCTTTACATTTTTAGTAGAGACGGGGGTTTTGCCATGTTGACCAGCCTGGTCTCGAACTCCTAACGATCGGCCCACGTCAGCCTCCCAAAGTGCTGGGATTATAGGCATGAGCCACTGTGCCCAGCCAGAATATCCCATTTTATGCCTTTCCTCAATAAGCATTTTCATGTCCAGTAAGGAGGGAGGGATGGAAGTCCCTGCCCGCAGGAAGCTTAGCAGAGTCACCGAAGTTTAAAAGGTGAAGTTATCTAACTCAATTTGTGAAAGATCCTTTGGTGAGCCAGCTAGAAATGCAAATTCCTGGACACTGCTCTCAGATGATCATTCTGTAAGTTTGAAACCCAGGAAATGATTTTTTACTCACCCCCAATCAGCTAGTAGATGAGTGATAAACTCCTAATAAATGCTCATGGCCAGAAATAAATAGCATCATCAGAAACAAGAATTTCATGATTCCATTTCTACTTACTGTTGTTTAGATAAAATTTGTGAAAATTGATGTCTAATAATAAGGATTCCTCGCATTAACATTAAAGTCATTGCTCTGTGTCTTTTTGATACACACATGATCACCTGAAGATTTGGAAAATTCAAAGCAAGTATGGGTTTGGAACTAAAAATGGGGCAGTCTTGTGGGGTGTGGCAAAGAAGAGCATAAATAGCTTTGAAGTCAGGCAGAAGTCAATTCAAATTCTGCTCATACCAGTCTGTGTGACTTGGGCAAGTTACTGAACGTCTCTCTGAGTCTCCATTCTTTCACCTATAAAACCGGAATATTACTACATCTCTGAAGGAGGAGTTCAGATTAAGTGAGTTTATGCATCCAGTAAGTGACTGCTTCATAAATAATTCCCCTGGACACGTTGGCTCACGTCTGTACTCCCAGCTACTCAGGAGGTTGAGGTGGGAGGATCGCTTGAGCCTGGGAATTCGAGGCTACAGTGAGCCGTGATGGTGCTACTGCACTCCAGCCTGGGCGACAGAGCGAGAACCTGTCTCAAAAATAAGTAAGTTTAAAAAACAAACAAACAGGCTGGGCTTTGTGGCTCATGTCTGTAATCCCAGCACTTTGGGAGGCCAAGGCGGGCGGATCACGAGGTCAAGAGATCGAGACCATCCTGGCCAACATGGTGAAACCCTGTCTCCAATAAAAACACAAAAATTAGCTGGGCGTGGTGGCGCGCGCCTGTAGTCCCAGCTACTCAGGTGGCTGAGGCAGGAGAATCTCTTGAACTCGGGAGGCGAAGGTTGTAGTGAGCGTAGATCGCGCCATTGCACTCCAGCCTGGCGACAGAGTGAGACTCCGTCTCAGACAAACAACAAACAAACAAACAAATAGTTCCCCCTTACAACAAAATATGCCACAAGATGAGGGAGGGCAGAAATTTCCGAGGCCAAACTTAAAATTTGCATTTGGGATTTGGCCATACTTTGGCCGTTCTCTGTGGCAGTGAATGCGGCTGCAGACGTCCCAGCGCCGCCATTGCCCACAGGGCGTGTCATTTCTAAGGGCAGCTGTTTGTTCCCTGACTGCCCCCGCCCCGCCCCCCAGCTCCCCCATCTACCTAAAAGAAAATGTAATGGGTTGGGCCATTTTTATTTTTTAAAAAGCTTTCTTCCAGGTCTTTGACCGGGCGCCGCAGGTGTCCGCATGGGTTTCCCAGGCCGCTGCGGCCTTCACCGACAGAAGGAGGCCGTACAGAGGGGTGCGGCCGGGCCGGGGACCCAGAGCCATCTGGGTCCCATTTGGGCCAAGGCTGCGGTTTGGGACTTCCGCCGCCTGCAGGGCTCCTAAAGGGCTGAGGAAGGCCTAGAATCCTCCTGCGCACCCGATCTCGCGTAGTCCGAGGGTCCGACCCCTCCAACCCCTCCAGGGTAGGGGGCAAGGAAGGGCCGGTGTGCCAGGGAATTCGGTCGCACCCCTCCCTGCCCAAGGAGGCCCAGGAGCTCCCTCGGGCCGAGCTCTGCAGGGAAGTGAATGCCCCATCTGCTGCAGGGACCCCCATCAGGAGGACCCGAATCCCAGGGACCCGCACCCGCGACGCGGTAGTGGGAGTCAAGACCCGGCGGCTGCACCCCCGACGGCTTGGCCGCATGGGAGCAAAGCCCTCGGTGCCTCAAGGCGCCAGTCTGGGCTTTTGAGCGTTGCGGGAGGTAACAGGAGAGTTCGCCGGATTTTAACACAATCCCACTCTACATCTTCAGAACAGGGTGGCCGCAAAGTCCCTTACCCCTCTTACCCGTCTCTGCTCCCACCCGCCTCACCAACCCGCCGGAGCAGAGCTCGTAATCAAAGGCACTTTCCCCGGGCGCCCAGTCGGCGTCGGACTTCGAGGGCAGCGTGCGCAGCGAAGCCGGGCTGAGGGGCGATCAGCCCGCTGGGGACCCTGGAAACCCGCCGCCCTGCGGAGAGTAGCTCGGGACAGTTCCACCGCTCCGCCCAGTCAACTAAAGTGGAAGCCTGATGTCGGCCTGCAGGGCCAGAGATGCCCTCCGGAGCTGGGCCAAACCTGGGTGCCCCTAAGTGGCTGGAGGGGTGGCTGGGTGGACAGCGCGAAAGACCCCGCTCAGGGGGCCCCCTCCTGGCTTGGGACGGTAGAGGGGTCCCGCGGGGTGGCGGCGGAGGCAGGGGAGGTGGCGGCGGGGCGGGAGGTGCGGACGGTGCGCGCGTCGCTGCGAGCTGGAGCCCCTAGGGGCCCGCCACACACACTCGCACCCCTCCCCCTCCCGGCCTTCCTCCCACCCGCTCGCCGCGACCCCCTCCCCAACCCCCTCCCCTCCCCCCGCCTCCGCCCCATTCTTGGAATTGTGTGGAAAAATTCTCAGCCAAACCTCCCACCTCTCCTCTCCCCCCACCCACCCCCTTTAAAAAACCCCTTTCCTCCCCGGCCCCTGCACTCTTTGTGAATGAGGGCAGGGAACACGGCCCTTCCCCCGCCCAGGAGCCACGCCAGACCGCCGCACTCAGAGGACTGTTTGTTAATAGTCCAATTAGATAATTGCCATCTTTCACTCCTTTTGCTCCGCATTTCCCATAAAGGAATGAATGGGGAGAGCGGCGTGGAGAGGGCTTCTGCCCCGGCAAGGTGACGAGAAGGGCTGGAGCATGCTCCTTGCACAAGGCCATGCGCTTGAATTGAATCATTGTAGCCTAATCAATGCTCTTATTGGATTACTGGCTGTTGCTTTTCTCAAAGATATTGTAGCAGAGACAATGAAATAGCTAGGGGAAAACTTTTTTTTTTTTTTTTTGAAGCAGATCTCACAGTTGAGATTTCTCGGCCGTCTCTCCCTCTCCCCCTCTCTCTCCTGCTGGACTCTGAGTACAAAGCTGCCCTTTGAATGGGCTGCCTCAGGGCTGCTGGAGGTGCAGGCATGAAAAAATCCAACTGGAACTAAATGAAGAGAGGTGGCAGTTTAAGATGGCTGTCTGCGTCGAGGTGTGTTAAGAAGGAGTTGTTTAGGGGAAAATCTTGGCTTTTTTAGAGTGCAAGGGAGATACTTTTTGGGAAAACTTTCTCCCCCCGCTCTGTCCCCCATCCCCCACTCCCAGACAACTGCTTTCTTCTGCCGCAGGGTGCGCAGGGTTTTTTTTTTCTCCCCCCACACCCCCCCGCCGCCCAACCCTCATTCAGCTCTATCTGGCGAGTGTGGAGAAAACCCCTCTAGCCAGTATGTGAGCAGGAGGGTCAAAGGCAAAAGGAAAGTTAATAATGCCTGCTAATGGTACTAACAATTCAGGATGAATCTTGTCAAAAGTTTTTCTGGAAGTGTGGGTCTTTGATTGTGTGTTTCCTGAAAGCAAGACCAATCATTTCCGTTTATTCACTGGCTAAACCCCTACTTGATTGGGGACAAGGACAGAAACCATCCATTACGATCTGATATATTATCCAAACAATTTAGTGTATTCATGAGGTAACCGAAACGTGGGGGCTGCGAAATTACCCGTAATCAATTGCAACAGCGAGTGTGCGTCCCCCCGGGTGTCGGACAACTACAACTCGCCGTCTCAGAAACAGGCGGGAGCCGCAGCATTTCGGAGTTGCGCTGTTCGCTACCTGATCGCCAGGCTGGGGACACTGGACGTGCTCAGAGGACGCGGGTGCTGACGAGGCGGCCTCGCCGCAGCTCCACCAGGATCCTGGACCAGACTGGCCGCCTCTCGGCGAGCGCGCCACTCTCCCGTCGCCGCTGACCCGCGCGCGGCCGCCGAAGCCTCCCCGCGGGGACATTCATTCTTGCCCCTTGCCTGTCGCCGGGCCGGGCGTACGGGCCGCGTTGTCGGGGGTTTTGTCCCCTTTTTCCTCTTTTTTTTTTCCTTCTCCGCCCCCCCCCCTTTTTTTTTTTTTTGCTTTTTTTTTCCTTTCTGTTTTTGTTGTTGTTCTTGCCTATGTTCGGGAAACCAGACAAAATGGACGTTCGATGCCACTCGGACGCCGAGGCTGCCCGGGTCTCGAAGAACGCGCACAAGGAGAGTCGGGAGAGCAAGGGCGCGGAGGGGAACCTCCCAGCCGCCTTCCTCAAGGAGCCGCAGGGCGCCTTCTCAGCGTCGGGCGCTGCTGAGGATTGTAACAAAAGTAAATCCAATTCCGCAGCGGACCCGGATTACTGCCGCCGGATCCTGGTCCGAGGTAGGGATGGGCAGGGCTGCCAGGCGCGTTCTTTGGGGTCGACTCCGGGGCCGGAGCTGCGCGCTGCCGCCGACACAGGCCGGTGGGAAGGAGTGCCGGCTGGGACTTGGGAGAAAGTTGTTGGCCCTCCCCGCCCCGAGTCCGGCTGGGGACAAGCGCCTGGGACTCTCCGGTGCGCTCTCCAGGGGCCTCGGCCCTCCACGCCCGGAGGGGCCCCGCTGACCGGGCTGCGGGGGGAGATGAGGGGCTGCGCGGGTGCGGCCGGGCATCGGGCTGCGGCCTCCGACCCGGGAAAGGAGCAGAAAACTCCGGGAGGAGGTGTGCGCGCTCCAAGGGCCGGACGACCTGCCGGGAGCCGGCCAGGGGACTCCCGCGCTCTGGAGGGCTGAGCGCACCCAAGGGGGAACGCGAGCCCCGGAGAACAGCTGCCGATCGCGGGCTACGGCCCTGCCAGTTAGTGCACTGGGCCGAGGACCCCACGGCCGCGATCGGTGCCCGACCGCTGCCGCCGGGAGAGGCAGCTGGGCTTGGTTACGGAGCCGCGGTTGCCGCTTTGGTGCTCTGCTCTGCCGCTCTCGGATGGCGCGGCGTGCACTTAGCCCCGGCGGCGGAGGCTGCGAGGCCGGGCCCCGGCCCGGCGCCGCCCCAGCCAGCAGCAGATCTCCGGGCCCGGCCGGCCCCGACTCAGTCCCTCCTCCTTCCGCCGCGCGGACTCCGGAGGGAAGGAGACTCGAGGGTGGGGGTGGGGACGTCTGGATCACGGTCTGGTCGGCAAGCCCAGAGCTGGGGCCCGCAGGACCCGGGCGGGGCGACAAGGGTACCCTCAGGCTACAGGGGACCCGGAAGGCTCAGCCGAGGCCCCCCCAGGCCGGAAGAAACGTCCGCCTATGTGGAATTGATTGGATTTTTTTCTCTCCCCTGTCTGGAGGACTCTACAAAAAGACAAAGTGTGGTCCCTCCTTCGGTCAGCGGTATGGAGTTAGGCCCCTTGCCCTCCACACAGTGTCTTTGCTACCTGGTTGTGGTCGCGCTCCGCACCCCGCCCCCCATCCCCAAAACTGCACGCTTCTGGGGACTGTGTCCCCAAATCCAGCTCGGGCCAAGGAGGTGGAGGGGGACGGGAGGGTTCTGGCGGCTGACATCTCCCCTTCCCCAGATGCCAAGGGGTCCATCCGAGAGATCATCCTGCCCAAGGGCCTGGACTTGGACCGGCCTAAGAGGACGCGCACGTCCTTCACCGCGGAGCAGCTCTATCGGCTGGAGATGGAGTTCCAGCGCTGCCAGTACGTGGTGGGCCGCGAGAGGACCGAGCTCGCCCGGCAGCTTAACCTCTCCGAGACCCAGGTACCCGGCGACCAGGCCGCACACAGTTCTGCACCAGCCTTCCTCCCCACCACCCCTACCTAGCCTGCTCTTCACCTCCTAACCTGCTCTGGACAGAACTACCCTTGGGAGGTGGAGGAGATGGGAAGGATGGGTAAGACAGGCCTAAGGATTCCTTCCCCTAGATAATACATCCTTTCCCCCCACCATTCCTGCCATCCCCAAATCCTCCAGGGCCCATGTTTTATCCACCTTGGCCTAGGCCCAGAAGGCCCCAAATCCTGTCCTTTTGGAATTTTTATTGTCCCCCGGTTTTGAGCATTTCCTTCGAGCTTCTGCTCTACAAAGAACTGACTTTTGCCCTTGTTTGGGGTACCCCATTTTGGCTAGATTTCTAGGCCCCACCCCTTGTGGGCCCACCCAGCTGTACTCAGCGTCCAGGCCCATTCTACAGGAGTGAGGCTAGATCTAACACCCCCTGCCCCAGCACCATGGGTGATTCCCAGGAATTAGGTGTACGCCCTCCTGGAGATCTGCCTGTGCAGATCAGGCTGCCCTGACCCTTAAAGGAAGGCTTTCCCCATTCTGAGCTGGCCCCAGCCCTGAGCACCTAGGAGACCCTGTCTTCTGGGCCAGTGATGTGTGAGGTGTGTGATGGGAAGGAGATCTAGGACCCAGAAGCCAGTACTGCTGATTGTGCTTTAGATCTTTCCCTTTACATTAAATCCATATGATGCCCCTTGGAGCTGGCCATGTGGGCTCTGGGCCCAGGAGAGGACCCAAGAACTTGCCAAGTGGCATGTCACCAGCTTGGCCTAGCTACGGCAGCCTTCTTTCTGAAGACTGATCCTTTTCCCCATGCCCAACCCTGAAGCAGGTGGAGAGCATTTTAGGTCCGGGATCTGGGCTGAAAGCTGAGGACTGACAGAACAGATAGGGGTGTTCTTTTTGAGTTTGAGTTGGTATGGTAGCTTTTTCTATTCTCTCTGCTACTACTCCTCTTAGTTTATAAAATCTAGATAGGATAGTCTTTGCCTATTGCTGCAAAACTCTTCTGGGCCACTGCTAGGCCTGCAGAGGGGCAGAAGAATGAGAGGGGAGGTTAGTGGGGAATATTCAATCCACCTCAGCCTCCTGACTTTCTCCCATGATTCCAAGTTCATGACTCAGACCAGTGGAGAGATAAACTAAGAGTATCACCAGACCCTTCAATGCAGCTATCTGGTGAGAAGAGGTGCAGAAATCTCGGTCTACATAAAGTCTCCCGCACATATTATTCTCCTGCAGCCACTTTCCCTGCTTGCTGCTAGCTAATGGTCACGTCTTAAGCAGGAAATGGTCCTTTGTAGCCTTCACCAGGAGTAGTGCTTCTAGGACTAAATCCGAGCGCATTGGGCCAGGGGCCTGGGTCCAGAAAGGCTGGGCAATACTCCCTCCCCGCCTCTCTTCCCACTTCCCTCTTCCTTCTTCCCTCTTCCTTCACCGCACCCGCACCCTAGGGCCTCACACCCTCCACCGGAAATTCCGGCTTTGGGACTGCACTGATTCACACATCTGTGAGCCCCAAACACCGCTGCGGGGTAGCGCGGAAGCCAGTGAAACCCTTTCCGGTCTTCCTTCGAGTTCCTGCCGTGGGCATTTTATTACTTTGTTCTGTGTAAGCGGCGCCTGCCTGGGCCTGCTTCCCTGACCCGGAAGCGCAGCCCGGTGGAGCAGCTGTGTCCCCCTCGTGGCGGCGCCAGCTCCCCCAGCAGCGCCCCGGCCCGGACCCCTCCGGCTGCTGGGTGGGGCTGCGGATAGGGCTGGGACTTGGGGAGAGCCCCGGAGCCGCGCGCCCCGGGAGCTCGCTTCCTTTGACGCTGGTCTTCCCTGCCCCTCTCTCCAACTCTCCCCGCACCCCGGCGCGCAGGTGAAGGTCTGGTTCCAGAACCGGCGCACCAAGCAGAAGAAGGACCAGGGCAAGGACTCGGAGCTACGCTCGGTGGTGTCGGAGACCGCGGCCACGTGCAGCGTGCTACGGCTGCTGGAGCAGGGCCGCCTGTTGTCGCCGCCCGGCCTGCCTGCGCTGCTGCCGCCTTGCGCCACGGGCGCTCTCGGCTCAGCGCTGCGCGGGCCCAGCTTGCCGGCCCTGGGCGCGGGCGCCGCTGCAGGCTCGGCCGCCGCAGCCGCCGCCGCCGCCCCGGGCCCAGCGGGCGCTGCATCCCCGCACCCGCCGGCTGTGGGCGGTGCTCCAGGTCCCGGGCCCGCCGGGCCGGGGGGATTGCACGCAGGCGCCCCGGCCGCGGGCCACAGCCTCTTCAGCCTGCCGGTGCCCTCGCTGCTCGGCTCCGTCGCCAGCCGCCTGTCCTCCGCCCCGTTAACAATGGCTGGTTCGCTAGCTGGGAATTTGCAAGAACTCTCCGCCCGATATCTGAGCTCCTCGGCCTTCGAGCCTTACTCCCGGACCAACAATAAAGAAGGGGCCGAGAAAAAAGCGCTGGACTGATTTTAAGTGTTTCCCTGTATTTATATTTATAGTATCTATTGTGGTGATATTTATGGACTCACGCGCATTAGGTGCCCAGAGCTCCTGCGCTGGGCTCCTGGCTCCCACCAGGCCTCTGACAGCTCTCCTTTCCCACTAGACTCTGCTACCAATTTCATCTCATTCGGGCTATTTTTTTTTTCTACTACCTTTCCTCTGAGATTCCTCCCCAACCCCCAACTTCCTTCTGAATCCAGGAGCGATCCAAAGAATTGGGAAAAATGCCCGAGTTAGTCAACCTGATGCCCTGACCCCGTGCCCAGCCCAGGAGGGAAAAGACTGGTTCTAACTCCAAAGCACAGGACGTTTGCTCTAGATCCGCGGCTGCTGCGGCTGCTGCCGCTGCCGACTATTCCTAGGAATATTTGAAAGAGGAAAACTGCGCGCAGACCCCAGGGGCTTCCAGGTTTCTTTAGACCAAAAAAGGAGGACGTTCCTTCCTCTTGCCAGGGAAACCAGGGCTTGTGGGAGCCCCTGGGCCCCGCTTTGCGGACCTCTCGGGATAGTCGGTACACAACACAGCTTCCTGGCGGGCAAATCCTGCGGTTTTTCTCCCCTTTAGGGCAACTCCAATCACAACCACCCCCGACCCCAGGAAACAGTAACAAACGTCGTAGTAGGCAACGACACTGATAAATTTGATCTAATCAGCAATAAAAGCAATTGCTACGTAAAACCAGATGAAGTGGAACCAGTTTTTAAATACTTCCAATGATGAAATTTGGAAGGTGTAAGAAAATTCAGGATACAGAATGCCCCACAGGGCAATGCAAAATTAAGGTTCTGGGTGTTGTAACTTTAAACAGGAATTTAATGGGGGAAAAGCAAAGGAAAAGGTAACGCCGCTAATCAAAGGAAATTCAGAATCTTTTCTCCGAGCCTGTTCGGGGCGGTGGCCGACAGCTTCCCACTCCTCCAGGAAAGAGCAAAGCGGCTGCCGGCGGTAGCCTGCGCAGCCGGCGCTTCACCCTACGGCCTCCCAGGCGCGTAGCTTCGGGCACAATTGCTCGGTTTGGAAAACGAGTCAGCACTCATTGCCTCCTCTCCCAAACACCCGGATTCACAAAACCCTTCCTGCACGCAGGAAACGTCTGGATTTCTGAGCAGTTCTTTGCGGAAGGGGAGGCAGGGACGCCGCTGGGTGGTCGGGCCTCCTCTAGCAGTAGTCTCGGAGTCCAGATAGCGTCTTGTGTGATTGATAGGAAAGACACTCCCCTCGCCTCCCCAGTCTTAGGGTTTCAGTGGTCCCAAATCAGAACACGAACCGCGACACCCTCTTTCCTTACCCTGCGCAGCGGCGATCGTCCCTACAGCCACGGCCACCCACATTTTAACCAAAATCACAGACCCAGACTGCGAGGTGCCGCAGTGTCTAGAATGTATTCATCCATCTGAAGCAAGCGAAAAACACTTTTTTAAAATAGTAATTTTATTGTAAATTATTTACGTCGGAAACTCTCCCCCTCTTTTTCATCTTTTTTTTTTTTCTAGGCAAATAGTGAAGAAAATAATGAACGATTCAAACGCGGGTAGGTGTCACTGAATCCAGGCTACTAACTTTGTTCTGAATGTTTTGGATATTTGGATGTTTTGTATTTATGTGGTGAGAGTGAAATATATATATCTATGATGATAAATGAGGTGTATTTTTGTCTTATATTTGAAGGATAAAAAAACAAAAGAAGAAAAGGAAGAAAGAGCCAGCAAATGATGAGTCTCGGCGTGGGGACTCCGGGGGCAGAGGGTGGCAGCCCCTATAGTGCGGGGCCCTGCGACTGGTACCGTGAGCGCCTGGGATGAGGTTTGGGCGGATTTCGGGTTTCCGGAGAGGCAGAGACGCCTGGCTACGACGATTTGTTCCACTTCCTTGAGTGTTTCGCTCTCGATTTCTCTATCTGTCCCTCTGAGGTCGGCCCCTCAGACCCTCCTCCTTAATTTCCCACTGCGTAATTCTTAGTTTATTTAGGAACTCATCTCTGGGCACTATAAAGTCTCTGCCTCCTAATGCTAGGTTTCTAGAGTCTTCCAGCTGCATCTTCATGCCGGCAGCATTTTGGATTTTGTGCAATCATGGGCCCAGAATAGGCAAGGTTTTATTTTCTTCTGACTTAGAATATAAGTCTCGCCATCGTCAAAGAGAAACTTTGAAGGAGCAGGAGACTGAAATCGATATTAATTCCTGCAAAGAGACCTCCTCACCCTGGTGCTTATGCGGTGGTGACGGGTGTAGACGTTGCAAACAAATCTTGGGAAGCGAGGAGGGCCGGGGAGGACACTTCCGGACACGCTCTTCTAAAGCGTGTGCAGCACGGGGCGAAGTCCGCGCTGCGGGGGCAGCGGCCCCGGCTCCTTCTTGTAGCGCCTGCACACCTGGGTGTTGCAGGGACCCGCAGCTCCCGTGCGGCACCGGCCCTAGCCAGGCCTTACTGCCCCTACTCGTGTACTGTGCCTGAAGCTGAAGTTGGAGGCATCCAAAATAAGGCGGGGCACAGTGTGGGCGGCGGAGTCCCTGAGCCTTGAGCTCCGCTTTTTGCTGAGATCACAGCAGCCGCCCACAGACAGTTCACTTTTATTTCTCAAAGTTGCTGCAGATCCCTCAGCTTGGCTTCTCTTGGCTCTTCCCCTCCCTGTCCGCCTCTCCTTACTTTCTCTTGCTTGAAACTGCTTTTCCTTTTCTACTCTTTTCTTCCGCGCTCCTGTCCCGTAAACGCCTGCGCTTCCTTTAAGGAGTTCTCTCTCTGTGGTGTGGGCTCCCCTCTCGTTCCCCCTGTCTCCCTCCTCCATTACTTCTTCCTTCCAGGTCTCTCTCTCTCTTTTGGTTTTCTGGTTTTTTTCTCCTGCTCAAGGGGTCCCAAAGGCCAAGGCAGTGGGTGGCTCTCGCTGCAGCTTCAAGGCTGGTGGCTGGGACCCTCCAGGGGTGAGAAGGAAGGGAGAAGGTGGCATAACTTTTTGGAACAAAAGAAAACACAAAATCCTAGCTTGGGATTCCCAACAAATTCAGCCTCCTCTCCCAGGGGCCTCAGCCTGGGAAGTCACCAAGCAGATCCCTCCTTCCAGCTTCCTGCTCTTTCTCCTTTTTGCTTTCTTACCCCTGAAAGAGGGAAGGACAAGTCACCTCATAACTTCTGCTCTCACCTCCCTTCCCTCCCTGGCTTTGGGAAGAGCTGCTGAGCTCTTTGCCTGCCACTCAGGGAGTGCAATTGTTCTTAAAGAGCCTCTTCTGCATAGAAAAAGAATTGCAATTTTAATTTAAAAACATTTATAGAAAATTCATTTAATTTTAGTGACTATCTTCTTTTCCCTCCTTCCCCAAGGGCCTCCAGTAAGCTGCCTTGGTCCCTGGAGGCTTCTGGCTTCCAACTGGAGACTCACAGGCCTTGGAGGAGGAGGCAGGTACCCTCTATGCCAATAGCTGGGCCTGCCTGGGGAAAGGTGGAAGGAGAAACAGCTGCAGGAGGGGGGAGCTGAAAGGAATCTGATGCTCAGGCCTGCACAAAGCAACCGCCAAATTGTTTCAGAGCAGAAAAGAAAAAGGGAGAAAACCTCTTAGCAAAGCCCTGTGAGTTTGGGGGTCAGGTTCAAGAAAGATGTGGGAAGTCACTTGGAGAGCTAAACGGGACACATGCTCCTATCCACACTTGCAGTTGGTCTAACCTTCAGCCAGAATGTATTCATAAGTAGCATTTGGCAACCCTTTATAGTTTACAAATAGCATTTTACATACACCATTCTACTATTCCTCATGGTGGCTTTGGGAGGTCCAGCTCCGTTTTAAAGACTCACACAGGACTGAAGCAAATAACTTGCTCAAAGCCACATAGCTGCTCAGAACCCAAGATTGTAAGCTCCCCCTAGGGCCAGAGGCCTCTTTCTTTCAGTTTTTTTCTTTCGTCCCCCTTTGACCCCTCTTTCCTTCTTCCCTTTCTCCCCTCCTTCCTCCTTTCCTTCTTTTTGTGCCCACAGTGTCTGGATCATGGTACCTGAATTCTTTAGCCTATTTGCACCCACATCTGCTAATGTCCATATCTAGCCATCTATTACACCAGCTGCTGAGGATTTACTTGGTGCCCTCATCAAGAAGTTTGAATTTCTCCCTCCTTCCTTTTTTTTTCCTGCCACTGTCCCAACTCTTTCCCTCTACGTCTCTCTAGAATGACATCTTTAAACCCCTTACACTCTTTGGTCTTACACATCCTTAAAAATGATTATTTATAAATTGAATTATAATATCCATGAGGTAAACACTCATAGGGTAAAGTACACAAAGCTTAACTATACAAGTTGATGATTTACACACACACACACACACACACACACACACCCCTTCTTGAATGGCTCCAAGGATACCCTTTTAACTTCTTCCCTTCAGCCACATAAGCCATATGATGACACACAGTGTCTTTCTCCTGTTTGAAAAGAAATTGTGTCATATTGGTGTGCTGTTCTTGCATAGAAAGCCTTTTTTAAGAAGTCTTTTTAAGATTTCTTGAAGGATTTTAGAAATCATATATCTCTTCTAACCCCCTGAAATCCTGAGTTTAAGTGGCTTGATTAAATGGCTGATCAAAACTTAAAAACACACTAGGTCAATGTTTTTCAAGATACAACTGAGGACCAGCTGCTTCAGAATCATCTGGGGACTGGCTAAAATTCCAGGTTCCTAAGCCCTAGTCCCATCTGATGAATCAGAAACTAGGTTGGGGCTTAGGAACGTGCATTTTAAACACTTTTCCAAAGTGATTCTTATCCAGACTAATATTTGAGAAGTACTGTATTAAATGGCAAACTCCCAAAACACTGCAGCCTCCTGCATCTGGCCCAGGGCCTGGCATTTGGTAGGAATACAATGAATGTTTGTTAAACAAATTAATCCACAGTTTCTGACACAGTTTAGAATTTCTTGGACCACATTATGCTATTGTAATTTAACACCATTTCTACGTCGGGAAATCTTTACATTTCAGTCTTTTTCATTTTCATGGAGGTTTCATTTTAATGGAGCAGGAGAGAAAAGAGAGATCTACTTTGGTGGTTTCTCAGGTCTCAGGGAAGGTCTTTTATAAACTCAATGGGGACCACCTTCCTGGAGAGGCTGCTCCCTTACAGACCTGGTAGTTTGGGGAAAGGAGGAGGAGAGCCCTTCAGGTTTGCTGAAAAGCATTCAGATGCACACCCTTCTTGGTTGGAACTGAAAGCTTCTGTTTGAAGAGACATGAGTTCTGGAAGGAGCAAGGCCACCAGGTCCAGAGAACCTGGCATGCAATGGACATGGAAGCTGAAAATTACTTGGGTATTCTCTGATTTCTAGCTAATATGAAAATAATTTTCTTTCTAGAAACACATTTGCCTATCTTCTTACCCTGAAACAGAAAATAAATATTGTGCTTTATGTGGTAGTGTTGTACCCATTCTTAAAAATAAATCACATCATATATATGTGTAAAATATATATAAAATTTTTCATGTAAAAGTTTTCTTCATATAAAAAAGTCTGTTATGTGTGTTAACAACATAACATGTATAGCAATAACACATACACATATACACACATATAAACACATACATAGCATTCCCTGGTATCATACAATGTGTAGTATGCTGGTTTAATGCACAGAGAAAAAGTAATTCATCTTAATGGTTTCTAGTTATGGTTCTGGAGTCAGAATGACTTGGGTTCAAATCCCAGATACACCACTTAATAGCTGTGTAATCTTGGACAAATTAGTCATCTGGCTGCTCCAAACCTATTTCCATGTATATCAAATGAAAGTAATAATGGCACCTACCTCATAGGATTGTCATGGTTGTTTAGTTGGATAAAGCATCTAAAGCATCTAGTACAAGCCTAGGATAAGTTATATGCTCAAATATTAGCTATTTATTATAAGACTGTGATTGAGATAGCTGACTATCTGAGAGTCTCTCTGGGCCTCAGTTTCCCCATCTGTAAAATGACGGTGTTGGCCTAAAGTCCTTTCCTGAGGAAGGGGAACGTGATTGGGTCAGGCATAATGGAATTTACTCCCCCTGCCTTTAGACTTGGTATCACAGCCATTAGTAAGCACAGCATCTCTACCAAAATGCTAAATTATTATTTTAATGACTTGGCAGACAGCTCTCAGCTGTCTGTTCATTGGAGACTGCCTCATCTGAAGAGAGCCACTGTACTCAAGTGGTTTCCAATGACTTTCCAGGGTGGTTTCCAATGACTGGTAGACCTGGGGATAAGCCTGGTTCTTGCACCCCAACTTTGGATATATTTGAAGACTCATCCCATCTTCTAAACTCTTAGAAGGAATGGCTGAGGCCTCTGTTGGGATCCCTATGCAGTTTGACTTCTGTCCAGTACTGCTTCCTTCCTTTCCCTTCTACATTGTTGAGCTTGAAGCACTCCTTAGTAAACCTCCTACATGCTAATTTCCTCAGTTCTTGAGTCAACCAATTTCAATGGAAAGGTATGAGAAGGAGAATGCTAAGAGCTGGGAATGGAGAGGAAGCAGTGAGGATGGCTGAGTGCAAGTAGTGGGAGAAGAGGCAGGAATGCAGGCAGCACCTGGAATACCACGTTGATAACACTTGGATTTTGCCATCAGGGCGATGAGGAGCCACTGAAAAGTTCTCCCAAGGAGATCATGGAATCATTGTAGTTCTCATTTTACAAGGTCTCTCTGGCAATCTGGGGGAGAATCCCAGAAGAGGTGGCATGGGAACAGGAGTGCACGGATTCTGAGGCAGATGCCAGTTAGTGAGTACACTTCCATAGGAACAGGAGAGCAAGAGAGGATGATGGTGATGCGATGATGGTGGGGGTAGGGGATGGGGGTGAGGGTTGCTTGGTGAAGTGGCAGCAGAAATGGAGAGGAGAAATGGTTTCAAGGCATTTTGCTTAAATAAAACCAACAGATCTTACTGTCTGACTAGAGGTGCCCGGTGGTAGCATTGATATCAAGATCGGGTCCGAGTGGAATTTTGAAACCATTTTCCTTGTATCAGAGAGGGAATTTGATCAGAGAGCCTGAAGCCAATAAGGGTTTAGTGGGGGTACTGGAGGCCGAGTTGGCTCCAAAGCTGGGGAGATACCTGTGAATTGGGGCAGAGGCCTCAGCCCGGAAGGCAGGAGGGCCCAAGGGCGGGAAAGGCGTGGAGCCTGCGCCATGTGAGCCATTTGGCATGCACAATGGGGCATGCGTGCTAGGAGGCGAGGCGAGGGGCATGCGTGCTAGGAGGCGAGGCGAGGGGCATGCGTGCTAGGAGGCGAGGCGAGGGGCATGCGTGCTAGGAGGCGAGGCGAGGGGCATGCGTGCTAGGAGGCGAGGCGAGGGGCATGCGTGCTAGGAGGCGAGGCGAGGGGCATGCGTGCTAGGAGGCGAGGCGAGGGGCATGCGTGCTAGGAGGCGAGGCGAGGGGCATGCGTGCTAGGAGGCGAGGCGAGGGGCATGCGTGCTAGGAGGCGAGGCGAGGGGCATGCGTGCTAGGAGGCGAGGCGAGGGGCATGCGTGCTAGGAGGCGAGGCGAGGGCCAGGTGCTAGGGCTAGAAAGGAGGCAGGGCTGGCGCTCTAGGGACTCCTGGAGCTCTCCTCCTGTGAGCCTGGACCCGGCACCTCACGCAGCCCATCTCCCACAGCTTCCGTCGACGGAGGCCGGGGCCTCACCAGGAAAGTGGTAAGTTAGGCCTGCTTTGACGGTTTTAGCGGCAGGGCCCCGACCCACGCTGAGTCCGGCTCCCGTGCTCTCTTGCCAGCACGGGCAGAAATAGGGACTGAAAATACCTTCCTGGGTCCGGCCCTTAAGACGCCAGCTGTGACCCAAGGCAGTGGAGCGGCGGGAAGTGACGTCAAGCGGCGGCAGCGCCCCCTGAAAGGCCCCTGCCAGCACCTAGCGCTCCGCCCTCCAGACCCACGCCCTTGACCCCCGGCTTCTTGCACTGAGGGAAGCAGCGGCATGGGGGCTGAGGGGCTTGCTAAGGGTGCACAGGACGGACGGAGTGCCAGGTTTTTGTTTTGGTTTCCTTCCCTTGCGTCTCATGGGTTAGATAAGACTGCCATGTGTTAGATCGGTGGCCAGAAAGTCAGGTCATCAGCCCATTTTACTGAGGGTCTGGCTTAGTCCCTTCCCGGGAAGAGCTAAAGGCAAATTCAGTTTTCTGTCCTAGTTGTCAGCTGATGCGAGGGAAAGTAAGCACAGTGGAGTGGGAGCATTATTGGCAGGGATGGGCAGACAGCCTGTAGAATTCTGAGATGATCAAGAAGGTATTTGGGTTCTTAACCAGGGCATCCCAGGGAGAAACGGAGGGGAGAGAAAAAGAAAAGGAAATGATGTGAAGGAGGTGGGGGTCTCACATCGAGTAGAGGTGTAAGATAAGGCTTGCAAAGTGGCCTGGTCAAGGAAGGGCCTGAAGACCAAACTAAAGATCTCTATTCTGTAGGTGAAGGGGAGGTTTTGGGCAGGGTAACGATGGGAGGAAAGCCCAGTTACAAGATGAGATGGGTGCCGACAGGTGAGAAAGGTTAGTAAACAGATTGGTGTCGAGGTCTGGGATTAAGCTGCAGGTGGGGAGGATAGAAAGTAGGTAGGTGTCTCATCAGTGATGGGATGAGAAACAAGTTAGTTAACACATTAATGCCAACATTTGTTTCTAGACATCACCATTATTTTCGTTTTAAGATCCTCTTTCCCTGAGCTGCCTATGACCGTCTCTGTTCAGAGACCAGTGGGAGGGTGGCAAATAAGTTCAACTCTAGTGCTAAGTTGAATTATTTGATGGTAGCTGCCTGGGGATACTAAGTTGTGGAGGATTCTGAGGCCTCCGTGGAAAAGTATGCTGATCATTAGTGATGTCTGCCAGCATCGGAGGGGTTCTTGCAATTCTGAGACAAATATAAGTGGCTTTGAGGCCAGGTTGCTTCCCTAGGTTCTGAGTAAGGAGCTGGGTCCATGTTTGGCTCAGCAATTTTTCTTAGCCTGGGCAGGTCATGGCAGAGTAGGAAGCTGTTTCCAAGTAACTCGGGGCAAGGTTCCCGCAGCAGGTATCCCAGTCATCACCTTAACCCCCACAATATAGCAATAGTAGGAAAACTTGGGCTTTGAATTCCACCTTTGACTTTTATTGGCCATGTGAACTTAGGCAAATAACTTCTTTCAGTCAGAATCCTCATCTGTAAATAGAATTATTACTTTTATTTTATCTTATTTTTTGAGACGGAGTCTCACTGCATCGCCCAGGCTGGAGTGCAGTGGTGCGATCTCAGCTCACTGCAACCTCTGCCTCTGGGGTTCAAGCAATTCTCCCTGCTTCAGCCTCCTGAGTAGCTGGGATTACAGGTGCCCACCACCACGCTCGGCTAATTCTTGTATTTTTAGTAGAGATGGGGTTTCACCACGTTGGCCAGGCTGATCTTGAACTCCTGACCTCAGGTGATCGACTCACCTCGGCCTCCCAAAGTGGTGGGATTACAGAGTAATTCAATGAGAAAAGCAAAGTGCAGCCTGTTTTAAAGATGTAGAGCCTGAGACATGGAGAATCAATGTGTCAGTGAAGGGATTATAATTTGAACTTTATTTTTCTGAGTACTGGTATACCACTCTGAACATGATGCTTAACTCCTGAGTTTTGCTTCACTGTCAAATGTGCTCTACCCTCAAGCTTTTCCTCTGAATTCAGGGTCCACTTTTTTCATTGCCTGAGGCTCATTAACCCCCAGGTTAGAGTCAGGACCATCAGTGACACATCTGAAGTTTGGCTTTTTTTTTTTTTTTTGAGACATAATCTTGCTCTGTCACCCAGGCTGGAGTGCAGTGGTGCAGATCATGGCTCACTGCAGCTTCAACCTCCCAGGCTCAAGGGACCCTCCCACCTCAGCCTCCTGAGTAGCTGGGACTGCAGGCATGCACCACCATGCCCAGCTATTTTTTTATTTTTTGTAGAGACAGTGTCTCACTGTATTGCCCAGGCTGGTCTTGAACTTCTAGACTCAAGCAATCCTCCCACCTTGGCCTCCCAAAGTGTTCGGATTACAGGTATGAGTCACCGTGCCTGGCCAGCAATTTTTTTTTTTTTTTTTGTGAGACAGGGTCTTGTTCTGTCACCCAGGCTAGAGTGCAGCTGCAGCAATGTGATCTCGACTCACTGCCTCTCGGGTTCAAGCAGTTCTCGTGTCTCAGCCTCCCTAGTAGCTGGGATCACAGACATGCACCACTACGCCCAGCTGATTTTTTTTTGTATTTTTAGTAAAGATGGGGTTTCACCGTGTTGACCAAGCTGGTCTCGAACTCCTGGCCTCAAGCAATCCACCCACCTTGGCCTCCCAAGGTGTTGGGATTACAGGCGTGAGCCACCGTGCCTGGCCAGCAATCCTTTTAAGAGTACTCTGGCAGTACATTAGGAACAGTAATCAAGCATGCAAAATTAGGTAGAGATAATTTGGAATGTAGGTAGATGTTGGGTGACCCCCAAGGTCAGGGGTCACTTATGTCATTATTGGAAGTTAAGGGGTGTTAATTACTCACTACCTTTTCTTTCTGTCTCAAATCAACTGCAAACTAGGTGCCACATAGGGTTCCAAATTTAAGTGGCATCAAATGGCTCTCAAAGTTGTCTCAAAGTTGTCTCTTCTGGAATTGAATTTACCTGTCTAGTCACAGGTAGAGAACGGGAAAATGAAGAGTGGAAAGGGATAGAACCCCTGCCTTTTAAAGAACCCACGTATTGGGAGGCCGAGGCAGGCAGATCACCTGAGGTCAGGAGTTTGAGACCAGCCTGACCAACATGGAGAAACCCCATCTCTACTACAAATATAAAATGAGCTGGGCTTGGTGGTACATGCCTGTAATCCCAACTACTTGGGAGGCTGAGGCAGGATAATTGCTTGCACCCGGGAGGCAGAGGTTGCAGTGAGCCGAGATCACACCATTGCACTCCAGCCTGGGCAACAAGAGCGAAACTCCATCTCCAAAACAAAACAACCCATGTAGTGGTTCAGTGAATGGTAGTGCTCACCAATCAGATTATCTTCTTACTTTTCTCTTGAATTGTAAGAGTCAGAGGCAGAGTCACCTTTCTCAGAACTTCCCTAAGAGGGTAGAAGCATTGGCTAAACTGCCTTGTATAAAAATGTAATAAAGTACTTTAATTATTATTTTTCTTAAGTTTAATAGTATATGAAGAGGTTGAGAGTTCTCACTGTTCTCTTGAAGTTGTTTTTACTGTTGGAATTGCTGTTCCTAGATTGGTACATAGTAGACAATTTAACATTTGTTGGACTGATTGACTGGAATCACAAAGTTAGTTTATTAGGACAGCTTATTTGGGTCCCTAGGATTTCATAAGTCATGTCATGAAAATATATCCTTAAAAGTATTGTCCTAAGAGATGTGAGGTGATGCCTCATTGTGGTTTTGCTTTGCATTTCCCTGATGATTACTGATGTTGAGCACTTTTTCATATACCTGTTTCAACTAACTATGGATCGAAAATATTTTAAAAGACAATAGGGCCAGGTGCAGTGGCTCACACAAGTAATCCCAGCACTTTGGGAGGTGGGGGTGAGAGGATCGCTTGAGCCCAGAGTTTGAGACCAGCCTGGGCCACAAAATGAGACTCTGTCTCCACCAAAAATAAAAACGTTAGCTGGGTATGGTGGCATGTGCCCGTGGTTCCAGCTATACGGGAGGTTGAGTTGGGAGGATCACTTGAGCCCAATAGGTTGAGGCTGCATGAGCAGTAGCAGTGTTCATGCTACTGCACTCCAGCCTGGGTAACAGAGTGAGACCATGTCTCAAAACAAACAAACAATAAATAGCAATATGAAAATAAAAAATAAAGTAAATACAAATACAGTACAACAATTATTTACATAGCATTTACATTGTATTAGGTTATTATGGGTAATCTAGAGATGATTTATTTCTTTATTTATTTTTATTTTATTTTTATTTTTTGAGATGGGGTCTTGCTGTGTCGCCCAGGCTGGAGTGCAGTGGCGCGATCTCAGCTCATTGCAAGCTTCTCCCCCTGGGTTCACGCCATTCTCCTGCCTCAGCCTCCCAAGTAGCTGGGACTACAGGCGCCTGCCACCACGCCTGGCTAATTTTTTGTATTTTTAGTAGAGACGGGGTTGCACTGTGTTAGCCAGGATGGTCTCGATCTCCTGACCTCGTGATCTGCCAGCCTTGGCCTCCCAAAGTGCTGGGATTACAGGCGTGAGCCACCGCACCCAGCCAAGATGATTTAAAATATACAGGAGGGTGTGTGTAAGCTATATGCAAATACCATGCCATTTTACATTAAGGACTTGGACATCCTCTGATGGGGGTGTTCCTGGAAACCACCCCCATTCATACTGAGGTATGACTGTATATAAAACATGTATAAAATTTATAATTTTTTTTTTTGAGTCAGAGTCTCACTCTATCGGCCAGGCTGGAGTATAGTGGCATGATCTCAGCTCACTGCAACCTCCGTCTCTGGGGCTCAAGCAATTCTCCTGCCTCAGCCTCCCAAGTAGCTGGGATTACAGGCGTGTGCCACCATGCCCGGCTAGTTTTTTATATTTTTAGTAGAGGCAGAGTTTCACCATGTTGGCCAGGCTGGTCTTGAACTCCTGACCTCAGGTAATCCTCCCACCTCGGCCTCCCAAATTGCTGGGATTACAGGCGTAAGCCACCACGCCTGGCCCAAAATTTAGAATTGTATACGTAATCTATAGCTATAAAATGTACACAAAATATAGATTATAGGAGATTATACATGTAATCTCCTTTGATCTTCATAATATCTTTTTTAAACAATTTTTTTATCGATGCATAATAGATACATAGTTTTGGGGTACCTGTGATAATTTAATACATTTATATAATTTGTAAATGGGCATGGTCATTCATGCCTGTAATCTCAGCACTTTGGGAGGCTGAGGCAGGCAGATCACCTGAGGTCAGGAAGTTGAGACCAGCTTAGCCAACATGGGGAAACCCCGTCTCTCCTAAAAATACAAAAATTAGCTAGGCATGTTGGCACACTTCTGTAATCCCAGCTACTAGGGAGGCTGAGGCAGGAGAATCGCTTGAACCTGGGAGGTGGAGGTTTCAGTGAGCTGAGATCGTGCCACTGTACTTCAGCCTGGGCAACAGAGCAAGACTCTGTCTCAAAAAAAAAAAAAAAATCAAATCAGTGTACTTGGGATATCTATCACCTGAAATATTTGTCTTTTCTTCTAGCTATTTTGAAATATACCATAGATTACTGTAAATTATAGTCACCCTGCTCATCTATCTAACACTAGGTTCTGTTTCTTCTACCAAACCATAGATTTGTTGTTTTTACTTTTTTATTTTTAATTTTTGTGGGTACATAGTAGGTGTATATATTTATGGGATACATGAGATGTTTTGATATAGGCGTGCAATATGTAAAAATCACATCATGGGGCCAGGCGCTGTGGCTTACGCCTGTAATCCCAGCACTTTGGGAGGCCAAGGGAGGCGGATCACAAGGTCAGGAGTTTGAGACCGGCCTGGCCAATATGGTAAAACCCCGTCTCTACTAAAAATACAAAAAAATTAGCTGGGCGTGGTGGCGGGTGCCTGTAGTCCCAGCTACTCAGGAGGCTGAGGCAGGAGAATCGCTTGAACCCAGGAGGTGGAGGTTGCAGTGAGCCGAGATCACGCCCCTGCACTCCAGCCTGGGCAACAGAGCGAGACTCAGTCTCAAAAAAAAAAAAAAAAATCACATCATGGAAAAATGGGATATCCATCCCTCAAGCATTTAACCTTTGTGTTACAAATAATCTAATTATACTCTTTTCAGTTATTTTTAAATGTACAATTTATTATTTACTATAGTCACTCTGTTGTGCTATCAAATACTAGGTCTTATTCATTCTTCCTATTTTTTTTGTACCCATTAACCATCCTTACCTGCCCCACTGCTCCCGACTACCCTTCTCAGCCTCTAGTAACCATTCTTCTACTCTCTAGCTCCATGAGTTTAATTGTTTTGATTTTTAGATCTCACAAATAAGTGAGAACATGCTAAGTTTGTCTCTCTGCGCCTGGCTTATTTCACTTAACGTAATGACCTCCAGTTCCATCCATGTTGTTGCAAATGACAGGATCTTATTTTTTTTTTTTTACAACTGATTAGTACCCATTGTGTATAGGTACAATTTTTAAAATTCATTCATCTGTCGATAGACGCTTAGGTTGCTTCCAAATCTTGGCTATTGTGAACAGTGCTGCAATAAACATGGGAGTGCAGATATCCCTTTGATATACTTTTGATGTACTGATTTCTTTTCTTTTGGGTGTATTCCCAGCAGTGGGCTTGCTGTATCATATGGTAGCTCTACTGTTCTCCATAATGGTTGTACTAATTTACATTCTCACCAACAGTGTATGAGGGTTCCCTTTTCTCCACATCCTCGCCAGTATTTGGTATTGCTTATCTTTTGATTATAAGCCATTTTAACTGGAGTGAGATATCTTACTGTAGTTTTGATTTGCCTTTCTCTGATGATCAGTGATGTTGAGCACCTTTTCATATGCCTGTTTGTCATTTGTATATCTTCTTTTGAGAAATGTCTATTGAAATCCTTTGCCCATTTTAAAATCAGATTATTCCATTTTTTTCTGTAGAATTGTTTGAGCTTCTTATATATTTTGGTTATTGATCTCTTGTCAGATGGGCAGTTTGCAAATATTTTCTCCCATTCTGTGGGTTGTCTCTTTACTTTGTTAATTGTCAAACCATATGTTTGTACTCATTAATCAACTTCTCTTTATCCTTCCCTCCCCCTATCCTTCTTAACCTCTGGTAACCACCAGTCTACTCACTATCTTCATGAGATTCACTTAGATTCCACATTTGAATGAGAACATGTGATATTTGTCTTTCTGTATTTAGCTTGTTTCATTTAACATAATGACCATCAATTCCACCCATGGTGCTGCAAATGACAGGATTTAATTCTTTTTTATGGTTACATAATATTTCATTGTGTATATATATCACATTTTATTTTTTGATTTCCAACTTTTATTTTAAGTTCAGGGGTATATGTGAAGGATGTGCAGGTTTGTTACATAGGTAAATGCGTGTCATGGTGGTTTGCTGCACTGATCATCGCATCACCCAGGTATAAAGCACGGAATCCATTAGCTCTTCTTCCTGATGCTCTCCCTCCTCCCAGACCCATCCTCCAACAGGCCCCAGTGTGTGTTGTTCCCCCTCATGTGTCCATGTGTTCTCATCATTCAGCTCCCACTTATAAGTGAGAACACATGTATACCACATTTTCTTTATCCACTAATTCGTTGATAAGTACTTAGGTTGATTTCATGTTTTGGCTGTTTTGAATAGTGCTGCAATAAAACATGGGAGTGCAGATATTCCTTCAATGTATTGATTTCCTTTCTTTTGGATATATAACCAGGAGTGGAATGGCTGGATCATATGGTAGTTCTATTTTTAGTTTTTTGAGGAACCTCCATACTATTTTTCATAGTGACTATACTAATTTACATTTCCCATCCCTGTGTATGAGAGTTCCCCTTTCTCCAAATCCTCACCAGCATCCAGTATTGCCTGTTTTTTTTTTTTTTTTTTTTTTTTTGAAATGGATTATATTTCATTGTGGTGGATTTGCATTTCTCTGATGATTAGGGATGTTGAGCATTTCTTCATATACCTATTTGCCATTTGTATGTCTTCTGTTGAGAACTGTCTATTCAGATCTTTTGCCCTTTTTTAATTGGATTATTTGTGTGTATGTATGTGTGTTTTCCTATTGAGTTGTTTGAGCTGCTTATATAGTCTGGTTTTTAATCCCTTGCCATATGGACAGTTTCCAAATATTTCCCCCCATTCTGTGGGTTGTCTCTTCACTTTGTTATTTGTTTCCTTTGCTGTGCAGAAGCTTTTTAGCTCAATGTAATCCCATTGTCTATTTTTGCTTTGGTTGCCTTTGCTTTTGAGGTCTTACACAAAAATCTTTGCTAGGCCAATGCCCTGGAGCATTTCCCCAATTTTTTCTTTTGGTAGTTTAATAGTTTCAGGTCTTAGACTTAAGTCTTTAATCTATTTTGATTTGATTTTTGTGTATGGTGAGAGATAGGGGTCTAGTTTCATTTGGCCGCATATGGTTACTCAATTTCCCCAGCACTGTTTATTGAAGAGACTGTCCTTTCTTCAGTGTATGTTCTTGGCACCTTTGTCAAAGATGAGTTGGTTGTAAATGCATGCATTTATAATTTGGTTCTTTATTCTGTTTCCTTGGTCTGTGTGTCTGTTTTTATGCCAGTACCATGCTGACTTGGCTACTATAGCTTTGTAGCAAATTTTGAAGTCACATAGTATGATGCCTCCAGTATTGTTCTTTTTGCTAAGGATTGCTTTGGCTATTTGGAATCTTTTGTGGTTCCATATAAGTTTTAGCATTTTTGTTTTCTATGTCTGTGAAGAATGTCATTGGTATTTTGATAGGGATTGCATTGAATCTGTAGATTGCTTTGGGTAGTATTGTCATTTAACACTATTCTTCCCCATGAGCATGGAATATCTTTTCATTTTTTGTGTCCTCTTCAATTTCTTTCACCAATGTTTCCTTGTATAGATCTTTCACTTCTTTGTTTAAATTGATTCCTAAGTATTTTATGTTCTTTGTTGCTATTATAAGTGGGATTGCTTTCTTGATTTCTTTTTCAGATTGTTCGTCGTTGGTGCATATTAATGCTATTGATTTTTGTATGTTGATTTTGTATTCTGTGACTTTATTGAATTTGTATATCAGTCTTAGCAGTTCTTTTGGTGGAGTCTTTAGTTTGTCTAAGTATAAGATCAATGTTGCCTGCAAACAAGGATAGTTTGACTTCTTCTTTTCCTATCTGGACACCGTTTCTTTTTTTCTTTTTCCTATTTGCTCTAGCCAGGACTTCTAGTGTTATGTTGAATAAAAGTGGTGAAGGTGGGCATCCTTGTCTTGTTCCACATCTTAGAGGAAAGGCCTTCAGTTGTTCTTCATTCAATATGTTAGTTGTGGGTTTGTCATATACAGCCTTTATTATTTTGAGGTATATTCCTGCTATATATAATTTGATGAGCATTTTTTATGATAAAGGAATGTTGGTTTTATTTAATACTTTTTCAGCATCTATGGAAATAATCATATGGTTTTGTTCTTGGTTCTGTTAATGTGATGTATCACATTTATTACTTTGTGTATGTTGAACCATCCTTGCATCCCAAGGAGGAATCTCACTTGATCATGGTGAATGATCCTTTTAATGTGTTGTTGAATTTGGTTTGCTAGTATTTTTCTGAGGATTTTTGCATCTATGTTCATCAATGATATTGGCCTTTAGTTTTATTTTTTCATTGTGTTCTTGTCTGGTTTTGATATCCAGGTAATGTTGGCCTTATAGAATGAATTTGGAAATATTCCCTCCTCTTTAATTTTTTTGGGAAGAGTTTGAGTGGAACTGGTATTCTTTAAATGTTTGGTAGAACTCAGCAGTGAAGTCATCAGGTTCAGGGCTTTTCTTTGATGGGAGACTTTTTATTATGGCCTCCATCTCATTACTTGTTACTGGTTTGTTGAGGTTTTCTATTTCTTCATGGTTCAGTCTTGGTAGGTTGCATGTGTCCAGGAATTTATCCATTTCTTCTAGGTTTCCCAATTTGTTGACATATAGTTATTCATAATAGCTTGTAATGATTCTTTGTGTTTCTGTGCTTTCAGTTGTTGTGTTTCCTATTTTGATTCTGATTTTATTTATTTGGGTCTTCTCTTTTTTTTTTCTCAATCTACCTAAAGGTTTGTCAATTTTTGCTTATCTTTTCAAAAAACCAACTTTTCATTTCATTGATCTTCCATATTATTTTAGTCTTAATTTCATTCATTTCTGCTCTGATCTTTATCATTTCTTTCCTTCTACTAATTTTGGGTTTAGTTTGTTCTTGATTCTCTAGTTACTTGGGAAATGATTTCTATAATTATCTCCACTCTACAGATAAGGAATTTTATTTGTCCAAGATTGTATAGCTATTAAAAGTTGAATCAGAGACAGTCTCAAGCAAACATTTAGAGAATGTACTCCTAGACTTTCAGACTGTACACTAAGTTGTCTGTAGAGCTATTGAGAGGATTAAATGAAATAATGTGTTCATTTAATCAGTGCTTGGCATATAGCAAAAGCTCAGTATAGTGAGCTGCCATTTTTATTTCTCTTGAAGAAATCTCTAGTGAAATGTTTGAAAATATGGTAGGATCATTAAAAGTTGTGAGCTGTGGAGTATATCACAATTTCAGTGTTGATTTCTGGATTATTAATGTGACAGTGCTTCTATGAGATACAGAAGGAGAGACTTCTTTATCTGTTTGGAGACTTGCAGTAGTCCAGTTGAGTGTAAAGAGAGATCCTCCATCACTAGAGCAGCCTCACAGAGAAGGGAATTTTAAGATAACTTTGATAGCCAAGCAGTAACATTTATGGAACACCTGAAGTGCACAGATAACTGCTGGTTACTGTGAGAAAGAAAGAAAACTAACATTCCCTGAGCGCTGATGACAGGTGCCATTACCTTTTTTTTTCTTTAGCTGCTATTTATTGAGCACCTTCTATGGGCCAGACACTTGTATATAATTATTTTTCATTCTCACAACAGTATTGCAAGGCAGGTGTTATTTTTCTAAGTGAGGCTCAAAGGTAAGAGACTTGCCCATAGGAGAGAGAGAGAAATATCTCCAGGGCTTAATCTCAGACCTGTCTGACTTCAGAGCCCATACTGGATAGAGAATCTTAGTTTGAACCTTAAAAGTTCCACGAATTTTTTGAAATTATAGGCACAATTTTGTGGGGAGATGGTCATTTAGCATAGATTCTCAAAAGGATTTATGACCCCCAAAGAGTTAAAAGCATCTTCCTGGACTGTCAGAAGGACCCTAAGAAATCAGTCTCACCGTCTTCATTTCAAATTTGGGCAAACAGTGGCACAGAGATGGGAAGAGATTTGTTACAGAGTGACAAGTGGCAGAGCCTGTGCTAGAACCCGGTCCTCCTGACCCCAGGGCCCCTGTACATCTCTTTGATGCCCCATATGAGAGCAGAGAAGCCTTGAGCAGCTTGGAAGAATTACAGTGTGCAGAACCAGATCTCCTTTAAAACTGTCTTGGCAAGGAGTCAGTTAGGCGCCTCTGGAGAGAGGTGTGTTAACTCTTCAAGGACCAGGTACTAAATTAGTACTATTTGGTAAATTGCTACTTTATAGGGTACCATTAGTAAGTGACTGCTCTAATGTGAGCTGAAGTGTAGAAGAGCAACCCAACCATCCAAGGGCCTGCTTCCTGCCTAGTGTATAGTTTTCACCCCAGGTAGAGGAAACGCTGCCTGGGCTGTGGCAAGTCAGGCCTCCTTTGAGGAGGCCATAGTAGGAGGGAGAAAGGCAGGACAAAATGCTTTCTACACCAGCAGAGAGTGTCTGGATCCAGGAGTGGCTTTAATATGGGAAAGTGCAATTGGTATTCATGTCCCTTGCATATTTTATCTCCTATGAAGACTTGCAGGCTGCCCCCAACCCCTCTTGAGCCTAAAACCACAGCCCCTTTTCTATTTCCTCACTATACTCTGAGGCTCATTTTATTATACCCATAAGCTAGCTTGGTGCCTGGCTTTTAATCACTATTTATTGACTAAATAAATTAATGATATTCTATTTGGGTTTGAATCTCGATTCTACCACTTACAAGCTATGTTCTTCTTTTTTTAAGAAAGGAATAGGATTTCACTCTATCACCCAGACTGGAGTACAGTGGCATGATTACAGCTTGCTGCAGCTTCAAAATCCTAGGCTCAGGGAATCCTCCCACTTTAGCCTCCTGAGTAGCTGGAGGGGCACACCATTGTGCCCAGCTTTTTTTTTTTATTTTATTTTTGAGACGGAGTCTCGCTCTGTCGTCCATGCTGCAGTGCAGTGGTGCAATCTCAGCTCACTGCAACCTCCACCTCCCGGGTTCAAGTTATTCTCTTGCCTCAGCCTCCCGAGCAGCTGGGATTATAGGCGTGTGCCAGCACACCTGGCTAATTTTTTGTATTTTTAGTAGAGACGGGGTTTCACCATGTTGGTCAGACTGGTCTTGAACTCCTTACCTCAGATGATCCACCTGCCTCAGCCTCCCAGAGTGCTGGGATTACAGGCATGATCCACTGCGCCCATCCCCAGCTGACTTTTTAATTGTTTTGCAGAGATGGGGTCTTGCTATCTTGCCTAGGCGGGTCTTGAACGCCTGGGCTCAGCAGTCTTCTGGCTTCCGCTTCCCAAAGTTCTGGGATTCAGCCACTGTTCCTGGCCAAGTGATGTTATTCTAATGAGTAAGTTAATGTCTCTGAGCATGAACGCATATGGTTACCTAGTAAAGTAGAAAACAGAAGGTCTTAATGATGGTCAAAGCAAGCCCTTTTGGATCCTGAGAGAAAGGAGTAGCAGGAACTGACCCTCCTGGGGCACTTAGAAGCAAACTGACAGTATTGCTCCAGCCTGCTTCAGCAGTTGGTCATGTCCTTGAGACCTAATCCTGATCTAAGCCCAAATTGCTTTTATGAACATCAAGAGGCTCATTCCTCATGCTTGGCCTGCCTCAGTAACACTGGGAACTTTGACATTTTCTGCTCTTTTGACATGATGGCCCTTCACCTTTTCCCTCTCTAGGGCAAAACCGAATTTGTGTTAGCATCTTTCAAGGTGAGTAGTATTTGGAGGAGATTCCTGCTCAAAGAGAATTAGGAATGAAAGGTGTAGGCTTTCTCAAAGAATGGCTCCTCTTACTTCAGACAAGTAAGTGCCTGTGATTTAGCTTTGTCCAGAAAATGATTATTGTTTCTAGATAAAAACTCTGCAGTTTCAGACCTAATCGTGATAAATCTACCAGGAATTCATGCCTGTCTGACATTAGACCAATTGCCTAGAAATCATGACACTTATAAGAAACAGTCACCTCTTTATTTGAATGAAAACAAAGCATTCCAGGGGAGATTAAAAAATATATTACTTTAATTTTTAGAGGAAAAGAATTCTTTAAAGAGAATTGTCAACGATCAAAACTGGTTGATAAATCATATATGTAACTATGTAATTAAACATCTCCATTTTCAGAGACCTGCAATTAGAGCTCTTCGTCTAGTTACCCATAATGATTCATTCTTGCTAATATGCTAAGGATGAAGGGAGTTAGGAAGAGAAATTTTAATTTGAACTTTTCCCTAATTTGGATCCAGACACAGTGGAAATACGTCTAGGCTGGAACGCAGGAAAACTGGGTTCTAGTTGTCCCAGTTCTATTTCTCATTAACTCTGGAGCTTTGGCCAAATCACTAAGTCTATCTGAGCCTTTGTTTCCTCAGCTATAAAACAGAATAATAATATCTACTTCAGGGTATTGTTGTGAATCCTTAATGAAACAATGGTTATTGTAATGTATTTGTAAATTTTAAAGCGTTGTAAGGTCTTAATAACATTCCAGTATCATGCTTTCTCTTCTTTTTCATAGCAGGCCAGGCCCTCTATTGGTGGTGGGAGGAAAAGGCTTTAATATGTGATACCAACCTTTGTGTAGGAAAAGATGCATAAATGATGAGCTAGGGTGATTTGTTGGCTGTGTCTGTAATTGACTGGAGATCCTGCTTCTGATGACCAGGACTTTATTATTAAGAGAACTGGGGCTGGGCTCAGTGGCTCACACTTGTAATCTCAGCAGTTTGGGAGGCCGAGGCGGGCGGATCTCTTGAGCCCAGGAATTCGACACCAGCCTGAGCAACATGGCAAAACCCTGTCTCTACCAAAAATACTAAAATTAGCCGGGCATGGTGGCGTGTGCCTGTAATTCCAGCTACTTGGGAGGCTGAAGCAGGAGGATTGCTTGAATCCGGGAGGCAGAGGTTGCAGTGAGCAGAGAGCGTGCCACTGGACTCCAGCCTGGGTGACAGAGAAACATTCTGTCTCAAAAGAAAAAACAAAAACAAAACAAAAAAACCAAAACACTGGTATGTGCTTGGGGGCTGGAACTTGGTTTGGGTCTTCCCAACTACAGAGGGTCATCACAGGTGCCTTAGGTGCTGGTCCATTGACTTTGCTGGATTCACATTTACAACCTCTCACATTCACAAACTCTCTCATTTGGACCAAGTGGAGGTCATAGGGGATTGTGACAAGAACATTGAGAGTTTTGGGGATTTAGTTCTAAGTTTTAGTGTAGGGCCATAGGATAAGAATTGGGGTTTGAGTTCAAGCAGAATATGAGAGCTGGAAGGGATGATCTAATCCAGTGGTCCTCAAAGGGTGGTTGAATTGCAGCATCAGCATCAACAGGAAACTTGTTAGAAGTGCACATTCTTGGCCAGGTGCAGTGGCTCACGCCTGTAATCCCAGCACTTTAGGAGGCTGAGGTGGGTGGATCATGAGGTCAGGAGTTCAAGACCAGCCTGGCCAACGTGGTGAAACCCCGTCTCTACTAAAAATACAAAAATTAGCCAGGTGTGGTGGCACGTGCCTGTAGTCCCAGCTACCTGGGAGGCTGAGGCAGGATAATCGCTTGAACCTGGGAGGCGGAGGTTACAGTGAGCTGAGACTGTGCTACTGTACTCCAGCCTGGGCAACAGAACGAGACTCCATCTCAAAGAAAGAAAGAAAGAAAGAAATGCACATTCTTGGGCCTCATCTCAAACCTGTTGAATCAGAAATTTGGGGGCTGAGGCTTAGCAATCTGTGTCTTTTGTTTTCTGTTTTTTTGAGACAGGGCCTCACTCTGTTGCCCAGGCTGGAGAGCAGTGGCATGATCTTGGCTCACTGTAACCTCCCCCTCCCAGGTTCAAGCGATTCTTCTGCCTCAGCCTCCCGAGTAGCTGGGACTACAGGCGTGTGCCACCACGCCAGGCTAATTTTTGTAATTTTAGTAGGGATGGGGGTTTTGCCATGTTGGCCAGGCTGGTCTTGAACTTCTGACCTCAGGTGATCTGCCTGCCTTAGCTTCCCAAAGTGCTGGGATTACAGGCATGAGCCATTACACCCAGCCACAATCTGTGTTTTAACAAGCCCTCCAAGTGACTCTAGTGCACTCTAAAGTTTGAGAACCACTGCTGTAATCTAGTCTTACTTAATAAGTGCTTGTAAAATGCTGAGCCTGGTGCCTGGTACATAGTATGGCACTGTGAATGTGATGCCTGTGAATGTATGGTAGCTGTTGCTCTAGAACAAAACTCAGACTTCCTCGCTGCAGCTTTTCCCATGACACCACATTTTTCAGTGGTTTTTAAAAATTCAAGTTGCAGCTGGGTACGGTGGCTCACACCTGTAATCCTAGCACTTTGGGAGGCCGAGGTGGGTGGATTGCCTGAGCTCAGGAGTTTGAGACCAGCCTGGGCAACATGGTGAAACCCTGTCTCTACTAAAATACAAAAAAAAAAAAAAATTACCCAGGCATGGCGGTGTGCACCTGTAGTCCCACCTACTCAGGAGACTGAGGCAGGAGAATTTCTCAAACCCGGGAGGCAGAGGTTGTAGTGAGCCGAGATGGTGCCACTGCACTCCAGCCTGGCAACAGAGCGAGACTCCGTCTCAACAAAAACAAAAACAAAAACAAAACAAAACAAAACAATTCAAGTTGAAAAAAATTCAAGACTGCCTCTTTGATTTTGACAGCAATGTGTGAATGCAGTTTCTGGGGTTGTTTTATAGAGGATTACAATAAGCCAGTTGGAGTGGTGATAGGGGCTCAAGGTAGTTCTTAGGGATCAAATGAACTTGGACAGCTTCAGTGCTGAAGACTTCAGTTCCTCCTTTTTTGTCATACCCAGAAAGAATACGGTTCTGAGGGATATGAGAGATGTTATAGAGAACAGAAATTAGTTGCAGTTATCATATTAGCTATTTTGACCTTAACTACCAGCAGAATCCAGTACAAACTCAGGTAGACTCTCCAGCTATGATTCAGTTTCTCCATCTAGAAGGTGGAAATAATGTGATTTCCCCATTGATTAATTGACAGAGACAGATAATTATAAGATCAGGTTTATAAGGTAATATTCTGAAGATTATTACTTATTGAAATTTAGTTGTGTTTATTTTTGTGTTTTATTTTTGTGATTATAAATGTAATACAACTTTGGGAGGCCGAGGCAGTGGATCACCTGAGGTCAGGAATTCGAGACCAGCCTGGCCAATGTGGCAAAACCCCGTCTCTACTAAAAATACAGAAATTATCCAGGCATGATGGCGCACTCCTATAGTCCCAGCTACTTGGGAGGCTGAGACAGGATAATTGCTTGAACCTGGGAGGCAGAGGTTGCAGTGAGCTGAGATCGTGCCATTGCACTCCAGCCTGGGTGACAGAGCAAGACTCCCTCTCAAAAAAAAAAAAAAAAAAAAAAAAAAAAAGTAATATATGTTAATGCCTTTGGAAAATTTTATAAAAGTATAAAAAAGACAATATAAAAATCACTAACAATCTCCCAACTCAGAGAAAACCACTGTTAATATTTTGGTGTATTTCCTTCCAATCTGAAATTTTTACGAAAACAGTATAAAATTAAGATACTCTGTATTGAGGGAAGCTTACATGTATTGAGTGTCTACTGTGCTCAAAACAGTGTGCCAGTTGCTGAAGATATATTAAATCACTTAATCCTTACAACAACCCTGTAAGGCAGGAGTCACAACATGGACTACATACTAGAATCACCCAAAGCAGTGGTGGGGGGTGGTCTTCAGAAGTCTGAAGCCTGTGCCTCAGACTAATTATATCAGAAATTCTAGGGGTGGGACCAAGGCATCAGTATTTTCCAAAGGTTGTTCAGATGATTACAATGCGCAATCAAGGCTAACAAGTTGCTATAACGTAGAGCAGTGGTTCTTAAACTTTAGTGTGCATCAGTATCACCGGTAGATCTTGTAAAGACATTGCAGCGGCCCACCACTAGTGTCTTAGTCAATAGGTCTTCAGTAGGATCTGAGAGTTTTGCCTTTCCATCACGTTCCCAGGTTTCTCACCACTTTACATGTGAGAAAAATGAGGCTCAGATTAAAGAATTTGCCCAATATATACAGCTAGAAATTTGTAGAGCTGGCATATGTACCCAGGTCTATAAAAGGCCTAAACTTTTTTCACCTCTCTGTTTTCCTCACTCCATCAGTGTCAACTTAGCTAATGTCCACTAATTTCATAAGTTGTATGTATCCATGGTAATACGTACTTTTTCTTTTTTTTTCTTGTTTTTAAATTATTATTATACTTTAAGTTCTAGGGTACATGTGCACAACGTGCAGGTTTGTTACATATGTATACATGTGCCATGTTGCTGTGCTGCACCCATTAACTCCTCATTTACATTAGGTATATCTCCTAATTCTATCCCTCCCCCCTCCCCCCACCCCACGACAGGCCCCAGTGTGTGATGTTCCCCTTCCTGTGTCCAGGTGTTCTCATTGTTCAATTCCCACCTATGAGTGAGAACATGCGGTGTTTGGTTTTTTGTCCTTGCAATAGTTTGCTGAGAATGATGGTTTCCAGCTTCATCCATGTCCCTACAAAGGACATGAACTCATCCTTTTTTATGGCTGCATAGTATTCCATGGTGTATATGTGCCACATTTTCTTAATCCAGTCTATCATTGATGGACATTTGGGTTGGTTCCAAGTCTTTGCTATTGCGAGTAGTGCCACAATAAACATATGTGTGCATGTGTCTTTATAGCAGCATGATTTATAATCCTTTGGGTGTATACCCAGTAATGGGATGGCTGGGTTAAATGGTAGTTAATATGTCCTTTTTCAACTCGGCACTTTCAAATTGTGGTTAAGAAAACAGCTCCTTATTAGCCTTGGAAACAAAAATAGTAATCAGAAGCACAGGTACATGTTTTGCTAGGTTCATCCTACTTTTCATAAACGACAAACATTGGGCGGCTCAAGATAAAAATTATCTATAAAAAGTTTTAATAGGCCAGGTGCAGTGGCTCATGCCTGTAATTCCAGCATTTTGGGAGGCTGAGGTGGGAGGATCGCTTGAGTCCAGGAGTTTGAGGCTGCAATGAGCTGTGATCACACCACTGCACTCCAGCCTGGGTGACAGAATGAAACCCTTTCTCAAACAAAACAAAACAAAAAACTCCTTCCCAGAATTGCTGAGGGAAACCTCCCCTCTTGGCTTTATAGAGGTAGATTCTGAAGCCCCAAACTTCTATCTTCTTTCTGACTTTTCCTGTTTGTTGTTTGGTTAGTCCAGTCCATGAGTTTCCCTGAGACTTGGCTAGTTAGAGTTTGGCCTCTGTCACTGCTGCTATCAAACACATTCTGACTAGTTTTTAGTATTTGGCTTTCATCCTAATATTATAGTACTTCAACTTAGTTGGCATATATGTCTGGAGTGAATTGGATAATTGTACACACTTTACTGATTTGGTAATCACACTGAGGCTGGGGAGCTGGCAGGATTGCTCTTGTTGACAATGCGAGGGTAGATATGTGTTGTGATTTGCTTCCTCTTTAGGTTCTGGGTCCTATTGCGGAACGGAGTATGTGAGTGAAGCTTTGTGGCTTCAGGGGGAGATGTACAGAAACTGCTTTGCTGCCTGCAACCTTAGGGAAAGGCTGCTGAGGAAATAATGTGGTTGTTGATATCCTGCTCTTTAGAGTCACACTAAGCAGTGTGACTTTGGGCAGGGTACTTCACCGTCCCAAAACTGTTTCCTCATCTATAAAATAAGTATAGTGATATTCTACATTTTAGGATTGCTATGAGGATGGCTTAATTGCTGTCATCCACGTAAAGGAGTTTGGCACTCTACCAGGCATATAGTAAATGCTCAATTGATTACTAAATTGATTATCATCCTCATAGTTAGAGATAAGTCAAAGCTGGGAATATAAGTGGAGGTTTTTGACTATTCTCTTTAAAGATACCTTCATTACAAATATATATTGGGAACTTATGTGTCAGGTAGTGTTTTAAGCACTTTACATGTGTCCACTTAGCTATTTTTCAAAACAATCCTGCAAAATAGATACCCTTATTTTTTTTATTTTACAGTTGAGGAAAATGAGATACAGAGAGACTAAGTAATTTGTCAGGTTTTTAAGGATAGGCACCCACTATCTTGTGAGATGGTAGGTAAGGAAAGCATTCTAGAAGAAACATGCACCATGGTCAAAGGGATGTAGTCAAGAATGCATAAGAAACATGATCACCCCCAAGAATTAGAAGGAAAGAAATAGTAGAAGTGAGGTTTGAAAAGTAGCTGGGAGCTTGTTCGAGTTTGGCTTTAAATGCCAGGCTAGGGAGCTTAAACTGCATCCTATAGGAGCTGCTACTATTTCTACTTCCAGCTGTTTCCCTGGTCATTGATCCCAAAAGTTTGTGCCTGAGAAGACTGCACACAAGTTGGAGTCCTAGGGATGGCTGTTTCTGCTGTCCCTCAGTGGCTCTGGTCTCAACATAGGACATCATTAGAGCTGTTTTGTTATTATTTATTTATTTTGAGACAAAGTCTCACACTGTCGCCCAGGCTAGAGTGCAGTGGCGCAATCACGGCTCACTACAACCTCCGCCTCCCGGGTTCAAGCAATTCTCCTGCCTCAGCCTCACGAGTAGCTGGGACTACAGGTGCCCGCCATCACGCCCAACTAATTTTTGTATTTTTAGTAGAGGTGGGGTTTCACCATGTTGGCCAGGATGGTCTTGATCTCTTGACCTCCTGATTCGCCCACCTCAGCCTCCCAAAGTGCTGGGATTACAGGCGTGAGCCACGGCGCCTGGCCCAGAGCTGTTTGTTATTTAATTCAGTTAGTTGATCTGGTATCTTTTTTTT
This sequence comes from Homo sapiens, assembly GCF_000001405.40. Taxonomy (NCBI): domain Eukaryota; kingdom Metazoa; phylum Chordata; class Mammalia; order Primates; family Hominidae; genus Homo; species Homo sapiens. The sequence goes on along the minus strand of NC_000010.11, from coordinate 117,106,124 downwards.
ATCTTTTTTCTTTTTGAGACGGAGTCTGTCTCTGTCGCCCAGGCTGGAATGCAGTGGTGCGACCTCGGCTCACTCCAACTTTTGCCTGGTATTTATATTTTATTTTGTTTCTGAGGCCAGGTCTCCTCTGTTGCCCAGGCTGGAGTGCAGTGGCGTGAACATGGTTCACCTCAGCCTCGACCTGTCAGGCTCAAGCGATCCTCCCACCTCAGCCTCCCAAGTAGTTAGGACAACAGGCACACTACCATGCCTGGATGTTTCTAATTTTTTGTAGAGACAGGGTTTCACTATGTTGCCCGGGCCTGTCTCGAACTCCTGTGCTCAAGCAATCCTCCCACCTTGGCTTCCCAAAGTTTTGGGATTATAGATGTGAGCCACCATGTCGGGCTTGGTATTTCAAAATCATGATTATTTTGGGAGGATAATGTCAAACCAGAAAGTCTGAAAAATAATCCCAGGCATATAACTGTTCTCACCTTGTTTAGAAAATATACTGTCATCATGGTTGGTTTATCTTTGGACTACGTTTGTAAAACCTACAGTAGCAAACGGGTTCTATGCTTATTAGAAATAGGAGTAAAAAAGACCAGGATTCTGGTGCTGGCTCTGCCAAATGCCAGCTGTGTGACTGTGGGTAAGTCATTTGACCATTCTGGACCTCAGTTCTTTCATCTTACACATAAGAATAAGAATTCCTAATCTGCTTAACTAATAAGATTTTCAGGAATATTCAATAAGATAATCTCAGTAAAAGCCTTTTTTATACTACAAAGCATACCTGTTAATGGATATAATTATTATATAGCATTTGCTTATTGTGATCTCTCAATGAGCAAATATTTACTGTGTACCTTTTAGATATCATTGTGATAAGTGCTGTTGAGGCTTCTGAAGTAAAAGATTCAGGCTCTTCCTTCAGAGAGCTGGCTATCTAATTGAGGACATGGTATGTTCACATAAAGTCACCAAATATGAGATATGCATAGTAAGAGTGTTATGGTTTTGGAGATCACCTTGGGCTCAGTGTCTAGGACAGCTTTTTGGGCAGAGGATGTGGTTCTGGGCTGTGAAGGTTGTGGAGTGTTGGTTTCGTGGAGGAGTACGCATTTGAGGTAAGGGCAGTGGTGTGTGGTGGTGATCAAAGATGGTGGCTGTGGGGCTAGAAGAGAAGAATGTGTGTTGAAGGGAAGGGAGACTAGCCTGGGTGGAATTTAATCCAACTCCAGTAATTCCCACAGAGAGTCAGACATACTAGATTTTCACTTTGGAGACTATTAATGACAAATAATTTGGAAGATATTCATGACAAATAATCTTTTTAAGGTTTTAAAATTTTTGTTGTTGTTGTTTTGAGACGGAGTCTCGCTCTGTCGCCCAGGCTGCAGTGCAGTGGCGCGATCTCGGCTCACTGCAAGCTCCGCCTCCCCGGTTCACGCCATTCTCCTGCCTCAGCCTCCTGAGTAGCTGGGGCTACAGGCGCCCACCACCACGCCCGTCCAATTTTTTGTACTTTTAGTAGAGATGGGGTTTCACTGTGTTTGTTAGCCAGGATGGTCTCGATTTCCTGACCTCGTGATCCGCCTGCCTCGGCCTCCCAAAGTGCTGGGATTACAGGCGTGAGCCACCGCGCCTGGCCGAGAGCTACTATTTCTGTCCTGGAATGCAATTATTAGCAAAGCTATGTTGAGAAGCAATTTTAGCTAGATACTTTGCTGAGGAACAGCCCTAATGGAGGAAGACACTCTTGTACCCAAATAACTATGACACAAAATAGAAAATGTGGTGTACTGCTGTGCAATACAAACTGAGAATTCTTAGTTATTAGCATGCTTACTAAGAAAAAAATTATTACTGGGGATGAAGGGAAGATTTTATGAGAGAGATACTATTTGAATTGGGCCTTGGAGGCCAAGCAAAATAAACTCTAACACAACGTGCTAGACAGAAATGACTGTAGAAAATGCTTAAAAAAAAATGAGGTAAAAAAAAATCATGCTAAAAATGGTGGATTTGGTGCCAGATAAACATGTATTTGACTCCTCGTTCTGACTAGCCATACTGAGCCTCAGCTTCCCCATCTATAAAATGGAGACAATAATACTTCATAAGGTTGAGAAAAGGAAATGAGGCAATTGAGGAATTTACTGAAAGCCTCAGCCCTAATCTAGTAATACTAATTGCTCATTAATTTGTAATTACCATTAAAATTATTCATCATTCATGTGTTTACCTATGTAACATTCACCTGTACCCCCACACCCAAAATAAAAGTTAAAAAAAGAAAACATTGGCCGTGTGCGGTGGCTCACACCTGTAATCCCAGCACTTTGGGAGGCCAAGGAGGGCGGATCATGAGGTCAGGAGATCGAGACCATCCTGGCTAACACAGTGAAACCCCATCTCTACTAAAAATACAAAAAATTGGCCGGGCGTGGTGGTGGGCACCTGTAGCCCCAGCTCTCGGGAGGCTGAGGCAGGAGAATGGCGTGAACCTGGGAGGCAGAACTTGCAGTGAGCTGAGATTGTGCCACTGTACTCCAGCCTGGGCAACAGAGCGAGACTCCGTCTCAAAAAAAAAAAAAAAAAAAAAAAAAGAGAGGGGAGGGGAGGGGAGGGGAAAGGAAAGGAAAAAGAAAGAGTAGCTCTCAAGACCCATAACCGCTAAGGAAAAGTATGTAGAAAACATGGGTGGTATGTTACATTCTGTTTCTGTCAGGTAAAAAATGAACAACGAGGCTGGGTGTGGTGGCTCATGCCTGTAATCCCAGAACTTTGGGAAGCTGAGGCGGGCAGATCACTTGAGGTCAGGAGTTCGAGACCAGCCTGGCTAACATGATGAAACCCCATCTCTACCAACAATATAAAAAATTAGCCAGGTGTGGTGGTGTGCACCTGTAATCCCAGCTACTTAGGAGGCTGAGGCAGAAGAATTGCTTGAACCCGGGAGGCAGAGGTTGCAGTGAGCCGAGATCTTGCCACTGCACTCCAGCCTGGGTGACAGAGCAAGACTCTGTCTCAAAAAGCAAACAACAACAACAACAAAAACAAAACAAACAAAAAATAGAACAAGGAACCAAAATGAGACAAGGCCTCAGTTTTTATAATCATTCTGCCAAAATGGCATTGAGGAGGCAGATGACAGTAAATTCAGTGGCGTGAAGCTTCACCTGGTTCTGATTTGTGGAGCACTCGTGTCTTTGCCTTTTAATCAGATAATAGAAATGACTGAAAGAGTAAAGATGCCGGGCCAGTAGTTATGCTGAGTCCATTCTTCCCATTGATGCTTAAGGGATTTATGTAGGTAAGTCTCATTAATGTTAATGGAAGTTACATGTGTAATTCCCCTTTTTCATCACTGAGAGAATAGAGCTTTATAGTCCTTGGGTAATTATGGTACTGGCACTGTTAGTTTTTTCAGTTAACTTTTTCACCTGCCTTTCCTGCTTGGACTCTTAAGAAAGGAACTGAATTCTTCCGTTCAAAAAGGAAAATTGCCAAAATATCTGAGAGGTGAAACAAATGTAACCAGATCCACTTGTTGGAGGGGAAAAAAGCAAGAAAACACTAGGACAGGAAGCTGGAGGGTGAGCTCCTGCTAATTTTCAGATCCCAGGAAGCATGTCGTGGTTTGGATTTTCTAACAATGCAGGGCTTTTCACTGGCAGCCCATTTCCTCAGGTATTTGAAGTGAGTGGAAAGTAAGTCCCCGAACATTTGGATGAATTAATTTTAGCATGTAAGTTTCAGTAGCAACGCCTCAGTCTCTGCAGAACCTAATAAAGAATTAATCTTGGTCTCTGCCTGAGACTTAGTAAAAGATTTGAAATACCTTGGTATTTGAGATTTGGTTTGCAGGAGTCTAAAGGATAGCTGTATTACTGTTCTATTAAAAATTACTGAGTCCTTCGTGAGTTCCTCTGTCACACCAGGTGCTCTGATTAGAGCATGCAGCAGGTCATCCTATCCCTCAGAAAACAGCAGGGTCTGTTCCTTAACTGTAGATAGGAAAGTCAGCATCCTAGTCTTGCCATGTGGTCAGGTGATTTTTTTTTTTTTTTTAAGAACAAAGTTTCTTTTTGATGGCTTTACTTCTTCTTCTTCTTCTTCTTTTTTTTTTTCTGTCCTCACAGTCTGTTCCCAACTGATGGCTTTACTTCTACCATTTATAATTTTTTTAAAAATAATTGAAAGTTTAAAAGAAAGGTATACTTTGATGCATGCATTTTTAGTTTTATTGTGGCAACCATCAAATCTCATGTTGGAAGGAACCTTATAGTCACCTAATTCAGCCAAGTGGTCCAAAAGTATTCAGTGGTAGGGAACTTACTCTAGCACTTGGTATAGTATCTGGAATACAGTTAAATGATTTGAATCAACCGTTCGGGAACAGGCTATTCTTTCTTTGGATAGCTTTGTGTTGGAAACTTTTCCCTTGTGGTGAGAGAAAATATATGTCTTTCTGTAGTTTTCTGTTACCCCCTTGGACCTTGTTCCACACTTTTACCCACTGACCCCTGTTCTGTCCTCATGAGACCATAGAAGATGAATCTGCTCCTTCTTTCACTTGAGAATTCGTCTCTTATTTTCTCAGAATTAAGAATCAAGACATTGTATTGGCCTGCCTTTCACGTCCTAGATGCAGTAATGTTTTGGCTTCCTGGACAATGGCTCTGGCTATTCCTTCTCCAGCTGTTCTCTTATCCCTTGGATGCTGAACCATATTTTTTCAACTTGGCTCATTTCCTGAGGCTTGTGACAGAAAACCTTTTTTCTATCACCTTGTATTTTAAGTCTTCACACTAGATTATTGGTCCATGTAGCTGCCTATCCCTGAAACTCCACATACAGATGAGCTGATCAAAGCTTGGAGAAGACCAAGATACAATGTTATATAAGGTGTTTTCTCCAGAACCAGCACAGTGTAGTGAAAAGAAAATCAATTGAGACTTAGAGACCTGGATATTAGCCTTTTCTCAGCCATGGAACTTCCCTATTTCAACTCCTTCTCTTCTATCCATTTAATTACTACACAACAGTCAAAGTGAGCTTAAAGTATAAATTGGATTATGTCACTTAAAATCCTTCAAGGGTTTCTCAACCTTCTTAGGTCTTAGCCTAAAATCCAGTCTTTACCAAGGCGTATAAGGTTCTGCATAATGTGACTCTGTGGTGTGACTCCATCTTGACTACTCCCCACCCTCTTTTTACCTTCATCTATGTTAGTCACTACTCTCAGCTACACGGGCCATTTCCCAAACTTAGTCCCACCTCAGAATCTTTGCATAAACTATTTCTGCTTCCTCAGATGCTTATTCCCTCAATTTTTTGCCGAGCCAACTCTTAATCCCTAGACTTCAGCTCAGGTATCATTTCTTCAAAAAGCTCTTTCATAACCTGGAAGAAATGCCTTAGCTAAATGAATGGTAGCCAAATTGAGCCCTTTGCTTTGAGGATAAGCACAGTGTAACCTTTCAGCCTGTGCTTTTGAGGTGTGTGCAGTTCTTCCTGTGGCACTGTCCACCAATCTGTATTATTACATGCAGGCTGGGTATGTAAGGATTTTTGCTAACAATATGACACTTGAAACTTAAAAAAACATTAAAAAATATAGTTCATTCAACTTGAAGTGACTACTGTCAGGAAAAGAAAGGAATGGCAAGAAAACATACATTTATTGATTATCTACTTCAGGTTTGGCAAATTTTTCTATAAAGGGCCAGATGGTGAAGATTTTAGGCTGTGTGGGCCATAAGTCTCTGTGGCAACAACTTGGTTCTGCCATCCTAGCGTGAAAGCAGCCACAGAAAACACATCATGAATGAGGTGATGAGTTTCTAATAAAACTTTACTTACAAAAATGGATGATTGTTTCCCAGGCCCTGATCTGATGTGTGCCAGATGCTTTACATGTATTTACTCTTTATTTTTTATTTATAATTTATTTTTTGAGACGGAGTTTCGCTGTTGTTGCCCAGGCTGGAGTGCAATGGCGCTATCTCGGCTCACCGCAACCTCCACCTCCAAGGTTCAAGCGATTCTCCTGCCTCAGCCTCCCTAGTAGCTGAGATTACAGGCATGTACCACCATGCCTGGCTAATTTTATATTTTTAGTAGAGACGGGGTTTCTCCATGTTGGTCAGGCTGGTCTCGAACTCCCGACCTCAGATGATCCACCCACCTCGGCCTCCCAAAATGCTGGGATTACAGGTGTGAGCCACCATGCCTGGCCTGTATTTACTCTTTATGACAAACTGATAGACATTTATTCATTTTATAGGCTCATAGAGGTGCAGTAACTTGTCTAGAGCCACTCAGCTTGGTAAGGGGAAAACTTTGGATTCTAACCTAGGCCTCAAAGGTTAGAGAAAGGAAATGGTCAATAAAGTTTAATTCAACAAGTATTCATGGAGCGCCTCCTAGATGATTATAGTAGTGCTAGACATTTGAAAAAACTAGCATGTTTTAACTTCACTTCTCTCTAGTTACCTTTTATTTATTTTATTTTAATTAATTTGGGAAGGCAGCATGGTGTGGTGAAAAGAATGTGAGTTTTGGAATCTGACGTGACTCAAATTTTAGCCCCACTATTTAACAACTTTGTGAACTTGGGAAAGTTAAGTTCTGGCTTTAACATCCTGAGAGCAAAATCAGTGAAGTGATATTGGTAGATGCTAGGCCTCCATCAAATAATTTCTAAATGAGATTTTATATTCAAAGGAATATTATACTTAAAATTTTTTTATTCCAATAGTTTTTGGGGTACTGGTTTTTTTTTGGTTATATAGATGAGTTCTTTAGTGGTGAATTCTAAGATTTTAGTGCACCCCGTCACCCAAGCAGTGTACACTGTACCCAATATGTAGTCTGATCTCTCACCCCTCCTTACCTCCCCACCCTGAGTCTCCAAGATTCATTATATCACTCTGCATGTTTTTGCGTCCTCATATTAATAGCTTAGCTCCCACTTATAAGTGAGAACATAGAGTATTTTTTTCCATTCCTGAGTGACTTCACTTAGAATAATGGCCTCCAGCTCTATTCAAGTGGTTGCAAAAGACATTATTTTGTTCCTTTTTATGGTGTGTGTGTGTGTGTGTGTGTGTGTGTGTGTGTGTATACATACCACATTTTCTTTGTGGAACATTATACTTTTGATTTATGCTATGAATTTTTCCGTACTAAGTACTGTTAAGGTCTTTATAAATTTGAAGTCTTTTAAGGATCGAGATAAAAAGGAGACAGTTATTCTTTATCTCCTTCAGGGCTGGTCTGTTTCTAAGAATTTGGCTTGCGTGATGGAACACAAATTGTGTCTCCATCAGCAGGAGGAAGCGTTTGGGGGAAACTCAGGAATGTAGATACTGATGTCAATAGTATATAAGTTGTTGAGTCCTGCATTCTTTTTCTTCTATTTGCTAAGTGGCAAATAATTTGGGAGAGTGACTTGTAAGGTCCACATCATGATCATGTTCGATGCTCATATTCAGAGTGGACTTTGGCGTGATCAGTGGTTATTACAAGTGGTGGACAGTTTGAAAACATGCAGTGGGAAGCGTTAAGTGGCTTGTAGGAAAAATGTTGATGAGCAAATCAGGGCTGCCGTCACTTTGAGGATTGTTGTCAGTATCTGATTACATATAATAATTTCATCTTGATCATTAGAATCTCCTATTCCACAGGCTATCTCATTTCAAATTTCAGGAACTTTTTTTTTTTTTTTTTTTTTTTGAGACGGAGTGTCCCTCGGTCGCCCAGGCTGGAGGGCAGTGGCGCGATGTCGGCGCACTGCAAGCTCCGCCCCCTGGGTTCACGCCATTCTCCTGCCTCAGCCTCCCAAGTAGCTGGGACAACAGGCGTCCACCACTACGTCTGGCTAATTTTTTTTTTTTTTTTTTTTTTTAGTAGAGACGGGATTTCACCGTGTTAGCCAGGATGGTCTGGATCTCTTGACCTCGTGATCCGCCCTTCTTGGCCTCCCAAAGTGCTGGGATTACAGGCGTGAGCCACCGCGCCCGGCCTCAGGCATCTTTTAAAAGCACACCAGGAGTGCCTTCTTTTGCTCAGAAAATCTTCACTACTGGAAAAAATTTGCCATTCCCTTTCTGTGCCTCTTCAGTTGTTCTGGGGACTATCCACTCCACTTCACGTGAAGCATTTGCCACTGTTCTCACCAGCAGAGTCCCTCTGACTTTTGCCATTATCTGAATCTGTTGGGATGATGGAAAAAAAAAAACAACCTTTGATAACCTTTGAATCAACAAAGATATTAGAGGTAAAACAGAGATTTTGTGATGCAAGAAATTGAGAAGAGTCTTAAATAGAGATGCAGTTGGAATCGCTTAATAATTATGGTGTTAAAGATGTAATGGAAACTTTTTTTATTTGGGTAGTGAGTTCTCAAATACATTTGAAAATCAGGGTGGAGATTAAAGTGTAAACTGGGTCATGGTTGAAAATCTGGCACTTGGTGTAGTTTTAGTAACCTATAACCTTCATATCTTTCTGCTTTTATCAGACAAAAGGCAAATTCTTCTGACCCATGAAGCTGATCTGTGAACTCTGTCAAAAAATCCAAAACCCCACAGTTGTAGATCATGCATCTCATTAGCATAATTTGCCACCCAAGGTGTAAATGTATATTCTCTAAATTGGCACATAGTATGGATAGTATTTTACAGAATTGTGAGAAAAGATTGTTTGCCATGTAGAACAGTGAATTAAAATTTTGCCGTAAGAATTACTTTTTTCTCTTCACCTTTTCTTTCAGAAACTGTGAGTTATAAAATCAATTTAAACTTAGTCATTGAGATAGATGCTATACTTCAACCAAATAAGACCATACATTCTGGCAGAGTCTGTCGGGGTTGAGCAGAGTGGGAATCTGATTTTCATGAGGATGTCAGTTTGGTAAATCAGGACAGAAAAAACAAATGTCTCAACTAGTGAAATTACGTTTTTGGATTTCAGAGAACCAAACCAGTTTATAAGATGAAGTTATGAAATGAAGAATTTGAGAATCTGAATTTCCCTTTGCCCCTACTCTAGGGCTTCCTTTTTCCTTTGTGTGTGTGTGTGTGTGTGTGTGTGTGTGTGTCTATGTGTGTGTGTGTGCGCGCGCGTGCGCGCTTGGGTGTTTGTAGGACTTACTTCACTGTTATTAAAGCTTTGTAAGATTTCTCTAGGATCTCCATGATGATGTTCCTCTTTTTTAATTCCTGAAATTAAAATGTGTTGGAATGCTTGGCTGCCTTTCACTCCCTCCTCAATGGACCCTTTAGTTTTTCACACCAAGGTGTCCTTCAGGGTGCCAGGTCAGGCTACCAAAACAGCTTCTAGGAGAGGATTAGAACCAATTAACATCTTTGTACACAAAAGCCACTGGCAGCTGAACAGGCAGCCTGGTGGCGGCTCCGGAGCTGCATTTTAAATAGGGGCCTTCTGTACTTGAGTTCAAGTAGGAAGAGGTGGAGAAAGTTTTTATTTATAATTGAAAATGCTGTTTTTGGATAAAGTCTAATGAAAAGAAAAGTAGTGTTCAGAAGTATCTAACAAATACCATTTGAATGTTGGTCTATATTGTATGTGATTCCATCAAGGATGCTCTCACAATATAGCCTGCTCCTTGGCACATATTGAGATGAAGTGATGTTTCTTCACATAACAATTTTGTCCTTACATTTCTCTTGTTCTCTCTTTTAAAAAAAGTTCAGCTGGATCCTGAGGCACAAAAAGGAGCTGCTCCAAAGGATATATGGTCTTAAAAGCCAGAAGCCTTTTCATAAGAAATCTATCATATGGGTACCTGTACTACAAAATCTTTGTTTGGGGCAAAATAAAGTGGAGAGAGCCATTGTGCAAAGTTTGTTTGTTTTTTAACCCTTCAGTTGAGAGAAGTTGAGTTACTTTTGTTTTATTTTAAGCACAATAACCAAATCGTTACACTTTATTTTTTTGACCGTTTAATTTTTGGAGATAGTGTGTATCTTTTTATGTTCAGGAATACTAGAATCAACAAAGATATTAGAGGTAAAACACAGAGGTTTTGTGACCCAAGAAATTGAGAAGAGTCTTAAATAGAGATGCAGTTGGAATCGCTTAAGAATTATGTTGTTAAAGATGCAATGGAACCTGCTTTTATATTTGGGTTGTGAGTTCTCAAATACATTTTAAAGCTCAAGGGCAAAATAGAGGTGTTTTCAATCCATTTGATACTGAACCTTCTCAGCTCCCTCAACTGCAAGGCATGTAGCTTTCTCTGTGAGTGAAAATACTAGCAAATAAAATGCTGCTTGCAGAATCTTGTCCAAAAGACTACAGTGGGAATCCATGGGGAAAAGAAAAAGAGACCTGAAAAAGAAATTAATTAATATACAGTAGGTCAAAAGAATGATGATGATCATAAATTCACTAAATCAGAGTGGAAAATGTAAGGAAAAAAATGAAACTTTTTTTCAGATATTCTATTTTCTGTCCTGTTATATATTTTTGTTTTATGGAAGGAAAAGATGAAGAGAATAGTACGCATTTCTCTTTCAATGGCTTGAATGGAAAATGTTTTTAAAAAGTCAGTCTCCTGGTCCCTAATCTAAATTATGGTCATTTTCAGTTTCCTGGGTTTTATACATAACTCTAGATTCTTCTTAGTGTGATATTTTCGAAGCAAACCTTAATACAGTCTCAATGTGTGGTTTCCCCCCTGGGTTTTAGTTTCAGATACCGTATTGTGAGTCTTCAGACATGTTGAGTCCCCCTAATGTTAAATGGTAATTGCCAGAAGTATAGGTGGGGATGGAAACATTGTTATATTTTGTTCATTTTTCACACTTCAGCAGTTATCCCTTTTTCTCTCTTGCTGTATGCTTATTAGGGTATGAAATGCAGGTGTGTGGGAAATGGCTAGCGGACATTGACAGGTTATTTTGTTGGTCACTGCCTAATTAGTAGCATAGTGGATGCACCCTGCTAAGCTTTAGTGTGGGGCAGCAGAGCTGGTCTGTTCTAATTTCCTCACGGCTTTGATATTCGCCAAGAGATTGACGGTTTACACAAAAAGCCAAGGCCCGAAGGAGGCCTGTGGAAACAATGAGCCTTCTTGCTTGTAGACACCACAGATGTGAGAGAAAGCTGGCTAAAAACAATTGGCTGACACTGTCTAATTGTCTCCGATGTCAGCGTCATTAATGTTTTCCCATGTAAAACGGAGAAGGCCAAGGTTGTATCCTCCCTTGATTTTGAGGCACATGATTATGTAACTTATCGAGATTCAGATTAAGTGTTAATTGTATTTATGCAATAAGGAAACTGAAGCTACCTTGGATTTAATGAATATGTGCTTAATTAATTTTGACAGCTTTTATCTTTATTACCTTCTGAATAATTCTTATCAGAATTAATAACATTTTCCAGTAATTAAAATCACAACTCACTTAATGATAATATATATTTACATTTCTTTCTAAGTTCAAACCAGGGAAATGATTATGAAACTTCGCTTATCTTCTGGGAAGCCTCTTACCAGGGTGTTAAGCAATAATTAGAACAAATACTTTGAGATGTCAGCAGAGCTTTTCAAATTAGACAACTGACCCAAGTGTTCTAAAGAAACACATGGTAATAACCAAGAAGTACCAAATTACAAGGCTACCCCTGTGAAACTCCAGACCTATTTTTATCTATGAAATGGCTTTAAAGATTTTTTCCTGAGGAGGGGAAAACTGGGGAAGGTGAAACCCTAGGAAGAACTGACAGATTGGACTGAAATTAAACATTTTTTTGCAAGGTAAGATCTTCCTACAGTGCTGATGATATATCAATCCAAGCTGAAGTATATTGCGTGTCATTGTAATCAGCAAATATTACACAGTTTGTACTGTGTGGCAACATCTGTGACACCAAAATAAGTCAAGACAAATACTGTCATTTCTGCTCCTTTTGGTATTTCTTAGGTCTTTTTGGGGCAATACATTTTTCTCATCAGAGCGGTGTAGTGCCTCAGATAGTGGCAGAGCAACGGAGTTGTGCCCAGGAGGAGAGATACTCTGTGATTTGTTTATGGTCTGTGATGCTTCTGAGTCAGGGAAGCCCACATATCCTGAGTTCCACATTGAGTTAAAATATATCAAATTTGTTTCTCAAAAATAATATATTGGAAGAATTAGCCTCCCTCAAAATCATTTCTCCAGGAAGCTCCATGTTTTCCTCTGAACCTTTTATTTACCCAGGTTTGTTACTTGAGTGCACAACTACCCTTGACAGAAAGCATTGGTTTTTGAACTTGGGGTCATGTATAGAAAATCATATTGCTGAGTGTTTGGCTTCCTGTATCCCTTCTTTACCTGCACAATAGCACTGACAAAGTGCAGTCCACACAGTGAATGCCCATTGTGTGTGGTTCCAATGCATTGTCCACAATTGTTTCCTAGTTGTTCCGTAAGTTGTTACAGTACAGCTTATGACTAAAGAGAGCCTGGTGTCGTGAAAAAGTCCGTAGCCTTTGGGGTTGGGTAGATCGGAGTTTGAATCTGGCCTCAGCTACTTATTAGCTGAATGACTTTTGACATGACTTTTTTGAGTCTCAGGTTTTTGTTTTGTTTAGTTGTGTTGTGTTTTTGAGACAAGATCTTTCTCTGTCACCCCAGCTGGAGTGCAGTGGCATGATCTCGGCTTATCCTCCCACCTCGGCCTCCCGAGTAGCTGGAACCACAGGCATGCACCATGATACGTGGCTTTTTTTTTCATTTCAAGTTATTAATAATAATGCCTTGCAGGGTTGGTGTGAGCTTGAAAGATAGTGATTGTGAAGTGCTCAACACAAGATCACCTGCAGTAGCTGTAAAATGGTGGCTACCATTATTATTGTAGTAATACTTTCTGCACTTGTGGGCTCTGCTGCCTCCAATTTCTAATTGTATGTATCTGGGCATGCTACCTAACTTGTCTTAGCTTAGTTCCTCATGTGTAATATGGGATGATGGTAGTATATACTCAGTGTCCTTGTGAGGGATAGTGAACTGAGGATAGTAATACTAATGATAGTAGATATAATGACTACTACTGACATTTATTGAAGGAGTTCTCATTATATATTGTAGAGTCTGAAGCATTTAGGACTCTATAAGTATTGGCTGCTATTCTTGCATTTATTGTGAAGCCCTTAGAATTGTTGAAGAATTTCAGCTCTGTCAAATTCTTCATGTACTGCTATTAGTGGACCTGGTGGAACTGTCCCTCAACCAGGCATTTCTTATCTATGAGCTGAAGAAAGTATTACATATGAGCCCATACCCTTTTCTTTTTAAACCCTTCAGCCTCAGTCTCTCCCTTATCTCCCCCTCACTTTTTCTAAAATTCGGTTCTCTAAAGACAGTAACAATGTGAAAGCTCACCCTGAATAAGTCCAAGCTTCTCCAGAAAATGGTAATTGCTCATCTTGATTTATTCCAGTACATAAACTATCTGCATGCAGCTTTTCTCTCAGTGACCCAAACCAGCTGGGCGCCGTTGCCTCATGATTGGCAGATCCTTATGCACTGGGTGCAGCCAGATGGGTCTAGAGAATGCCTTCTTCTTCCCCTTTGTTTTTATTGGCTTAATTTGTCCCCAAAGGGGATAAAGTTTCACAATTTTTAAATACCGTGTCTGCATTTGTGTGTGTTGGTTCATTTCAAACACACAGGGATTTACTCCTACAGATTTATCAATTCTCGCATTTGTCGCAAATTCTGGATAAAGGATGTTGTAGCTTGGTCATCTAGAGAATCATAGGCTTTCATATGCAGCAGCAAGAGAGTTTCTGAGAGGCTAGTGTCATTACCCAAACTAGAGTTTGCTTGCCTGTGAGAGGCCAAAGTTATAACCTAACCTATTATGTTCACATCCTTACTGGGGATCATTTAAGCCCATGGCTTCAAATCAGTTCAGTAAACATCTCTTAAACATCGGTTATTTGCAAGCTACTGTGTTGGGCATAGTGAATGCAAATCTAAGTACGGGAAGTACTATGCAATATAGTGGTTACATGTACAGGCTTTGGTGTCACATCTGGGTTAAATCTTTCATCTATCCCTTATTAGTTTAGACGTTTTCCTCATTTATAAGGGGTTGAGAATACCAATCTCCCAGGGTTGTTTTTAAGGCTAAATGAGACACTGTATGTAAAGCCCTGATCACTTGACACATGGCAGTCATTAATAAGACACAGTCCCTGCCTCAACTGGAGGATACAGGCATGGAAAAGAGATCATTTCCATGTCATGTAGTAAGGGAACTAGGCTCATTCTGGCAGAGTGGGAGGAAGAGGGCTTAGAGAAACCTTCCTGGAAAGGACACTCACTACTTGCCTTCGGTCTTGATGGATGAGGCAGTCATTCATGTAAAGTAGGGCAAGGGACCATATTTTCCCAGTGGAAGGACCAGCATGAGCAAATGCATACTGGAGAAAATGTATATGCTAAAAACTGCAAGAAATTCAGTGTTGTTAGGAACTCAAAGCCTTTGGATTGTGCTTACCTGTTAAGAGAGGCTGCTTGGAAATGGGCTGGCATTCTTTGGGCCTTTGTTTTTGTTCCCTCAGGGTAACTTAGTAGGTTCCACCTCCCCTTAGAAGGTGACATAGTCCAAGGAATACCAGTTCTTCTTTAATTTGCTTAGCTTCTGTTCTGAAAGGAAAGGTCATTTATGGGGAAAGGTCATGTCTGTCATTTAAGGAAAAGTCAAATGTGGATTTCCAGAGCTTTCCTTTTTGACTGTGTGACCTTATGCTATTTAGCCTGTGTCTCAGATTCCTCATCTATAAAATTTAAAATTTGGATAGTAATACTATTTACCTCATCTGAGATATTTCAGGATTAAGTGATACAATCCATGTAAAGTATTTGGAACAGTCCCTGGCACAACGCGTAAGCTCGATAAATGTTAATATTGATGCGTTAATTACTCTCAGGAGTATTTCCATTCAGAAGAAGGCAGAATTTAACTGAGAGTAATGGTGGACTTTTTCAGCATGATGTCATTTCCTATTTGGAACAGAGGTCAAGAGAAATAGTAAAAGGTGATCCTGTGCTTTCAATCTTCTCTTCCAGAGGATAATTTAGTGCTACCACACACACTGTAGTTGGAAAGGGAAGCACAGTTCCTAAATCATCATTCTGAGCCAACTTGTGCTCTTCTGTCACAGGGTCAGAAGCCTTTAAAGAAAAAGTCTTGGGAACAGATCCACCCCAACAGTCAGATCCTTTTTCTTATTCTTCTTCCCCTTCTCTATCCTCTTTTTCCTGGCTCACCTTTCCCTCCCTCCCTCCCTCCTTTCCTTCCTTCCTTCCTTCCTTCCTTCCTTCCTTCCTTCCTTCCTTCCTTCCTTCCTTCCTTCCTTCTGTTTTCACAAATTAGGGCACATGGCTTGGAGAACAGAGGACGGGGCGGATTTTAAATTCATAGCTAGGTGCCCTTGTGTAAGACAACTGGCACAATCATATGAAACAGCCCTTATTCCCTTCTGAATTCTTAACTTTTATTTGAGCCCACCCAATGGTGATTGTTTTGTTTTATTTCAAATTGTGGAAAATACATATAGCATAAAATTGACCATCTTAACCATTTTTAAGTGTACAGTTTAGTAGTGTTAAGTGTATTCACATTATTGTGAAGCTAATCTCCAGAACTTCTTCATCCTGCAAAACTGAAGCTCTGTACCTGTTAAAACAACAACTCCCCAGCCTTCTGTCCCCTGGCCCCTGACGACCAAATTCTACTTTCTGTCTCTATGAATCTGACTACTCTAGGTACCTTTATCAGTGGGATATCAGTATCTGTCCTTTTGTGACTGGCTTATTTAAACTGACTTAGTGTCCTTTAAGGTTCATCCATGTTGTAGCACGTGTCAGAATTTCCTTTCTTTTTAAGGATGAATAATTCCATTGTATGTATATTACAATTTGTTTACCCATTCATTATTGATGGACATTTGGGTTGCTTCTTTCTTTTGGCTGTTAGTAACAGTGCTGCTATGAACATGAACATGGGTGTACAAATATCTCTTTGAGACTCTGCTTTCAGTTCTTTGGGATTTATACCCAGAAGTGATATTGTAGGATCTTCTTTGAAGAACCACTGTGCTGTTTTCCATAGCGGCTGCACTATTTTACATTCTCGCCAACAGTGTACAAGGGTTCTAATTTCTCCACATCCTCACCAACATATGTTGTTTTCTATTTGTTTTTTGTTTTGTGTTTTTTGATAGCCATTCTAATGGGTATGAGGTGGTGTTTCATTGTGGGTTTGATTTTTATTCCCCTAATGATTTTCATTTTCCTAGTATTTCCATAATGAATGAAATGTCTATTCAATTCCTTTTCCTATTTTTGAGTCAGCTTGTTTGTTTCTGTGGTTGAGTTTTAGAGTTCTTTATATATTCTGAATATTAATATTTTATCAGATATATGATTTGCAAATATTTTCTCCCATTCCGTATGTTTTCTTCTCATTCTGTTGATACTGTCCTTTGATGCACAGAAGTTCTTAATCTTGATGTAGTTCAGTTTATTTTTACTTTTGTTGCCTGTGCTTTTGACGCCCTATCCAAAAAAATCATTGCCAAATCCAGCGTCATGAAGCTTTTGCTCTATGTTGTCTTTTAAGAGTTTTATAGTTTTAAGTCTCAAGTTCAGGTCTTTGATCCATTTTGAGTTAATTTTTTATATGTTGTAAGTTAAATGGTGATTTTTTGTTACTTTTTAAAGAGAGTACAAAGTTCCTGAAGTATTATCCTGCCTTTCCCCACTTCTAGACTCTAAATTACTTTTTATTAAATTTTTACAATGATATGACTTACATAAAGGTTGTTTTAAGTGTACTGTTTCAAGCCTTTTGAAAAATGTACACACCACATAAACAACACCACAATCAAGATTAGAACATTTCTGTCACCCTCAAAATTCCCTTGTGCCCATTTTAGTCAGTTCTTTCTCCTACCCTCAACAGCCACTGATCTGTTTTTTCTCACTATAGTTTTGTGTTGTCTAGAACTGTTGCTAATAGGGCTGCTGTCTGTACAGCCCTACCATGGGTTAGTGGGGCTGTACAGCCCTATTAATGTGCCAGAGATAGGGTTTTATTCTGCCTTTACCACCAGCACTCAATAATAATGTGCCAGGTTATAGGGATATAGAGAGGAATGGGACATGATACTTAACACGTTCATGGTCTGTTAGGAGCTACTTTTGTATGCTTCACTGAAAGTGCCCCAGACAAGACCCCTGATGTGTGTGTGGTCTAGGAAATGTGCCTAAAAGGAGAACTTAGGCATCTATGTTTTAGTGGCAGACCTAAGGCAAGTTAGTACCAGAGTGAATTTGATCAAAGACTCTTTCCAGAGCCACAAGTAGCAATGCCAAGCACAGAATTCTTACAAAGTAAACAGCCTATACGTTGCAGGTGCTGCCCCCTCACACCTGTATTGGAGGATTTGCCGAGTACAGACATTTTGACTTTTTAATGGGTGGCCGTGAAATTGACAAAGGAGGGTGGAGGAAATTGCATCTCTGAAAGTTTGTAGTTCATCATTCTCCTGGGAATGACTCAGCTTCTTCTTCCCTTCTAGCTATAATTCCAGTTTCTTTTTCTAATGGACACACTGATATTTTCATGCTTATTTCTAACCTTTTCGGGCCTACTGAAAATGTCCTTAAAGGGAAATGGAGAAGTTAGAAGGTATAATTCAAAAAGTAGCTTTTACGTGAATCAACTCTACCAATATTTAGGCAATGCCTTATAACAAAACATTTCTAAATTTTAATCAGTTATGAATAAAAGGTACTAAATGTGAATGGATGTGACTCAAAACACTGTAGTGAACTGAGGTAGCTGGTAGATATTAGAGGTTTGTTTTGTGTATTCCTGTGTAGTGCATCCACCCAGGTACAGTTTTCTGCATTCACCTAGTACATTCCGTGGGGTAAAGTTGTGTGTAATCAAATGCAAAATTCACATTTTGCACAAATTGTTCTTTAATATATTAGTTACACTGGAGCACATTCATATTTTCACAACAAACAATACAGCAGAACTAACTGTAATCTCTAACACTTGACCTGTTATTTTGGTTTGTTTTGTTTCCTCCTGCCTCAGCCTTCTGAGTGGCTGGGACTACAGGTGCATGCCACCATACCTGGCTAATATTTACACTTTTAGTAGAGATGAGGTCTTGCTATGTTGCCCAGGGTGGTCTCAAGCTCCTGGTCTCAAGCAGTCCTCCTGCCTCGGCCTCCCCAAGTATCGGGACTATACCCAGTCAAGTTTTTGTATATTTAGGATGCTAATCTGTTGCATTTAAATACATTGCAAAAAATATTCTCTGATTTTGTAGTTTGTCTTTTTGCTTTCTTTAAGCTGCCTTTTGCTGAATAGACATTCTTAGTTTTAATGTAATCAATTGTATTAATCATTATGTTTTGACTCATATTGTCTTGTTTAAGAAATCCTTTCCTGTATGTCACGTAAATATTTTTTAAAGTTTTATTTTCCATTAAAATCTTAATCTACTTTTTGTTGATTTCTATGTATGATATGAAATAGAGATCCACTTTTCCTTTTTGTATGTGTATAACTAACTCCATTTATCAAATAGTCACTCTTTTTTCTGCCCTGTCATCTCTGTCATGTGCCAAATGTAAATAAATGTATCTATGTGGTGGCTTTTTATTCTCTGTTAATAGTCAGTTTGTCTAACTCTGATCCAACACCATGGTGTCTTTAATTATTAACATTTTCTGTGTGTGAAATCTTTGTACCCGGTAGGGTTACTCCCCTTTCCTTATGCATTTTAAAAATTGTTTTAAAATACACATAACATAAAATTAACCATTTCAACCATTTTTAAAGTGTACAATTCAGTGACATTAAGTACATTCATAATGTTGTATAATTATCACCATTATGTTTACAGAAATTCTTCGTCACTCCAAACAACTAAACCTATTGCTTATTGCACCCATTAAGCAATAACTCCCTATTTCTTCCTCTATCCAGACCCTGGTAACCTTGGTAACCTCTAATCTATTTCATATCTCTATAAATTTGCCTGTTCTAGATATTTCAAATAAATTGAATCATACTATAGTTGACCATTTGTGTCTGGCTTATTTCACTTAGTATAATGTTCCAGGGCTCATTCATGTTGCAGCGTGTATAAGAACTTCATTCCTTTTTATGGCAAATAATATTCCATCATATGTATGTGCCACATTTTGTTTATCCACTCATATATTGATGGATACTTGGGTTGTGTCCACCTTTAAGCTCACATAAATAATGCTCCTGTGAACATTGCTGTCCACGTATCTGTTTGAGTCCCTGTTTTCAATTCTTTCGGGTATACACCTAGGAATGGAATTTCTGAGTCATATGATAATTCTATGTTTAACTTTTTGAGGACTCGCTGACCTTTTCCATAATGTCTGCCTCCTTTTATATTCCTGTTAGCACTGTATGAGGGTTCCAGTTTCTCCACATTTTTGCCAAAACAAGTATAAATGATATGCTAAGAGAAGGTAGGACTATATAAAACACTAAAATTAAAACCAGAGAAGGCAGAAAAGAATGGAGAACAAAAAAGAAAGAACAAGAGTGGCAAATGAAAATCAGTTACAAGTATTGTAGATACTAGTCCAACTATATTCATAATTAATTAAAATGTGAATGGTCTAATACATCAATGAAAAGACAAGGACGCTCAGAGTGGTTAAAATAAAGCAAACAAGACCCCAACTATGTGTTATCTACAAGAAACCCACTTTATAAAGTCACAAATTGACTAAAAGTAAAGTGATGGAGAAAGATAATGCTGTGCTCTACTAGTCAAAAGAAAGTTGGCATAGCTATATTAATTTCAGACGGCCGGGCGCGGTGGCTCATGATGGACGCGGTGGCTCACGCCTGTAATCCCAGCACTTTGGGAGGCCAAGGCGGGCAGATCACGAGGTCAGGAGATACAGACCATCCTAGCTAACATGGTGAAACCCCGTCTCTACTAAAATAAAAAAATTAGCTGGGCGTGGTGGCACACACCTGTAGTGCCAGCTACTCAGGAGGCTGAGGCAGGAGAATCGCTTGAACCCGGGAGGTGGAGGTTGAAGTGAGCCGAGATCACGCTACTGCACTCCAGCCTGGTCTACAGAGCGAGACTCCGTCTCAAAAAAAAAAAAAAAAAAAATCAGACAAAGCAGACTTTAGATCAAGGAAAATTATCAGGGATAAATAGGACCATTACATAATATAAAAGGGGTCAATCTGCAAAAAAAATAACAATTTTAATGTGTATGCACTTGACAACAGAGCATCAATCTACATGAGGCAAAAACTGAGAGAACTGCAAAGAGAAATAGACAAATCCAGTATTACAGTTGCTGATTTCAACACACTTCTATCAGTAATTGTCAGATCCAGCAGACAGAAAATCAATAAAGACATAGTTGAACTGAACCCCATCACCAGTCAACTGGATTTAATTGACATTTATAGAATACTTCAACGACAGAAGAATATGCATCTTTTTGAGCTCACATGAAACATTCACCAAGGTAGACCACATTCTGAGCTATAAAACGTACCTTAGAAAACTCACAAAATATGCTCTCAGACCACAACAGAATTAAACTAGAAATCGGTAATAAAGATAGCTGGAAAATACCCAAATATTTGGAGATTAAACAACACACTTCCAAATAACACATGGGGCAAGGAAGAAATCGCAAGAGAAATTTAAAAATATTTTCAACTAAGTAAACATAAAAATACAACTTATCAAAATTTGTGGGACCAGTAAAAGCAGTGTTCAGAGGGAAATTTATAGCATTGAGTGCATATATGAGAAAAGAAGGAAGGTCCAAAATCGATAATGTTTTTTAACCTAAGGAAACTAGAAAGAGCATATACAATTCAAAGAAAGTAGAAGAAAAATAATACAAATTTAAGCCAAAATCAATGACATTGAAAGCAGGAAAACAATAGAGAAAATCAATGAAACCAAAAGCTGTTTTCTTGAAGTTTATTAAAATTCACAAACCCTGGGGGAGGAGCCAAGATGGCCCAATAGGAACAGCTCTGGTCTACAGCTCCCAGCCTGAGCGACCCAGAAGACGGGTGATTTCTGCATTTCCATCTGAGGTACCGGGTTCATCTCACTAGGGAGTGCCAGACAGTGGGCGCAGGTCAGTGGGGGCGCGCACCGTGCGCGAGCCGAAGCAGGGCGAGGCATTGCCTCACTCGGGAAGCGCAAGGGGTCAGGGAGTTCCCTTTCCTAATCAAAGAAAGGGGTGACGGACGGCACCTGGAAAATCGGGTCACTCCCACCCAAATACTGCGCTTTTCCGACGGGCTTAAAAAACGGCGCACCACGAGATTATATCCTGCACCTGGCTCGGAGGGTCCTACCTCACGGAGTCTCGCTGATTGCTAGCACAGCAGTCTGAGATCAAACTGCAAGGCGGCAGCGAGGCTGGGGGAGGGACTCCCACCATTGCCCAGGCTTGCTTAGGTAAACAAAGCAGCCGGGAAGCTCGAACTGGGTGGAGCCCACCACAGCTCAAGGAGGCCTGCCTGCCTCTGTAGGCTCCACCTCTGGGGGCGGGCACAGACAAACAAAAAGACAGCAGTAACCTCTGCAGACTTAAATGACCCTGTCTGACAGCTTTGAAGAGAGCAGTGGTTCTCCCAGTACGCAGCTGGAGATCTGAGAACAGTCAGACTGCCTCCTCAAGTGGGTCCCTGACCCCCGAGCAGCCTAACTGGGAGGCACCCTCCAGCAGGGGCACACTGACACCTCACACTGCAGGGTACTCCAACAGACCTGCAGCTGAGGGTCCTGTCTGTTAGAAGGAAAACTAACAAACAGAAAGGACATCCACACCAAAAACCCATCTGTACATCACCATCATCAAAGACCAAAAGTAGATAAAACCACAAAGATGGGGAAAAAACAGAACAGAAAAACTGGAAACTCTAAAAATAAGAGCGCCTCTCCTCCTCCAAAGGAACGCAGCTCCTCACCAGCAACGGAACAAAGCTGGATGGAGAATGACTTTGACGAGCTGAGAGAAGAAGGCTTCAGAAGATCAAATTACTCTGAGCTATGGGAGGACATTCAAACCAAAGGCAAAGAAGTTGAAAACTTTGAAAAAAATTTAGAAGAATGTATAACTAGAATAACCAACACAGAGAAGTGCTTAAAGGAGCTGATGGAGCTGAAAACCAAGGCTCGAGAACTACGTGAAGAATGCAGAAGCCTCAGGAGCCGATGCGATCAACTGGAAGAAAGGGTATCAGCAATGGAAGATGAAATGAATGAAATGAATGAAATGAAGCGAGAAGGAAAGTTTAGAGAAAAAAGAATAAAAAGAAACGAGCAAAGCCTCCAAGAAATATGGGACTATGTGAAAAGACCAAATCTACGTCTGACTGGTGTACCTGAAAGTGATGGGGAGAATGGAACCAAGTTGGAAAACACTCTGCAGGATATTATCCAGGAGAACTTCCCCAATCTAGCAAGGCAGGCCAATGTTCAGATTCAGGAAATACAGAGAACACCACAAAGATACTCCTCGAGAAGAGCAACTCCAAGACACATAATTGTCAGATTCACCAAAGTTGAAATGAAGGAAAAAATATTAAGGGCAGCCAGAGAGAAAGGTCGGGTTACCCTCAAAGGGAAGCCCATCAGACTAACAGCGGATCTCTCGGCAGAAACCCTACAAGCCAGAAGAGAGTGGGGGCCAATATTCAACATTCTTAAAGAAAAGAATTTTCAACCCAGAATTTCATGTCCAGCCAAACTAAGCTTCATAAGTGAAGGAGAAATAAAATACTTTACAGACAAGCAAATGCTGAGAGATTTTGTCACCACCAGGACTGCCCTAAAAGAGCTCCTGAAGGAAGCGCTAAACATGGAAAGGAACAACCGGTACCAGCCGCTGCAAAATCATGCCAAAATGTAAAGACCATCGAGATTAGGAAGAAACTGCATCAACTAACGAGCAAAATAACCAGCTAACATCATAATGACAGGATCAAATTCACACATAACACTATTAACTTTAAATGTAAATGGACTAAATGCTCCAATTAAAAGACACAGACTGGCAAATTGGATAAAGAGTCAAGACCCATCAGTGTGCTGTATTCAGGAAACCCATCTCACGTGCAGAGCACACATAGGCTCAAAATAAAAGGATGGAGGAAGATCTACCAAGCAAATGGAAAACAAAAAAAGGCAGGGGTTGCAATCCTAGTCTCTGATAAGACAGACTTTAAACCAACAAAGATCAAAAGAGACAAAGAAGGCCATTACATAATGGTAAAGGAATCAATTCAACAAGAAGAGCTAACTATCCTAAATATATATGCACCCAATACAGGAGCACCCAGATTCATAAAGCAAGTCCTGAGTGACCTACAAAGAGACTTAGACTCCCACACATTAATAATGGGAGACTTTAACACCCCACTGTCAACATTAGACAGATCAATGAGACAGAAATTCAACAAGGATACCCAGGAATTGAACTCAGCTCTGCACCAAGCGGACCTAATAGACATCTACAGAACTCTCCACCCCAAATCAACAGAGTATACATTTTTTTCAGCACCACACCACACCTATTCCAAAATTGACCACATACTTGGAAGTAAAGCTCTCCTCAGCAAATGTAAAAGAACAGAAATTATAACAAACTATCTCTCAGACCACAGCGCAATCAAACTAGAACTCAGGATTAAGAATCTCACTCAAAACCGCTCAACTACATGGAAACTGAACAACCTGCTCCTGAATGACTACTGGGTACATAACGAAATGAAGGCAGAAATAAAGATGTTCTTTGAAACCAATGAGAACAAAGACACAACATACCAGAATCTCTGGGACGCATTCAAAGCAGTGTGTAGAGGGAAATTTATAGCACTAAATGCCCACAAGAGAAAGCAGGAAAGATCTAAAATTGACACCCTAACATCACAATTAAAAGAACTAGAAAAGCAAGAGCAAACACATTCAAAAGCTAGCAGAAGGCAAGAAATAACTAAAATCAGAGCAGAACTGAAGGAAATAGAGACACAAAAAACCCTTCAAAAAATTAATGAATCCAGGAGCTGGTTTTTTGAAAGGATCAACAAAATTGATAGACCTCTAGCAAGACTAATAAAGAAAAAAAGAGAGAAGAATCAAATAGACGCAATAAAAAATGATAAAGGGGATGTCACCACCGATCCCACAGAAGTACAAACTACCATCAGAGAATACTACAAACACCTCTACGCAAATAAACTAGAAAATCTAGAAGAAATGGATAAATTCCTTGACACATACACTCTCCCAAGACTAAACCAGGAAGAAGTTGAATCTCTGAATAGACCAATAACAGGATCTGAAATTGTGGCAATAATCAATAGCTTACCACCCAAAAAGAGTCCAGGACCAGATGGATTCACAGCCGAATTCTACCAGAGGTACAAGGAGGAACTGGTACCATTCCTTCTGAAACTATTCCAATCAATAGAAAAAGAGGGAATCCTCCCTAACTCATTTTATGAGGCCAGCATCATTCTGATACCAAAGCCAGGCAGAGACACAACCAAAAAAGAGAATTTTAGACCAATATCCTTGATGAACATTGATGCAAAAATCCTCAATAAAATACTGGCAAACCAAATCCAGCAGCACATCAAAAAGCTTATCCACCATGATCAAGTGGGCTTCATCCCTGGGATGCAAGGCTGGTTCAATATACGCAAATCAATAAATGTAATCCAGCATATAAACAGAGCCAAAGACAAAAACCACATGATTATCTCAATAGATGCAGAAAAGGCCTTTGACAAAATTCAACAGCCTTTCATGCTAAAAACTCTCAATAAATTAGGTATTGATGGGACATATTTCAAAATAATAAGAGCTATCTATGACAAACCCACAGCCAATATCATACTGAATGGGCAAAAACTGGAAGCATTCCCTTTGAAAACTGGCACAAGACAGGGATGCCCTCTCTCACCACTCCTATTCAACATAGTGTTGGAAGTTCTGGCCAGGGCAATTAGGTGGGAGAAGGAAATAACGGGTATTCAATTAGGAAAAGAGGAAGTCAAATTGTCCCTGTTTGCAGATGACATGATTGTATATCTAGAAAACCCCATTGTCTCAGCCCAAAATCTCCTTAAGCTGATAAGCAACTTCAGCAAAGTCTCAGGATACAAAATCAATGTGCAAAAATCACAAGCATTCCTATACACCAACAACAGACAGAGAGCCAAATCATGAGTGAACTCCCATTCACAATTGCTTCAAAGAGAATAAAATACCTAGGAATCCAACTTACAAGGGATGTGAAGGACCTCTTCAAGGAGAACTACAAACCACTGCTCAAGGAAATAAAAGAGGATACAAACAAATGGAAGAACATTCCATGCTCATGGGTAGGAAGAATCAATATCGTGAAAATGGCCATACTGCCCAAGGTAATTTACAGATTCAATGCCATCCCCATCAAGCTACCAATGACTTTCTTCACAGAATTGGAAAAAACTACTTTAAAGTTCATATGGAACCAAAAAAGAGCCCGCATCACCAAGTCAATCCTAAGCCAAAAGAACAAAGCTGGAGGCATCACACTGCCTGACTTCAAACTATACTACAAGGCTACAGTAACCAAAACAGCATGGTACTGGTACCAAAACAGAGATATAGATCAATGGAACAGAACAGAGCCCTCAGAAATAACGCCGCATATCTACAACTATCTGATCTTTGACAAACCTGAGAAAAACAAGCAATGGGGAAAGGATTCCCTATTTAATAAATGGTGCTGGGAAAACTGGCTAGCCATATGTAGAAAGCTGAAACTGGATCCCTTCCTTACACCTTATACAAAAATCAATTCAAGATGGATTAAAGACTTAAACGTTAGACCTAAAACCATAAAAACCCTAGAAGAAAACCTAGGCATTACCATTCAGGACATAGGCATGGGCAAGGACTTCATGTCTAAAACACCAAAAGCAATGGCAACAAAAGACAAAATTGACAAATGGGATCTAATTAAACTAAAGAGCTTCTGCACAGCAAAAGAAACTACCATCAGAGTGAACAGGCAACCTACAAAATGGGAGAAAATTTTCACAACCTACTCATCTGACAAAGGGCTAATATCCAGAATCTACAATGAACTCAAACAAATTTACAAGAAAAAGACAAACAACCCCATCAAAAAGTGGGCGAAGGACATGAACAGACACTTCTCAAAAGAAGACATTTATGCAGCCAAAAAACACATGAAAAAGTGCTCATCATCACTGGCCATCAGAGAAATGCAAATCAAAACCACAATGAGATACCATCTCACACCAGTTAGAATGGCAATCATTAAAAAGTCAGGAAACAACAGGTGCTGGAGAGGATGTGGAGAAATAGGAACACTTTTACACTGTTGGTGGGACTGTAAACTAGTTCAACCATTGTGGAAGTCAGTGTGGCGATTCCTCAGGGATCTAGAACTAGAAATACCATTTGACCCAGCCATCCCATTACTGGGTATATACCCAAAGGACTATAAATCATGCTGCTATAAAGACACATGCACACGTATGTTTATTGCGGCATTATTCACAATAGCAAAGACTTGGAACCAACCCAAATGTCCAACAATGATAGACTGGATTAAGAAAATGTGGCACATATGCACCATGGAATACTATGCAGCCATAAAAAATGATGAGTTCATGTCCTTTGTAGGGACATGGATGAAATTGGAAACCATCATTCTCAGTAAACTATCGCAAGAACAAAAAACCAAACACCGCATATTCTCACTCATAGGTGGGAATTGAACAATGAGATCACATGGACACAGGAAGGGGAACATCACACTCTGGGGACTGTTGTGGGGTCGGGGGAGGGGGGGAGGGATAGCATTGGGAGATATACCTGATGCTAGATGACGAGTTAGTGGGTGCAGCACACCAGCATGGCACATGTATACATATGTAACTAACCTGCACAATGTGCACATGTACCCTAAAACTTATAATAATAAAAAAATAAATAAAAATAAAAAAAATTCACAAATCTCTAGCCAAGCTAATGAAGACAAAGAAGACATAAATTATTAATATCATAAATTAAAGCAGGGCCATCACTACTGATCTAATGGACATTGTAAGGATAATTATGGACTATTATAAACAACTCTGCCCACAGATTTGATAACATAGATGAAATGGACCAATTCCTTGAAAGACATGACCTTCCAAAAGTCACACAGGGAGGAATAAATATGGAACAGATCTTCATATATTAAATAAATAATTTATTTATATTTACCTACATGTTTTTACTCTTCTGGTTCTCTTCATTTCTTCCTTTGTTTCTGTGCTTTCACTGGGAGGATTTTCCTCCTGCCTAAAGCACTCCTACTAGTGGTCTAGTGTGTGTAATGTGCTGCAAACAATTCTATTAACTCCATAGGTGCCAAAAATAGACAAGACACAATGGATCAAAGCTAAGTAGTTTATTATACACAGTGCAGCAAACATCAGGAGCATCTGCATGGTACGCTTATTCCCAAAATCATGGCAGAGCTTGGTCCCAAGTGCTATAATGATGTGGCCACAATCTACTACTCTCATAGGTGTGGCATATCATAGCGAGAGTAAATGTCAAAGGCTGTTAGTCACCAGCGGTGGCCACAAGATTACATACCAGGAAAACTAGTGGTGGCCACAAGATTACATGCCAGGCAGGTAATCACCTTTAGAAAGGTGAGTCAACTGCTGACAGGAGCCACCATCCTTGTAGATGGCTTACAGATGGGAAGCGTGTCTTCGATTGTGCTTTGTCTTCAGAGTCATACCGGTAGAGCCATGTTTCACCTTCTCTTATAGTTCTTCAAAGACGTGCTTCAGGATCTTAATCCCATGTGTTTAAAATGTCCATTGAAAGCTCTGCTCTTGTCTGCAGCTGATCTGGGCATAATGATTTGGCACCCATAGAATGGGAAGTTTGCTAAACTTTAATTTTTCAGTTAGAATTCTGTAAGTTGGACCAGTTGAGATGTCTATAGTGCTGGCTATTGTTTGTGCTGTTAATCGTCGACCTTCTTCGATTAAGGTAAGAATAAATTGTTGCGGGTGGTTTGCTGCTGCGTCTCTTCTTAAAATGAGTTACCCATTGTAAACTGCTGATTTATTTGGGGCATCAAGATAAATACAGTTGATGATTCATCCAAAGTGGAGGCTTGCCCATCTAAATCACTATGTAGCCATAAAAAATGATGAGTTCATGTCCTTTGTAGGGACATGGATGAAGCTGGAAACCATCATTCTCAGCAAACTATCACAAGGACAAAAAACCAAACACCGCATGTTCTCACTCATAGGTGGGAATTGAACAATGAGAACACATGGACACAGGAAGGGGAACATCACACACTGGGGCCTGTTGTGGGGTGGGGGGAGCGGGGAGAGATAGCATTAGGAGATATACCTAATGTTAAATGATGAGTTAATGGGTGCAGCACAGCAACATGGCACATGTATACATATGTAACAAACCTGCACGTTGTGCACATGTACCCTAAAACTTAAAATAATAAAAAAAAAGATTCTCCTCCCTCCTAATAAAAAAAAAAGATTTTGGTGATTGCTCCCAATATCTATGTGATAGTTATCCTTTCTTCTGTGGGCAAACTTCCAGTGAAAACCTTGATTTCCTTAAGTGCCCAGGTAGAGTTATTCTCCACACACATACCTCTATCAAGGTCAGAAGTCACATGTCATTCACTATCTTTCCATCTTAGCTCTTCGTTGTCTTTAGTCAAAATGCAAACTTGTGAGAATCAAACTTCCTTTCATACCTCCTCCTGATCAGCTGTTGGGAAAAGCTGACATATGACCACACTTTCTGCTTATGAAACTCAAGATTTACTTTGCCAACTAAGGAAACCTATTCGTAGAGGTGAAGCATTTTACTATTTTTGATTGCACATTTCTTCTTAAATCGTAAGGGCTTTTGTGCTGGGGGAGCTTAAGATCTAATATGAAAAAATAAAATGAGAGGTACTGAGATGTAAATATACCAGTGAAAGTCCTTAGAACTTTTCTTCCACTAAAATAAAGCAATAAAGTCAGCACACTAAAGGCAACACTAATGAACTTTTATACACCCTAAATTAATAATAATGGATACTGTGCAATTACTTTCCATTTGCCACCCTTTTCTCCAGAAACTTGTAAGTCAATTTCGCTTTAATGAAGATAATGTGTAAATTCAGAGGCGTCTGTATGACCTTGGACAAATTAGTGCGAGGCATATTTTTTCCGGTTCTCTTTCTAAAAGTTAATGTTTTGCAGGTTTTGTGAATCAAAGTTAGTGCTTTTTCCTAGAAGCCCCAACTTTGAGCCAGAGATTCAAAATAACTTTCGATATTTGAAATGATGAAATCTCTTGGTGACTTTCATCCATCCTATCCAGTGCAGCTAAATATGCATTGTAATTTGTGACTTTATATGGAATTATGGTATACATATGTTTATTTGTGCACATTTTTCAGGCAGAGTTGATCATTTCTGTTATAATTTAAATATAAACATGTGTTGATATTCTCAGATGGTGGGTTTGGGAATGGAATAGAGATAAGTGAATGATGGAGGAGATCTGGAGGTCTTTGCAATGAACTCCTAAGAAAGAGAGATGCAGTTGAAGCAAAGAAAACCTGGGCTTTAGTTCAGCACTCTAGCGGACAGCTCCAAGGATGTAACTGTATGTCAAATCAATCCACTCCTTTCTACCCCTACTGTCACTTTCCTAAATTAAACAGTGGTTTCTCTGCCATCAATCTTGTTCAATTCAGTCCATTTTCATATATAATATCTAACATTATCTTTTTTTTTTTTTTTTTTTTGAGACAGGGTCTTGCTTTGTCGCGCAGGCTGGAGTGCAGTGGAACAATCTCAGCTTACTCCAACCTCTGCCTTCCAGGCTCAGGTGATCCTCCTGCCTCAGCCTCCCAAGTAGCTGGGACTACAGGCATGCACCACCACGCCTAGCTAATTTTTTTATTTTTAGTAGAGATAGGGTTCCACTATGTTGCCCAGGCTGGTTTCAAACTCCTGGACTCAAGTGGTCTGCTCACCTTGGCCTCCCAAAGTGCTAGGATTACAGGCGTGAGCCACTGCACCCAGCCTCTAAAGTTATCTTTCTAAAATACAAATCATCCTGTCAGTGTTGCCTAAAATCCTTAAATGGTCTGGACCTGTATGCCTTATCTCTAGCTATTTCCTCCTTACATGATTGTTCTAATTCTACTCTATTTAATGTTATTATTTGCCATGGGTGTTCTCAATTCTTCCTCTAACCCATTCTAACTAATTTCTATTCTTCCTTCAGGTCCTAGTTGAGCCACTACTATAATATCTCTGGTATCTTCCTGACCACTCCCAACCAAGTAGAGTTTCTGGTGTCTTCTTGACCACTCCTAACTCCTAGAATGTTCCTACCATAATGCATATCACACTATGTGGATAATTGCCTCTAATTATTAGTTTGTATTCCCTAGTAGATTGGAAGTTCCATGAAGTCCCAGGCCATGCTTTTCTTGGTCACTGTTGCATCCTCAGTGTCTAACAGAATACCTGGCATTAAGAATTTGCCCGGTATTTATTTGGTAAATAATTGAATGAATGAAGGATCTTGTGATTTCCATGACAGGCTGACCCAAGGCTTTTACCATCTCAAATGCACAAGTTATGTTGCACTGAGATCACTGTAAGATCCAAGAGACAAAACTCAGGGCAGGAATGAACAACTGTGACTCATCAAATCTAGGGAGCCTCTATGTTGAGGGCTGGGCTTGAGAAACACTGATTCTCAGGATGCAGAGTAACTACAATAAAGCAAAGCAGATTCCTAAATACTGTGTTGAAACTCTGGGGAAAGGAGATCTAGAACATTTTTACCAAGCCAGGGGAAAGATAAATGGAAAATAATAGTACA
Organism: Homo sapiens; assembly: GCF_000001405.40. Classification (NCBI taxonomy): domain Eukaryota; kingdom Metazoa; phylum Chordata; class Mammalia; order Primates; family Hominidae; genus Homo; species Homo sapiens. Next base: position 117,075,091 of record NC_000010.11, on the reverse strand, counting down.
GTTTCCATGTTTTAATAATTTATAATGTGTAAAATTCAGTTATTTATATCTGTATTGTTTTATTTTAGGAAATGCAAAAGAGTCTTTTTCTTCACAATATCTTAATTTTTTTTTCAATCCTAAATTCCCTGAATGTCCTGAGGAACTGAAACTCCTGAAAGACTACTACATTTCTTAATTCCTCAAGTATAGAGCCTTAGCTTTGACCAGGATGACTCTCAGCCGTAGAGAGTACCTGCTATCTGCCCATCCTCCCTACAGACACGGGAGGGCAGTGCAAAAGCAGGTTTATTGTCCCTGGACTTCTTTTGTCTGTCCAAGGTGTTGTAAAAATTTCTACTCCTGCCCTGCCTACTGCTGCATTTCCTGTTCCTAGTCTCAGTTCCCTGTTCTTGTAATTATCTCCAATAGAAATGGCATGGGTTACTAAAATAAAAATACTGTAATTCTGTATTGTTCTGGAAAGTGATATGGAAATTAATTTACATATATCAAAATTGTACAAGAGAGGATCTAAAATTTTTGGTGGTATCACTGAAGTGCAGTGGTTCTTTTTGTGAGTTGTGGATTACTTGAGAATCTGATGAAAGTTATGGATTATCTCCCCAGAAAGATGTACATAAGCACAATTTTGCATATAATTTCAGAAGTCTCATGAAGTATAGATTAAGGATCTCTGCTGGATCTCTTACTGAAGGACTCTTGAATTCTGACAGTTGGGTACTGATGAATGAGAAGAATTGGAGGTGCTATGGCTATGAATTTGTTATTAAACATGAAACGTTTCCAAGGAGTGCACCCTGTCACAGAGTTTGATTATAGGCTTTGACATGTGCTTTATTAAAATTTATGACACCGTTAGCTCAAAAGCTATTAGGGAGTGAACAACAGGGTCATTTGGTGTTTGCTGAGAGTAGTTAGAGACTATTAGCTTTCTAATGAAAAGATAGGATGTACAATTAGAAAAATAAGAATTAGCTAAATTTAGCTAAAGGGGAAAAATGATATGCTTTAAACTAATATTTCCACAATGTCGGGACTTAACGTATAGCATTTTACTCCCCATTCCATTACACCTAGTGCTGCCTCTGCCCCTGCCCCATTCAAAAAAGTCTCATATATTCTGCAATGACTGCAGGCATTCTGGGATATAGGCAGCGGGAGCTCTATTTGTAGAAACCTCAGGGAGCTCTGGAGGGGGACAGTGCCTAGGGGGTACTAATCCTGATGGCTGCCTCAAGGACCATGACAAGATGCAAAAGCCATCCATTGAACTGGCAGAGGGGCAAAGTGGATCTCCAGGTGCTCACCTGAAGGAGACAGAATTAGGGGACACAAATTGGGGCTCAAGAAGAGTTACTGAGTTGTCTTCCAGCCAGTAGCCTCAGGGTTCATGTCAGACTCCTAGAGGAGGGGGCTAAAAATTAAAGCAAATCCAGTGAGGAGAGGTGGCATCACCCATACTTTGATGTTGGTATGTTCTGGATGTTAGGCTAATCAATGAAATGCAAAAGTGGCACTGCTTTTATCCTCCTCACCTGCAAACGTTCTCCTCCCCTCTAACTTCTGTGACATATTGGAAATGCACTATAATATGGTAGTTAAGTGGCTCAGCCACTTACCAGCTATGTGACCATTGCACATCATCTATCTGCTTAGCTTCTCATCTATAAAATGGCTAAATAATAGTATGTACTTCATAGAGTTATTATGAGAATTAAATGAAATAATGCACATAAGTAGTACAGTGCCTGCTGCCTAGTAAGCAATTAATAAATGCTTGCCGTTTTTGTAGTTATTTGGACATCTACTCTTCCCTACTAAGCTGATTTCTCTTCTTCCTCAGGAACACCAATTATTCTTAGGTTTGGTCGTTTAACATAATCCCAAATTTCTTGGAGCCTTTGTATTTTCTTATTCTTTTTTCTTTGTCTTTGTTGGATTGGGTTAATTCGAAGACCTTGTCTTTGAGCTCTGAATTTCTTTCTTTTACTTGTTCAATTCTATTGCTGAGACTTTCCAGAGCATTTTGCATTTCTGTAAGTGTGTCCAATGTGTCCTGAACTTTTGATATTTTTTTATTTATGCTATCTATTTCCTTAAATTTTTCTCCCTTCACTTCTTGTATCATTTTTTGGATTTCCTTGCATTGGGCTTTGCCTTTCTCTGGTGCCTCCCAGATTAGCTTAATAACTAACCTCCTAAATTCTTTTTCAAGTAAATCAGGGATTTCTTCTTGGTTTGGATCCATTGCTCGTGAGCTAGTGTGATTTTTGGGGGTGTTAAAGAGCCTTGTTTTGTCATATTACCAGAGTTGGTTTTCTGGTTTCTTCTCATTTGGGTAGACTGTCAGAGGGAAGGTCTAGGGTTGAAGGCTGTTTTTCAGATTCCTTTGTCCCATGGGGTGTTCCCCTGATGTGGTACTCTCCCCCTTTTCCTATGGATGTCACTTCCTGAGAGCCAAGCTGTAGTGATTGTTATCTCTCTTCTGGGTCTAGCCACCTAGCAAGTCTACCAGGCTCTGGGCTTGTACTGGGGGTTGTCTGCACAGAGTCCTGTGATGTGAACCGTCTATGGGTCTCTTGGCTGTGGATACCAGCACAGTATTTGGGATGTCTCCTGGGTCCTGCAGGAGCAGTCCACTTCTTTCAGAGGGTGTGTGGGTCCTCTCGGGTTTCTTGATTTATTCCTGCCGTCATTCTGGAGCTAAAATTCACGATGTGGGCCTCTACACACTGCTCTGTCGTTCTGAGCTGGAGCTGCAATCTAGTCCTCTTCCCGTCTGCTATGATGGAACCACAATCACAAAGTCCCACAATAGGCCATCTGTAAGTGGAGGAGCAAGGAAAGCCAGTCCAAGTCCCAAAACTGAAGAACTTGTAATCCAATGTTTGAGGCCAGGAAGCATCCAGCACAGGAGAAAGATGTAGGCTGGGAGGCTAGGCCAGTCTATTCTTTTCCCATCCGCATATTTGAACTAAATTTTTCTTCATTCACTGTAGTCAAAATTGGCCCAAAGTAAGAAATACCAGCTTGACATACACAGTAAAGTACAAATTGCAAATTTCCTGTCAGGAACAAAGTCTTAGATATTAATTTCACAGAATGAAAGTCCTTAGAAAAGGTCTGCATCTTATTTGAGCTAACAAATTACTGTCTTTCACAAGAAAACCACAGGAATTTGAATTTCGGTATTATCAGATGCTCCTTGTTAGCTCAAATACAATTTGCAGTGACATATACAACAGCAGGATTTGCAACAGGATTCTAGGTCTCCTGCCCGCCTCGGCCTCCCAAAGTGCTGGGGTTACAGGCATGAGCCACCGCACCCAGCCAGGATTCTAGGTCTCAAGATAACTCCAACAGTTTTCTGGCAGCCTAGTAGACTGTTATAATAAGCAGAGCAAGTGGCTGACTAAATTATGTGATTTGAGGCCCCAAAAGCCCAGCCCTGATGGCTGGCCAGGAGTCAAGAATCTCACGGTCTAAAACACCTCACAAGTTTATCAACAAATGTGGAAGGACTTTAGAGACAGAACAGGAATAAATGCCATTTCTGTCACTCATTAGCTATGTGATCTTGGGCTAATTTCTTAATTTCACTTTGCCCCAGTTTCCTCATTTATGTGATGAGAATAGCAATATTCACTGAGCTGACTTATTGAGTAATGCTATTAGCGGTCCTAGCATAGTTCCTGACATGCAGATTTCATTTCCTTCACTATCTAATCACCATTTATAGGGCCAGAAAACAGAGAGTATTTCCTGCTTTGATCTTGTTTTGACATTATAGTTACACAGGAGATTCTGAAGATAGACTTTCAAATATAATAAAATTAAATATTTCACCAATGCAAAGTGTCAAACATGAGGAAACATCATAATTATTGATAGCAAGAGAGCACAGAAAATTACTTTAAAAAGACAATTAAAACTCATTTTGCTTAAATCTTGTAAAATGGCATTTTATGAAATTACATTTTATTTATTCATGTAAGATAATTGCTGCTTTATTGTTAAAGGTAGGAAAATATACATAAATAAAACATTTTTAAAATTAAGAAAAATTATATTTTAGTTGATATCTCCAAGCCTCTTTCTGAGAAAAAAAAATCTCTAAGCCTATTTTGGATCCTTATAAAACCAACATCTATGCAACTGCTACAGGGCCCTCTGTTTGTGGGCTGGTGAAGATGATGCAGCCTTCTCTTCTGGGTTTAATGCCCCCTGAGTGGCATTCTCCCTCCACTTTATCCCTACTAAAGCCTGCTTTTAGGAAAAGAAAAAGAAAGGATTCGACGTTGAATTCCAGTAAATCTAGGTGAATGAACTGAGAGCCAAGAGGAAGATTTACCGCCAAACTGATCTCTTGCATCCACTCAGGGTGCCGCTGTGGCACCCTGAGTGGATGCAAGTCAGGCGTGATCTCAAGAACCTGAGTAGCCCTGCGTGCTTCTTCTCTGAAAAAGAAGCTATCCTGCCTGCTTACCAAAATGTGGAAAGTTATTTTTTATTGTTAGAGATAGCTTTGAAAAATATAAATACCTCTTAGAAAATAGACCAGAATGACTAAAACTCATTAAAAAAATTAAGTGACTGCAACTCGTTAAATTCTGGGCAGTTATTTTGCTGGGAATAAGGAAGGTGAGGGGGAAAAAAAGCATAGAACACAAAGAGAAAAGCAGATAGAGGAAAGGAGCCCCCAAGAGTCAATAGGGACTTCAAAAGAAAATCTCCGGCTGTGGTTTTAAACTAGAATCTGGAGTTATCAAATTTTTTAATTCTAGCGATAAACTATGATTTAAACAAGAACTCCCCACTCCACACACACACACATAAGAATAGAAAAAATGTATACCTCCCATATCCACTTAGTGGTAGTTTGCAGCCATTTGACTAACATGCTTAATATTGACTTCGGGGTCCATTATGGGCATCAATGCAGCAGGCTGGATTTTTTTTTTTTTAGCAGTTTGATTTTTAAGACTTTCCCATGGCTTTTAATACTTTTTTTGATTCATCTTCATTATGGATTTTAAAAGCAAAGGTCTTTACTTACCTTGAAAGTACTACTTTTTCTATCATCGTAGTTCCTTGCTAATGGGTTTCTGAATTCCAATTTCATTACTTAATTTTTATAGAACTCTACTCCCTTTATTATTACATTTGCCTTTGTAATATGTACAATCTGTTGGCTAGATATAACAGGGCTTTAAATATTTTCCCTGTGTACCATTAATAAAAATTGGTTGCTGATTCATTTGCTTTGCAGAATAAATCACTGTCTCATCCATGCCCAACAGAAAAATGGCATGTGTTATCTCCTGATTATACTCACTAGCTGTTTTGCTCTGATCTCTCTTCTCCTCTACACTAGTGAAGATAAAATGTTCTTAGTTATAGAGAGGAAACAAGCAGAGTGGTAAAGCCACTTGGACTTTATAAATGTAATAGTAATAATTTACTTAATAATAGTAATGTAACACTTGACAGTTTACTGAAGACCTTCATTTATATTATCTGGTTTGAATCCTGAAGGGTTATAAATGTGACCTACACAAGTTCATGATTAGTAAGTAAGGGAGGCCGCCCTTTCTTTCCTTTAATCAGGCTCAAGTATTTTTCCATCTAATGAACCAAAATCTTTCTCAGTTCCACATTCTTTTTTAGCTACAGCTCTCCTCACCTCCCCTTCAGAGCCAGGCCACTTGAGAGTGATCTATACATCTTTCACCTCTTCCTCACTTCCCACTCGTTCTTCAGCTTGCTCTAATCCGAGATTGGTGCCCACTACTATATTGGGCGGACCCAGTAAAGATCGATGCAACCTTCTGCTTCCTAAATGCAGTGAATACTTTTCAGTCCTTCTTTTACTTGATTTCTCTATATTACTTGACATTATTGATTATTCCTGCCTTCTTACAACTAACTCTTCCCTTGGCTTCTGAGACCTCACTGTCTTCTGGTTTTCTCCTACTTTTGCAGCAGAGTTTTCATGGTCTTTTCAGTGACTCCTGTTCCTCTGCTTTTTCCTTAAATATGGAGATTTCCTCGGGAGGCCAGTTTCCATTCACCTCCCTTTCCTTTTTCTTCCCTTTTCTTGTCATCCCAGAGCAAGTTTATCCATTTCTCACTGTTTCCTATATAGGTAGATGATTCTTTAAAAAAACTGTCTCAGATGTTCTCAAACATAAACAAAAGCGGAAATAATGGTTTAATTAATGTCTGTGTACTCATCACTCAGCTGCAAAAATTACCAGCACTTTACACATTTTGTGTCACTTATCCTTCCCCATCATGTCACTGCACCTGTAAATATTTGTAAATATTTCAATATACATTTCATGAGGGCTTTGAAGTTATAGCCACTGTGCCATTTGTATACCTAAGCAGAATTAGCAGTAATTATTTAATGTCATTAAGTAATGGCATTGAATCCAGATTCAAACAAGAAATTGATGACTCTTTTTTTTTTTTTCAGATGGAGTCTCACTCTGTCACCATCTAATGAACCAAAATCTTTCTCAGTTCCACATTCTTTTTTAGCTACAGCTCTCCTCACCTCCCCTTCAGAGCCAGGCCACTTGAGAGTGATCTATACATCTTTCACCTCTTCCTCACTTCCCACTTGTTCTTCAGCTTGCTGTAATCCGAGATTGGTGCCCACTACTATATTGGGCGGACCCAGTAAAGATCGTTGCAACCTTCTGGTTCCTAAATGCAGTGCAGGCTGGAGTGCAGTGGTGCAACCCCAACTCACTGCAACCTCTGCCTCCTGGGTTCAAGCGATTCTCCTGCCTCAACCTTCTGAGTAGCTGGGATTACAGGTGCCCACCACTGCGCCTGGCTAATTTTTGTATTTTTAGCAGATGGTGTTTCACTATGATGGCCAGGCTGGTCTCGAATTTCGGAACTCAAGTGATCCACCTGCCTTGGCCTCCCAAAATGCTGGGATTACAGACGTGAGCCACCGTGCCTGGCCTGATGACTCTTAAATGGGTTCCCATTTCTCGTCTGCCTGACCAGGCCTCTGTCTTGGGCTCTGAACCCAAGTATCTATCTCACCTCTCATAGCTCCACTTGGAGGCCTCAAAGATGCTTTGGACTCTTTATGTCTCTACTTCAACTTCCTATGGCTCTCCAAGCTATTCCTTATTTTGTGCTTCCTCTCTCAGTAAATGGTACTCCTTGTCTATGCAATTGTTCATGCCAGGAACCTGAGGTTTATTGTTGATATTTCCATCTCACCCACTTCCCATATCCAATATGTTACCAAATACTGTCAACTCTATCTCCTAGATATATTTTCAGTCTATCTTTCCATCCTTCCTGCCATTATTTTAGTTTAAGTCATTTTTCCCTTGGATTGCTGCAACAACCTCCTAAATGCTCACCATTTCTAGTCCTTCCTCCTCCAGATCTTCTTTCCATGACAGCCAGGGATTGATTGATTGATTGATTGATTTTAAAATTTTTTTTTATTTAAAAATTTTTTTTTAGATGGAGTTTTGCTCTGTTGCCCAGGCTGGAGTACAGTGGCGCGATCTTGGCTCACTGCAACCTCTGCCTCCCAGGTTCAAGCGATTATCCTGCCTCAGCCTCCTGAGTAGCTGGAACTACAGGCACCTGCCACCACGTCTGGCTAATTTTTGTATTTCTTTTAGTAGAGACGGGGTTTCCCCCATGTTGGCTAGGCTGGTCTCGAACTCCTGACCTCAAGTGATCCACCTGCTTTAGCCTCCCAAAGTGCTGGGATTATAGGCACGAGCCACCGTACCTGGCTGGGATCTTTCTAACATGTAAATCTGGCCATTGCCACCCTCCTTAAAACTCTTCAGTGGCTCCTCATTGTTTTCAGGATCAATTTTAACTTATAAGGCCTTTGGAACCTAGTTCTTGCTAATGTCTCCAGCACAATTTTTTTCTTTTTCTCCTGATACTGGGTGCTCCAGCTGTTCATTCCTTAAATGTTCCACACTCTTTCTCCTCAGGCATATGTATATGTTGCCCCTTCTAGGCAGAATGCTCTTACATTTCCTCTCTCAACCCTTTCCTCATTGATTTAAGCCCTACTTGTCTTTGTATTTTGCCTAAACAACACTTTTAGGAAGTCTTTGTTTACTTTCCAAGTCTTAGTGAGGTGCCTGTTTTCTGGGTGACTGAGGTACCTGGAAGTATCCATTTCTTACTCCTTTTGTAGCTTTTATTTCACAGATAAGAGCAGTAATGCCTGTTATTTGCTGCCTTCTGGTCATAGTTTAGCATTAAGAATAGTACCAGAAATGAGGCAAATGCTCAGTAAATATCAGTTGAATGAAAGAAGTCTTCTAAGTCCCACGTTCTTTCTAGTATACCACTGTTTCTTAGTGTTGTAAGTATTGTATGTGATAGCTGTTTGCTCTAGCATCTAGGCCTTGGGAAATTCAGCTGGATATTCAGAAAATGGCCGAAACATGGAAATAAGGTAGTATAGGGTAAAGATTGTTAGTTTGTTTGTGTCTTAGGGCTTTTGTAGTAACTATTCACATTCCTTATAATATTGTCCCACATCTTCACCTAGTTGGCTCCTTGTCACCTAGACAAGTGTAAATATCACCCTCAGAAAGGTATTTTCTGATCTCACAGTCTAACATAGTCACATAGTTATCACCATGTCCCAATTTTAATTCTACCCATAACACTACTGTTTCTTTGTTCATTTGTCTTTCTCTCTCTCTCCAAGGGAGACAAGGACCTTTGACTATTCTGTTCATCGCTGTATAATAGGGACTCTATAAATATTTATTGTATTAGTGGAAAGAGGAATAAATGAATACCTGCTATAGAAATTGAGGTGATACAGTTCTAGGACTGGTAAGGGAAAATTGCAAGCCTGTTTCCCAGGGAGTAATTTTTCAAATGTAAGCAAAGTTTTCAAAAGTAAACAAGAACTCCATAGGTCCTGTTATTAGTTAGACATGGAATCTTGTGTATAACTTTTTTCTGTGCTATTTCTAATGTTTCTTTTCCTTTTCTTTTCTTTTTTTAGAGGTAGGGTCTTGATATGTTGCCCAGGCTGGAGTGCAGTGGTGAAATCATAGCTCACTGAAACCTCAAACTCCTGGCCTCAAGCCTCCCACCTCAGCCTTCCAAACTGTTGGGACCACAGGCATGAGTCACCATGCCCAGCCTAATTTTTCCCCCCTCCCCTCCCCTCCCTTCCCCTCCCCACCTCCCTCCCTCCCTCCCTCCCTCCTTTCCTTCCTTCCTTCCTTCCTTCCTTCCTTCCTTCCTTCCTTCCTTCCTTCCTTCCTTCCTTCCTTCCTTCCTTTCTTTCTTTCTTTCTTTCTTTCTTTCTTTCTTTCTTTCTTTCTTTCTTTCTTTCATCTCTCTCTCTCTCTCTCTCTCGCTTTGTTGCCCAGGCTAGACTGCAGTGGTGCTATCTTGGTTCACTGCAACCTTCATCTCTTAGGTTCAAGTAATTCTCATGCCTCAGCGTCCTGAGTAGCTAGGATTACAGGCAGCTGCCACCATGCCCGGCTAATTTTTGTATTTTTGGTAGAGAGGGGGTTTCACCATGTTGGTCAGGCTGGTCTCAAACTCCTGACCTCAAGCAATCCACTTGCCTCGGCCTCCCAAAGTGCTGGGATTACAGGCCTCGGCCTCTCAAAATGCTGGGACTACAGGCATGAGCCACCACACCCAGCCTAATATTTCTTTTCTTAGGGAGATGTGGAAGCTGTTTGATGGATGCTCTCCATTAACACACTTTTCTTTTCTTGTTTTTTAATGTTACTTTAAGTTCTGGGATACATGTGCAGAATGTCCAGGTTTGTTACATAATTACACACATGCCATGGTGGTTTTCTACACTTATCAACCCGTCATCTAGGTTTGAAGCCCCACATGCCTTAGGTATTTGTCCTAATGCTCTCCTTCCCCTTGCCCCCAACCTCCCTACAGGCCCCAGTGTGTGATGTTCCCTTCCCTGTGTCCATGTGTTCTCATTGTTCAACTCCCACTTATGAGTGAGAACATGTGGTGTTTGGTTTTCTGTTCCTGTGTTAGTTTGCTGAGAATGATGTAGTCCACCTTTCTTAAGTGAGGTGATAAGCATGTGCTAGTATCAGCAGAACCAAAAAGAAGCAAGCTCTGGGAGAGGTGTAAATGAGTAAGAAAGGAATCAGAGAGCCTCCCGAAAGAAACCTTTTCACAGAAGAGGGAGGCAACAATTTGCATAGTTCAGCTTCAGAAACCCTGTTTCAGAGACTCCTAATGAGGCTAACGGAATTATCCCAAAGAACAGACAGTAAGGTTCAATTTAGATCGCTGGCTTTCTTCTGAACACCACAGTTGTGTGGGACTTTGGGCAATAATGGTGATCGTTGTTGAGGGTGGGACAAGTGGGGTTTGGAAAGGCAGTGGGGTATGAAAGTACATTTCTTTTTTTTTTTTTTTGAGACAAAGTCTCACACTGTTGCCCGGACTGGAATGCAGTGGCACGATCTCGGCTCACTACAACCTCTGCCTCACGGGTTCAAGCGATTCTCCTGCCTCAGCCTCCCAAATAGCTGGGATTACAGGCGCCCACCACCACACCCAGCTAATTTTTTGTATTTTTAGTAGAGACGGAGTTTCACTATGTTGGCCAGGCTGGTCTCAAACTCCTGACCTCGTGATCCGCCTGCCTTGGCCTCCCAAAGTGCCGGGATTACGGGCATGAACTACCATGCCTGGCTGAACGTACATTTCTAGTGAGAGGCAAGATACAGCCAATGTGTCTGAGAGTGGGTATGAAGAGTTGGATTAAACTCCCTTTCTTGGTTCCTTGTAACCTTTGCAAATGTAGCCCAAGGATAGTCTCAATATCACAGTGCCCAATTGGTAGCCACAGCAAACTCATGGTTGGAGCATCTACTTTTGAGGCCAGCTTTGAGTTGAAACATTTGTTTTATCTAGTTCACTGAAAATTGAATAAGAATATATGACTTTCCAGCTTCTAGTTTCACAGTTTCTTAACGCCAGTGCTCAATGAGACTTGCTGTAAAGGGGGAAATGAGCACACCAGAGAGAAGTTTTCATAAAGTTATTCAGTTTAAAGGACCATCCTTTATTCCGAAGTGATACTTTTGGTGTTACTTTTTTTATTTTAGGGAATATGGTGAAAAGTATATTATAGCTTTTATCTTAGTTTAGTTCTTGTTTAGAAAAAAAGTTAAAAGTTGGATTTGGGGATATCAAGAAAGGCCTTTGAAAAAGTAACATTGCAGTGGAGAACTGAAGAATGAATACAAATTGCCAGGTGAATGGTGTAAGGAAGAGTGGTTAGAGAAAAGGCACCAAATGTAGGAATACAATGAGGCAAGATTGGAGTATTATAAGGAATAAAAAGACCTTGAACATTCAAGGAAAGAGGGTCAGTAGATGAGGCCTGGGGGTAGTTGGGACAAGATCATGTAGGATCTTAATGCCACACCAAGGGCTTTGCATTTTTCTCAAGAGCAATAGGAAGCTATATCAATTAAGGGCACATAAGGAAAACAGAAATCTCTCTAGAAATTTCAATAAAATGAATTTAATACAGGGAATTGGCTAACACATGTACTAGGTGGCTGAGAGAGCAATGCATGCCCATTGAGATAACCTGATATTAATACTACAGGAAGCATTTTCCACACCATTGGACTGATGATATTCTTAGAACCTGGGAGTGCCCAAAGTGACTCTTGGAGCACGTGGTGAAACCGTGGAGCAGAGGGCCTGGTGCTGAAACTGGGATCACCAAAGGACAGATCCACTTCACTTCTAAAGTCGCTATCTGAAGGGATGGGGGCTTTCCTCCTCTTCCTGCCTTTTACCCTCCTGCCAATGCTTCCTGTTAGTAAAGGCTAACAGGAAATGTAGTTTACAGATTCCTAGCCATGATATTATCGTGTGGAATAGAAAAGGGTGAATGTAGGAATGGGAGACAATAATAGGATGAGTCAGTAAAAGGTTTAAATTAGGGGAGGGAAAAGAATCCATAGATTGCAAAGAGATTGATATGTTTGTGAAAACTTCCCTTCTGCGGTTTACAAAGCCATCTCCATTTATGGTTAGTATTATCCAGTGAATTCCAGTCACTCAACTTAAAGCCTGCTGATCTTACATTCTCTTTCCTGTAGGTACCGTCTGAGTTCTTAGTTACATGTAATTACCTATGCCTTGCCATGAATGAAGAAATAATTCTAAGTAATTACCTATGCCTTGCCATGAATGAAGAAATAATTCTAAATTTATTGACCATAAGGGGAAGAAGCAGCTCTCAAACTGTTTGGCTCAGTACACCATTCTTAAAAATTATTGAAGACCCACAAAGAGCTTCCCTTTATATCTATCAACATTAACCTATGAGTTATACAAAAGAATCTAATAATAATAGTTACCCTTTGTTGAATACCTACCATGTCATAACACATTACAATGTCTCATTTAATTTTCACAATAAACCTATAAACTGGGTATTATTATTATGTGCATTTTAGAGTAAAGGTAACTGAGGCTGAGGAAGGTAACCTGATAAATGGCCTTGCTGACATTTGAACTAGGGCTTTGTGACCCAAAACCTGTGCTCCTACAATTATAGCATAGTATCTAGCCTAGAATTCTAGGAGGAGCTCCTCAATAAGAACCTCAAAATGTAAGCTAATTCATTGATGTCCAATTTCTTACTTGTGAGATTCCCAATGGGAATTCTGTGTCAGTTGAGCAAGACACACAATACTCAGGATCTTTTGTATCTTGAACTTTTTAAACTAATGATACTTAAAATGTATGGTCAAAAAATGTTTTTCACTGTAGGGTAAATTCACTTTTACCTATAAATCATATCATTCTCTTCCTAGCTGAAAAGTTCTAAGATTTATTTCCTCCTTTACTGTTAGTGTTTCCTTTTTAATCAGGTTATTTTGTTAAGTATACAAAGTTTAATTAAAAGACTAATGTGAAATGTTATGCAAATAATTTGATCAGGCCACAGTGACGGGAAGGGAAAGTAATTCTTCTGGAGGGAGAGCTGAAATTCCTTAGCAGAACCTATCTGACCCTTTTTTGAGGTTAATAGCAATGCAAAAGATAAATAATGTTTGGAGATCATTTAAACCTGAAGCAAACCCATGAAATGCCATTATACTCTACCTACATTTCAATTCAGAAAGAGAATCATTGTGCACACGTCAGTAAGAGTGTTATTTTAAAACATAGCATGGAATGTGTTTTGTAGAAGCAGGCCAATTGGTTGGTGCTGATTGTTAGGTTTCGCAGAAGCCTAAGTGGAGTGACTTTTCCTCTTTGTAGAAAACCTGGCGAGGTGTGGTGGCTCATGTCTGTAATCCCAGCACTTTGGGAGGCCAAGGCAGGCGGATCACCTGAGGTCGGGAGTTTGAGACCAGCCTGACCAACATAGAGAAACCCCGTCTCTACTAAAAAAATACAAAATTGGCCGTGCATGGTGGCCCATACCTGTAATCCCAGCTACTCAGGAGACTGAGGCAGGAGAATCGCTTGAACCCAGGAGGTGGAGGTTGCAGTGAGCCGAGATCATGCCATTGCACTCTAGCCTGGGCAACAAGAGCAAAACTCCATTTCAAAAAAAAGAAAAAGAAAACCTATGTGATGGGAGGCCAAGGCGGGCGGATCGCCTGAGGTCAGGAGTTTGAGACCAGCTTGGGCAACATAGTGAAACCCTGTCTCTACTTAAAAATACAAAAATTAGCTGGGCATGGTAGTGCAAACCTGTAATCCCAGCTACTCGGGAGGCTGAGGCAGGAGAATCGCTTGAACGCGTGTAATCCCAGCTACTCGGGAGGCTGAGGCAGGAGAATTGCTTGAACCCAGGAGATGGAGGTTGCAGTGAGCCAGGATCGTGCCACTGCACTCCAGCCTGAGTGACACAGCGAGACTCCACCTCAGAAAAAAAAAAAGAAAAAAAAAAAAAAAGACTAAAGCTTCAGGCTATAGTAACAGTAGACTTGTCTTAACTATGCATAATAATGGTGTATCAACAAAATATGAACATTGCCAGCAAAGGTGGACCATTTTGCTTAAAAATGTGTTGTTGTTTCTTCCCAATTGGATTCCTATACTAGTTCAGCATTAATTGTTACTGCTGTTTAAATTAGAAACCAAGGTCTTTAACAGAATCATCTAGGCAGATATATACTGTTTTAGGCACTGTACTACATTAGGTTTTTGTCAGAGTTGCTACTCTTCCTAAGATTTCTTTCCTCTCGCTTTTCCGACCATAAGTAGTTTAAAATACCACAAGTTTTCTGTAACATTAATTCCTGAATGAACTATTAGGCTATGAAACCAACTTCAAGATGGTACAGTCATCATGAAGATAGTATCATCTGGTTGAAATTTGATTCCTTTTGTATTCCATGTTATCTACTCAAGGTGAAGTTCTTGTGTATTGTACACACTTCTGGTTTGTTTTCTTGGTTGACCTACTATAGACAGCTTCTATATAGGTAAACAAGGGTGGAAAGACATTACATTTTAGTTGCTCTGTTTATTAATTCTTTGAAGTCATCTGAGTTCCTAGTTACATGTAATTACTTATGCCTTGCCATGAATGAAGAAATAATTCTAAATTTATTGACCTTAAGGGAGAGAAGCGGTTCTCAAACTGTTTGGCTCGGTACACCATTCTTAAAAATTATTGAAGACCCACAAAGAGCTTCCCTTTATATCTATCAACATTTACCCTATTAGAAATTAAAGTAGATATTTAAAAAATATTTATTTCATGTCATTAAGCCTAACAACAATAAACCCACTATGTGTTAGCATAAATAACATTTTAAAATGAAAAATCACAATATATATTTTTATTTTATTTTTATTTTTAGAGATAGGGTCTTACTCTGTTGCTTAGGCTAGAGTGCAGTGGCATGTAATTTTGCCACTGTAGCTCACTGTAACCTTGAAATTCTGGGCTCAAGTGATCCTCCTGCCTCAGCTTCCTGAGGAGCTAGGACTACGGGCATGCACCACCATGCCTGGCTAATTAAAAAAAATTTTTTTTAGGGATGGAGTTTGGCTGTATTGCCCAGGTTGGTCTCAAACTCTTGGCCTCAAGAGATCCTCCCACGTTGGCCTCCCAAAGTGTTGGGATTACAGGCGTCGGCCATCACACCCAGCCCATATTTTTAATTAAACTTCTTATTTTGACATAATTATAGATTCACTTGCAGTTGCAAAAGATAATACAGAGAGATTCTATGTATCCTTTAGCCAGTTTCCCTCAATGGTACAATCTTCCAAAACTGTAGAACAATATCAACGAGGATATTGACATTGATACAGTCAAGATATAGAACAGTTCAGTCACCACAAAGATCTCTTCTGCCCCTACCACCAAACCCTAGCAACCACTTATCTGTTCTCCACTTCTATAATTTTATCATTTCAAGAATCTTATACAAATGGAATCATACAGTATGCAGCCTTTTGGGATTGGCTTTATTAACTCAGCATAATTTCCTGGATATTCCTCCAAGTTTTGTGTATCAAGAGTTTGTTCCTTTTCATTGCTGAGCATTATTCCATGGTATGTATATATCACAGTGTACTTAGCGATTCACTTGTTGAAGGACATCTATGTTGTTTTCGGTTTTTGGCTATTACAAATATGGCTGCTGTGAACATTTGTGTACAGGTTTTTGTGTAAACATTAAGTATTCATAAGTATTCATTTCTTTGGAATAAATGCCCAGAGTGCAATTGCTGGGCTATGTTGTAGTTGCATGTTTAGTTTTGTAAGAAACTGCCAAACTGTTTCCCAGAGTGGCTGTACTCTATATTTTACATTCTCACCAGCAATGTGTGAGTGATTCAGTTTCTCTATATCCTCACCAGTATTTAGTTTTGTCATTATTATTATTGCAGTGGGGGGTAGTATTTTTCCCATGTTTTTATTGTGGTAAAATAACATAAAATTTATCATTTTAACCATTCGTTAGTCTGCAATTCAGTGGCATTAAGTACCTTCATATTGTTGTACAGCTATCACCATCATCCATTTCTATAACTCTTTTCAGCTTACAGAACTAGAAGTTCTACACCCATTTAACAATAACCATTTCCTCCTCCTTTCATCCCCTGGCAACCACATTCTACTTTGTCTTTATGAATATGACTATCTAGGTATCTCATATGAGTGGAATAATATTTTTGTTTTGTGACTGGCTTATTTCACTTAGCCTAATGCCCTCAAGTTTTATCCATGTTGTAGTATGTGTCAGAATTTCTTTCCTTTTTAAGGGTAAATAGTATTCCACTGTATGTATATACCACATTTTGCTTGCGCATTCATCTATCAATGGATACTTGGGTTGCTTTTGGCTATGGCTGCCATGAACATAGGTGTACAAATATCCCTTCAAGACCCTGCTTTTAATTCTTTTGAGTATATACTCAGAAGTGGAATTGGTGTATTATATGGTAATTCTGCCATATCGTTTTTCATAATGGCTGCACAATTTTATATTTCCACAAGCAGTGCGTAAGGGTTCTAATTTCTCCTATCCCCACCAGCATGTATTATTTTCTGTTCTTTTTTTAATAGTAGCCACCATAATGGGTGTGAGGTGGTATCTCATTGTGCTTTTGATTTGTGTTTACTTAATGATTAGTGATATTGCCTATCTTTTCATGTGTTTATTGGCAATTTGTATATCTTCTTTGGAAAAATGTCCATTCAATTCATTTGCCTATTTTTGAATCAGGTTGTTTGGGTTATTTTGTTGAGTTTTAGGAGATCTCTATATAGTCTGGCTTTTAATGACTTACCAGTTATGTGATTTGCAAATATTTTCTCCCATTTTGTGGGTTGCCTTTTTATTCTGTTGATAGTGTCTTTTGATGCAAGAAAGTTTTTGATTTTCATGGAGTCCAACTTGTCTATTTTTTCCTTTTGTTGCTTGTTTTTGTCATACCTAAGAAATCATTGTCAAATCCAATGTCATGAAGATTTTGCTCTGTGTTTCCCTCTAAGAGTTTTATAGTTTGAAGTTTTATGTTTAGGTCTTTGATGCATTTCGAGTGAATTTTTGTATATGGTGTTAGGTAAGGGTTCAACTTCATTCTTTGGCATTGGATATCCAGTTTTCTTAGGATCATTTATTGAAAAGACTGTCCTTTCCCTATTGAATAGTCTTAGCTCCCTTGAGTGGGTCATACTTTCCTGTTTCTTTAAACGTCTTGTGATGTTTTGTTGAAAACTGAACATTTTAATGTAACAATGTGGTAACTCTAGAGATCAGATTCTCCCCCTTCCCTAGGGTTTGCTGTGTGTTTGTGCTTGTTTTGTTTAATTCTGCTTTTGTTTTTAGATTGTTGTAGGCTGTGTCTGTGCCGGGGATCAGCTTAAGGTATAAACTTAATGTCTTTTCTGAGCCTGTGCCTTCCCTTGAGCATGCAGAGTCACTTTCTAAATTCCCTGCATATGTGGTTGTTTTGAATGTCCTAGCCCCTAAATGCCTGGCTCCCAAAGGGGAAAAAGAGAAAAATGAAGGGAAAAGGGAAGGAGCCATATAGCCTGAAAGTTATTTCTGCCTGAGTGGGAGGGCCTTGTAGCAATGGGAATTTGCCACAATTACTGCCTATCTCTGTGTTGTCTGCACTTCCATGATCAAAAGCAGCAATCCGTGATTACAACCCAGCTCTCCAACATTTGAAGGATTGGGTCTTTTTTGTCTACCCTGGCTGAGGCAAACTGCAAGCTGCTCCTGGAATATGTGTACAGCTGCTTACCAGGTGGCTTGGGGTGGGGGATGGATAGCTGCTGCTGAGCTAATAGCTGAAATTCACCAAAATTAACCCGCAATTTACTGTTTAAGTCTTCCTCTGGAAGCTGCAAGCCTTCAATAGACTCCAGAGTTGATCTTGTTTTCCTGCTACATTGCTGAACCCATTTATTAGTTCTAGATTTTTTTTGATTCTAGATTTCTTGAGATTTTCTATGTAAACAGTCATGTTCTCTGCAAATGGGGGCAGTTTATTTCTTCCTTTCCAATTGGTATGCCTTTTACTATTTTTCTTACCTCATTGCGGTAGCTAGAACTTCCAGTACTATGCTGAATTGAAGTGATGAGAGTGAACATCTTTATTTTGTTCCAGAATTTAGACCAAAAGCATTCAGTCTTTCATCTGTAGGATTTTTATAGATGCTTTTATCAACTTGAGAAAGTTACTCTGTTCTTAGTTTGCTAAGGGTTTTTGTTTTTGTTTTTATTTTGTTTTGTTTGTTTGTTTTGAGGCAGAAGGAATCTCTCTCTATTGCCTAGGCTGGAGTGCAGTGGCACCATCTCGGCTCACTGCAACTACTGCCTCCTGGGTTCAAGTGATTCTCCTGCCTCAGCCTCATGAGTAGCTGGGACTACAGGCACGTACCACCATGCCCGGCTAATCTTTTGTATTTTTAGTAGAGACGGGGTTTCACAGTGTTAGCCAGGATGATCTTGATCTCCTGACCTCAGGTGATCCACCTGCCTCGGCCTCCCAAAGTGCTGGGATTACAGGTGTGAGCCACCACGCCCAGCCAAGAGTTCTTATCATGGATGAGTATTGGATTTTGTCAAATACTTTTTCTGAATCAATCAATCCCATGAATTTTCTCCTTCAGCCCATTGATAGGGTGGACCATTACATTGATTGATTTTTGAATGTTGAACTAAACTTGCATACCTGAAATAAATACTTGGTTGTGCTGTATAATTCTTTTTATACATTGCTTCATTTGATTTGCTAATATTTTGTTGAGGATTGTTATGTCTATACTGATGAAAAATATTGATCTGTAATTTTCTTTTTTGTATTGTCTTTGGTTTGGTATCAGGGTAATACTAACCTCATACATTGAGTTGGTAAGTGTTCCTTCATCTTTTACTTTCTTGAAAATATTGTGTAAAATTTGTGTTAATTCTTTATATGTTTTGTAGGATTTTCTAGTGAAGCTATCTGGGCCTGGAAATTTCTTTTTCAGGTTTTTAATTACAATTCAACTTCTTTGATGGTTATAGGACTATTCAGGCTGTCTGTTTCATCTCAGTTAAGTTTTGGTAACTTGTGGTATTTGAGGAATCGGTCCATTTTCTCTAAGTTCATAGTATTCCCATATTATCTCTTTTGGCTTAAAAAATTACAGTAAAACATACATAGCATACAATTTACCCTTTTAACCATTATTTTTCTCTCTACTTAGAGACAGGGTCTTGCTCTGTCGCTCAGGCTGTAGTACAGTGGCATGACCACAGCTCTCTGCAGTCTGGAACTCTTGAGTTGAAGTGATCCTCCTGCGTCAGCCTCCTGAGTAGCTAGGACTACTGATGCATACCACGATCCCTGGCTAATTTAAAATATTTGTTTAAAGACAGGGCTGTGCTATGTTGCCCAGGCTGGTCTTGAACTCCTGGCCTCATGCAATCCTCCCACTTTAGCTTCCCAAGTAGCTGGAATTACAGGTGCAAGCCACTGCACCCAGGTCTTAACCATTTTTAAGTGTAGATTTCAGTAGCATTTAGTACACTCACAGTGTTGTGCAACAAGCACCACTATCTGGTTCCAGAATAATTTCATCACTCTAAAAGGAAACCCCATACCCATTAACCAGGCACTCTCTATTTCCCCTTCCTCTTCAACCCTGGTGTTAATGGAAAAACCAAAGTCTGTAGAATATTTTAAAGAGGTTTATTCTGAGCCAGTATAAGTGACTGTGGCTCAGGAAAAACACAAACCCAAGAAGCCTTGAGTAAGGGATACCAAGGTGGTCAAATTACAGTTGATATGGTTGGGCTCTGTGTCCTCACCCAAATCTCGTCTTGAATTGTAATCCCCATGTGTCAGGGGAGGGACTTAGTGGGAGGTGATTGGATCATGGGGGTGGTTTCCTTCATGCTGTTCTCATGATAGTGAGTGAGTTCTCACGAGATTCGATGGTTTAGAAGTGTCTGGCTTTTCTTGCTGTTTCTCTCTCCTGCTGCCATGTAAGACGTGCCTTGCTTCCCTTTCATCTTCTGCCATGATTTTAAGTTTCCTGAGGCCTCCCCAACCATGTGGAACTGTGAGTCAATTAAGTCTCTTTTCCTCATAAATTACTCAGTCTCAGGTAGTTCTTTATAGCAGTGTGAAAACAGACGAATACAGTTTTATACATTTCAGGGAGGTAGGAGTTATAGACAAAGACATAAATCAATATATGGAAGATATATATTGCTTTGTCCTGAAAAGGTGGGATATCTTGAAGCGGAGTCTTACACGCTATAGGTGGATTCAGAGATTCTTTAATTTGCAGTTAAAGGAGTAAGGCTCTGTCTATACCTTGAAGTCAGCAGAAAGAAATATTTAAGTTAAGATAAGGATGCTGGCCAGGTGCGGTGGCTCACGGCTGTAATCCCAGCACTTTGGGAGGCCGAGACGGGCGGATCACAAGGTCAAGAGATCGAGACCATCCTGGCTAACACCGTGAAACCTCGTCTCTACTAAAAATATTAAAAAAATTAGCCAGGCATGGTGGCGGGCACCTGTAGTCCCAGCTACTCGGGAGGCTGAGGCAGGAGAATGGCGTGAACCCAGGAGGCAGAACTTGCAGTGAGCCGAGATCACACCACTGCACTCCAGCCTGGGCGATAGAGTGAGACTCCATCTCAAAAAAAAAAAAAAAAAGATAAGGATGCTATGTCAGAGTCAGCACAATATACTGGATGAAACAGACCTGTTTAGCAAGATTGATGTCCTACAGGCATGACTTGCATGGCCTTAGGTTTTGCTTATAATTTGGTATCTTATTGCCATAAAGAATCAGTTTTGTCAGTCTTATGATCTCTATTTTAACATTAATGCTGGTCAGTTGTTGTGTCTAAACTCCAAAAGGTCAGGGGTAAATGAAACGTGTCCAACCTCCCTTCCATGGTGGCAGGGAATTCAATTTCTCTGGGATTCCCTGGCTAAGCAGGGATCCATTCAATTGGTGAGGGGCTTAGTATTTCTAGTTTGCACTGGCAATCACTAATCTGCTATCTGTGTGAATTTTCCTACTCGATATTTTATGTGAATGAAATCATGCAATATGTAGCCTTTTGGGTTTAGCTTCTTTCACTTGGCATAATGTTTTCAAGATTCATCCATATTGTAGCATGTATCATACTATGTTTCTTTTATGGATGAATAATATTCTATTATATGTATATACCACATTTATTTCATTTGTTGGTGGACATTTGGTTTGTTTCTACCTTTTGATTATTGTGAATAGTGCTGCTATGAATATTCTTATACTGGTTTTTGTTTGACACTTTCACTTTTTGTGGGTATACACTTAGGAGTGGAATTGCTGAGTCATGTGGTAATTCTATGTTTAATTTTTAAAGGAACTACCAAACTGTTTTCCACAGTATGTGCACCATTTCATGTTCTCACTAGCAATGCGTGAGGGTTCCAATGTCTCCACATCCTTGCCAACACTTCCCATTTTTAAAATAATAGTCATCCTAGTGGGTATGAAATAGTATCTCATTGTAGTTTTATTTTGAATTTCCCTGATGACTAATGATGTTGAGTATCTTTTCATATGTTTGTAAGCCATTTGTATATCATCTTTGGAGAAACATCTATTCAAGTCCTTTCCCCATTTTTAAATTGAGTTGTTTGTCTTTTTGTTGTTTAGTTATAAAAGTATTATATATTCTAGTTATTAGACCATTATTAGATATATACTCCATAAATATTTTCCCCCATTCTGTGAGTCTTCTTTTCACTCTCTTAATAGTGTCCTTTGAAGCACAAAATATTTTAATTTTGACCAAGTCAAGTTTATCTATTTTTTCTTTTGTTGTTTGTGCTTTTCATGTCCTATCTATGAAATCATTTCTAATCTGAAGATTCTAAAGATCATTACTATTCTTTCTTCTATGAATACTTCTTTCTTCCATAAAACTTCTTTTATAGTTTAGGCTCTTATATTTAGGTATTTGATCCATTTTGAGTTAATATTTGTAAATGCTATGAGGGGTCACGTAAGGGTCCAACTTAATTCTTAATTCTTTTTTTTTTTGAGACACAGTCTTGCTCTGTTGCCCAGGCTGGAGTGCAGTGGCATGATCTTGGCTCACTGCAAGCTCCACCTCCTAGGTTCACGCCATTCTCCTGCCTCAGCCTCCCGAGTAGCTGGGACTACAGGTGCCCACCACCATGCCTGGCTATTTTTGTTGGTATTTTTGTAGAGACAGGGTTTCACCATGTTAGCCAGGATGGTCTCGATCTCCTGGCCTCGTGATCCACCTGCCTCAGCCTCCCAAAGTGCTGGGATTAGAGGCGTGAGCCACCGCACTCGGCCCAACTTAATTCTTTTACATGTGGATATCCAGTTGTTTCAGCATCTCTTGTTGACTTTTCTTTCCCCATTGAAGGATCTTAGAACACTTGTCAAAAATCACTTGACTATAGACATATGGTTTTATTTTTTGCCTTTCAATTCTATTCCATCGATCTATATATCCATCCTTATACCAGTTTCAATTTTTTTTCTTACTGTAGCTTTGTAGTAAGTTAGGAAATTGGGAAGTGTGAGTCCTCCAACTTTGTTTTTCTTATTCAAGATTGTTTTGGCTATCTGGGGTCCTGTGCCATTTCATATGTATTTTAGAATGGCTTCTCTATTTCTGCAAAAAAATGCCATTGGAATTTTGCTAGGGATTGCATTGAATATATAGATAGCTTTGGGGAACACTGCCATCTTAACAATAGTAAGTCTTCTAGTACATGAACATGGATTGTCTTCTCATTTATTTAGGTTTTAAAATTTTCTTTTAGTAATGTTTTATCATTTTTAGTATACAAATCTTACATCTCCTTGGGTAAATTTATTCCTAAGTATTTTGATCCTTTTGATGCTATTATAAAAGGAATTTTAAAACATTTCTTCTTAAATTACTTATTGCTAGTTTATAGTAATTCAATAGATTTTTACATGTTTATTTTTTTATGATAGATTTTTGGTGAATTTGTTTATTAGCTCTAGAAATTTTCTTTGTGTATTCCTTAGGCTTTTCTATATATATATATATATATATATGATTATGTCATTTGAAAATAAAGGTAGTTTTACTTCTGCCTTTCCAATTTGGATGACTTTTATTTCTTTTCCTTGCCTAATTATTCTGTCTAGGATTTCCAGTGCAACGTTGAATAGAAGTAGTAAAAGCTATCATCCATGTCTTGTTCTGATTACAGTGGGAAATCTTTCAATATTTCACCATTGAGTATATGAAGTCAGTTGTAGGTCTTTCATGAATGTCCTTTAACCTGTTGAGGAAATTCCCTGTTATCACTAGAATAGTGAATTTTTTTTTTTATCATGAAAGGGTGTTGGGTTTTGTCAAAGGCTTTTACTAGATCAATTGAGATCATATGGTTCCTCCTCTCTATTCTACTAATGTGGTATATTATATTGATTGTATTTCCTATGTTGAACTACCTGTGCATTCCTGGGATGAATCTGCTTTATCATCATGTATAATTATTCTAATGAGCTTCTGGATTTGGTATACTAGTATTTTGTCGAGGATTTTTGCTTCTGTGTTCATAAGGGATATTGGTCTGCAGTTTCTTTTCTTGCATTGTCTTTGTCTGGCTTGGTGTCAAGGTAATGCTGGCTTCTTGGAATGAGTCAGGATGTATTTCCTCCTCTTCTATTTTTTTGAAGTATTTGAAAAAGATTAGTGTTAATTCTTCTTCAGATGTTCAGTAGAATTCACCAATGAAGTCATTTAATCCTCAGCTTGTTTTTTGTTGGGTGATTTGTGGTGACTTTTGGTTATTGATTCAATCTGTTTGTATGTTATAGGTCTATTGAGATTTTCTATTTCTTCTTGAGTCAGTTGTGGTAGTTTGTGTTTCTAGGACTTTGTCCATTTCATCCTGGCTGTCTAATATTTTGGTTTATAGTAGTTTATTGTATTCCCTTATAATCCTTTTATTTATGTAAACTTAATAATAATGTTCCCATTTGTTTTTTTGAGACAGGATCTCACTCTGTCACCCAGACTGTAGTGCAGGAGTGCGATCAGACATCACTGCAGCCTCAATCTCTTGGGCTCAAGCGATCCTCCTGCTTAGCTTCCTCAGTAGCTAGGACTACAGGCAGGTGCCACCACACCCAGCTAATTTTTATTTTTATTTTTTTGTAGAGACGAAGTCTTACTATATTGCCTAGGCTGCCTCAAACTCCTGGGTTCAAGTGATGCTCCTGCCTTGGCCTCCCAAAGTGTTGGGATTACAGGTGCGAGCCACCAAGCCTGGGCTGTGTCACCATGCCCAGCCTGTTCTCAGTTTCATATTTGATTTTAGTAATTGAATCTCTCTCCTTTTTTTTTTTAGTCATTCTAGCTAAGGTTTGTCCATTTTGTTGATCTTTTCAAACAATTAACTTTTGGTTTTACCAATTATTTTGTTCTTCTAATTGTCGATTTCATTTATTTGCACTCTAATATTGATTATTTCCTTACTTGTTCTAACTTTGGGTTTGGTTTGCTCTTCTTTTTCTTGCTAATTAAGGTGTACAATTAGATTATTGACCTAAGATTTTTTGCTAATGTAGGCTATGAATTTCCCTCTGAGCACTGCTTTCACTGCATCCATATGTTTTTATATATTGTATTTTATTTTCATTCATCTCAAAGAATTTCCAGTCATTCTCGTGATTTCTTTTTTAATCTATTAGTTGTTTAAACTGTTATAATTTTAATGGCTGTAGTGAAATCTTCTGTATTATTCCTGATACTGATGATTTATATATTTTATCTTTTTATCTTTATCAGTCTTGCTAGAGGTTTATCAGTTTTATTGATTGTTTTCCAATGAAGAAGGCTTTGTTTTATTGATATTCTCTATTGTTATCGTTCTATTTTTGTTAGACATGGGGTCTTGCTGTGTTGCCCAGGATGGCCTTGAACTCCTGGGCTCAAGCAATTCTCCTGCCTCAGCCTCTTGAGTAGCTGAAACTACAGGCTCATACCACTACATCTAGCTAATATTCTCTATTGTTTTCAGTTTCATTTATTTCTGTTCCTATCTTATTTCCTTCCTTCCACTTCCTTTGGATTTGCCCTTCTTTTTCTATTTTCTTGAGATGATTATTTAGATTATTGATTTCAGACCTTTCCTATTTTCTAATATAAGCATTTAGCAGTATAAATTTCCCTCTCAGTGCTACTTTAGCTATGTCCCACATATTTTGATATGTGTATTTTCATACCGAAAAACATTTAAGATACTTATTGCATCATGGAATTTTTCAGTACCTAGTCTAATGGCCCTTAATTTCCTCAACTGTGGCCCCTTTCCTTCATCCAAGCCTCTCTTAAATCATGGTTTCTAGAACGTAGATGTCTGGATTGGTCTAGCTATTGCAGAATAGTACTAGACTATCTGTTCATTCCTTTGTTTGTTCATTCATTTACCCATTCATTCATTCAACAAACATTTACTGCGGTCCTATACCAGTCATTGTGCTGGCTAGGAATATAGAGATGTTTAAACAGACATACTCCTTCTCTTTATGGCTCTGTCTGGCAAAGATGACAAATAATTAAACAAATAATTTCAAGCATCACCACTATCTCCCTTGTTATAGAAACTCTACTACCATTAACACAAAGCTAGGTTAAAATTCTATGAGGTTTTTTGTTTTTTTTGTTGTTGTTGTTGTTTGTTTGTTTTTTTCCAACAAGTTCTGCCATTTTCTATCCTATTTTCAAAAGTGTTTGCCACCTTGAACCTAGGGTGATCCTCAGCTGGTCTGCACTCTACAGGCTATTCCAGTTGCTTAAAGCTGACTTGTTTCTGATTGGTTAAGGCTGTGGTTGGATGTTTTGAAGATCATCCCTGACCTGAACCATGACTGCAAACATCTCTGTCTGTCCCTTTCCATTGATCACTCTTTTGTGATACAATCTGAGCCCATAATGGAGTAGCACCTTAGCTTTGGGTAGAGTGATAAAATTTTTTAGAGTTCTGTTAGTTAGGACTTTTGGTCATCACCAAACCCTTGATAGATATGGTCCCCAATTGACAGATGAACCAATTGAGACTCCGAAAGGCTAGGTTACTTGCCCAGTTGGGAAAATCAAGAACTGATACAGGTTTTTAGATTCCCACCTAGGCCTTTACTTTTGCCTCAATCTCACTGTCTCTTCCTAGTTGACCATTAAATATATTTTAAAGAGGGCAAAGTCCAATTGCATAATAGGTCTGCCTGTCTGAAACATGATAATTAGTGCTAATGGCTGGGTATTACCTGGCATGCATGTGTTAGGTTTACAGTAAAGAATGTCTACTTTTTATTAACTGTCCTTTTAGATATATTAGTGACTGTCACACCTGAATTATAACAAAGAAGCACTACAGAAGTTCAATGTGGGCGGCAAAATTCTTTGAAGAATAACTAGTTATAATTGGGGAGTCTGAACACATTTCAGAGTTGCACGTTTAATATGCAGTATGCTTAATTGCACTGTAATTACAGTATTTTAGAATGCCATGCTAAGTGTTTAATCCTTTTCAGGTTTGCCCTCCAATCAGTGGTCTGCCTTCATTTTCCAGATTGATGAAGTCTGCCTCAGAGAAGGGGGTAGGTAACAAGACCGTGCCGATGTGTCTAATCAGCTGGGAAGGTTGTAAAATGAATCTTTCCTATCTAGAATTTATATTTAATCATAGTTATATTCTCTTTGTGAATGAGTGTTGATTAGTTAGTTGTCAGAATAGGACAACAATAAGAGCTTTTATTTATCCAGATAAGTTATGCTGGAGTCATTATTTAGGTCTGATTGAGTTGATGGAGATATTTACATTACCTCAGCACACAGAGCCACTTAATCTTATTCATAATGTTAATTATATACTCCAAGAGTTACTGCCATGCTCTTATTTATGGTGTTTACTATTCGGGTTTGTTTATATATGTGATGACTTATGGATCCCTCTTTTCACCGGACTATGCCCTTTTTACAGCTGCAAAATGCACCTCCACTTATAAAAACTGATCTTCAGTAGTTTGTTCACAGTGTTTCTGATGTCATCTAATTTGGGGAAGGAAACTCTCTTTGGTTTCAGAGAGTTAGTTAAGACTACATAATTGAACTGACTTTTAATAATTTTTTTTTTTTTTTGGCTCATGCCTATAATCCCAACATTTTGGGAGGCTGAGGTGGGTGGATCATTTGAGGTCCAGAGTTCAAGACCAGTCTGGCCAACATGGTGAAACCCCATCTCTACTAAAAATACAAAAAAAAAGAGAGACTTTTTTTTTTTTTTGGTCTTTATGTATTTGTGTATGCTTTTGCAGTGACTGGAGTTTTCTTTCCCTGCATACCTCCTGCAAACTATTATTTATTCTTTTAGGCCAGGCCTGAAATTTCCATTCTTCAAGGAAGGCTACCTTAATTGTACCAGAGAGAGTTAATCATTGCCTGCTTTATCTCAACTACTGTATCTGAGAATTAACACCATCACAGCCCCGTCAAACTGTATCGCAATTATCGTTGATACGTTTGCTTTCAATAACAGACTGGTTTATTTGAGAGTTAGGACCATATTATATTCATGTCTCTTATCACCCAGATCTAATAGTGCCTGGTACATAATAGATGATTAATCATTTCTCAGTGTTGAATGACATAGATTATTTTTAAAAAAAAATATTTTTGAGGGCTGGGCATGGTGGCTCACGCCTGTAATCCCAGCACTTTGGGAGGCTGAGGCGGGTGGATCACGAGGTCAGGAGTTCAAGACCAGCCTGGCCAAGATGGTGAAACCTCACCTCTACCAAAAATACAAAAAAATTAGCCAGGCATGGTGCTGGGCACCTGTAATCCCAGCTACTCAGGAAGCTAAAGTAGGAGAATCACTTGATCCTGGGAGGCAGAGGTTGCAGTGTGCTGAGATCGTGCCACTGCACTCCAGCCTGGGCGACAGAGTGAGACTCTGTCTCAAAAAATATATATATTTTTTGAAAAATAATTTACATATCATAAATTCACTCTTTTGTTTTTTCATTTTTTCTCTTTTTTTTTACTGCCAGAACTTCACTCTTTTAAAGTATGCAATTAAGTGGTTTCTAATATATTTACAAAGTTGTACAACTATCACCATTATCTAATTTCAGAATATTTTCATTATCCCAGAAAGAAACCCCATACCCACTCTCAGTCATTTCTCATTCCCTCTTTTCCCCAGCTCCTGGCAACTACTCATCTAATTATTGTCTCTATGGACTGTCCTATTTTGGACATTTTATGTAAATGGAATCATATAACATGTGACTTCTTTCTCTTAGCATAACATTTTCAAGGTTGGATGATGTAGCATGTGTAGGAACTTCATTCCTGGCCAAATATTATTTCACTGTATGGATATATCATATTTTGTTTATCCATTTACCAATTGATGGATATTTGGGTTGTTTTTAGTTCTTGACTCTTATGAACAATACTACTATGAATATTCATGTTTTTGTGTGTACATATGTTTTCAGTTTTCTTAGGTATATACATAGCAGAGGAAGTTCTGGGTCATATGACAACTCTATGTTTAACTTTGGGAGTTGCTGCCAAACTGTTTTCCAAAATGGTTACACTATTTAATATTCCCACTGGCAATGTATGATGCTTCCAATTTCTCCACATTCTCCTCAACTCTTGTTGTCTGTTTTT
The DNA here is from genome assembly GCF_000001405.40 of Homo sapiens. NCBI lineage: Eukaryota > Metazoa > Chordata > Mammalia > Primates > Hominidae > Homo > Homo sapiens. The sequence goes on along the minus strand of NC_000010.11, from coordinate 117,046,361 downwards.
TTATTATAGCCATCTTCATGGGTGTGAAGTATTTCATTGTGGTTTTGATTTGCATTTACCTAATGACTCATGGTGTTGAGTACCTTTATATGTCCTAAATGGCCATTTTTTACCCTAGCTTCTTTGTATTTTTTGCAGTTTGAGTATATGTCTAGGTATAGTTTTTGTGTGTGTGTGTTTATCTGGGTTGGTGTTCTCTGAGCTTCCTGGATCTACAGCATTGTGTCTGTCATTAATTTTGGAAAATCCCCCAGCATTATTCCTTCAAATATTTCTTCTGTTTCTTTCCCTCTTTCTTCTCCTGGTGTTCCAATTATAAAGCACATTGATTCTTTCCTCAGTTGTATCTGGTTTATTGATGAGCCTGTGAAAGACAGTTTTCATTTCTGATACAGTATTTTTTATTTCTAGCATTTTTTGATACCTTCTTAGAGTTTTTATCTGTCTGCTTACCTTACCCATCTGTTATTGTATGCCATCCACTTTTTTCATTAGAACCCTTAGCATATTAAGGGTTCTTTAAATACCAGTCTGGTTACTTTAAATACCAGTCTGAAAATTTAAAAAGCTGAGTCTGGTTGTGATGCTTACTCTGTCTCTTTAAGCTGCATGTTTTATTGTCTTTTAGTATGCCTTGGAATTTTCTGTTCAAAGCTGGACATGATGTACTGAGTAAAAGGAATTGAGGTAAATAGGCCTTTGGCATGAGGTTAATCTGACTAGAAGTTAGGCTGTGTTTACTGTTTGCCATAGTTGTATGTGTCAGAAGCTAACATTTCTTCTAGTGTCCTTGTTTTTGTTTCAACTGTTGTATATGGGCTTTCCTGAAGACTTCTTCTTAAATAAGGTCTGGGATGTGGAATTATTTCATATGTAATTGCCTTGTATTAGTAGGTCCCTGAATAATGTAGATGTGGTGGTAAGATGTGGGGAGAGGAGAAGTGTGCTATAGTCCTGTGACTAGTTCTCAGCTTTTTCGTGAGCCTGTGCCTCTGGGCTGTGACCTTTATGTTTCTCAGCTCATTGTTCTTACCAAGATCAAGTCATTTTTAAATATAAATGCCCATCAGATTGTTGCACACTTTTGCTTATTTTCCAGAATTCTGAAAATGTTGATTTCAACAATTTTGTCAGTGTTCTCATTGCTTTTAAGGAGAAGATTTCCAGAGTTTGTTACTTTTATTTCTGCTGATACCATTCCAGATTATTCTCCATAAATGAATGTTGTGAACATGCTGCCTAGTTCAGAAATAATACAAATTTCCATTTCTTATAGAAAGGCTTGGCACTAATACTCATCAAAGATGGATTTTGTAAGTTTTGTAAGTTGTCAGTATATCCTGCTAATCTTAATTAAAATATTAATTGCTTGATGATGATCTAAATACTTGCTCTGCATATATATGCACATATTAAACTGTTAAAGTATTAAGAAACTTAATAGCTAAGCTTTAAAATGACACAAATTGCTCAGAAACATCCTTTCTTTTTAGCACCTTAATATGCCAAAATTAGGACTTTCATTGAAAATGTTATAAGGCAACAATGAAATTTCATCGTCTCTCATTGTTAGGCATTACCATCAAAATATTTTGACCATACTTTTCACTTCAACATAGGTGTTTAACATCTATTCTCAGCTTTTCAAGGAGGTTTTTGGAGGTATATTTTTTAATTCTGATGTTTCCACTCTGTTAGGTCAGAAAAATAATCCAAGCTAAATGCTTTTTGTCCTGTTATTTGGGTACTTATAGACTCCCTACTAAATTACTTCTTTGATTTCAAATTGATATAGAAAATACTCTACACAGATTTCAAGAATGGGTGTTTCACAGTATGTATTTATTGCAGTTTTGAGAAAGAAATTGGACATAGCTTATCTTATTCAGACACAAATTACATCATTGTTAACAATGTTACACAGTTTCTAAATCCTTTTTTTTCCAATAGTTATAAGGCTTTCGTGTAGGTGAGTATGTAAGTAATGTACATACATATAGTTGAACACTATGTAGCTTTAAAAAATAAGGTAAATCAATGTGATAATATGGAAAGATCTCCAAGATATATTGTTAAGTAAAACAGATTATAGAATAGTATAAATGAGCCATATTTATAAAAATATGTGTATAAGAATATGTATTAACATTTCCAGGAGAATATCTATGAGACATAATAGTAGTTACCCTTGAGTAGAGTGGAGAGGTTGGAGGAAGAGAAAAATACTTACTTTATTGCTATACTTGAATGAAAATAAAGAGCAGATATTAGTTTCGTAACTTAAAAAATAGTTTTAAAATCTATTTTCAACCTGGCATTTGAACTACAGATTAATAAAATAATTTTAGAACTAAGCTGTCTCCTGGAGAATCATTTAATTTTTATAATATTGAAACATTTAAATTTCCCCTTATTGCACATTCTTTTCCATATATACAATTCTCATTTTATATTTTATTTTCCCCTAAAAGCCCCTTGTTTATTTATTTATTTGTTTGTTTGTTTATTTATTTATTTATTGAGACAGGGTCTTGCTCTGTTGCCCAGGCTGGAGTGCAGTAGCATGATCACAGCTTACTGCAGCCTCCACCTCCAGGGCCCAAGTGATACTCCCAGCTCAGCTTCCTGAATAGCTGGGACTACAGGCATGTGCCACCATGCCTGGCTAATGTTTTACATTTTTTGTAGAGATGGGATCTCCCTATGTTGCCCAGACTGGTCTCAAACTCCTGGGCTCAAGCAGTCTTCCTGCCTCAGCCTACCAATGTGCTGGGATTACAGGCATGAGCCACCATGCCAGGCCTCCCTCTCTTCTTTATTGAGTCATTAAAAAGAAAAGAATTGTGATAATGTTTTCATAACAAAGTTTACCATTTTAATCATTTTTAAGTATGCAGTTTTGTGACATTAAGTATATTAACATTGTAGTACAACCATCACCACCATTGGTCTCCAGAACTTTTTCCATCTTTCTAAACTAACATATCTGTACCCATTAAACAATAAAGATCCATCCTGGCTAACATGGTGAAACCCTGTCTCTACTAAAAATACAAAAAAATTAGCCAGGCGTGGTGGTGGGCACCTGTAGTCCCAGCTACTCGGGAGGCTGAGACAGGAGAATGGCGCGAACCTGGGAGGCGGAGGTTGAAGTGAGCTGAGATTGTGCCACTGCACTCCAGCCTGGGCGACAGAGCGAGACTCCATTTAAAAATAAATAAATAAATAAATAAATAAATATAAAGATCCACTTTTAGGAGATGGAAATTGTCTGAAAATCATGTAAAATAAGTTTGAAAAAATATAGAAAAATAAGAATAGACTTATGGTGTCCTTCATTTTAAAATACTGCTTTCAATGACCTGTTCTTACAGAGAGTTTTAGACTTCAGACAGGTTAAATATTTGTGTTTATTAATGCCACATTAGTTAATAGAATAGAAAAAGGGCCGGGAGCAATGGCAAACGCCTGTAATCCCAGCACTTTGGGAGGCTGAGGCGGGTGGATCACCTGAGGTCAGGAGTTCGTGACCAGCCTAAGAAATATGGTGAAACCCCGTCTCTACTAAAAATACAAAAATTAGCTGGGTGTGGTGGTGTACGCCTGTAGTCCCAGCTACTTAAGAGCTTGAGACAGGAGAATCGCTTGAACCTGGGAGGTGGAGGTTGCAGTGAGCCAAGATTGCACCACTGCACTCCAGCCTGGGCAGCAGAGAGAGACTCAAAAAAAAAAGGAAGTGTTGCATAGGTGCTACTGGTCATGAATATAATGGAAGCACATCCCCTTGAGAGCTGTATTGGAGTATGTTTTTCACTAGATTGGATGCTTTTCATGACAAAAAGGGAGGTATTTATCTTTATATCTACAGAAGTTAGTCAGATGAAGAGACTCAATGGTTATCAAATGTAACTACTGAAAGATGGTTAAAAATGTTGGTGTGGGACTTCCAGTATTAGGAGAGAGGGGAGCAGAAGGAGGATAAGGAGAACCTCAGACTTGAGCACCATGGAATATATATTCTTTTCTGTGGAATAACTTGAGATCCACCACAGACATTCAGTTGGAGCAGATTATGAAGGGATAAATTTGCTTCTGAGCATGACATTTCTCTGATTACATAGAAAGTGCTACTTTTGAAGGGTGGCTTCAAAGACAAAGGGCTGTTTGGTTTTGCAGCTAGTGAGCTACCATTCCTGGTAAAGATGGCCTGTAAATATCAAAGGAAAAATGGCAGATATGTTACAAAACACTTGAAATGCACTTTTGCTTTCCCTTTCTTTCTCCTTACCTGCTTCCTCTTCCTTAATGTATTTCCTCCACTAACATACATACTCAAAAACTAAATTAACTGAGTAGCATAGGGCATGAAACTGCAGTTCTGACAAGTAGCTAAGTGAATGAGAACATATCATTTAATTTTTGTGGATCTTATTTTCCTCTTATGTAAAATTGGGAATATCATTCTGTTGGTTCTTTAAGTAAAAGGAATTTTAAAATTTAAGTAGATGATTTCGAACAAATAACTCAGTGTTGGTGAATCTTTGAAAAGAATAATATAGTGTTCTATCTGTATAATCTTTAAAATACTAATGATTTTAAGCGTCTCTTCACGTGATGGGCTAGCGGTAGATATTTATGACAATGAGAGGCACACTAATTTTTCTCTAGAATTGTGAGAAAATTACAAGTGCTTCGGAAAGTTACACGTTCACCTAACCAAGGTGAACCAATGTAACTCTTCAAGACAAAGGGTGAGAATATTAAACCAGTGAACCTCCTTTCCCTCTTGAACTATAAGCCTGTGTATATGCTATCCTCGTATGAAGCAATGCCTGTCACTGAAAAAATTGAAATGCAGAAAAGAAAACACATGTTGCAGGTTTTAAAATAGTTCCAAAAATAGAGTATTGGACTCCGTGATGCTACATATTGATTTTTCAATAGTATCACTTATTTACTCATCTAGTTTTTCTTCAGCATTGAAGATTGATTTTAATAAAAATAGGTAGCTACTAAATTCGAGGAGTCACATTAAAAACCCAACTTTCTGTTGAATTTCCTTTGGCATTTCAGTAGATATACTTAGATTGGGAAAATATATTAACGAAGACATACTTAGGTATAATGCTAGACTGAGTACTGAGTGTCATAAAAAGAAATCACTTAGAGAAACAGGCCTTGTCCTCAAGAGGTGTGTGAGCTTGCTGCAGAAATAAGTAACACAAAACATTTTAAACACCGGGGCCTGTTGTGGGGTGGCGGGGGTGGGAGGGATAGCATTTGGAGATATACCTAATGTTAAATGACGAGTTACTAGGTGCAGCACACCAACATGGCACATGTGTACATATGTAACTAACCTGCACGTTGTGCATATGTACCTTAAAACTTAAAGTATAATAAAAAAATTTTAAGATAAAATAAAATAAAATATAATAAAAGAAAAAGAGTTGAGTATAAAAATAAAATTACAAAACTATTTTAATATGGCATGAGAATATTATTTTCAATGAATCATGTTTGTTAAACTATTTCAATAAAAAAGTGACAAAATCCAAAAAAAAATTTTTTTAAACATTGTTACAACTTAGATTTTAGGTGAAGTAAACTGTTCAGACCATAGTAAACACCACAAAAGTAATGAAAAGTCAATTGAGCAGTTTAAAGCAGCATAATAAAGCCCTTGCCCTAAAGCGTATGCATTCTATTAAAAAATGAGTCTGTTTTAAAAAACCGTTTTAGATTCATGAGAGTTCCCATATAGTTCACACTCAGTTTTCCCTATTATTAGCATCTTACATTAGTATGGTACATTTGGTATAATTACTGGACCAATATTTACACATTCTTTTAATTTTATTTTAGCCATTCTAAAAGGCATGTAGTGGTATGTCAATTTCTGAAAAATTTACAATTCCATTACCATTTGATGAAAAGATTTTCTTTTTGCTATTGAATTTCATTGGTGTCACTGTTGTAAATTAGTTGACTATTATGTATGGATCAATTTCTGGATCCTCTGTTTTCACTTACTTATTTTTCTTATCCTTAAATAATTCCTTAATTACTATACCTTTATATCAGATCTAGAAATCAGGTAATGTAAGTCCTCCATTCTTCTTCTTAAAGATTGTCTTGGCTACCCTAAGTCCTTTGTATTTCTATACAAATTTTCAAATCAGGTTTTCAGTATCTAAAAACAGTTTTCTGGGATTTTGATTTAAGCTGTATTCAATCTATTGATCAGTTTAGGAAGGATGGATATCTTAACAATACTGTCTTCCACATCATGAATATTGTACAGCTCTCTATTTCAGCTTTCTTTAATTTGTCCCAGTAATGTTTTACAATTTTTACTATGAAGGCCCTGCTTTTTTTTAGTAGACTATTTTTCAGAGCAGTTTTAGATTTGCAGCAAAATTGAATGGAATGTAAGAGATTCCCCAAACACCGTCTGCTCTCACACATGGAGAGATTCCCCCTTTTTCTTTCTTTCTTTTTTTTTTTTTTTGATGGAGTCTCACTCTGTTGCCCAGGCTGGAGTGCAGGGGCGCAATCTTGGCTCACTGCAAGCTCTGCCTCCTGGGTTCAAGCCATTCTCCCACCTCAGCCTCCCGAGTAGCTGGGACTACAGGTGCCCACCACCACGCCCGGCTAATTTTTTGTATTTTTAGTAGAGACGGGTTTTCACCGTGTTAACCAGGATGGTCTTGATCTCCTGACCTCGTGATCTGCCCCCTCAGCCTCCCAAAGTGCTGGGATTATAGGCGTGAGCCACTGCGCCCGGCCGAGATTCCCCATTTTTAACATCCCCTATCAGAGTGATACATTTATTACAATTAATGAACCTACATTGTTGGGTATATATCATTATCACCCATAGTCCATAGTTTACACTAAGGTTCACTATAGATGTTGTAGAGCCTATGGGTTTGGACAAATGTATAATGATACGTATCCACCAATACAGTATCATACAGAGTAAAGTCCCTGCCCTAAAAATCCTCTATGCTCTGCCTATTCATCCCTCACCACCCCATTACCTCTGGCAACAACTGATCATTTGACTATTTCCCTAGTTTTGCCTTTTCCAGAATGTCACTTACAGTAAGTAAGTCTTTTCAGATTGGCTTATTTCACTAGATAATATGCATTTAAATTTCCTCCATGTCTTTTCATGGGTTGATGCTCCTTTCTTTTTAGTGCTGAATAATATTCCATTGTCTGGATGTACCACAGTTCATTTATCACTCATGTACTGAAGGACATCTTGGTGCCTCCAGCTTTTGACATTTGTGAATAAAGCTGGTATACATATATTTGTGCAGGTTTTGGGTGGGATACAAGTTTTTAACTCTTTTTGGGTAAATACCAAAGAGGACGATGCTGGATCATATGGTAGGAGTATGTTTAGTTTCGTAAGAACTACCAAACCGTCTTCCAAAGTGGCTGTATTATTTTGCATTCTCACCATCAATGAATGACAGTTCTTGTTGCTTCACATCCTCATCAGCATTTGGTATCGTCAGTGTTCTGGATTTTGGCCATTCTAAAACAGGTGTGTAGTGATATCACGTTGTCGTTTTTTAAATTTGCATTTCCCTGATGATATTTGATGTAGATCTTCTTTTCATATGCATATTTGCCATCTAAATATCTTCTTTGGTTAGGTGTCTGTTAAAGTCTTTGTCCCATTTATTCACTGAGTTGTTTGTTTTCTTATTGTTGAGTTTTAAGAGTTCTTTGTATATTTTGGATAACAGCCCTTTATAAGATGTCTTTTGCAAATATTTTCTTCCAGTCTTGTTTTCATTCTCTTGACAGAGGTTTTCACAAAACAGAATTTTTTTTTTAATGCAGTCCAGTTTATCAATTCTTTCTTTCATAGCATGCCTTTGGTTTTGTATCTAAAAAGTCATTGCGGCTGGGTGCATTGGCTCATGCCTGTAATCCCAGCATTTTGGGAGGCCGAGGCAGGAGGATCTCTTGAGCCCAGGAATTCAAGACCAGCCTGGGCAACATAGTGAGACCTCAACACTACTAAAAAAAAAAAAAAATAGCTGGGTATGGTGGCATGTCTGTAGTCCCAGCTACTTGGGAGGCTGAGGTGGGAGGATCGCTTGAGCCCAGAAGGTCAAGGTTGCAGTGAGCTATGATCATGCCACTGCATGCCATCCTGGGTGACAGAGCATGACCCTGTCTCAAAAAACAAAAAGTATAAAAAGTCATCTCCAAACCCAAGCTCATCTATAGTTTCTTCTATGTTATCTTCTTGGAGTTTTATGGTTTTACGTTTTACATTTAAGTCTATTTTCCAGGCTATCCTTTCTGGTTCACTGATTTTTTTTTTTTTTTTTTTTTTTGAAGTCTCGCTCTGTCACCAGGCTGGAGTGCAGTGGCATGATCTCGGCTCACTGCAAGTTCTGCCTCCCAGTTCAAACAATTATCCTGCCTCACCTCCCCAAGTACCTGGGAATATAAGCATGTGCCACCACACCCAGCTAATTTTTGTATTTTTAGTAGAGATGGGGTTTCACCATATTGGCCAGGACGGTCTCGAACTCCTGATCTTGTGATCCACCCGTCTTGGCCTCCCAAAGTGCTGGGATTGCAGATGTGAGCCACCACACCCAGCCTCTGGTTTACTGATTTATTTGTCTGTTCTTTCACCAGTATCACACTGTCTTCACTATTGTAGCTTTATGGTAAGTTTTAAAGCTGGGTAGTGTCAGTCTTCCAACTGCGTTCTTATCCTTCAATATGATATTGGCTATTTTGGGTCTTTTGCCTCTCTTTATAAGCTTTAGATCAGCTTGTCAATGTCTGTGTAATAACTTGCCAGAATTTTGATTGGTATTGCATTGATCAACTTAGGAAGATCTGACATTTTGACAATATTGAGTCTTCCTATCCTTGCACATGGAATATCTCTCCATTTATTAAGTTCTTTGATTTCTTTCATCAGTTTTTAGTTTTCCTTATATAGATCTCATACATATTTTGTTAGATTTATACCTAAGTATTTCATTCTAAGTATTTTATTGAGTGCTAATGTAAATAGTATTAGGGTTTTTTGTTTTGTTTTCTTTGGAGGGGAAGTCTCACTATGTTGCCCAGGCTGGACCCTAACTCCTAGGCTCAAGCAATCCTCCCATCTCAGCCTCCCAAGCACTGGGACTACAGGCATGAACCATGATGTCTAGCTATAAATGATATTGTCTTAAATGTCAAAATCCACTTATTCATTGCTGGCATATAGGAAAGTGATTGACTTTCGTATATTAACCTTGTATCCTGCAACCTTGCTATAAATGCTTATTAGTTCTAGGAGATTTTTGTTGATTCTTTTGGATTTTCTACATAGACAATCATGTCATCTGCAAACAAAGACAGTTGTATTCCATCTAAATCTGTATAAGGTCGTCCATTTATTGTTTTTTGTGCATACATAGAAGGTATATATATTTATGGGGTATATGAATTGTTTTGATACAAGCATGTAATGCATAATAGCCACATTATGTAACATGGGGTATCCATCCCCTCAATCATTTATCCTTTATGTTACAAACAATTCTATTATACTCTTATAGTTATTTTTAAAAGTACAATTAAATTATTATTGACTCTAGTAGCCCTGTTGTGCTATCAAATAGTAGGTCTTGTTCATTCTAATTATTTTTTTGTACCCATTAACTATCCTTATTTCCCCCCACCCACTCCACTACTCTTCCCAGCCTCTAGCAACTATTCTATTATCTCCATGAGTTCAATTGTTTTGAGTTTTAGATTTACAAATAAGTGAGAGCATGTGATGTTTGTCTTTCTGTGCCTAGCTTATTTCACTTAACATGAGTTCCAGTTCCATCAGTGTTGTTGCAAATGACAGGATCTCATTCTTTTTTGTGGCTGAATAGTACTCCATTGTGTATAAGTAGCACATTTTCTTTATCCATTCATCTGTTGATGGAACACTTACATTGCTTCCAAATCTTGGCTATTGCAAACAGTGCTGCAACAAACATGAGAGTGCAGATATGTCTTTAATATACTGATTTTTTTTCTTTTGGGTATATACCCAGCAGTGGGATTGCTGGATCATATGGTAGCTCTTTTTTTAGTTTTTTGAGGAAACTCCAAACTGTTCTCCATAGTGGTTGTACTAAATTTACATCCCCCAGCAGTGTATGAGGGTTCCCTTTTCTTCACATCCTTGTCAGCATTTGTTATTGCTCCCCTTTGGATAAAAGCCATTTTAACTGTGGTTAAGATGAAATCTTATTGTAGTTTTGATTTGCATGTCTCTGATGATCAGTGATGTTGAGCACCTTTTCATATGCCTATTTGACATTTGTATTTCTTCTTCTGAGAAATGTCGATTCAAGTCTTTTGCCTTTTTTTTTTTTTTTTTTTTGAGATGGAGTTTCGCTCTTGTTCCCCAGGCTGGAGTGCAGTGGTGCAATCTCGGCTCACCAGAACCTCCACCTCCCAGGTTCAAGCGATTCTCCTGCCTCAGCCTCCTGAGTAGCTGGGATTTACAGGCATGTGCTACCACACCCGGCTAATTTTTATATTTTTAGTAGAGACGGGGTTTCTCCATGTTGGTCAGTCTGGTCTCGAACTCCTGACCTTGACGCCTACCTCAGCCTCCCAAAGTGCTGGGATTACAGACGTGAGCCACCATGTCTGGCCATTTTTGCCCATTTTTAAATCATATTATTAGATTTTTTTTCCTATAGAGTTGTTTGAGCTCCTTACATATTCTGGTTATTAATCCCCGTCAGATGGGTAGTTTGCAAATATTTTCTCCCATTCTGTGAGTTGTCTCTTCACTTTGTTAATTGTTTCCTTTGTTGTGCAAAAGCTTTTTGTGATTCCATTTGTTTATTTGTGCTTTGGTTGCCTGTGTTTATAGGATATTACTCAAGAAATTTTTGCTCAGACCAGTGTCCTAGAGAGTTTCCCCAATGTTTCTTTTGTCAGTTTCACAGTTTAAGGTCTTAGATTTAACTCTTTAATCTATTTTGATTTGATTTTTGTGTCTGGAGAGAGATAAGGGTCTAGTTTCATTCTTCTGCATATGGATATCCAGTTATCCCAATACCATTTATTGAAGAGACTGTCTTTTCCCCAGTGTATGTTCTTGGCACCTTTGTTGAAAATGAGTTCACTGTAGGTGTGTGGATTTGTTTCTGGGTTCTCTATCCTGTACCAATGGTCTATTTATTTGTTGTTGTTGTTTTGCCAGGACCATGCTGTTTTGGTTACTATAGCCCCATAGTATAATTAGAAGTCAGATAATGTGATTCCTCCAGTTTTGTTCTTCTAGCTTAGGATAGCTTTGGCTATTCTGGATCTTTTGTGGTTCCACATACATTTGAGGATTTTTTTTTCTATTTCTGTGAACAATGTCATTGGTATTCTGAGAGGGATTGCATTGAATCTGTAGATTGCTTTGGGTAGTATGGACATTTTAACAATATTGATTATTCTAATTCATGAATATAGAATATCTTTCCATTTTTTGTGTCCTCTTCAATTTATTTCACCAGTGTTTATGGTTTATATTATAGAGATCTTTCACTTCTTTGGTTAATTCCTAGATATTTAATTATATTTGTGGCTATTGTATGTGAGATTACTTTTTTATTTCTCTTAAAGATTGTTTGCTGATGGCATAAAAAATGCCACTGATTTTTCTATGTTGATTTTTTTTTTTTTAAGATGGAGTCTTGCTCTGTTGCCCAGGCTAGAGTTCAGTGGTACAATCTCAGCTCACTGCAACCTCCACCTCCCAGGTTCAAGCGATTCTCCTGCCTCAGCCTCCTGAGTAACTGGGATTAGAGGCATGTGCCACCACACCCAACTAATTTTTGTATTTTAGTAGAGATGGGGTTTCACCTTGTTGGCCAGGCTGGTCTTGAACTCCTGACCTCAGGTAACACACCTGCCTTTGCTCCCCAGAGTGCTGGGATTACAGGCGTGAACCACCATGCCCGGCCATATGTTGATTTTGTATCCTGCAACTTTACTGAATTTATTTACCAAAAAACTATTAGAACTGATAGAGTCTTTAGGTTTCTCCAAATATAAGATTACAGCATCTGCAAACAAGGACAATTTGACTTCTTCCTTTCCAGTTTGGATGCCCTTTGTTTCTTTCTCTAATCTAATTGCTGTAGCTAGGACTTTCAGTACTATGTTGAATAATAGTGGTGGAAGTGGGAATCTTTGTTGTGTTCCAGATCTTAGAAGAAAGGCTTTCATTTTTTTCCCCATTCAGTATGATACCAGCTGTGAGTCATATGAAAGTCACATATGGCTTTTATTATGTTGAGGTATGTTCCTTCTATACCCGGTTTTTTAGAGTTTTTCTCATGAAGGGATGTTGAATTTCATCAAATGCTTTTTCAGCATCAATTGAAATGATCGTATGGTTTTTGTCATTCATTCTGTGATATGATGTATCACATTGATTGACTTGTATATTTTGAACTATTATTGCATCCCAGGAATAAATCCCACTTGGTCATGATGAATGATCTTATTAATGTATTGTTGAATTTGGTTTGCTAGTATTTTGTTGAGGATTTTTTATCAATAGTCATCAGAAACATTGGCCTGTAGTTTCCTTTTTTTTGATGTGCCTTTGTCTGGTTTCAATATCAGGGTAATACTGCCCTCATAGAATGATTTTGGAAGTATTCCCTCCTCTATTTTCTGGAGTCCTTTGAGTAGGATTGATATTAGTTCTTCTTTAAGTGTTTTGTAGAATTCAGCAGTGAAGCCAACAGGTCCCAGGTTTTCTTTACTGGGAGACCTTTTATTATAGCTTCGATCTTGTTACTTGTTATTTGGTCTGTTCAGGTTTTGGATTTCTTCATGATTCAGTCTTGGTAGATTGTATGTGTCTAGGAATTTGTCCATTTCTTCTAGATTTTCCAATTTACTGGCATGTAGTTGCTCATAGTATCCACTAATGATCCTTTGAATTTCTGCAGTATCAGTTGTAATGTCTCCTTTTTCATTCTGATTTTGTTTATTTGGATCTTCTCTCATTTTTTCTTAGTCTGGCTAAAGGTTTGTCAATTTGGTTTAAGTTTAAAAAAAAACTTTTTGTTTCATCAATCTTTTGTATTTTTTTCATTTCAATTCCATTTATGTCTGCTCAGGTTTTTATTATTTCTTTTCTTCTACTAATTTTGGGTTTGGTTTGCTCTTGCTTTTCTAGTTATTTAAGATGAATCATTACATTATTTGAAATTTTTCTTCTTTTTTGATGTAGGCAGGCACTTACAGCTATAAATTTCCTTCTTGGAAATGCTTTTGCTCTGTCCCATAGGTTTTTGTATGTTCTGTTTCCATTGTTATTTGTTTTGAGAAATTTTTCAATTTCCTTCTTAATTTCTTCATTGACCCACTGGTCATTCAGGAGCATATTGATTAATTTACATGTATTTGTATAGTTTCCAAAATTCCTCTTGTTACTGATTTTTAGTTTTATTCCATTGTGGTCAGAGAAGATGCTTGACATTAGTTCAGTTTTTTTAATGTTTTAAGACTTGTTTTGTGATCTAACATATGGTCTATCTTTGAGAATGATCCATGTGCTGAGGAAAAGAATGTGTATTCTGCAGCTGACTGATGAAATGTTCTGTAAATATCCATTGGGTCTACAGTGCAGATTAAGTCTGATGTTTCTTTATGGGTTTTCTGTCTGTTAGATCTGTCCAGTGCTGAAAGTGGAGTGTTGAATTCTCCAGCTATTATTGTACTGGGGCCTGTCTCTCACTTTAGCTCTAATAATATTGGCTTTATTTATCAATGTTGGGTGCATGTTTATTTAAAATTGTTATATGGCTGGGTGCAGTGGCTCATGTCTGTAATCCCAGCACTTTGGGAGGCTGAGGCGGGCAGATCAAAAAGTCAGGAGATTGAGACCATCCTGGCTAACACAGTGAAACCCCCGTCTCTACTAAAAATATAAAAAATTAGCCGGGCACGGTGGTAGGTGCCTGTAGTCCCAGCTACTCAGGAAGCTGAGGCAGGAGAATGGCGTGAACCCAGGAGGCGGAGGTTGCAGTGAGCCAAGATCGCGCCACTGCACTCCAGCCTGGGCGACAGAGTGAGACTCAGTCTCAAAAAGAAAAAAAAATTGTTACATCTTCTTGCTGAGTTGACCCCTTTATCATTATATAGTGACCGTCTTTGTCTGTTCTTACAATTTTTGTCTTGAAATCTATTTTGCATGATGTAAGTATAGCTACTTCTGCTCCTTTTTGGTTTCCATTTGGATGGAATTTTTTTTAATCCCTTTATTTTCAGTCTATGTGTGTCTTTATGGATGAAGTTTGTTTCTTGTAGGCAACAGATCATTGGGTCTTGTTTTCTTATCCATTTAGCCACTCTATGTCTTTTGATTGGAGTTTAGTCCATTTACATTCACTGTTATTATTGATAAGTAAATATTTACTCCTGCCGTTTTGTTATTTGTTTTCTGGTTGTTTTGTGGTCTTCTTTTCCTTCATTCTTTACTTCCTTTCTTCCTTTTAGTGAAGATGGTTTTGTCTGGTGATATGATTTAGTGTCTTGCTTCTTACATATTTTGTGTATCTGTTGTATGGTTTTTGGTTTGAAGTTGCCATGAGGCTTGCAAATACTATCTTAATACCCATTGTTTTAAGCTGATAACAACTTAACCCTGTTTGCATAAATAAACAATAGAAGCAACAAGCAAAAAGAAACTACAGACTCTATCCCCCTCTTTTAAACTTTTTGCTCTTTCTATTTATATGTTATTGTACTATGTCTTAAAAATTTGTAGTTATTATTTTTGATTTGTTCATCATTTAGTCGTTTTACTAGAAATAAGAGTAGTTTATACACTGCAGTTACAGTGTTATAATATTCTGTTTTTCTGTGTACTTATTATTAGCAGTGAGTTTTGTACCTTCAGAGGATTTCTTATTGCTCATTAACATACTTTTCTTTCTGACTGAAGTATTCCCTTTAGAATTTCTTGTAGGGCAGGTCTGGTGTTGACAAAATCCCTCAGCTTTTGTTTGTCTGGGAAAGCTTATTTGTCCATCACATTTGAAGGATATTTTTACTGGATATACTATTCTCAGGTAAAACTTTTTTTCTTCAGCAATTTAAGTATGTCACTCTCTCCTGACCTGTAAGGTTTCCACCAAAAAGTGCTACTAGGCATATTGGAGCTCCATTGTATGTTATTTGTTTCTCTTCTCTTGCTGCTTTTAGGATCCTTTATTTGTCCTTGACCTTTGGGAGTTTGATTATTAAATGCCTTGAGGTAGTCTTCTTTAGGTTAAATCTGCTTGGTGTTCTATAACCTTCTTGTACTTGGATATTGATATATTTCTCTAGGTTTGGGAAGTCCTCTATTATTATCCCTTTGAATAAACTTTCTACCCCATATTTTTTTCTACCTCTTCTTTAAGACCTATAACTCTTAGATTTGCCCTTTTGAGGCTATTTTCTAGATTCTGTACATGTGTTTTATTGTTTTTTATTCTTTTTCCTTTTATCTCCTCTGCCAAGTATTTTCAAATAGCCTGTCTTCAAGTTCACTAATTCTTTCTTCTGCTTGATCAATTCTGCTACTAAAAGACTGATGCATTCTTCAGAATGCCAATTGTATTTTTCAGTCTAGGATTTCTGCTTGATTCTTTCTAATTATTACAATCACTTTGTTAAATTGGTCTGATAGTATTCTGAATTCCTTCTCTGTGTTATCTTGAATTTCTTTGAGTTTCCTCAAAATGGCTATTTTGGATTCTGTGTCTGAAAGGCAATATATCTGTTTTTCTAGAATTGGTTCCTGGTGCATTATTTAGTTCATGTGGTGATGTCCTGTTTCCCTGGATGGTCTTGATACTTGTAGATACTTGTCTGTGTCTGGGCATTGAACAGTTAGGTATTTATTGTAGTCTTCTCAATCTGGGCTTGTTTATACCTGTCCTTCTTGGGAAAGGTTTCCAGATATTCAAAAGGACTTGGGTGTTGTGATCTAACCTGTATCTGCTTTAGGGGGCACACAAAGCCCAACAATGCTGTAGTTCTCACACATTCATAGAGATACCACATTATTGGTTGTATTACGTCATTCTCACATTGCTATAAATACCTGAGACTAGGTAATTTAAAAAGAAAAGGGTCGGGCATGGTGGCTTATGCCTGTAATCCCAGCACTTTGGGAGGCCAAGGTGGGCAGATCACGAGGTCAAGAGATCAAGACCATTCTGGCCAACATGGTGAAACCCCGTCTCTACTAAAAATACAAAAATTAGCCGGGCGTGATGGCATGCACCTGTAGGCCCAGACACTTGGGAGGCTGAGACAGGAGAATAGCTTGAACCTGGGAGGCGGAGGTTGCAGTGAGCCAAGATAGTTGACACCATTGCACTCCAGCCTGGCAACAGACTAAGACACAAAAAAAAAAAAAAAGAAAGAGAGAGAGACAGAGAGAGAGGGAGGGAGGGAGAGAGAGAGAGAGAAAGAAAGAAAGAAAGGTTTAACTGGCTCATGGTATCACAGGCTATACAGGAAGCATGATGCTGGTATCTGCTCAGTTTCTGGGGAGGCCTCAGGAAACTTGCAATCATGGCAGAAAGCGATGGGGGAGCCAGCACTTCAGAAGGCTGGAGCAGGAGCAAGAAGGTGGAGGGAGGTGCCACATACTTTTAAATGACCAGAGCTCACGAGCACTCACTATCCTGAGGACAGCATCAAGGGGATGGTGCTAAACCTTTCATGAGAAACTGCCCCCATGATTCAATCACCTCCCACCAGGCCCCACCTCCAACATTCAGCATTCCAATTGAACATGAGATTTGGGTGAGGACATGGATCCAAACCATATCATTCTGCCCCAGACCTTCCCAAATCTCATGTACTTCTCACATTGCAAAATACCATCATGCCTTCTCAACAATCCCCAAGGTCATAACTCATTCCAGCATTAACTCAAAAGTCAAAAGCCCAAAGTCTCCTCTGAGACAAGGGAAGTCCCTTCCCCATATAAGCCTGTAAAATCAGAAACAAGTTAGTTTCTTCCAAGATACAATGGAGGTATAAACATTAGGTAAATATTCCCATTCCAAAAGGGAGGCATTGGCCATAAAAAAGGAGCCACAGGCCCCATGCAAGTCTGAAACCCAGCAGGGCAGTCATTAGGTCTTAAAGATCCAAAATAATCTCCTTTGACTCCACGTCCCACATCCAGGGCACACTGATATAAGAGGTGGACTCCCAAGGCCTTGGGCAGCTCTGCCCCTGTGGCTTTGCAGAGTTTTGGCCTTGGTGGCTGCTCTCATGGGCTGGCATTGAGTGCTGGTGGATATTTCCAGATTGAGTGTGCAAGCTGCTGGTGGGTCTGCCATTCTGAGGTCTGGAAGGCAGTGGTCCTCTTCTCACTGCTCCATCAGGCAGTGCCTCAGTGGGGGCTCTGCATTCCAATCCCTCATTTCCCCTCTTCATTGCCTTAGTAGAGGTTCTCCATGAGGGCTCCACCCCTGCAGCAGGCTTCTGCTTAGATACCCAGGCTTTTTCCTGCATCCTCTGAAATCTAGGCAGAGGCTCCCAAGCCTCAACTTTTGCATTCTGTGCACCTGCAGGCTTAACACCACGTGGGAACTGCCAAGGCTTGCAGCTTCCACCGTCTAAAGCAGTGGCCCTCTAAAGAAGTGGCCCAGGTTGTACCTGGGCCCCTTTGAACCATGGGTGGAACTGGAGAGCGGGATGTAGGGAGCCATATTTTGAGGCTGTGCCAGGGCAGTGGAGCACTGGGCCTGGCCCAGGAAATCATTCAGTCATCCTAGGCCTCTGTGCCTGTGATGGGAGGGGCTGCCACAAAGTTCTCTGAAATGCCTTTGAGGCCTTTTTTCCATTGTCTTGGCTGCTAGCACTTGGCTCCTTTTTACTTATACAAATTTCTACAGACTGCAGGAATTCCTCCCCTGAAAGTGGGCCTTTATTTACTACTACATGGCCAGGCTGCAAATTTTCCAAACTTTTATGCTCTGCTTCCCCTTTAAAATAAGTTCCAACTTTAGGTCATTTCTTTTCTCACACATATGAACAAAGGCTATTAGAAGCAGCCTGGTTACATCTTGAATAGTTTTCTGCTTAGAAATTTCTTTCACCATATACCCCAAATCATCACTCTCAAGTTCAAAGTTCCACAGATCCATAGGGCGGGGACACAATGTAGCCAAGTTCTTTGCTAAGGCCTAACAAAAAATGACCTTTGCTCCAGTTCCCAGTAAGTTCCTCATTTTAATCTGAGGCCTCCTCAGCCTGGATTTCACTGTCAATACCACTATCAGCAATTTGGCCACGACCATTCAACAAGTCTCTAGGAAGTTGCAAACATTCCCTCATCTTCCTGTCTTCTTCTGAGCCCTCCAAACTCTTCCAAGCTCTGCACATTACCCAGTTCCAAAGGTGCTTCCACATTTTCAGTTGTCTTTATAGCAATGCCCCACCTCTTGGTACCAACTTCCTATATTAGTCTGTTTTCATATTGCTATAAAGAAATGCCTGGGCCAGGTGCGGTGGCTCACGCCTGTAATGCCAGCACTTTGGAAGGCTGAGACAGGCGGATCACAAGGTCAGGAGATCGAGACCATCCTGGCTAACATGGTGAAACCCCGTCTCTTCTAAAAATACAAAAAATTAGCTGGGTGTGGTGGCGGGTGCCTGTAGTCCCAGCTACTTGGGAGGCTGAGGCAGGAGAATGGCATGAACCTGGGAGGCAGAGCTTGTAGTGAGCCAACATCACACCACTGCACTCCAGCCTGTGCTACAGAACGAGACTCTGTCTCAAAAGAAAAAAAAAGAAATGCCTGAGACTGGGTAATTTATTTAAAAAAAAAGGATTGCTTGGCTCATGGTTCCACATGCTGTACAGGAAGCATGATGCTGGTATCTGCTCAGCTTCTGGGGAGGCCTCAGTGGGCAGTGGAGGAGAAGCTGGCACTTCCTGTGGCCACAGCAGGAGCAAGAAGTGAGAGGGAAGTGCCACACTCTTTTAAATGACCAGATCTCATGAGAACTCACTGTCCCAAGAACAGCATCAAAGGGATGGTGCTAAACTATTCATGAGAAACCAGTCCCATGAGCCAGTCACCTCCAACCAGGCCCCCCCTCCAATGTTGGGGATTCCAACTGAACATTAGATTTGGGTGGGGATTCAGATCCAAACTATATCAATGGTCTTGGACAAGGTCCAGAAGAATTCTCTGGATTAACAGGCAGAAACTCTTGTTTTCTTCCCTTACTTTCTGCCAAACAAATGGAGTCTCTCTCTGTTCTGAGCCACCTGGAGCTGGAGGGGAAGTGACACAAGCACCCTTGTAGCCAACATCATTGGGACTGTGCTGGGTCAAAGAAGTCAGCATAGGCCTGCTCCTCACCCAAGGTCTGCTACACCCACTCCCTGGCTACCACCTATGTTCACTCAAGGCCCTGGGTCTCTACAATCAGCAGGTGGCAAAGCCAGCCAGGCCTCTGTCCTTTCCTTCAGGATGGTGAGTTCTCCCCAGCCCTGGGCAGGCCCAGAGATGCCATCTGGGAGCTGGGGACTAGAGTCAAAAGCCTTAGAAGTCTATCTGGAATTTGACCAGGCGTGGTGGCTCATGCCTGTAATCCCAGCACTTTGGGAGGCTTAGGCAGGTGGATCACTTGAGGTCAGGAGATTGACACCAGCCTGACCAACATGGTGAAACCCTGTCTCTACTAAAAATACAAAATTAGCTGGGCATAGTGGTGCACACCTGTAATCCAAGCTACTTGGGAGGCTGAGGCAGGAGAATTGCTTGAATTCGGGAGAAGGAGGTTGCAGTGAGCTGAGATTATGACATTGAATTCCAGCCTGGGCAACAAGAGTGAAACACTGTCTCAAAAAAAAAAAAAAAAGAAGTCTATCTGGATTTCTATTGTACTGTGGCTGAGCTGGTACTGAAATCACAAGACTGAGTCCTTCCCACTCTTTCTGCTCCTTTCCAAAGGCAGAGGAGCCTCATCCCGTGACCACTACCACCACAGGCCCACAGGGAGTACTGCCAGACTACTGTCAATGTTCCCTAAGGCTGAAGGGCTTTTCAGTCAGCTTGTGGTGAATGATCCTTGTCCTGGGACTCAAACTTTCAGGCAGTGGGCTCCTCTGTGACGTAGGTCAGGTTCAGTAATGCCATCTAAGAGCCAAGACCTGGAATCAGGGACCCCAGGAGCCTACTTGGTGCTCTACCTCCCTGTGGCTGAGCTGGTACCTAAGGTGCAAGACACAGTCCCCTTAAGTTTTCCCTCTGCTTTTCTCAAGTTGAAGGAGTCTTACCCTTAGCCACCACACCTGGGAATGTGCTGAGTTTCATCTGAAGCCAGCACATCTCAGAGTCTCACCCAAGGCCCTCGACATAGTATCTGGGTATTGCTGCTGGTTATTCAGGCCCAAGGGCTCTTCAGTTAGTAGGTGATGGATCCAGCTAGGACTGCATCCTTTCCTTCAAGGCAGCAGGTTCCCTTTTGGCCTAGGGTTTGTCTAGAAATGTCATCTGGGAGCTAGGGCCTGGAAAGGTGTCCTCATGACTCTTATGGGAGCCACAACCTACTGTGGCTGAGCTGGTATCCAAGATGCAAGACAAAGTTCTCCCCACTTTTCCCTCTCCTCTCCTCTCCTCAAGCGGTGGGAAGGGGTCTCTCTTGGAGCCTTGAGATGTGCAGCCTGGGGTTAGGGGAAGGGTGATGCTGACACTCCCTTAGCTGCCCTGGCTGGTGTCTCAGTAGGTTGTGTGTCCCTCAACCCCTACCACCAGTTCAGTATTTCTGGGCCCAGTTCAGCACTAGGACTCACTTAGGAGGTGCTGCCTTTGTGTCCTTAGATTGCCTTTCAAGTTTATGTAGGGTCCCAGAGCACTTTAGCCCACAGTGGCGAAGCTTGCAGGAACTCAAATTCGTACTACTGGGATCGGCAATTCTCCTCTGCCCAGGGCTGGCTTTAATGCTCCCTCCATGGGTGAGCATCAGCTGAGTTTGGTTTGATTTGTTTCCTGCTATAAGGCAGTACTGGGTCAATCCCTCTCCATGGGACACAGAAACACTCTCTGCACCACACCTCTGCTGCCAGGGGATGGGTGAGGGGTGGCATTAGTGATTCGAGACTGTTTTTCCTACCTCTCCAGTGCCTCTTTTAGTGATATGAAGTTAAAACCAGGTCCTGTGAGTTCTCACCTGATTTTTGGTTCTTATGAAAGTGTTTTTGTGTGTAGATAGTTGTTAAATTGGTGTCCTTGAAGGGGCAACTATCAGTGGAGTCTTCTCTTCTGCCATCTTGCTCCATCCGAGTCCCAGGTCTTGCATTTTTTGATGATATTGTAAATTGTATGTTTTTTTCCCCAAAATTTTATTAAGTTTTCAAGTATACAGAAAAGTTGAAAGAATTGTACAGTGAATAACCATCTATATTCCTATTGGATTCTACAATTAACATTTTTGTCTGTTTTATTACATATGCATTCATCTACTCCTGTATTCCTCCATCAATCCATCTCATTTTAAAAATGTATTTCAAAGCAAGTTGAAGACTTCAGTATATTTTAACCTAACTACTTCAGCATGTGTAGCTCAACTATAGTTCAATATTTGCTGATGATCCTTTTTTTTCTTTAAGGTAAAATTTACATGTAGGCCGGGCGCGGTGGCTCACGCCTGTAATCCCAGCACTTTGGGAGGCTGAGGCGGGCGGATCACGAGGTCAGGAGATCGAGACCATCCTGGCTAACAAATACAGTGAAACCCCGTCTCTACTAAAAATATAAAAAATTAGCCAGGCGTGGTGGTGGGCGCCTGTAGTCCCAGCTACTCGGGAGGCTGAGGCAGGAGAATGGCGTGAACCCGGGAGGCGGAGCTTGCAGTGAGCCGAGACTGCGCCACTGCACTCCAGCCTGGGCGACAGAACAAGACTCCGTCTCAAAAAAAAAAAAAAAAAAAAAAAAGAAAAGTTTTGACAAGTGTATACATCTGTACAACCTAAACCTCTATCAAGATATTGAACACTAACAACCCCAGAAAATTGCTTCATGCTCTTTTTCAGTCAATCCCTGACCCAGTCCTTCAGAGGCAACTCTGTTCAGAAATGCTTTTACTATAGGTTAGTTTTGTCTATTCTAGAATTTCATAAAATGGAACGTGTACTCTTGTGTAAGGCCGCTTCCATTCAGCATAATTTTTAAAAAAATTCAGAGTGCCTGACCACAGCAATAACCAGCCCTCATTAGGGCCCCGGATGATTTTTGGTCTAATAATGCATGCTAGCATTGATGTTGTTTGGTATGAACAGGAAGAATTATGCAGCAGGCTTTATTTTAAATGCCAATTCATATTACTCTGTTCAAGCTGAGTTGAGATGTTGAACTGATTTACTATAGACTTTGTAAAAACAGCTTCAGAAGAGTAACAAACTGAAATCTTTGAGATCACACAGGTTGGAAATACGTATATAACTACACAAGGTGTCAATTCTGCTCTGCAGTGCAGTTTTAGTCAGTTTTAGTTGCATAGGTTTCCATTGTATTTATAGTCTGTTTATGCTAAATCTGGCCAAAGATGAGCACTGTCCACCACTAAAATGGCCTCTGCCACTTTGAATTCTGTTCTAATTTTGTGGCCAGAATGTGGTGATCAAAACGCTCAATCTTTTTACAGTGGCATAGGAAGACGGCAAAAATTTCCCAAAGTGCAATAGATTTTCAAGTGTATTCTGCCTTGTTCTAAAACTTTAAGTAGGTGTACTTGACAGGATTGAGGTCATTTGTTATGGTGCTATTTCAATTAGTCTAGGTGTATGCCCTTGTACATTTTGCCCATAACTTTTTACAAAGTACTTCTTTTATTGCACATTCAGAGAATTTCATATATATATGTCTGGTATGCATGTCCTTAAACTTCCAATCTTATTTTGTCTCTTGGAGACTGTTGAATGCAGCTCATCTAGGAAGGGGATGGGACTAGATTCTAAAATTTATTTGGGACCATGGGAATGATAGTTGAGGAGAAAACTATTTGCACGTGACAGATTTCTAGATACATTTTGCTGCTAGTTTTATGTAATATTTATTGAACATTTTGACAAAGACTTATTTTTGTAAGCCTAAAAGTGGTCCTTTGAAAGTTTAAAGAAACTTGACCAAAAGACAGTATAAAAACACTGGCACTTGAATGTTGAATGTCACCATATGTGTGAAATTATATATTTTGGGGTAGCATGAGCTTTTAATGTTGTCATATTAAATTCTTAAGTCAAATTAAGCAGACCTGGCATTGGCAGTGTAGCCATAACTTTCTGATGTCAGTAAAAATAAATTGGAGACTTGAAATTAAATCATGCCAAGGTTTTGATACACTTGCATTTATTTATTTGTTTATTTTAGACAGAGTTTTGCTCTGTCACCTAGGCTGGAGTGCAGGAGTGCAATCTTGGCTCACTGCAACCTTCCCTTCCCTTCAAGTGATTCTCCTGCCTCAGCCTCCCAAGTAGCGGGGATTACAGGCACCTGCCACCATGTCTGGCTAATTTTTGTATTTTTAATAAAGACGAAGTTTCACCATGTTGGCCAGGCTGGTCTCGAACTCCTGACCTTAAGTGATCCTCCCTCCTCGGCCTCCCAAAGTACTGGGATTATAGGCATGAGCCACTGTGCCCGGCCTACACATGTTTTAAGATATTAATGAAACACTTCAAAACACTGAATACGAAGTGTCTAGATTCTCAGATGTTTGTTGTGTGAGTTTTGTTTAGTTGTGTGTATTTTTTTTTTCATGGCATATTGCAATCCTCAAACGTGGTTATCTTTGATGTATTGGCATAATCAGTGACTTATACATTCAGCAATAGCATTTAAGCAAGTTTCATCAGCAAGCAATATTTTCAACTAATAAATAAGGTTTCAAAAATAGTGTAAGGATTTAAACTTGCTGAACGTAAAGATTGAACCTCAAGTCACTGTAGCTTTAGTAATTGTTTATTGTATTGGTTTAGATATTAGCACTGCATGTACTGTGCATATTCTGGTTTTATTAAAATAAAAAGTTGAACTGCACAGTCTCAAAAAATATTCATTCAAAGTGTTGTATGTGTAAGTAGTTTGTTCCTTTTATTTTTGATTAGTATTTTATTGGATGGTGTATCACGTTAGAGATTCAGGCAGACTATATATAGAGATATAGTCAGGAGTCCAAGATCTAGAAGGCAGGCCAATAGGTTGGAAACTCAAGCAGGAATTAATGATATAGTGTTGTGGCAGAAATTCTCAGAGAGATCTGGTTTTGCTCTTAAGGCCTTATTGGGTTGGATGAGGTTCTACCCACATTATGGAGGGTAATCCGCTTTACTTTAACTGATTATAGATGTAAATCACATTTACAAAATATCTTCACAGCAATAAAGTGATTAAATAACCGGGTCCTATTCCCTAGCTAAGTCCTATACCACAGCCAAATTGCTACATAAAACTAAAACTAACCATCACAGATGGACATACTTCCATTTGTTTATCTATTAATTTGTTGATAGACCGTTGTACTTTTTCTAGTTTTTGGTATTATAACTAAAATTACTGTGAATATTTGTCTATAAGTTCTTGTATGGATAAAATATTTTCATTTTTCTCTGGCAAATACATAGGAGTGAAACTGCTATGTCATAAGGTACATGCATATTACATTTTTATAGCAAACTGCCACTAAAATTAGATTGTGGTGATGGTTGCACATCACTATGAATTTACTAAAAGTGAATTATACACTTATAGTTTTATGAATGAATTTTATGGTATGAAAATTTCCAACATGCATATACCATTTTACATTTCACTAAGAATGTATCAGAATTCTCATTTAATCTTACCATTATCAACATGGTGTTGTCAGTCTTTATAATTTCGAGATGAAGTCTCACTTTGTTGCCAGGCTGGAGTGCAGTGGCATGATCTCTGCTCACTGCAACCTCTACCTCCAGGTTCAAGTGATTCTCCTGCCTCAGCCTCCCCAGTAGGGAAAGAAGGGAGGGAGGAAAGGAGGAAGGGAGGGAGGAAGGGAGGCACGTACCACAACGCCCGGCTAATTTTTGTATTTTTAGTAGAGATGGTGTTTCACCATGTTGGCCAGGCTGGTCTTGAACTCCTGAGCTCAGGTGATCCGCCCACCTTGGCCTCCCAAAGTGCTGGGATTACAGGCGTGAGCCACCGCGCCTGGCCATCATTGTGGTTTTTACTTGTATTTCCTTGATGACTGCTGATGTTTATCCTTTCAATGCATATTGGCCATTTATATATCTTCCTTTGTGAACCTTTTGCTCATTTTTATTGGGTTTTTTTTTAATTACTGAGTTGTATTATTATTGAGTAGAAGCTCTTTATATGTCCTAGATACTGGTTGTATTTTAGATATATGTCTTGCAAATATTTTCCACTGTCTGTGGATAGTGTATTTATTTTTTAAATGATGTCACGAGCAAAACTTTTAATTTTTACAGTCAAATTTATCATTTTGTAAAATTTTGTTGCTTTTGTATCTTGTCTAAGAAACTTTTGCTTCCCTCAGGTTGAGAAGATGCTGTTTTGTGTTTTCTTCTAGAAACTTCATATCTTTTTCCTGTATATTTAGGTCCATGATTTTTCTTGAATTAGTTTTTTTTTTAATATGGTGGAGGTAGGAATTGAGGTTTGTTCTTTTCTTTATCAATATTCAGGCATTCTGTTTGTTGAAATGACTTTCTTCTCCCCATTATTTTAGCACTTTTATTGAAAATAAGATGACTTTATAAGTGTGGGTTTTTTTTTTTTTTTGAGACGGAGTCTTGCTCTGTTGCCCAGGCTGGAGGGCAGTGACACCATCTCAGCTCACTGCAACCTCTGCCACTCAGGTTCCAAGTGATTCTCCTGCCTCAGCCTCCTGAGTAGCTGGGATTACAGGCGCGTGTCACCATGCCTGGCTAATTTTTTTTTTTTTTTAATTTTTATTAGAGACAGGGTTTCACCGTGTTGGCCAGGCTGGTCTCCAACTCCTGACCTCAAGTGATTTGCCTGCCTCGGCCTCCCAAAGTGCTGGGATTACAGGCATGAGCCACCGTGCCCGGACTTCTCTCTATTTTTCTATTGACCTGTAAGTCTTTTCTTATGCCAATTCCAGACAGTCTTGATTGTAGTTTAAGTCTTCAATTCCTTTTGCATATATGAACTAAGTTTATTCTTTTGTTTCAAGATTTTTTGGTTATTCTAGATCTGTTGCCTTGCCATACATTTTAGAACCAATTTTTTATTTTCTACAAAAAAGCCTGCTGGAATTTTGATTGAAATTACATCACGTCTGTAGATGAATTTGGCATTTGAACTATATTAAGTCTTCCAATCCATACCATACCAATATACTGGGCATGGTATATCTCTTTAAATACTTGTGTCTTCTTTTATGTCTCAGCAATGTTTGTTTTCCTTTTCTTTTTCTCTTTTTTTTTTTTTTGAGACAAGGGCTCACTCTGTCACCCACTGTGGAGTGCAGTGGCATGATCATAGCTCACTGTAACCTTAACCTCCTCAAGTGGTCCTCCCACCTCAGGCTCCCAAGTTGCTGGGACTACAGGCATGTGCTACATGACCAGCTACTTTTCGTAGAGACAGGGTCTCACTGTGTTGCCCAGGCTGGTCTTGAACCTCTGGCCTCAAGCAGTTTTCCCACCTTGGCCTCCCAAAGCACTGAGATTACAAGCAGGAGCCACCACACCCAGCCTGTTTTCTTTTCTTTTTCAATATATAGATATTGTACAATTTTTGTGTTAAAGCTATTTTTTTTTAAATGTTTTTAAGGATAGGTGTGGTGGCTCATGCCTGTAATCCCAGCACTTTGAGAGGCCAAAGTAGGAGGATTGCCTGAGCCCAGGAGTTTGACACCAGGCTGGGTAACACGGTGAGGCCCTGTCTCTACAAAACTTTTAAAAATTAGCTAAGTGTGGTGGCTTGCATCTGTGGTCTCATCTACTCTGGAGGCTGAGATGGTGGAATCACTTGAGCCCAGGAGGTTGAGGCTGCAGTGAGCTGTGTTTGCACCAGAGCACTCCAGGGTGGCAGAGTGAGATCTAGTCTCAAAGAAAAAAAAAAAATTAAATTATTTTAGTTTTTTAACTGTTAATGTAAATGGAATCTTTTTTAAAATTTCAGTTTCTAGTCATTAGTTGCAATTTCATAGACATACAAGTAATTTTTTATAATGATCTGTATCCTGTGACTTTAGTAAGTCCATTTGTTCATTTTAGTAGCTTTTTTGAAAATTCCTGTAGTTTTTCTATATGTATAATTATGTCACTTGTGGATAAAGACTATTTAACTTCCTTCCTAGTTTGTATGCATTTTATTTCTTTTTCTTCCTTACTGTACTGGCTAGGATGTCCAGTATGATGTTCAATAAAAGTGGTGAGTGCAGGCCAGGCGCAGTGGCTCACGCCTGTAATCCCAGCACTTTGGGAGGCTGAGGTGGGCGGATCACAAGGTCAGGCATTCAAGACCAGCCTGGCCAACATGGTGAAAACCCCTCTCTACTGAAAAAATACAAAATTAGCTGGGCATGGTGGCGAGCATCTGTAATCCCAACTACTCAGGAGGCTGAGGCAGGAGAATTGCTTGAACCCAGGAGTCAGAGGTTGCAGTGAGCCAAGATGGTGCCACTGCACTCCAGCCTGGGTAGCAGAGCAAGACTCCATCTCAAAAAAAAAAAAAAAAAAAAATGGTGAGAGCAGACATCCAATCTTAAGGGGAGAAAAATATTTTCCTTTTTTTTTTTTTTTTAAAAAAAATACACATACACCCTTTATCAGATTGAGTAGATTCCCTTCTACTTCTAGTTTGCTGTTAGTTTTCATCATGAATTGATATTGAATATTTTCAAATGCTTTTTTTCTAAATCTATTGAGATGATATTACAGGTTTTCATTTTTACTATGTTAATATGGTAGATGCCAGTTGATGTGTAGCTTCTTATTCTGGAATAATTTTAGATTTACAGAAAAGCTGCAAAAATAATACAGAGTATACCTAGAATTCTTGTATACTCTTCACCCAGCCCACTGGGTACATAACCACAGTACATTTGTCAAAACTAAGAAATTAACATTGGTATAATACTCTTAACCAAACTAGAGACTTGATTTGGATTTTACTCATTTTTTCACTAATGCCCTTTTTCTGTTCCAGGATCCAGTCCAGAATACTACATCAATTGTAGTCATCATGTCTGCTTAGTCCCTTCTGGTCTGTGACAGTTTTTTAGTCTTCCCATGTTTTCTGTGGTCTTAGCAGTTTCGAAGATTATGGGGCAGGTATTTTGTAAAATGTCCATCAAGTTGTGTTTGTCTTTCTTTTTTTATTATTATTATTAGACTGGGGTTATGGGTTTTAGGAAAAATACCACGGAAGAGAGGTGTATTTCTCATTGCGTCATATCAATGTAAGTTAATAAATATGACTTACCACTATTGATGTTAACCTTGATCACTTAGTTAAACTGCCGTCTGCTAGGATTCGCCACTGTAAGGT
Source organism: Homo sapiens (assembly GCF_000001405.40). Taxonomy (NCBI): domain Eukaryota; kingdom Metazoa; phylum Chordata; class Mammalia; order Primates; family Hominidae; genus Homo; species Homo sapiens. The sequence continues at coordinate 117,017,760 of NC_000010.11, read as the reverse complement.
TGCTATTTTTCCTTCTTCCATCTCTTATTTTTGGAAGCAAGTGACTGAATCCAGCCTACACTCAAGGAAAGGGGAGTTATACTCCAACCCCTGCGGGGGTATATTTACATACATTAGTTGGAAATCTAAAATAACACTTTTTTCCTTCTTCCTCATTAATTTTCTACTTAATCATTTATTTATATCAGTATGAACTCATGGATATTTATCTAATCTTTTGGTTAGATTGTAATACTACTGTTATTTTATTTAATTTTTTTTTTTTTTTTTGAGACGGAGTCTCGCTCTGTCGCCCAGGCTGGAGTGCAGTGGCGTGATCTCGGCTCACTGCAAGCTCTGCCTCCCGGGTTCACGCCATTCTCCTTCCTCAGCCTCCCGAGTAGCTGGGACTACAGGCACCCGCCACTGCACCCGGCTAATTTTTTGTATTTTTAGTAGAGATGGGGTTTCACCGTGTTAGCCAGGATGGTCTCGATCTCCTGACCTCGTGATCCGCCCTCCTCGGCCTCCCAAAGTGCTGGGATTACAGGCGTGAGCCACCGCGCCCGGCCTTGTTATTTGTTTTGTTGCTCAAATTTTTCTAACTGCAGCTGTTGAGAGCTCTTTCAGGTTGGTTCCTGAGTCCTTTTGACATGCCCTACATCTTTTCTTCTTTTCTTTTTCTGGCACTACAAGATGCTCTAGGTTCATCTTGTAGACCTCCTGCCACAGCCTTAGAATCAGCCATTTCTCAAAAGAGCCCTGATTCTTTCTCTTAGAGAATGGTATTCAGAAACCAAGATCTGGGTTTTGGCTATGCTCATGCTTGTGGTTTATCACTGTTTCTAGGCCTTCTCAGTGGACAAAACTAGGATATAATTATGTATATGTACATTAACCCATGCATATACATATACCTTTATGTATGTACCTATTTGTATATATTAATATCAACATGAGTTCATACTGATATCTCTCTAGCACCATAGGGTTCATTCTAGCCTTCCTTTCTTATGTTAATTCTGATACAATGTTTGTTTTATTCCAGTGCAACTGATATATTAAGGAATAATTTGGCCAGGTGCGATGGCTCACGCCTGTAATCCCAACACTTTGGGAGGCTGAGGCAGGCAGATCACCTAAGGTCAGGAGTTCAAGATCAGGCTGGCCAGCATAGTAAAACCCTGCCTCTACTAAAAATACAAAAAGTAGCCGGGCGTGGTGGCACACGCCCGTAGTTCCAGCTACTTAGGAGGCTGAGTCTGGAAAATCGCTTGAAGCCAGGAGGCAGAGGTTGCAGACAGCCGAGATTGCACCACTGCACTCCAGTCTAGGTGACAGAGCGAGACTCAGTCTCAAACAAACAAACAAACAAAAGGAATAATTTGAGCATGGTACATATTTCACATTTCTTTTGTATGATTTCATCCTTGAGGAACACTAGATGAACAGAGAAAATTGCATCCATCTAAATCAAGCCAAATTGGGATACATAAAACGCACACACAGACACACATACGCCTCAAACATCTACAACTACCTTAGTTCATCATATGTATTATCCAATAAGGTTATGTTTTGCTATTCTTTTACATTTGTGAACCTGTAAAAGAATGCCATTCTTTTACATTTTTGAACCTGTGTAAGAGTGCTATTTGTTTACATTTGTGAATCTGTATAAGAATGCTATTCTTTCACATTTGTGAAGCAGTGAGAAATATATATACCTCAAACACATCTAAATGTGTGGTTCAAAAATGCTAAGCAGTGAATGCAAAAAGAAAGCTTTAGGTATTGAGGAGAAACTTGAAATAATGAAGTGTTTATCAAAAAACAAAATAGCATAACATCTTTCAAGCATAAAGGAATCCACATTGAGGACCTTGAAGAACAATACCGTGAAAACAAAAGAAACATCTATGATGGCTTAACTTCAAATGCTATAGAGTCAATAGGAACACAGCCTGAAGAATTAGAAGAAATAGAAAGATTGTTGAGCATTTGAATTGAAAACCAAACAGGAACATTTTTTCCTACAATCAGAAAGAAAGCACTGTATATGAAGACTTTCAAAGAAATTGCCACATCTTGCAGAAGTGGTTCCATTTAGTGTAGATAGTGGCTGGATTTGTGGTTTCAAACATTACTACAGGCCGGGCACGGTGGCTCACGCCTGTAATCCCAGCACTTTGGGAGGCTGAGGCAGGCGAATTACCTGAGGTTGGAAGTTCGAGACCAGCCTGACCAACATGGAGAAATCCCGTCTGTACTAAAAATACAAAATTAGCCAGGCGTGGTGGTGCATGCCTGTAATCCCAGCTACTCAGGAGGCTGAAGCAGGAGAATCGCTTGAACCTGGGAGGCACAGGTTGTGGGGAGCTGAGATCGTGCCATTGCACTCCAGCCTGGGTGACAAGAGCAAAACTCCATCTTAAAACAAACAAACAACAACAAAAACAAAAAACCAAAACAAACAAAAAAAATTACTACAATTTCCAAAGCCTTCAGCTGTCAGCAGAGCCAGAGTCCAGCTGGGAAAGGCAAGTACAGCTGAGAAAGTAGCAAAGAAGTCCAACAGTGACACAGAAGTTAATTAAGAAGAAGGCCATTTATTGGATTGAAATTCTAACTTAGATGAAACAGATATCTGTTACAAATGCCTTCCTTGAAGGACCTGCAAATCAGTCAGGGAAAAAAAAAATGCCTCAGGATTTAAGACTTTGAAAGTACTGTGATGTTTGAATCCAACCACAAAACCAAGGATAATGAGCCACACCCATCCACATGTGCTGTTACAACTTTCCCATTGGATTTCAAATAACCCTTCTTCCATCACTTTGCAGTAACTCAAAAGCTGTAGCCTTTATGATGCCTATGTTCACAAACTTTAGGTGTTTTAAAACTAAAATACCACATTGATTGTAGCATTATGCATTTCTTAATCATTTCTTATATAAAACTATGGTACTATTTTAAAATTAGGTTCCTATTTTTGTTCTAATCTTTCACTGAATAAGTTTTTAAATGTTGTGCTACTAGCTTCATTTTTCCCATGAGACCTATGGTTTTTATTGTACAATTTTGCACAGCATAATAATTTTTAAGAACACATAAGTTGTGTTGTAGCAGAACTGACTGTAACTTCTTTCTCTTATGGTGAGAAACCTGCCTCCCATTATCTACAGTTGATTTACTTATTTATTCAACCCTACCCTACATGTAGAGTAGTTTGAGAATTGCTAACCCATACTCTAGAGAGAGGTAGATTTGCCAGCTAGAAGGGTGCTGATGTATGGTTCCTTTTGTCTTCAGCCTTACGGTGTCCAGTCAAAGTACAGTTATCCAAAGTTTCTTAAGTCAGATCCTTTCCCCCATCCCTTCCCCTTCAGTAAGGTAATGTCATATATTAGTAATATGGTTCGATTTATTTGTCATTTTCTGCATTCTATCCTGGGATTTCCCTATCTTGGCTGACTTGTTATTAAATTTGCATGCAGCAAAGTCCATTTTTGGGATGTATACCTCTTTGGATTTTGACAAGTGCATTGAGTCATCTATCCAACACCCCTGTACCATACAGAATAATTCTATCACCCTAAAAATTCCCTTGTATTCCCCCTTTATATTCAACCCTTCCATTCGTCCTCAACCCCTGGTAGCCATGATCTGTTTCTTATTTTTATAGTTTTGCCTTTTCATGATGTCATATAAATTGAACCATATTGTATATAGCCTTCTGGGTCTGGATTATTAAATTTAACAGAATGCATTCAAGATCTGTATACACTGTATCCACTCAGTAGCTCATTCTTTTAAAATTGATGTATATATTCCATTTTATGGAAAAAAAATATATATATACACACACACATATTTGGAAGATATATATATTTGTTCATTCACCTATTGAGGGACATCTTGGCTTTTTCCAGTTATTGGTGATTATTAATAAAGCTGTTATAAACATTTGTATATGGGTTTTTCTGTGAACATAAGTTTTCCGCTCATTTGGGTAAGCCCCGGGAGTGGAACCACCAAGTTGTATGGCAAATGTATTTCTAATTTTATAAGGAACTGCTAAGTTGTCTTTCAAAGCGGCTGTACCATTTAAAATAGCTACCTGCAATTAAAGAGGGTTACTGTTGCTCTGTGTCTTTCTCAGCATTTGGGATTGTTCCTTTTTTATTTTAGCCATCCTAATAGATACATAGTATTATATCATTGTTGTTTTAACTTGCATTTCACTAGTGACAAATAATGTTGAGCATCTTTTCATGTGCTTATTTTCCATTTAAAAATATTTTTCTGGGCCAGGCATGGTGGCTTATTCCTGTAATCCCAGCACTTTGGGAGGCCGAGGTGGGCAGATCACCTGAGATCAAGAGTTTGAGATCAGCCTGGCCAACATAGTGAAACCCTGTCTCTACTAAAAATACAAAAATTAGGTGGGCGTGGTGGCGGGTGCCTGTAGCCCAGCTACTGGGGAGGCTGAGGCAGGAGAATCACTTGAACCAGGGAGGCAGAGGTTGCAGTGAGCCGAGATGGTACCACTGCACTCCAGCCTGGGACACAGAGCAAGACTCAGTCTCAAAAAATAAATAAATAAATAAACTTCTTTTGGTAAAGTATCTGTTTATATATTTTGCCAATTAATCTTTTTTACTTTTGACTTATTTTAATATTTATTTTTAAAAAAATTTATATAGTTTTTAGAGATGGGGTCTTGTTCTGTTGCCCAAGCTGGAATGCAGTGGTTCACTGCAGCCTTAAACTTCTAGGCTCAAAATCCTCCAGCTCAGCCTTCTGAAGAGCTGAAATTACAGGCACAAGCCACTACATTGGCTCTTATTGTTGGAGTTTTAAGAGTACTTTAAATATTTAGAATACAAAATATTAATATGTGATTTATTTAATGTGTGATACAAAATATTAATATGTGATTTTTAAAATGTGAATTAATATGTAATTTGTAAATATTTTCCCTCATCTATGGCAGGTATTGTTAATCTGTTTCTTTTATCTTTCATAAAATCTAATTTATCAATTCTTTTATTGATTACGCTTTTGGCATCGTATTTAAAAACTAATTGCCAGACTTTAGGTTACACGGTTTTTTCTCTTGTGTCTCATTTTTAAAGTTTTACTGTTTCAGGTTTTACATTTTGGTCTATTATCCATTTTGAGTTAATTTTTCTATGAGGCATGTGTTGCGGCTCCTTTTTATAAAAAAAAGAAAGGATGTCCAGTTGATCTAGCACCAAGTTTTGAAAAGACTTTTTTTTTCCCATTGAATTGGTTTTGTTACTTTGCAGAAAAAAAGTGATTCACTATATTTGTGTGGATCAACTTTTGGGATGGTTAATGCATCTTCCTTTTGCCAATACTACATTGTCTTAATTATTGTAGCTTTATAGTTAGTCTTGGAAATCAGGTAGCGTGAGTCCTCCAACTTTGTTCTTATTCAGAATTGTTTTGGCTATTCTAGTTTTTGTTTTGTTTTGTTTTTTGCCTTTCCATAATACATTTTATGATCAGCTTGGATTTGGATTGGGATTGCATTGGATCTATAGGTTAAATTTGGAAGAATTGACATTTTAGCAATATTGAGGGTTTTTTTTCCTTTTTCTCTTTTTTTTTTTTTTTGAGATGGAGTCTCATTCTGTCGCCCAGGCTGGAATGCAGTGGCGCGATCTCGGCTCACTGCAAGCTCCACCTCCCGGGTTCACGCCATTCTCCTGCCTCAGCCTCCGGAGTAGCTGGGACTACAGGCCCCGCCACCACGCCTGGCTAATTTTTTGTATTTTTATTAGAGACAGGGTTTCACCGTGTTAGCCAGGATTGTCTCGATCTCCTGACTTCGTGATCCGCCCTCCTCGGCCTCCCAAAGTGCTGGGATTACAGGCGTGAGCCACCGCGCCCCGCCTGAGTTTTCTAATTCATGAACATAATATATCTCTCCATTTATTTAGATACTCTTTGATTTTTTTCATCAGCATTTTATACTTTTTGGCATCTAGATCTTTCACATATTTTGCTAGATTTATACCTAAGTGCTTCAGTATTTTTAGTGCTATTGTAAATGTTATTAATTTTTAATGTCAAATTCTAATTGTTCATTGCTGGTGTATGGAATACAGTTGACTTTTGCATTTGTCTAATGACTAATGATGTTGAGCATCTTTTCAAGGGCTTATTGACCTTGTATCCTGTAACCTCACTAAACTCAAGTATTTGTTTTAGAAGCATTTAAAGAAATTCTTTGGTATTTTCCACATAGGAAATTTTGCCATCTATGAATAGAGATGGTACTGGCATAAGGACAGACATATTGACTAATAGAATAAAATAGAGAGCCCCAAAATAAATCCTCATGTATATCACCAGTTGATTTTCAACAAGGGTACCAAGACCACTCAATGGGGAAAGGACAGCCATTTAACAAGTGGTATTGGGAAAAGTAGATATCCACATGCAAAAGACTGAAGTTGGTATGAAGGTAGAAAAGGCCTAACAAAAATTAACTAAAAATGGACCAAAGACCTAAACTTAAGAGCTAAATTCAGCTAAAACTACTGAATTCATCTATTAGCTCTAGTAGCTTTTTCACAGATTATTTGGGATTTTCTCTATATAGCTATATGTCATATGTGAATAGAGATAGCTTTACGTCCTCCTTTCCAACTTGGATGCCTTTTCTTTCTTTTTCTTGTCTAATTGAACTTGCAGCACACTGTTGAATAGCAGTGATGAAAGCACATATTCTTGTCTCGTTCCTAATTTCAGGGGGAAAGCTTTCAGTCTTTCACCATTGACCATGATTATAGCTGTGGCTTCTTTACAGATGCCCTTTATCATGGTGAGGATGTTCCATCTATTACTGGTTTGCTAAGAGTTTTTATGGTGAAACGATGCTGACTTTTGTCAAATGCCTTTTCTGTCTCAATTGAGATGATCACCTGGTTTTTTTCCTATTAATGTGACATATTACATTGATTGATTTTCTTATGTTGAACCACTTTTGCATTCCTGGAATAAGTACTACCTGGTCGTGGTGTATAATCCTTTTAATGTGTTGTTGGATTTGGTTTGTTAGTATTTTGTTGAGGATTTTTGCAACCATATTCATAAGAGAAATTGGTGTGTACATTTCTTTTCTTTGTGATATCCTTATCTGGCTTTGGTATCACAGAAATGCTGGCCTCATAGAATGAGTTAGGAAGTGTTCTCTCCTTTTTTGTGTTTTAGAAAAGTTTGAGAAAGACTGGTGTTAATTCTTTAAATGTTTGATAGAATTCACCAGGAAAGACATCTGGGCCTGAACTTATTTTCATTGAAGGGTGTCTTTCTTTTCTTTTCTTTTCTTTTTTTAATACTTTCTGAATTACTCTACTTATAATAGTTCTGCTGAAATTTTCTTTTTCAGTTAGTTTAGGTGACTTGTGTGTTTCTGGGAATTTGTCCATTTCTTCTAGGTTATTTAATTTGTTGACATATAATTGTTCTTATTATTCTCTTAGAATCCTTTTTATTTCTGAATCATTGGTATTACTGTCCCCATTTTAATATCTGATTTTCATATTTCTTTTTTTTCTTCGTTAATTTAGGGAAAGGATTGTCAATTTTGATACTTTCAAAGAAATAGCTTTTTATTAATTCTATTATTTTTCTATTGTCTTTTATTTTATCTCCACTCTAATCTTCATTATTTTATTCCTTCTGCTAACTTTAGGTTTATTTTGCTTGTCTATTTTCTCAAGGTGTACAGTTACCTTATTGATTTTGTATCTTTCTTTTATAATGTAGTAATTAGAACTATAAATTTCTCTCTGAGCACTGTCTTCACGGTATTCCATAAGTTTTTTTTTTCTTTTCCTTTTTTTTGAGACAGTCTCACTCTGTCGCCCAGGCTGGAGTGCAGTGGCGCGATCTCGGCTCATTGCAAGCTCCGCCTTCCGGGTTCATGCCATTCTCCTGCCTCAGCCTCCCAGTAGCTGGGACTACAGGCGCCCGCCACCACGCCCGGCTAATTTTTTGTATTTTTAGTAGAGACGGGGTTTCACAGTGTTAGCCAGGATGGTCTCAATCTCCTGACCTCGTGATCTGCCCGTCTCGGCCTCCCAAAGTGCTGGGATTACGGGCTTGAGCCACCGTGCCCAGCTTGTATATATGTTTATAGTAATTATATATTCTTACCGAATCAACCCTTTTGTGAATATAGACTTTTGTTTATTGTAACAGTTTTTGACTTAAAGTCTGTTTTGTCTGATATTAATATAACCACCCCAACTCTCTTTTGGTTACTAATTAAATTTTTTCCTACCATTTTGCTTTAAATCTATTGTTGTCTTTGGATCTAAAATAAATATTTTGTAGACATCATATAGTTAGATCATACTTTTTTTTGCATCCTGCCAGTGTTTGCCTTTTGGAGAGTTTAAGCCATCTTCATTTAAAGTTACAGTTAATAAGAAATGACTTATTTCTGCAATTTTGCTATGTATTATCTATATGTCTTATAGCTCTTTTGCTCTTCATTTGCTTCATTATTGCCTTATTTTATACTTAGTTTTTAAAAAAATGTGTATGTTTTTGGTAATCATTTTGACTTCTTTCTCCTTTCCTTTTGTGCATATTTGGTTGATATTTTCTTTTCTTTTCTTTTTTTTGAGACAGAATTTTGCTCTTGTTGCCCAGGCTGGAGTGCAATGGCACGATCTCGGCTCATTGCAACCTCCTCCTCCTGAGTTCAAGTGATTCTCCTGCCTCAGCCTCCTGAGTAGCTGGGATTACAGGCATGTGCCACCACGCCCAGCTTATTTTTTATATTTTTAATAGAGATTGGGTTTCTTCATATTGGTCAGGCTGGTCTCAAACTCCTGACCTCCGGTGATCCACCCGCCCTGGCCTCCCAGAGTACTGGGATTACAGGCGTGAGCCACAGCGCCCGGCCAATTCTATAGTTTTGAGTATATTCAGAGAATTGTACAACCATTACCACAATTAATTTTAGAAAATTTGTATTACCCCAACAATTAACCACACACCTATCAGCAGCCATTCCCTGTTTTCTCCCAGACCTCCCCTACTTTCACCCCACCTCAGTAGATACTCACCAATCAACTTTCTCCCTCTATGGATTTGCCTGTTGTGATCATTTTATACAAGTGCAATCATACAATATCTGGTCTTTTCTGATCAAGTTTTCACTGAGTATAATGTTTTCAAATTTCATCTGTGTTGTACCATATATCAGTACTTTATTTTTATTACCAAATAATATTCCAATATTGCCATTTTCATATGATAATTAACATTACATTAAATAGCTCTGTACATAAGCCTTTTAGGATAGATTCCCTGATATAGAATTAGTGGATCAAAGACAGTGAACCTTCTTCTCCTCATTGTATTTCAATCTTATTTATCTGTATACCTCAAAAGATGACATATGTGATTTTACTTTAATTACCTGAAAAATTAAATAAAGATTAAAGAGAAACTCCTTCTTGACCACTGCACTTTCACACTCCAACCCCCACACCTTGGTCCTGTTCCCCTACTTTCTATCCCTAGAGACAGCCATTATCCTGAGTTTGGCACATATTCTTCCAATTCATTTTTTAAAAGTCTGTCCTTTATCTCTATGTATATATTTGTATATATATATGTAAACACACACATTTTTAAGGGTTTTAAATGACCTGTTATTTGGAGGTCAATAGTAACTCCAACGTGATGCCTGCAACATAAATCACTATGTATATTATTATTATTGAGATGGAGTCTCGCTCTGTCACCCAGGCTGGAGTGCAGTGGCATGATCTCGGCTCACTGCAACCTTCGCCTCTCGGGTTCAAGTGATTCTCCTGCCTCAGCCTCCCGAGTAGCTGGGACTACAGGTGCCCGCCACCACACCCAGCTTTTTTTATTTTTAGTAGAGACAGGGTTTCACCGTGTTAGCCAGGATGGTCTCAATCTCCTGACCTCGTGATCTGCCCGCCTCGGCCTCCCATAGCCATCACTCTGTATATTATTAAACGGAACAAAAACTAATTTATCACTTCTATCCTTTCCATCAATATTCATATCATATAAATAAACAATAGTGTAATGGGAGAACTGAATCCCAATAAGGACTCTAATAGCCCTCCTAATAATTCATACCATGTCCTCAAGTGAATGCCATATTGTATTTCAGGAGTTTTTTTTTTTTTTTTTTTTTTTTTTGAGATGGAGTCTCACTCTGTCACCCAGGCTGCAGTGCAGTGGCAGAATCTCAGCTCAGGAGCCTTTTCTAATTTTAAGGAGGATAAATGGGATTAATTGCAAGAGGCCGCAGATTTAGTATGGAACCAAAAGTTTGATTATAGATTTGATAATTAACTCATTCTTAAACTCCAGAAATACTATCTAACTACTGTATAATTGGAGTAGACAAATCAGCCATTAAAAAAAAATGGAACTTTGTGAACTAAGCCAAATATTTAATGGGCACTCTGCTTGTATTTGGTAGAGTGAGAGAGAATGAGTCAGGATGACTCATCAGGTTTAACAGGTTTCCCAACTGCTGGACAAAAGCTAAATGTCCATTATTTTTCATTAAAATCTCCCGGATTTTTTTATTATTATCTCCTGGGGATCTTCATGGCAGCTATCTGCAACTATCTTGAATTATCTTACGCATACCTAGGGAAAGGGCTGAATAATACAATCCCATATCAAAATTATTTTTAAACTTTAAACATTTTAATACACTGTATTAAAAAATACTATGCTGCCCTTTTAGATCATTCTACCCCTAAATCACTCATGCTAAAGTACTATATTGCCATTTTAGAGAAAGAGAAAGCAGTGCTACCATTTTTTTTTTCAAAATTTTAGTTAGCATGTAGTGAGTATCAGAAAGACACTAGTTACAGGATTTACCCATATCTCAACCTCACTCTACAACTATCATGGAGAAATGAACACAAGAAATGGAGCTGGGCACTTCCATAAAACAGCAATTGAGGAATGAGCAGCACTGTGCTGTTGCTGTACCCAAACTAAGAGCTTAGAGGTAGTGAGAAAAACCAAGCTGTGCAATAAGTCTAATTCAGTTTGGACTTATCTCCCATGCTTAATGATCAGTGTAAAAGAACTGCAACCTTCAGCTTATAGTCAGCAACCACAACCCCTTTCTCACAGACCTGTAATTTTTTTTTTTTTTTTTTTTTGAGACGGAGTCTCACTCTGTCACCCAGGCTGGAGTGCAGTGGCGCGATCTCGGCTCACTGCAAGCTCCGCCTCCCGGGTTCACGCCATTCTCCTGCCTCAGCTTCCCGAGTAGGTGGGACTACAGGCGCCTGCCACCACGCCCGGCTAATTTTTTGTATTTTTAGTAGAGACGGGGTTTCACCGTGTTAGCCAGGATGGTCTCGATCTCCTGACCTCGTGATCTGCCCGCCTTGGCCTCCCAAAGTGCTGGGATTACAGGCGTGAGCCACTGTGCCCGGCCACAGACCTGTAATCTTTATTAAAAACAAAAAAACAAAAAAAAAACAAAAAAAAACTGCATTATAAATTCTGGACTTGGTGTTTTGTTAATCTTCCTCTATTAAATCCTTACAACTCTTCCTTGAGAGTAGGTATCACTATTCTTCCTATTCTTCAGATGAAGTTCAAAGATGCAGGAGACTTGACCAAAGGTTAGCTCGCAACTAGGGGTTGGGGAGAAGCACCTTTGAAACAATGCAGACCTGCCACTTCTCTCCTGGGCATGGTCTAACACAGACATGAGTTCAAATAGTTCAGAGGGCAGTGAACTGGGACAAACGCTTGGCTTAACTGCCAGCCTCTGCTGCCCGGGGGCTGCGTGACCTTCGGCATTCGGACTGCAGTGGCACCCTCTCTAAAGGGAAGGTCATCCCGCCACCAACCAGATGATCTGCAAGGGCCCTCCAGGCCCCACCATCCACGTGCAGCAGGGTCCACGTTCTGACCACCTGGCAAACCTGGTGCGATGGGGGAAAGCTAGCCAGGGCCCTCCTTCACTCACGGCATGGTCATTTAAGTAGCTGGGCGGCCTGATTCGATCCTTGTCTCCTCTTCAAGGTGCAAAATGTACCACCCTGGGCCCGCCCCTGTGGGCAGCTAGGTTTTGCAACCGCGCCCCCAGAGTCTACTGCGGGAAAACTAGGGAAGAAGCCCAGGCGTTCATGGCTCATTGCGTCCCGCTCTACCTCTGTGGTTCTTTGGGAGCGACCCCCGGGAAGCGTCCAAAGTGGAGTTCCCACACACGCTGCGAACCCACAGCCGGTTTTCTCTGAACTCGCGTCCCTGAGTCCGGGAGGTGGAGGCGGAGAAAAGGGTGCGGAGCGACCCCACGCAGGGCCGCCCCCCCTCCCACCAGCGCGTCCTGCCGCGCCGGCAGCCACAGGCTGGCATAGCGGCTGCCGACCCGCCCTCGTTCCTCCACCCCCTGAACGGGACTGCTGGGCCCGCCCCGCCCCGCCTGCAGGTGAAGCGGCCGCAGCCGCCGAGTAGGTGCGTGGGGATGATCTCACTCGCGCGCTCCGCGCCAGGAGGAGGAGGAGCGGGAGCGGATCCAACTTCCGGGTAGTGGAGCCGCAAGCCACCGGCATCTTGCTTTTTCTTCCCCCTCCTCCTGTGTGCCCCGCGCCGCTCCCTCTTTCCCTTTTATTCCCGGCCCCACCCGCCAAAATGAACAGCTCGGACGAAGAGAAGCAGCTGCAGCTCATTACCAGTCTGAAGGAGCAAGGTAGGCAGCACGCGGGCGCCAGGTGTGGGCAGCCGCGGCCCGTGGGCGGGGACGGCCCCAGGGCGCTGGGGCCAGGGCAGTTGGAAGCCGGGCGGGAGACGTGGCGGCCGCCGTGGTCACCGCAGTAGCTCCGTCACCCGCAGAGAAGCGTCCTCCGTGGCCGGCGCGCCTGGGAAAGCTCTGGACCGAGGATAACGCGGAGTGTCGGGGCTAGTCAGGCCCCGCAGCTCGAGACCCGCTGCCCGCTGGTTGCGTTTGCTGGCGATCGGGGGCTGGGGGAAGGGACGAGGATTCAGTGCGGACGAGGTTGCACAGTGCCACCTTCCTTGCCGGAGAAGCGGGTGGGGCAGGATATTTTGGCTGCTTTGGGCGGCTCAGCTAGCTTGGCCCCACCCTTACACATTTGTTGGCGCTGGGTGGCCTGTAGGGCTGTTTCACACCCTTCCCAGCTTTTCGTTTGGATTCGGTCTAGTTCCTCTTTCCTTGCCCAGCTGGGATTTTCAGGCCATAATTTTTTTTTTAATCACTTCTCAATTTTAGCAGTTTATTAGTCAGCAAGGTCAACATCCTGCCAGTGTTGAGCTTTCAGAATTAACAGGGTTGACGCTGGGCGAAGGAGAGCCAGGCCATGCGCACGCATTTCTGTACTGCTTGGTAACTGGGGATTATCCTTTAATAAAGACCTGCTTCAGTCAATCATTTTTTTCATCAGTTACCACACTTCTGAACCAAACCAGATCAACAACCAAATGCTAACCTATCACATTTAAACACTTATCATTATTACCCTGACCAAAGGGTGGTCTGCGAATGTGGGTCAAGACAGGGAGGAACCAGCCGGGTGCGGTGGCTCACGCCTGTAATCTCAGCAATTTGGGAGGCCGAGGCAGGTGGATCACCTAAGGTCAGGAGTTCGAGACCAGCCTAACCAACATGGAGAACCCCTATCTCTACTAAAAATACAAAATTAGCCGGGCGTGGTGGTGCATGCCTGTAATCCCAGCTACCCGGGAGGCTGAGGCAGGAGAATCGCCAGGAGGCGGAGGTTGCGGTGAGCCAAGATGGCGCCGTTGCACTCCAGCCTGGGCAACAAGAACGAAACTCCATCTCCAAAAAAAAATAATAATAATAAATAATAAAGAAATAAAGGGAGGAACCATACAGATTTAAAGGAAGTAAAAATGTGTAGGAACATGTACTTTTCTGAATGTCTTGCTGACAAGACCATGTAATGGAAGGATCCCTGCTCTGTGGCAAAACCTGGTATTTAGTTGCAGCTCTTTCACTTCTCTTGGCCCAGCTCACCTGCTCTGTGAACTTGGAGGAGTCTCTTTCCTTCCGTGGATCTTCTGGTCAATCAAGGCCGACCTGACTAAAGGCGAGGGTGAAACTGGAGGACTTTCTGAGGTCCTGTCCAGTACTCTTACCTGTTGTTGCGTAAAACCACAGACACCGTTGGGAAGTGCTCCCGGATTCCTCTGAAGCCACACTCTGGCAAACAAATTTCAACATTACTGTTTACTGTGTGACCCTGGGGAAATTATTTAACCTCTGAAATGGACATAACACATTCTTCTGTGATATCCAGCATCTAGAAAGTGCTGGATAAATGTTAGTCTCTTTGGCCTTCCCAGCACCTTTACCTGGCATCCTAGATTAGCCTGAGGTCATAAAGTCACAAGCATCAGTGAATTTAGTGGGTGGACAGAATGCCTTTATCTGAAGTTTCTCAAGTGTTTTAGCGAGGGACTGGATTCTACTGACTGGTATTTTATATTTAATACACCTTCGCCCAACCCAAAACATTAAAACTTGATTCATATTCTAGATTTGTGGAGCTTTCATTATAGGTAATATCTGTCAGTGGATATCAGATCTTCTTATGGTTGGTCAGTTTTCGAATAATGATAAACATAAAAAAATTTTCCCTTTCATTTCTTGTATAATCAAGGGTCGATTAACAATGTAGATAATCTGCAAATTGCTTATATTTGATTTCGGAACACATTCTCCATTCCTATGTTGGGTTTGAGGCCTGACAAAAAGGATTTCTATATTTGTGGCTCTTTCTCCTATTGCATTGTATTGGAAAATAAACAAATCCTTGGCATTGGTATTTTTAGAGGATATATTTCCTTGATTAAGTGCATATGAAAGGTAATAGAACAGTTAGATATTCAAAGTTGTGTTTCTTAAAAGGTACACTTTTGGGGATAGTGAGTCTAGTTACAAAGGTGTTGGGATTTTTTCAGCCCACAGTGTGATTTTTATACATTTCAAAACCAGGTAGTTTGCTTGTCATTGGATCACAGACTGTGGAAACAATTTACTTCAAAAGTGTTCAGTTACTGTTTGACCTGTAGAACTAATTGGGAAGCTAGGGATTTGGAAGAACAGGTAACTGGGTCTTTGAGCATTTAACAGTACATACTATGATCAATTTTGTAAGCTGATGGTTGCATGGTTTATTTTTGAAAATAGTAATTTTTACTACCTGTTACTACCTTTTTACTCACAATGTTAATATTCTGAGTGATAATTCCACTACCCCTATTTAGTGTGAGCAAGAAGAACCACTATTTATCAAATATGTTATTTTCCCTTAATAATGCTGAGTAAACATATTTATTCATTCCTTCAACAAATACTTATCAAGTACCACCATATGTCAGGTCCATGTGGTAGGCACTAGGGGTGTAAATAGTGAACTACACAGTCCTTGTCACCAAATTAATTTTCTAGAAGAGAAGACAGGTACTATTCAAGTTATCATATGAATAAATGTACAATTACTTTTTTATTCTAGGATAGATTCTTAGAAGAAATGGAATTGTTGGATTAGAGGGCACGGACATTTACTTTTGCTAGACATTGCAAAAGTGCCCTCCAAAATGATTATACCAGTTCAGATATCCTTCAGCAGTACCCATTTCCCCACACATTGGTCAACTCTGGCTAATAGCAATCTTTATTCATTTGATGGCCTGACAAGTTTTTGAATTTTTGCCAATCTAATGGGCAGAATGTTACCTTTTAAGATTTGCATTGCTCTGGTTATTAGTGATGTTTGAAATCTTTTTACATGGCCATTGGCCATTTAGGTTTCATCATATGGGTCCTTCCTTAGTGATTTTTTTTTAAACTGATACATGAGACTTGTACATATTTATAGAAGACATGGGGTATTTTGTTACATGCTTAGAATGCATAATGATCAAGTCAGGGTATTTGGGATATCCATTACCTCCAGTATTTATCATTTCAATGAGTTGAGAACATTTCAAGTCCTCTCTTCTATCTCTTTTGAAATATATAATACATTGTTGTTAACTGTAGTCACCCTACTTTGCTATCAAAATGTTAAAACTTACTCCTTGTATCTAACTATGTTTGAACCCATTAAACAATCTCTCTTCATTTTGCCCTGCCTTAGTAAGTTTTAAGTCTAAAACTTGAACCAGTTCCCCAGGAGAGTGTTCAGAAAGGAGATTCCTGTCTACTCTAAACCACAAAGCTGACAGCAGCCTTCCCTAACGTGAAGCCTTTAGTGGTGTGGTGAATAAGGTTGCTTTTGACAAAAGTTGTGAAATGTAATGACGGAGTCTGTCATAATATGAACAATCTCTAATTTATACTTACCATTCCCTAAGCTCTATGTCTTATAAATCACACCCACTTCTGAATTACTTCAAAACATTTTATGTTCCCTCCTAGTGAATGGTATAATTAGCTATATTATGTCTTTCCAGAAAGTTATATTATGTCCCTTTAAAAAAAATTAGCCAGTGTGTGATTGCTTATGTTCAAGCAGATGTTGAGGTAATGAGGTAATTCTCCTTTTGTCTTTTTTGGGGCTTTATTTTATTGGACTGATTGACATCTTTAATGCACCGAGAAATGGCAACTTTGGATACTATTTCCGAGGCATATTTCCTAGCTACTAAAGTGGATATTTCCCTTACAAAACATCATACAATTTGCTCCCCCTCCGGAATTCAGTGGGAAAATGATAGACTTAGTTCAGCATTTGTTTAAGGTGCATGATTTTCTGTATAATTCATTCAGCCCACATGCATTGAATATTCATAGCCAGGCACTGTGCTAGGCATCAGAGAGATAGAGCTGAATAAGACCTTGCCTCTGCTGGTGAGGAGTTCCTGGTCTAGAGATAGTGCTAGGCATGTAAATTCCAGGAGGAGTGTCTGATTGGCCTAGTTTGGCCAATCTCATGTATTCAAATACTTTGGCCACGGGAGGGCAGGATACTTTAATTGGCAGCCCCTGCAAAGATTGGAGGAATAGTCCAAAACAGAATGGGGTGCACTACCATGAGGATGCTGACCGGGCAGACACAGACAACACATGTCTGCTAAACTGTTCAGTGTAGTAATGCCATGTCATTTCCAAGTTGATGAAATTTTGAAGAGAGATGGCTATTTAATAATAAGGACATACATAAGAGGAAAACAACCACCACCACCCCAATAATGGGCAATTTTTGGGCTAACAGTATTTAAAATGGATTTCCTATGGTGAGGTAATTGGTTTTAAAGCAATTTTAAACCTCTTTTCACCTTTAGAGTTAGTATCGTTTTCCCCAAGATTATTGAGATGATACTTAAGTTCACATGGAAATCTAGTCAAGCTTATTCTTAGAGCAAGTTAGTAATTAAAAGATGCATCCAGTATTCCATTGGCTTCTAGGCCAGGAAATAACTGGAGCATTATTTTGACAAAACAGTCTGAAACTATTGCCTACCACAATGACCACGTCAGTCTGGGAAAACGGAAGCATTGACAATCTTGGGTGCATATGAGATCAGCCAGTAGAAAGCTGTTTGGAATTAAATGTTGCCTTGTTTTCAAGTGCAAACTTGGTTTTACATCAGTATTTTTCAAAGTGTGGTACAAGGGCCAGCTGCATCTGAATCACCAGGTACTTATCAACAATGCATTTTCCTCTGAAAGTTAGGGAGTGGTTGCTGAAGAACAACAGTTTGGCAACCCCCCATGAGATGAACATGCAGTGTGGGCTAAGGAACTATGTCTTCTAGTCAGAATTTCACTATTTCCTTAATATTATTTATTTATTTATGTATTTATTTATTTGAGACAGAGTCTCACTCTGTCACCCAGGCTGGAGTGCAATGGCGTGGTCTCGGCTCACTGCAACCTCCGCCTCCCAGGTTCAAGCAATTCTTCCGCCTCAGCCTCCCAAGTAGCTGGGACTACAGGCATGTGCCACCACACCCGGCTAATTTTTGTATTTTTAGTAGAGATGGGGTTTCACTATGTTGGTCAGGCTGGTCTCGAACTCCTGACCTTGTGATCCACCCGCCTAGGCCTCCCAAAGTGCTGGGATTACAGGCGTGAGCCACCGCACCCAGCTGTGAACCTTTTTTAAAATAAATGCAAAAATAAACACATGCTCATAGAAAACAAGTGTGTAAAGTGAAAAGTACAATTAACTATTCTATCTGACCCATTGTTTCTCAATCTTTATTTCATTATCACTCTCCTAAGGAAACTTTTTAGGCGTTTTATGCACTGTGACTCTTTGAAGGGCCATAAGCCATTGTAATATCCAAGATCTTTTCTCTTATCTCCTTGAGGATGAAATCACTACATTGACAATGCATGCTATGACCCCATTCCCATTTCCCAAAGTTAACTACTGTTAACCTTTTGTTTTCTTTCCTTCCAGAAATTGTGTTTGTATGTGCATATGTATTTATCATGTAATATGTAATTTTTTATATTAGTACATGTAGCGTTGTCATTAAAAATTGATTAATGTTCCAATGTACAGACGTACCACAATGTATTTAATGTCCTCTGGATGGACATTTCTATCTTTCTTTCCTTGTTTTTGCTATTACAAATAATGCTTCTGGGCTGGTTGTGTTGGCTCACGCGTATAATCCCAGCACTTTGGGAGGCCAAGGTAGGAGGATACCTTGAGCCCAGGAGTTTGATACCAGCCTGGGCAATGTAGTGAGACCCCATCTCTCTAAAAAGAAAATGCTTTTGGCACTGGATTCATGTTGGAGACATCAGTGTGAACTCATGTTTAGCTTAATACAGGTATGGATGGTTACACATATATATATATGTTGGTATATACATATATTTTCTTGCTCTGTCAGCTGAGAGAGCCTAGATGCACCAGTATCAATGAGCACATCTAGAGCCCAGAACTTGGCTTCTAATGCCATTCTCGAATAAAACGAACAGGGTTCCTAGGAGAAATGGCTAATTTTAGGAAAGGGGCAGGAAATATACAAGATGAGCCTAGGGCATCTTGTAGTGTGGAAACTAAGGAAATGCACCAACTGATAAGCTGACATTGATGGAGATACTGTAGTCCCTGCTTACCCATGGAGGAAGCTATGTTTCAACACCTGCAGTAGGTGCCTGAAATCATGGATAATAACAAACCCTATATATTCCAAGTTTTTTCCTGTGCATACGTATCTGTGATAAAGTTTAATTTATAAGTTAGGCACAATAAGAGATAATAAAAACTCATAATAAAATAGAACAATTATAACAATATACTGTAATAAGAGTTATGTGAATGTGGTCTCTCTCTCTCTCTCTCAAAATATCTTGTGGTACTGTAGTCATCTATTTTCATACCATGTTGACCATGGGTAACTGAAACCCTGAAGAGTGAAACGGTAGATAAGAGGGAAACTACTGTCTGTCAGAGACACAAGAGCCGATGGAAAGAACATCCAATGTCCAAAGACGGAACTCTGAACAACAGAATATTGGATTATAATTCAAAATTTGAAGTAATATTCATGAGTTGATACTGATATAAATAAATGATTAAAGACAAATCTCCCATGCAGAGCAATTCCAAATAATTTATGTAGATGTTCCCCCTCAAAGCGGTGTATCTTAACTCCCTGATTCTTTTTTTTTGAGACAGAGTCTCGCTCTGTCCCCCAGGCTGAAGTGCCGAGGCATGAGCTCTGCTCACTGCAAGCTCCGCCTCCCAGGTTCACACCATTCTCCTGCCTCTGCCTCCCGAGTAGCTGGGACTACAGGCGCCCGCCACCATGCCTGACTAATTTTATGTATTTTTAGTAGAGACAGTGTTTCACCGTGTTAGCCAGGATGGTTTCGGTCTCCTGACCTCGTGATCCACCCGCCTCAGCCTCCCAAAGTGCTGGGTTTACAGGCGTGAGCCATCGCGCCTGGCCCTAACTCCCTGATTCTTAAGTGTGGGCAGCACATAGTGAATTCCTGCCAAAGACTACAATATGGAAAAGGGGGAACCAGTAACTTTACAGTGGAGAAACCTGACAAACACTATGTCAGCTAGATGATCAAGGCCAACATCAACAATGATGATAGCATGATAGTGTGATGTGATGAATTGGCGTTTTACCTCTGTGGTCTTCCCCTAAAAACCCATAAAGCCAGTCGACTCATGAGGAAAATATCAGCAAATCCCTATTGAGAGACGTTCTGCAGAATACCTGATCAGCACTTCTCCCAACTGTCAAGGTCATAAAAATGAGTAAAGTCTGAGAAACTGTCATAGTCAAGAGATGCCTTAAGGATTGAAGGGTAGAAAAAATAATCTGTCCCTCAAACCTTGTAAGTTCATAATTGGGACAGATACCTGTAACAAAAGACATGAACAAGCAAGTTTATTAATGCATGCAGTGCACATCGCAAGGGAGAAAAATAAGCAGTGGCTCAACATACTGTCTTCAACAAAGAACTATACATTTAGAAAAGTGTTAGGACAAAGGAAAGCAGTTCCAGGCTTCCAAAGGCAGGAGAATGTGGGAAGGTGAGTTTATGGGGAAACTCCTGGGGTAAAGTCTACTCGCAGATTTCTCTGCCACCATCTCTGAGGTGATATGGGTTGTAAAGGAGAATGGGTATCTTGTTTTTAGGTGGGAAATGGGGAGAAGATAGACCTCTTGTCTTTGTAATTCTGTGTCCTGCTTTTAGGCAGACAGAGGGAAGGCAGATAGTTTCCTTCATCCTAATTATCTTTAGCTCGAAGGTCTTTCATATTTTGGGGAGATAGGCTGGTTTCCTTCAGTTCTCCCCTTTGAAACTTTACTTTCAGAAAGTCTCACATATTATGTGCTAGGCTGGTAGCTTTGGAGAGGTATGGTTGTAGATAAGTGATTGGCAAAGGGGAAGAAAACCAGATTGGAACCAGCAGAAAAGAACAGATTTAAGTATATTGTCTCATATCTTATTGAGTCAGTCTCTTAGTCCTGAGACTAGGTTAGTTTAGGTAAACAGTCATGTTTTATTTCAAGAGGTGGTGTTATGGGTGATCTCTTTAATGTTAGGTTTCTATATGTATAAGCATACAAATACTTAATAAGAGACATTTCTATGAAAAAAAAGGAAAAGCAAGGTTAATGTTTAGAGCAGTCTATAAATTAGTTTCTGAGTCTGGAGAGCAGCCAGTTGAGAGGATTTATAAATCTTAGGCTCAAAGTGTCTTCAGCTGGAGTGGGGCAGGCAATTGCAATCTGACAGATTTTCCTTGTTTGTAGTTTAAATATCATAAAGGTTGTCGATACAAAAGCTGTTGTGGTGATTTCTCTTATGTTTGTATCAAGTTGTCCAGCTTTAGCTTGCATAGCTTCAGAAAAAGCCCAATTTTAATTTCAGTGATTCCAGGTCAAAGGGTGGGAGAAAAATTGGAAATGTTAGTTTGGAGACTCACAGCCAGGTATCAGAAAAAACTAAAAGAATTTAGGATCCATTCCAGATTGCAGGTAGTTAATAAAATCTCAAAAACAATGAACAGGGCTAGAATCTAGTAATGGGTGAACTATAGTTTCTGAACTATTATTTTTCTGAAAATATTTTTCCTCTCTCACACTAATTTCTACCAAAAAGAATCAGTAAGACCAGTTTATTTGTAAAATAAGTTTTTGTCTATTATACTTGGCCTAATTATTTACATAAATGCAGCAAAAATAGTGATTGACTATGTAAGCCCTTTTAAAATCTGCTTTGCTGGAACTCTTCATAAGGAATCTCGGATTAGGCTTACAAAAATGCCTCCTTAGGCTAAGAAGCCAAGCTTAGGACTCAACATCAGATTGTGCCTATAGTAGTCTTAGATAGATAGCTCTCTTCCCTAGATTCCTGATGTTCCTGGGCCTGTCAGGAAGGTGACATTCTTTACCCTATAAGGCAACCATTTGAACCATGTATTCAAGGTACGAGGCCAGTATTTCCAAGGTGCCTTTATTGGCCCCATTAAACTGAGGTTCCTCTAGGGACCTCAGTTCCCAAAAACTGGTCATATCAGAAAATACGACATTCTCATCAAACTTTGGCAATATAACCAGTATTTTCAATTGTATCCTATTAAAAGAAGAACGGATTCTTCCTGAACTTATGCAAATGCCTATATTATCCTAAAAATAAGAATACTCATGAATAGTTTCCAAATTTTGGAGGGATCAAGTAAGGAAGAAAAGTAAATGTTTCAATTCTATTTGCAAAAGTATACTTTACCAAATTGTCTTAAGCCATAGATAGCGCAAAAGAAGAAAATGTTTTCCTAAATCTGGAAAATAAAAGAATCAGTAGTGTTTCTAATAAAGTCCTAAAAATCACAGTCCCTCATCATGTTAGTCCCATGTAATTAATTCTTAATTTTGCTCGATGTTAGCAATTTTAGGAGTTCAGTTTCTCCTTTAGATTTCTGGAGTTCATACCTAGTCCACTGGTATTTCCTTAAAGTTATCAGAGACCTGTACAGGTCAGAGTTCTTTTTGTTCTTCCCATATACCTCCTTGAAGACCCAAAACTTTAGGATTATAATTGCTTGCAAAAAGCTTTTAGAAAGAGCATCAGAATAAAGCAGTTATGATAAATGTGAACAACAAGACTTAAAATGGCCATGGTTAAAGATCTGATGGGAGTTCATTATGATAATAATGCAGTTGACAAGGAAATTTGGTTGTTTGTGAGATATAACAATTTAACATAATCAGAATTATGACAGGTAGCATGTTAGATTTCTAGGAATATCATAGTTTTGAAACACATTAATAACATTCATACAAATAATAACTCAAAGGTTAGCATTACATGTTATTTGACAATGTTTCTTATATAATTTAGCATGCAGAATAAACCTAATGGGTTTATTTAATATGTCACTTTCAGACTTCCAGGGAGCCCTCTGGAAATCCTAAAGTTAGTTTAAGGTAAAAAAGACATCATTTACAATTTGATTTTGGGAGGTTTGTAAAAAAGATTCAAAACAATCAAAATAGGATCACAGGTCACTGTGAAATAATAGTCATTCTGATTGTGAAATAATATTTAATCAGACTGATAAAGGCTTCAAAAGCAAATAGGAAGGCATATAGTTGTAGAAAAACCTTAACTCTTTAACTCAATTTTCTAAAGTAATCAAAGACCCAATAAAGACAATGTGAAGCACAGGGAATCATCTTGATGAAACACAGAATCTCCCCTTCCCCTTCCCTCTTTCCCCTTCTCTCTCTGTCTCTACAGTTGACTAAAAAGGTGAACAAAAATCTTTTATTTTCTCTTGTCAATACTATAGGAAAATCTTTTAAAAAAGACCAAATTTTAGTTTTATATCAGTATACTTTAGATATCAAGGCTCCATTTTAAATCTCGTAATAAATTAATTCAACTTTTGTTAGTTTAACCATACAAGACTTTCTCTTGCTCTCTTTTCTCAACTTTCTGTATCCATTTAGTTTTCTCTATATCATTTCTTCATTCATTTTTCAACCTTTAAATAACATCTACTTAGACAAAATCACTCCTTTCCTCAATAAAAACAGATCCTCATATCTTGCTTATAACTTTCTCACCAAAAATATATCTTATTTTACTTGTAAACTTTGCATACAGAATTGTTCCTCTTATTTCTAGTAGCCTTAATTACATATATTAATTAGAGTTTTAATCCTTAGCAATTTTGAACCAGCATTCCATAGACTAATACCACTTCATAATATCTTAGAAATATGTTTCCTCAAAGTACAATTTTTAAAGCTTGCTAACAGACTCAGATATCTTTAGTTTCTTTGCAGTGAGAAGCCAAAAGTAGATAAACTTAAATTTATCTTTAGCAATTAATGTTTAAACATTTTATCTTACTTGAAAATGATCTATATACTCAGTGAATATTCATCATTTAATTTAATTTCACAAAACTCTAAGGATATGGTAACCAAAGAGATTGCGAAACCTTTGTAAGCAAACATATTATAAAATATATTATTTTAAAAGTACCTGTATAAACTCTTATCCTGCTGTATCTGTTTAATTCACTCATTTTAATAATTATGCTTGGAAAATTTTATGAGACAGACAAAGCTAGGCATCATCTCAGGTTATTTTTCTCATATCCATTTTACAGCACGTGTATGTTAGGCAGTTACTACCCAAGCAAGAACTCTAAAGTTAATTATATATGGTATTTTTTTTTCTTGTAACTCAGAAGACATAGTTGTTTTTACTAAACTAACACTATTAAACTAGTCTTATTTGCCCAAGTCATGTGAACCTGAAAAGTATTTGGGTTAGTTTCTATATCTTTGGAGTTTTAAGTAAATTTAATTTACGAGTGCTCATTGCTATCTTTAAGCCAATGTGAAATTTCTTCAAAGCATTTTATACCACGTAAGAACAACCTACAACATATATGAAAACATGTATACAGGCCAGTGCATGGTGGCTTACCCCTGTAATCCCAACACTTTGGGAGGTCAGGGCAGGCGGATCATGAGGTCAGGAGATCGAGACCATCCTGGCTAACACGGTGAAACCTTGTCTCTACTAAAAATACAAAAAATTAGCCGGGTGTGGTGGCACGTGCCTGTAGTCCCAGCTACTTGGGAGGCTGAGGCAGGAGAATCGCTTGAACCCGGGAGGCGGAGGTTGCAGTGAGCCAAGATCATGCCACTGCACTCCAGCCTGGGCAATAGAGCGAGACTCCATCTCAAAAAAAAAAAAAAAAGAAAAAAAAGAAAGAAAAGAAAACATGTATACATAAAAAATACAGACAAAAAAGATAGTACAGCTTTCATTTAAAAAATGTTCAGCCATGAGGTAGGTATAATAATATAAAACTCACTAATTTATAAATGACAGTTGGATCCAATAGAGAGAACAAAGAGGCCTCAAAAATGCATTGTAATCTGAATAACAGCTTTCAATTAAGCCAACTTCTGACCATAGAGATCTTCAAAAATAAAATTCTTTAAAACATCTCATTATCAGGTTTCCTCCAGGACAGACAGTATATATTCCTGGCTTCTCTTTCCTCTCTTTTTTGTCCCCTCTAAGAATCATCTCCCAGAAGTTTGCATTTTAAAAGGGATAGTTTCTCAGGTAATACTAGTTAGGGAATGTGTATCTCAAAGGCATAGAGAAGTAATGTAAATTTTCACAAAAAAACAGAGTTTGGGGGGCTTATTTGCCTACTAGAGGCCTAGGGTAATTAGTATTTCAGCTTTTCCTTCTTAAGTGCAGGACAGTACTGATTTCAATGTCCTGATGTTGAACAGCATTTGCTGGCATCCTGAGATGAATAGGTGAGATTTGGGGTTAGTTAGAATAAGTGGGCTTTGAATTGCTTTTAGAGGCACGTCCTATTTTTGTAAACAATTTGCAAGACAAGGAGAGTTGTTTTTAATTCCTCAGAGAGTTTGGGTTGCAGTCTGCATATCAATGGACTGACTTGTTTATCTAATTGCATTATCTTTAACTTGTGTTATCAGGGAGGAGATTTCCAACTAAGATAGAAATAAAAAGGTTTCCCTTTCAGCTTTAGTGCTGTTTGCCTTTGGAATTTGTTTTTTTGTTTTGTTTCGTTTTGTTTTGTTTGTTTTTTGAGACAGCATCTCACTCTGTCACCCAGGCTGGAGTGCAGTGGCATGATCATGACGCACTGCAGCCTCAACCTCTTGAGCTCCAACCATCCTCCCACCTCAGCCTCCCGAGTAGCTGGAACTACAGGTGTGTGCCACTACGCCTGGCTAGTATGGGTATTTTTTGTAGAGACAGGGTTTCACCATGCTGCTCAGGCTGGTCTTGAACTCCTGATCTCAAGCAGTCAGCCTGCCTTGGCCTCCCAAAGTGCTGGGATTACAGACGTGAGCCATAGTGCCCGGCCTGCAGTATTTTAATAAATCATTTTTCCCCTCGAATGTATAGTTCCATTTTAGCTTAGGAGAGAAAGAAACAGGCAAATTTGTATAGTTTGGAAGTTTGGATATTTGTCCCCCAAAATCTCATGTTGAAATTTGATTCCCTAATGTTGGAGGTGAGACCTTAATGGGAGGTGTTTGGGTCATGGGGCTGGATCCCTCATGAATGGCCTGGTGCTTTTGTCCTCCTAGTAATGCCTGCTTTTTAGTATCTTGTAGCAATAAGTAATGAAGCTAGAAGAGTTGTCTACTATAGCCTCCCTGAGAGTTCCCCTGAGAGCTACTTGTTGAAAAGTGCATAACACCTTTCCCTTCTCTCCTGCTTTCCTCTCTCACCGTATGATCGCTCCACACGCTTGTTCCCCTTCGCCTTCTGCCAGGGGTGGAAGCAGCCTGAAGCCATCAACACAAACAGATGCTGGTGCCATGTTCCTTGTAGAGCCTGCAGAGCCATGAGCCAAATAAACTTCTTTACAAATGACCCAGCTTCAGGTATTCATTTATGGCAACACAGATAGACTAAGAAACAAATGTAAACCAAAATTCTATACTAAAGTTATATATTACGAGTGACTCAATACGAAAACTACAACCATGCATGAGACTAAAACCAAGAAGCCCTTCTTTTTTTTTCTTTTTTGAGACGGAGTCTTGCTCTGTCGCCCAGGCTGGAGTGCAGTGGCATAATCTCGGCTCACTGCAAGCTCCGCCTCCCGGGTTCAAGCGATTCTCCTGCCTCAGCCTCCAGAGTAGCTGGGACTACAGGCGCCCACCACCGCGCCTGGCTAATTTTTTGTATTTTTAGTAGAGACAGGGTTTCACCATGTTAGTCAGGATGGTCTCGATCTCCTGACCTCGTGATCCACCCGCCTCGGCCTCCCAAAGTGCTGAGATTGCAGGTGTGAGCCACTGCGCCCGGCCAAAACCAAGAAGCCCTTTAAGGCTTTAACCAACGTCTTCAAAGAGGGAGTAGAAGATGCCGCCCTTCCAAGAGCCACACCACTCCCAAAAGACAGAAGGAAGAAAGGCCCAATAACCTGTGTGCCACCAAGAGATGGAAAGACAAAAAGAGACAGGAGTCACTAAGACAAACAGAAAAACAAAAGCTGCCCATGGGGTGTGTTTGGGGGTTTGCTAACAATAAGCCTCTTTATGACTTAAAACCATAGATGCAAGAATTACATTCCAAAGAGGGTAGAATGAAAAAGATGCAGTTCCCCTCAAGATCCAGTTTCTTCCAACGACAGCCTAAGAAAGTAAAGACCCTCATTGTTAACAAGGCAGTGAATGTTAAGACAATTAAGAGAATGTTCCTTGAGAGCTGGAATGGCTGGACAAACATGTTTTAGACTCCTAGCCAGCTGGATAGCTGCTGCCTGATACAAATCTGACAATTCGTGCCCCCTGGGAGAACAAGCAAGGAGAAAAACCTTGCTTGTTGCAAAAGCCAAGCTCTCAAAACATACAACAAGGTGGAAGGAGAATCTTCTTACGATTTTCCTTTTTATGACAAACCACACCAAAAAAAAAAAAAAAAAGAAAGAAAAAAGAAAAAGAAAAAAGACAAGAAAAACAAAGGCCTTTTCTGGGTGGCTAAAGATCAGTCATCAATATGTACCCAAACCAAATCTACAGGAGTCACAAATTCAAAGAACTAATTTTCTCTTTTTTAAATTTCAAATTTTTTTTCCTGCCAATCTGAATTTGGAAAGGAAGGAACAAGGAAAAATTTTTACCTTCCCCTCTTGACCAGGCTCTACAGGTAGAGATTTGGGAGAGCTGCCTTTGTAAGAATTATCTTTTCCTACCAGCTTCTGCCTGTTCTGTTCTCCCAGGATTGTGTCTGCAAGTCCCAGAACGAGTAAAGTGGCCCAGAATTTCCTGCCAACTATGCCAAAATGAAAGGGAGAAGAAATTATGTTTTCCTCAAGCCTCATAAGTTGGTAATTGGGACAGACTCCTGTAACAAAAGACAAAATGAACAAGAGACAGCAGGTTTATTAACACATGCAATGCACATCGCGAGGCCGAAAAGTAACTCCAAATAGTGGTTTAAAACTCTGGTTTATATTACCATCTTCAACAAAGAACACTTCATTTTAGAGAAGTGATAGGACAAAGGAAAGCAGTCCCAGGCTTCCAAGGGTGGGAAAATGTGGGAAGGTAAATGTATGGGGAAGCTAATGGGCCAAAGTCTGCTTGCAGATTCCTCTGGTGCCATTGCTGAGCTGATATGGATTGTAAAGGAGAATTTATATCCTGTTTTTAGGCAGGAACGAGGGGGAGGATAGAAAGACCTTTTGTTTTTGTAATTCTCTGTCCTGCTTTTAGGCAAACAGGAAAGGTAGAGAGCTCCCCTGCATCCTAATTATCTTTAGTTCTCCCCAGCTCTTCATATTTTAAGGAGAAATATTCTGTTTTTTGTTTGTTTTTTTGTTTTTGTTTTTGCAGGATATATAATAGCTAAATGTAATGTGGTATCCCAGATGGGATCCTAGAAAAGGTCATTATGTAAAAACTAAGGAAGTCGGAATAAAATATGGACTTTAGTTCATAGCAGTGTATCAATATTAGTCCATTAATTTTAGCAAATGCACCATACTAATGTAAGATATTGCAGTATCTTTGCAGTTTTACTGTAAATCTGAAACTCATAAAAGTTTACTAAATATAATAATTCTGCTTACATTCTTATACACATGTATCTTTAAGTTCAGCTGTAGGAAAAGTTCATTTTAAAAATACTGTTTTTTTTTAACTGACATAATTATATGGATTTTTGGGGTACAGGACACATTCTTGAAAATGGAATTGTGGGATCCAAAAAATATATGTATTTTAAACTTTGTTGTGCTTTAAATTTTATTCTGTAAGACTGTTGCACAGCTAAGCTTTGCCTCAAGATGTAGAAGGAACACGCTTTTATTGATTGATTGATTGCACACCATGCCTGCTTAGCATTTTAAACACTAAAGCATGAGTTCTGGGCCAGGCATGATGGTTCATGCCTATAATCCCAGTGCTTTGGGAGGCTGAGGTAGGTGGATTGTTTGAGGCCACGAGTACAACCAGCCTTGGCAACCTAACAAGAACCCCTCCCTACAAAAAATAAAAATAAAAGATCAGCTGGGCAGGGTATGCATCTGTAACTGGAGAGACTGAGGCAGAAGGATTGCTTGAGCCTAGGAGTTTGGGGTTACATTGAGCTATAATCATGTCACTCCACTCCAGCCTGGGTGACAGAGTGAGACCCTGTCTCAAAAATAATAAAATAAATAAATAAATAAATAATATATAAGTAAAATAAGATAAAATATAAAAAATAAGTAAAAGAAAAAATATAAAATAATAAAATAAAAATATAAAATAAGTAAAATAAGCCCATCCATGAATTCTGAAATTTTTCTGTGGTACCATGAAGAATACTACTATATCAAGATCCTTTAGGCTTGATTCCATTTCAGATCCTCTATGGCACAAATTTGTGTATGATTGATTGTGTGTGTGTGTGTGTGTGTATTAGCTTTTTAAATAAATAAGACTTTTTTTTAGAAGTTTAGATTTACAGAAAATGGAGCCAAAAATACAGAGAATATTCACATACCTCTTCACCTTTTCCTACTCTCATTTCTACTATTATTAACATCTTGCTTTAATTAATGTGGTACATTTGTTAGAATTGTTGAGCCAGAATTGATATATTATTATTAACTAAAATCCATAATTTACATTAGGGCTCACTTTTTGTCTTGTACGTTCTATGGGTTTGGACAAATATATAGCACATGTATTCACCATTATAGTACAGAATAGTACCACTGGTCTAAAAATGTGTGCTCTACCTGTTCAGCCCTTCCTCTTTAACTACAAATCCTTGGCACCCACGGTTTTTTTTTTTGTTTGTTTGTTTTTTTGAGACGGAGTCTCGCTGTTACCAGATTGGAGTGCAGTGGCATGATCTTGGCTCACTGCAACCTCCGCCTCCTCGGTTCAAGTGATTCTCCTGCCTCAGCCTCCCTGGTAGCTGGGACTACAGGCACATGCCCCCACTCCTGGCTAATTTTTGTTTTTTTAGTAGAGACGGGGTTTCACTAT
Organism: Homo sapiens; assembly: GCF_000001405.40. Lineage (NCBI taxonomy): Eukaryota > Metazoa > Chordata > Mammalia > Primates > Hominidae > Homo > Homo sapiens. The sequence continues at coordinate 116,987,730 of NC_000010.11, read as the reverse complement.
GTTGGCCATGATGGTCTCGATCTCCTGACCTTGTGATCCGCCCACCAAGGCCTCCCAAAGTGCTGAGATTACAGGTGTGAGCCACTGCGTCTGACCTCCCACTGATCTTTTTATTGTCTCCATAGTTTCGCCTTTTCTAGAATGTCATATAATTGGAATCATATGTATGTAGCCTTTTTAGATTGACTTTTCACTTAGCTATATACAGTTTTTTTCCTTGTCTTTTTTTGTGACTTCATAGTTCACTTGCTACTTCTTAGCACCAACTAATTCTTAACACCGGATACTGTTCCGTTATCTGGATGTACCACAGTTTATTTATCCATTCACCTATTGAAGAACGTCTTGTTTGTTCCCAAGTTTTGGCAATTAGGAATCAAGTTGTATAAACATTAGGGTGGTGGTAACGTATGGAAGGAAGGGAAGTGTTCTGTAGTTCTGTGATTAGATCATAGTTTTATCATTAGCTCTTAGTGACCCTGTGTCCCTAGGATGTGACCTTTACGAGTTCTTCTCAGTTTTGTTTTATTTACCTCTTAGATGAGACAAGAAGGCTAGTGGGGGCTGGCGTTGGGTATTTGCCTTCCACCAAGTCTGTTAGGCTCTGGTAAGATAGTTTCTCTTGAGGACAGACATTGTTTAGAGGAACAAAATGCTCTGGGCATATTTCATAGAGGCTACCTTATTTTCCTTTTAAAAAAATAGGCCGGGCACGGTGGTTCACACCTGTAATCCCAGCACTTTAGGAGGCCGAGGCGGGTGGATCACGAGGTCAGGAATTCAAGTCCAGCCTGACCAACATGGTGAAACCCCGTCTCTACTAAAAATGCCAAAATTAGCTGGGTGTGGTGGCGGGCGCCTGTAATCCCAGTTACTCAGGAGGCTGAGGCAGGAGAATCGCTTGAACCCGGAAGGCAGAAGTTGCAGTGAGCCGAGATCGCACTGCACTGCTACACTCCAGCCTGGGTGACAGAGCGACACTCTGTCTCAAAAAAAAAAAAAAAAAAAAAAAAAGGATACTGGGTTTTGCTATGTTGCCCAGGCCGGCCTCAAACTCCTGAGCTCAAATGATTCTCCTGCCTTGGCCTCCCAAAGTGCTAGATTACAGGTTGAGCCACTGCACTCTGTCAACAGTGGCTACTTTTCTATGCCACCTGCCAGAGTAGTAGGGAAAATTTTCACTTTGAGCATCTAGTAGTGATCCTGGAGGTGAAACTCACAAAAGTTTAGGGGCCCCTCTAAGGCTATGTCCCCCTGGACATTTTAACTCTCAAACTTGTCCAAACTGAGCCTCCAGCTATTCTTTAATTACAGTTTAGGGTTCCCAGTACCAGTTACCAGGTACCGGTTCCCAAGGAGGTTTCGCTTCCAGGCTGCTTCTCTAATAAATTATAATCCTTTCTATCTGCCTTATGTGTCTCTTCAGTTTTGGGGATGGTGGTTTGCCCTGTGACTTCAATTATTTGATATATCTTAGGAAGAGTTGTTGATTTTCAATTTGTTTTTACTTTTTGTTGTGAGGACGGAATGAGGATTTACAAGCTCCTTACATGACAGACCAGAAATCAGACTTATGTGTGTATTTTAAAGATACTCAGTTTTCTTCCTTTCTTCTTGGTTAATTTGAAGTCATTAATGTAGTTTGTTGAGAGTACTTCTTAAGTATCATTAATTTATTAACTGAACTGTGTGTTTTACCATGTAATGAATAAATTTCTGGTTTGCCGTAATTTCTTTTCAGGATATGAAATCTGTCACCTTTGTTTTTTGATCAGATTTTCTATCAGTGTTTTCCATGGCTTTTCAAATGCTTTAATTAACAAGTAAGTTACAAATGACTTCTCTTTCTACTCTGGCTATAAGAGGACGACCCATTGGGATGTGTACAGAAGGGAATAATGTTGTAATTGAACACTATCTTTTGTGACTCATGTCCTCATTTCCCATTAGTAAGAGGTATCTCAAAACTCCCTGAGTATCAAAGATGCAGACTGAATGGATGAAAGTCTACATTAGAAGCTCTCATGAGGTCTTGTTTTCTGGTTACATTTGATGGCTATTTAAACCTTCATTTTTATTAAGTATCTTGATACAATATATGATGTATAAGAGACTCTTACCATGGGGAGGAGAGTATGTTCTCTTTCATGATTTGCTCACGTGAAGACCTAGATCCATTCTTCCTTCTTCCTTAATTTAACACGTTTATCAAATAATCTATATGTCAGACAGGATCCTAGATATGGGAATCTGGATAGATAAAGATGTCTTTAACCAAGAGGATTATTTCTGATCCATTGCTTTAGTGCATTGCACACAGTAATGCTCAGTAATGTCTTTTTGGATGAATGACTCTGGGAGTCAGTAGATTGGTGCTTCCACTACCATTCTGTATTGTGGGATTTGACTTCTCTATGCATTTGTGTCTTTGTTTGTAAAATGGGGACGTTAATATTTGGATTGTTTTGCCTCACAGATTTACACGAACCATTCATTCATTTATTCAACATAGGCATGGACTCTGGTATTCATATGAGTATAAGACATATAGCAGTGAATCGGGTAGGAAGAATGACAGGAAAACAGACCTGTGCACAGATAATTTATAATGTTATAAGTAGATGCTCCAATAGAGCTGTATGAACAGTGTACTCTGATGGTATATTAAGATAAACCTGCTGATTTTGCATGAAGTATATGGGGAAGGCTTCTTAGAAGAAGTAACAGTTGAATTGCTTTGAAAAAGAGGAGATAGGGAAGATGGGGTAGGGAAAGCCTTTGCAGGCAGAGGGAAAAACATTTGCAAAGGTACCTAAGTATGAAAGGTCTTAGAGGGTTTAGGGAAGCACTGGGACTTTGGGTGTGGCCTTTGAGGCTGAATGGTGGGCAGTAGAGTGGGATTCCAGGCAGTAAAGATAAGGTCTTTTGAAGTTTCTAAACATGAAATAACCAGCTTGCTTTGTTAACTAACTGCTGTGTAAAGAATGCCCTTGGGATAGAAGGAAGTTAGAACTAGATAGGAGGGTTTTGTCATTATTGAGGGTCTAAGGGCAGAGATAACAGCTTCAGAGGAAGGGCAGTTTGCAGAGATACTTTTTAGAGGTTTGAGCAGTTTGATGATCCTTTGGAGGGAGAAAAAAGTGGGAACTCAAGGGTGATCCTGCAGGTAGTAGCTTGAGGACTAGGTAGGTAGATGATGACAGCAGTGAAAGGAGACGTTTCATACAGGGAGTAGGGAAGGGAAATTGATGAGCTCACTTTCTAAAAGTTGAGTTTGAGATGCTTGCAGAGCCTCTTGACAGAGCGGCCCAGAACTGCCAGTGGAACTGTCTGTTCTGTTGGAAATGTTCTGTGTCCATTGTTCATTATGGCACTAACTAGTCACATGTGGCTATCGAGCACTTGAAATTTAACTTATGCAACTGAAGAACTGAATTTTACATTTTCTTTAGTTTCAATCAATTAAAATTTAAATAGCTACTTGTGGCTAATGGCTACCATTTTGGACAACACAGGTCTGGTAAGTATTGGTTGGAAATACTGGTCTGGAAAGAGTGCTAGAGGTAGAGTGATTAGCCTCCCTGGGACTGGGAGGTTTCCTAGGATGCTGAACTTTCAGCGCTAAAACTGACAAAATCCCAGACAAAGCATGATTCTTATTAACCCTAGCTAGAGGTGTTACTGGCTTGTAGTTACGAACTTTAGTTGTCACATTTCTGAAACAACTAAGTCTACTCAGCTGCCTGTTGGGCTGGCTATGTCATGATTTGCAGCTTGGAAAGAAAACTCCTTTTCTTGGCACTGAGGAGTTAGAAAATAGAAAACCAGCATGATTCTTGAAACACGTGCTCTGCCTGATATTCTCCTTGTTTTCTCCACCATCTTCCTTTTTCTTCCATTCTATATTGTTATGTTACAGCCCACTTTGGCTGTACATTGGAATTACCTGGGGCTCTCACTTCTAAATATATATATGTGTGTGTGTATGTGAGTGTGTGTATATGCATGTATGTATGTATGTATGTATGTATGTATGTATGTATTTATCTATCTATCTATCTATCTATCTATCTATCTATCTATCTATCTATCTATCTGGATGCCCAGGCTCTACCCCAGAATAGTTAAATCACAATCTTGAAGCAGGAGGGGCGAGGCATCTATATGATTTAAAAGCCCCGCAGGTGATTTTAATGTGTAGCCAGGATTGACAAGTACAGCTCTCAGAAGTGCTTTTACTTCTTTGCCACCTTTCTTTACTGCAACAAATTGTTTGCAGTAGATCTTTAGCCCCTTTTCTCCTCCCTTTATTTGGTGGAGGATAGAAGTACCCTGGAAATTTTTCCTGTCTGCCATGCAGGACACTTCCTTTGTCATAAACACAGAATTTGAGGTACTTTGCTGTATGAGTAATAATAACCATAGCTAACATGTTTTAAACAGTTAATAAGCCCAAATACTCTTTTATATGTTAACTCATTTACTCTTAATAACAACACTATGAGAGATGTATAATTATTATTCCTATTTTCCAGATGAGGAACCTGAGACTCAGAGAGATTAACTGATTTGCCCAAGGTCCCCTAGCCAGTAAGTGCTCGGCTGTCATTAGGATGTACTTTTTAATTACTGTCCTATATAACCTTATAGTACAGTGAAATATACTGTACCTGTAAATCTGAGAGATGAAGTCTTCTCGAGCTCTCAAGCTGCAGCTATCTTTCATATGCTGAGAATTGGTCAGATTCATCTGTTCTTTTTTTTTTTTGAGACAGAGTCTTGCTCTGTTACCCAGGCTGGAGTGCAGTGGTATGATCTCGGCTCACTGCAACCTCCGCCTCCTGGGTTCAAGTGATCCTCCCACCTCAAGCCTCCAGAGTAGCTAGGATTACAGGCGTGTGCTGCCATACCTGGCTAATTTTTTTTGTATTTTTAGAAGAGATGCGGTTTCACCATGTTGGCCAGGCAGGTTTTGAACTCTTGACCTCAAGTGATTCCCCCCCACCTTGGCCTCCCAACATGTTGGGATTACAGGCGTGAGCCACTGCGCCCGGCCAGATTAATCTCTTTAGCATTGGCAAATTCAGGATTTGGAGGATGTCTCTGATGGAATCACTTGAGCTGTGCAAGCTCAGTTTTTAAAATTTTCAGACTGCAAGCCAGTTCTGAAACAAAAAGGCAGCTTTCTCTGCGACCCCGTAACATTGCCAAAAAGGAGCTGAGTAATATAGATCACTTCAGTTTTTGCCAGTTTTGCTGAAGTTAGGGTTAGGGGTCCACTGTGATACATATGTGTGTGTATGTGTGTGCATGTCTGTGTATGTGTTGTTTATGGTAGTGAGCTTGGTTTTATTAGCAAGGGGTTGAATTATTCTCATACTTTCCCTTTCCTTTCCTTATACCTTACTTCAAAGTTGTACATAGTCACAAGAAAGCATGTTTTCTGTGATTTTCATTAAAATATGATAGTTCAAAGATTCTTAATTGTTTTCATAAATACTCAGTAATTGGGAGCCTACAATGTTTCATCTGGGTTCTATTGTCAGTATAATGGAAGAATAGTACTGGTATTTTAAAAAGACTTCAAAACCATTATCTGATGTTTTAAATAGAAAAAATTTCTTAATGTCAATATAAGATCATGGGTTTCTGTTTGTTTGTTTGTTTGTTTTTGAGACGGAGTCTTGCTCTGTTGCCCAGGCTGGAATACAGTGGTGCAATCTTGGCTCACTGCAACCTCTGCCTCCCGGGATCAAGCGATTCTTCTGCCTTAGCCTCTGAGTAGCTGGGATTACAGGTGCGCGCTACCACGCCCAGCTAATCTTTTTGTATTTTTAGTAGAGACGGTGTTTCACCATGTTGGTCAGGCTGGTCTCAAACTCCTGACCTGATGATCTGCCCGCCTCACCCTCTCAAAGTGCTGGCATTACAAATGTGAGCCACCGCACCCGGCTGAGATCATGGTTTTATAAGCCTTTATTGTTCATTCTGTATGTCTGTAAAGTAGGTCACCAATTATAGAACATTAAATAAATTTTGGTTTTTTCAACTTCATCTATAGATACTTTTAAATGTCAAGTAACCTAAAATCAAAGTCTTTTAATAAAATACTTATATATCTGTTTTTTGAAACAATTTAAGATACAGTAGTAAGATGTGGGATCATGACCATAGACTACCCAGTGGTGGTGTAAGTGAATATTTTTAGAAGATCTTACTTAGTTCTTGTTTCTTTCAGTTAAAAAGGTGGGGACACATTTTATTGGTTTTTCAGCTCCAAAGACAATTTAGTTTTACTTAGTTCTTGCGGTGCGTGTGGTGGGGCTGATGAAGAGCTGGTGTGCAGAGAGCTTCATTCTAGGTCAGTCAAATCTTTTTCTGTTGAAAATGTTTTGTTTCGTTTTGTTTTTGAGACAGAGTCTCGCTCTGTCGCCCAGGTTGGAGTGTGCTGTGGTGCGTTCTTGGCTCACTGCAACCTCTGCTTCCCGGGTTCACGCGATTCTCCTGCCTCAGCCTCCCAAGTATCTGGGACTACAGGCAAGTGCTACCATGCCCAGCTAATTTTTGTACTTTTTGTAGAGGCGGGGTTTTGCTGTGTTGGCCAGGCTGGTCTTGAACTCCTGACCTCAAGTGATCTGCCCACCTCGGCCTACCAAAGTGTTGAGATTACAGGCGTGAGCCACCACGCCCAGCCTGTAAATGTAATTATTTTCAGAACTATATCTTTACATGTACACATTCACCTATTTTATGGACTAGTTTTCAAGGATTATTTTGGGATGTGGCTTCAATAAAATTGTCTATTCTTGTTTAAGTGGTCCTGGTATACTAATAAAACTTCTGGACATTGGTGATATAATCTCATAAATATTCGCCAATTTAAATTTGGATTTTAGGACTTTGGTGCCACCATCACAGTAGCCATTCTGAACCCTTTCGATCACCATAGGAGAAAACAAGGCATGTGCTTTACCATGTTAATTGTCTGTTTCTGGGGTGTTCTTTGCCCTAGTGGTTAGAATCATACATTTCTGGAATTAAGGACCAGATTATCTGGGATGTTCTTGGAACCACTGGTTTCGGATTTTTTATTTCTGTTTCTAGATTATTCATAGAAATAGGAAGCTCTGTTTTTTTGTTTTTTTTTCTTTCTTAAAAGAAAAACTGAGGGTTTTTTTTTTTTGGTAGATAAATCCATAAAGCAAAAGTTCAAATTGTGACCAGGCTGGGCAAAATAGCAAGACCCCATCTCTACAAGAAATTTAAAAATTTAGCTGGGCATGGTAGTATGTGCCTGTAGTTCCAGCTGCTCAGGAGGCTGAGGTGAGAGGATCATTTTGAGCCCTGGAGTTCAAAACTGCAGTGAGCTATGATGGTGCCACTGCACTCCAGCCTAAGTGACAGAACAAGACCCTGTCTCTTAAAAAAAGAAAATCAACCTGATGATTCACTGACGTTCTGGTGCCAGTCAAGAAGCCAGCCCTGGGGTGAGCAGCAGTTTTAGACTTACTTCAGATGTTCTGCTCTGTCATTGATCTTAGGCCATTCTTTTTCTTCTCACTTCATGTGTTCAAAACTTTATATTCTCAACTGTAGGGATACCTAAAAATGGTGCTTTGATTAAAGATGAATGTGGGGATTTAGGTTTCGTTTTTTTTTTCTGGGCAGGGGCAATAAACGATTTTAAGTACACAACTTTCCCCTCTACCTAGTGGATAATATTTTCAAACAGTTTAACATATCTTCCCCATTTAGTGAAATGAGTCTGAATTTCTGGTCGTGACTGACAATCTTGTCTGAAAATAGTTGTTCTTAGCTGAATCCTTCATAAATTTTTTGCTTTGTGAATAAAGCAGACGTGTGACATTGAGTCGAGTGTGCAAACCTACTCTACTTTCTACAGGCTGATTTTCTAAATAAATCTCTGATTACAATACCACAGACTAATAGTGCTGGGAGGAACTTCAGGGAACACCTGCCTGAATCCTTTCACAGGACCAAGTGCTGAGCATCAGAAAGGAGAAATTGCTTGTCATCTGTCACCTCTCCTGGATCATGGGTGTTCCTAATGACCTAGGGAGAACTGAAATTTAGTTTGGTGGGCTCATGTCTCCTTTTTCATCCTTACTGTTAAAAGCAGGAGCCCAGCCGGGTTTGGTGACTCGTGCCTGTAATCGCACTTTGCGAGGCCAAGGCAGGAGGATCGTTTGAACCCAGGAGTTTTGAGACCAGCCTGGGCAACAGAGTGAGACCCTGTCTCTACAAAATAAAAAAAATAAAAAGCAGAAGCCCCTTTTCTGCAGCCTCTTCTCCACCCTACCTCAACCTAGTAAGAAGACTATGGGGGTTAGTTGGATTCCCCAGGTTGCCCTGCAGTAAACTTTTGACAGTGTTGTAATGTTGCTTTCCTTTTTTCTTTTAGCAATAGGCGAATATGAAGACCTTAGAGCAGAGAACCAGAAAACAAAGGAGAAGGTTTGTACTTTACCTTTTTTTTCCCCTTTCTTACATGTGTAAAAGCCTAGGCGGCATAGTGCATTGTTCAGTCACCAATTTCAGTTAAATGTGAATGAGGGTTGTTTTTTTCTTTTCTTTTCTTCCCTTTTCTCTTGCATGTGTGGTTCAAGCTAATACCAACTCCAGGCTCCAGATGGTAAAGAATAGCAGGCATGCCACAGTGGGTGCAGCTCTGGGAGATTAACTACATGGCTAAATGTGCAGCAAGGCACCAGGCCAAGCAACTCAAGTCCCCAGGAATCGTACTTTTTCCCTAACAGTCAGATTTGGGATTCTGTCAGTGGAATTGAACACTTCATACATGTACTGTTGGGACCTAGACACATTGGGTCCTAGAGAAAACTCTTTGGAATTAGTCATTGGTGTTTCGCCCCAATACCTCCATAAATCTTTATATGTCTGCTTCTTCTATTTATATGAATAATACACTGGAAGTTGAGAAGCATCCACTGTGAAGGTGGGGAAGTCTGGTGAATATTTTCAGGGGTTCTGTCAGTTTTGTTTTAACTGTTAAATAATTGAATTCTACTTACCTTACAAACTATATCCTTATCACTGAAAATATCTAAGATTTGTGAATGCTTGCTAATATATATAGCTAATAATATATATATATATATTTCTTGTAAATTTAGGGAGGAGACAAATGGAAGAACAGACTAAGGTCAGAAACGTAGAGGGACTGAATAGCAAAGGAAAGAAAGCAGACTGCCTATTTTCGGTTTTAGATATAAAAAAAATTTACTTTAAAAAATTACTTTGTTGGGTAGGCTAAATATTTCAGAACATAATATCCCTGACCAAAAATTAATAAAACAGGTCCTTTGTAGATATTAAAGAAGAAGATAGCCATCACTGCTCTAAATTGTGAAACCTCATTTTTAAAATTTCGGAGTAAGAGCTGTAATAAAAACTGGCAGCAAGCTAAATATTTGTAAAACGTATGGGATATTTGGGATCACTTATTGGGCTCTTTAGAATTATATTTAACTTTTTCACTATTAATTTGCCACCTATATAGCTGTAGTATGGATGGTGATATTAATGGTAAGTACTCCAGTTTGAAGCCGATTATAAGGGATTTTTAGATCATTATTTTTCACCTAGTTTTAAGGCTCCTTTGCTCATTTGTAAATAAATCCTTGGTGTTCTGTGAAATCCTAAGTTTCTTCTCTTGCCTTCATCAGGTGATTCAGGGAATGGTAGGTGGAGGTGATAAAAACATCCATATTAGAAGGGGCTGGTGCTTGCATCTATAATATGGTAAGAAGCACTTTGGGAGGCTGAGGTGGGAGAATCACTTGAGACCAGGAATTCAAGACCAGCCTGGACAACATAGTAAGACCCCCATCTTTACAAAAAAGTTAAAAAATTAATCGGTCATGGTGGCATGCACCTGTAGTCCCAGCTACTTGCGAGGTTGAGGCAGGAGGATTCCTGGAGCCCTAAAGGTTGAAGCTGCAGTGAGCCATGATTGCACCACTGCATTCCAGCCTGGGCAACAGAGTGAGATCTTGTCTCAAAACACACACACACACACACACACACACAGAGTAAGAAAGTCACTGAAAATAGTAGTTTGGCATGATTTCTAATTCCAACCCTGTAACCATGCAGAATCACAAATGTCCTGAGGACATAAACAGGTAAGGAGGTTTTTCTTAGATCCTGGGCCCCTGATGCCCCAAAATTCCAAAGTAAACCTAGTGGGTAATGCTTAGGCTGGATAACTTGAGCATCTTGCTCTAAGATACTCAGCTATCTTCCAGCTGTAGGAGAACAAAGAGACTGAGATGATATCAGTCCCTGAGTCTCTTTCGTAGCTGCTCCTGACCCACGAGAAGAACAAAGCAAGTTGGAGGGGTTAATTCAGGAGCACTCTTTGACTTAACCTAGAAGGTAAGAGAAGGGAAAGCAAACAGTTGTCTTCATATAATAGAGAAAGAAGGATGATAGAAGAAAATGAATAATGTAAGAGGAAGTAGATAAAATTTTTTATTTATTCTTCTTGTTTAATCCTTGCTTACATGTAGACCTAGCAGTGCCCTAAAAATACATAGTAGATGCTCTGTAAACATCTGTTATTGGTGGAGATGATAGTTGTTTAACTGACAGACACTTTCTCAGTGAGGTTTTAAGTGAATCATCCGTTATGCAAGTGGAATTATAGGTAAAATGCATTTGGTAAAAGGAGGATTATAAATTACCTCAGCCCATTAACTGTTTACATGTTTCACTGCATAGAGTATGGCCTAATACTTTCATGACATCTGTAGGCATTATTGACCTGCTTCTGTTGTAATTCTTTAAAAATAACTATTAACAGAAACGGGAAGAAAAGAAATGAAAGCAATATGGAATGCTGTGTGGTTGGGTAAAACAAAGTAGAGTGGTTTTAAGTTCACTGCACTCTGTTTATCTTCTGTTAAAAGACTAGCTTGCTTATTACTGCAGGTTTTTCCTCAAAAAAGGGGGGCTGTATTACAAAGGAGGGAAGCATATAATAAAAGCCTTTTATAGAGTGTAGAATGAGTAAAAGCAGCTTTAGTTCCGGAGGTGGTAAATGGAGAACAGCATTTTCTCTGGGAAAGCACTCTCTTGTGCCTGGCTGGGTGAGCTTTGTCCAGTTGACATCAGCAAATACGTATGGCCATCCTTTCATTCATGGCCCCAAACCAGAGTGCAGTTAAATCGTTCAGGGACAGCAAATTAAAGTAAGACTCCTTTTGCCATGGTTAATTTGATGTAGGGAAATTTAGAGTGAACAGAGGAAGCAAAAAAATAAATTGCAAGGTATTTTTTCCTTCCACATGTCTACTATCTTTGTCCCCAGGTCATGAACCTTATCAATGGGAGGCGGCGGTGGATGTGATTCCTTTGGGCAGGATCTTTTCCTGCCCTGTTTGGACTCTCTTGCGTTGAGACAAGTGGTCTGACATGGTGCTCTTCAGGGAAACCAGTTGTTCAGAGGCTGCATGGTGTAAGAAGCTGCTATAGGACATCCATGCTCTCTCATCTCCCTGTCTCATGCTCTACACAGCAGTGTGTCTGCTCCATTTCACAGAGGAAAGAACAGTACCCCAGGGCTTGAGTGAGGTTCCCAGTGTTACACAGACCATGGCAGAGTCTAGATTCAAACATGGGTCTTCTGAGCACGATGTTCTTTTAGAAGCAGGTGAACAGTGGGAGCTTATTGACTCTTCTTCTGCAAAGGTCCTAACTTTATTCTAATTCTGTATTGTTAGTGCATGAGTTTTCCACAGCAAATTATCAGACCCGATCCTTTTCTGGGTCATTTATCTTTACCAGCTATTGGTTTGTGTTGAAAAACTGAAAGTTGAATATAAGTATCAAATCAATCTTATGTCAAAACATTCACATGTGTTTGTATATGTATGTGTGTACTTGTATATATACATATAGATTCTGGCATAATGCATCCCAAGGATAAAAGCAGGAAATTTGGGGCAGGGGGAGTGGACCCATGTTTTGATGGATATTTTCTCTTTTTTTTGCAGTTCTTCCATTTTAGGAAAACTGCTGACTCTTTTATGTTTTTTTTTTTTATCAGTGACTTTGAGAATGGAGTCAATTTGTTTGAGTTTATAAGGAAAGCTCTTTTGAAGGGAAACCTTTTTATTGAATGCCTTCTGAGTACTGGGGTATAAAGAAAAATATATGAAGGTCCTACTCTTGAGTAAAACCACTCTAATGAGGACCTCAAATAAGTTGACAAATAACCACGATCAATTATGCTGCTCTGTGAGTGCCTAGAGCATGGCTGGGCAATGGACAAAGAACAAAAAGACAAGGTTCCTACTCTTTTCCATGTGATAACTTTTTACTAGCCTTTAATGCTTGCCTTAATAAATGTCACTTAGGTTTTTCAAAGTCTTCTCTAACTCTCTCACAAGCAGAATTTATTGCTTTTTTGGTAATAAGACATCTGCATATTTATGTATGTATGTATCACATTTATCAAGCAAAATTTATTGTCAAAATATTAGAGTATAAGCAAATGATGTGGGTTGCCTTCAAATGTAAAAACAGCGAGTTTTTTTAACATCAAGATAAATGGGGATTATGGAAATGGTGCTACTTGCTAGTTTCCATTATTTTTTGCCCATTTTCTAAGTGGACTTAGCAGTATGTGAAAAAGTAAGAGCCTATCATACTGAGGTGAACAACTCTTCAAATTTATATTTTTGGGGTATAGAAAAATAGATGACTATATATTTTGCAATCAACCAAATAAAATGGTTTACTTTGCTTGTGTAGCAATCACCATATTCAAATGTTAGTCATGCCTCCACAATTGAAGGGCATTCTCTTATGACTCACTCAGGATCTTTATCATAATCGTTTGGGTTTTTTTCCTATATGGGGGGAAAGCGTCATTGAGCTTTGAATGGAATAGCTTTCATGTTTCTCAGAGTGGTGGGGGTGGGGGTGTGTGTGGAGTGTGCGTAAAAAGAAGGAAATCTGTATAATAGAAGAATGTCTGCCTTTAAATAGTAAGTATTTATGTTTAGTATTATGTTCTGAGATCAAGTTTTGAAATGCATAAATGTTTAAGTGGCTGATTAGAAGTCGTTTGGGTGAGCTACTGTAACAGTGCATCAGGCGGTTCTGTCAGCTTGCCAGGAACAATGAATGAAAAGAGAATGAGACAGACACTTTCCAAGACTTATGTTTCAAGAAGCAGGATATATGATACTGTTTGCATCTTGGCTCAGTTGTCTATTGTTAAAATTTCTTCCTCTTGTGTAATATTCAGAGATGAAGGTCTCAAAGTATTTTATTTTTTAAAAAAATCAATAAAGAAGCCACTTTAAAGAGCAAGATATGCATCCATTATGCTAACTGTTCATGCATAATACATCCACATACATGCAGTTTCTTTGAGACAGAGTGGCAAGTGGTTGTGCCAGAGAAAAAGTAATTACTTAGCAGTTTGAAAGTGAAAATGAGTCTCTTATTAACAGCAATCTATCTAGAAACAAAGAGCAAGGATCTCTGTTCTGATGACATGTGTTTCCATCTAACACACAATACCTAGAATTTGGAGAATGCTGCAAGACAGCTTTGAGGGCAGCTACCACTTCTTTTTTGCCTGTGAAAATTGGAGGGAAAGAACTTTGAATTGGAAGAAAGAAGAACACCAAAAGAGAAAGAGAGTGAAAGGAATTCCATCCTAGTGGGAATGATTTAATGTGTTGTATTCTTTAGGGATAAGAGTGTAGAAATCCAGAAAGCACAGTTCTGGCCAGACTTACATAGGTGGAGCAGTAGAATTGTCGACTACTATTAAAAATGAATTGATGGTCCTTTCATTGTATGCCAAGGATTCTTAAACAGGTAAACAGGTAAAGTACACACAATTCTGATGCTGGGCATGTTTAAATCTTTAACTGTTGTAACTGGACATTAATGAACTTCAAGAAAAATGGTGTAGCATTAAACTTCTTCAGACTTAGTGGCGTTGTAGGCTCTGCTGTACGTTCCTTAGGAAATGGGTACATGTTTTGTTCAGTTCTGGTTTGGCAGTATTTCTCACATTATATCGGGTGTCCTTATGAATTGCTTACTTCATTTGTTGATCTTTTGTGGTAGATCATAAGTTTTTGTGAGAACACATTGTCTATTGTGTTCATGTATTGTGCCCAGTGTTTAACATAGTGGCTGGGCTGTGTGGGCCCTGTATAAATTTGTTCAGTTCTCAGAGGAGGAAATAATGACATTCAATGATTATAGTAGATACTTGCTTAAAAGTCTGATTCAGTCAACTGTAATGTACTTGCGTATGTATAGATTGTTCCCTGTCTTGGTATTGTGCATATGCAGTGCATATATGCACTTCTTGGGCCCTGAACTGCCCTATCTATAGGCTAGCAACCCTCTGATGCATTTGTGCACCAGGAAGACAAGCATGAATATTTATATTAGTGGAAGTTAGATACAATTTAGAATGTTGAGGTTTTTCTTGCATAACGTATACGTACAACAGAATATAAAGATTTCTTGGTATCTGTATCAGTTATCTGTACTTCTGCTGAGCCCTTTGAAGCAGACATTTTGATGTTGATGGTAGTTGGATGAATACGTGAGAGAGGGATGAATAACTGAGCTGCCCATTTTAGGGAGTGGGTGGTGCAAGGAAGATACTAATTCACACTGGAAAGGCTGTTTCTCTACAAATCAGTCTGCCAATGCTCAGAAATCCTGGTTTAGTTTCAGAAGCCAGGTATCTGCCTGGATGAGGCTCAAGGAAGAGATATGGAAAATAGCCAGGGCTTCTAATATTAAGGGCTTTCAAAACCAGCAAGGCCAACCTCCGGTCAATTCATCCCTTCATAAAGAGCCAAATAGAGACTCTAGAGTCGATGTAATGTTATCCAGCTTGCTTACATGAGCCAGCAGTTGTGCCACTGGGTTCTACCTCAGCCTTGAGCTACAGAGAATCGTTGGGCATCATAATTAAGTGATGTAGGCCCAAGAACATCTGTTGCTATTGCAAAGTCTTCATGAGCAATTCTCACACAAAAAGAAGCAGTTTTTACAAATGGTGCAGCTGCGTGAGCAGGGTAGAGGAAGGGGTGGGATGGGTGAGGGGCTTCTGTGTGGTGGAAAGATGAAACATTCTTCCAAAAAGGCCCGTTATCCTGGCTGACTTCCCTCTGTTGATAGAATGAGAGAAAGTTTGCAAGATTCTTTTCTGGGTTCACCTAAAAAGATGAAATAAGTGGGTGTTTGGATTTCTGCTTTTAGTAAATGCGTACATCCTCCATATTTTGCTCAGTTCTGGTTCAGAATAAGTAAGCTGCATTTGCAGCATGTGTAGACTCTCCCCACCCCCAACTCACACCCCTTTCAGCATAACAGATGGTAAATTCTGTGGCTGCCAGTTCTAGCATAATGTGGTTGCAGAAAATAGAAAGCAAAGCAACATGAAGACCCCTGATAGAACACAGCTGGGGATGGGAGACAGCTTGTGAATCTGCTGATGATAACCATAGGATTAGTGTGAACCCATATAGCTGGACTATAGAAATGGGCTACCTGCATGTTGGAATAAAACTGATGTTGAGACCTGTTACTAATCTGAGCTTGTCTACCTGGGCCTTAATAGCAGAGAGCGTGGACCTGACGTTTTTCTTCTGGGCAACTAGTACAAGCCTACCTAAAATTGTCATGCATCACATTAGTGATTGTGTATGATGTCAACTGGTGGCCTTTTTCAGATCTGACTAGATAGAGCACCATTCCTGTTTAATGCTTTTGCCATCCAAAGTCTCACTAAAAACTCTGGCTATTTGACTGAAGCGAGAATTGAATAAACCTCTAATTCCTTTAGGTAGAGCTTCGAGAGCTACATAGAGGGAACCAAGTGACATTAAGTCAGGAGCAACACTCCCAAGTGCCAGCTCTTAAATGAAGACAGTTTTTTACAAGACATCTCACATTTTTCAGAAATGCCAGATTAAGAAACATTAAATTAATTTGAAAGTAAAGCACCAGATATATTTCACTTGGCAATCATGACTCAGGAGTTTGAGCCTAGTCGGAAACTAGGTTTCTTTTTGTGCCTTATGCTACACTGTGCATTATTGGAGGAAGGTAGACAGACTGGTAGGGGTGGTGGGGAAATCCAGACCAAACAGAAGCCCATTCTAGAAAATGAGAGGAACATTCCTGAAACCGCTAGCCAGAAGTCTCCTATCATTAAGGGTTATGATGTCTAATGTAGTCCGTTTGGGTTGAGGAAGGAGCTAAGAAAAGCCTATATGCGAATTTAGAACTCTACTATTTCGAATTTTAAACACCAAAAAATCATAAATGTTGTTTGTTTAAGCTGAAACTACAGACTATATTAGACAGAATTATTATTATTTTTTACAGAGGATGGGATTGCCACGGGAAACCTTAATCAAAGAAATGCCTTCTCCTTTGGTAAATAAGTTAGGTCCAGCCTAACTCATTTTGACTGGGTGGGGGATCCTGAGTCAGGATTTAGTAACCAGATTTGCTAATTTAACACTGTGTACTTGTTTCATGTTCTCTTGCCAGAATACATTTACCCATATGAGCAGGTACAGTATGACATTTCAGTGGTTCTTTAGTGACTAAAGGGGAAAACTGAACTGCAAGCTTCTTACTTATTTTTAAAATATTTTGAAAGGACAGGAAAGGGCAGAGAATAGTATAACAAATACCCATTGCACAGAACTGTTATTTCTCTTGAAATTCAAAAATAAGGAATGCAGCAAATACAACTGAAAGTTCTCACCATTTCTAGTCCCATTCCCCTCCCTGTTTCCTAAGAGACAACTACTGTTATAAATGTTGTATATTTCTTTTTATTTCATATTTATATATATTAGATGTATCATAAAGCATATATAAATATATGAGATGCATTTGTGTATGTAAGATATTATTTGATATATCTGATATATCTTCTGCAACTCATTTAACATGATGGTTTGTTTTTTTTTTTTTTTGAGAGTAAGTCTCTCTCTGTCACCAGGCTGGAGTGCAGTGGCATGATCTTGGCTCACTGCAACCTCCGCCTCATGGGTTCAAGCAGTTCTCCTGCCTCAGCCTCCCAAGTAGCTGGGAGTACAGGCGTGTGCCACCACGCCCAGCTAACTTTTGTATTTTTAGTAGAGATGGGGTTTCACCATGTTGGCAAGGATGGTCTCGATCTCTTGACCTCATGATCCGCCTGCCTTGGCTTCCCAAAGTGCTGGGATTACCGACTTGAGCCACCGTGCCCGGCCAACATGATGGTTTTTAACGTTTATGTTGATACATACGGCTTTATTCATTTTCACTGCTCTGTAGTATAGTGTATGAACATACCATGATGTACTATTATTAAAAATGTGGAACATTTTTGTATATGTTATACATTACTAGAGATTCTCTGGGTATATACACCTAGAAGTAGAATTGCTGAGTCATAGGGAAGTATGTATTCAATTTTGATAGAAGTTTTTTTCCAAAGTAATTATACCAATTGACACATCCATCAGTGGTCTATGAGATTTCCTGTCTCCTGGTATCAGATTTTTTCAGTTTTTGCCAGTCCGATAGGTGAGACTATCTCATTGTTTTTATCTGGATTTTTCACATTATGTGACATCATAATTTTTTAGCTATTGAAAATCGGAATTAAGAACATCCAAAGGGATGAAATTCCTATATATTTATATGGCAGGTTAGCAATCAAATATAATTTAAAATTGTGCTTTATTCATATGGCACTCTTAGGGAATAAGGTATTCCCAAGATAATACATTTAAAATTACTACTCTAATAGCTAGAAATTACTTTTTAATGTTTTAGCTACTTGTGGTGAATATCTTGTTATATATCCCTGTTTTATGAAATTCAAGATATACTGAATTCAGTCCTTATAATAATAAACATTAGGTTTTTTAAAAAAATTCATTAATGCCTCCAGGGCCTATCAATACAGGAGATACTTGTTTCTATACCAGATACCCTAAAAGGTCCTTATGCTCTAATAGTTATTTTTGCCTTTTATGGTCTTGCCTCCCAAAGTCTTTTCAGTGAGTTCTCCCACCTTTTTAAATTAAAAATCGGTTTATATAAATGATATGTGCTTAGTATGGAATATTTTATCTTCTCTTCTTTTAATTTGGTACCTTCCTCTATTCCGAATTCTGAGGACACATGGATCACTTTTTCTTGGGTGAGAGTGTGTGCCATGTGGCTGCCTTTTGCCCTCATGCAGTAGTCTTTTTTTTGAGTCAGAGTCTCACTCTGTCGCCCATGCTGGAGTGCAATGGTGTGATCTCGGCTCAGTGCAACTTCCACCTCCCAGGTTGAAGCAATTCTCCTGCCTCAGCCTCCCGAGTAGCTGGGATTACAGGTGCGCACCACCACGCCTGGCTAATTTTTGTATTTTTAGTAGAGATGGTGTTTCACCATGTTGGCCAAGCTGGTCTCTGGCAAGGCTGGTCTTGTACTCCTGACCTCGTGATCTGCCTGCCTCGGCCTCCCAGAGTGCTGGGATTACAGGCGTGAGCCACCACGCCTGGCCTGCGGTAGTCTTTCCATTACCTCCCAGGTATGCACCAATGTTCTGGGTAGTTGAAGCTGTTTGGAATCAGACATGTACATGAGTGACTATGTACAGCATTAGCCAAACATAAAAATAGGTACAAACATTCTCTTAAAGAATGAATATATTTTAACTCAAGGATGTTAAATCGGGCTATTACTGAGGAGATAATGAGCAGGAAGGTGACTTATATCTTAGAAGGTCTGAGAAAATTGGCCAGATACAAATGGCACAAACACCATGCTGGCTGAGCAGTGCAAGTTCATATATGACCATTGATGCTTTTCAAAGGTTTTAAATTTTGTTTTGTTTTCAGAAAATTGCTGTTGTTTATAAGTTTGCTCTTGCTTGCCTTTTCAAACTTAAAATTTATGATTGAAGTTTAACATTTGTTTACTTCTCTCATTTCAGTGTGACAAAATTAGGCAAGAACGAGATGAAGCCGTTAAAAAACTGGAAGAATTTCAGAAAAGTACGTAAGCATTTCAGTGGAATTATTATAACACATATAGCCTATTGGGGATTATGTGAGTAGACTTATACCCTATTGAGTTGCTAATGTCCTGGTCATACAATCAAGAAAGCAAGACTTCTTTCTATTTGTCCAAACATGCCCAGGCATCACTTTAAGCTTTAAAGAACTGGAATAAACATCATTGTTTCATCAAGGGTGTTAGAAAAACCTATACTTGTTATAAAACAGTTTAACTATACAGAAAAGTTAAAGGAGAACAAAAATGCCTTGTTGGCTCCTTGAAAAAGGCCAGTGCTAGTACTTTATAATCTGTCCTTGTTGGTCTTTTATTTGTGTAGTAAAAAATGTAATCGTGTTTTAAATTCAGTTTTGCAGTCTGCTTTTTTCAGTAAACAGTACTCCTGGTCATATTTGCATGTCAGTACAGATGTACATCAGTTTTTTGTTTTTGTGTTTGTTTGTTTTTTTGAGATGGAGTCTCGCTCTGTCACTAGGCTGGAGTGCAGTAGCAAGATCTTGGCTTACTGCAACCTCCACCTCCTGGGTTTAAGCAATTCTCTTGCCTTAGCCTCCCAAGTAGCTGGAACTACAAGCGCACACCACCATGCCCAGCTAATTTTTGTATTTTTAGTAGAGACGGGGTTTCACCATATTGGCCAGGATGGTCCTGGTCTCTTGACCTCGTGATCCTCCTGCCTTGGCCTCCCGAAGTGCTGGAATTACAGGCGGGAGCCACTGCGCCCAGCCTGTACATCAGTTTTAATGTTGTCCATAGTATTCCATTATAGGATAGTACCATAATGTATTTAATTATTCTTTCATTGACAGATTATTCCTGGTTTTTAGCTATTATAAATAATGCGATGGCAGGTATTCTGACACTTACATCTTTACAGTAATCTAAATAGTTCCTGAGGTTAATTCATATAAAAGGAATTACACTGGAGATCCACTATAGAGCATTGTGCCTATAGCTAATAATACTGTGTTGTATACTTAAAATTTACTAAGAGGGTAGATCTTACGTTACGTGATGTTACTACAAAAGAAAATAAGTAAATAAAGAGGGCAGAAGGAAACTTTGGGAGGCAATGGATATGTCTGCAGCCTTGATGGTGGTGATGGTTTCACAGGTGTATAATAATCCCCCAAACTCATCATGTTGTATGCATGAAATATGTATGGCTTTTTACATGTCACTTATACCTTAATAAAGTGGTTCAAAAATAGAGAAAAGGAATGATAGCTTCATAGAACTTAAACATTTTTAAGAGTGTGAATGTTTGAAATAGCCCTCTCACTGAAGAAAGTTACATTCCCACAAAAGCTGTACTTTCCAAATTTTTGCTATTTTTTTTATGTAATGTAAATCTGTTATTTATCCCCTAAGACAGCATAGCTGATCAGACCCAGAGGGACCAGATGGAAATATGTCATAGGCAAAGGGTCAGACCGTAGCAGGGAAAGTGACCCCCTCCCTTGGAAACAAGGCCTTTCTCCATCATTCTGCAGATGTTCTGTCAGTCAGGGTATTTGATTATTTATAAAGAGTTGATTTGGTAACTACACAACAGAACATTTTATTCTAGTTAAAACAGCCATACAAATGCAGCATTATGGTTAAATTTCAACAGCAAGTTTACTTCAGTGTCTGGTTGTAACAGAGAACATCCAAGGGGAATCTTATTGATATTACCTGTCTTTGGAGGCCAATGTGCTATGCTAGAAATACCTCTTATTTGCAAATGTATGAATTCCAATTATATGGTACTTTTTTACTTATGGAATGTACTTATTCTTAGAGTTATACCATTGGCATTGTTACCGGTTAATATGCTTGAATTATTGATAATGGATTGGTGTGCAGTGGGAATAGTTCAAGTTCCTTATGGTTGGGCTTATAAAATATTTGGTCTAGGGTTTATAAAATATTTTGGTCTAGGTAGGCAGTAGGGACTTTGCCTCCTGCATTATGCAAAACCAGAAGCAACATTCCCCCAAAATCAACCTTCGAAGTAACATTTAAATTCTGCTTTCATCTGCCATTTCTCTTTTCCCTTTCTTTGTCTCTTCCTCTGAATAACTTTGATAGTTTTAAAAATTTACATTTTTCCTTATGAGCAACTCAAAGCCTGAGAGGATTGATTGGAAGATTAGTACAACAATCTGTATGGTTGTATGCATTTAGTTTTTACCTTTACTAAGTGTCTTTAATTAATTTAAGGTTTGGATGTTAGGAAAACAGAGTACTAATTCTTTTTTTCTTACTCTCTTGGTAACTCACAGAACAACAGAGTGCCAACTCTTTACTCAGTCTCAAAAGGAGAGAAAACAAGGACTTGGCCAGGCGCAGTGGCTCACGCCTGTAATCGCAGCACTTTGGGAGGCCGAGGCGGGTGGATCATGAGGTCAGGGAGATCAAGACCATCCTGGCTAACACGGTGAAACCCCGTCTCTAGTAAAAATACAAAAAATTAGCCAGGCGTGGTGGCGGGCACCTGTAGTCCTAGCTATTTTGGACTATTGAGGCAGGAGAATCACTTGAACCAGGGAGGCGGAGGTTGCAGTAAGCCAAGATCTTGCCACTGCACTCCAGACTGGCGACAGGGTGAGACTCCGTCTCAAAAAAACCCCAAAAAAACAAAAAAAATAAGGACTAAGAAAACTTTAAATATTTGTCAGAAAACTGTATCTGGGATAAATAATTCATGGCTTTTGAGCAGAGGGTAGAATTTCAGATTTGGAAGGGAATAGGCAGTATTTTTATCACCAGTGAAGAGCATTAGTTTGTGTGAATCCATTTCTGCGTTAATAAAATTGGTATAAATGACCTTGCTTCATATACCATTTGAGGGTGAAAAAAGATAATCTGTATAAAAAATGCTTAACACTGTACCTGGCATATAGTAAGTGCTCAATAAATATTAGTTGCTACTACCACCATCTCATCAACTAAAATATCCAATGCCTGATTGCCCTTCAGTATTAAGAGTTCATATCATTTACCTTTAGGGAGTTAGTTCTTTGACACCAGACTCCACATTTGGATAGTGATGGAGGAAGTTTCTTTTGGTGCTGAGTTGAAATCTGAAATCCCTGTAACGTTAACCTACTAGGCCTACATCTTTTTTTGAGACGGAGTCTCATTCTGTTGCCCAGACTGCAGTGCAGTGGCGTGATCTCTGCTCGCTGCGACCTCCGCCTCCTGGATTCAAGCAATTCTTGTGCCTCACTCTCCCAAGTAGCTTGGATTACAGGTGTGTGCCCTCATGCCTGGCTATTTTTTGTATTTTTAGTAGAGATGGGGTTTCACCATGTTGGCCAGATTGGTCTTGAACTCTTGACCTCAAGTGATCCTCTTGCCTCAGCCTCTCAAAGTGCTGCGATTACAGGCGTGAGCCACCACACCCGGCCTAGGCCTACGGAACAGCTGACTAAGGGTTAGGAAAAGCTTTGTTTGGCCATAGGGCTCTACTCTCCCTAGCTTAGCATACTTTTCCCAGGATAAATGTTTTTATCCATATGTCCATGTCATTTTTGATCCTCGCCAGCTCTCTCTGAGCCTTCCTCCTACACACAAAGAACACCACTACATAGCAAAGCTGCATTCCCTAGACCGGATTCCTGTGAAAGGTAACTAAAGACCTTTCATATCTTTTTATTTATTTATTTATTTATTTTTGAGATGGAGTTTTGCTCTTTTTGCCCAGGCTGGAGTACAGTGGCGTGTTCTTGGCCCACTGCAACCTCCGCCTCCTGGGTTCAAGTGATTCTCCTGCCTCAGCCTCCCAAGTAGCTGGGATTACAGGCAGCTAACTTTGTATTTTTAGTATAGACAGGGTTTCACCATGTTGGCCGGGCTGGTCTCGAACTCCTGACCTCAGGTGATCTGCCTGCCTTGGCCTCCCAAAGTGCTGGGATTACAGGCATGAGCCACCGCGCCCAGCCCCTTTCATGTCTTTTCAGCCACAATATTAGATCCATTAATCTGTTTTAAGGACACACCGATTTTCCTACATATATGCCAACTTTCATGGCTCTTTCCTTACCACATGGAAAACTTTTGAAGTAGTGTGATGTTGAAGAAGAATTTGTGATATGTTCACCACATATGCTTTAGAGATATTCTACATCTAAATATCGCTGGGAGTTAGAGTTGGGAGAGATTTGCTCTAGAAGCAACATCATTGGTGGTGACACCTTGTATAATGAATTAGAAAGGACTATAGAAAAGTAGAGTCACCTAGAAATGGTTTTAACTGGGTTTTACCAGTTAGAACTCTGTGATTTGGAATATGTTATTTAACTTCTCTGGGCCTCCGTGTTCTCAAATATAAAATTGCTGTGATGATCCCTACGTTATAGGATTGTTGTGAGGCTTTGTGAAGGAGGGAACACATGTAAAGAGTTTAGCACAAGGCTGGACACATAGTCAGGCTCAACAAATGGCGATGGTAGTTGTTTCCTAAGCAATTCTATACTACAGAGAACATTCTCATAAAAGGCTGTTCACAGGCGAGCTTAGGCCTTCAGTCCTTCAAATAGACACTAACACGAGCACCTGCTTTGCATGTAGCATTGTGCTAGGTGCAAGAGAATCAGACATGTAAAACAAAATCCCTGCTCTAATGTTCATAGTGAGTAGAAGATAAAAACAAGTAAAAAAAAAAAAAAACAGTTACCCTACAATGTGATGTGTACTACACTGCCATTTATGTAAGACTGCTTTGAAGTCATAGTTGAAGAGAGACAAACTTCGCTAATTCAAGTAGACTAATAGAAACAATACTTGATGTACTTTTATGTTATACTTCTATGTTCTCAGGGTCATTAAAATTTTTTTACTATGAAAAATTTCAAAGTGATGCAAAGGCGGGAAAATAATTTAACGAATCCCCATGTTCCAGTTTTCTGGCTGCAACAGTTGCCAACTCACAGCCAGTCTTCCAACTGTACACCCATACACCCACTGTCACTGACCTCAGATTGCTTTGGAACTAATTCCAGTCATCATATCATTTTACTGTTTACTGCCTGGAAATATTTCAGTATATATTTCTAAAAGATTAGTAGTCTTTTCTTTTTAACATAACTGCAGTATTACGGACACTTTATTAAAAGTTCATCTTTTTTCTTTTTTAAACCTCATGTCATCCAAATATGCAAATATGACAAGTACAGTGGCCATGGATTGTGGATATCCTGAGACAAGCCCAATTCAGAACCATAGGGCAAATTATTACATGAATAGCTAAACGTTTAAAAAACTTTTATTATGGCCGGGCGCGGTGGCTCACGCTTGTAATCCCAGCACTTTGGGAGGCCGAGGCGGGCGGATCACGAGGTCAGGAGATCGAGACCATCCTGGCTAACACGGTGAAACCCCGTCTCTACTAAAAATACAAAAAAATTAGCCGGGCGTGATGGCGGGCGCCTGTAGTCCCAGCTACTCGGGAGGCTGAGGCAGGAGAATGGCGTGAACCCGGGAGGCGGAGCTTGCAGTGAGCCGAGATTGCGCCACTGCACTCCAGCCTGGGCCACAGAGCGAGACTCCGTCTCAAAAAAAAAAAAAAAAAAAAAAAAAAAAAAAAAAAAAAAAAAAAAAAAAAAAAACTTTTATTATTCAAAATGTGCAAATAAATTTACATATTAAAAGTATTTCTGTTTTGCGTCATGTGACTTGACTTTTGGTTTTGGAAATGGGGTCATGCTTTTTAAAGATATAATCACCCTTTGAAATATACTCTTCCCATATGAACCTAGAACATTGGTAAGTAGGTTGTTATGCTACCAGTTTAGCACTGGAATAATTTCTTAAACTAAAAATTAATGCGCAATTTAAAAAAATGTCTACTGTTCTCTCTTTGAGAAGAAATAAAAACCCCACCAGATGGAGTGTACCAAATCAGAACTGGAGAAAATGTGAGCAAGGACTACCCAGCTATGTTTATCAAGTTGAATCACAGGGCACCTTTTTACAAAATGTTCAGAAAATAAATGTTTTTTTTGTTTTGTTTTGTTTCCTATTTGCTAGGCCTAAACCTCACTACTGTGGAATGAATTTTCTTACTCTTTCAAGAGCAAGAATGTTATTGAATAAAAAGTAAGATTCCTATGAAAAATGCAGAGTGTTTATGTTTTTGTTATGATAGTGGAAATACCAGATTGTGGCAGAAGATGTCAAGTAGTTAAGGCTAAAAATTCAAAGTAATATTTGATGTTGTAAAAATTGTATAGGTTTCTTTTCTCTTTCCTTCACATTTTTGAAGAACCTACCTTGTAAACATAGTGATAAAATGCCAGGAATATTAGGATTTTAAGGAAATAATAGAGCCTATTATTTAAACTACAATATAAAAGGCAATTATATTGATGAAGAGCTACATGGGCTTTGTGTGTGTGAATAAACTTGGCCTGTGTTCAGCTTCTATTTGTTCTTCTGGCATAAACACATATTGTGTGTGATTCCAGTTTAATGGGGACCCGTTTGTATGCCAAGCAGCTGCATTTTAGGACCTATTGCGTGATTTCATAGCTCTCTGAAAATTGGTTCTATTCAGAACAAGAGATAGAAGAGAAGAAGGGGGGTGATGTGGAAGGGGGGGGGAGCTTCAACACACAATCATTTCTTTTCAATTGGAGCCAGAAAGGTTGATGACAACATGACCATTGTGTTATAATGATAAGACCACTAAGGCATCTGTACCTCTCATCAAGGCTTTCACACAACAGCAGATACAATTTAATTCACTGCTCTGTCAGCAGTGCTGATACCATTATGCCGTCTGTCTCCACAGTTATAATCACTGTCCTCTGAGAAATGCAGTTGAAATGATCTTGAGCAGTCAAAGAAACTCTCAATTAAGGCTGCCACTTCCAATGTGTCAGATTGTGTCTTATGCACTTGGTACAATTTTCACTTCCAATCCTGTTTATTTACAATGTCTACCAGTAATTACGCTTAACGTGTCATTTAGTGAGGGGGGCCCCTGCCAAGCCGATTGTTGGGTGCTGCTGTACCATTGAGTGGGAGTTTCTCGAAGTCAATGCCATCAGCAGCTTTTAGGCCCTGATGGGATGCAGTAGTAATGTTGATAATGCAAGTATCGTGCTCATCAAGTCATAATTAGATGCCACTCAAATGTGCCACTTGTAATAACAGTGTTGATTCATGTTTTTCTCGGTGACTGCAACTACTAATTAGTTAAGTGGTTTTTGGTTGGCCTGCATTTGCTGCAGATTATTATTACCCCTGAAAAAATGTCAAGGTTAGAGATGTTTCTGGCCATTTAGTGCTGCTTTATGAATTTGAATATTAACATAATAAGAACTTTGGACAGACTTAGGAAGTAATACATTTTTGTATTTAATTTGGAGAGAAATTTTTTCCCCTGAGTTTAATCATAATTGCAGGTTAATTAAGCTTAAATGAAGCAAAAGTAATCTCTCTTTGTGTTATGTGAGCCCAGTGCTTTTTGCCTAACTTTGTTGGGTTTCACATTTGGGTGTCCTTTAATTTTTTTTTTTTTAAGCCAAACAAATAGCAATAAGTAATGTCTACATTTAGGGTTGAGATTCTGAGAGTTTTCATTTAACTAGAAATATGGGTGGAAGGAATTGGCATTTTTCTTTCTTGATCTTCAAAATATAACTCAAGTTCTAAATCACTTTATACCTGTAAATCTCAATTTACATGCACCAGCTGTCAAAAAATCTAAAAAATACAATTTTTCGAGCATTGGTGACATATCAAGTAAAATTTTATTTTTCTTCTAATGCTTCTGATAGCCTATGATTCAGGAAGTAATTTATTAGCATCTGCTTTATAACCATATAGTACATAAATCTTACTGCTATACTTTTCTGCCTGAGAGTTACTTATGAAATAGCAGTAACTACTTTGTAGCTAATAGAGACAAATGTTGCAGTACTTAGCCAAGTCGCCACATCACTACTCCAGTCATAAGATCAATTTAAGATTTATTTTTCTTTTATTTTTTGTTAATTTTTCTTATTAGAGCCATGTGTTATACACTGCTGAGAAAAAGAAGTCATGCTGTCACTCCTCTTTATTTATGAAATATTCTTTTGTTTAAACTAGCACATATGTCTATGGATACATATATAGTTGCATAGAAAATAGACTTGTAAAAAAATCTAAATAGCGCTCTTAAAATGTACATAATAAAATGTATGTATGTGAAATGAATGTATTTTGTTGTGTTCTTGTTTCTTTCTACATTCAAATATTAGCTCAGATTTAATCAGGGCAGCTTCTCAAAAACCTTTTTTCAGTGATAGCTAAAGGTCTGGCTAGCCAAAGAATTGAAGTATTCTTAATCATGGGACGATGCGTGGGCTCCTGGAATAGCTGACTAATCTTTGAATGCTGAGATTTTTTTTCCCCCTCATTCCTAGTTTCTCACATGGTCATAGAGGAAGTTAATTTCATGCAGAACCATCTTGAAATAGAGAAGACTTGTCGAGAAAGTGCTGAAGCTTTGGCAACAAAGGTGAGACTTCAAATGAAGGAATTTTACCTGAGCTTTTAAATTTCAACTTGCTTTTCTAAGCAGTGGCTTCTATCTGGTTTTGCTTTTCTACTTCTCTAATCGATTATCTACTCTGATGATGAGGGAAATGTTAAAAGGCCTCAGAATCCTGGAATATGATTATGTAAATATTCACCTTAATGCAAAGGTTATTCCAAATTGTAAAAGGAGCATTTGTATGTGAGTATTTCAGCATTTGTGCTTTTTGCCTGTGAAAATGTGGAAAAAATGGTCCCAGAGTAGTGTTAAAGGGGACTTTGCAAATGTCCATGCATTTGGTTAAAATGCTAACCAAGTTTAAAACTAACCTGGTGTGACATAAAAGAGCAGTGAATGTCTCATATTTGAATCAGATGAAAAAGTCACCCTGAAGCCGTGCATTTCAGGTGATTATTTATGAAAGCAAAGCGAGGGCATGCTGAAGGTGACCTCCAGTGTTCCACTGATTGCC
This sequence comes from Homo sapiens, assembly GCF_000001405.40. Lineage (NCBI taxonomy): Eukaryota > Metazoa > Chordata > Mammalia > Primates > Hominidae > Homo > Homo sapiens. The sequence goes on along the minus strand of NC_000010.11, from coordinate 116,959,645 downwards.
TCTTGCTGATGAATTTACCAAGTGTGTAATTTTCTACATTCTATCTCATCAGAAGTACATTATTATTAAAGAATGTTTTTTTTATCTCTGTCTTATGTATTTTGGGTTGGGTAAAATGCATCTGAACCACTTCATCAGAAAGTGGATTACAGCAATTTTCAACCAAATTTCATTAGTAATACTGGTTGTGTTTCTTTTCCCTCCCCTCCATCACCCACCTCCGAAAATTTCTTTGGATGTGACTGAAATCCTACTCTCAATAAATACATAAATAAATGTAATTTGTATGCATTAACAGTGTGCTTCCTAGAGGTATTTGCTTAATTGTTTGCATAACAACACTACATTAGAATTCATAAGATATTTAATCAGGACCTAACTAAGAATATAAATTTGGGTATGTAACTTCTCTCCTGTTATTCATCTGAAGAATACACAGCAATACACTTTAAAAACACTTTTTAAAAAATGATAACATGGGTATTCTCACATCATTTTTACTCTGCGGCACATTCCTAGAGTTCACTAGTCCGTAATGTTGTGTGAATTCTATTTTCATTTTTGAATTTCTTTCTTTGGAATAAGTAGAGAAAAAGTACATTTGGAGCCTGCTAGCTGCTCTGAATCTTCTAGTGTCTAAGGATATACTCTCTATTTTTTCTTGTTATTAACAAGTATTCCTGTTGTCATAGCACATCCAGAGTGAGGATACTGGCTACCTTTCAGGATTGGCAGAGTTTATGGAAGGCACTGGTTTGTGGGACAGTATATACAGGTTTTGTTCCTGGTTATGTAATTTTGGGCATATGTGATTTTGGACAAGTTAATTTTGTTCTCTGGAGTGTAGTATCTCATCTTAAATGACATGATGGACTAGAGTTAGGACTGGAGTTAATAATTTATTTGCATATGGCCCCTTTTAAAAAATTACTTTATTCTGTCTCCCCTTTTATTTAATAGGTGTTTTTGGGCAAGAGAACTCACCTCTCTGAGCTACAGTTGTCTTGCTCTAAATGCCAGGATGGACCATGGTTGGCTTCATCATAATACCCCAGATCCATTGGCTCTAGATGTGTGGCCCAGGCATGTGCATGTAGAAAAGCTGCCTGGTGACTGTTATATTCATTGCTCGTTACGAACCAGTGTTACCTAATCTCTAAGCTCATTTTTACAATTAAGTCTTAATAATAGGATCCTTACCTAACACTGTTTGTTGCCTGTTCTTTAAAAACCCTTTTTTAAAATGAACATATAGTTTATTTTTGAAGATATAGTATGAACTCATGGGGCCTAGAAAAAAATTTAAAAAATGGATTAAATCAAATACTATAAATGTGCTTGTTTGTTGTGAAAGACTGCTTTGAATGCAAAATGTGGAAACTTCATTATATGTGTGACTTCATTCTGATTTAAGTATCAATTGTCATTTTTGAAAGGAGGCTTTCAAAAATGCTCATTTTTTTTCCTGAGAGCAAAGTTTCTATAAATTCTTATTTTTCTAAATTTTTGCCATCAAATTAATGACAAATGGAATGTTTAATTCTGATGATGCAGCTTGACCTCGTAATTTTCTTTTTTTTCTTTTTGAAATGGAGTCCTGCTCTGTTGTCCAGGCTGGAGTGCCGTGATGCCATCTTGGCTCACTGCAACCTCCACCTCCCAGATTCAAGCAATTCTCCTGCCTCAGTCTCCCGAGTAGCTGGGATTACAGGCATGTGCCACCACACCCAGTTAATTTCTGTGTTTTTAGTAGAGACAGTGTTTCACTGTGTTGACCAGGCTGGTCTCAAACTCCTGACCTCAGGTGACCTGCCCGCCTTAGCCTCCCAAAGTGCTGGGATTACAGGCGTGAGCCACTGCGCCCAGTTCCTCATATTTTCTTAGAAGCAAGTATGGATACTTTGCTTTGCTAAAATGTGTAGATTAAACTGATAAATGTGGACCAGTTATTTAAGTCATATGATCCAAAGCCATTAAACTTGCTTGTTTTGTACCTTTAAATAGCCACTAAACTGGACAATATAAAAACCCTATTTACATTTGAATATAATAGTAGGTTCTGTTACTGTAGGGTTATAAAAGATATATTTTTGGCTGGGCACGGTGGCTCACGCCTGTAATCCCAGCACTTTGGGAGGCTGAGGTGGGCAGATCACCTGAGGTCAGGAGATTGAGACCATCCTGGCAAACATGGTGAAACCCCGTCTCTACTAAAAATGCAAAGCTTAGCTGGGCGTGGTGGTGTGTGCCTGTAATCGCAGTTACTCGGGAGGCTGAGGCAGGAGAATCGCTTGAACCAGGGAGTCAGAGGTTGCAGTGAGCTGAAATCACGCAGCTCTACTCCAACCTGGTGACAGAGAGACTCCATCTCAAAAAAAAAAAAAAAAAAGTAAAAAGATATATTTTTGCCTTAGACATAGAGGGGTTCCAAACAACAAGTAGCATGCAATTAACCTATAGCTTGATGAATAGCTACAATGAAATTACTTAGCCAAAATTTGTGAATTCAGAATTCTCAAAAATGTTCAAATAGTATGCACATAAGACCTCATGTCTAGGCCGGGTGTGGTGGCTCACTCCTGTAATCCCAGTGCTTTGGAAGGACAAGGTGGGAGGGTCACTTGAGCTCAGGAGTTTGAGACTTTGAGGCTGTGGTGAGCTATGATCATACCACTGCACTCTAACCTGGGTGACAGAGCAAGAACCCATCTCCAAAAAAACAAAACAAAAAAAACCCTCATATATATAAATCTTACATTTCTTCTTTCAAAATGCGAAAATGGGGTTTCAGAGAAGGATTATGAAATTTTCTGATTGGCTTTTTTTTCTTGAGCTGGTGACTTTGTTAAGTAGAGTAATTGTATTGCAGACAAACTGGTGGATTTTGGTGCCTGGTTTGATAGGGGCATTAAACCCTTTTGAGGGCAGAACTGTTAGCTATGATGTTGCTAAGGTATTATTGTAGTGGTTGTCTAAGAAGTAATATATTAAGCACTAGATGACAGAAACTAGTAGTTTCTTGAGTATCCTGGAGGAAGGAGAAAATGCCTAAATGAATACTTTGAAGAAAACTAGCTGATAAATGATTTCCAAAGGATAATTAGACACAAACTAAACCTCTTCTTACTATGAATAACTAACACTGAAGTTTTACTGTGTGGCAGTTACTATATTAAATACTTTATATATAATGTCTCATTTAGTCATCATATTGTGGGATACAGACTATCTTAATTCTTAGTTTACTGATGAGAAAACTGAAACATAAGGATTAGGTTAGTTGTAGAGGCAGAGATGGAATTTTATTGCAGAGCTGGGTTGTATACTAAAGCAATGCGTTTCTTTACATCAATGATTCTTAGTGTTGATGTACATTAGAATCACCTGGGAAACTGAAAAAGGGCTATGCTGGGCTTCACTGCCAGAGATTTGGGTATGGCATAGCGCCTAAGCATTGAGGTTTTTAAAAAGCTCTCCAGAGATTCTGATGGCCAGAGTTGAGAACCATTAGTTTAAATATTAGGATACAGAACCAGAAATTAAGTCTTAAATGTCTTCACTTTTTCCTTAAATTGATGTTTTCTTCTGACATTCCTAAAAGATGGGATAGTTTGAGAATTGACAAGTGAGGGTCCTTGAGCTTCGTGTGCCATGCTGTAGCATTCATGGTTTAAAGAACCCACAACAGTTTTTATCTGAATTTTCCAACTTAAGGAAGAGGTGTTGGGAAATGATGGGCCTCATCTTTTATCTTGATCTCCTAATGTAATGTGTGCAGACAGAAGCTAGAGTTGGAGACTGGGACTGAGGATAAAGGGTTGTGTCTGATTTCCTGAATAGAGCTTGCCAGTCTTCCAGGAAGAATCCATGGAAGAGTTCATAACCATTTCTTAGAGATTCTTCCTGATTCTCCAAAGAGGTCAGACAAACCTCTCGTGCTCCAGACCATGCCACTTTAGGTTCCATATTATTGGGGTAGAAATCAGATCTCCCAGATTAAAGTGGGCTGGGCTTTCTCTATGAGAAACCCTGAGGAACCCTAATTATGATCACAAATGAAAGAGCAAAGTCAGACCAGTGCTATGCTAAATATCTTATTCTAGTGTCAGGTTTACAGTGAGGAAAGGTAGTTATCTTTCCAATGAACTATGTTCATTTGTTTCCAATATCAATTATTAAATTCAGAGCATGTCTTCCTGGTCAAGGGCTCTAGTAAAGGAAATGTATTTGCATTTCTATAACTTACATTTTATAGTAGGGAAAATAATCTACTGATTACTTTGATGTGCGCAAATTAAGGAAAACTGTTTATTTTTTAGTCTTGGGAAGAGAAAATATGAGCAAAACCATATTGTACTTCTGTGGACATTGGAACATCCTTAGTCTTTGTGTGTGCTTTGTCCTAAATTTTCTTGTACATAAACACATTAGCTAAAGAAGGTGATAATAGTTGAATAACTGAAGTTAAAAAACCAACTCATTTCCCTGTCCGGGAATAAAAAATACATTAACAAAGTAGGATTCCTTTTTTTTTTTTTTTTTTTTGCTGTGAAGTAGAACTCTTTTAATAGAGATAGTAGAAACAACATCTTGAACTAGTTTAAACAAGAAAAGAAAATGATGTGGGATCTGTTAGAAATATCAGAGACTTCCATAGAATCTCTGAGACAGGAGCAGTTTAGGAATGGACTGGAGTCTGGGGCTTGAGTCTGGTGGGAAACCCTTTCTCTGTTGCTTTTCTCTTCCTTTCTCTACACATCAGCTTCAGTTTTAGCTTTTCTAAAAACTACCTTCCTCTTTTCCTTGATCCTATAGTGGAATGTGGTTACCAGCAGCTCCTGTCCAGGCACATGGAAAGAAACTCATTGCTCTGTTCCAGCCTCCAAATTTCTAGCGAGGGGATCTGACTGGTCACACTTGGGTCATGTGTTTAATCCCTGGACTAATTCGCTGTGGCCAAAGGGATGGGGTGTGCTTGGGAGAGCATGGCACTCCCATTGAAATCATGTGGAACAATGGAAAGTGGTAATGTCCAGAAAAGAGAGATGTTAGGCAAACAGACATTTAAAAGGTGTTCTCAGCACCACAGCACGCAGAAGATTTGCTTGAAATAAAGTGCCTTTTTTAAGACTATTAATGACTATAAATCAGAATTTTATTTAATCTGTACTGGTGTTTTATCTTAGTTCCTTATATTTCTCATCAGTTACAACTAGCATTTCCACTTGCTGCTGGCTGTAATCCAGACATCAGATCTTGGTTAAAGAAATAAATTTAATATAAAACCTTATTTAATGAATCCACTAATTGTTATGTCCTGCTGTGAGTGTTGATGAATATGTAAGACAAAAATATACTTAATTTGTCTATTGTTTAAAAATCCAAGATACTCATTTGGCTGCTTTTAAAATAACTGTTTTTATATTTTGTCTTAGCTAAATAAAGAAAATAAAACGTTGAAAAGAATCAGCATGTTGTACATGGCCAAGCTGGGACCAGATGTAATAACTGAAGAGATAAACATTGATGATGAAGATTCGACTACAGACACAGACGGTGCCGCCGAGACTTGTGTCTCAGTACAGTGTCAGAAGCAAATTAAAGGTAGAACTCTTTGCTTAATTATTGAGCATATTTTTTACCCCGTTATGATAGTGCTTCTGAACCCTGACTGCACATCAGAATCATGTGGGAAGCTTTCAAAATACTGATGCCTAGGCAGGGCGTGGTGGCTCACGCCTGTAATCCTAGCACTTTGGGAGGCCAAGGCGGGTGGATCACCTGAGGTCAGGAGTTGGAGACCAACTTGGCCAACCTGGTGAAACCCGGTCTCTACTAAAAAATACAAAAATTAGCTGGGCGTGGTGGCAGGTGCCTGTAATCCCAGCTACTTGGGAGGCTGAGGCGGGAGAATCACTTGAACCCAGGAGGCAGAGGTTGCAGTGAGCCGAGATTGCGCCGTTGCACTCCAGCCTGAGCGACAGAGCGAGACTCTGTCTCAAAAAAAAAAAAAAAAAAAAAACAAAACACAAAACTGATGCCTGGGTCCTACCCTATCCAAAATTTTGCTACACCATAGGCCAATTAAATCAGAATTTTGGATGGGGTAGGACCTAGGCATCAGTATTTTGAAAGCTTCCCACATCATTTATTTATATCTCCAAATCACCATAGGGTATATAACAATTGTGCTTTATGAGTTACTTTCTTGTTTGGAATTAAGCACTTTTGAAAGTGTCTCAATGGAAGCAGCCAGTTATACTATAACCTTAAGGATATGTACTATATGTCAAGATATTTTTGTTAAATGAAAGAAACAATGAATAAAAATATATTTAGCGACACCCCTTTTTGTTGGTTAACAAGTAGTGTTGTAAGGCAAGATCATATGATACATCTACTGAATGCACATTCATTTTACTCATACACATGTTTATTTAAAGATGTAGGAAAGCAGTTCTGGCTCAGTAACTATTGGAACATTTTAATTTAGTACACAGGTCAAAAGCAATATTCATTTATTTGTTTGGTAGATAAAATTTCAACTGGAAGTATAAAGAAGAAAGGATGTTACAGACACCATCTTTACCTACTCTTCAACCCCTCAAGCTAACACAAAATAGAATTCATGTTGGTAGGGAGGGAGAGGAAGTTTAAAGGAGTTCCCTTTGCTCATTATTCTCCTTTCTGTTCGAGCTTGAACAATATGGTTTCATGTTCTTCTTTCTGGATTAGCCAGCAAATGGAGAAAGTGATTCAGAAATAAGTCTCTGAGAACTTCTCCAAGCTGAGTTTATGTAAAAAGTTTGATTTAATTTACAAATAACCACATAACATATTCTTTATTGCACTTGGAAAACAGTAAGAAATTAAAGGCAGTTAAAACCTAAGTGACAAAACAGTAGGCCAGAATATGAATTTGAGTAGTCTGTGCTAATCTATGTGTATTTTCAAACATTTGAGTGACAGAAGTAACTTTAACACCAGAAGCTTTTGCGCTTACAGTTGATAATACTCTCATTCTAGTGACACACTTTTCATTGAATCCTAATAATAAAACTATGAAATAAATTTAAAAACAAAACACCCATGACTCTAGAGAGAAAATTACTAGAATTAACCCTTCTTTCAAATAGTTATATTTTGAATCAGTTCAAATAATGTCTAAGGACTATAAATTGGCAGCAAGTCAGGATCTTTTACTTCTAATCAAAATATCCAAATTATTAACATCCCAATTGTTTATATTTTATTGTGATAACAGCCCATGGCATTATGAAATAAAAAAGAAATTAGTACTACACCTTAATTTGTTTTGCTGAAAACTTAAAAAATTTTACTTCCAAAATGCTAGATAGTTTTCTAGAATGTGGTTTTGATAGAATGCAAAGAAAACATGATCTGGTACATTTAATGTAGTGAGGTTGCCTGATATAAAATTGTTAATATCCATGGCTATTTTGGGGAGGGCCACGCAAATGAGATTCTCATTGTCCTTTGGTTCTTCATTTCTTTTTAATTGTTAAATAATCTTGACCATAAGCTGCACATGGACTGGCATTTTCAATTCTTTTGACCAGATTGATTTCTTATTTTAAAAATAAGTTTATTTATATATTTTTTTTCTTTAAAAATGCAGAACTTCGAGATCAAATTGTATCTGTTCAGGAGGAAAAGAAGATTTTAGCCATTGAGCTGGAAAATCTCAAGAGCAAACTCGTAGAAGTAATTGAAGAAGTATGTATCTCAGGCCTGAAAGGCAAGGGCTTTAGCATTTTCAAGGTGTTTGGGGATTTGCTAAGTTAAGAACTTAATATTATAAGCCAATTTCTAACATGAGAACCATGTACCAATTTTAATCTTCTCTCCTCAATTTCAGACATAAAAAAAGGTAGAGGAAATAAGATGATGAAGATTCATGTACCCACTAGCTAGCTTAATAAATAAAATTCTGAAATAGCATGGACATGTTTCCTGTTGTTCCCCCAGTTTTTGCTATGTAAGGCAAATTTGTAAGAATAGTAGCTACTATTTCAAGTCATATATTTTATTGCTGCTGGTAGAGAAAGAAGAGCATGTTTTGCTTTTCCGGTGAATGACTGGTTCAATTGGGAAGGACTGTCCCTCTGTGCATCTCCAACACAGGCATTTATGATAGGTGGTAGGATGGGTTCAAGTGGTTGTTTACAGAATCTTTCTTTTCTGGTGTTTTGTTTTGTTTGAGACAAGACCTAACTCTGTCACACTCAGGCTGGAGTGCAGTGGCATGATCACAGCTCACTGCCGCCTCAACCTCCCAGGCTCAAATGATCCTCCTGCCTCAGCCTCCCAAATAGCTGAGAGTACAGGCATGCGTCACCACGCCTGCCTGATTTTTAAAAATTTTTATAGAGATGTGGGTTCCTGTATTTCCCAGGCTTACCTTGAACTCCTGGACTTGAATGATCTTCCCACCTTGGCCTCCCAAAGTGCTGGGACCACCAATGCAAGCCGCTGCCCTGGCCTCTTTTTCCTTTTGAACTGTCTTTCAGAACAAGACCCTCACAATTGCCTTTTATTTGCACGAGGCTTCAAGGATTTGCCTTCACAGTCTTGATTCTGGATTTAATTTGTATCAGTGGTTCTTAGATTCTGTAGCCCAGCACTTCCCAACTGATGTGCCAACTGCAGCTTGATAAAGTGACTTATGAGCATGCCAACGTATTGATCCTGTCAGTGAGCAGCCTCATCCAGTTACCTCAGTTTGCACACACATATTGTCATTTTCTTGGAGGCCATGATGTAAAAAAGGTTGGAAAGCAGTGTCTGCCAACTTCCCAGCCTGAGCTCCTTTTATTATTGTGGCAAAACATTGTAACGAATGGGAAGAAGGAAGATGATATTTTGGAAAGGACCTTACCGTTGGACAATGTGTACCAGTTACTAATTTAAACCAAAACCAAAAATAAAGCCTACACTAAAAGAACCAGTTAATAGATTATCTGGAGGTGCTGATGGATTCAGAGCCACTTTCAGGACCATTATCTTTGTTTCTTAGTGTGCTCTGTTCCTCAGTTGTGATTATTTACTGATGATTCTCTCGCTTCCCACTTAGAGGTATTATTGGAAGACAATTCAACAATTATTTTTATTATGGCTATTTCAGACATCTGAGAAGGCATAATGAACAAAATAATGGGGCTGAGTTCAGTGGCTCACGCCTGTAATCCTAGCACTTTGGGAGGCCGAGGCAGGAGGATCACTTGAGCCCAGGAGTTGGAGATCAGCAAGACCTCCTAGCAAGACCTCGTCTCTCAAAAAAATTTTTAAAAATATTAGCCAGGCATGGTGGCATGTGCCTGTAGTCCCAGCTACTCAGAGGGCTGAGGTGGGAGGATTGCTTGAACCCAGGAGTTCCAGGCTGCAATGAGCTATGATCGTATTACCACCCTCCAGCCTGAGTGACAGACTGAGACCCTGTCTCTAAAAAAATTATTTTTAATGAACATCCATATACCTGCTACCCAACTTAATTCACAGAATATTAGCATGGTGATGAAAGCCCTGGTGTAACTCTTTCTGGTTGCATACTCCTTGCTCCCTGCCCAGTTTCCCTAAACAACTGTTATTCTGAACTTGGTGTTTATCATGTCAGTGCATATATTTACATGTTCACTACAATACATAGTATTTTGAGTGTTTTTAAATATTATAAACATGCCTGCTTTCTAAATTCAATATATTTGAGATTTATCTTCTACCTTGATATATGTAGCTTTACTTTATGTTCTTTTTTTTTAAAAAAACTTTTCTATAGTATTCTCTTTCGTTGATAGACATCAAAAGTTACTTCAGAAATTTAAATTTTTGTGGGAGTATTTATATGTGTTTTATTTAAGCCAAGAGTCATCAGAGTTCAAAGTCTTATTTTAAAAGTTCATGTTCATCTTACTTAAGTCAAAAATAATCAGCATTTTTATTTTATTGTATTTTATTTAAATTATTATACTTTAAGTTCTAGGGCACATGTGCACAATGTGCAGGTTTGTTACATATGTATACATGTGCCATGTTGGTGTGCTGCACCCATTAACTTGTCATTTACATTAGGTATATCTCCTAATGCTAATCAACATTTAAAATGAATACCAAAATTGAGTATCGGATCTTGACTAAATGATTCTTGTATTTTCTGGGTGATCTTTAGTTGGATTTTTGCATTAAAAATATGAATCATGGCTGGGTATGGTGGCTCACGCCTGTAATCCCAGCACTTCGGGAGGCTGAAGCAGGAGGATTGCTTGAGCCCAGGAGTTCGAGACCAGCCTCGGCAACATAGGAGACCCCATCTCTATATTCTTTGTTTTTTTTTAATTAAAAAAATATGTATCATATACATTGGATGGCTAGCATACTGTTATGTTTAGGTGCCAGTGCCAACTGGAATATATAAATAAGTTCTGTACCAGGTATACATCCTAACTTAAATAGCTATCCTTGAAGCTTTAAAGAAGAGCTTTAATAAAAAGTCCTAACACATTGAAACCAATTTCTGCTTTAAATTGTAACTTCATGTTGAAAGTTGAACAGCAATTGAGTATCACACATTGCCATATGTCCTGTTTTACAATTTTTGGTGTTTTCTCCCCTCAAAATTTCACATTTTTAGGTAAATAAAGTTAAACAAGAAAAGACTGTTTTAAATTCAGAAGTTCTTGAACAGAGAAAAGTCTTAGAAAAATGCAATAGAGGTAAGTCTGTCCAGTCTTTTTTTCTCAAATACGTATGCGGTGTGTTCTGTTTGCATATATTGTGTGTCATTTTACACCTGTGCCTAAATATGACTGTAAATAAAATCTTCTCCTATATTGTGATTTTCTAGCATTGTGTCTCTCCCATTTCCATTGTTTTATTACCCAACTTAGAGTCTGGGGACATCTAAAAGTGATTTCACTTGAGGAACAAGGAACCCACTCATTTTGAAACTTCAAACCGAAATACTATTTCTGTCTTACATATATCCAGGGATCATGGCCTTTTTAGCTCTCCCCTCAGCATTTATATGTTTGGTAGGTTATTTAGTAAATCTCAATCCAGAAGAGGTTAGGCTGTCTACATAAAACATGTAACATTATGTGATGAAATTTTAAATTAAGAGGATGTGGAAAAAGGGATAAAGGAAAGTAAGAGTTAGATTGGTATACAAAGTGCATACTTGTTCTGAGGTCTTGCACATTTCCTGCCTGTGTGTTTGAAATCTGGTTCTGAGCTGTCTGACAGTCAGTGCAATAAGAGATTGATGATCATTTAAATGAATCACATGAAAATGAACCTAATGATCAGGAAAAGCAGACCTGCTCTCCTGGTGAGAGGGAAGTGTCTCCAGTGGCTATATCCAGAGAAAACTTTGTGTACTTTGGGCAACAGTGACTTTATCCATCTAGTTATAAAACACAGCATCAGCTCTCATCGGGGCTGTTTCATGTATCTCCCAGTTTAAGACAAGGAAGTGATGCCAAAGTGTAGTTCTGCAAAAATAATTCTGGAAGTGGTAAGAAGAACTTAATATACTTTCTGTTCTCTCTTTTTCCCTCAGTCACTCTCTTTCCTTGTTTAGAAGCTGCAACACTAACAGGAAACCTTTGCGACCCAGGGCCTTCCCTATTGTTATTGGTGGTAGCTGTCAATCTTTTTGTGATTCATCAACTGGGAATTTTTTTTGTAAATAAAGGACCTTGTAGTTAAATGTGGGCAATATGCTGGATTGTAACATTTCTCCAAGTCTTTCTGTATTTAAAGATAGAAATGGTGTAGAATTTTCAGTCTTGATTCACTGTGCTAGGAAAAGGGTTCTGCAAGGATTAATCATGTAGATCTTGCCTTCAGAGAGTCCCCTGTCTAGGAAGAGAGAAAAATTATATAAATAAATACCTGACTAGGACCAACCTGATTTCTTTCAGATTCCAAGTCAGAAGGGCCAGGACACGTGAAAATTCCCTTTTTATTATAGTGTTCTGGACATAGAAAAGAGAGTCAATTATCTTGCCTGGGCTTCAGATCGTCATAGTGTTCTTTGTTTTCTTCATGAAATTTCTTGTTTAAATAGGCTTGAAAATCATTTAGCTCTCAGGGACCTATAATTCACACCAAAAAATCACCACTCTTATTGCTTTACTTATTAGTCTTTCATCTGAAGAGGCTGTAGATTGAGTACAGAGTTTGAAATTCTATGTCATTACGCAGCAAACCAGTCCTTAAGTCAGTTAGGATTGAAGTGCCCTGGTGGAGCAGTGTGTGAAGGCAGCTGTTAAGAGAGCCTTTTGAAAGATTTTGTTGGTATGACTCAGCTCAGGGTGGAGGTGACTCACCAGAAGTGGATGGACAGTGTGCTGTCTGCCCAGCTTGTGCCTAATATCTAATGGTATCGTCACTCCCTCTGTCCTGTCATTATCACTATTTAACAAAATAGGCCACTGAATGTTGAAAATAGCAAAGAATTTATATTACTTTTATTTGACAGGACCTTTTGAAGCTTTCGGTCTTGCAGTAACTCCTTGGTACAAAGCTCTGATTCTTTGGTTCTGAATGCATCTAAGGCTGTTTCTCTCCTTTGTAAATATGGAGAACACTTAAAAATAACTTATATGTCCAGGCGCGGTGGCTCACACCTGTAATCCCAGCACTTTGGGAGGCTGAGGTGGGCGGATTACTTGAGATCAGGAGTTTGAGACCAGCCTGGCCAACATGGTAAAACCTCGTCTCTACTGAAATACAAAAATTAGCCAGATATGGTGGCACGCACCTGCCTGTAATCCCAGCTACTCAGGAGGCTGAGGCAGGAGAATCACTTGAACCTAGGAGGCGGAGGTTGCAGTGAACCAAGATTGCACCACTGCCTTCCAGCCTGGGCGACAGACATAGTGAGACTCCATCTCTCAAAAAATAAATAAATAAATAAATAAAACATATATATATATTATATATATAAATCATTTTATATATTTATATATAAATCATTTTATATATTTATATATAAATCATTTTATATATTTATATATAAATCATTTTATATATTTATATATAAATCATTTTATATATTTATATATAAATCATTTTATATATTTATATATAAATCATTTTATATATTTATATATAAATCATTTTATATATTTATATATAAAATATTTACATTTTATACATATGTATATACATATACATAATTTATACATTTATTTACATTTAATATTATATATAATACATATATTTTTATACATAAAAATGTATATATTCAGGTAGTATACTTTTTTTGGTGGAAAATTTAGATTCATGTAAGGAAAGAAAAAAATCTCAACCTTTACAATCCAGAGATAAGCACTAGTACCATTTTAGTGTATATTCTTCCAATCTTAAAAAAAACTCTCTCTACATATATACATATTAAATGTTTTGTTAAATATGTTTATATATATATTTATATATATATGGAAGACAGAGGAAATACCAGTAAAAGGAATCTCTTTATACTTGCTGGTACCTTACAAACCCATGAACATCCCTCTCTACTCTTACCCCTCCCTTGAATTTTTATTATTTCCTTTCTTTTATTTGTAGTTTTGCCAAATATGTCTATATCTCTAAACAGCATTGTTTAATTTTGCATATTTTTGAACTCTATGTAAATGGAATCATTTTTCCTGTAACCTTCTGCAACTTTTTGTGTTTGTGAGATTCATGCATGTGGACAGGCATAGCTGTGGTATGTTTGTTTTCACTGCTATATACTATTCCATTAGATGACTACACTAAAATTATTTTAAGTAGTATCCTATTGGTAGACTTTGGGCTGTTTCCATATTTCTGCTATTCTGAGTCATGCTGTTATAAAAAATGTTAGACATGTCATCTGGTGCACATGTCCAAGAGTTGCTTTAAGACACATGCCAAATGTCAAATTTTATCTTCAGTTTTTTTTCACTGCATACCAAATTTAATAAAACCATGCTTTAAAATTTTTACCAGTTGCCTCTTGGATGGGTGTAAGAAGTGTTTTTACTCTGCATTTCCTTGATTCCTAATGAAGATGAGCATCTTTCCACATGTTTATTGGCCTTTTGTATATTTTCTATTCTGTGAAATGGCTGTTGATGTGCTTTATCTGTGGCTTTTAAAGAACAAAAATGAATTCACTTTGCACTAATTTTTGCAATCTATTTTTAAAAATACATCACAGATGTCTTTCCATTTACTAAGTATGCTTCTACAATATAATTTTGATGGCAGAATAATATTTCTTGTACTACAATTTACTCATTCTTCTGTGTTAGAGTATTATGTCATTTCACTTTTATCAGCAATGAGGTAGAGAGCATCCTTGCAACCAAATGTCTGTATATGCTCATGTGTTACAATCTTAGCATATGCATTCCTGGAAGTGGGATTATTCAAAGTGTATGAATAGTTTTAGATTTTTGATTCACGTTGCCAAGTTGCTCTCCAAAAAGGTTTTATCAGTTTGTATGCCAACCAGGAATGCATGAGGGTACCTGTATGCTGGTATGAAAAATCTTTTCAACACTGTTTTTCATCCATATTCCTGATTATTTGTGTGACTTATTGTCTGGGTTTTTTTTTTCCTTTATCTTCTTAAGTGTCCATGTTAGCTGTAGAAGAGTATGAGGAGATGCAAGTAAACCTGGAGCTGGAGAAGGACCTTCGAAAGAAAGCAGAGTCATTTGCACAAGAGGTGGGTATCTTGTAAAAATCTTATTTTTTTTCTTGAGACAGAGTCTCGCTCTGTCACCAGGCTGGAGTGCAGTGGCGCAATCTCGGCTCACTGCAACCTCCGACTCCCTGATTCAAGCGATTCTCATGCCTCAGCCCCCCGAGTAGCTGGGATTACAGGCACACGCCACCGTGCCCAGCTAATTTTTGTATTTTTATTAGAGATGGGGTTTCACCATGTTGACCAGGATGGTCTTGATCTCCTTATCTCGTGATCTGCTCGCCTTGGCCTCCCAAAGTGCTCCCAAAGTGAGCCACCGTGCCCAGCCGTAAAAACCTTTTGAATTTTTGTTTTGTAAGGGACCTTGCAGACGACATATCAGACAAATTCTTGAGGTTGAATAAGAACTTACCAGTTTGAATTAAGGATCTGCTGGTTTAGGGAGGCAGATATAGAATAGTATCAAGTTCATTGTCAAAAGATCTGGGCTCAAATTTTGGCCATGTCAGTTACTAGTTGTAGTAGTGTATGACCTCTGAGCAATTCTTCAGCCTCTCAGGGCTTCACTTTTACCATCTGTAAAATGGACAATAATACAGACCTGACCAAGTGGATTTTAATGGCAAAATTTAAAAAAAGTGTTGTATAAACTATAAAATGCTATGTAAGGGAAAGGAATTGCATTTGGAGACAACCCATGACTTGTGATGGAAAGTCCAACTTGGGTACAAGATGCCTGTACATTTCAAATAGGCTTAAAATCTGGGATGTATCTCCATATACCATCTCAGATAACAGTATTATGGTATCAGTATTTCTCTTCAGCCATTGTGCAGTGCTGTCATTATGCCAGGAAGTTCTTCCACTGGCTGTGGAACACTGCCATGTAGTACATTCATTATCTCAGCGTTTCACCAGCCTACTGATCTTCCTCTTATGTTAGAGATCAGCTTTGAATCTCTTGTTCCGGCTTACCTGTTGACATGCAGTCGTTGGGTCTTCCATGGCCCTGGGGCTCATCCAGGGGGATGAGGAGTTCACCAATGGGCTAAACTCAAAAGCTGGTCTGCAATGAGATCTCCATCCTGTGGGTGTAGTTTGAATTTGTGTGCATACTGTAGGTTGAAGGAAGATAGCTCAGGAAATGTAAAACAGTCCTAGGTAGAGGTATCCAAGGCATAGAAGGAAGACAAAGCATGGCATTAGGGGAATGACATTTGAAAATCCAATGATGGTTTTGTGGGGGTCTTTCTGTGCTTGAGCATAGCTGTGCTAGCAGTGAACTCTACCGAAGGTTTAGGCCAAGTAGATCTGATTTGAAATATTATGATTCGTTTTATTTAGAGAGTTTAATGAAAGGTGAGTAAATATTTTTCTCTTATTACTTGGAAGAAAGAAAAAAGAATTGAAGTGTGTCAGAGCTCTCTGGAAAACGTTGGAGCAATATAAATAATGCAGTGAAATAAACAGTGGAGGGGGAGGGGAAGCAGGGATAATGTGAAGATGCCTTTATTGCAAAACTGGAAAGGTCGGCTGATTTTGACCTGAATAGCAGGTCTCATTTCAAGACATGTTCAGTTTTCCATCTGTTGTTTGCACAATGATGTTAGAATACAAAGCAGCTCAAAGAAAAACTTGAAGGCCATGTGGTAGCAGAGAAGACAGATGGAAGAAGCAAGGTTGCAGTAAGAAGACAAAAATGAATGATTGACTCTGCTGTTCACCTGGTCTTCAGTCTTAGTGGTTGGTGGAAACAATAATGCTGACATGTTAACCCAGAATGAGAAGGTAGAAGTTTGAGGAGAGAAAGAAAGCAAGAGCAATGGTACTTACGTTATTGGCAGCATAAATATTTGCAGTGGCACTCAACAATTTTACAATATCTAGATTCAATCTACACAATAGTGAGAAGAAAACTTTTTTTTAAAAAATAGCACCACGTTGGAACTAGTATATTTTCCTTTTTACAAAGTTTATGCATTCTCAGGTTTTCAACAGGTAAGTACTGCACAAAGACACATAACTTAGTTTAACAACAGAGTCCCATTCTTTTGCATTTTACTTACCACTTAGGGCATGCAGCAAACATCTTACTGTGCCAGACACTGTGCTGACATTGGGAATCCAGTGGTGAAGAAAGCAAATGTGAGCCCTACCCTCTTGGAGCTTATAGTCTAGAGCCTTAGAAATCAATTTTTAAGGTTAATTTACTTTATATTTTTAATTAAAAAGGAGTATGTGTGCCTTGCACAAAGATACAAATATTTTCTAAATGTATAAAATAAAAATTGAAAGTTACCCCCCATTCTTAACTCCCGCTAGTTCATTTAAAAAACAAAACCAAAAACTTAATCCCCCTCAACAAGAAAACTATCAGTTGTCTTCATAACTATATTAAAATTTTAAATTTCTTCAACATAATTAAATTTTTTGACCAGGCATGGTGGCTCACGTCTGTAATCCAAGCACTTTGGGAGGCCGAGGCGGGGGGATCAATTGAGGCCAGGAGTTCAAGACCAACCTGGCCAACATAGTGAAACCCCATCTCTACTAAAAATACACAGATTAGCCAGGCATGGTGGCAGGCACCTGTAGTCCCAGCTACTTGGGAGGCTGAGGCACGAGAATCACTTGAACCTGAGAGGCAGAGGTTGCAGTGAGCCGAGATTGTGCCACTGCACTCCAGCCTGGGTGCCAGAGCGAGACTCCATCTCAAAAAAAAAAAAAAATTACTGTAATCATAATGGTCACCCAAAACAATTCATTTTAATTAAATCACTGGTCTGAAGTTTAAGATACTGTGATGAAATATTGATTACTCTTTCTTAGAATGCTGAAGCTGCATCTCACCCTTCTCCAGCCAAGTGTACATGCACATACTCTTCCTCACTGCAGTCTCTATACCTCTCACTCTCACACAAATGGAAGAAGAATGTGGGTTTCATGTATATGCAATTGTTTATTTACCTGTTTGACTTTGTAATGTGTTTTAATTCTGCAGAAGAACCCTGTCGTAGTTTTGTAGGCTTTTCATAAATCCCTAGGCAAAGAAGGAAAGCTTCTGACCTTTTTTTCCCTTTCATAGGAAGACATACTGGGAAGAAAATGTTAGTGTTTTAGTATACTGTATTCATGACTTGACTTTGATGTGGAAGTCGATACTGATCAAGAGCTTAAGGATTGTATAAATCATTAAAGCTGTGGTCTTGCCACATGGAGGTTGATGGAAAATATTTTTGTCCTGAGTTTTATTTGCTGACTTTTTCTGTTACATGATGGGTGAAGTTGTTGAACAAACTAATATGAGGGCTTTAGCAAATCATTTTGCAGTTCAGAGCTTTCAGTTAAGTTATAATGTAAATTTTAAAATGCTGTTAAAAATCTGAAAAGGTGAAGCTCTATTATAAAATTGGTAGGCCAGATTTCAGAGTTTACAAAAACATTTCATACTTGGAATCACTCACTGGCCAAATTGGGTAGAGTGTTAAGGAAAAGAAATAACAGGTAAATAGAAATCAATATTATTTTCAATCATGTAAAGTTGTGAGGATTTGATGAATAACATATAAATTGCTTAATACAGTGCTCAATAAAATATACTGTCTCCCTTCTCCCCTTTACCCTTCTACTGTTAACTACTTTTATCACTAGGGAGAAACTAATTAGTTTAAAACAAAACATTAGATCTAGCAAATAGTAGAGGAACTTAGCCAGATGGTTAAGAGCTTGGGCATGTAAATCAGATATGGGTTTAAGTCCTGGTCTTGTCACTTACGTGTGTTCTTGGGAAAGTTGCTTAACTTCTTTGAGCCTCAGTTACCTTATTAGTAAAATTAGATGATAGTAGTGTCTACTTGATAGTGTTGTTTTAAGGATTATATGATATAATGAATGTAAAATGATTCCCACCATATCTATCACATAGTGTTTAGTAAATGTTACCTATTCATAGTAGAAGCACTTTAATAGGATTGATGTAAGGATTAAAATAATCCATATAAAATATTTAGTGGAGTACACAAGGTAAATTCTTGAGAAATATTAGCTACTACTATTAATATTAATGTATCTTAAAGCAATAATAAAATATTAAAAACTGAAGAGTAAGACCAGCTTATTGTATAAATATCTTGTTGGGGCAGGAGTAAAGGTATTAAAGATTATATAAAAGGAATGAAATCATAGCAATCACTACTTCTAAAACTTATAGAAGTCAGAATTTGCCTTTAATGATTTAATAAAAATTCCATGTACTTTTCTTTTGCTGAAGTTACAGTTGAGGAGGTATGTGAGATTGATTGATATATACATTCTTGTAACAAACTTTTGCAGATGTTCATTGAGCAAAACAAGCTAAAGAGACAAAGCCACCTTCTGCTGCAGAGCTCCATCCCTGATCAGCAGCTTTTGAAAGCTTTAGACGAAAATGCAAAACTCACCCAGCAACTTGAAGAAGAGAGAATTCAGCATCAACAAAAGGTAACCCATTTTCTTCTGGAATCTTAGGTACACACACACATACATGCATACACACATATATTTAAGATGAAGGGAGCCAGTGCAGTCAGTCCAGTCATTTACTGTTTCATATTTTGCCTTAGTTACTAAGTGCTTTCAACCACCTTTTAGAAAAAAATAACTAAATGAACTTAATGTTGTGAAACTGAAATTTGTAATACGCTATTATAGACTTTATAATAATCTTTAAACTGTCCAAAGGGTCGGAAGAAGCAAGGGAAAGAGGTATAACTTAAAAACAGCTTGGATAAGGCAAAGTCTGGAAATTCAATTTTTGGAAATGTTATATTTTTTGGAGACTGCACACACTAAGAGGCTGTATTCAACTCAGAGCACTTGTTGGAGGGCATAGGTTTTATTCAAAGAAAATGACAGTCCGTATTAGTAGTAATTGTTTGCTTAGAGAAAATTTTTGATTTTGTAAACTTGCACAAATGTGTATGTTTAAAGACTTCCTAAGTGATTATTTCAATTTGATGAGTGGAGCTATTCCAGCTGACACAGCCTACCTCTGTGTGCCAAGAAGAAAGGATAGTCATTGTGGTAGGTGAGAGGAGAAGCAAAGAAGTGGAACAAAGACTTCCAAATTAAAGAGACCACTTAAGAAAAATTACATCAATGTTTATACTACTTATAATGTACCTCATTTGGGAAGGAAAGGCTGTTAGCTGCTACTTGTTACCACCTGTCAAAGCCTCTGTGGCAACAGTATTGACATTTAATCCTTGGAAGTTCTGAAGTTTTTACAAACTTGGTGGTGAGGTTGAGTTGATTTGTTTTGCCTCAATAAGAAATGTTGATATATGGTGGCTGGTAAGATGGCCGAATACGAACAGCTCCGGTCTGCAGCTCCGAGCGGGATCAACGCAGAAGGCGGGTGATTTCTGCATTGGGTACCCGGCTCATCTCACTGGAACTGGTTGGACAGTGAGTGCAGCCCATGAAGGGTGAGCTGAAGCAAGGTGGGGTGTTGCCTCACCCGGGAAGTGCAGGGGATTGGAGAACTCCCTCTCCTAGCCAAGGGAAGCCACGAGAGACTGTGCTGTGAGGAATGGTGCTCTCCAGCCCAGATACTACGCTTTTCCCACCATCTTTGCAACCCACAGACCAGGAGATTGCCTTGGGTGCCTACACCACCAGGGCCCTGGGATTCAAGCACAAAACTGGGTGGCCATTTGGGCAGACACCAAACTAGCTGCAGGAGTGTTTCTTCATACTCCAGTGGCACCTGGAACTCCAACAACACAGAACCATTCACTCCCCTGGAAAGGGGGCAGAAGCCAGGGAGCCAAGTGGTCTAGCCCAGCAGATCCCACCCCCACGGAGCCCAGCAAGCCAAGATCCACTGGCTTGAAATTGTCGCTGCCAGCACAGCAGTCTGAGGTCAACCTGGGACACTCGAGCTTGGTGGGGGGCAGGGTGTCTGCTATTACTGAGGCTTGAGTAGGCAGTTTTCCCCTCACAGTGTAAACAAAGCCACCAGGAAGTTCGGACTGGGCCGAGCCCACTGCAGCTCCGCCAAGCTGCTGTAGCTAGACTGCCTCTCTAGATTCCTCCTCTCTGGGCAAAGCATCTCTGAAAGAGAGGCAGCAGCCCCAGTCAGGGGCTTGTAGATAAAACTCCCATCTCCCTGGGACAGAGAACCTAGGGAAAGAGGCGGCTGTGGGCACAGCTTCAGCGGCTTAAACGTTCCTGCCTGCCGACTCTGAAGAGAGCAGCAGATTTCCCAGCGCAGCGCTTGAGCTCTGCTAAGGGACAGACTGCCTCCTCAGGTGGATCCCTGACTCCCATGCCTCCTGACTGGGAGACACCTCCCAGCAGGGGTCTACAGACACCTCATACAGGAGAGCTCCAGCTGGCATCTGGCAGGTGCCCTTCTGGGATGAAGCTTCCAGAGGAAGGAACAGGCAGAAATCTTTGCTGTTTTGCAGCCTCCACTGATGATGCCCAGGCAAACAGGGTCAGCAGTGGACCTCCAGCAAACTCCAGCAGACCTGCAGTAGCGGGGCCTGACTGCTAGAAGGAAAACTAACAAACAGAAAGGAATACATCAACATCAACAAAAGGACATCCATGCAAAAACCCCATCCAAAGGTTACCAACATCAAAGACCAAAGGTAGATAAATCCACAAAGATGAGGAAAAACTAGTGCAAAAAGGCTGAAAATTCCAAAAACCAGAATGCCTCTTGTCCTCCAAAAGATCACAACTCCTCGCCAGCAAGGGAGCAAAACTGGACAAAGAATGAGTTTGACAAATTGACAGAAGTAGGCTTCAGAAGGTTGGTAATAACAAACTCCTCCGAGTTAAAGGAGCATGTTCTAACCCAACGCAAGGAAGCCAAGAACCTTGATAAAAGGTTAGAGGAATTGCTAACTAGAAAAACCAGTTTAGAGAAGAACATAAATGACCTGATGGAGCTGAAAAACACAGCAGGAGAACTTGGTAAAGCGTACATAAGTATCAATAGCCGAATCGATCAAGCAGAAGACAAGATATCAGAGATTGAAGATAAACTTAATGAAATAAAGCATGAAGACAAGATTACTGAAAAAAGACTGAAAAGGAATGAACAAAGCCTCCAAGAAATATGGGACTATGTGAAAAGACCAAACCTACGTTTGATTGGTGTACTGGAAAGTGATAGGGAGAATGGAACCAAGTTGGAAAACACTTTTCAGGATATTATCCAGGAGAACTTCCCCAACCCAGCAAGACAGGCCAACATTCAAATTCAGAAAACACAGAAAACACCACAAAGATACTCCTCGAGAAGAGCAACCCCAAGACACATAATCATCAGATTGACCAAGGTTGAAATGAAGGAAAAAATGTTAAGGGCGGCCAGAGAGAAAGGTTGGGTTACCCACAAAGGGAAGCCCAGCAGACTAACGGTGGATCACTCTGCAGAAACCCTACAAACCAGAAGAGAGTGGGGGCCAATATTCAACATTCTTAAAGACAAGAATTTTCAACCTAGAATTTCATATCCAGCCAAACTAAGCTTCATAAGCGAAGGAGAAATAAAATCCTTTACAGACAGACAAATGCCGAGAGATTTTGTCACCGCCAGCCCTGCCTTTTAAGAGTTCCTGAAGGAAGCACTAAACATGGAAAGGAAAGACTGGTACCAGCTACTGCAAAAACATACCAAATTGTAAAGACTAATGACACTATGAAGAGACTGCATAACCTAATAGCAAAATAGCCAGCTAGCATCATAATGACAGGATCAAATTCACACATAACAATATTAACCTTAAATGTAAATGGGATAAATGCCCCCAATTAAAAGACACAGACTGGCAAATTGGATAAAGAGTCAAGACCCATCGGTGTGCTGTATTCAGGAGACCCATCTCACGTGTAAAGACACATAGGCTTAAAATAAAGGGATGGAGGCATATTTACTAAGTAACTGGAAAGCAAAAAAAAAGCAGGGGTTGCAATCCTACTCTCTGATAAAACAGACTTAAAACCAACAAAGATGAAAAGAGATAAAGAAGGGCATTACATAACGGTAAAGGTATTAATGCAACAAGAAGAGCTAACTATCCTAAATATATATGCACCCAATACAGGAGCACTCAGATTCATAAAACAAGTTCTTAGAGACATATAAAGAGATAAAGACTCCCACACAATAATAGTGGGAGACTTTAACACCCCACTGTCAATATTAGATCAACGAGACAGAAAATGAACAAGGATATTCAGGACTTGAACTCAGCCCTGGACCAAGCAGACCTAATAGACATCTACAGACCTCTCCATCCCAAATCAACAGAATATATATTCTTCTCAGGACCACATCGTACTTATTCTAAAATTGACCACATAATTGGATGTAAAACACTCCTTGGCAAATGCAGAAGAATGGAAATCATAAACAGTCTCTCAGACCACAGTGCAATCAAATTAGAAATCAGGATTAAGAAACTCACTCAAAACTGCATAACTATCTGGAAACTGAACAACCTGCTTCTTAATGACTACTGAGTAAATAACGAAATTAAGGCAGAAATAAATAAGTTCTTTGAAACCAATGAGAACAGAGATACAACATACCAGAATCTTTGGGACACAGCTAAAGCAGTGTTTAGAGGGAAATTTATAGCACTAAATGCCCACAGGAGAAAGCAGGAAAGATCTAAAATCGACACCCTAACATCACAATTAAAAGAATTAGAGAAGCAAGAGCAAACAAATTCAAAAGCTAGCAGAAGGCAAGAAATAACTAAGATCAGAGCAGAACTGAAGGAGATAGAGACACAAAAAAAATCCTTCAAAAAAATCAGTAAATCCAGGAGCTGGTTTTTTGAAAAGATTAACAAAATAGGTAGACTGCTAGCCCAACTAATAAAGAAGAAAAGAGAGAAGAATCAAATAGACACAGTAAAAATGTAAAGGGGGAGATCACCACCGATCCCACAGAAATACAAACTACCATCAGAGAATACTATAAATACCTGTACACAAATAAACTAGAAAATCTAGAAGAAATGGATAAATTGCTGGACACATACACCCTCCCAAGACTAAATCAGGAAGAAGTGGAATCCCTGAATAGACCAATAACAAGTTCCAAAATTGAGGCAGTAATTAATAGCCTGCTAACCAAAAAAAAGCCCAGGATCAGATGGATTCACAGCTGATTTCTACCAGAGGTACCAAGAGGAGCTGGTACCATTCCTTCTGAAACTATTCCAAGCAATAGAAAAAGAGGGACTCCTCCCTAACTCATTTTATGAGGCCAGCATCATCCTGATACCAAAACCTGGCAGAAACACAACAAAAAAAGAAAATTTCAGGCTAATACCCCTGATGAACATCAATGTGAAAATCCCCAATAAAATACTGGCAAACTGAATCCAGCAGCACATCCAAAAGCTTATCTACCACAATCAAGTCAGCTTCATCCCTGGGATGCAAGGCTGGTTCAACATACACAAATCAATAAATGTAATCCATCACATAAACAGAACCAATGACAAAAACCACATGATTATCTCAATAGATGCAGAAAAGGCCTTCGATAAAATTCAACACCCCTTCATGCTAAAAAGTCTTAGTAAACTAGATATTGATGGAACTTATCTCAAAATAATAAGAGCTATTTATGACAAACCCACTGCCAATGTCATACTGAATGAGCAAAAGCTGGAAGCATTTCCTTTGAAAACTGGCACATGACAAGGATGCCCTCTCTCACCACGCCTATTCAACACAGTATTGGAAGTTCTTGCCAGGGCAATCAGGCAAGGGAAAGAAATAAAGGGTATTCACACAGGAAGAGAGGAAGTCAAATTGTCTCTGTTTGCAGATGACATGATTGTATATTTAGAAAACCCCATCGTTTCAGCCCAAAATCTCCTTAAGCTGATAAGCAACTTCAGCAAAGTCTCAGGATACAAAATCAGTGTGCAAAAATTACAAGCTTCCTATACATCCATAATAGACAAATAGCCAAATCATGAGTGAACTCTGATTCACCATTGCTACAAAGAGAATAAAATACCTAGGAATACAACTTACAAGGGATGTGAAGGACCTCTTCACGGAGAACTACAAACCACTGCTCAAGGAAATAAGAGAGGACACTAACAAATGGAAAAACATTCCATACTCATGGATAGGAAGAATCAATATCGTGAAAATGGCTGTACTGCCCAGAGTAATTTATGGATTCAATGCTATCCCTATCAAGCTACCATTGACTTTCTTCACAGAATTAGAAAAACCTACTTTAAATTTCATATGGAACTGAAAAAAAAGCCCATATTGCCAAGACAATCCAAAGCAAAGAGAACAAAGCTGGAGTCATCACACTGCCTGGCTTCAAACTATGCTACGAGGCTACAGTAACCAAAGCAGCATGGTACTGGTACCAAAACAGATACGTAGACCAAAGGAACATAGCAGAGGCCCCAGAAATAATGCCACACATCTACAACCATCTGATCTTTGACAAACCTGACAAAAACAAGCAATGGAGAAAGGATTCCCTATTTAATAAATGGTGTTGGGAAAACGGGCTAGCCATATGCAGAAAACTGAAACTGGACCTCTTCCTTACGTAAATCTTATACAAAAATTAACTCAAGGTGGATTGAAGACTTTAATGTAAGACCTAAAACCATAAAAACCCTAGGAGAAAATCTAGGCAATACCATTCAGGACATAGGCATGGGCAAAGACTTCATGACTAAAACACCAAAAGCAATGGCAACAAAAGCCAAAATTGACAAATGGGATCTAATTAAACTAAAGAACTTATGCACAGCAAAAGAAACTATCATCAGAGTGAACAGGCAATCTACAGAATGGGAGAAAATTTTTGCACTCTATCCTTCTGGCAAAGGGCTAATATCCAGAATTTACAAGGAACTTAAACAAATTCACAAGAAAAAAAAATCTCATCAAAAAGTGGGCAAAGTATATGAACAGACACTTCTCAAAAGAAGACATTTATGTGGCCAACAAACATATGAAAAAAAGCTCATCATCACTGGTCATTAGAGAAATGCAAATCAAAACCACAATGAGATACCATCTCATGCCAGTTAGAATGGCGATCATTAAAAAGTCAGGAAACAACAGATGCTGGAGAAGATGTGGAGAAATAGGAATGCTTTTACACTGTTGGTGGGTGTATAAATTAGTTCAACCATTGTGGAAGACAGTGTGGTGATTCCTCAAGGGTCTAGAACCAGAAATACCATTTGACCTAGCAATCCCATTACTGGGTATATACCCAAAGGATTATAAATTGTTCTACTATAAAGACACACACACACATATGTTTATTGCAGCACTATTCATAATAGAAAAGACTTGGAACCAACCCAAATGCCCATCAATGATAGACTGGATAAAGAAAATGTGGCACATATACACCATGGAATACTACACAGCCATAAAAAAGGATGCGTTCGTGTCCTTTGCAGGGACACGGATGAAGCTGGAAACCATCATTTTCAGCAAACTAACACAGGAACAGAAAACCAAACACTGCATGTACTCACTTATAAGTGGGAGTTGAACAATGAGAACACATGGACACAGGGAGGGGAACATCACACACCAGGGCCTGTCGGGGGGTGGGGGCAAGGGGAGGGATAGCATTAGGAGAAACACCTAATGTAGATGACAGGTTGATGGGTGCAGCAAACCACTATGGCACATGTATACCTATGTAACAAACCTGCACATTCTACACATGTATCCCAGAACTTACAGTATAATAAATAAATAAATAATAAAAATAATTTTAAAAGGAAATGTTGATATATATGTAGAGTACCTCTGGATGGACAGGTGGTAACAGTCCCCTGGGAAAGAGAACTGGAGAATAGGGTGGGAGGGAAAGAATTTCATTCTTTCTTTTGTCCCCATATGTAGGAATTACCTTTTCAAGAAAAGAGAAAAAGAAGAATGTGTTTTTGTTTCAGTTTATGCTAGAATTTAACTTTTGGTTCTGAAAAGTCCAGCTACTTACAGTTAAATCATTTAGTAAATAATACGTGCCTAGAACCTACTGAATTGAGCTGAGGTATAGGACTAAATTGTTGTATATATACCTTGTTGGGTACTAAAGATTAAAGTTATCAATGAAATTATAACAATCACTACTTCTAAAACTGTTATACTCTTTGTATATACAGTTATTCTTACAGTCTTTCATGTACAGATGATCCTTGACTTATGATAGGGTTATGTCCTGATAAACCCACGTTAGTTGAAAATATTGTAAATCAAAAATAATATACCTAACCTACTGAATATTATAGTTCAGCCTAGCCTACCTTAAACATACTCGGAACACTTAACATTAGCCTACAATTGGGCAGAGTCAACTGGAAATACAGTATACTCTAGAGCATCAATCCCCAATCTTTTTGGCACTAGGGACCAGTTTCGTGGAAGACAATTTTTCCATGGACTGGGGAGGGAAGAGGGTGGGGGATGGTTTTGGGATGAAACTGTACCACCTCAGATCATCAGGCATTAGATTATCATAAAGAGCGGCCAACCTGGATCCCTCGCGTGTGCAGTTCACAATAGGGTTCGCGGTTCTGTGACAGTCTGTTGCCGCTGCTGATCTGACGAGGTGGAGCTCAGGCGGTAATGCTTGCTCGTGCCTGCTGCTAACCTTCTGTGCAGCCTGGTTCCTAACAGGCCATGGACCAGTACCAGTCCAAGACCTGGGGGTTGGGGAACCCTGCTCTAGAGTATCAGTTATTTACTCGCATGATCATGTGACTGATTGGGAGCTGTGGCTGGCTGCCGCTGCAGAGGATTGTTGAGAGAGTATCTTATTACATATTGCGAGCCTGGGAAAAGATCAAAATCCAGAATTTGAAGTATGGTTTGTATTGAATGCATGTCGCTTTCACACCATTGTAAAGTCGAAAAACTATCTCAAACCATCCTAAATTGGGGACCATCTGTATGTCGCTTAAAATGTTTCTTAGCTGTCTGTAAGTTCCCTTGCAGATGCAGCAGTCTTTTAAGCACAGCATATGGTTTTTGCAATTATAAAAATAGCATATGCTCCTTATAATACATTTTTAAAATACAGCAAAAGTTAAAGAAGATTAACCAAGTATCCCATATTTTGGTGCATAGCTGAACTTTCTGTAAATATATACCTTTATAAATATAGTTTGTTTAAATTGAATCATACTATGCATACTATTTTATGCCTTGATTTTTTTTCCATTGGTAATATATCTTCTCATGTCAGTATATAGTAAGCTATGTGATTTAAAAGTTGCATAGTATTTCATTGAATAAACATGCTATAATTTATTAAACTAAAAATATTGGTGGACATTTAGGTTATTTGCAACTTTTTGCTGTTGTAAAGAATACTTCAGGCCAGGTGTGGTGGCTCACGCCTGTAATCTCAGCACCTTGGGAGGCCAAAGCAGGTGGATCACTTAAGGCCAGGAGTTCGAAACCAGCCTGGCCAATGTGGTGAAACCCTGTCTCTACTAAAAATACAAAAATTAGCCGGGTGTGGTGACATGTGCCTGTAGCCCCAGCTACTCAGGAGGCTGAAGCACAAGAATTGTTTGAACCCAGGAGGCGAAGTTTGCAGTGAGCCCAGATCGCGCCACTGCACTCCAGCCTGGCCGAAAGAGTGAGACTCTATCTCAGAACAAAAACAAAAACAAAAACGAAACAAAACAAAAAACCACTTCAGTGAATATATTTCAGAGTATTTTAAAAAATAATTTCTAAAAATGGTTTTACTGAATCGAAAGCCTTTCCTTTTTTTTTTTTTTTGAAGACTTTTGATACTTATTACTAAATTTGTGTCCCCCAGGAGTCTTTTAAAATATTACCTGAATTTTTCTTTTGAAAATGGGTACAAAAGTGACCCATGTTTAAAAATTAAAGTGTCTGTGTGACTAACAAGCATATAAAAAATGCTTAACATCACTAATCATTAGAGAAATGAAAATCAAAACCACAATGAGATACCATCTCATGTCAGTCAGAATAGCTGTTACTAAAAAGTCAAAAAATAGCAGATGTTGGCAAGGTTTCAGAGAAATGGGACGCTTAAACACTGCTGGTGGGAATGTAAGTTAGTTCAGCCATTATGGAAGGCAGTGTGGCGATTTCTCAAAGAACTTAACACAGAAATACCATTCAACCCAACAGTCCCATTATTGGATATATGCCCAAAGGAATATAAATCATTCTACCATAAAGACACGTGCACACATATTCATCGCAGCACTATATGCAACAGCAAAGTCATGGAGTCAACCTCAATGCCCATCCGTGGTAGACTGGATAAAGAAAATCTGGTACATATTACACCATGGAATACGGTGTAGCCATAAAAAGGAATGAGATAATGTCCTTTGTAGCAACATGAATGGAACTGGAGGCCATAATCCTAAGTGAACTAACATGGGAATAGAAAACCAAATGTTCTCACTTCTAAGTGGGAGCTAAGCATTGATTACACACGGACACAAAGAAGGGAACAACAGACACTGGGGCTTACTTGATGATGGAGGGTGGGAGGAGAGAGAGGATCGAAAAAGTATCTATCAGGTACTATTCTTTTTACCTTGGTGATGAAACAACCTGTACACCAAGCCCCTGTGACACACAATTTACCTATATAACAACCATGCACATGTACCCCGAACCTAAAATAAAACTTAAAAAAAATTAAAGTGTCTGGTACGTAACTCCCCAGTAAATTTATTTTAAATCAGCTCTTTAGCTGATTTATGATTGTGTGTTAATTGTATCTAGCATTTGCATGGTTGTTAAGATGGATTGGAATCTGTTTGCTATGAAGTACAGTCAAAGGGAAATATTTATTTTTTCCCTTTCTTTTCTTTGACAAAGGAAAAACTGTCAGCCATAAAAGTCTTTTTTTTTTAAATAACTTATAGGTCAAAGAATTAGAAGAGCAACTAGAAAATGAAACACTCCACAAAGAAATACACAACCTCAAACAGCAACTGGAGCTTCTAGAGGAAGATAAAAAGGAATTGGAATTGAAATATCAGAATTCTGAAGAGAAAGCCAGAAATTTAAAGCACTCTGGTAAAAGCATTGAGTAGGCTACTATGTCTTACTATTAATCTTTGAATTACTCATGCCTAGTACAAAACCTGGCATATAGTTAGTCTAGAACATTTACTGAATGCTGTGGAAAAATACCAAGATTTGTTTTGAAATTCCTTAATTTCTAACCATTGCAATTCAGTAGAATAGCTGCTGTATTAAATAATTCAAAAATATTTAGACTAATTTTTTGGACTTAGAGCCCTTGTGAACATCATATACAGAATTTAGACACAGAGATACCGTTAGCCTAGGAAGACCAACTTTTCAGCATTTTTCAGAGCTTCAGAGATGAATGTTCATTATGTACTTTATTTTGTTCACTTAGAGTGCATTTTTAGAAAGAATTAAACTTTTTAAAAATACTGTCTTCATCTTTGGTGTTCATACTACCTTCATCTTTGGTGTCTAATAATACACATGAAATAATACTTTCTATATTGTACCTAACAATGAACTGGGCAACAATATATCTATTAAATGGAAAATCTTTAGAAACACCAGGGGATACTTAAATCAAAAGATTTATTCATTCAGTTCTAGAAGGCTTAACGGGAATGTGCGAGTTAGATTACTATACGGGCATATGTGTAAGTCTCTGTTGGAAGGTCGGTAATTTAAGAAGTCAGGTACATTCCCTTTATAATAGCTTCAATATTCACTTCAGATATTTTTGGTTAATTTTATACTAGAATTTTGAAACCTATGCAGAAGAACCATGTAGGCCTTTTTTCCTTCTAAAAGCATTCAGTGCTTTCTAATCCACAATGAAAATTGATTATAATTTATTTTTTAATTGATCCAAAATTAAGAAGTATTTCATTCTTTTTAGTGAATATCAGAGTAGCCTGTAGCCAAAGCCATCTTTATTATGAATAGAGGAGGCAGACACTGGAAATATATAAGGTTCAAATCTGAATGCCTTCTATTAATACTTATTATCTGCTGTGTGTGTACCCAGCCCTATCCTAGGAAACAATAAGAAATACAGAAGAAAAGAAACCATGCTTTTTGTCTTCAGAGAACTCAGATTCCCCTTGGAGGGATAGGTGCATGCACATAAAAAGACTAGAGGATTCTCAGTTTTGGAGAGCATAGCCCACACTGCCTATTTAAGTGTTGAGGGTAAATACAAATGGACAGATCCCTGAGGGTACACTCAGTCGGGGAAAGTGGAATGGCTGTGGATGGGGAGAGCTACCTCTGAGTGCCAACAGTATGCAGCACCTTTTACCCATTATCTCATAGGTATTAGCACCTGTGATATCAACTTAAGTTCAGTTCTTTGAAGTCAGGTGTTACGTCTCCTGTAGCACCATTCATAGGCACTTTCACATCATTGGTGCTTAGTAAAATGCCTTCCTCATGAAAGACTTGAAGGAATACGATACATTTCCAGAAATCTCTTCAAAAGAGCAAAAAGTTTCTGAGTTACAGATTTAGGAAGCTGAATCTGGTTAAAATCAAAGACTCTAGTATTTGCAGTTTTTGAAGGAAATTAAGCAGGGGAGAGAAGTATGCAGCTATTAAATTTCATTACTAAATGTCATCTTTAAAATTAATTCTTGGTCTGTACACTTTTAAAGTATTAACAATTTCTTAGTGTTTGAGTCATATACTTCGTTGTTAACAAATATTTCTTCAGCCTACTCCTTCCTACCCTTCAGCCATTGTTTTTAATTTTTTTCTTTTCTAAAGTTGTATATACAGCAAAAAGATAACATTTAATATTGATGGATAGGAGTCCTCTCTTGCATTAGCAATAGACTAGATAGTGAAAAGTTTAAAAAGGTCTGTAATTTCATATTGAAATTTCTAATTTTGCCTTAATAAAAAGAACTTACTTTTGAGAAAGGTTATGTTCTTTTTTTCACATGTATAAACAATGTTTAGTTGCTTATTTCAGCTCTCTTCTGAATGTTTGCTCTCTGTGCAGTTGATGAACTCCAGAAACGAGTGAACCAGTCTGAGAATTCAGTACCTCCACCACCTCCTCCTCCACCACCACTTCCCCCTCCACCTCCCAATCCTATCCGGTAAGCACATCCAGGAAGACTGCTCTGCATCAAATGTTCTTCTCCATCAGATTGTGCCATAAGAGGAGTCATCTTAAAAGCATGAAAGATACTAGCTGATGCTTCTCTTGGAAATTTTTCTAAAGGCCAGTGATATGGTTTGGTTGTGTCCCCACCCAAATTTCCTCTTGAATTGTAGCTCCCACAATTCTCACGTATCGTGGGAGGTAATTGAATCATGAGGGTGGGTCTTTCCATGCTATTCTCATGATAGTGAATCTCATGAGATCTGATGGTTTTATAAAGAGGAGTTCTCCTGCACAAGTTCTCTCTTCCCTGCTGCCATGTAAGATGTGACTTGCTTCTCCTTGCCTTCCGCCATGATTGTGAGGCCTCCCCAGCCATGTGGAACTGTGAGTCAATTAAACCTCTTTCCTTTATAATTACCGAGTCTCGGGTATATCTTTATTAGCAGCATGAGAATGGCCTAACAAGCCAATATATTATTCCCTTCTTGTAGTATACAAATTTCATTCAATAACATTAAGATTTCCTTTAATGGTAAGAACAAGGAATTTTGAGCTTTTCCAGAATGTGTTTACTTTTCTGTCTTGCTAATTCAAATTTGAAAAGCTGTGGTTTGTTCAATTATTTTAAAAATAAAAATACTAAATGAAAACGTAAACATGCTAATTGTTATAAACTAGTAATTAAACTAGAAGTATTAATTACTTTTATCCCTAACCTCATATTTATACCTTTAGTAATGCTAAGAGAGGAACCGTCCATAAGAAAGATAGATTATGTTTAAATTCTTGTGGCAGGAAGTCACATATGCAGACAGGAATTCGTATTTTCTGAAGCCTAAGGTGACATGATGGCATTATGTACATCACTTGAGCACAATACACACTAGGAGATTTAGAGTCAAATTTTGCCTTTTTTGTGGTTCCACATGCCACCATCTAGAATTACATAAGACAACCTCCTTGCCATGGTGACAGCTTACATGCTCATGTCATGATGTTAGCTGCTTTTGTATAATTTATTCTTTAACAAATGGCATTTTAAAACTTTTTCTAGGGTTTTTTTTTTTTTTAAACCTTTCATTAACTCATGTGATTTGTTTAATCCTTTCACACAGAGAGGCCATTTATTCATACTTTGCACCTTTGCTGATCCATCTGAATAGAATGCGTAGCATGTTCCTCCCACACAACTATGAAAATGGGACTTTGCCTTTTAAAAAGATTCTCATTAGTTTTCCTTACTGAGTAGGGTATGACATAATCTACTTTAAGCCATTGAAGTAGTTAAGGCAAAATAATTTTTACACGTGATCGATCCAAGAGTCAATTGAAAGAATTTCAGGTATTTTAAAATCTTTCTCTCCTGGGTAGCTAAATCTGTAGGAGATATTCTGGATTTGACATTTAAAATTGGAAATTCATCACTTTGATCTTTCTCTAAGGTCTGGGATTTTGAGCTGATAAGAAAGGTCACTTCTGTCCATGAAGAGGGAGAACGATTAAAAAGTAATTACAGTCTTGCTGTTGGCCTTTAATTTTTATTCTCAGAAATGTTGAGAGCCCCTAGAATTAAAAGTAAAGTATAACCTAAGTAGAATTTTTTTTCCCAAAGAGCACTTTACAGTTACGCTGAGAAACGAATGTTCAGGACTATTTGTGTCTCAAGTGTGAACTCTTTTATAAGGCTCTTTAAAGAAAATTTTATTGAATAATATGATTTTTATTTTAAGATGAATTTAAATAGTATAGGACATAATTTTTTAAAGAAAAGAGTTTTTTTTTTGTGAGGAGTGCTTTCTTGTCAAAGAGGTATATTTGCACATGTATTGAGTTTGAGTGGATTTTGAATTCACAAATCAAAGTTTTCTAACTTTGTTCCTGATCTATTTGTTTTATCCTGATGTAAATCATGGTTAGAAATGAAAGTGGGAAGAAAAAAAAAGACTAGGGCCTGTAGCTTAAGTGGCTTACTGCTTTTCCCTTCTCTTCCCACTCATTTGACTCCAAGAATAGATAGAAGAAAGAGGAAGAAGGCAAACCTTGGTCACTTTGTCCCAGTGGTAGTGAAAGTAGGACAGGTTCTATGCAGATATAGTTCATGGGGAGAGGGTTGAGGCTATTAAGTGCTTTTTTTAGAGAAACAGAACCAATAGAATGTGTATATCTATAGATACAGATATAGGCAGATATAAATACAGATTTATTATAAGGAGTTGGCTCATGTGATTATGGAGGCTGTCAAACCCCAAGATCTGTAGGGTGAGTTGGCAACTTGGACACCCAAAAGTGTCAATGGTGTGGTTCCAGGCTGAGTCTAAGGGCCTGAGAACTGGGAGAACCTATGGTGTAGTTTTATTCCAAAGTTTGACAGGCTCAAGACCCAGGAAGTGGCAGTGTTTCAGTTCAAGTTCGAAAGCAAGAAAAAGCCAATAACCCAGTTAGAAGGCAGTCAGGCAGGAGGAATTCCCTGTTAGTTGAGGGAGGATCAGCCTTGTTGTTCTAATTAGGCCTTCAAATGATTGGCTGAGGGCCACCCACCTCAGGGAGGACCATCTGCTTTACTCAGTCTACTGATTGAAATGTTAATGTCATCCACAACATCCTCATGGAAACACCAGAATAGTGTTTAACCAAGTATCTCAGGCACCCCGTGGCCCAGTCAGGTTGACACACAAAATAACTATCACAGTGGACATGACGAACACCTCTTGAAAAACTAACAGGTGAAGGCCGGGCGCAGTGGCTCACGCCTGTAATCCCAGCACTTTGGGAGGCCGAGGCGGGCGGATCACAAGGTCAGGAGATTGAGACCATCCTGGCTAACATGGTGAAACCCCGTCTCTACTAAAAATACAAAAAAAATTAGCCAGGCGTGGTGGGTGCCTGTAGTCCCAGCCACTTGGGAGGCTGAGGCAGGAGAATGGTGTGAACCTGGGAGGCAGAGCTTGCAGCGAGCCAAGATTGCGCCACTGCACTCCAGCCTGGGCGACAGAGCGAGACTCCATCTCAAAAAAAAAAAAAAAAAAAAAAAAAAAAATAGGTGAAAATTCTCCACTGAAATGTTCCATCTTGGGATGACACATGCCTGAAATTTTATTCATTCAATTGAAATGACAGTGAAATGGGGCAGTGATGGCCAGAGGTTTGAGTATGGGTCCCAGAGGTCTTGACCTAATCTCCTCTGGCCTGTGAGTCCTGCCTTCCCTGTAGTCTGAGTCCCATCTTGACTGTTGGTTTTAATATTGCAATGATTTTCCTTTGAGCACTGTATGTCTACAGCTTATGCTTCAACTCAGAGTCCTTTAAGCTAACACTTTCCATCATCTAGGTGGTTTATGCTAATAAACATATTCTTCTTCCCGTGTGTAAATATATATATAAGTACTCTGAGCAGTACAGATAAATTCCTGCTTCATCGTCTTTATGTACAATAATGTACACTTGCAAAATCTCACAGAACGAGAGGCGAGGTCAGTGCAGAGTGTGGTGCAAGGGTAAGGTGAGGCATCTGATTAGTGAGAACCCTCCTCACACCCAGCCCGCCATGGAGTGGTAACAAGTAGATTCAGCTGACAGAATGGAAAATTGAGCAAGTAAAGTTTGTTTTATTCTTTATAACTTCTAGAATAAAATGTGCTTATTTCAAAGTTCTGTGTAAATTAGAATTTCTAACTTTTGTGAAAATAATTTAATTCCATTTGGCCATTGCAAGCCCAAAGAAGAGAAACTAGACAAAGTCAGAAGCTCCATGATTGGTTCCCAAGCTAGATAGAGCAGGATGTGTTTTTTTCTTTTTACTATGCTTTATGGGAGATTATCCAGTGAGTTTGGGAATTTTAAGAAAAGGCAATTAGGAAGGGGATTAATAATATAAGCAAACGTAGAAGTGAAAAGTAAAAAAAAGCTAGAAATTAGAACGATTAAGAAACTGGAGGCTGGGCACAGTGGCTCACGCCTGTAATCCCAGCCTTTTGGGAGGCCAAGGCAGGAAGATTGCTTGAGGCCAGGAGTTCAGGACCAGCCTGGGCAACATGATGAGACCACTGCAAAAAATTAAAAAACATTAACCAGGAGTGGTGGTGTACCTGTAGTCCCAGCTACTCCAAAGGCTGAGGCAGTAAGATCAGTTGAGTGCAGGAGATCGGAGCTGCAATGAGTGGTGACTGTGCCCTTGTACTCCAGCATGGGCAACAGAGTGAGACCCTGTCTCAAAAAAAAAAAAAGGAAAGAAAGGAAGCATTGGGTGATGATATCTTCTGAACAGGTGTTACTCTGTATATCCATTTGCCCCTTTTCCTAAGGGCAATGTTATGCCTTTTTTATCCTCCAAGTATGTGTTTTCTATTGCTGGCTTCCTCAGGACTGTTTTGCAAATACAGTTCACCACACTGAGGACATTTATGATGCAGTTGAAAGAATTCAAAAATTCTTGATTCATTCATGTTTTGGTAAACATTTTATGGAGGAAATGATGCTATATGCAGATATGTACACAAGCCTATGTACAGTTTTAAAAGAATGTTAAAGTGAGCATCTATGTAATCACCCTCCAAATCAAGAAATAGGCAATACTGGTACCCTAATTCTTTCCTTTGATCCTTTTCCAAAGATAACCACCTTCCTCCCTAATTACTATCTTTTATGGTGATCATTTCCTTGCATTATTGAAGAAAAATTTTCTTGCCTAATATGTATCCCTAAACTATTGTAAATATCTGTATGGCCTGGTTTTGAACTTTATGTAATTGGAATTTTCATGTATCATTGTGATCTTGCTCTTTTTACTCTACATTATTATTATTTTTATTTTTTTTTTTGAGATGGAGTTTTGCTTTTGTTGCCCAGGCTGGAGTGCAATGGTGTGATCTTGGCTTACTGCAACTTCCGCCTCC
The DNA here is from genome assembly GCF_000001405.40 of Homo sapiens. Classification (NCBI taxonomy): domain Eukaryota; kingdom Metazoa; phylum Chordata; class Mammalia; order Primates; family Hominidae; genus Homo; species Homo sapiens. The sequence continues at coordinate 116,922,891 of NC_000010.11, read as the reverse complement.
CAGGTTCAAGCGATTCTCCTGCTCAGCTTCCCAAGTAGCTGGGATTACAGATGTCCGCCACCACGCCCAGCTAATTTTTTCATATTTTTAGTAGAGACAGGGTTTTGCCATGTTGGCCAGGCTGGTCTCGAACTCCTGACCTCAGGTGATCTGCCCACCTTGGCCTCCCAAAGTGCTGGGATTACACGTGTGAGCCACTGCACACGGCCTACTCTGTATTATTTTGTAAGATTCATCCATGTTGTGTAGCTTAAGTCTATTCATATTCAGTGATATATAATTCACTTTATGAAGGTCTCAGAATGTACTTATCCATTGTGGTGCTGATGGACATTTGAGTTATTACCAGTTCTGGGGAATTACGGAAATTCTTCATGAACATTCTTGTTCATGTATTCTGGTGCGCAAGTGCTTGCCTTTCTGTAGGATATATGGCAGTGGAATCACTGGCTCATAAGATACATATATTTTTGGCTCTACTAGATAATTACAAAGAGTTTTCCAGAGTGAAATGTACTATTAATTTATATATCCTGTTTGGTTTGGGAACTTCTGTTACTCCACAAACCCACTAACACTTGATATTATCAGATTTTTTTTGTCTATTTGATGAATGTATAGTGATATCCCAGTGTGGTTTTGTGTTTGCCTAATAGCTAATGAAGTCAAGTACCTCTTTTGTATATGTATTGGAAATTTGGACATCTTTTTTGGAGTTGCAAGGTTCTCTTCCATTTTGTCTTGAATTATGTGCTTTTTCTCATTGATCTGTAGAATTTCTTTATATATCCTTGTCTTTTTATTCTGCATAATATCAAAGGTTATAAAATTTTAGTATAGTCAAATTTATCATAATTTGATTTTACATAGATTTGTTTTTAAATGGACCAGAGAGAGAGTGATGTAAATATGTTTTATCCATAAGTATTTAGTCTACATCATGCTGATTCAGATGTTTTTATACCCATAGTTCACAAATAGATATTTACTGATAACATACACTTTTTACTGTGAAACATTCCCTAATTCTTTCATTCTTCCCTCCCCCTCTAACATAGTACATAGATAGCTGTTTCTGAATTTTATATATATGAGTATTGAAATTTTTTGTCTCTTTTCCTTTGTAAGTGTGTATGCATTTTATTATTATAGTAGTGTACTCTCTCCAATAATCAGTTTGGTTTTATACAGAAGAGGATGAGACGTGTTTCTCTTCTGTAAAGTGATGAAAAGTTTAATATTATTAAAAATGGAACGTAGACTACTTAGATTCTAGTTATATATTCATGCACCTATCAAAGAGTGAGATTTTTACTGGTTATTTAGGATCTAGGCATCCAGTAATCTCCTGTTGATCTTTTTCTTTCTCCCAAAGATCCCTCATGTCCATGATCCGGAAACGATCCCACCCCAGTGGCAGTGGTGCTAAGAAAGAAAAGGCAACTCAACCAGAAACAAGTAAGCATCACTTCTATTGGTGTAAGTGGTTGATGGTGTACCATTTTGGGGCAATTCACATATTTGTTAAGTTCTTTGACTATAAACATGTTGTTGGGAGAGTAGTATGAAGCACTGAACAGCTGTAAGAATGAACCAGTAACCGTCATTGCCTTCCTGTAGTTTATTATCTAGAGGAGATAAACACGCACACCTCACTGTAATAAGAGACATACTGGCAAATATATTTTCATTAAAGGTCAGGGTACCTTGGAGTGTACAGGAAAGAGAGGGAGTAATTCCAAATGAGGGATTTGGGGCAAGACTTCTTAGAGTTGGTAGCAAGTGACCTGGGACTTTATCAAGCACTTAGTATGTACTACTCCACTGTTGTGTGCTGGAGGTACACGATATAGAAGTTACATTCTAGTGTAACTAGGCAGGAAGTAAACAAGTAAATATGTAATTATTTAAATACAATTAAAGAGGAGTACACAGTGCTAGGAGATTGTGGAAGTGGACTGCTGGTGTCTGAAAATGATGTTCAAGCTGAGTAGTTGTGCCTTTAGAACATTGGGTGGGTTGGGTGGTGGTGTTTAGGGTAAAACCATTTTAAATAGAGGAGCAGTGGATTCAAAGGTCCAAAGTGTCCAGGAAGGAACTTGGCATATTAGGAAACTGAAAGAAAGTTGGTATGGCTGGAACATGGTGTCCAAGAGAGGAGGTCTAATAGGTAGGCAGGAGCCAGATTCTGGAGGTCAAGGTCAAGGTTCTGGCATTTCTCCTAAGAGCAGTAGAAATTTTAAGCAGAGGTATAACGTGATGAGAATTGTCCTTAAAAAAAAATCACCCTGGCTGCAGTGAGAGAACAGACTGTAACTGGATAAGGGTGGATGAGGGAAGACTATTGCAGTCATTCAGATGAATGTTGATGGTAGCTTACATGAGGGTAGTAGCAGCAGGGGTAGAGAGACATGCATGAATTCAGGAACTATTTAGGGAGGTAAAATTCACAGGACTCTGGTTCATTGGAGATCGAGATATACAGGACAATGATGAGATGGGACTGGAAGGAGAAGGGCCCTCCCATTGAGCAGAGCCAGCAAATGGCTAGATGCACTGGAGTCTGTTTGGTGTGCAGCCACAGTGACAGCAAAGGCTTAAAACAAGGAGGCCAGATCTTGGTCCCCTGTGCCTGCCGTTCTAATTCCATAGCCTCCGTGCAGATTCTGGGCAGATAGCTGGTGTGTTCCAGACTCTTCATCCTCCTCTTTATCGTATTTTGTTAGTATAAACAACATGGTAATGAGTAGCTCATTACCATGCATTGTGACAGCATTTTGCTTTAAATTCTGTTACTTTAAGGATTTAATGTCCCACTTCCTACCTCTACTCTGGCTGTGGTGTTTGAGTTATTTCCACCTCTCTCCCCCTGAGCAGATTGCAAGCTCTTTGAGGGTTTACTCTTCTTGGCAGCATCCCACTGCTTTCATGCATATTGAATGAATTGAAGTTTGGACTTAGTTTTTTTCTCTCTTAGCAGGAATCTTGCAGCACCATTACAAATGAAAGCTGATTTTCTCTCGTAAGAATTGGCTTTCTGTGCCTGCCTTCTGCAATCCTTTGGAATCTATTCCTCTGCACATTAATGGGGCTGAAAGGCAAATTCTGCATTGCACAAGCCATTGCAGGATTCTGAAGCAATTCCGCCTTTGGTGATTTGCTGGGTGGCCCTGCTCTTTGGTTACTGGCTATTAGCGTTTCCTGATGCTGTAATTTAAATTTTGTTTCATTTTTTTCGGGAGAGACAATTGATATATTTTAGAGGGTTGGGGGGAAATTGGAATAAAATGAATTTTCCTTCCAAGTAAATCACATCACCAACTTGTCAACTTTGATAGCACCTTAAATTAAAAAGAAAAATTATTCGAGAATTTCTTAACCCCCGGTTTTAGGACCTATACAGTTTTTCTTATTTATAATTCATGAAATGTGACAGTATTTTCTCCCACATCCTTGGGCTACCAGATTGCTATTTTGGGATTCTAAGTAGAGTTACCAATATAGAAGTTGCTCTTGAGATTTTAGAATGGAGCAACCCTAAAAAACACACAGCCTTGAATAATGCATACTGTACTCACACATGGCTGAAGCACTACCCTCCTTCTATCTGGCAAGGCAGTTATTTATAGTGTCTTGTTAATAGGTCACACTGAAAAAATAGTTGTTGAGTGAACAAATCAATAATTAAATGCATGATGAATTAATGTAAAGCATCAAACATTGGGATTCTCTGTGACACTTTGGGGTTTGCATTTATAACATAGTGACTGGTCTCACATTCACTGTGTTTTCTTTCTTAGGTTAGCATCTTATGATGGCTTTTAACTTACAGTTGGTAAGGTATTCAGAGTTTATTAGTAGGGAAACTTTTACTCCTTACTTATGGCTCTAAAAACTTCATTGTAAAGAAAGACTATAATATTTTATAGATAGTTTTAATAATTGAATGTAAGAGATCATTACACTCTGAAGATAATAACTCTGATTTTGACAAGAATGTATTTGTTAGGCCAGTTCTGGATTTCAGAAGTATGCCTACTGTTTATCATACATTTAGGTCATTAATTTGTTGATCTTTTCTTACTTCGCCGTGCCTTGATTTGCTAATCTGTAGAATGGGGATAATAGTATTTCCTATTTCACAGGATTGTTGTGAGAATTAGTGAGTCTCACAACATGAAAAGTGTTTACAGTAGTATCCAGCACAGAAAATACTCAAAATGTTAGCATGGAAAAACATGGAAAAGGTACTAGCCATCCTTTGGGAGGAGCAAAGGGAATCCTCATCCCACAGGTTCTTGTGATTATTGTAGCTAAGGAAATTTCTTTAACTTTATGACCTGATGTCAGATTTGAACTTAATTCGACTATAATGTATTCTTTAGAAATATGGTATATCATGGTGGCATAAGATTTTTTTTTTAATTACCTTTAAAAGAAAGTTAGTGAAAGAAATAGTAATCCTGTGGAATTTGGAAATTCATTTTCGTTTCTTCAAGGTAATAGCAGAAGGTTTTATTTAGTAATAAGATGATGGTCTTGTCTGTGGGTCTTTTTTTTTTTTATAAGGAACTAACTTATTTTTCAAGTGGGTCTTAAAATTTAAGCCCCAATTAATTACATGTAGCTTTCTGATCCAAGACTGACCTTGAAGCACTAACTCAAAGAGCATTTGATTTTATTTTCCTGTGGCAGTTCAATAACATTAGACCTGTTGTCTTCATTTGTCCCTTTTCTTTAATCTCCAGTATCCTGCATATTTCTATTGTCCCCTTGATTACATGCTTTTGTGAGACAATTACCAACTGTGTGATTGCAGAAAGAATTACAAAACATACCATGAGCTCTCTGTAGGTGATTCTTGCAGATTTATTAGAACTGCTTAATAGTTTAGAAGTTCGTATAGATTGCTTTTTGCTAGTTCAAAAACAGGGTCGGCAAGAGAGAAAGCTTGTGTAGCTAACCTAGCGTTGCTCTTGTATTGCGCCTGAGTAGGGAATCTGATAAGAATGATTCCTTTTCCTTAAAACCAATTAAGCCTTTACATTTGAAAAAGACTGAGAAATTAAAGCCTGGTTTATAATCTGTACACAATACAGATAGTGGCACGTCTCTGAATTATCACTATGATTCTGGCAAGCAAATATAAGAAACTACTTTAAATTCCTGCTATGTTAGATGCTGTAGCAGATTTGAATGGTGTTGACCATAATTCTCCATCTGTCTGCCTTAATTAGTTTTTGTATGGTGCATTTAATTGGGTTTCAGTCATTCCTTACAGAGTGCTAATCTGTTTGTAGGCGGTGTTCCTATCACCATGCAGCTCTTCCTAGTCTCAAAATGGCAGACTTTTTGAAAAATCAAATGTTTTAAAAATGTATTTTCTATGGTGAAACCCCGTCTCTACTAAAAATACAAAAATTAGCTGGGCGTAGTGACGCTTCTTGTAATCCCAGCTACTCGAGAGGCTGAGGCAGGAGAATTGCTTGAACCCGGGAGGTGGAGGTTGCAGTGAGCCGAGATCGTGCCATTGCACTCCAGCTCTGGGCGACAGAGCAAGACTCCATCTCAAAAAAAAAGTATTTTCTAAATTCTCAGGAATAAATCCCATACCGATACCAGATGCTTGAATGGCAGACTGGGTTTTATCTCCCTGGGTTTTGAGTAGGGTCAGCAAAAGCACTGTGTAGTTCACAACAGATACTCAGATATTGAGTGGGTGAGTGAATAAAGGAATGAATGATTGAATGAATGAATGAATTTCTACCCATCATAATTTACTTATCTGTCCCTTTGTTGATGTTTGTGAACCATCAGAAGAAGCTGCCCAAGAAAATGCTGCTTAAGGGCACATGGTTGATCAACCCACAGTTTAGTCATCTTTCATTTACTGGTAGATGAGTTCTAACTTTGGTGACCATGTTTCCCATGTTGCTTGGCAAAAGATACTTGTTTTGACTTCTGGATCTGAAAACTGTTGTTTAGATGTTGAGAGGTTTTAATTCTCAGCATTTCAATGGCTTCTGAGGTTGACAATTCTCTTTGAAGTTAGGACGGTATCAGAAAACCTAGGTTATACAGTGAATATAGCAGTGATCCCTTATTGTGGACTTGTACAGATGAGGGTAATGGAAACCTCTGGTCTCTCTTAGTTGCTCCCCTAGGCGCTTACACAAGAGGAATGGCTACCCAGGGTTGGAATGGAGTCTAGCCTTGTAGCAGAAAAAGAAGCCATAATCTAGGCCTCCTTATTGCAAAGCCTAATACTAGAGCTAATTAGCTCGGGGATGCAGTAGTGATTGCCTGGCATTTAGAAGCCAGCCTTTTGGGGTTTAGTCATTTCTACTCAGATAGTAAAAATATTAGTAGGCATTTAAAGCAGAAACTTCAGAAGCCAATAGTCAGTAGAAACTTGTTGAGTGCCCACCATATTGCCAGGCAGTGTAGAGTCTATTAAAGATGGTAATTGGAAGGTCCTTATTAGATAAACTCAAATATGTTGGCTGCAATGAGCTAGATGGAAGTAAACACAAGACCTAGAACTGCATTAATGGTGATAAATGTTCTGAAATGGTTCTGTGATTTTGGTCAAGCTATTCTACAAGAGAGACATTTCACTTTTCTGATCAATAAGTTTAAGTTCACCTCAGTTACATTCATCCAATTGATACACATCTCCACCTCTTTTTTATTTATTTATTTTTTTTGCAGCAAAATAGTGGCAACGTTAAACAATAGATAGTTGAATTTTAAAATCAAATGGAATTACCTAATTGCAATTATTGCTACATGTATATTTTCTTTTAACACTGACAATTTAAAAAGACTTGAGAAAGGTTTGCTTAAATGTTTCCTTTCCATGCGATTCATAAACAAAAGATGGCAGTTTAAAAATAGATTTTATTTATTTACTGTTTGTCTTTTGACTATAGACTTATTCCAACAAGAAAAACATCTGTTTCATCTTTTCTTCCCCCAGTGGATTTCTGGTAGTTGTTTCTTTTTTAGGCTGATTTCTTTGACATAGGATGTACAGTAAGTTGTAAAAACATCTTTGAGACAAAGATTATTTGGGATTAGGCACAAAGTTGGGATTTTAAAGACCTGGAGAAATGTGGACAAACGAACAAAGTCTACTTTGTTGACAGAGGCAAGACAATACTGACTTGGATCCAGGCTACAAATTTTTATAACTCTTATTTTTCTGATCAGATTTTTTCTCTAAAAGTTTTTTCTTTAAGTGTTGCTACCTGATAGCTGTTAACTAGTAAATTTTTAGTGTTCTGCAACTGTGAATGAAAAATGACTGTGATTAATTGCATAGTGTAATTTTTCCAAGTCACCAAAAATAGGAAGTAGCTGTTTTCTTGTAACATAAGAGGATTTATGTCTGTGTTCTTTGAACAGCTGAAGAAGTCACAGATCTAAAGAGGCAAGCAGTTGAAGAGATGATGGATAGAATTAAAAAGGGAGTTCATCTTAGACCCGTTAATCAGACAGCCAGACCGAAGACAAAGGTATGGAGTGACTGAATGCTTTTTTCCCTGTTTGATATTTCCTTTTTTAAATGTATAAATTTGAAATTTGATGAAAGCTGCATCAGGACCCACTGTCAGATCTTAGGATAAAGCTAATGTGTCACAAAAGCTTTTACTTCCACATAAGCATGTTTCAGGAGGACCCATGGTGAACCTAAATCAGTATAAAAAGGAAGCCATGTTATTTTGGGGGTGCTGTTGTCTCATTACGAGAGACAGTGATACGAACTGTTACACCAAACAAATAACAATTATCACATCCTTTCTTTTCTTTGATTCCTGATTCTTTTGTGTGATTCTACTGATTATCTGCTATGTGCCAGATGCTGTTTTAGGCACGAGGGATAAAGTACTGAACAAAATAGGCGAAAACCCTCGCCTTGCTGAGGCTTCTATTATAGTGGACGGAATCACATAATAACAACAGCAGAACAAAACTAGGACAACTCTGGGGAAAATAGTGAGACTTATATGATTGTTTTTCATTAATTTCACAAATGTTTTCCAAGTCACTTCGAGGAGAAAAACTCTCTCCTAAACTAGACCACAGCGAGCACTCCAGGATCTGTGAAGTTGCTTAGAGTCCCTTTCATGATCTCTCCCCTGCCTTTGTTTGTATATCCACTACATTTAAATAAGCCCAATAATAGTTTTAAACATTGTTCTTGAAAAATACTCTCTCTCCTCTCTAATTAGGTATGAACTGACCGGTTCTTCCTCTTCCTCCACTTCCTCTTCTTCCTTCGCCTTCTTCACTAACCTTTATGGTTTGGTTCTTTCTCCCTCTCAAGGCTGCCCTACCTCAACCGTGTGAACGTCCCCCAGTGTTATGACTTCAGTACACATTCTGAGGATTTTCTTTTTCTGTTCTTTTTTTTTTTTTTAGATGGAGTCTTACTCTGTCGCCAGGCTAGAGTGCAGTGGCGCAATCTCGGCTCACTGCAACCTCTGCCTCCCGTGTTCAAGCGATTCTCCTGCCTCAGCCTCCCAAGTAGCTGGAACTACAGGCGCATGCCACCATGCCCAGCTAATTTTTGTATTTTTAGTAAAGACAGGGTTTCACCGTGTTGGCCAGGATGGTCTCGATCTCTTGACTTCATGATCTGTCCACCTTGGCCTCCCAAAGTGTTGGGATTACAGGCATGAGCCACCATGCCCGGCCTCTGATGGGTTTTCTAAGTTGCCACTTTGTCACAGCCAGGCAAGATAGCCAGGCAAGGCGAGAGTGGCTATAGTGTGGGCTGTACATGGGAAAGGATTGGAAAGAGGGAAAGAATACTCAACTCCAAGAGTAAATTTACATCTAAGGAAACAGAAGCTTCAGCCAACCACGTAAAATAGTTCAGTCTTGTGCCAATTATCTGAAAGCAGTTTTCTAAGTAAAGGATGAAATGTAAAACTGGAGGAGAAGCTGAGTGTGTAGAATGATCTGGCACAGCTGGCCCAGTGCTGGTGTCTGGCAAGAGAGTGAAGAGCAGAGCTCTTGGAGTTGGGCCCTGGCACTGTCACCCAGCTTCCCCACACTTCTTCTCTTCAAGATGGGGATAGCACCTGCCTTATCTGACACATGGGGTTGTTGTCAAGATCAAATGGAATAAAGTGTGAAAATACTTTAAAATGCAAGGTCTGAGTGCCACCTTTGAAAAAGAATCCATTTTTATGACTTTCACATCACCACTAATTATGGAAAGAATAAGCAAAACCAAACTATTACTAGAGAAAAATACAATGCCATAAAGAAACAAAATTAGTTTTAGAAAGAAAAAAGTTGAAAACTTCTTAAATCATAAGCAATCAATGTTCCATACGTACTTTCGTTTTCAGAATATCACTTTGTGCTTTTTCTTTCTTCCCATGACTTCCTGCAGTTACACATTATTTAATGTCAATTCAAAATCTGGGAAGCAACTGAACAAGGATCAGTGGACAACTGGGTTTTTTGCTGGTAAATCTTGAACTGTGTAGATACAGTGCTGAATGACCTGGTCAATAACCTTTAAAACAAATTGTCACTGCATGCTTGAGGACAGACGTCTTCCCCTAGTACCATCAGGGCTTTCCTGAAATGTCACAAATGGCGACATTTTGTGGTCCAGGGTTCAAAAGGCTTGTGCAGTCAGAGGGCAGCCTGAGTGGCATGGCAGCACTTTTGGGTATGCCTAAAGGCAGGGCATTTGTTTGAACGTCACAGCTTATCACCTGAAGGGTTGACCTGCAGAAGTCAAGCCTGCCTTGAGAATATTAATTTAACCGCTTATTTTCAAAATTCCTTGGTGGTAGTGGTGGTGGTGGTGGTGGTGGTGCTAGTGTGGTTCAAATTAGTGTCTTAGTGCGTATGGACTGGCACTAAGGGCATGTGTATTTCACAGAAAATCTGCGCTATGAGAGCTGAATGCCTTAGTCAGCTTTGTACATGAGCAGCAAACCTCTCTCTTCTCTGTTTTTAAAATTTGAAGTAGGATCTTATTTTTAAATTGTTTTTGAGAGGAAAGGATTATAGGTTGCTGTTAATTAACTCTCATTTTTTTGATGAGAGAGAATATAACCTTACCTCTTTTCCAGGAATAAGAGGCTCAAGGGGTTCCTTTCACTATGTCTTGCAAGTTTCCCCTTCATCTCTATCCTTTGTGAAAGGAAGTGGTACGAGGGAGATCAGAAGTCTTTCCTGAACTTACTTTTCATGAGGTCCTCATGCTAAATTTTCCCTCCATTAAATTAGTTGAGTGATCTGCAGAGATCGTTAGGTATTGTGAGGCAGGCAAATCATACCCAGAATTTTACTTCAGATTATTTTGTCCATGGTATGGCCAGAAGAGAGCTGAGCTTGTAATCAAGACACCTAACTCAAATACTACCTGGCTGAAGCCTGACTTTCCTTCCAAGATGAGTGATTGGACTGCACCTCCTCTGAGGTCTTTGGCTGCTCTGGCAGCCAGCCATGCTAACTTTCTCCTGTAGCCAGGTTCTTTGCTGGTCCCTGCTCTCTCGACTCTGTCCTCTTGTGAAATTCTTACATGCCAGGCCCCTGTAAGCTGACCTCCTCCCATAGCTGGTGGAGCTGAGAGAGGTTTTCTGCCCTGTGGCTTGCTTCTGCTCTGCACTGCCTTGTTTCTAGTCTCTGCTTGCTGGCAGAGTCCAGCAATGCAGGTAGAGGACAGTTTATCCTAAGAAGCTCTGAATAATTTGGAATCAGATCTTTGAAATCCGATGTCTACCAAATCTTCTCTGTCTATGATAATAATCAAGAGGTAACAATATGGTATTTAGAAGAGGGTAGCTTGTCTCCTTTTGCTTTGAATATAACTTCTTATTTTTTGTTTAACTGCTACTTGAAAGCACTAACATGGCTAGTATTTTTTCCTAACCTTAAGACATAGTCCTAATTTAAAAATATATATAGTCATACATATTACCAATATAAGGCTACTAATAGTTTGCCATGTAAAAATCATTGTTTAGTATTTTTAAACTGAATTACTCAGTGATTTTTCTTTCTTATTAAAATTATAGCCAGAATCTTCGAAAGGCTGCGAAAGTGCAGTGGATGAACTAAAAGGAATACTGGTAAGAATAGATTTCAGTTTATTGTTTAGCTAATGGGGAAATGAAAGGAGAGTATTTTAAAATCTGTTTTTTGTGAATTGTTTGTGGTGTGTTTTATTCCCATTTACAATTAGCCTCATCTTTGGCCAGTTTATTTGATCGTGCTTACAGACTGCTCCATCACATATGTTAATAATTTTTCAAATAACACTGTGCTGTTTTTGTTCTAAAAGAGTGGTTACACTTTCACCAAAGTCATTGTTTCCTGTTCTTGCCCTCCAATCCTGGCATCACAGCTTGAAGATGAAGTGGCTGGCCATATGTAAGGGTCCGTACATGTTGATGAAAAACAGAAATATAATAGATGAATAATGCTTTACTTTGAAGCCTAAAAGGAGAATCCTAAATGTGAAGCTAAATTCCTCCCCAAATAGCTTCATATCAGGGTCACAGTCTGCCTTTCCTCACAGTCGAAACAATTATTTGATGATAAATTGAGGAATAAAATAAGAGGCCCTTTTTTTATGTTACTAGTTTTATTTTCTGACAGTTGGAGAGCATACTTTGTGTCCCTTCCTAGTCATATTTTTGCTTTTCAAACTGTGAGCTTTTGCCAATGGAATCAGCGGCTACTGCACTCTCCAGCAGTTGCTGTTAGAGACAGATGCCTCACTTAGAAAATGTTTCAGATACTAAGAGCTCTATTCTCAGATCCTGTTACGGTCCCAGTCCCAGTTATTATGCACAGTAAGTCAACAAACATGGGGGCGGAGGTACAAGACTGAATACTCCCATGTTTGTTGTTGCTGTGCCAATTATGCATTGCATGTAGACATCCACATAATTGTGGTAAACAAGATTATTTTCATCAAGCATGTCTTTAAACAGTAGACTTAACCCAGAATGGCTTAATTAGTTTGCTTTAGTTTTAAGTGAGTGGGATTAGCACTGAAGAGAGGTATATCACTGGCTAACAGTGGTGGCCTACCTACAGAATAGTGTATTAAAGCCATTGAAAAAGCATGTGGTGATTATCTAATAGATTCTTTGATCAGAAAAGTCTGTTATTCAGTGTTCTATTAAGGAGAACTCCCTATGACAGTCTCTTTTGTTGTGTTTGTGTTATAATGCTAATTCATGTTCATAAAGATGTCCTCTGGGGCACAGTTCTGGCCAACAGTGAAAGAGTAGACTATACTGAGTTTGACTTTTTAAAAATTAGGTTAATTTTGAAAATCAGACGTCTCTATGAGGTACATATGATAATATTTGATTAGCCAAGATATCCCATTCTCTGAGAATGCTGCATGGTAGCAAGTTTACTGAATTACAGCATTACTCTTAAATACCATATTCACCATAATTTTGTGCCACTTCAAGGAGAGAAATTTGTGAAATAATTTATAAGTTATAAAAAATTTTAAGACATCTTTTTTAGGGCAAATTGCCCCCATCCTTCTTGCCTTGGATCTATCTTTAGATCTCACTGCCTTACCTGGCATTAGTGTATCACTAGGAGTTACTACTCTGACAATATTACTTCTTTACATTAAGTTTTTTTAAAAGTAGAGCTCATGATCCTCTCCCCTACTCTCTGCCAAGTGGCAGTTCTCCTCTTCCCCCATAGAAGTTTCTTTGAGGAAGGATGGACTATTTGTAATTCCCTGTCACCTGGAGCCTATAAACCACACACATTCTTATAAGAAAGATAAAAAGAAAGCTCCTAGCTCGACCTGCCAGACATTTGGGTCTTTAGTGGTGCTTGTTGCTGGAGTTCAGACTGTTAGGATTATTGAAGTTAGTACCCTGTAAAGCACATGGTCCCAACCTCACAATCATGGCATGTAAGAAACAATTAAGATGGAACACGAAAAGCCTGCAGTTGTGTACTGAAAAACACAAGCACTGGTACCAGGGGTTATCAAGAAACCAAAAAACACTGTGTTCGGTTCTATTGTGGAACAGAACCAGAAAGAAGCTCAGTGTGGGTTATTTTTTGATGAAATGGAATGTGACCCAAGTTGTAAGACTTAGTGATTTGGCCTTCTGCTAAGTTAGCCCCCAGGTAGAAAACAAGTCTCTGGTTTGGGGGAGTTTCAAACCCCTATTCTATTTTCTGAGTTGAACAATTTTCAAGCCAATTTTTAATGTCTCAGTATTGACTGACCTCGTTTTTCCAAACCTACTTCCACTTAAGTTTTAAAGCTGGATATTTTGTAGATAAAAATATGTATAGTCCATTTCTCATAGTCACAAAAGGTTTTGAGGTTTAGGAAATGAAACCTTTTGAGTCACCTCAGTCACTTAGAAAGCCACTCTAAGTGACAGTGGTGATTGCTGAAGAATAGATTGATGCAAATCAAAATTCTCTTCTCAATTTCAGTTGGCTGTAAATCAAAGAACTAAAAGCAATTTTTAAAAAATTGTATTATGGGTCTTTTCCAGACATCTTCAGTTTTCCAAAATACCCAGAAATTTTTGAATAGTTAATTTTGCCTGACAATTAGATTAGTTAGTATTATGAACATTTAACTAACATGGGGCCTAAGGTTGTTAAATGACCACAGTGGTTTGAAGTAGAAAAAGAGTATTGGTTTGGGACTTGGGAAATCTAAGTTCTAGATCCAGCCCTATCAATGACTTATTGTGGGACCTGTCCCCAGACCCTGAGGCTCACTGAATTTGAATTCTCTTTTCTATAAAGTGAAGGAATTATATGTACCACAGTTTCTAAGTTAATTTCTGATTCTCAAATTTTATGATTCTAATATAAAGAGATAACTAAAATAGTCTTGGTATTTTATTAGCTGAGCTCTTCATCATTTCAGTTGAGAGTCATGCAGAAACCTTTCTTTCCTCCACAATTGCCCTTGTATTGAAAGTTTACTCATATGTTAGCTGAAGCCACCACATCCATCAGTAAATGGAGAAAGAAGTTGGGGATTCAAGGGTTAAAACATGGAAAATGGATTCCTTCAGTAATCAGGTATGATGAGAGAGTAGCTTACTACAGTCAAGAATTTGAGGAAATAATGCCATTATCCAAATAAAAAACTAGAAATTACTGTGAAAGATACATTCATCAATAAAAGATATCCTTGAAAGGTATGTATGTATGTATGTACGAACACACACATAAGTTTTCCTTGAATTAAATCAAGCCATTGAGAAAAACTACACAGTGTCCTTGCTATTGAAACAATGTAGTAGTTTTACAACTTATTTTAGTAGTGATGACCATGTGTTTTTCAAATATCTGTTTACAAATGATAGAGATGGTAAGTTTTTAAAAATTATAAATACAAATGATATGGGAATAGTTGTTGTAGTACTTTTTTCAAATGTAAAGTGGCTATGGTTCTATTTTCTGTATCTTGTCAGTATTGGTCATACCTTATGGTGTGACTCTTCTACACATAGAAGCATATCAGCAATGTTAAAGAAACAAACCAGATTTTAATGATAAAATAAGCCATTATAGTGTTACATGTGATGTGATAGTCCTTTTAATGTATTTACACAATAAATGAAAAATAAAAAGAGATACTTCTAAGGAAAAAATTATATGCCTAATTAAAATATGAGCCTTATTTAAGTCTTTTGCAAACCAGTTGATTAGGCAGCTGACAGCAAAATAATATAATCTCCTAATCTTGTTAGTCAGTTTCCTCCCTGACAACAGGTTACTTTTCTGTAACTTCAAGCAGTTAGGGAAAAAATTCCCTAAACAAAATAACATAATCTCTTAATAGAGGTTAATTATGAGATTTGTAACCATCTGATTTTACAAGCACCTTTTTTTTGTTTTACATGCTAAAGAAGAAACAAGGCTTCTTGTAAAAATGGCTAAAACAACCATTTTTAGCCAGTAGAATTATTAGAATCCTTCAGGTAGTTGGCAGGCAGGGAGGGAGCAGGATTAAGGCAAGTCCTTAGTGAGTTCAAACATTACAAAGGCTGGCAAGATTATTAGCCTTGGTGGACAAAAGCTGTCTTTTGACTCTGGCATGAAGTCTGGCAAGTTATACCAGACTTGAGGTTCTTATGTCCTCTGATCAAAAGATTATGTATGGTTCTCCTGCCTTCCCCTCCCTCCGCTGCCTCCCAAGTATGTGGCACAGTTGAGAAGGACCGTTTCTAAGAAATAATGGGCATCTCTGATGAAAGACTTGTTGATGTATTAAATCCTTATGTATCACTGAGAAATACGTCACCCAGTGTTCTGTACAAACACTTGACTAGTAATGGAGATGGAAAACCATAGCTCTCACTCTGTAACATACTTCCCGGAAGAGCCAGAGCAGGGAAACATGGATCTTCCTCTGTCTTCTTGAAAGCCAGTATCAGTTTCAGCAGGAGTACAGATTTATAGCATCTCTTGTTTCCTTCAGTGTCTTCTGGGCCCTGAATAATACATTAACTGTCTCCTGTGTTAGGAATGTGGAGTTAAGATGCCGACCCTTGCTTGCCTCTCTGTATGATTATAACTTTCCTTTCATACTGAAGTCAAGATGTGCTCAGTGCAGCCCTTCTTTGGGTCGGCCCCTGGAGAGCATTATGTGCCTCCTTTGACAGCTACGACGCCACGGACATCAGGTGTGCAGCCAGGGTCACCCTCTGAAGGATCAGTCACACATTTTTCAGTGCCGCTGTGACTTCAGTTTAGTAGCTTGTGGCTGCCATATAAAGATTTCCTTCTAAGGTGAGTTTAATATATCAATTCTCTTCTCCACCCAGTCAACACACATCACGTCTTAATCGTCGCTATGCAGGTACCTTCCCACTGATGAATTTCATATAGTCACCTCTTCCAGAAGTGTTCTTGTACTGTTCTTCTGAAACAAAAGCTAGCATTTACACCATCAATAGCATCTTCTTAAATGATCCAACACTCTGTCTTGTTGAAAATGTGCACATTTAAAAAATATTAATATATAGCAAATTCATTTTGTTTCATAATTCCATTCAAATTCTGGTAATGTTTTCATGGTTTGATTTTTATATTCTTTTGTATATTGTATTAAGACATTAACCTTTTTGTTTTTGTTTTGTTTTCACTTTAGGGGACACTTAACAAATCCACTAGTTCAAGAAGCTTAAAATCCCTTGACCCTGAAAACAGTGAAACTGAGTTAGAAAGGATTTTGCGTCGCAGAAAGGTGACAGCAGAAGCAGATAGCAGTAGTAAGCCGGTTTGAATTCTCCACAGTCCTTCTCTTCATCTCTGAAACATCTTCTTCTAAGTCTCTTTTTACATGAAACAATCTTTTAAAAAGTATTATTAAAATATTTGTTTTTAATGTGAGTGAGAAGTATGGGATGGGTAAAGATATTTATGGATATCTCATAAGAACTCTTAGATATTTTTATTTATTGGTGTGTTTACTTATTTGTAGGTAACCAGGCATTTATAGATCTGATTTGTTTAATGCAAGATGCCCTTGTGTAAAGACATTCAGGAAGAGATTCGGCAACAATATAGCATCAAGTACAGGCTCTGGAGCCAGACCACCCAAGTTTGAGTCCTAGTTCTCTTGTATACCAGCTGGTTGCCCTTAAGCAAATTACTGAACCTCTTTGTGCCTCAGTTTCTTCATCTATATAATGAGAATAATAAAAGCACTGCTTCATAGGATAATTCTAAAGATTAAGTCAGTAAGTGAAAAATGCTTAGCAATGTGCATGGCACAAAATGAGCACTCATTTAGTAGTTGCAGTAGAAATTACACATCAGTTACAAATGCAGGAAAATCATCTTTACTCTTTGTATCCATTAACTTACTGTGCCTGCCTGTGAACTGAGTGACTGGGAAATTCCAGCTCTGTCACTGACTATAATGTACCATCTGAGCGAGTCTGGAGCTCACAGTTTGCATTTGTGTGACATTAGGTCTGTATTAGGCCTCAAAATGTATCCCATAACTGTGCGTGTCTTCAGTGGTTTCATCAGCTCGGTCATGGGAATTAACGGAAACCTTTATGAGGTTTCCCCTTGTGACCAGGTAGGAAGCCGACTTCAAAAAACTACCTTAAAGTAAAATTAATCAGCAATCGCAGCTAATGGGCTGAAGCTTCTAGATTGAGTTCAGTCAGCTTCAAGTAGTCTATCGTAACAGTTTAAATCTGGAAAATGCTGAGTCACATTGACCAAATTTAAGTAGCAAGAATATTAAAGATGGGTTTTTGATCATCAAGTTCTCATGTTCAGAGAGAGATTTACTCAGACAATTGAGTAAATTGATTCCTTGAACCCAAAGTGGCTTAATACCAACCAAACTTTTATTATAAGAAGATGAAAATTTTCTTCTTTAAAAAACAAAAATCAGCCATTCAGTTTTTAGGTTGGTTTGGAAGTTCTGGTATTAAAATCTTACAAAGATTCTCCCCTCCTACTGTGCCCCCCAAAACAACTACCTCAGGAAAATTAAGGGGGTACCACAACATTTTTTTCTTAGGATGGTTTTGTGAGCATTATGCAGCCTCCCCGTAACATATAATCGTTATTCATTTTGTGACTTAATCAGTGCTTGAGTCATCCTTTTCATCGTTTCAGCCTTAAAGTGCTCATGTAAACACTGCTATTTTTTTTTTTTTTTTTTTTTGAGACGGAGTCTCGCTCTGTCGCCCAGGCTGGACTGCGGACTGCAGTGGCGCAATCTCGGCTCACTGCAAGCTCCGCTTCCCGGGTTCAACGCCATTCTCCTGCCTCAGCCTCCCCAGTAGCTGGGACTACAGGCGCCCGCCACCGCGCCCGGCTAATTTTTTGTATTTTTAGTAGAGACGGGGTTTCACCTTGTTAGCCAGGATGGTCTCGATCTCCTGACCTCATGATCCACCCGCCTCGGCCTCCCAAAGTGCTGGGATTACAGGCGTGAGCCACCGCGCCCGGCCAACACTGCTATTTTTAAGGACTTTGTTGATGTGCCATTTTAGTGCTCTGTCGTTCACATTTTGTGTTTTGCCACTGGCTTTTTCGTTTCTCCAGAAACATTGTTACTTCACTCACAAATTTGGTCAAAATGTGCAATACTCACATTTCAGAGTTAGTTTTCAATGGAAGAAATGAGCAAAGGTTTTTATTTTAGTTAATATAGAAATTTGAATAATTCAGAGTACAGAAAGGAACACATTTCATGAACATGGTGGGAATTTTTCACTTAATGTATTATATTCCACCAATATACAAATATTTGTATTATTTTAGGGCAGTTAGAATAGAAAATACATTTTCAGTAGAATCGTTAATAAATGAATAGAAAAATGAGAACTCATTGGTGAGGTAGAGAGCAAACACACACTAAGGGAGTGACTTGTAATTGAGCAGAAATTTCCTTTGAGTTTCCTAATAGCCAAAGCAAAAGAAAAAAAAAAAAGGAAGGAAACAAACTTACAAACTCTTACCATCTAAAAAAGAAATCATACCATTTTTTAGGTGGTACAAACATTTTTCTATTATCAAACTAGAGGTGGCTTTTACCATGTGAATATTTTTATAAAGGCTGTGGAATGATAATGTGAAAATTCCAGGGGGGAAAGTAAGCAAGAAAGTAAAGCTGCAGAGCTGCATGTTGGGAGTCAGGTGACAGAGGTGAGGAGTTGGATAGGTTGGTGTCTCAGGTACTTGAATCTCTGGGGTGGTTTTCTTCTGCCTAGAAAGGCTTTTGGGAAAGTAAATGTGAAGTCACAAGTAGAGAAAGGAAACATCAGAAGAGAGACAGCCTGAGAGTTTGCAGAGCTAAGATCTCAGGTTAATGGTTATCTGCCCCAGGGACAAAGGATGTTGTACCCTTTTCCTTAGGATTTTTCTTAGGCATTTAACTAATGTTCCCTTGTTTTACCTAGCCTTGTGTCCTACCAAACTGACATTTCAAAGAGCAGCAAGTGCCTCTTGGAGAACACTGGGTGGCTTAAACAGGATGCAATAATAATACTCTTAAACGGTGTACATTTTTTAAAATGTCTTTTTGTATATAAGAAAAATATAAGAGCTGTAGCTTAGCTCACTAATTGCCTTCCTTTTTGCAGAAAATGTGTTGGTGTATTCAGAAGCAGATCTTTCTTACAAGGACAGATTGTTTAAAGCTAACTAGTATTGTAGTCAACGCTTACCCAAGGGCAGAATAGAGCTGATCAGAAGCAAATCTTGAATTCAACTTCGTATTTATATTTTCAGGAACTCTAAAATTAATTGATCTTTCTGTTCTGCCCTTCTGTCGTAACTGCCACAGCTCCATGCAACATGAGGCTTGACATAGCTGGGAGGAAAAGGCCTTTTTTTTTTGTCTCTGAGATGAAGTCTCTCTTGTCGCCCAGGCTGGAGTGCAGTGGCGTGATCTCGGCTCACTGCAACCTCTGTCTCCTGAGTTCAAGCGATTCTCTTGCCTCAGCCTCCCATGTAGCTGGGATTACAGGCGCCCACCATCAAACCTGGCTGATTTCTAGTAGAGACAGGGTTTCACCATGTTGGCCAGGTTGGTCTCTAACTCCTGACCTCAGGCGATCCGCCTGCCTCGGCCTCTCAAAGTGCTGGGATTACAGGCATGAGCCACCACGTACAGCCGGAAAAGGCCTTTTAGATCAAAATATCCAATAATGTCCAAACGTGTCTGCCTAGAGAGTATAGGTGAATTAAATGGGGAAGATAGAAACTAATGCTTTGTGAACTGGGGCTTCCACTAGAACAGAGAGGTCCTGTGTAACCTGCATAGAGCAAGGCTCAGAGAGGTGTCCAACAGAATGGGTTCACAATTTTTTAGTCTCTCTTAGGTAGGTTTTTCAAATTAGACCTTCATTTTTAGAGTTGATATGTTACGCTATTATACTGAGTATATCAGGCACATTAAATCCAAATGGAAGAATAGCATTCCAGAGCTTAATACCAATGGTCAGGGATTAGCTAGCATTTTGGATTATACCCACTAGTGCTTTCCATTTTAAGATGATCTGACATTTGTTAGGGATAGACACCCAAGAGACACCCAAGTTTTGTGCTCTTCTTACTGGCACATTTCAAGGTTATCCTCTCACTTTATTTCTAGAAATAGTCATTTAATTTGCATATTTGTGACTTATCTTTGTTTTAAAAGCATTCCTTCTGAAGTTTCAAGAAGCACTTACTAGAATCATGCTTTGAGAAAAACTGACTAGGATAGAATCTTTCCACCTAAAATTAGGGACTGGCTTCAATGCCCAGAATTTTTAGATTGATATGCCAATAATTCCAGTAACAAGTTTTATTATGGTTTTTAAATCCTGTCCTAAAGAGCAGAAAAGTCCAAAAGGTAAATAGCCAAACTCTTTCCCACTTAATTTTTATGATTTTGTGTCTGTGTTTTAAGAGGAAACAAATCCACTTACTTCTCATTCACATTAAAATGAAAATGTTCATAAAAACTGTTTAATGCTCAAGAAGCCTTCATGAGCCTTTTAGAGCCTTTTGACATGGTTCCATTTGCTGTTTAAAATGCAGAACTGAGTTTTGGGAAGAATTAACTCTTGAGAGGCGAAATGGTTCGAGTAGGGCTGTCAGAAAGCCATACTCTATGAGAGGAAAAGACTTTCCACAATTCCAGTATTACGAAGGACCCTGGTCAGTGAGGGAATTGTGGCCTGGGATTTTGTGGTTTCTTAAAGGTCTGTACACAATTTCTCAGCGTGGTCCTGGTAGATTGAAATGTAGTAGTACCACGAAAGCAGAGCAGATTTCCAACAACATTTTCCAGCATGCTCTTGAAATTTTAACAAACTTGGCCTTTTCACTTCTTGAGGGATTTTCAGCTAATCTGTTTTTCAGTACCATATTAATAAGCATCATACAGAATTATTAAACTTGAGGTATGTGTTTGGTTTTAAGGTCCAACTGGGATATTAGCCACCTCAGAGTCCAAATCCATGCCAGTGTTGGGTTCTGTATCCAGTGTAACAAAAACAGCCTTGAACAAGAAAACTCTGGAGGCAGAATTCAACAGCCCGTCCCCCCCAACACCTGAGCCAGGTGAAGGGCCCCGTAAATTGGAAGGATGCACAAGTTCCAAGGTTACGTTTCAGTAAGTAACGATGCTCTTTACTAAGTGGTGTATAGAAGAATCTGTAATGACTAACTTGTGTGTTTCTTTGATTTGTTTCCTTTAGAGAGATTTTGATTGGCTCGCCGGTAAATTCTCTTCTTCTTTTCATTTGATGGGCCAGCTTTTTCATTCTAGGCTCCTAGCTAAGAGATCTCATTCAGATCCAAAGCAAGTACCATGTACAAAGAGAATTACTTCCCCTAAACTGGTTTGGTAATCAGGTTCTTCTACACAAATAATTGATCTGGATGATACAGACTCTGCGTCAGGAGACAATCAGTCTTTCAA
Organism: Homo sapiens; assembly: GCF_000001405.40. Classification (NCBI taxonomy): domain Eukaryota; kingdom Metazoa; phylum Chordata; class Mammalia; order Primates; family Hominidae; genus Homo; species Homo sapiens. The sequence goes on along the minus strand of NC_000010.11, from coordinate 116,901,455 downwards.
GATTAAATACATCGATCATCCCTCTTAATGGTTCATGAGCAGCCCAAGAAGATACTAGATCTTTCAGAGACTACTTAGAAGGGCACGTTTTTACAACCTTCTTTTCTAGTCTTCAGTTAAAGATGTGCCTAATATTGCTCTATCCTGAAAATGAAAACATACTATGTAAAGAGTTATCTGTATAGACTTGCTTCAGAGTGGCACTTTGATTGTCAAAGAGTTAATCCTGCTATTGAATGTGTTTCAGACAGATCTAGTGGAGGATCAATTTGTTTTATAACAATGGCAGCTCTTTTTTGAAATTAGTCTACAGTTTTGCTTTAGTTCTCTTGCCAGGATGTCAGCTAGTTTGTCACTTAAAGAAAAGGAAGAGGTGAGACAAATCAGATCAGCCGAATATTGTAATCATGGTTAATTAAACCTCTGATTTCCTGTCCTATCAAGAGAGAAAGAACCCCTTTTTTGTAACTCTAGCTGTCTTAGCTTAAAAGGTGAAACCTGGACAAATGAAGTTGGAATTCAATTTGGATCTATTTTTGCCAACTGGTATTTTCTTCCTCTCTTGCATTCTCTCATTGCTACTATTAACTTTTTTTTCTCTTCTGGAATGAATGGCCTTCTTTGCTGATTTACAGTTTTATCTAATTTCACTGTGTTTAAAAGCACATTTTCTCCTGTAGTCATGTGTTTCCTTTCTTTTGACTAGAGTCATTTGAACAGTTCTAACAGAAAGATGATCTATATTCATTCTCCATCTTTCCTATTAAATTTGTTTAACACCTAATTTGACATCAACAATCTGGCTACATTTGAACCAATATCCAGACACAAAAGCAATTTGGCTGAGACAAGTTAGTTTCTGATAAATGCTTCAGTGTGTGTGTATAGATTTTTCTCCTTTACCATTTTACACAGATAATCTGAATCAGAAAATACTGCAACTCCTTCCTCCTTTTGTCTGCCTTTTGTTCTCCAAAAGTAAGTGGAAATTACATTTCCAAGAAAGGAAATGAAATAATTGCAGGCCCAAGGTCTGCAAAATATGTGTTGAATTGACAGTGAAAAGGATCCATGTGTTGACAGACACAGTTGTTAGATGCCATAAAGGCAGATGTGAAGCTCAATTTATTTCTCATCTTGCTTGTTCAATGACTGCTTAAGAGACACATTCCAGTTTAATTTATCTACTTAAAGCTCTAATACAAATACTGTGGACTGCTGTATTAACTTCTAAACTTTGAAACCTAATGCTCGATTATTCGGTTCTTGACATTCTTTAGCTAAATAAAATAACTGATGCCGTGTATTTTCATATTGACAGTAATTTACCAAATAAGAGCACCTTTCTGGAAAAATCTGTTTCTTAAGTATAATTAGACTATCCAGATTGAATCTGAGAATTCTGTGTATGTATAGGTAATTATTTACCCAGACTGGCACACTTCATTCATTTAATGTTTAAACCTTTTAATGACTAAAAGAATTTTAACTTAATGTAGTTACATGTAAGCTTTAACAGTTTGTATCATTTGTCAGAATCCCCTGAAACTGGCCTAGCTTCCAGGAATGAGAAGGGTTATTTTCAGTGCTGTGTCTGGCTGGCTTTGACTTATTAGTAAGTACTCTGTTACACTAACCACATTCTCTTACTTTATAGACTTGGCCTGTCAAAGCACTTTGAAGTCGGGTCAGCAATTAATAAGTAAAGTATTTCCTTTGCTTTTAAAAACTGTCTTTGCATTCTAGTAGTTAACACTTCTATTTTGTCTGTGGCAACACCACCGTTAGTGTTTCACGTGAGTGGCGCTATTGGCTCTTGACCTGAATCAAGGTCAAGGGAGGATGCCAATGACAGTCGGCTCTAAATACAGACATTACTGTCCCAACATATGTATGCATGCACTCTCTCACACACACACACACACACACACACACACACACACACACACCAGCCCCAGCCACTCTAACTTCCCTTCCCCCTCCACTTTGGCCTTTTTGTCCCAGTACCACTTCACCCTAGGCCCTTCGCTGCCTAGTATGGTCTTCTCTAAGAGCTGCATGGCTTACTCCCTTGCCTCCATGGATGTGTTGCTCAAATGTTATCTTCTCTATGAGGCCTACCCTGGCCACCCTATTCAAAATTGTAACTCCTCTTCCCTTAAGCTCTGATTCCCCCTTATCCTACGTCATTTCTCCCTAGAGCAGTTATCACCTTCTAACTTACTATATACTTTATTTATTATATTTATTGTTTTATTTTTTCTCTCCCCCACTGGAATGTAAGCTCCATGAGGGTAAGAATTTTTTCCTGTTTTGTCTACTGGTGTGTCTTACACACATGGAACAATTCCTGCCTTATGGTAGGCTTTCAATAAATTCTTTTTGAATAAATGAATGAATGAGCACATTTTCAGTATGATCTGCGTAAGATCTTCACTTAACCAGAAAATTAAATAAAATCACACTATACCTAGAAAGTTTTTTTTCTTTCAATAAATTCCTAAAATCAACATATGTATAGATTCCATATAATTGAGTAACTCCTCTCTGGTAAATTATAAAGTCAAAGATATACTGATTTATTTCCTAGGGACTTATAAGAAAGCAAGAAACACTTTTAATGCTTAATTATAAGGATTAATTAAAATTAACATTCCTGTCACCAACATATGCAAAGCAAGGGTGTTTTTTTTGTTTGTTTGTTTGTTTGTTTTTAAGAAAAAAGAAGAAAAAGAAAGGAAAAGATAATCAGGGCTTGGGAAAGCCTAATTTATTCTGTTTCTATTTTAATAATAGCTACAAAATGTGTCCTGTTAATTATGTCTAATAAGTATATACCATCTAATCCTAGTATCTTAAATCTCACAGTGAATGTGAACGTTATGAATTCCGATTGGTTATAATTTAGATCAGAATTATGCTCATCATGTCCCTTTATGCTATAAGAGGTAAAGGGCTGACCAGGCACATTAAGTGCAAACCTCTTTTTTGCTTTCATGCTCTTCTGTTGATTAAGATTAAATCTGATAATGTTAAAATATAGTAAGATATTTTATTCACTGATTCAGGCCAATCAGTGGGTGGGTATCAAAGAGAGAAAATTCTAAATTATAGAATTTTTTTTTTTTTTTAGATGTAGTCTTGCTGTCGCCCAGGCTGGAGTACAATGGCACGATCTTAGCTCACTGCAACCTCCGCCACCCAAGTTCAAGCGATTCTCTTGCCTCAGCCTCCCGAGTAGCTGTGATTACAGGTGCCTGCCACCATGCCCAGCTAATTTTTGTAGTTTTAGTAGAGACGCGGTTTCACTATGTTGGTCAGGCTGGTCTTGAACTCCTGACCTCAGGTGATCCACCCACCTCAGCCTCCCAAAGTGCTGGGATTACAGGGATGAGCCACCACGCTCAGCCTAAATTATAGACTTTTTAAAAGAAACTCTTTTACTTTGAGACAGCTATAATACCTGGCAATAGAATAATTAAGTGTTGCCCAGGGTCAGAAAAACAAGAATGATTTGTATTTTAATCAATAAAAGCCTGTAGACGGGAGGGGGAGTAACAAGGAAACAATGTGATTTATTTTCTAAGCCGGTGCCTGTCCACATATGCACAGGGTGGCAAGCAGCATCCAGTTATTTCCAAGACTTGAACTCTAAAGTCAGACAGAGTAGGGTTCAGATCCTGGGTCTGCCGTTTAGATATTTGTGACCCTGGGAAAGTTATGTAATCTATAACTGAATTTCCTGGTGTGTAAATTGATGGTAGTAATGCCTGCCCTGTAGGACTGTCATGTAAATTAGATCATATAGGAAAAGCATTTTAATAAATTCCTTTCCTATCTTATCTTACAATTATATTGCTGGGATAATGGATCATCAAGGACCAAAGCTAAGATACTAGACCCCTGGGTTTTTGAGTGGGCCAGATGACTTGGACAAGTTGTTTAACCTCTCTGTGTTTTGTTTTCTTTTTGTTATGTTTCTTCTAATCCAAAATTGAGGCAAGTAGATTACATACTGTACAGAGTCCCTTTCAGCTTTAGAATCCCAGTAATTCCTAGCCAATGTGTTCACTTGGTAAAGCTGTTCACGGTTAGGAAAAGGAGTAAGAGGCACATATTTCCTAGCTACGTGTCTCTCAGTGTAGTTTTTATAGAAAAACACAAACCCAGAAATGTAAAATAATTAATTTTTAAAATACATCCTCAGGACTTACAAGTCCAAATCAAAATAACTGTTATCTTTTAGAGTAGTACTCTTAGGGGCCAACATACCCATTGCAGCCCTTCACTGTTGCCCCAAATGCATTTAGACCTTTTTACATTAGAAGTACCTGATCACAGGCCAGGCATGGTGGCTTACGCCTATAATCCCAGCAATCCCAGCACTTTGGGAGGCTGAGGCAGGCAGATCACTTGAGGTCAGGAGTCCAAGACCAGCCGGGCCAACATGGCAAAACCCTATCTCTACTAAAAATACAAAAATTAGTTGGGTGTGGTGGCACATGCCTGTAATCCTAGCTACTTAGGAGGCTGAGGCAGGAGAATTGCTTGAACCCAGGAGGTGGAGGTTGCAGTGAGCCCAGATTGTGCCACTGCACTCCCAGCCTGGGCCACAGAGTGAGACTCTTAACTCAAAAAAAAAAAAAAAAAAAAAGTACCTGATCACAGAGAAAATAAATTGGGCAGTCTTTCCCACCTGTTTATTTCGGGGTGGAGAAAATGGGTGAGAAGATGAGACGACTGCTTCGGAGCCGCTCTGCTGGTCCTCTAAGAGAATAGTGTCAGTAATTCATTTTGATCAAAAGATGACGTGACCCATTTTAATCACCACTATATTCAACATATGTTTCCAAATGACTTTAGCTTTTGAAAGTGGATTCAATTTTTGGACATAGCTATCAGTTCGCCACCATTGCAGATGTATGTATTTTTTTAATGTGACATAGACACTTGATATGCCTGCCAATCACATTTACCAAAGAGTGTCGTGCAGTACAGTCAAGCCGAAGCTGGTTGGGGCCTAGCCTTCCTTCTTTCACCCCAGCTAGGTTGACTAGTCCCACATTTACACATTCTGGGATGTTGAGTAATGAGTAGCTAGGAAATTAATGTTTCTGAAACATAAGTCAAGCAATAAATAAGAAAACCCAGTATACATCAGTGTGGGTGAAATTGCCTTCCATTTTAATCCTATGTGAGATACCTGAAACATGTTAACTCTATTATCAACAGAATGCATAAATCTGATGTTCTTGGTTGATATAGGTATAATAAAGGAAAAAAGCATTTTCGGGGGAAATGCCAAGAAACTTCCATTCTGTGTGTGTGTTTTAATACTTCTATTACTCTTTATCAGTATATATTCACAATAAAATAATATCCATCTAAGAGGAAATGTGCTGAAATCATAGTAGGCAGGATGTATATGTTAGCTATAGATGGAGGCTATCGGTAATGGAACCAGCTTCCAGTTTGGGGATTGAGGGTTTTGGAATTTGCTTCTGTGTTGTTGTTACTGTATTTCACTAATATTAAGCAAGGTGCTTTTGTTTATTATTTTAATTCTCCCAAACCTATAGATTGGACATTATCCCAATTTTACAGGTGAGAAAACTGAGGCTCAGTGAGGTAAACAACTTGCCCAAAATTACACTTCTAACTGACATTTAGATCAAATTGCACTTGAACGTTTTAAACTTTATTTCCAATGCCAGTGCTTTTTGAACTATGGTGTACTGCGTTTAGTGTCTTAAGAGCTTAAGGAAGGAGAAAGAAAAGAATGACCATAAGATTCCTTCTATAGGAGGTAATGATTCTGCAGTTAAGTTGCTTCATTGACCCTAAGATACTCACATCCTGTTCCTTAGACCCTGCATACTCATAGGTAGTTTCATGTCTTCCTTTTCTCATTCTGTAAGGCTAACCTAAGCAATTTAAAGATCTCTTGTCAAGGGAGGAAAGTGTTACCCAGTAAAACAGAGTTCTGAAAAGGGAGCCTATCTGAATTAGCAAAAAGTCTTAAAGAATAATTGGAAAGAAATTATTTCAATTTTTTTCATGCCAAATGTCCAATAAAGGGCTGTGCTTCAAAATAAATTTTAGAAATTAGCCTGTCAGAATACCAGCCTTAAGCTACTTTAGTCGTCAGCATAAGTTCTATTTGCACATTTTTTATTTTATTGAACATTTTAACCATGCTGAGAAATAGTTTTTTCCCAGAAGTCAAATACCTTGAAAATTTCTGACCGTAATCATTGGATTAGAAAGATGCTTTTACTAAATGATAATATGATAATACAAAGGTGAATCACTCTCTGTGAATCTAGTTGAAAAACATACATTCTAAAGCACCAAATACATTTTATTATTGTATCCACTTTATTCTATGCCTTTTTAAGAGAGCTTCATGTTTGGTCAATTACTGGTTAACACCTTTGAGTTTGTGTTTATCCATTGGTCATTATGATTTAGGACATTTTTATTATAAAGAGAGGCAGGATATGTGGGCCTTCAGTATGGAGAAAGAGGTAAGCAGATCTTAAAATGTGTCTGCATCACAGTCAGGCAGAGGCTTAAGAGTTTCATGTTTTCTTGCCCTCTTGCTTTTCTCCCCTGAAACCATCTTATCTGAAAGTGGCGCTGCTTGTCTGAATTGAGCTTTTTCATCCATATTCACACTTTTTCAATTAATTACTTTCAGGAAGGTGAATATCCTCCTAACAGTTGCAATTAGACAAGGTAGTCAGCCTCAAAGATGATTTTTCATTTTATCTAGTTACTTCTTTAAAACCTTACTTCAAAAGGGAGAAGCCCTTCGAAAGGGAACTCCTGTTCCATTTCAACAGTGTGGTTTGCAGTGCTTTCATAGCTGTGTCGTCTTGGTCATTCTCAAAGATCCTTTTAAGCCACAATTAATTGCCAGAGATTCTTCAAGTTAACATTTTTCTAATTTATCATGCTTCTCTTCACCCCAGGGTCCCCTCAAAACTGTAAGCTTTATCAAGCTCTTTTCAATTTCCTTTTTAACTGCCAGACAGGCAGTTTGCTTTTTCGTTTGGGGGAGTCAAAAGAGGTTACATGCTGCCCTAGAAGAATTTAAAAAACAAAAACCCATGTGGCAATTATAAGACTTCAATTTCAATAGAAAATGTTCATTTCCAGTGAAACCATTTTTATTTTAATTTGCATTTAATTTCTATGTCTGTGGTATCTCTAAATACATGTGACTTTTGGCCCCACACAAATTTATTTTTGTAAGAGTTCATCTTGTTTGGGCCATTAATGAAACCAAAGGGTAGTTGACAAAAGATAAATTTTAGATGTTTCTTGGTTGGTGTGACCAGTCAAACATTTCCATGAAAGAAAAAAAATCTAATTGCCTTTCAGGTTTTGAATTAAAAGTAAGATTGATTTTTATCATTGTTTGACCTCTAACTGGTCTCTTCATTCAGTATTTCTGATGTGAAACTAATGTAGAAAAATGAAATAGGAAAGTACTGCTTTTTAATTTACTGGAGCTGGAGAATCTGAGCTATTTTATTTTATTTTGTTTACTTTCTCTAATCCTATGAAAGATTATGAGCTTTTGAAATACATTAGCAAATAAAAATTGAGATTCTTAACTTACTTTAGGGAAACTTGGCATAAAATTATTCTCTCAAACTAATTATCTCAGCTGGAAATTAATTTAGTTGGCCATATAACCATTCCTTAAGAGAGGTTTGGGGTCATGTTTTGTTCAAATGGAGACTAGGGAAGTTCTTTTAGTCCTGGGATGGAAAGGAGTGGATTTTGTTCCTGATAGATACTCCCACCCCCACCATTTCCTCATAACCTCCGCTTCTCCGCTTTCTTTCTCGTGTGTGTGTGTGTGTGTGTGCACATGAGTGCCTATCAGGGAGGGGGAGGGAAGGCGCCTTCCCTGTACTTAGTAAACATTTGTTTCTGAGAAGAGACTACCAGCTAGCAGAATGAACTGCATGGACGTTACTGCTTAATCTGATGCTCTTATACAATTAAAGGATTTGCTCTGCTCTCAACTGTAATCTTAGTACTGCTGAATTGTGTACTGACACTGCAGGAAACAGCTCTGTTCAGCAAAGCGCTGCTACAAAGGTTCTCCATGTGCGCCTGTACATGGACAATTAAGTTTTAACAACAAAATTAGCAGAACAACTGGATGTTCTGGAAGTTGAGATCCCTTCACTTCATTTTTTTTCCTTCCCCCGCTGCCAAGGAGTTATCCTGTGGACTGCCCGAAAGATCCGCCTGTCAGGATTGTCTTACAAGTGTTCTGAGTTGCTGTGCAAACAGCAACTTCCTCCAGATTAATTGTTGAGGATGTATTACACCTAGTGTAAAAATGACTGTTAAACTGCTGTTGAGTAAATCTCAAAATTACTGTTAAAATGCTGCTGAGTAATTCTCAATTCTCTCAGAGAATTAATTGCCTTCTAACATTTGCTTCCAGTTGCAAGCACCTATGATTTTTAAGAGACTTTGTATAAAATATACCATTTCTGCATAGAGAACCAAATTGCTTTCGGTACATTGTAGTTTTCTTAGCCATTTTTCAATAGTCTACACAGTGTTTATGTTTCCTTTTATTTGTGTATAGTGGAGTAGAGGGGAGGTTTTTTTATTCAAATAGAAGAAGCTAAAACTCAAATGCAATGTCAGATCTCAGAATAAACTGACCCAATTTCTGAAACCCAATAAACACATTTCATTTGTAATATTCTTTATTATATAGCTCTATGAAAAGTAATTTGTGACTTTCGATCTTAAAAGAGAGTTTTAAAAATACACAGTAAATTGAAAGAAAAACTACTACATTTAAAACAGTATTTTCCTGAAAACATAGAATGAAAATGCAAGTATTTTGTGCATGGCAGCTGTTTTTAAGGAACCAATGTTATATATGGTGAATTTTGTGGAAGACTATGTCTCTTAAAATATTTCTTATAAATAACATGGCTTTTAATAGCTGGAATCTGAGTGGATTTTCCATGATGACTTAATGTTGTGCAGAATTATAAAAAGCTAAAAAACGAAGCTTAAGAAAATGATCACCCACATTTCAGAATCTTTGGCCGAGCTGAAATCGTAGTTCACGCATTGTCAGTGTTGCTTTTGCTGTGAGAATAGTCCGGTTTCCTGAACCTCCTTGTGCCAGTGTATTTTAGATTCTGTAAATGTGTGCAGTCCAGCCTGCACTAGAGGAATAAGATAATATCCTACAAGGTACAAGCTACAAGGCTCCCTAGCATTGCATTGTGGTCCGGGAGGTAAGCCGTGTACTGGGATGCCTGTGCTGCAGTCACTCAGCTAAAGAAAATATTGCTGAGCATAGACATAGATCTTTGCCCAGCCATTGTTACCTATGTTAAAAAGGAATTCTTGTTCATGTTGAGAGCAAATCAGCATCTAGAGGCTGATGTCAGATTTTCAAACATAGTAGTATTCTGTTGTTTAACAATGTAAATAATTAAATCTACTTTTTCCACAAATAGAAGTGGACCCAAATTGACAAACTTAATACGTTCTTTGAGCTAAAATGAAGTTTTGAAAAAGTACCCAAAACAAAAAGAATTGAGCTTTGTTCTGCCTTTATTATATTTTAAAATAATGCTAGAATCGGTAGTAATATAGAAAGTTTCACCTTAGGTTTGAAACTTTATTTTGTGAAGTTTTGGACAAGTGTATTAAAAATTTGTGAAGTTTTGGACAAGTGTATTAAAATCTCCTGAAAAATAGGGTTTCCAAAAGAAACAATCAAAACTACCTCTGCTGTAATGCCACTACTGTTCACTGCAGTAACTGTATAAAGGGCTTGGAAAAAAATAAGAATCCTTATTTTTACACCAGAGAAAATATAAAAGGAACTTCCTCTTTGGAGTTTGTCCAGGAAACGACTTTATAAAGACAAATTTAAATCTTTCTGTTTTCTGTCCTTGAAGGCGGTAAATATGGTTGCGGTTTTATCCATTTTTATTGTAAATGAAACAGAGTTCAGACCGTCCGGCTGTGCGTCATTTGTTGGATGGCTGCCACAGACTAATGCAGACATCCCACTGGGAGACCAGAGAAGAACTATACTTTGATTCACCAGATTGTGTTAAATAGTCCAGCTGTTGCGATTTGAAAGATAGTTACCTCAGAAGTGAAATAGAAATGAACTTGGCATTTATGCCTCAAACCATTTTTATACTGTTTGGCAATCAGCTTTTCAGAGGTAGCATTTTATAAAATAACTCTCACCGCTTAAAAGTTCATTCACTGTAATGTTCAAAATGTCCCACCTTTATATTATCAGTAAAATTAAGCTTGAGTGATATGCAGAATTTGCATGAAATAAGCATTTCCCCCTTCATTTCATGAGCTTTGATTGTATTCAATTGAGCTCAGAACCACGTCTATTAGGGCTCTTTTGGGCATTAGTTAATTTGAATTGCAGCCGAAATGTTAGCTAGAATGTTGTTGAATATAGTTGGAACGTGGAAAGTTGATTTTGAAAGGAATTTCATTGAATGCAAACGATGTCCTTTTTAAAAATTAGAATGCTGCATTTTCATCTCTTGTAACACAGTCTGAGAAATCACTGAGTCCTGTAAAGTTCAGCGTTGGCATGGCCATTGCCATTGTTCTGATTCTTCTGGTACCAGTATGGTTTGGAGTCAGGTCTTTCCTTTTACTAGTAAGTTGCCCCACCTGCTCAGGCCCCACGTTTGGGCTCTCTTGCAGTAGGGGCACAATAGCTGCTTTCTAAAAGGTCACCCAAGTTTTACTTGGGCACCAGGCTTCATAGAGTGGCATAACTTGGTATATTTCTCGTAGCTTTTATTTTGCTTTTTGGTTTTTGGTTTTGTCTTGAAATAGCCTTTGAGCACATAGTCTAATATGACCCGTGAAAAATATCTATATGAATGGATCATAAATGACAACCAGTATGTTGTGGTAAGAAAAAATTATTGGACAGGAAATCAGGATTCCACTAGTTTAGTCCTGTGTCTGCTGTTAACAAGTTGTATGCTGATTTAACCTCACTGTTCCTTGGACACTTCATCTGACAACTGAAAAGGTTAGACTAGCTCACCATGGTGATCCCTGTCAGCCCAAGCATCCCATGATTTTAGTTTTAATTTATAAGTGATACTTGTAAAATTTAAGTTTTACTTGCAGATTTTGTGGCATGCAGGAGACAGGCTGCCATCACTTTTTAGAAGTACAGACTTTTAATTCCTTATTGTGGTCTTAGTCCTTAGAGGTTGCATTAAAGTAGAAAAAAAAATTGAACAGAATGACAGTATATTACAATTCCCATTGAAGTGTTGCATTTGAGCTTCTGGGATTTCTACCTTGGGGAGAAGCTTCATATTTAACCCTCTAGAACCTGCCACCATGACTACTAGAGTGAGAACTTGGGTTCTTGGCACCATCACTGATGCGGCTCTGTGGCTCTTCCCATACGATAGGAATGAAGGTAGAATGAGGCCTAGGAGAAAGAAAGGACTCTCATTCCAGAAGGAGTCTTGGGCAGCTGCCCGTGGGAGCCAAGAGTGGACCTAGTGATGTCAAGCCAGGAGGAGCTACAAACCACAGGGGAAAAATTAAAACTAAGGGATAGCTTGAAGGGATAGACTTTATTTACAGATCTGGAAGATGGAGATGGAAACGGATTCGGAAAGAATGAAATCAGTAAACATGCCAAAAACTAGCCTGTAGCCTCCTGTTTCTAGGAGAAGATGCCTTTGAGAAACAGCATGCTGTCATGGAAAAGGCAGAAACAGGGAGACAGGAGCTTCTGACTCTTGTTCTGACTCTGCCACTGATGAGCTGTGTGGTTTCGGGCCAGTTCCTTCCCCTCTTCATGCCCCATCATCCTCATCTGTAAAAGGACAGGTCAGACTAGACGATTGCCCTAGTCCCTTTCCACCTTCCACTGGGATTCTAAGGCAGTGGTCATTATCCTTGAGAAACCAGTCACTCTCCCTCCATGCCTAGATTCAGAAAATGCCCACTGCGCCTAGTTCAGTGATAACAAAGGGGTTCTCAAATTGTAGCCTATAAGTGACTTAATAATAGATTAATCTGCAGTCAAGAAGCTTGCTTCAGGACAGGGAGATCGTTCTTTGGACTGAGACAATTCCAGGACAATTTCAGCCTGACAATACTAGGTTTATGAGTTTTCAGTTCAATCAACATCCATGTATTGCTGCTGTGGAGCCCAGAGAGCACTTCCTGGAAATTTTTAGCCCTGAGCTGATGAAGAAAGCTTTTTCTAGGATCTGTGCACCACCCCTTCACCTACAGACACACACGAGCATGGAAACATCCATGGTAGTTCTACAGAAGTGATGAAGGTTAGTATGGGTTGATGGAAGTTGCTCACCTAGAATGAGAGAAATACTACCTCCTTTGCATGCTGAAAGCAGTTTGACTGGCTTACATAAGAGTGGGCCCAGGCCCAAGATGGTGAAACCTTCGTACTGGTGACTCAATCTGCAGACTTGGATGGGACTTTCCCTGGAACCTTAGCTGGGCTGCAGCTTTATTTCCTAGAATCTCCTCACCTGTTTGTTTTCAGTTTAGAGTTGCCGACAGATAAATCTGCATGAGATTTAGAAGGTGGAAGTGAAGTAGTTGTCTTAAAAAAATTTTTTTTAACCCTCGGAAGGTCCGTGTAGGGCAGGCTCTGTTATAGCTTGTGCATGACATTCCTGATGTGCTGACTCACCTAACTGGCATGTGGCAGTGACTGGCCCACAGTTTCTCCAGCTCCCCACATCTCCTCCTCCAGCTTTTCCAAATCCTGGGGCAGGTGCATGTGCAGCTCCTTGGGGAAGGCTCCTGCTTATTCTGCAGATTGTCTTGCATCATCAAGATTGGTGCTTGTGAGAGAGAGATAGGTGCAGCTCTAGTTTGTCCCCAGTCTCTGTCACTTTACAGCCGCCTTCCCTCCCAACTGTCAGAACAGCTGACTGCAGGCCCAGTGTCAGACGCAGAAGCAGCAGATTTACACAGACGGCATGACTAGTGCCTCTCATTCCCTAAGGTCTGATTCCTCTGATCAATCCTTAATATTACTCATAGTTGTTCTGCTTCTCCCATCACAGGCTTTTAAATATTGTGTGGGTCAGAGAGAGTCAAAACAGGTACCACTGGAGAAACTACACCCCATTCTGATTCCCAAAGCATAGCGGCAGATGTCTGGAGAAGTAGTTCCTTGGCCAAGGTAGATGGACAATGTCATGGTGCCATAATCAGGCAAAAATAAAGGAATCTGTCCTCACTACAGCACAGCCTGTCCCCAGGCTCCTGATTATTTTTGTTTTTACCACCTCCAAGGAAGACATAGTGTTTGTCACTTAGGATGATGACCGAGCCACACATAGGTAATATAACCCAGTAGCCAGAGGGAGTGGTTTTTAAACATTTGGACAGATCTTACAGTACTGGTCAGAAAGTGAAAAAAGCAGTGTGGTCTTTGGGTTTGAGGTTTTGTGCCCGTGACCGGGTCATGCAGGTTACTTTTGCTCAGTAGTTGATCATTTGTTCTGTTGTTTTTGTTGCAAGAGAGACATCCAGACCTACTCACACCCAAACCTTGATTTCTCCCCCTTCATTCTGAACCCTTCAGTTTATTAGTATTTGCCCATTCGTTTAGTCCACAAATGCATCTGTGCTAGGTGCTGGGGATAGAATTGTGAGTAAAGCTAAACAGTCCCTGCCTCGTGGATGTTTACATGCTATTGGAAGAGACAGACAGGAAACAATTGTGGTAAGTCCAACAAGGGAGAGGTATTAGGTGGTAAAAGAGTGTCTCCTGCCAGCTCTGACCTGCTGAAGGGGTCAGAGAATAGTAGAAACCAACTCCTGGTGAGGGGCTGGTAGAGCAGTGGGCAGGCACTGGCTGGCAGCTCACTGGCACCTGGCGGAACACCAAGAGGTGGGATGGTGGTGTGCCGGGTCATGGTTAACAGCCAGTTCTCAGGGACAAAAAGGCCTGATCCTAGCATTTTCCAAAAAGACCAGAAAAGTCCGAAAGCCCCAGCCCTGCCTGCTGCAGCTGCCTCCACCTTCAGGCCGCAGCTCAGCAGCCTGAACCTTCGGGTGTTTCAGAGATATCTGTTCCCATAATGAAATCCTCACCCATTCAGCCTGAGAAGCCATAGCTTCTTGCAGCAGAAGAGACGAGAGAAGGAGTCTGTGGAAAACTGCCTCTGAAATTCCATAAGAAATTTCTCAAGAAACCTGATTCTCCTTTTAGAAACATTAATGGTAACTTAGCATTTTAGCTTCTACTCTGGCTCTCTCTCCGCCCTTGGTCCTACCACCACCCCCTCCTGAAGTCTGACCAGGTCTCCTCTAGTTGGTAATGGCAGCAGTCAGCATGCCTCTCACCTGTCCATCAGTGATGAGGGGTGATTACTCCCCTTGTCCCTGCAGGCTCCTCAGCACTACCCTGCAACCAGCCATACCCAGGGACACACAGGAGGGAAGGGAGTTAACTGGCTCCATCCAGCTAAGTGAGGGCGGGTGGGGGTCTGGGCAGCAGGCTGTGAGAAGTTCACAGTTTGTCCATGAGCTTTACGCTTCCTGAGAAGAGAATGCAATTAAGCAGGTAGGTGCATTTGGCTTTTTAACACTTCTGTAGTTAATCGCTCTTTCTCTGCCTTCTTTCTTCTGGCCTTGTGCTCCTAGTATCAGCTGTGTAATCTGATAGCTTCATTTTTTCTTTTAAATGGCTGGCATCTCAAAGACTACTATATGCATGTTGATTAGACTTAGAACATTTTGGGTTTTATGTTAGTCTGAATCCAGAATATCAGAGACAACTATTTTCTCTCTCTGCTTTTTACTTTTTTTGTCTAACTCTTCATCTCATAGGCCTCCCAGTAGCATTGGATGCAGGAAAAAATACATTGACGGTGAAAAACAAGCCGAACCAGTTGTAGTTTTAGATCCTGTTTCTACACATGAACCCCAAACCAAAGACCAGGTTGCTGAAAAAGATCCAACTCAACACAAGGAGGATGAAGGCGAAATTCAACCAGAAAACAAAGAAGACAGCATTGAAAACGTGAGAGAGACAGACAGCTCCAACTGCTGATCCATAAACCAGAAGCCTGACATGTTTGGAAGTCCTTTTCAATAAGCACATGATTAGTGTTGTTATATTGGCAAGGGCTGTAGACATTCTGCTCTGGTCACTGTATTCAGAATACAGGTTCTTTTCTGGTGTCACTTTTGTAAGTAGCAACTATAAACATAAGTAAGCTGTTTAGCAAAACACACATTCCTAGTAGGTTTTGGTTTTTTGATCTTTATAAAGATGAGGTTTTTTTCCTAGTTACTGTATTAAGTATGACTTCTTTTAGAAGGTTACAAAAAAATTCAGATGTTGATACCTTTTTAGGAAATGTGCATACCACTCATCAAATGGAATGCTGAAAGTTTGAGGTGCTTGTATATAATCGGATAAACAAAACTGATCAACCCAATGTGATTTTAAAAGCCCCCAAAGAAGCTTCTGTTTTGGGTCTGATCCTCTTGATGGAGAAACTGCAGCAGCATGGAAATTGTTGGGTACTGTGGCATACAAGTTATTTTCTACAGTAGACTGAGATAAACTGAAAACTCAGGAGCTGGCATCAAACTCGTAGTCCCATAGTCAGTGTTAATTACACACATTGTTAACTATTGGATGAAAAATACATGCTATTGATTGTGTCCAAAGCCTCCCGAGGACCTCCGTGGGGATGCTCTGGTAGCCTGAATACAGAACTGAGGTGAAAGTCCAAACCTTGAATTTTACAGTAGTAAGTTGGTAAACCATGTGCTCTGTGCTATGAGTTAATTATGTTTTCCCAAATACTAATGTGGCACAAGTACCATATTTTATCAGAGTTCTTATGTACAGTATGGTGAAGATAAGTGACAAGCACACATTTTTCTTGCTTCACTGCTGTTCTATATTACACAGGTTTGTTGTTGTTTTTTTTAAAAAAGAAATTAAGCAGTAGTTAGTCTCTAAAAATACAATGTTTCAGGCTACCACAGTGAATAAATAGAAATGTAATCAGGGATTAAAAAAAAAACTTATGCAGCTTTTCAAAGTTGATTGTTTCAAAATTGGTGTTTATTTAAAATAAGTGGTAATGTACTTGAATGCACTTTTTATGACAATGATTCAGTAATGGTAATTTTACTATTAAAGAAAGTGAAAGGTTTAGTTTTGTTAGCATGGCTCAGCATGTAGCTGTCAGGTGTTTTTCACCTAAGGGCAAAAGAAAATGATAGTAATAATTGCAGTAGTTGTATTGTATTGTATTTTTGCACGTGTGGTAAGCATAGGCTTGAAGAGGTGGGTAGGCAGGTACATGTACTTCCTAAATTTGGAGATAATTATCTTTCTGTAAGTTCGTTATGCTTGACTGTTTCCATGTTCTCCCAATAATGATTTTATAGTTACTTATCACTTTACTCATGGAGAATTAAAACGTAATGTTTTTCAACTGTATCTTTCTTTAACTGGATAATACTGCTATATGATATGCTTACTACAGACTGCATTAATTCACGAAACGAATTCTGTTATGCTGTAATTTGAACTCTCCTCACCACAACTTATTAAAAAGGCACCAATAGTTTCCCATTAAGGGTCAGTTGTGGTTATTATTAACGTTTCTGGTTTAGTTCCCCAAGCTTGACATTCTTTAATAGAAAATTGTATATGATTTGACAACTTTAGTAATTTTTAATAGTCCCTAAGATGGTTTATTGAGTTTTCTTTCATGTTTCTTTGTGCTGTCTTCCTTCTTGCATCTGTGATCTGTCTGCCAGCATGCAACTCACACACATTTAGGAATATAAAAATATGTACACTGTCTTTCCATATTTCATCACACCATCACAGAATAATATGGTTATCAAAATACCCTCCTTTCTAGAGTAAGAAGTTGCCCTTTGGGTGAAATGTGTTAGCTGGACTAGGGAACAATTAGTAACAGGTATTTTGAAAGTATTCCTGCCTTTTTTAAGCTGCTTACTTTCTCTCACTGTGATTACAAAGCATTTTAAATTAATTTGACATGAAGGTATTTGATGGAAGATATTCACTCACCTTTTTCTGCCTACAGTTTTTCCCTTTTCACTTTGGTTTTGAGGGGGTTTTGCCCCTGGCTGGGGTGACACTGTCAACCAAAGCAAGGGATCCCAAATAGGAAGACATAGGAGAACCGTGCTTATATCTGCAAGGTATGTTCATAGCTATTGCACACACAAAACTTACATACGTCCTGCTTACACAATTTTAAGTTGGAAAAGACTGCATCTTTATGTTTTTGATTTCTCTAAAAGGTTATTTATGCTTCCTTCTGTTTGGGAAAGATAAATTAAGTCTTGTGCGCTATAGAGGATTTTTTTTCTTTAAGAAAAACGAATGTTGATGCATTTTATAGCCCGAGTGAGGAACAGAGATAGAGGTACTTTGTGCCATTGCTATTAAAGAAAAAGAAAATGTCTCTTTTTTTTTCTGGAAGAATAAGATTTTAATTAAAGCACTTGCACCCTTTTGTATGTGAGCTGGTCTCAAACAAAGTCCTCACCCACAGCAGTTTCAGCAGCTGAACAGTCCCATGGAAGTTCTGACTGGCAGGCATCAACAGGGCTATTAGCACCCAGCATAGTTTGCCCTGAGTACGGAGGATGGATGCTTTGGCTCTAACTACTCACCAATAATTGCTCCTTCCTTACCTTCTTTGTTAATGGTAAACTGCTGGAAATGGAGTAGTACAGGTAACAATTATTTTTAATTGTCTTTCCAGACCAGTTTTTGGTTGTGTGTTCAGTAAATGATAGTCTGTATCACAGCCTTCAAGTCTGGATTATTTTTCTAAATGCATACTCTACCTGTTCAGTTACACTCGTTGTGGAACAACATTAGCTTATATACCAGTAAGTTGTCGAGAATGGATAACCATCTGTCATTATCACTGACCTTCAAAGACTCATCAAGCAGTCCCTGCATAAGGATTGGAGTGGTTTGAAGTTTCTCTTCCAAGCACTAACATGTCCCTATCCCACAGTCATTTTAATTTGGTATGTGACTGTTTCTTTCATTTCTTTCACAGATAATATTATATATACAGTTATATAAATATATTTCATATTAAATGTTATATAACACAAGAGAGAGAAAGTATAAGTAGAAAGAGTGCCTAGCACCCTAAGAAATTTAAATTAAAATGCTAATTATCCATTGGTGAGTGCAGTCTCGAGGATAGGTGAGTAAACTGCTCTGTGTTGAAGTCACACTGCTGACCTGGTTATTGTAATAAATCACCTCTTTGGTTAATTTAATTTAGTTATTTTGTTATTCATTGTACATTTTTGCTCTGGTTTTAGTAATTTAATTATAATTTATATCACTGTTCCAGGGCATAGTCTCATGATGTGTGTGTGTGTGTGTGTGTGTGTGTGTGTATTTTTCAAAGGGTATGTGAACACCCAGTCATGTTTGTTCTGCCTTTCAAATGAATTTTCCTTCCAGTTTCTCCTACCCGTTGCTTGTTGCTAAGCATCAGGAGAGGCAGTAGCAGCCACAAACTGTGACACAGTTCTTCCAACTTAGAGTGATACCAACCAAGTCTCCTGCATGCTCTGAGAGAGTCTGCGCCTGAGCCAGTTTCAAATCATAGCTTTGAGAATAAAGAGTTGGCTCTGTTATGAGGAAATTAAGGTCCCTTGTTAGTACTCTTTAAAAGGAGAGGTCCTCAGTGTGCTTAATAAAAATTATAGAATTTGTCAGAAGTCTAAACTTAGCCAACTCCCCTACAGGTCAGTACATAGCAATTTATATAATTTTTAGGAGAAGCAAATGGTAACCATTTTAACGAGACCCTAAATCATATAAAGTGGTTGGATATTATTATATCTATATGTTTGTGTCTGAATATATTTATTTCTGCTACTCCTCTGCTATAATCCCAACACTGGCTTACAAAAGAGCAATTCAGGCAATGGATATGTCACATCATTTTTTTTTTTTTTTTTTATCACTTGCGGATTGCTTTTTAAATGCTGTGGTATGAATAACTGGGCATTTAATAACCTTGAGAATATTAATTCATTTACTGATGTGCTTATTCATTTATACTCATTCTTACTCCAAAAAGGATCTAAGAAGACTCGCAAAGATAAAAATAATACAAGAAAAACTAAAATTTAAAAAGGAGAGGGAATTAGGAAAAAAGGAATCAAGGGTAGGAAAGTGAGATGAAATTGGCTCTTACAAAAAATGGTGATGCTCTCACACTTCTACGTGAGGTTGGTTACAAAAATGTGTCAGTGCTTTTCAGCACAGACATGTAGAATAAACACAGAAGATGGACATCTGTTCCCAGCACAGAGAGCTTCTAGGGTCATTAGGTTTTTGTTCTCAGAGATATTCTGATTGGTAAAGGATGGGGTGTTTGACTGAGTGTGGAGTTGGCAACAAAAATATTGGCCTCTTTTACTGGAGCGTGTCCCTGAAAAATGGACAGGAGAGCTAATAGACAAACAAAATCCACATGGAAGTGTGGTGGCTGCAAAACGAAGTTCACAGAATTTCAGGCAAAAACATCATATATGTAATTTACCAAACAGTGGAATTAGAAGAATAAAAACCACAAGAGTTGGTGAAGTTGAAGAGGAAACTCCATGTGGAGACACGGCGCCGTACTTCAGACCTCCCGGTCTACTAATACTGATGGTGTGGCTGGAACCTGGGGTGTGTACAGCCCTATCCAGAGGATGCTCCTGTTTCGGCTGATTCCTCTACACCTTGTGTGGGGAAGGTGGGCACCAGCGGCTCCCTAGCCGCAGCAGCCTCAAGTGCCTCCGCAGCCTTTTCAGCTTCCTCATTAAAGTAAAAAAAAGTGTGTTCTTCTTTGAAACCTATTTAAAGTAACAATAAAGTTTACTGTCTAATCCAATGGTGCCAGTTTTTATATACTACATAAGTTGAAGGAGATCATCTTCAGTACTAGTCCAAAGGTGTCACATCACCATCGGAAAGGACTCCAGAACCATTTACAACTGGGCGTATCTTTGGTTATATGTTAATTGTGCCATACAGATGTTCTGTTCGATTTTACTTGCACTCTCATTCAACATTCTGGAACATCTGATGACGCATCATGGACTTTGGGCAGAGGCTTAGCGGAAAGGGTTAAGAGGAAGGTGATAAACTGGGGGAAAGGCCAGTATTAGGCATGATACAAGCCACTGCCAGCTGACTGCTCCCAGGGAAATGATGGCAGGCGAGGACCATTCCAGTCAGGTCCTTACATGTAAGTATTGACAACATTTTAATGGCTGAGCTTTTGCCAAGATTTCCTACTCTAAAGTGGGAGTGGAGAGATTTATTTTTCCAGTTTTTGGTCCCTTTAATAGTGATTCACCAAGGCCAGTGTCAGAGAAATTCTCCTCGATCTGTTAATCTATTGTGGAATACTGAGGCGGCTGCACTGTCACCACAGAGGGGTGGAGCCTGTGGTCACCAGAGTCCTTTTGGATGCCCTGCAGCAGCTGTTTCCCTCGTGGTAACGTCTGGCTGGAACTGGGATTCAGGGAAGCTAAGGCCTCCAGTCAGGATGTCCAGAAAAATAATCAGATATGTGGAACAGTATAATTTTACCTATTTGAAAAAACTAGCCCTTCTACTACACACTAAACAATACAGACTAACTTTTGACTGCCCTTACATGACTCAGAAATAGTCTCCCAATTATATCTTTATTTTCTGAATCCTAGGATGCATTTCAAGACCGCTACATACGTTAAACATGACAAGTTTATAATCACAGTTTCTGTTGGTCTCTTTAAATGCCACTGCATGCTATAGGCCTCCTTTTGGCCATCACAATCAGTAATATAAGAAAATAAAAATGCATATTTGGTGTGTTTCTCTCTAGTTACCCAGTATACAAGGTGCTTCTAACCATGCAGATTTACAAAGGTTCAATTTCATTAAATGATCGATTTCTCTTGAGACCTTAATCTTTCCAAGGTATGTTAAAATTAACACGCTGCCTACTTGTTTTTAAGTAAAACAGTTTGTTTCCAAAAACCCTCAGGAAAGTGTCTGCCTTTAACTTTCATGGGCTGTGCAGGGAAACCTTAAGTATAATTTGGACCATAACAAAAGGTAGGCTTGGAAATTCCAATCAATTAATTCTATTGAAGAGCATCGTGCAGCCTATTCATCAAGAAAAAGGGCGAGAGTTTTAAACATTCAGGTAAATAGATGATCCATTAAGACAACAATATACATTGTGGCAAGTGCCATCCTAGTTTTGTCAGCACTTATGTATGGTCTTTGGATTCCCCTGCCCTCCTGCAGAGGGACTTCTATTCCCCCTCTTCCAATCTTTGTTCTCTTATTCATGGCTAAGTGGAAACAAAGCAAGAAAGCAGCGCATACCCAGTGTTCCATTCTGGACAAGTTCTTCCTCTATAGTGAGAAGGCGGTTGTATTTAGTCACTCGTTCACCACGGGAAAGACCCCCCAACTTGATGAACCGGACACCAAGCCCAACAGCCTGAAAGGGGGGAAAAAACTAATTTTAGACGGAGGAGCCATGTCTTGCTAAACGACAAACAATTCTTTAAAGACAAAGGAAACTGTCACAGTGTGCTGTTTGGGATTTTCTCTTACTAGTTTTTTATCTTTATGTAAGCACAGTGGCCTACAAGCTGAGAGTGCTGAAAGGCAAACAGATGATGTGGCTGACTATCCATCAGGCACTTTACTAGTCACGTAGGCATGCTGATTTTATGTAAGAACGTTCTGGCCTTTCTTCATTTTAGGAGGAAAGATTGCAGGTGCACACCCCAGTCATTTAAGTGTGCTCATCATTTTCCCTGGACTTCAATTTTTCTTCTTTTTAAAAGTTCAAAGATTAGCTCTTTGCAAAAGGTAGCTATCTGGGAGGAAGCAAGTCTATTTCATAAAAGGTTACATGCCTTTCTCCACCAGAGACTGCATTTCTCTGAAATACCAATTCGTGATAAAAGCAGTGTTTGGCAGTTGACCAGCATTCAGCACTTACCAAATCGACAAGGCTGTCATCAGATGATTCTCCTTCTGTACTTCCAAAGACAGTGATGTGCTTCTTACCTGGAAGAGGAATTTCTTTCAGTTTTATATGGTGTAGAAAGTTAGGATACATGTGGGCCTCTGGGATCAAAATTTAAAATTTCTCAGATTTAAAACTTCCCTGTGAAGAGTCAATTATTTGCCTACCTAGGATTCTAACGTTTGCATTTTTATTGCCCTGCTTTTGTTTGTTTACCCCCAATTTCAGTAGCTTAGATGCTGTAAATACTAAATGAATACTGTGTTTCATTAAAATTAAGATACATGATGGCTGGGCACGGTGGCTCACTCCTGTAATCCCAGCACTTTGGGAGGCCAAGGCAGGTGGATCATGAGGTCAGGAGATCGAGACCATCCTGGCTAACACGGTGAAACCCCGTCTCTACTAAAAATACAAAAAATTAGCCGGGCGTGGTGGTAGGCACCTGTAGTCCCAGCTACTCGCGAGGCTGAGGCAGGAGAATGGCGTGAACCCGGGAGGCAGAGCTTGCAGTGAGCTGAGATCGCGCCACTGCACTCCAGCTCTGGGCGACAGAGCAAGACTCCGTCTCAAAAAAAAAAAAAAAAAAGATATATGATTTGTAAAATGCACTATTATTTTATTACCACTAAAAGGGGGTAGGGGGATGCTCAAATTAGATTGACACATTTCTAAGACCGCGGCTATAAGACATGATTCAATTTTTTAAATGTTCAGTGTAGAAAAATGCATCTTTGAGTCAGTGAAATATGGTAAGAGTAACGTGGAGTTGGTATGCCTACGTAATGGCTTTCTCCTTTCATTGTGTAGAATTTTATTCAAAGGACTGTCATTCTGAATGTTTACTAGAAGAGTAGTGTTGGTAGTAATCAATCATTTGAGGGTCTTAAAACCCTTTGAAATGTGCCAGTCTGTGAAGAGTGCCAGCCAGAGCTCTTCCTGCAGCAACGGTGTTTGCATTGCCTCCTATCTATCATCTACCACCCACAGGCCAGCCCTGCCTGAGCATCTTCTTCCATCCTCTGGCACCAACCCAGGCCCCTGGCTGCCAGTCTGGCTCTGAGTTCTGCTCCAGCTCTGAGACCAGCTTTCTGTCTAGTTCCTGAGACCCACTCGTGGTATTTGTTTCATGTCCTCTGCATAAGTGTACAAGATGCCCATGAACTCAGTTTGTAGTCCAGTGGGAAACCCCAGTCATTAGGTAGTTGTATAAGTGATTGTGGTCCGTATTACAAAGAGGAAATATAGGATGCTAGGAGGAAAATTCAGAACTGAACCAGTTAGGGATAGGGGAAGGCAGGAGTGGCTGAAGACATTTCATTTTAGCCAAGACCTGAAGGATGCAGAGCCAAGTATGTCAGAGCAAAGCATTCTGGTCCAAAGGAACAGCATGTTTAAAGACAGGTGGTCAAGAGTTGTGGGCAAGTGAGATGACTATAGTGTCATGGGAAAGTTGCCTAATCTCTCCAAGTCTTGTTTTCTTATCAATAAAGTGGAAATGATAGTGTCTACTTCACAGGGATGCTGTAAGGATTATGTCCAATTCGCAAATGCCTGACCCAATGGTCTTAAGTAAAGCTGCTCTCCTCTGGCATCCCAGATGCACCAGCACTGGAGCCCCGCTTTTCACCTGTCATCCCCTGATCCCCATTGCTGGGATCCTGTCCCTGAATCCCAGCTTCATGACTCAGATTCTGCCTCCCGAGGCTTCCCTGATACTCCACTGCCTTGCCAACCTGCTTGGCAGCTTCCTCATGCTGCATGTTAGTAGTGAACCTACCCTTGCCTCAGGTCTCTGTACTGACAGAAAACTGCTTCTAATCTGATCTTGTTGCCTGTTTTCTAAACTGCTCAAGTAGACCATTCCCTGCAGTGGATGATCTGGTTCCAAATTCTGATCCCTCCTAGACTTCCCCAAGTAATGCAAATTAAAATGGCTGACTGATGTCGGGATATATTATAAGTAGCTAAGTTTATTTTCAATTAAGTAATTCCTACATCCTTACTATGTACTTGGGCCATGCCTATGTGGAAGAAAGAGCTGTGGTCCCTGTTAAGGTGTTGACTCCTTATCTAGAATCTAGAGCATAAAGTGGTAGTAAATGATAGGAGGAAATTTACAATACTGCGGTAATGTGATGCAGGCTACACATGTTCTGCCCCTGCTGTTCCTTGGCTGTGCTTGGTGCCTTGGCTTTGTGAATGGTGAGATATTTTTCTTAGCTTGAACACTACATTGTAGCCGGAAGCCTGGCTAGTGCAGATGGGTACCCAGGTGTTCCACAGTGCATGAATCAGGATTTGGGACCTGTTCTTTAGCAGTAAGAGTTGGGGTACCTCTATGGTTTCTGTAAATTAATTAATTAATTAATTAATTAATTTTGAGACGGAGTCTCCCTGTCGCCCAGGCTGGAGTGCAGTGGCGCGATCTCGGCTCACTGCAAGCTCCGCCTCCCAAGTTCACCCCATTCTCCTGCCTCAGCCTCCCGAGTAGCTGGGACTACAGGCGCCCGCCACCACACCCGGCCAATTTTTTGTATTTTTACTAGAGATGGGGGTTTCACCGTGTTAGCCAGGATGGTCTCGATCTCCTGACCTCGTGATCCGCCGGCCTCAGCCTCCCAAAGTGCTGGGATTACAGGCATGAGCCACTGCGCCCGGCCAGGTTTCTGTAAATTTAAAGATTTTCTGTAGTCCAAGCTCAGAACCTAAAGCAAATTGATAAATGTGCTGAAGGCTATGCCCTTTCGTAAGAAATCAGCCATTAGTCCTCCTGTTACAGGCAGAAAGGCTCTCCCCACTGTGAAGTTGACAGGGCAGTGGCCTTGGCCATACCTCTGGTAGCCCTCAGTAAAGGGGGTGAGCTTGGAATTGGGCTGTTAGTGGAACGTAGTGAAGGGAGTCAGTAAGCTGCCTTTTGTGTTCCAGCACTAAATCTCTCACAAATGGTTGGACTTTCTTTTCTTCCAAGATTTCTCCCATGCTTTTTAGTAACTTTGATATGCTGTGTATTTTTGGTTTCTTGTATAACCAAGTCATTACGAGTCTTTCAGATGTATGCTTTTACTCACTGTCAATCAGATTGGTTATTTCCACCAAGTCAGACATTGTAGTTTGGTTTGTGTGTTTTATGATCAGCCCATTGGATTTGGGGATGCTGATGTTTCCTTGCTCTAGAAGTTTAGAAATGCTTTTGGAAGCAGTTCCTGCAATTATGTAACACCTGGAACCAAGTGCGTGATAGATGCTGTCCCACTGTTCAGAGTCCTGGGTAAATATTTAAGAGTTGATCATTATAATGCATTGAACATAATTACAAAACAACAGGAATAATATAGCACATACTCAAGCTCACACATTTTTCCTGAGATGCACAAAACAATTTTCTTTTACTTCTGTTCCTGAATGACCCTGTACCACAGCCACACAAACTAAGAAGCTTTGGGAAACAGAAACTAATAGTGAATTTGAGCTTAAAGGTTTTATGAATAAAATGTTACTACACTAAATGTTATTTCTTACATGGATTTTAGAGTTCTTCAGACCCAGGCTATTCCCATCCACTCTTGTCTATAATGCTGCTAAGGATTGGCTGGATGGATTTTTCTGATATTTCTGATAAACAGAAAATGGAAAAAGAAAGCCTGCAAGGGCTCTAGTCCCTTCTCAACACCCTTATTTTTGTTGGTGAGACTATCATATGAAATGAAATGCTTATTTTAAAATTATACACATACATGTGCATGTGTGTGTGTGTGTGTGTGTGTGTGACCAGCCTGGACAATGTGGCAAGACCCCATCTCTACAAAAAATACAAAAACTAGCTGGGTGTGGTGGTGTGCCTGGTAGTCCCAGCTACTTGAGAGGGTGAGGTAGGAAGATGGCTTGAGCCTGGGAGGTCAAGGCTGCAGTGAGCTGTGATCAGGCCACTGCACTCCAGCCTGGGTGACAGAGCAAGACCCTGTCTTAAAAAGTATGACCAGAGCCTCAGGACAGTCATCGCAGGGCTGGTATGGCAAGGTTAAGGAACTAAGCTCAGCCAGTGCATTCTGTGTATGCTGGTGTAGAATGGAGGTTGTGAAAAGGAGGATGTGACTGAGACCCTGGGACTCCACATCAGGACCAGCATTTATATCGTCCTCCAAATTGAAATAGTTGTATTATCTCAAAGAAGATATCTGTTCAATATATCTGTTCAATCTATCTGATGTTTCTCAAATTTATAAAATCAAGAATTTAAATTTTGGAGTGTAAGTTGGTTGGGGGAAAGATGGTCACATAAGCCTTTGTCAAATGCATGAGTTTTAATAGATCATAAAACCTCAATATCTCAAACCCTTTAAAAATATGGCTTTGCAGGTCGGGCACAGTGGCTCATGCCTGTAATTCTAGCACTTTGGGAGGCCAAGGTGGGCGGATCTCCTGAGCTCAGGAGCTGGAGACCAGCCTGGGCAACATGGCGAAACCTTGTTTCTACTAAAAATACCAAAATTTAGCTGGGTGTGGTGGTGCACGCCTATAGTCACAGCTACTTGGGAGGCTGAGGCAGGAGAATCACTTGAGCCCAGGAGGCAGAGGTTGCAGTGAGCCAAGATCGTGCCACTGCACTCCAGCCTAGGTGACAGAGTGAGACCCTGTCTCAAATAAAAGAAAAAATGGCTTTGTTACGTTTATGCATATATAGTGACTGGATTTAGGTTGAAAAATATTTGGCCTTATAGAAGTCCTGTTCCCCTGAGCACATGAAAATGGTATATGATTAACCTATTGAAGCTCCAGCTAGCACAGCAGGGGCAGCTTCCATCTGTTAGGTTGCTTGTAAATATACAGGTACTCCTGAAGGGCTTGCGAATAACGTGTTTCATTCCCCAGACAGGCACACTCCTAGGTAATTGTGTTTTTCCTATTCATTTGCTTAGTAAGTGCCTTTTCTCATGAATGCTGAAATAAAGCAACTCAGCCCCAGACCAAATTACAACACATTTTGAATGACAACGATCCAAAAGAATGAGATTTTATTCTCTGTTTTGTTATAAATATAAAAGGTGAGTTATAAAATATAAAAGGTGAGTCCTGCCTATCTTATGGCATATAAAATATGTTATAAAATATGGAAGGTGGGGTGCTTACCTCCTTCCTGAAAGGATCAATTAAGGCAATAATTGAAGGGTACTTGTTGATCAGATCCACATACAGGTCAACCATCTCCGCTGCATTTTTGTATGTGCCCATGATCACTTCATACTTTCCTTTATTCTGATATGTGTCAGGAAAATATTAAAATAAGGGATAAATAATGAATTCATCAAATCCCAAAGATACGGTTCAGATTCGTTTTCGTTCATTTTATATAAGAGGTTGTAAACAGGTTCTTTTCAGGGCACGTTGACCTGAGAAATCTGTCCATTCTACTTTAAATATCTTAAATATTAACCTGGGAAATCAAGTCACCATTCCTTTTGATGCCCTCTAGGGTTCTTCCCACAGACTTCAGATGCAGCTTCCTACACAAAACACCAAGAATTACAGAGTAGGAGGGGAATAATCTGTTAGACTTGGCTGCCTGCGTAGATGGACAATAACATAAATTCACAAAATAAGCAGAATAGCAATGCTAACCTGCTCACTCACTAGACCCTACCATCTTTCAGGTCACATTGAATGAATAACTTGTTTCCTTTACTGTAAATACTCTAACGCTTGAAAGCAAGGCTAGGCTTTTGATATACTAACAACCAGTGTGAAAAATAATGTGATTTATTTGAGGCATTTCTTTCTTGGGTAGCATGTACTTTCTAGTAGTAACGATATTGTCCAGAAGGTAGAATTCTAGTGCAACATTCATTTGAAGTCTGGAAAGCCCCTAAGTCATTAAGTATAGAAGTAAACAGGGCTGAAGGATCTAGAATAGCCTTTCTGCAGAACAAAGCACCCTTCCTTTTAAGTCTATGTTCAGGGATGGTACCTGGGATATTTTGGCACTGGGAGGGAGGTGGAATGCAACAGAGTGGCTGTTTGGTTTGCTAATGCCTTCCTGCTGCTGCTAATAGAATGGATTCCATTGGAATTAAGCAGCTTCCTAAGAAGACCATAACTGAAGGGATTTCATACTTTTTTCACCTTCAAAAGCAGCAAGAACTTTTAACTTCTATAATGCAAAGCTTAAAAAACCCTATCTTGTCAGTGAGGAAACGCTAATGATTTTGAACTAACAATATTGTAAGAATTATCTGATATCAAGCTAATACATTTTACTGAATATAAGCAATAAATACCCATTCTAGTTAGCACTAGCAGTCAGTATATTCATAGTTCCTGGTATACGTTGCTGATGAAAACATGCAATTTTTTTTTTAATGGTATGCCTAGGAACCAATCATTATGTGAAGAATAGGAAATTACTTTAAATATTCTTTTATGTGCTTAGTTTCTTTAGAAAAGTAAAAGAACTTTTAGAAGTCAAGCAAAATTTAGGGCTCTTTTATAGAGTTCAAAATTTCCTTTGTAAAGTTAAAATCACAGTTAAAGCAGAATGCTATTTGGTCATGTCCCCTGAATTTGACATAAATTACCAAGTCACCATAGATGCTTGGCAATATGCTGGGCATTTCATAAAATGTAGACTCAACATTTTTGTGTATTTGAAATTGGGAAGTGTATTAGTTTGTTCTCATGCTGCTAATAAAGACATACCTGAGACTGAGTAATTTGTAAAGGAAAGAGGTTTAATTGACTTACAGTTCCACATGGCTGAGGAGGCCACACAATCATGGTGGAAGGTAAAGGAAGAGCAAAATCATGTCTTACATGGCAGCAGGCAAGAGAGAGTGTGTGCAGGGGAACTCCCCTTTATAAAACCATCAGATCTAGTGAGACTTATTCACTATCATGAGAATAGCATGGGAAAGACCCGCCACCATGATTCAGTTACCTCCCATGATACATGGGAATCATGGGAGCTACAATTCAAGATGCGAATTGGGTGGGGACACAGCCAAACCATATCAGGAAGTACATGTGTAAGACAGAAAACTAATAACTTTCCTAACATACCAGTTTCCCAAGTTTAAAGGTAAATTGCCGTTGTATTACCCTGAGGAAGTGAAGACTAGAATGTTGCTTGTTTTTTGTTTTGAGATGGAGTTTCACTCTTGTTGCCCAGGCTGGAGTGCAATGGCACGATCTTGGCTCACTGCAACCTCCGCCTCCTGGGTTCAAGCGATTCTTTTGCCTCAGCCTCCTGAGTAGCTGAGATTACAGAAGCCCACCACCACGCCCAGCTAATTTTTTGCATTTTTTGTAGAGGGGGGTTTCACCATGTTGGCCAGGCTGGTCTTGAACTCCTGACCTCAGGTGATCCACCCACCTCGGCCTCCCAAAGTGCTGGGATTACAGGCGTGAGCCACTGTGCCCCACCAACTAGGATGTTTTTCAATGAACCTGTTTTTCACTCTCTTTAGAATCTTTCTCTTCAGGTGGGTGGTCCCCAGGTGGAGTCTCGTCACATCACTAAAGCTCTGTCCTCCTAACCCAGGCTGTGGATAACACTGTGATGTGTTTAGTTGGACAAAAACATCTTCTTCATAAACTTCAATAACTTGGAAAAATTTTTATATTTAAAAAGTCACAGCATAAATTCTAAGAACTACATGTCTGGAAGCGCCTATCACATCATAAGTTACAACTCATCTACTTTTTAGGTTCGACAAATTCAGCATTTATCAACCAAATGCAGTTTGTTAAATTATTTTTCAGTAGCTTTCAGGATTGCAATGTAAGTAACTCATTTTACTTATCTTTATTGTAGAATTTCTATATATAATAATGACATTTTCTATTTAAAAAATTTTATGGTTATGTTATTCTGTGGTCATTAGCTAATTTGGTTTTCTCATTATATTTGGATCCTTCACACAATATTAATAAAAAAACAATAAGATCTGTTTGGACAATATTCAGATAAGCTCTTTTTTTTCTGAGTTCTAATTTAAAAATCATGGATCTCAATAGGAAGTGAATGTTCTGAAGTGGAAACTTACGTAGTCCATCAGCTCATGTCCAGCACAGTTGATAGCTAGATGCAGATTTGTTCCCAGTTCTAGCCCCAGGTTGGCACAGATTTCCTGTATTAGAAGCAGTGGCTGTTCTATGGAGTCACAGTTAATGGTTAAACAGCCAAGATGAGACATCTTGCCAGTGATCTGCTGCTGCAAGATCAAGAGACAATGATCCATGTCAATACAGCACATTAAGGTTCTTGGCGCTTCCTGTGATAAGCATGGTTTATGATCAGATATAGCTCTGCAAAGATCAGTCCTTTGATTCTCAATCCTACTTAGGATTGATTCACATGACTTAGGGCATATGATTCCCCTGCAGTATCTGGGAGTAATTTTCTTACTCCTGAGGTTTCCAAGTTTGGCCTGGGAGTGCACTTTTCTCTCTTTAGTGTGTCTGTGTTCTCTCTTTATGGATGCTGCCATTCCTTGTACATGGGGCTAGCCTGAGTCACAACCACCCAGTTGGTGAATCTCCAGGCCCTCCCTGTAAATGTCCACCCTGTCTGTCTCTAGCTCTGCCAGTCCTTTTCCTCCAAACCTGCTCTTTCGTATGTTCTGTTTTCTTCTAGATAAACGCAGCCATTAAAAGCATAGCCCTCCTTCAGGAGAAGTTTCATTTATTTATTTGTTTTGAGATAGTGTCTTGCTCTGTCACCCAGGCTGGAGTGCAGTGGCTTGAACGTGGCTCTGCAGCCTCGACTTCCCCAGGCTGAAGTCATCCTCCTTTCTCAACCTCCTGAGGAGCTGAGACTACAGGCATGTGCCACCACACCTGGCTATTTTTTTTATTTTTTGTAGAGACAGGGTCTCACTGTGTTGCCCAGGCTGGTCTTGAAGTCTTGTGCTCAGCACTCCCAAAGTGCTGTGATTACAGGTGTTGGCCACTTTAAAAGGATTGAAGACTTCCACTAAGAGGATGCAATACTGAAGATGGATTTTAGTGGAAGATGATTTCAGGACCCACATAACCCCAAGGAAAGACAGCTACTGCAAAGTCAGCCTTGATGTGCCCTCGCCATAAATTGCCACTATGCAATTATAAATTGAAGCAATATCAATGAATCTGAGGGCTTAAGGTAAGGGGTGTGTGTGTGTGCACCAAACTCAATGACAAACATGAACCCGGGAATGAATATTCTGTTTTGACTGGTGATAGCACTATTTTAATGTCAATGAGAAGAAACTTTTATTTGGCAAACAAAGCAATAGTTGGGGAAATTTTTGTCCATCAACTGAGTTTTGTTACAGAGCCTTCTAAACTATGAAAGCATCACTTATTTGGTGCTTACTAAATGCCAGGTACTGTTCTAAGCACATTACATAAAGTAAATACATTTACTCCTTACATCATACAAAGATATTATGATCTCCATTTTACGGAGTTAACTAAGTTGAACCAGATTTTAATCCAGGCAATTTAGCACCAGAGTTTATACCCCTAATTCTTGTGTGGCTGCCTCTCTGGAATCTATACTCTAGACTGTTTCTAATGGGAAAAAGAAAAAGTAGTAGTAAAGCTTATTACAGGGAAGGCTGATGTTGGTCTAAGTTTCCCAGCATGCAGAGAACCACCTGCTGGGATGAAGGCACAGCACTGAGAATTGGTGGCTTGTTTACCATCTCCACCTCTTGCAAGGCCTAATATTAGAAGGCTGTGCTCATTCCAACATATACAAACTGTTGACAGGATTTTACTTACCGCTGTATGTGTTCACACATTTCTCTTCTCTCTCCTGATCTTAAAAAGAAACTTCACTTTTTTATCTTTGCCATGTCTTCTCCCTTCTTTCCTAGCCCCTCTTTTTTTTGTCTTCAGCTGACTCTCATGTACCTAACATCAGGGTGGGGCAAAGATTGTTCGCTCACAAACCAAAGCAAATACTGCAGATGCGAGCAACCTTCACCCATGTGCATGCTCTTCAAAGTTCTTATTGGCTCTTCTATTTATATTGTTGAAAGTTTAGGCTATAATAGATACATCTATCAGCGCACTCACAATCACCAACGTGACTGACAGATCAAGTTCAGCTGGTCTCCCAAGGCTCCTGAAGCCAGCGAACGGGTTTTGACAAGGAGGGCTGTTCGCCTCACTCTCCTGGCAAAATCGGAGTTCCTGCAATGGTTCGTCAGAAATGATGCTTCAGTGCCTTTGGGGGACCAGATGGAAGGAATAGCCATCTTTTTGTGCTTCTTGTTTTTCTCTTTGTTAATAATAAAATGTAAAACATCCTATGTGCCTTTCAGCTAGTTGTCAGAGAGATTCGACTTCCCAAACACTTCCCCTATAGGGTCCAGTGTAACCCTACGTCTCATAAATGCTTCCTAGCCCTGTGAGATTCCAGATGGTCAGACAGCTGCTGCCAGCGATGGTCGGGCAGCCTGTTGCTGGAAGGCAGGGGCAGCATGATACTGCAGCTCTGGGGGTGTCTGGAGCAATATCACTATATGGTTTCCATTTGCCTCAGTCCTGGTCTTGGAGCAAAAAGTGACTATGGAAGATAAAAAGGGGCAGGAAATTTATAGACAGTGTCATATGGAAGGATGGTAAACAATATATAGACTTACTTGACCTCTTTTGCTTCCATCGTGCCCTTTTTTTGTCTCTGCTTTTGGAGGAGAGGGCTGTGGGGCAGAAGATAAAAATGTATCACCTGGAATTTTTAGCATGGCTGTGGCAGCAAGCAAAGCTTACTGCTCTGAGACCTGACCAGCAACACTGAATCTCACACACGTGTGCACACATACACGCACACACACGCACTCATGCACATAGGGATGATTCCAGCCACTCCCTACTTTATATGCCACAAACTATTTCTCAAATTCAGGAATGTGTTTCCTTTAGTTCATCCTTACCCTCTGCCCCCAGTCACATATATGGGGTGTGTGTACAGATTCATGCATTTCTATGCATATAAATAATGTGTTATTCACACATATATCATGAACTCCTGCTGTGTGCAGGCACCCTTTTTCTGCAGGAGGATACAAAGTCCCCTCCTTGCCCTTAGGGCTTAACCCCACTGCGGGATTTGCTTTTACAGGCCCAACATATTGTTTTGAATATTCTCAGAGTGCAAACACTTTCTCCTGCAGGGTGGTTTTGACTTTGATTTGAAACAGTCAAAGGTCATTAAATCTGGTGAATCTGGTGGGTGTAGTGTCATGAGGTTAAAAGCAAAGGTAATTCCCAAAGAGGCATTCCCACATTTGGGGTATTGGGTGCATATTATTGCAAGGATCTAATCTTTTAAAGGATGCTCAGCGTGTACTGATTCTGTAAACTGAGGCAGGATTGTCAAGCATAGGTATGGTTCACACTCAAGTATATGCACATACAGTGACCCTGAACAGAAGGGCAAAGGGAAGTCATGTGATGTGATCGGGGGACAATAGTGATTACTGGCTCCAATTCAGAATGGCAAACATTAAAGAACAGTCTTGGTTTGCATTATTATTGGATTTCTCATGTTTTTTATGCTCCCTCATTGAGACTTTTAAACTGCCTGAGGACAGGAAGTATGTTTTTCTCCCCTTTTGCACCTAGCACAGGGCCTTGCAACAGCAAAAAATAACCAGGGAAAAAAACAACCTGTGACATCTTTCTGTCTACCTTACTAAGAATAAGCTGTTACATAATGGAAGTCAAAATCTCCAGCCCCACCTCTACCCCTTTTCTTTTAAAGACAGGGTCTCACTCTGTCACACAGGCCGGAGTACAGTGGCACAGTCATGTCTCATTACAGCCTCGAACGCCTGAGCTCAAACAATCCTTCTGCCTCAGGCTTCAGAGTAACTGGGACAACAAGCGTGCACCGCCATGCCTGGCTAATTTTTTTTTTTTTTTTTTGGTAAATATTTTTGTAGAGACAGGGTCTCACTATGTTGCCCAGGCTGGCAGCCTTTTTAATCATAAAAAATGCAATGTATTCTAGAATGGCTGTTCTCAGACTAAGTGGATTTAAAAATGGCTAAAAACTGAAACAAATATAATCTTTCCTTAATAAGAATTAGGCAACTCAGGAGTTCCTAGGGAGAGTGAGTTATGCCAAAATAAATCTGGCATGATGTAATCTACTAATCTCTGCCACCAGCCAAATGATGTCATCAGGAACTATCACTCTATTACTAAAACAAAGCATGGTGATTGCAGTAACCCTGGTTCCACTCCTATCATCTCCTGTTTTAAGACCGTGGCTTTAGCTAAGGTTATCTATAGACATCTTTGGGTTGGGGCCTGCATGAGAAAACATACCATTTCTTCAGCATTTTTTTCTCAAAATAGATTTAAATTAAGACTTAATAGAAGAATCGCGGTAATGTTGGGAATGATCTGTTATCACTGTAATCACTGGGAAGGATTAAACATCTTTCTATATTCAATTACTAGGCTATCAATAGGTGTCCTTTATTAGGAGCCCAGCAATTCAGCGTTCCTCCCATACAGGATTTTTTTTTTTTTTTAATGGGACAGGATCTCCCTCTGTCACCCAGGCTGGAGTGCAGTGGCATGATCAGAGCTCACTGCAGCCTCAAACTCCTGGGCTCAAGCAATCCTCCCACCTCAGCCTCCCAAGTGGCTGGGACCACAGATGCATGCCACCACACTGGACTAATTTTTGTGGAGACAAGGTCTCGCTATGTTGCCAGGCTGGTCTTGAACTCCTGGCCTCTCCACCTCAGCCTCCCAAAAGTGCCGGGATTATAGGCATGTGCTACCACACTTGGCCAAGACAGGCATTTAAAAGTTGTACAGATGAGGAAACCAGTGCATTGACAGGATATGTAAGAGGCTCACCGTGGCAGCTCCTAAGTGCAGAACCATAATAGAAACCAAATCTGTTGCTTCAAAGATTGTGCTCTTTCTGCTACACTACATAATCTTTAACAACTTAAACTTTGTGACTTCGACAGCATAGTGATGGTTTTTGATATCTGAGCTTTCTCTAAGTGCTTTACTGCTTTTCCTTCAAACATGAATGAACTAGTTGGAGCTATTACTAAGAATCCCACTGCAGCTTCCAAACGTGTAACACCACATGGAAAGTCAACAGAAATGTGATCCCTGCTTCACACTATTGATATAAAGGCCAGGTGAAATTAAGATATAAATAAATCTTTGAAACTATAAAAGTGTTTGAAGAAAACATATTCTGTGATTTGGGGGCAGTTTAGCATCTGATTAAGATCATGGATTCTGAGTTTGAATGCCAGCTTGGCCACCTACGACCTGGGGGTCTTGGGTGAGTGCTGGGCCCAAGGTTCTTAATCTATGTAATAGGGGTAATAATAGTACCTACCTATACAGTTATGCAGATTGAATGAGTTAAAGTATTAAAGCACTCAGGATGGTACGTAGTAAACTTAAAAAAATACTTGTGGATTATTAGTATTCCAGGAAGAGGGAGCCCCTTATGAAACAAGGCACACAAAGCAACAGCCTTAAAGCAGGCTTCCTCAGCCTTGGCGCTATTGACATTTGGGGCTGGATCACCCCACTGTGGGGGCCGCCCTGTACATTGCAGGACACTCAGTAGCAGCTCTGATCCCTGCTTACAAAATGCGGTCAGAACTCTCCTTCCAAGCCAAGACCACTACAGATGTCTCCAGACTTGCCAAATGTCCCCTGGGCAAAATCACTGCTGGTTGAGAGTCACTGCCTTAAAAGAACAGATTGCTACATTTCACTTCATCAAAAAATTTTAAAAATCGGTATGACTCCATATCATACAATTTAAAGGCAGGCAACATGATACAGGAAAATAGGTCTACCGTATATAAAGAATTGGCTGGCCGTGGTGGCTCACACTTGTAATCCCAGCACTTTGGGAGGCCGAGGCGGGCGGATCACAAGGTCAGGAGTTCGAGACCAGCCTGCCCAAGACAGTGAAACCCCGTCTCTACTAAAAATACAAAAATTAGCTGGGCATGGTGCTGGGCTCTGTAACCCCAGCCACTCAGGAGGCTGAGGCAGGAGAATCGCTTGAACCCGGAAAGCAGAGGTTGCAGTGAGCCGAAATCGTGCCACTGTACTCCAGCCTGGGTGACAGAGCTAGACTGTCTCAAAAAATAAATTAATAAAATAAAAGAGTAAATCCCTTATTATGTAAAGAATTCCTAGATATCAATAAAAGATAAACACCTCAGTGAAAAGGGCAAAGAAGTAAAGCAATTTGCAGAATGATTTGTGCATAATTTGTTGTATTATTTTAAACACTGTTCTCTGTTGTGTATTTATCTTTCTTTCCCCCCGAGACGGAGTCTCACTCTATTGCCCAGGCTGGAGTACAGTGGTGCAATCTTGGCTCACCGCAACCTCTGCCTTCTGGGTTCAAGTGATTCTCCTGCCTCAGCCTCCCGAGTAGCTGGGATTACAAATGTGCACCATCACACCCAGCTAATTTTTGTATTTTTAGTAGAGACGGGGTTTTGACATGTTGGCCAGGCTGGTCTTGAACTCCTGACCTCAAGTGATTTGCCCGCCTCAGGCTCCCAAAGTGCTGGGATTACAGGTGTGAGCCACTGCGCCTGACCTATCTACTTATTTATTTTTTTAAAAAGGCTGGAAGGCCACACTCAATTTTTAACGGCAGTTACCTTTAGAGAAGGGACTGTGCTGAGGGTGGCAGTCTGTAGGAGGTGGTTGTGGGAGGGTAGCTCTATCAGTATTTGAATTTTCACAAGAACATTCATCAGCTACTTGTGTAATCACAAAGTAAATAAAACATTTAAAAGACAAAATGTCAGGAAAGATTTTAGAATTCAAGAAAATTCTAAAAAAATTTTTTTTTTTTTTGAGACGGAGTTTCATTCTTGTTGCCCAGGCTGGAGTGCAATGGCACGATCTTGGCTCTCTGCAACCTCTGCCTCCCGGGTTCAAGCAATTCTCCTGCCTCAGCCTCCCGAATAGCTGGGATTACAGGCGCCTGCCACAATGCCCAGCTAATTTTTTTGTATTTTTAGTAAAGACAGGGTTTCACCATGTTGGCCAGACTGGTGTCAAACTCCTGACCTCAGGTGATCCACCCGCCTTGGCCTCCCAAAGTGTTGGGATTACAGGCATGAGCCACCGCACCCAGCTGAAAAACTTTTAAAAGAAATTTAGAAGGATGAATTGTAGAATGCTCAGGTGGGTTTCCTTCACCTGCTCTGACAGAACCAACACCAGGTATGGCTTCCTGTGGCACCGGCTCCTGATGCGGCGTGTTTGATATTACACTTGTTTACTCTTCACGGTCACCCTCATGACTTGGGTACTGATCATCTCCATTTTATAGATGAGGAACCCGAGGCAGAGAGACTATGGAATTGGCCCAAGGTCACGGAGTTATGAATGGCAAAGCAGAGTGCAACATCAGAGCTAACTTGTCGAAGTCTGAGTCTCTACAGGCTGGTCACCCAGAAAAGAAGCTGGCCTCCTGAAAAGCACCATGGAAACCAGCTCCAGCCTGGAATTGCTTGAAGCAATTCTGATCAACTGCAGGGATTGGGCCCCAGCCAGCCAACCACCATCGCGGCAGGGGAGGGGCCCGTGCCCCCTGCCTGCAGTCACACTCTGTGCTGGTGAGACAGAGTTAAAACCAAAGTGCCTCCATGTTACACTGCTATTGTATCCCAGCCCCATCCTACTGGGTCCTCAGCCCTACTGCTTCCTAATCATGCAGCTTAAAAGCCTCAGGCTAAATGCAATGTGGGATCCTGGATTGGATCCTAGAACAGAAAAAGGACATTAGTGGAAAAACCAGTGAAATTTGAATCAAGTCTGGAGTTAGTTATTAGTAGTGTACCATTTTGGTTTCTTAGTTTTGACAAATGTACCATGTAATATATCATTAACATTGGGGGAAACTGGGTGAGAGGTATTCCAAAATAAAAGGTGTGTGCGTGTGTGTGTGTGTGTGTGTGTGTGTGTGTGAAGCCCCACAGACAAGGATTGGGTCCCTCTCCTGGCCTCAGCCCTTCCATATCACTGTGCACTGCCCATTTAGAACATGATGGGACAACTGGCGACTCATACGCCTGCGTCTGTGACTGCCCCTAAGAGGGCTGCTCTGCCAGGGGCCCTTGTTTGCTCAACACCAGGATCCTAATGCAGGCACAAGAGTCTCTGCCTTCATTCCATCAAGCTGCCTCTCATATCGTGGGGGCCACATCCTTTCTTTCTTAGTAAATCCTAAGGGATGATCTTAGCACAAAGCCAGTTGCCCCAGAAATTGAAATGAGATTGTTAAGTACCATTAGAGGCTGGATCCATAGCCACTGAGGACATGGATACACTTGGTTCTTGGGGGAAACCCAAAGCCAATAAATACATTCTCCATATCAACCACAATTGATTTAAGTCCAAATGAACTACAAGTTGCATGCTAGAAGGTGTCTAAGTGTCAGTAACTAGATAACATAGAATCTCTTTACATACCATTTCAATTATTTTGTTGATATGTTTCTGCATTTCCATAAGCATCTCGACACCCTGTAAGTAGAACAACC
This sequence comes from Homo sapiens, assembly GCF_000001405.40. Taxonomy (NCBI): domain Eukaryota; kingdom Metazoa; phylum Chordata; class Mammalia; order Primates; family Hominidae; genus Homo; species Homo sapiens. Next base: position 116,862,781 of record NC_000010.11, on the reverse strand, counting down.
ATGATCTTCCACAGTTGCAGACTAGAAAATTTAAGTATAAAAACTTATAACACGTGGCTATTTCTAACTCAGAGTATTTGTAGAGTCCCTGATTAGCAGATGATATGCTCTACAAAATCAGTAGATTAAATGTTAATCTTCGCCCCAGTTTTCATTGGGTTGAATGTGAATGAGAGGTTCTTCTCCCTCAGTAGCCTCTCTTCGACCTTTCAGAACTGACTGGTTCAGTTGCTTGGATCAAGTTAGCTTCATCCTCTTTTATGGTCTCTGGACCAACCTGGATAACTTTCTTCTTCTTTTTTCTTTTTTATTTTTTTTTTTGAGATGGAGTTTCACTCTGTTGCCCAGGCTGGCGTGCAGTGGCAATGATCTCGGCCTACTGCAAACTCCGAATTGTTCAAGCAATTCTCTTGCCTCAACCTCCCAAGTAGCTGGGATGACAGGCATGCACCACCATGCCTGGCTAATTTTTGTATTTTTAGTAGAGACGGGGTTTTGCCATGTTGGCCAGGCTGGTCTCGAACTCCTGACCTCAGGCCATCCTCCCATCTTGGCCTCCCAAAGTGCTGGGATTACAGGCGTGAGGCACCATGCCTGGCCAGCCTAGATAACTTTCCCACAATACATGTCACAGATCACCAAGGTAGTCTGGATTAGAGTGGCTGAATCAGTATAAATCTACTGTCCCTTAAAAAGTAGAAAAGTATGTTGTGATGATGAGATCTACATACAAAGACCTGATAAAGAATGGCATTCCTCGTGCTCTGGTATGCAAACAGCTCAACAGATACTAACTAAAGGAAAGATCCTGACACCAGGATCTGAATACGATCTGACAGATGATAAGCCAGATATAAATAGTATTCTTCTGCAACTGATAAACTGTAAGGCAATAACTATTTTAAGAAAGAATTCTTTATCATGAAAAATCTTGATTTTTTTTTTCTTACTGATTTCCACTAAGATAAACTATCACTCAACTTATTACTGGAGGGGGCTTGGGGAAAGCTTTCTGTACTTTTTTACAAAGCATCTCCTATAGATCATGAACCTTTGGTCATCATGATTTAAAGAGGCATATTGACTCTTTCAGGCTACTGAGGAGTAGTATAGATCCTTGCACACCTCTGAGTGGTGAACCTGCAACTTGAGATTTATTCACTCCACAAATATGCACTAAAAGTCTCATAGGTGCCAGGCAAGTCCTGGAGTTCTTACTTAACAGAGTGGGCTGCTAGGAAGTGCTAGCTTTCACTTGCTGCTGCCATAGGGCACAGTGCAGAGTAAATAAGATGCCCCCAAATAACAACCTTCCAGCACTTTCTAGGTCTGCAGAGTTTCTCAGCCATGGCTTGTCTGTGAGTCAACAGCATGAGCCAGTGCTGTAATGAAACCAGACATCTAAGTTGCTCTGCATGTGCTCCCTTTGGTTTGAGGTCTTTCTTCCCACTTCTCTGATTTCCTAAAATATTTTTTTTCTCATTTTATCCTTAATTCCCCACTAAAAGTTCATCAATGACGGAGTATATATATATATATATATATTTTTTTTTTTTTTTTAGAAAAGGTAATTTAAGATAATGTAAGGTACTTGTTTGGTTGTTAATTCAGGATGGGGTATACAAATCACTTCTTTCATTAAATTTAGCTTCCCAGATGATGACTTCCCACAGCTGACCAGCGATACCATCAGCAAAGGCATAGATAGCGTTGTTGGCTGTTCCTGAAATAGGGGGAAAACGAGGGAAAATGAGAAACAGGGTTCATCCATATTGAGATACTCATGGCTCCTTTTAATGGAACTTCATAGATACTAACCTGATTGTGCTTCAGTAGAGCGATATTTAAGTACAGAGGTTTATTAAGCAGCATGGCACAGGCTTTGGCAACAGCTAGTGACACGGCCCCTATGGCCATACTGCCACTGAGTACAGGCTCAACAGGCTCTGCAGGCGCAATAGGTTTCTCTGTAATAGTATCCTTCCTCCCTGGAGGGAGAAATATTGAGAGTAAGACTGTATTTCTAAATGCTTTACTTACAGATGGAAAGACCCAGGAAAAAGAAAGGATGAAAGCCGAGGCTGGGAACAACAAATGCTCTACCTCAACCCCCAAAAAGTTTTCTGTTTGCTTTTGCTTAAGATTCTCAAATAATCATTAGCCATGGATTTTGCCTGTCTAAGACATTTTAGGCCATTTAATATTAATTCCTTCATCAATCATATGAGGTAGATATTTTTATTCTACATTTACATATACATAAACTGGGGCTTAGAGGGGTTAAAAGACTTGCCCAACATGTAACAGAAAGTAGATAGAGGATTTGAACTGTCTTGAAATTTCAAATCATTTGTTTTTCTATATTTCACCATAGCTGCTGCACACTCAACTTTCTGCTGAACATCTCTGCATGAATATATCTAACTTGCTGTCTTTCTCACCAACACCAAACCAATGCCTTGTTCTGTGTCATTTACGTTCTTTAGCAGTGCCTTTCAGATCCAATCATTGACCCACATTCCTTACCCATCTTTCACTAGAATATGTTCTCAGCCTCCCTGTCTCATGAGGTCCGGACAGAGTCCATCATATATCTCTAGTGTTCCTCTTGTCCGTTCCTTCACAGCTGCGGATGTGGTTCAGGTCCCCAGTGGAGATAAGATATTTCAGCACCTCACGCTTAATGAGCGCTTAGCAAATAGCTGTGCCCTCCCACTTCTTCCCTTAAGTTCCACATTCTATTAGTCAAAAGCAACCATCAAACGAACATCCATGTTGGTCTCTACTTATAACTCAGTAGTGGCCATCCCACCCTCCCATGGGAAGATTGCTCAAACATAATTATTTTGTCTCGGGGCAAATCTCTTCACTTCTCTGGGCCTCAGCATCTGGATCTATGAAATAAGGTACCCTGCCTCCCTGGTCTCTTTGGTCCCTTCCTGGTTCTGGTGCTTTCTTACTCAATGGAACCCACATTATTTGGGTGTATGGTTCGTGCCTGGCATCATGCTAGATACGGGCAATGGCAAGTGGAATAAACATGATTCATGCCCTCAAGGAGCACGTTCTAGTTCAGCAGACATACAAAACCCTGTTATTATACCAAGAGCAGCTCCAGAATGAACAGTACTGCAGGGGCTGAGGTTAGCAATCTGTTGGAAGGCATGGAGCAAGGGCAAATTGAAGTGATAATTTCTATTATTTGCTTTAAAATAAAGTTTCATAAAGAAAATGTTTATTTTACATAGGATTGAGAAAATGTTGGTTGTTCATATCAAAGGAATCAAAACTCTAAGATATGGAGTGGCTTTTGGATTAGCTAATGGAAATTTTGAAAGGAGGTGAAAGGTCTCCCATGCCATCCCCTCCCACTCTACCCCCAATTTGGCACCGCTCAATGCACCTTATTTAATAATAAGTATTTATCACCTCTGGGTGAGAAACTGTTTTATTTTACAAATAAAAAGGAGAGTGGGATGGGGGCAAAATCTTTGAGTGAGGATGTGGCATAGGATGGATGGCTTTTAGCCGTGAGCCCAAAGTAGGCCTGTAGCCAAGAGACTCAGAAAGGCAGTCCAGGCTTCAGCCTTTCTTCCTCACACATTTGTTACTAACGACTCTGCAAGATAAGTCACCAACCAACCTGGCTTTTGCCCCTTTTTTTTGGTAGGAGGTGGAGGGGGTGGTGGTGGTGGTACTGGAGGTAGAGGTGTAGGCACTGTTGAGTATTCCAGGCTCTTTTCCAATTCTTTTCTCCCCTTATCTTCTTGTACTTTACTTGCGAAGAATATCCTTAATAGCAAGAAAATATGGCTTTACAGTGGGATATTTAGGAATATCACTCTGTGATTTTGGTCATGTTTTAGAGATGACCCCATATATTTCAATAAATAACTGCTTTTCAGCTACTTAAGAACAAATCAACTTTAATTTTCAAAGCCAGTAAACAATGATGCTGTTATAAAACTGCATTCAAGAACTGAAATTCATTTTGGCATGGAAATAAATGTTTAAAGATTTCAGGTGCTCATTTTTAAATTATTTGAGCGCCCTGGGTTTGCATTTTTAGAGTAAAACTTGAAGATGTAATTTTATTGTGGGTTACAGTATTTTCTTTTTGTATAAATGACCATCAGAAAACAAATGTGTCAAGAATAGAGTGAAATATAGCATATAAATAGAGAGGACTTCCTTTCTTTTTTCTTGACACTTAGGGTTAATATTTAAAAAAAACTTTTGGAAATCCCACTTAGATGCATTTATGTAAAATTTCAGCACCCCAAAATAAAGAGGCTAAAAACTTCTATAGGCAAAAAACCAGGCAAATAAAAAACAAAGACATAGGAATCAGATTTGTATCAGATGTATTAATAATCCAGATGCCAGTAGGGCAATGCCTTTAAAGTATGAGAGAAATTGATTTCAACAGAGAATTCTATACTCAGCTAAACTATCAACCATGGGGGCAAAGTATCAACATTCCCACACATAAAATAACTAAGAAACTTTACATCCCATATACCCTTTCTCATCCTTACTTTTAAAGGATACAATCCAGCAAATCATGAAAGAAAAGAATGTGGGTTCCAAAAACAGGAGAACAATGAGGTTTTTATGGCATCTCTGTAGTTGGTCTACAGAAGAACCAGTCCAGATGGGTGGTTTGGGGAGGGAAAATGCCAGGAAAAAAAGGAGTGTAATAAAATACAAGATGTAACTGAGAGCTTGAGAAAAAAATAATAAACTAAGAAAATGATAACAGCACATGAAGGGGGAAAAAAAAGGAATAGAGGAATAGCATTCAGAAACTCCAAGAAAACCCAAAACTATTCAAAAAAGTTTCTTGGCTGGGCGCAGTGGCTCATGCCTCTAATCCCAGCACTTTGGGAGGCCGAGGCAGGTGGATCACTTGAGGTCAGGAGTTCTTGACCAGCCTGGCCAACATGGTGAAAACACATTTCTACTAAAAATAAAAAATTAGCTGGGCATGGTGGCAAGTGCATGTAATCCCAGCTACTCAGAGGCTGAGGCAGGAGAATCGCTTGAACCTGGGAGGTGGAGATTGTGGTGAGCCGAGATCATGCCACTGCACTCCAGCCTGGGTGACAGAGGAAGACTCCATCTCAAAAAAAAAAAAAAGTTTCTGTTACAAAGGTCATTATCTTACTCTGAAGCAAACTAAAATGTTATATACAATTAAGTAAGTGATAAAGCTTAAGAAAAGAGAATCCAATTGACCTTCTATTGGCCAAAGGGTTGTGGCATTGGACCTGCACAAACAGGAAAATGATTCTAACTCACTACTTGGTTGGGGAATGAAGAACATTTCCATAGCCCTAGTAAATGCTTCCTTGTTAGCGTGTTTGAGTCAACCTATGGGCAAAGCATGGGAGACTTAGTTGTGGCTGGAGGACTGAATGTAAGTGTCAGCTGTTGTGACTAAATAAAAGGATATGAGGAGCTCACAGGTGGCATGTGACAGGTGGGGAGAAGAAAAAGGCATCCTCTGGATTCATAATCGGATTGTTTTTCTGAGAAGCTTTTTACTAAGTCTTAGGAAAGCTCTATACATGAAAAGAGACCGAAAAGCCCTATGTAGTGTTACATAGTAAGGTGTTAACTACATGGTTTTCAGGAGAAAAACAAATTTTATGCTAAATGTTGCTGCTTTCACATACGCTTTGTAAACTGACTTCCCAATTCTATAGATTTGACAGACCCATTTTATTGGCAGGTGAAATGGAAAGATAATGGACGTATATTTGTACTTGATTTTCTTTTTTTTTTTTTTTTGATACAGAGTCTCGCTCTGTCGCCCAGGCTGGAGTCCAGTGGCGCGATCTCAGCTCACTGCAAGCTCCGCCTCCCGGGTTCACGCCATTCTCCTGCCTCAGCCTCCCGAGTAGCTGGGACTACAGGCGCCCACCACCATGCCCGGCTAATTTTTTGTATTTTGAGTAGAGACTGGGTTTCACCGTGGTCTCGACCTCCTGACCTCGTGATCTGCCCGCCTCGGCCTCCCAAAGTGCTGGGATTACAGGCGTGAGCCACTGTGCCCGGCTTGTACTTGATGTTTATATTTCAAAGTGGAAACTGTACCTGAGTAGGTGATCCACCTCTGCCTGGTCAGAGGGTGCCATCCCCTGGAGCTCGTGCGTGATGGTGCTGTTGACCCACTGCACGGCGGTGCTCACCGCGCTGGCCCTCTCTGCCTCCTCCGCCTTGGCCAGCTCGGGCAGAGCATTCTCATGGACTTCAAAATGAGTCGAGATCACCACAGAACATACGTTCTGAAAATCATATAAATGTGTTCAACACTTTCCCTACCTCTCCCAGAAAGAGGAAATTAAATGAATCCAGCTTTTAACATGCATGAAATTTTACCACCAATTTCAAGGGGACAATGAGAATATATAATTTTCTTTGAGATATTTTTATAGCTGTTGAAACACTATGGAACTCAGCTTCATAGAACACTTAAAATACCCTTAGAAAAACCCTACATCAAACTTCATTTTTATCACTACCTCTCCAATAAATAACAATAAAAATCAGACTTAATCATCATTATTCTCCTACCAGAGACTATGGCAAAAATTATTTCTAACAAATATGTAGCAAAGTGAATTAAAACGAATTGTTAAAATTATTAAAGTAAATTATTTTCTTTCTTTAGGTCAGTCTAACATCTATAAATGTCTAGGTAAATAGACTAATCTATAAACCTACATGTAGATTTATAGAACCTATCACATGAGTAATGTCAGAGTTTATAAACTATTTTTGCCTCATTTCCATTATCCATGTTGGATCATCCTCAGGTTAGCATGTCATGTCTGTATCAAAATTACACTTAAACATAATAAAGCCATCATGGTTGATGGTATGATTCATGCTTACATGACTACCTATGAAATATATTTCACAAACACTGAATTTCAAAACAATAATTTTCTACAGCTTAGACAAGTGTTGCTAATAAATGCAGTGGGGCCAGGACATTAAAGAACACACTTAAACTGCCTCATACCTTGGGAAAGTTTTGAATGGTGCAGAATATGTCCACTTGCAGGGTTGGAAGCCCCAGTCCATCTAGTACGTCTTTCCCCACTATTTTGCATATGGTGGGAGGCTTTGCAAGTTTAGAAAAGCAGTTTGCCTTCAACACACACAAAAGAACAAAAATCATCTGGTTCAAGTTGTTGTTTGGGGAAAAAAGTCACAATACCATATCTACTTTATCTTCAAAAGGTCATTCACATTGACTCTAGTTTCTACCAAACCTCTCCGCGAGTATTCTTCCTGATGCCAGGATTAGACTAGCAGTTCTGTGAGAACTGCCCTGCCCTTACATACCGAGATATGGATTCAGCCCACTCCTGAGTCTCTGGTATGTGGGGCAATTTGGTGTATGTTGAACTCTCAACAGAAACTTGCATACGTTTCTTAATTAAAAGGCCCTGTGTCACTGATTAGCAGGCCTTCTTCAACAGAGACGGTCTCACTCTGTTGCCAGGCTGGAGTGCAGTGGTGTGATCTCGGCTCACTGCATTCTCCGCCTCCCAGGTTCAAGCAGTTCTCCTGCCTCAGCCTCCCGAGTAGCAGGGACTACAGGCGTGCGCCATCATGCTCAGCTAATTTTTGTATTTTTAGTAGAGATGGGGTTTCACCATGTTGGCCAGGATAGTCTCAATCTCTTGACCTCGTGATTCACCCACCTTGGCCTCCCAAAGTGCTGGGATTACAGGCTAGCAGGCGTTCTTATAGTCAATTCAGTTGCCTAAGCTATCCCTCTTTTCTTTTTCTTTCTTTCTTTTTTTTTTTTTTTTTTTTTTTTTTTTGAGACAGGGTCTTGCTCTGTCAGCCAGGCTGGAGAGCAGTGGCACCATCACGGCTCACTGCAGCCTCAACTTCCCAGGCTCAAGTGATTCTCCCACCTCAGCCTCCCGAGTAGCTGGGACCATAGGCACACGCCACCACACCCGGCTAATTTTTACATTTTGTAGATACAGGATCTTATTATGTTGCTCAGGCTGGTCTCAAACTCCTGGCCTCAAGCAATCCTTCCGCCTCAGCCTTCCAAAGTGCTGGGATTACAGGTGTCAGCCACTGTGCCCAGCCCCCTTGTTTCAAGATACAGAAACCAACTGGTCTCTAGAACACCATGACGCATTCAAATTTCAGAAACCTGACATGGGCTGAATTTTTTTTTTTTTTTTTTTAAGACAGAGTCTCACTCTGTCACCCAGGCTGGAGTACAATGGCATGATCTCTGCTCACCGCAACCTCTGCCTCCTGGGTTCAAGCGATTCTCCTGCCTCAGCCTTCCGAGTAGCTGGGATTACAGGCGTGCACCAAAACGGCTGGCTAATTCTTTTGTATTTTTAGTAGAGATGGGGTTTCAACATGTTGGCCAGGCTAGTTTCAAACTCCTGACCTCGTGATCCGCCTGCCTCAGCCTCCCAAAGTGCTGGGATTACAGCCGTGAGCCACCGCGCCCGGCACATGGGCTCATTTTTATTCCTCCCAGCAAGGCACGTGATATTTTAGTGGTGAAGACTTACGTGACGGCTGTATCTTACCATCAGCTCATTCATAGTCCTATGTGTTCAAGGAGGCTTGTTGGGAGCCTTAGTAATTGCAGTTTCATTGAGGTGGAAAAGCAGAAGCCATTTGGAAGTGATCTAAGAAGGAGACTGAAGAAAGAGAAGCTGAGATAGAAAGCCCACTCGAGAAGCCTGCAAGAAAACGCTCAGGAAGGTGTTTCTGTGCAGAGGAGCAGGAGCTAGGAGAGACTAGAAGGAGGGAAGGTGAAGGCACACCTTTATTGCTCTCTTGATTACCAGATAGGACTGGGCTTTGCTTTCATTTAGCAGACACCAGGTCTCTGATCTTTCAGTTCAAAATCCAGTGACTTCAACCTGGACAACAGGTCATCTAATACCCACAGCGACATGCCAGTTCAGAGGTGGGGCCCCAGAAGTATTAAGCAAGAGCTCATTTTCAAGCTATCCGTGGATTCTTTAAATGGTGGTTTGTATGTTACAGAGTAAGTGCCTAAATGAATTTAGAATCAGGAGAGCAAAAATGTTATTTAGCTTACACTCTGTGTGTTATAGTGAGTTCAGTTTAACAAGCACCAAGCACCTATAATGTGCCGCGTGTTGTGTTAGGAGAGGAAAGGAACTAACATTTTTGAAGTGCTTAATATGGGCTGTGAAAGAATGACTTCTTTATCACTATATCTCAAACCACAGGGCCTGACATATATAGGATTCTATAAATTAAATCTCGTATAAATTAATAAATGTCAGTGACATCCCTGGGCACTGTATATACATTATGTCATTACATTCAACTCTCTAAGCTATGTGATATCATCTCCATCCCACAGATGGGCAGACAGTTCCACAAAAATTAACTGTCCAAGATCACTTAGCTAATGTTTTCATTATCTACTGCTTTGGTTTTTTTTTTTTTTTTTTTTGAGACGGAGTCTCACTCTGTCACCCAGGCTGGAGTGCAGTGGCACAATCTTGGCTCGCTGCAAGCTCCGCCTCCCGGGTTCACGCCATTCTCCTGCCTCAGCCTCACGAGTAGCTGGGACTACAGTCGCCCGACACCACTCCCAGCTAATTTTTTGTATTTTTAGTAGAGACAGGGTTTCACCGTGTTAGCCAGGATGGTCTCGATCTCCTGACCTTGTGATCCGCCCGCCTCAGCCTCCCAAAGTGCTGGGATTACAGGCGTGAGCCACCGCGCCCGGCCATTATCTACTGCTTTGTAACAGACCACCCCAAACCTTGGTGGTTTAAACCATTAACTTGCTCATGGTCCTGTAATCTGGGTGGGGCTTCAACTGGGAAATTCTTTTGCTGGGCTTCTCTGGAGTCCCTTATGCAGATGTAATCATCTGGAGGCTTGACAGGAGCCAGCATATCCAAGCTGTTTTCACTCAATGTCCAGTGCCGTAGCTGGGATGGCTGGCACAGTGAGGGGTTGGCTGGGCATCTATCTTTCTCACAGGATATCCTGAGGGGTCTCGTATCTGCCAAGGTCTTTCTCTACACAACCTCACTCTTTCCAGTAGGGTAATTGGGACATCCTCACAGCATGATGACTAGATTCCAAGAGGACAAGCTTCCATATGCCAGCACTGATCAACTCTCTGTTTGTATCGTGTTTGTCAAGGTCCTATTGATCAAAGTAAGTGACATAGCCAATTCCAGAGTCAGTGTGGGAGGGACTTACAAAAAGGTGTTCACACTGGAAGTGTAGTTTCTTGGAGGACCATCAGTGTAACTCTATCACAGTGAGGAAGTGGCAGAGATAAGAATCAAAACCAGATCTGCCACATTCCCAGTCCAAAACTCTCTCATTCAGTTTTATGATGATGGAATAAATTGTATTGTTATTGCCTACAAGGATCTTTACCATGTGTGAATTCCTCTAATATGTCTGTCTTAGTTTGTTCTCACACTGCTATCAAGGACTGCCTGAGACTGGGTAATTTATAAAGGAAAGAGGTTTAATTGACTCACAGTTCTGCACAGCTGCAGAGGCCTCAGGAAACTTACAATCATGGTGGAGGGAGAAGCAAACACATCCTTCTTCACATGAGGGCGGGAAGGAGAAGTGCAAAGTGAAGCGGGGAAGCCCCTTATAAAACCATCAGCTCTCATGAGAAGTCACTATCACGAGAACAGCATGAGAGTAACCACCCCCATAATTTAATTACCTCCCACCCGGTCCCTCCCCACATGTCATATGTGGGGATTATGAGCAGTACAATTCAAGATGAGGTTTGGGAGGGGATAGAGCCAAGCCATATCAATGTTGGAGAGGGACAGAAGAAATGACATTGGAGCTGAACACTGGAGGAGGTATAGTGTTTCAGTGCCAGTCAAGGGGGAGATGTGGTGAGCAGATATTTCAGGGAGAGAGAATGGGACAAGCAAAGAGGAGGGAGGTAGGAAACTTCTGGCTTTGGGGAACAGTCAGTGATTCGGTGTAGAGGAGGAGGGCAGGGAGTGGGAGATGCGCCTGTTACCAGAGGGAGGGGCTGAGCACTGTGAACCACACACATGAAGGCCAGCAAGCACGGGAAAGCCACAGGAGGTTCTGAGGAAGAGAAGTGTGGTCAGACTTGCATGTTAGGACACTGCTCTGGCAGCATTCTGCAGGATGAACTAGATAGAGGGAGAGACGAGGTGAGAGTAAGCACGGCCAAAACTAGGGCAGTTACTAAGAAAAGGAAAAGGAGATTGCTTTTTTCTGTTTTTCTTTTTGAGACGGAGTCTCGCTCTGTTGCCGAGGCTGGAGTGCAGTGGTGCAATCTCGGCTCACTGCAACCTCCGATTCCCAGGTTCAAGGAGTTTGCTTTTTTGCCTCTGCAATTCCTGAACATCCTTCGAAGTCCAAGCCAAAGCCTTCCTGGATATACAGCCTCCAAGGATCTTTTCCATCCCTGAATTCCTTTAATAGGCATATAGGGATCTGCCCCTCAATCTAGCACACAGTCATCTATCACCTTATCTTTTGCTCCAATTATTTTATGTATTAGTGACTTTTGTCCCAAACTAAGATGTAAGTTCCCAGAGAGCTGTACAAACGAATATCCTGGCTGCCTAATAGAATAAGAAGATCATTATACTGGGGAACAAGAGTCCATGTTTTTAGTCCTAGCTTGTACACTAAGTAGCTGTGAGACAAAGACTTGGTGTCCCTGTAAAATGAGGACGTTAGAATAGATTGTGTTCAAGAATTCCTCTAGCAACAGATAGTAGGAAGAGAATGGAATGAGAGTCAAGCATTCACTCATTCATCCTGCAGGTAGTTTCTCAGCATCCACTGTGTGCCATGCACTCTGCTGGGTACTAGGGACACAAATGTGGTTTGATTTTTTTTCTTCTGTCACTATGTCCTTTGGGAAAATCATTTAAATTGCACTGGCCACAGGTTCTTTATTTGTAAAATGGGAATCATCATTTTTACCTCGTCGCAGTGGTACTGAGGATTGAGTTACAGTACGCAGCACAAGGGGCTCAGTAAACCCCACACCTCTCCCCTTTGATAGTATAGGCCATGAGTGGGAAAAAGTCATTCGCGGAACATCCTTTATATCAACTGCCTCAATACGACGTGGTTTTGCACCCTGACAGCACATCTGCCTCTTCATAGGACTCCTTCTGCTTGGTGTTCACATTGCCTCCTTGCTTTGCCTTGCCATAGTGCAAACTCCTAGGGGCCCCAGCCACACTGCCTTCCTTACTACTTATAGATCTGGAAGGGAGAAAACGTCTTTGCTTCAGCTGCTCACTGCTTAACGCTAAGGTATGTGCCAGATCTCAGGGCTGGGCAGAGACCCGGAAGGTGAGAAGACAAGGCTTCTGAGCCCAGCAGGGGCTCACAGGCTGCCTAGGGAGGCTGCCTCAAGAGACTACAATACACGAAGGAAATGCTGTAGGAACCCAGAAGGACGGTTGGTCCAGGGCTACGTGGGCAAGGCTTTGGTCTGAATTTTGGAGTTTAGGGCGGGGCTGGTCAGATATTAACTGGCATCCCGGCAGAGGAGCCAGTAGGATGAGGCCCCAGAATAGGCTGAAGCCAAGTTGTAGCAAACGCCAAGGTGTTCATCCTGTGATCAAAGAGGAGCTGCTTAAGGTCGGTGAGCTGAGCTGAGGGCATTAAGGTATGTGTTAAAAATGACAATTGGCAAGCATGGGCGGTGGGCCGGCCCACAAACGGAGAGGCCTCTTAGGCAGCGAGGAAGCCTGCCAGCCCCTGGGCTGCCGCTGCAGGTCAAATACGCCTAGCGCCCTCTTTCCTCCAGCTGCCTCCTTTCTGCCACTTTCTCTGGGGAGATCCCTTCACCCCTGGGTGTCCTTCCCGCTCCTTCCCTCCAGAAGTCTCCTCCGCACACGCAGGCCCAGGGCCCGGGCGGCTGGCATGCGAGATTCTGAGGCGCAGGCGCAGGCGCAAGGCGTTGCCGCAGCGCGGGGCGGGGGGAGAGGGGTTGGCGGGAGGAGAGCGCTTGTCCCAGGTCCCTACCAGGTGCCCGTAGACGTCGGCAGGCTGGAGGTAGAAGGTGGAGTTGAGCAGCTCTTCCAGCCTGCGCGGAACGTCGTTCTCCCGGTAGTACTCCATCGCCTGCTGCTTCAGCTTCTGCAGCTCCCTAGTGGTCCCACAGCTGCGGCCGCCGCCTTCTTCCTCCATGGTAGGAGATTTAAGGCTACAGCGGGGTTTAGCCTGGGGTCCCACGAGCGTCCCTGCTGTCGCTAGGCAACGCAACGTGATCCCGACCCCCAGATCTCGCGTGGCTTCCAGGCCTAGGTTCTTCCTGCGGTAAAAGTCGTTCCCTTTTATTGGAGCTAGGATGGTATTTGCGCTCGCTGCTCTGTCTTTTCTCCCTGCGGCATTAGGTCCGGGGGTTGGGCTCCTCCTAGACTCCCGAGACTAGGGCCCTCCCGGCTTCGTTTTTCACCACTTTTCCCTGGCGATTTTCCAGAGGGGGAAATCTTTAACGACCTCATCAAGCGCGTTTTGCCGGAGCGCGGCAGCCTTAGCTCCGAATTCCGGCTGGGGTCGCGCGCTCGGGTCCCAGTGGCCCAGCGTCTTGGGCCACCCCGCCCTCCCCACGCGCCCCCTTGCTCTCTGCTGTTAGTGAGCTCCTCCGGGTTGCTAAGGCCGCCCGTGCCAGGCAGGCCCACTCTGTTGGGGGAGGGATGTAGGGGCTCAGGGCATCCTTACTGAGCGGTGGCGATCTCAGGAATTCTTTCATTCGGCTCATGTTTATTAACTACCTGCTCTGAGCCGAGCCGTGTGCTGGCTGGGCCTGCTATGATGTCCAGGAGAGAAACGGCCACTTGCCCTTCTCTGGGATATTAGTGGGGGTGAAATCAATGGAATGAAAAAAACCAGTGTGGGTTGAAAATATCTGGGGTGAACCCTAAGGGATGGTTGTGGTTTGGGCAGACCTAAGGATGGGGGATGATTCAGGCAGGACTTGGGGAGGTAAAACGGAAATGGGGGAATGGCCTTGGCTCACGTTCCCTCTCCAGAATGCTGCCTATGTCCTTGCCCTTTTCAATCCGAAGTGCCTTCCTGGCTTCATTGTACCTGCCAGGTATCATGCGATTACAGAACTTAGTGTGCGTCCTCAGTTCTAGATACTTCCTCTGCTGCAGGAGTGGGCGGCGACGGACAGGGTGTTCTTGTTCCACTCACGCCTGTTTATGTTTCCTACCTAAGCAGATCAGTTACAAGATCTGTGCCACACTTTCCCCCCTCTGGAAAACATCATCTTACCTCCTCTGCCTGTTTCCCGAGTCACTTAGTACAAAATGAGGAAGTGAGTGAGAAAGCACTTTGAAACACAGTTATTTTCAATACATGCACGTATGGGTGCAGATGCATAAAAATGTGATGCTATAAGTACTGTTACACAAACCCAGACATGCACCTTCCAAACTTCCTCCGTGTTCTCTCTGCTCTCTTACGGAACGTCTCACTGTCTGTGTGTAATGGACCATCATGAACCTGCCTTCTCTCCTTGCTAGATGGAAATCCCCTGACGGTAGAATCTGAGTCTGTGTTACCTTCACATCCACCACGGAGCCTGGGGCCCTGCAAGGGCAGAGGATGTGCTCTGCTGAATAGGTGTTGAGTGAACCCTTATGCAAAATAAGCTGACACTATTGCTGCTGTTTCCATTTCACCTTTTTGCCTTTCCTCATACACCCCTGGAAGAAAGGCACCTGCTTCTCTCCTATGTTCATCCTTGAGTGCCTGGGTTGAGTCCCACATCAAAGAAGCCACGTCCACAATCCAGCTCTCACTCCAGCCAGCCCTTCCTTCTGAACTCTTTCCCCATTTGCAGCCTGGACCACAAAGTTCAGCCCTCAGGGATGTCTTGATTCATTTGACATCTCAATGGAAGATTGCGAGTATCCTGGGCTGGGACCACCATGTCTTAAGAGTCTCCCCCTATAACCCTATAACCCATTTGCCTCAGTTCCAGGAGGACAGCGACTTGATTTGTCTTGTTCGCCACTGTGTCTGCAGCATCATTACATTACCTGATGGAATAGCTGCTCAGTAAATATTTGTTGAGTGATTGAATGGGTTTTACACATAATAAATGGTTAATAAGTACTTAACTCACAATCAGATGTTTTGGAGGTGGGTGAGTAATGAGTACACCAACCTGGCTGGAGCAAAGGGTTTCTTTTCAGGAATAATGAGAAATAGGGTGGAAAAGTAGTTTGAGGTGAGATTATGAAGAAGCTGGAATCCCATTTTGTAAGAGAAGGAAGCAACCACAAATTTCTGAATATAGGAAGGGCAAGAAATAAGTGGGGTTTTAGGAAGTTAACTTGCAGCAGTGGGTAGCATTGATGGGTTTTTGTTATACAGAAAACAAGAGACAGAGGCAGAAAATAGTATATGTGCAAGGGCCTAAACACTGATGGCAACCATGGGAATTGATGAGTGAGAGAGAATAGGAAGGAGGGATGTAAAAGGCTTTGAGTGGTTGGATGTGGTGGAGTTGGGGAAGCAAAGATGGCTTTTGAGATTACCTTGTAGAATTCTGTGATAGTTAACGGAAATAGGATCAGTGCGTCATCTGGTTTTGATGGAGGCGATATGATGCATTGGGTGTTAGATGTGTAGAGCTTGAGTAGCATTGGTATCCCAGAGAAAAGGGAGGACTGAAGATCCTGATAGACAACATCCACATAGAGTTCAAAGTTGTAAGAACAGACGAATCCTTTGGAGGGCAAAGGGGGAAAATCGTTTTGAAGTAGGACCTAAATTTTGGGGAAGGAATAGATTTAGGACATAAAGGGAAGGCAAGGAGCTACCTCAGGAAAAAGGGTTTAGAGAAGAAGGAAAAAATCAAAATCACAAAGTCTAGGGCAGAGACTTTTGGGAATGTTTCATATATATGTGTTTGTGTTTGTAGAACTGCATAGAAAAAAGTCTGAAAAGATATACATCAGCATGTTAATTGTGTTGTCCCAAGGTGATGGGATCACCAGGACCTTTTATTTTCTTCTTTTCATATTTTGATAGTATCTGATTTTCCTGTAATGAATGAATTACTTACATAAACTTGAAAAATTACATTAACAAGGCCAGGCACGGTGGCTCACGCCTGTAATCCCAACACTTTGGGAAGCCGAGGCGGGCGGATCACGAGGTCAGGAGATCAAGACCATCCTGGCCAACATGGTGAAACCCTGTCTCTACTAAAAATACAAAAATTAGCCGGGCATGGCAGCACGTGCTTGTGGTCCCAGCTACTCGGGAGGCTGAGGCAGGAGAATTGCTTGAACCTGGGAGTCGGAGGTTGTAGTGAGCCGAGATTGTGCCACTGTGCTCCAGCCTGGGTGACAGAGCGAGACTCTGCATCAAAAAAACAAAAAAACAAAAAAACAAAAAAAAAAAAGAAAAGAAAAATTACATTAACAATATTTGAGGGAAGAATGTTACAGTTATAATAGGATGAAGACTTTAAGAAGAAAGTTTTAGGAACTCAATTATTCCCCTATAGACTCATTTAATTTTCTCAAAGAAAAGTGAAACTACATTAAGTCAAAAAATCAATCAATAAATAGAAACTACCATCCCAGTCAGCTTCTGTCATTCACTCAATCAACAAATATTGAATGCCACCACGTGCCAGATGCTGTTCTAGGCACTGGGGAAAGAACAGTGAATAAAATAAATTCCTTCTCTTCATGGAATTTAAGTTCCAGTGACACTCCAGTAGCACTTATATCAGAGTGAGTCATCAAGAGAAAGTGAAATCATAAATGTGAAACCATTTTGAAAAGTTGGTGTGCAAGGGGTTTATTAACAGCTGATTGGTATTGACAGATCCAGGTAAATAACATGATTATTCATGAATATTCCACTTCCTTATTTTTCATCGATATTAGGAAATATTTGTGGGGTTTTAGCTATAAATACACTCATATATATGCAGATTTTATGCATACTTTACACATTCTTTGTTTTAGTACCTCGGTGATTGCATTTCCATTTCATATTGAGATTAAATGTCTTAGGGCATTTCCAGAGCATCTCTGAGCTTGAGAAGGGTTGAGTGTATTGCTAACCTTAAACTTAGCAAACTGGGGAGCTGACGATGGGAGGGAAGAAAGGGGAAAGAAGAGGCTCAGGAGATTTAGAGTGTTCCTGGAACATATCCACGGAGAGAGGGTAGGACTGTACTCTCCTGCTTCAGAAAGAGGAAATGATATTAGAGAGAGGATCTAGTCATGATTGTTAACATTCCATGAGTCTGTAACTGCATTGGAAGGCGTGTATGGTGTGCAACAAGAAACACTTGTCTGGGAATGAGAAAACCTAAGGTGGAATCCCAGTTGCCCCTAAGATCCATCTATGTCAGTAAAAAGAGATGTTTGGACTGGGCTAGAGTTGCCTAAGCTTTTCGAATATGAAGTCTCCTTTTAACAACAATAACAAAATTCAGCCCCTCCCTCAATGTAATAGTAGTTATATATAATAACTATAAATTTAGTGGTGTTTCTAGAGGCATTTATATTTTTATTCATGGAAATTTCATGCATATGAAAAGGGATACATTTATGGGCAAGCCATCAGTGTTGGGGGAGTATTTGGTGTCTTTGGAGTGATGGCCCCTTTCACAGAGTCCACGGGCTTCCTGGTGGCCTTTTTAGAGAACCCCTGAACTGGGTCTTTCCATCTTGGATCTCTCCTACTTTATAACTCTAATTTAAGATAAAATATCAGGACATAATCTATTGCAATCTGCTAACTGAAGACCCTTCATAGAGGAAGTTAACACTTATTCAGTCTGCATTTCAAAAAGAATTTCTAAGCTATGTCAGATATTTCCTAAATGAATGTGAATAAAGACGTATTTGTTCATTTTTTCCCTAATCCTGTCCAACACCTTTATTTAAAATGGAACTTGTTTGCCATGACTTTGATGTTCCTGAGTGATTATTTAGATGTTATTTTGGGGTTGCTATCAAGTGCTTGTTAATTCTTCTTTCCCACACTTGACATCTCTGTTGAATATCATTTTTCATAGGGAACCAATGAACATGACTGCAGGTCCCTTTAATCATGGAATCATAGAAACTAGAGACAATAGATGGAAGATGTTGCTTTTTCCTCATCTAGAAAATGGGAATAATAATGTTAACTATTTTCACTCAGTCATCACGCATAGGAAATAAGATTCCTCATCTAGAAAATCAGAATAATAACATTAACCTTCCTCACCCAGTTGTCATGAATAAGAAATATGATTACCAAGCTAATTGCAAATATAAATAGCTGTAAATTAAATGCTAAGTAATAAAAGTAGGAATTATCTGGCTAATAAATGGGGAGGCTTTTGAAATTTGTTTTTTTCTTCATCGATGTCTGCTGGCAGTAGTCATTACCACTATAATAGTAATAACAAAACCAGCCAAAACAACAGTTGCAACTACCTTTGATTGGGCATTTTTGTATGCCTGGAGGTTTACTTACATCATTTCATTGAATCTGCAGAACAGCCACAAAAGGTAAGTGATTGGCCCAAGGTCACACAGTTAATAAATAGGGGAGATGGAATTTGATCCAGGTCTAGGTGACACCAGTGTCCATGTATTTCCCCTTGTGCTCCACTGCCTCTCAAAGCTAGAACTCTCTCAGGTTCCACTAATGCTAGCTGTTGCTTGACTCTTGTCCATTCTCTTTGGAGGAGTCAGTTGAGTTGCTCACTTGGAGGTCTTGAAGAAAGAACTCTCAGTAAGTGGTGTCTTGATCATTGGTTCTTGGGCTGAGCCACACATTAGAATCACCTGGAGGTTCTATTAGCTTCTACTAGAATCTAAGCACCATTAGAAATTAAGCACCACGAAGAGACATATTGTTTATTTTAATCATTGCTACAGTATTGAATGATACTGGTGATTGGGCCCTATCCCAGACCGATTAAATGGGAATCTCCAGAGGGTGGGGCCCATGCATATACATTTTAAAAATATATGATGATTAATATGCAGCCAAGGTTGCAAACCGCTGCTCCAAAAGATTTCTCCATGGATTAGGTCAGAAAGAGAATGATGAAGCCTTCCCCCAGGAATGGTTTGTTGATGGATGAAGCCAACAAGGCCTAGGAAATCAAAGCTCCTGAGTTCTAACCCTGGTTCTTCCAGTTCCCACTTGTGTGACCTTTTACAAATTACTTGACCTTTCTGAGCCCATTTCCTCACTGACTAATATTTTTAATTTCATAGAATTGCTAGGAAATGACATTTAAAAAATCCATGTCAGATTCCTTCTGCTGTGGCTAACACACAGTAAATGGTGGTGTTATGACCAAGAAAATGAAGGAAAAGGAAAATGTAGTATTTTAGCAGTTTTGCAGTATTTGTCTGAAAACCTTTATTTAGCTTTACACTGGAATCCAGACTGAATTGAATTAAAAGGGAGCCTTTAAAAACAGTATCAGTGAGCTTTTGAGGTGATTATGCCTCCTGGTGATGTATCACTTTAATTTTAGCCTTTAGCATTTGCGCAAAATTGTGAAGTTGTGTTGTTTCACTCTTGCTTCCCACATAAATAGAAAGCTGGAGCCATAGTCAAAATGTGAGTGTTCAAAGCTGGCATCCTGTCAAAGGCTGTTTTAGATTCAGCCTTCCAGTCATTTGTTCAAAGGCCTTTGACACTGAAGACCAAAAGATACTGTTGAAGATGCTACTGCTGGCAGTTTAATTGGTATTTTTCAGGGACTAGACACACAATTTCTATATGGGCAGAATGAAACTGGAAGTAGGGTAATTATTCAGTGAGTTCAGATAGTAAAGAGAAAAGGAAAAGATCGAGCAAAAGAAACTTTGGCTGGCTGGGTGTGGTGGCTCACGCCTGTAATCTCAACACTTTGGGAGGCTGAGGCAGGTGGATCGGGAGTTCAAAACCAGCCTGGACAAGATGGTGAAACCCCGACTTTATTAAAAATACAAAACTTAGCTGGGCACAGTGGTGGGTGCCTGTAATCCCAGCTACTTGGGAGGCTGAGGCAGGAGA
Source organism: Homo sapiens (assembly GCF_000001405.40). NCBI lineage: Eukaryota > Metazoa > Chordata > Mammalia > Primates > Hominidae > Homo > Homo sapiens. The sequence continues at coordinate 116,842,708 of NC_000010.11, read as the reverse complement.
ATCGCTTGAACCCGGGAGGCAGAGGTTGTAGTGAGCTGAGATTGCACCCGGGCGACAGAGCAAGACTCCATCTCAAAACAAAAACAAAAACAAAAACAAACTCTTTAAGCAAACTCTTTTGCCATTTTTAAATAGATAATTTTTTAACTTTATAGAAGTAGCCACAGCTTAAAGCTATTTTTGTAACATAACTACAGGGCTAATAAAGCAAAAGGATACCTATAAAATACCTTTAAAAGGCCAGGTTTTCTAATTTGTACTTCTTTTATTAATATAAAAATAGCAAAATAAACAATATGATTGTACTTATTGTGAGTGAAGAAAATGTTAAAGGTAGTTTCCACATAGGGGGCAGCAAAGAAGAGAGAGGAAGAATCCTAGTTAAGAGGACCAGTTAGATGTTTTATCAAGTTATGGCAAAAAAATGTTTTCTCTGTGACTCTTGTAAATATCGATTGGGTTTGCTTCCTGGCCCCTGAGACTTTTGTGCCTGTTTTGTTGCTGCACTTGAATGAGTATTAATAAATTGTTTGACTTTTGTAATTAAACTTGAGAACCTGATTTAAGGGGATTTTAACTTCCTTGAAAACGTACTTTAAGTTAATCTGCTTAAGAGGAATTATCTGTTTGTTATTAGCAAAATCAAAAGACTGCCTCTGCCTTATAACTGATGATTTCTACAGGCCTGGTTATGAATCTTATGGTAATATTAAACCTTCAAAAGTTATTTGGGGAATTTAAAAAATTAAGTTGTCAACTTAGGCCTTGACTTTACGTTAATTATTGGCAAAGTGTAGAATTTTTTTTTGTCATTATGGTGTTGTTTTCTCTTTTTCTGCCATAATTTTGTCTTTTAGAGTTGGCAGCTATTTTGTCCTAAGAAGTTTTAGAACTACAGTTCTTTGAGTATTAAAAAAAAAAGAAAAAACAGTCACAAATGAAGAATGAGAACTGTTTTTCAAAGAACTGTATTCTGGAGGAGTAAATTCTCAGTATTTTTTTTAGCAAATAAAATCATTTTAGGCAAATTTACCTGTATTGATTTAACTGCATCTCTTTTGTATATGACAAACATCTATAAATTATTATAATTGAAGCTGTATGTACTTCCACAATTATTTAAGGTGATGTATGTGAATGAATCTCTAATATGTTAGATTAAATTTCTATACCAGATGTTAAAAAATAGATTGAATTGGGTTGAATGCTGACAAGGGATAATGTATGATTAATCCTGTTTTTAATTAAATAATGTAATTATTATATTTTGTGATTGTGCATTCAACACCTTAGGTAGAGATTACAGAAGTATAATTACTGATGATCAGCATCTGTTTCTCAGAAAAACGTTTCCATTAATACTTGAAGGAGAAAAGTTTAGTAAAGATCAAAGACTGAAATATGATTTCTAAAATGGAAATGCTTTTATTATGTTATTAATGATGTTTGTCTTTGGCCTGAGCTACAATTTTAACTGCTACAGTTGGGGGATACGAAAGAATAGGAAAGTGCGGGAGTATCTAACACACAGTTGTACTCAGAATGGAATAAAGAGTTGTGTGTATTAGGAGAAGGTCGTATGAAATTACTTTCACTTGAAATAAATAATTGAGGCAAAAGTGAGGTTTGGATTAGAAGTATCTGGGTGTCTGCCCTCATCACCATTTGTGTGTGTGTGTGCCTAGAGATACGGCCAAGGGAAGCAGCGTGAGTAACTCAGGCTTCACTCTATTCCACTGCCTTTACCGGAGCTACCAAAGTGCCCTGAGGGAGCTGCACTTGTTAAACAGCTACTGTTAGATTGTTGTGAAAATTGGAGTTGATCAATGAACAACTGATTGATTTAAAACATCACTGAGCAATCCTAGGTAGTCATCCTTCCCAAAGGTCACAACCAAATATTTGTACTCTATCTAGTCTTACAAACTTTCGGGAAACTTGAAAATGGAGAAGACAGTGAAACACACAAGGCAGGAATTCGGTCTGAATTAAGCTTAGATCTCTGTACCTCCTAAAGGATTTTCGGACTCTAACATGTTAAAAGCAGAGTTCCCATTTGAGGGAACTAGTGCCAAATTTCTTTTTGATGTAAAATTATTCTCAGCCAACACTTGTTGAGATTCCTATTAACCATGGACCTGACCTGAACTTTGGTTGCCTAATCATAAATGCTTTCTTTTCTTTATAGCTAAGCTGACAGGAAAAATAGAGTTTCTGTGCTGATTTTGAGAATACAGAATCAAATACAAAATCAAAGGCTATGTTTTTTTGGGGTAAGAACAAAGGACTATAACTTTTATTTTAAAGAGTGATATTTGAAATAAATAAAATGTATATTTATCAATGTGTAAGCTTTAGAATGAATGTTTTCCTGTGTATCATCATTTCTTACTTTACTGAAAATACAGCCATTTTAAATTCTAAACCAAGAAATTAATATTTGCAAGAAAAACATGATCTCTTCAATTAGTAATTTTTTGTATACTTCTTATAAACCGAATGTTGGAAAATTAGTTGTCTTTTTCAGAGATAATTGTAAGTCTGCAAAACAGGATATGCAGTCAAAATCAACTCAAAACAGGAACTCTTTTAAATTTATATTTGCAAGAGACTTTATCTCCAAATATTATTTATTATATGAGAACAAAATAAAAATCACCATGTGTTTTGTTTTTAACTAAAAAGACCTGGCTTTCCCGTCCGTATGTATGCTGTCTTGAGTTCAACCCCAATTCACTAGGGGCATGCCTTGGGCCTTTCACATTCTTTCAAGCCCCAATACTAAAGAAAAAAAAAAAGGCACTAACCTTCTTGGCACAAAACTAGACCCTGGCTGGTATATCAAACATTGCACACACGTCTGTACCCTCTGGGGTTAAGGCTCAGCTGCCACATCAGGATCAGTCCATATGATTACTATGTTTACGATCATGCAGTTACTATGTTTATGATCATATGATTGCTATGTTTTTGTTTATGATAGACTCACCTTGCTTTCAAATTGAGACTTTAAGATTATACACGTCATGCCATCCTGTCTCATCTATTTTTGACAAAATGTGTAGGTGAGATTTTAGGTTTTTTTTTTTTTTTTTTTTTTTTTTACGGTAGGCATCTACGAAGTCCTTTGGAATCAGTCACACTTGTGTTGATTACTAAAGTGCATCTCTTTCAATGGGGTATTTTTAAATAAGCTGTAACTTTGGATGGATATTACTGGAGGAATGGAGCTGTGATCCCTGTCAAACTGAGAAAAACAAGGGTATGGGAAGACTCCTTTGGCTACTTAGTGCTTTGTGACTTTTGAGGAGACTTTGCAGCACGTAATTCTAAGAAAATTGTAGGAAACAGCAAAGAAGAGCCGGGGTCTTCGTGGGGGAGGGGAGCGAAGTCTGTGCTCATGCAGCTTCAGTAATGTCTGACTTGATCCTAAACACTGCGGTTGAAATGTTCCTTTAGAATGATCTTGTGCATTCCACAAAGGCATAAAATAGTAAAATCTGTTTCTTTCCTTAGCCAGTAGCTCTATATTAATTCAGGAGCTATAAAACAAAGTTCAGATTGATGTCGTTTTCCAACTGTGAAAGTATATTCACCTTATGTATTGAATACAAACATTGCAACAGGCCCTGTTACCCGCTAGCCTGACTGTTAGCTTTTTATTAAAGTATAAAGGATCTTTACACTTCTGTGTGTTAACTTTTAGTGGATGAAATACATATTGGTGACAAATGTAAACACACGGATTTACTAAGTACATAAGGTGCTCAGGTTGAAATGTGTGTGGCTCTCACTACATAAATAAGTTGACAAACCTGAATTATGAAGAATTTAGCAGTTACTGCTCAGAACAATCACATATTAGCCCGGGTTAGAATTCTCATCTCTCTGTGCATTTAACCGGCTGTGCCTTGACACAGAAATAAGGCAACATTTTTAAAAATGCAGTCTTTTATTTTTTTAAAGCAAGCCCCAGCATCTTTACAAACCCTCTTTTGTATGAAGTTAAGACAAACTTAGCTAAAGGTTTAATTGTACCTTGTGAAGTCAGATGGTTTAAAATGTGCTATGGAGATCCATGTGATAAGATGTAAAGCATAATTTTGTTGCCTCTGAACTTTGGAATTCTAGGCAGACCTCTTGCATCAAGTACAAATAAACCAAAAAGGGGCATGCAGAAGTGAAACCAGTCCTGTGGCTGTTGTCAGATTTGACATTCATTCCACTGATGATGTGTGTGTTTGGCTTGTTTTTCTCCACTTCAAATGTTCTGTTTTCCCCCCCTCCAGAAATATGGTGAAACGGTGTTAAAACTGTCCACACACACTCTCACTCTGGGCATTCATGCAGAGGACACTCAGCCTGAGGACCAGCAGCAGGCCAGCAACCCCTGCCTCCCTCCCACACAGAATGCCACCTCCCGGGCCCTCCCATCCCACCCTGCCTTGCTGTGTTGCTCTGTACGAATGGGGTTTCTGTTTCCAGCCTCGATAGTCCAAGCTCTTCTCTTCTTGGATGCAGGGGCTTAATTCAACCCACTTTCCTGTGCCTAGACCACCGATCAAATAGGCAAAGCTACTAGAAATTGTCGTGTGGAGTAATTTACCGCTTACTATCTATTTCCCATGAGAGTATATAAATCTTGTTTTTTTTTAAGGGACTCAGAGCCAGGCAGAACTTTTGGGGTTATTAGTTTCATATTTTATTTAGTTCTATATTATCAAATTAAACATCTAATTATATGTGTTACAGGCAAATTAAAAAGAAAAACCCTGTCAGTATGAGCAAATAGAAACACATTTAAATTCCTGTTTAAAAGGCTATCAACATAATTCTTCATATTCGGGAATCAGTTTATTTAATGGGCTTAGATTTAAAGAATTTTTTTTTTTTGCATTCTTTTTACTAAATAGGTAGATAAAAATACCTTTTATTATAGGTAGGAAAATACCTTTTATTATATACAGTATATTTTGGTATAGTATGTGTTATTGCCCTAGCTGGATATCATGTATATTCTGATAGTATTAAAGTATTTTAAAATCTAAAATCCCCAGTCTCTAAATTCTAAGGAAAAAAAATGCTGCACATATGTTCAGCTATGGAAGTTGTACCATGACCTTTCAGAGGGTTTAGCTGCACAAAGTTCTACGGCTTTTTCAGATTTATTGCCATAGATGGTCTTTTTTATAGCTCAGTTCTCTGTGCTCTTTGTCAGTAAGTAGGCAGATGTTTTTGCCTTTTTATAAAAGTGTGATAATAGGCATGTCTACTGCCTTTACTTCATCAGCTAGAAGAACCATATCCATGGCTTATCCTGATGACAGGTGATTCACCTGAGCTTTGTTCCCAGATTGGTAGCGGGCAGCATGGCGTGTCGTAAGTGGCCCTTCCCACCAACTGAATTGAAAAAGGTTTCTTTCTGATTTAGATATAAACTTACACTTTCACCTGTCGGAGGAAAATGAAACCATCACTAAGAGTTTTTTATTTTGTAGGCAGGTTCATGTCTGTGACAAAGTGATTTATCCCCAGGTAAATTACTCCTTCACATTGGTGTGGCAATGACTATTTAATAAAGCTATTTATGAAAACTCCTTAAGTGTGTGGTCCCCGTTCCCACAGTGTGTCACTGCCGCCGCCAAGTGACAGGTCTGAAAAATCAGCAAATCCTAAACAATTAAGGCATCAATTCCTCCTTCCCAAACCAAGGCCCCTGCTACCTCCTAGATAAAGATAGTGTATACTTCTGTAAGGAGAAACGAAGACCCTTCCCCAAATCACACTGGACCCTATATGGGTGTCCCTCCAAATTCATGGCCTCTCAGAGAAGAATGGCATGGGTGATGAAGAAAAGAATTTCTTTCTCTGAACGAATAGATGTAATTTTAGGGTTGAAGGAGTTTGTGTGTGTGTGTGTGTGTGTGTGTGTGTGTGTGTTCGGTTCGTTTACCACAATTCTACACTAAAATCATACCATATAGCAGGGAAGAAATTCTGTGTCTTAAAAATCCACCAGTCACACCAAAAATTTGTAACTCCAGGAACACACAAATACTTGGGGATGTATGCAAAGACTGTTCTCTTCTGCAACCTCATTCTTGAACGGGGCTAAGAGCTTTTCAATTGCTGTGACATTTTCAGCCAGGGAAGTAGTAGTTGTTGCAGAGCAATGTTTTACAGGCAATTACTTTATATGATCAATGGAGCAATTCCCCTTCCAGAAAGGAACCAAAGCGATCTAGTTAAATCATTAAAGAGAGAAAGAGAGTGGGAGAAAGGGTTCATCTCATTAGCAGGTGCCAGTGCTGCAGGCTCCATGGCGGCACACAATGTCACTGGCCCTTTAAGACAATGACTATGCTCCCTCCACCACTGCCACCCCCTCCCCTGTAGCTGTTGACAGGTCTAAACCTCCCTAGCAGCCCATTGTGGCCACAGTAGGAGGCACCTGCAGAAAATGTGCCAAAGCCAGGCAGGGAGCAAGAGCTTTTCAATAAGCTCCGCAGCTGGAGAGGAGAGGCAACACTAAACAACCAGCCTGGGCCCAGGCATGTGATGGGAAAAGGGGTCAAAAACAGACACCTCCTATGGGCTTTCTGAGCACTGTTCGGTTCAATTTGCTGACATCTTCTAGCTGGCTTTTCTCTATTTGCTTAATATGCTGAGGTATTTAGCTTAAAAGCACTAAATGCCCCATCATGATGAGCCGTTTTCTCTTTCCCCATTTACTGTTATTAAGGACATTTTCCAGCATTTTCACTCTCTTTCTGCCCCAAACTAAGATTGTTTTCTTTCGCTCCTCTCTCGTGACTACTCACAGGCATTCACCACCACACACCGCCGGCTTGATTTTACTCATCTTTAATTCAGGGATGAGTAAAGCTCTCCAAATTTAGGATCTGTGCTACCTTTATAAAGCACACACTCCTGACTGCTTTCGGCACAAGTGTGGAAGCTGAATTCTTGCATTCCAACTAGTAAACATGTATTGTGCATCTACTGTGTACCCACCAGTGTTCGTGGGGCTTCTAGAAATCCACAGGTGAACAAGATATGCTTTTCCCCTTGTACTGTTTAGGAGCCAGCAGAGGGAATGAATAGCTAATGTAACTGTGGGTTCTAGGAATTTGTTTTACACCCAGTCGCTTGTCTTTGTAATATCTACAGCCCTTTTAAGAATAAGCAGGAGTGGAGGCAGAGGACGAGGAGTACCCTGGGATGGGCTGGTGGTACATTGGCTCTGTCAAATGTGCCTTGGGGAACCAGAGGACAGAGTCTCGGCGTCATCTCTCCAAGGTAAATGGAGAAAGAACCGGGCCTCGTTCCTCAGTTTTGGCAGCTCTTGTTTCTCCACGACTCCTTACGTGCACACAACGCTTCCTGGTTTTTGTAATTTTCCATCTATTTTTTCTTTCTTGATGTAGTAAGGCATTATCTCTGTCTTGCAGATGAAAACATCTGAGACTCAGGGCTAAGCACCTTGCCCAAGGCCACACAACAAGTAGGTGGTAAGTGTACAGGCCTGCCAGGGACCCAGCTCCTCTGCGCCCACCTAAATCTTTGCTTCCCTCCTGCCGGGTGCTGCCTCTTACAAACCGTCAACCAGCACGAGTACGCGACTTAAGAGCAACATGGAAACAAATCGACATTTTCACAGTGCAACTCTTTTCCCCCCTCCTACAGATGGAGAGTGTTGGCGTGTACGGATTCTGTGGGTGTAAAGCAAAGAACAAAATGAAGTGTGATTCAAGGTGGGAAATAGCCGCTTCAGGTAGGAAATTAACTAATGTGTGTAAGTATCAAACTGGCATCTGAAATAACTGCCCCAGAACCTCATTCCTGTCGAGAGGGACTAGGTATGTTTAAAACTGGGACGTTTAAACTTCTGCACGTGTAAGATGTTTGCCAAGCCACTGCTGCAAAACCTGCTTGTTCAGAACACCAGCAAGGGGGAAGAGGTTTGAGAGAATTTCAGAGGCACCCTTGAGTCAGGAAACAAATTCGTTTCCCACCTATCCAAAGCCTAGAATCATCGCTGGCCACACTCACACGCACAGATTGTGGACCTAGCATCCGGGTAGCCTACCGGCCTCGTGCTGTCTTACTGCCCTGCTCTGGTGGCCCTGGGAGATTGGCTCTGTGAGGGCCCATACAAAGGCAGGAAGAGATGGCCTCTCGCTCTTCTGGACTTATTTTTGCCTTAACATGTCTCTCCTCTCAGAGGACTGGTCCTCTTCCTCCTTCTTCTTTGGTGCCTCCCTCCAATTCTGGAGAAAACAAGTGGACTATTCATGTAAAAAGAGAAAGACTGAGAAAGGGAGGGGGAGATGCCACCGACAAACTCCATTGAAAGCCACTGGCTGTTCATTTACATTCACACTTTTAAAACATGTTAACTAATGATGTTAAATGGTTTGCCAAAGGTCCTGGCAGGTCAGTTGTAGAAGTGTCATTTCTGCCTAATTAGGGCTCTTGTGGCTGCCTGGGGCCTCCCAGTGCAACCGGTGACAAGCCGAGAACTGACAGCTTCAATTGCAGCCAATAGGAAGGTTGGGCTGGTCATGTTTTCCAACTCAGCCAGGTGTTTGCTGAATGGGGGAGGGGCCTGGCGAGATCTGAGCGCTTCTATGATCCTTTTTCTTTTACTGCTGCCTCCCAAGTCCTTCCCCTTTGCCTGTCTTGTCTTGTGTCAAGGTCAAGAATGGGCTTCGCTAAATCAGCAATTTGGGTTATCTCTGGGAGGCCATTAGCAATCCCCAGCCCAGACATTTCAAGTGGTCTCAGACCCCAGATGCTAGATTTTTTTCTCCGTAAAAAGCAGAGAGTAGGAAAAGAAAGGGAATGCTTTAGGTGAAAAACAACAGTAAGAAGGAAATAAAACAAAACAAAAACCCAGAAAACTCTGTGTAGCCCTGAAAGTGTTAAACTTCTGAAGACGTAATAATAAAATTGCTTAAGGAGAAAACCATGAAAGCATCCCGATCAATGCTTTAAATATTGGAAAGAATAAAAGACCATAGTGAAAACAAATTCTGTAATACTCAGTGGGATAGACAGTGCCTGTCACATCGTAGGTGCTCAATAAATAAATTTATTGATCTGAATTGGTTTTTCGGGAGAAAAATTATTGTCTGAGCAACAAAGAGTGATTGGTTGAGATTTTGCTCTTTTTCATGCTTGCTTTAACTCTTTCTATCATGTTCTTTGAACTTCTCAGTTGACCATAAAATGCTTGCTAAGTTGTAGTTCCACATTATGGGTTGGCATGATTATCTTGTTTTTTTGTTTTGTTTTGTTTTTAACGACTTAAGCAAAATACCATTAATTCTCAGCTCCCCCAGGCTGCAGCAGCTACCACACAAAGAAGCAGTCCTATGGCAATGACAGGACATCTGTGTCCAGGATTTGGATTTGACGAACTGGCAGTTCCTGCAGGGATGACGGTACTCCCTAGTTGTGTCTGAATTGGACGCACCAGCACTTGAGCACACACAAACGCACGTGAACAGACGGAACATGTTATGGGCCTGTTAGCCAAGGAATGACAGAATTAATCCATGGGCATTTGCGGCCAGTGTTGTGTTAAACTAAAGGGAAAAAGTGAACTGGAAAAAGCAATGTTTGTTTTATGAAAATCTCAGACCCAATCCTTAGGTGACAGTTCTGGAAATGAGGGGTGTCTAAAACAAAGGGCATCTGAAACTTCGGTTTTTCAGCTTCCTTTCCTTGTCTCATGACCTCTTTCCTACCCGCTGCCTCTGTTTTCTCTAATATGGAACAGTGAAAATGGGGGCCAGCAAAACAGATTGCTGATGTCTGTTGATTTTATCAAAGGAAGGTTAGATTGAGTAAGATGGCATAAATAAGCACACATAGGACAATACCTGGCATATATCAGGTGCTCAATAGCAGTGAATTCTCTCCCTGCTGTCATGAATTCTTGAAGGTTGGAGACCATGCGCTGTTCTGCGTGCCAAGTTATTTTTTCGGCCTGATAGCAGGTGAGCTACTGAGTGAAGACAGAGACTGGACGCTAATTCAGCTCTGAATCTTCAGCACCTGGCATGGAAGGTGCACAGGACATATTTGAAAAAGGAGAATTAATAGAATTGACCAATAGGCTGACCTCCTGAATGATGACTGAGCAAATTGATCTAGAGGTATTCAAAACAGTTTAGTTGACTGTCCCAAACTTTCTCAGACCTCTTCTGCCACTGACTTCCCTGAAAAGACCCTTTGCAGCCAGGCACGGTGGCTCATGCCTGTAATCCCAGCATGTTGGGAGGCTGAGGTGGGCGGATCACGAGGTCAAGAGATTGAGACCATCCTGGCCAACGTGGTGAAACCTCGTCTCTACTAAAAGTACAAAAATTAGCTGGGTGTGGTGGCACGTGCTTGTAGTCCCAGCTAGTTGGGAGGCTGAGGCAGGAGAATCGCTTGAACTGGGGAGGCGGAGGTTGTAGTGAACCAAGATCATGTCACTGCACTCCAGCCTGGCAATAGAGCGAGACTCTGTCTCAAAAAAAAACCAAAAAAACAAAATCAACCCTTTTGCATTTTTGTCCTATCCTGTTTTCCGTCCCCTTGAGACCGTATCACACGTTCTTTTTCCTCTTTGGTGACCTTCTTTGTCTTTCTTGCTGCTCCTGTACACTGTTGTTTACTCACACTGCTTTTATTCTGAGCTCTCATATCTCTTCTATTTCTGGTTCTGACGCCTATCTTGTCTATGCCTCGCACACTCACCTCCGACTCGGAGTCCTGACCTGCACAGCTGCGATTGCGGTTTGCACACTTTGAGGGTGAACAGTTGTCATGCAGCCCTTTTGAGTGCTAAAAAGTGACCACTTAAGATTTTCCTCGTGGTTAGGAAGATGAGTATTTTAAAATCATTCTGGAGGAGATTAGTGGTAAAGAAAACCTTCCTCAGCAACTAAATCATTGTGGAAAAATAAGCCAATTAGTCACTAAAACAAAAACCTTTTGAAGACTTGTGAACAGAGGAAAGAACATGTGAATTACAGGTTTTCTGTTTTGTGGCATTGATAGACTCCAGTAGTATTCATGATCGCTGATCATCGCGATGGGGACCCCGGAAAGGTGAAATTATGTTCAGTTGAATATTACCTAACCCTTCTCAAAGGACAATTTGATTTTGTTATTCCATTGTTAAGGGCTTTTTGGTGGCCCTTCGAGATCTGGCTCTGGCTTCTCTTTGACCTTGAACCCTCACTCTGGTTGTGCTGATCTGCTGACCGTCCTCCGGACACGGTAGGGTGCTCCATGCCACAGGGCCTTTGAACAAACCTTTCTTATCCTTGGAATAAATGCCTTTTCTTCCTTTTGTTCCCCTGCCAAACACATGCTATTAGGAAAGATTCAACCCCATGTCATCACCTCCACAAAGCTTCTCCTGACACCTCCCAAGTTAGATTGACCTTTTTCTCTTTTGTGTCCCCCACTGTCGAACTTGATGTTCTTGTCAATGACAACAATAGTGGTAACAATGATGGTTTCCTTTCATTGAGTGCCTTTTGGTTCCAGTAAGTGTAAGTGCTTTCACTTGTTATATCATTTAAGCCCTGCCACCCTATGAAGAGGCCACTATTATACATACAGTCATGCATTGCTTTATGACAGGGATATGTTCTGAGAAATGCATTATTAGGCAATTTCATCATTGTGTGAACATCATAGAATGTACTTCCACAAACCTAGATGATATAGCCTGCCTCACAACTAAGCTATTATATGCAGGACAGTCTGCTGCTAGCTGCTTCTAAGCTACAGACCATATATATGTATATATGTACATATCCTCTCCCTGCCCCTCTTGCTCTTTATATATATATGCATATACCTATAATATATGCATATTTAGATAGGCTTTTATATGTATATTGTATATATGTACATATATACATTTATTTTTTGAGACAGGGTCTTGCTCTGTCTCCCATGCTGGAGTGCAGTGGTATGATCACGGCTCACTGCAGCCATGACCTCCCAGGCTCGAGGGATCCTCCCAGCTCAGCCTCCCAAGTAGGTGGGACTACAGGCATGCACCACCACATCTGGCTAATTTTTGAATTTTTTTTTGTAGAGATGGGGTTTCACCATGTTGCCCGGTTCTCAAACTCCTAGGCTCGAGTAATCCACCCAACTTTGCTCCCAAAGTGGTGGGATTATAGGTGTGAGCCACCGCAACCAGCCCATATATGCATATTTAATATACATGTGTAGCATATACATACACATATACACATCTATGCATATAAATTAACAATATGTATATATGTGCATAAATTCACATATATTTTCTGTATAAAGACAGCAAGAGAGGCAGGCGGAGAAAGAATCAGTTGCAGTCTGGAGGAATATACGTGTGTTACATGGTTTCCCTGCCTTTAAATTCTCTGTTAATCTGTATTCCTTGTAAAGTAGATGACAGCATGTATCTTGGCCTACATGTTTCTAAAGACAAACCTCTAAGCTCTTGAAGTTCTGCCATGGTGTATCATAGTACATTGAAGTCAGAAAGCCCATTAGAGGAGGAGGATGCCTGGCTAGAATAGTGTTCTTGAGTTTTTCCATGTGTATTGTCTCAGGTAGGAAGATGACAAGTCCTACTTTGTTCTTGTGTGATTCCCCATCATTCAGTCTGTGGAGGCTGAGCTTGTTAATGGTGGTGAACACGAGTTTCGTTCTTTGCCAGGAGTGCCCACCAGTGCCCATAACGCCCTCCCGGAATGTGCCGGGCAGTATGTTTAGGGTAAGACTGACTAACGACCCAACACTGACAACGGCCTTAGCACAAACCCAAAAGGCTCTGCTAGAGCTCAGAGGCAGCCACGAGATTGGGAGAGCTGGATGACGGTTTGCTAAGAGAATTCAAGCTGTCAGTCCTCCTGTGTATCCTTTGGATTCTGTTATGCTGTTGCTTGTAGAGGGAAAAAGTTCATGTGTCATTTATATACAAGTGCCCATTTGACATTGAGTGAGTCACATTTATTTTACCCTATATGAACACAAAATCTCTGTTTTAAAATCAGATTCTAGAACTTTAAAAGGGTTCTTATGTATTGTTCTGAAGTAACTCAGTGGCTCTTGGTGAGCCCGCCCCACCTGGCCTGTTGGGTGACCCTCTTCCTGCCCCCTCACCGGTTCTGCTCCTTGTTCCTCTCTCTGCGCCTTGGCTCCCCTTCCCAGAGCCCTTCCTCTTGGTCTTGCCAAATCCTGCCCATCCTTTGAGAAACGCTTATGCCCATGGCTGTCTTACCCCTTCCTGCTTTGCTGTGGTATCCATTAGTCTGTTCTCGCGCTGCTAATAAAGACATACAAAAGACTGGGTAATTTATAAAGGAAAGAGGTTTAATGGACTCACATTTCCACATGGCTGGGGAGGCCTCACAATCATGGTGGAAGATGAAGGAAGAGCAAAGGGACTTTTTATGTGGCGGCAGGAAAGAGAGCTTGTGCAGGGAAACTCCCATTTATAAAACTGTCAGATCTCATGAGACTTATTCACTACCATGGGAACAGTATGGGGGAAACTGCCCCCATGATTCAATTATCTCCACCTGGCCCTGCCCTTGACACGTGGGGGTTATTACAATTCAAGGTGAGATTTGGGTGGGGACACAGCCAAAATATATCTGGCATATGCAATCTGATCACCCCTTCCAAACTTCTCTCTTAAAAATGCAACATTCTGACAGCATGTGGAGGCTTGGATGGAAACACGGTAAAAATTACAACATTGTTTCTCACACTTTTGCACCAAAGTGATACAAATCGCAGAGCTGAGGCAACTGGTGTTTCTGCGAGAATGGAATGGAATGTGGTTGAAATTTTGTGTTGTTTTTTAAATATTTGCAACTATTTGTCATTCTTCCATAAAAATCAGAATTCATGGTTGTGTACATAAAAGTAATTTTCTAAAGTGTGCCTTTGTGTGTCCTTGATGCAGGACCAGCTTGGACTTGTGACCTGTGCAGTCACACAAGGCCCTGCACGTGGTTTAATGCTCCGCTGTCACCATCTTGAAATTCTTAATACCTTGAACGAGGGGTCCTGTATTTTTGTTTCATGCTGGGCCCAGCAAATTACATAGGTGGTCCTCCCTTTGGGGTTCTGCAAGGCAACTAACTGTGAAGCATGCATCGAGTTACAGTTTTAAATCTTAACATGACTTCATCTGTTATGGCCTACCCAGGACAGTGCAGGAAGCTGGGTGCCCTTTAAGAAAGGAGTCTGGGCTGAAGGAGATGGAGAGGTAGGAAGGGTTGGGGTCCTGAATGCCAGCTTTGCCAGGGCCATGCCTCGCAGCCATGTCCTTCCTGCCTGTCTACCACAGGCCAGGAGGTGAACAGTCATTCTGTAATTCACATGCAGTAAAGCTTTTTGAGAGTTCTGTTTTTCACCTGGAACTGCCAAGTCATTTGGTGAAGATTTCCTGCTTGTTTGAAGTCTGCAGAGAAAAACCGCTAATGAAACATACCACATTTGGAAATGAACTTTTTAAAGTATGTATCCATAAGTTCTTATTTCAGCTCTTCCTTTTATTCTATAAATGCCTGTCTTATTTCAAAAGGGACTTTCAGGCAGAGGTATAACAACATAATAAGAACAATACATTTGAGAAACAGAACTGAAAAGAAACTAAGGCAAAGTCAGGGGTAAAATTGGATCACAAATGCATACCACGAGGTCTTACTGAATTTAAAATTTACAAATGCCTGTAAGCTTCCCAGTCGCAGAACAAAGGAACACAATTGGTCATATCTATATGCAGCAGGAGAAGGGTTGGGCGGACAGCAGCTCGCAACTTGGCTTCCACCGTCTGCCGCAGAGAATTTAGAGGCGTCTTGGGAACATGAGTGGGGCTATCCAGGAATCTGTTTACCTGAGGGACTAAGTCCTGTCCCTTGGACATCCCCAAATAGTCCAGAATGAAGCTTTATTTGGAGAAGAGGGGCAGTTCGGAGCACTTCATGACGTCTTGTCACCCAGTTTGTCCCACATCTGCCTTCAAACTGAGTGGGACTTGAGCAAACAACACCCAGAGCTTCACTCTTCCCCACCACTGCGCTGGCCCTGCGGTGTTGTGAGTTGGTGGCTCCAGTGACATGGCAGTGGCGGTGAGCCTGGCGCTGGCAGTGTTGGTGACACTCACGTGGTGGTGGTGGCACCAGCACTGGCGGTGTCTGTACCAGCAGGAGAGGTAGCACCGACACCTCCAAAGTGGATGCAGCAGCATCACAGTGGCTACAGGTGCCAATCGGCTGTAGTAGGTGTGGAGGCAGTGGCTGGGAGTGGCTCGCAGCAAGGGCGAGCTCTCTGGACAACTCCATGGGTGACAGAAGCCTGGACACGGGAGACCTTGGGGAGCCTTATCCAAGGAGGTGCTTGAGGCTCCCCCTTGAGGAAGACCTCTCCATTGGTGGGGGAATTTGGAGCCAAAGAAAGCTCCTTATGTTGTCAAAATGTCCCTTTTTTAACCTTAGGATATTGTGACCCCTGAAGGTATTAATGATATTCTAGAGCATTTGAAAGACAACAGCCAACTAGCTGGTTAAGCGCAGCTCAGTTTTTCCCCAGTGTGTGTGGGTGGCTGAGCACACATTCATTAATTCAGTGATTCATTCAGCCAACATCTGCGGAACCCCTGCTGGCTTCTGGAGTCAGATTGCGGGGATCTGAATCGGGCTTGCCACTTACTAGTCTATGACCTCGAGCAAATGACGTGATTCCTCTAATACCCAGTTTCCCCATCTGTAATATGAAATGTGAATACTAAGTATCCGCCTCATTGGGTTTTAGGAGAATCAAATGCATGTCAAGTGTTTAACATGGTGCCTGGCACAGATTAAACATCCAAGAAGTGTGAGTTATGATTAAAGGCTGTGAAATGTACAAAGAGCCACATAGTCCCCCATTCATTCA
The DNA here is from genome assembly GCF_000001405.40 of Homo sapiens. Classification (NCBI taxonomy): domain Eukaryota; kingdom Metazoa; phylum Chordata; class Mammalia; order Primates; family Hominidae; genus Homo; species Homo sapiens. Next base: position 116,826,760 of record NC_000010.11, on the reverse strand, counting down.
AGCATTTTCTGTCCATATAAGGAAATGCTACATAGCCCAACTCCAGAAGGCTACACATTAACTGGGGGTATCACACAGTAGAGAAATTATGGGTGATTTGATTTGATTATTTATCTGCTTTTTAGGAATTTTCCAGTGTATGTGAACTGTTTGTGAGATCTTAAAACAGAAAGAAAAGCAACCCCATTTGCCCTTCCCTTTGGTACTTCTGTGACACCCGTGTCGTCCATCAGTTCCCATGCAGGCAGGGGCGGTGACACTCACGCATCTGTAGATGGCTCAGACTCTCAGAAACTTCTTTCTTAGAGGATCTGCTTGTAGTTTCTGGCTTTTACGTTTCATTCATTATTCATTCATTCGTTCATTCAAGAAATACTTATTAAGCACCTCTTGTCTGCCAGGCACATTGATAAGTTCTGGTGAGTGAAAGCCAATGGCTCCCTTGAAGGAGCTGGTAATTTATCAGGGTTCTCAGACTGTCATCCAATAATTAAATAAATATGTCACGACAGATGGAAGTGAGATGAAGGCAAGGAACTTGGTGCTGTGAAGGTGGACAGCAGAGATGAAGGTGGAGGGAGGCGGGGGAGGCTTCCCTGGGAGGTGACGGGAAAGCTGAGCTGTGAAGGTGCATAGGAGTTATTGGGTGTGTGTGGGGGTGGGGCATGTGCGGTCCAGACAGAGGAGCAGAGTCGACTTCGGGGCCACACAGAGAATGGAATTCCCTTTCCATGTGACAGCCCTTCACACATCTGTAGGTGGCTTCTCCCCGGAAGCCTTTCTGTTGTATTCCTGCCTTCTTCAGCTTTTCTGCCTAGGATGTGGTTTCACAGCCTGTTTTCATTCTGAGATCCAGTTTGTTCGTATCCTTCTTTTTCGATAACAATTTTATTGAGCTATAATCCACATGCAGTACAATTCACTCAAAGTGTATAATTCAATGATTTTTAATATATCACAGAATTGTGCAACCATCACCATGATCAATTTTAGAACATTTTCATCACCCCAAAAAGAAACCCTTATACCCATTAGCAGCAGCCACTCCTCGTTTCCCCCACCAATCCCAGCCCTGGGAAACCATTAGTTGCTTTTGGTCACTATAGATACACCTGTTCTGGGCATTTTTTATAAATGGAATCATACAGGATGCATTCTTTTGTTTAACTGCTTCTTTCGTTTAGCATAATGTTTTTAAGGTTCATCCATGTTGTAGCATGTATCAGTACTTTGTTTGTTTGTTTGTTTTTGAGACAGAGTCTCACTCTGTCACCCAGGCTGGAGTGCAGTAGCACCATCTAGTCTCACTGCAACCTCTGCCTCCCAGGTTCAAGCAGTTCTCCTGCCTCAGCCTCCCAAGTAGCTGAGACTACAGGCACGAGCCACCATGCCCTGGTAATTTTTTGTATTTTTAGTAGAGATGGGGTTTCACCATGTTGGCCAGGCTGGTCTTGAACTCCTGAGCTCAAGTGATCCTCCCATCTAGGCCTCCCAAGGTGCTGGGATTACAGGCATAAGCCACCACGCCCGGCCACTTCATTTTTTTTTTAAATTTACTTATTTTTTTTTTTTTTGAGACAAGGTCTCACCCTGCCACCCAGACTAGAGTAGAGTGGTGCAATCACAGCTCGCTGCAGCTTCGGCCTCCCAGGCCCAAGTGATTCCCCCACCACAGCCCCCCAGTAGCTAGGACTACAGGCGTGCACCACCACACCCGGTTAATTTTTGTATTTCTTCTAGAGATGGGGTTTTGCCATGTTGCCCGGGCTGATCTCAAACTCCTAGGCTCAAATGATCTGCCTGCCTCGGCCTTCCAAAGTGCTGGGATTAGCCGGGTACTGTGGCTTATGCCTGTAATCCCAGCACTTTGGGAGGCTGAGGCAGGCAGATCACAAGTTCAGGAGATCAAGACCATCCTGGCCAACATGGTGAAACCCCATCTCTACTAAAAATACAAAAATTAGCCGGGTGTGGCGGTGCGCATCTATAGTCCCAGCTACTCAGGAGGCTGAGGCAGGAGAATTGCTTGAACCGGCAGGCGGAGCCTGCAGTGAGCCGAGATCATGCGACTGCACTCCAGCCTGGGTGACAGAGCAAGACTCCATCTCAAAATAAACAAACAAACAAACAAAACACTAAGTGGTGGGATTACAGGCGTGAGCCACTGAGCCCAACCAGTCCTTCACTTTTCATTGCTGGATAATGATAATATTCCATTGTATGGATAGAACATGGTTTGTTTGTCCATTAGTCAGTTGATGGATGTTTGGGTTGTTTTCATTTTGGGGCTATTATGAATAATGTTGATATGGACCAGTTTGTGTGTGGATGTATTTTTTCGCTTCTCTTGGGTATATCTTAGGAATGGAATTGCTAGGGCATATGGTAACTCTATATTTAACCTTTTGAGGAACTGCTAAACTGTTTTCCACAGTGGGTACACATTTTGTATTCCTACCAACAGTGTATGAGGCTTCTTATTTCTCCACATCATTTCCAACACTTTGCATTATCTGTCTTTTTGATTATAGTCATCCTTCTGGGTGTGAAGTGGCATTTCATTGTGTTTTGATTGGCATTTCACTTATACCTTATGATGCTGGCATCTTTTCAGATACTTAGTGGACATTTGTATACATCTTCTTTGTAGATATATCTGTTCAGGTTCTTTGTCCATTTTTAAATTGGGTTATGTCTTTTTATTATTGATTTGTAAGAGTTCTTTATATATTTTAGATATAACTCCCTTATCAGATGTATTATTTGCAAATATTTTTTCCCATTCTGTGTGTTGCCTTTTCACCTTCTTGATGATGTCCTTCAAAGCATGAAGGTTTTTAATTTTTATTAAGTCCAGTTTAGCCATATTTTTCTTGTTGCATGTGGTTTTGGTGGCATATCTAAGAAGCCATTGCTAACATAAGGCCACAAAGACTTATATCTGTATTTTCTTCTTTCCTCTCATAAGAGTTTTATGGTTTTACCTCTTAACGTTTCGGCTTTTTGTGCATTTAGAATTCATTTTTGTATATGGTGTGATGTAGGGGTTCACCTTCCTTGTTTTACATGATATCCAGTTGTCCCAGCACCATTAGTGAAAAGACTATTATTTCCCCACTAAATTGTCTTCACCCCCTTGTCAAAAAGCAATTGACTATACATGTGAGGGTTTATTTCTGGACTCTGAAATTCTATTCCATTGATCTGTCTGTCTAGCCCTATACAAGTACCACACTATCTTGATCACTGTGGTTTTGTATTGAGTTTTGAAATTAGAAAGTGTGAGTCCTCCAACTTTGTTCTTCTTTTTCAAAATTGTTTTGTTTATTCTGTGTCCCTTGCATTTCTTTGTGAATGCAGGGATCATGTTGAGACTGTAGATCATTTGGGGGGGCATTGCCATTTTAATGGTATTAAAAATCTTCTCATCCATGAACCTGGATTACCTATGTCTTCTTTAATGTCTTTCAACAGTGTTTTATAGTTTTCAGAGAATAAATTTTTCACTGCTTTTGTTAAATGCATTCCTAAATATTTTATTCTTGTGATGCTATTGTAAAGGGAATTGTTTTCTTAATTTTATTTTTGGATTGTTCATTTCACATCCCTTTTAAAACGTGGTCCCTGGAACCATCAGATTAGCACTGAAGACAGTGGATGTTCACTTCAAACTTGTGGATATGATTCTGTACTCTAACCTCAGACAAAGTTAAGCTTTTTGTGGAAGAGGTGAGTTGGGGTTGGGTGGTTGGCACACACAGCACACCATTGACTCATGTCAACAAAAGCCCCTCACACCTTTTTAAGTCGTCTGCTGCTAGGCCATGCCTTCCTTATTCTGTACCTGGGCAAGTAGCTCTTGGGTGCCAGAAATAGCTCCTTTCCCTTTCCATTGCATATTCTTGGGTCCAGGCCATTGCTTCTAGTCTAGGAGTGAGAGTGATTTGGATGCTGATTCTGACCCTGAGTCATGACATCTTTGTTCCCAGCCTATCCACGAATGCAATAAACATGGCCTCTTTATTTTCATTCAAGCCAGTGATAAAAATGTCCAATGGGACTTTGCAAAGGATAGAGGCTTGAAGTCCTGAATTCAGAACCTCTCTCTGAGAACATTAAATTGTAGCCTCTGAAGAACCGTATCCAACCAGTCCCCAAGCCATCCAATGGTCCATGCACCAAATTCATGTCAACCCCATTGAACTTATCAAATGCCCTACTGAATTCATAAACTCTTGATCTCCCTCATTTCTACCGGTCTCTTAATCCTATCAAGGAAGGAAACAAGATTCTCTTGAAAGAGTATTTTCTCTGTGAACCCACAGGGCGTCCTGGTGATTCCTGCTTTCTGTATGTTCATAAGCCACAAATCCCCTCTAACAAGCCATTCCTGAATTGTTTTCATCAGCCAGTTGTTCTCTTATCATGAGAGAATTAACCTCAGATGGAGAAGCTGAGGATCACCGAAGGGAAGGTCAGACATAAGACTGGTAAGTGTGAAGGGAAGACTAGAACCCAAAGCTTATAGTGGCATGTCCTGTGCTTCCTCCACTGGTAATGGAGAGAGACAGTTCCCGTATGGACAAAGACTTGAGCAAGTGTGGAAGTGAGAAGAAACTCAGTTATCCACATCCCATGTCCTCAGATAAACCCAAGTGTACTACTTACTTTACACAAAGTGAAATACTACTGCTCTATACAAAGTGATGTAAATGCCTTAGCGAACACCAAAAGATAGGCATAGCACGCAAAGCTGTCTTTTAAATCACATTTGTGGTTTCATATTATCTCATTTAATTCGGATTCCTCTTAGGCCTGGATTATCTGGATTACATTAATTCAACAAGCACCTACTCCTGTTTTTTCAGACCCAATGGCAGGTTCTGGTGTTTCTGAGCTGTAAAGGGCATAGTCCCTACACTGTGGGAGCTCCCATCTGACAGGGAAGGTTGACAGGTGAGTCCAGCCCACTGTGGTAGATGGTGACTTGCCGTGCCACTCCCTGAGGTCCAGGCTTTCCTCTCATGCAGTCAGGATGGCAAGTGACACGGGTGGATCAGCGTGGAGCCACAAACCAGTCAACAGATAATGATTTCACATCTATCATATGCTGAGCACAGTTCTACACATTATGCAGCACTGGATAAAAGTACAAATCCCTGCCCTCATGGGGCTTCCATTCTAATGTATGTATGTGTGTATGTGTGCAAATCTGAATATGTTAAATGATAAATGGTATAGAGAAAAAATAAAGCTGGATGGGGAATAAAGAATGATGGGCTAGAAATGAGGTTGGAATTTAAAATAGGGGTTCTGGGGAGGCCTCCTGAGAAGGTGGCATCTGAGCAGCAGCCTGAGGGAAGGTGGGTCATCAAGCCATGTGGCTGTCCAATGGAGGAGCATCCCAGGCCGAAGGAAGGGCTGTGCTAAGGTCCTGAGGTAGGAGGTGCCTTGTGTGTTAGAGCAAGGAGGCCACTTAGCTGGGAGATGAGGCCACGTAGGGCCTTATAGGGCCTGGCAAGGACTCCAGCTTCTCCTCTGAGGTGGGAAGCCAGGGTCTTGAGAGGGAGAGTGACACGATCTTACATTCTGTACTTATATTTTTGAAAGATCCCAAAGGTCATGTTGGGAATAGACTTTGGTAGGAAGTGGGGTGGCAAGAGGAGAGGCAGCAATTATGATGATGTAGGTGGAGATGGAACAGATGTGAATTTAGAGGAGAAGGTGGAGGGGTGAGAAGCAGACAGATTTTGCAGGGGTGCAGGGGGAGGCCATAGGATTTCTGGGGACTGGATATAGTTGTGAAAAAGAGAGGAGTAAGGATGATGCTGGCATTTTGAAGGGTGGAGTCACCAATATGATGTGCCAGCAACTGGAGGAGGAGGAGTGGGTTTGGGGTGGAACCTGCTGATTTGGAGATCAGGTGTTTGGGGGTCTGTTTATTAGAGTTACCTGTTAGACTGCAAGTGGAGATATGGTGAGCTCCGACTAGAAATGTCAACGTGGACTCATTAGCATATAGTTGGTACTGAACACCAAGAAAGCGGAAGAGATCCCCCAAGGAAAGAGTGTAGATGGGAATGAGAGGTCTGAGGACTAAAGCCTGGGGCATTGTCACATTCAGAGCCACAGCAATGAGGTGCAACCAGTGAAAAAGTCTGAAATGCTGTGCCGGGAATGAACAAGACAAGCAGGAGGATGTGGTGTCCTGGAAAGCAAATGAAGAGGAGAGGGTGGTGACTGGCCACGTCTGATGAGGGCTGAGAACTGATGCAAAGTCATGGTCATGTGACCATACCATTGGTGGAAACAGCAGGCAGGTAACACTCCTGGCTTCCTCCCACAGGATCAGTGTAACCGCATCCCTGACCAGGTGATCACAGTGACTGTCTCCTGCACAGATCTCAAACTCCACGCCTGTCCTCCCACCCCATCATGGTCCCTAAAAATGGCAAAATTAATCTCTTTCCCTTTGATACTCTCACGTCAACAAGTATGTTGCTGTTCAAGATGTTTGTCTCTTATTTTTCCTTGATTTTTAATTTTTTAAAATATTTTGCTGATCATGTCATATTTGTCTAATTCTAATGGTACTGACTCAGTACAACCCATTTTTACCAACTAAAAACACATAAATTGGCTGGGCACAGTGACTCACGCTGGTAATCCCAGCACTTTGGGAGGCCAGGTGGGTGAATTGCTTGAGCCTGGGAGTTTGAGATCAGGCTGGGCAACATGGTGAAACCCCATCTTTACAAAAAAATACAAAAATTAGGCATGGTGGCATGTGCCTGTAGTCCCAGCTACTCAGGAGGCTGAGGTGGGAGGATTGCTTGAGCCCAGGAAGTTGAGGCTGCAGTAAGCCGAGTTTATGCCACTGCACTCCAGCCTGGGCAGCCCTGTCTCAAAAAACAAACAAAAAACCAAAAAATCCTATAAGTTGTTTACAAACATGTATGGCTACATACAGATTCCCTTAGAAGTTGCATTTCCATTATACATATCCTACAGTAATAACGATTTTCCCACGTTGCCATCATTCTCTGAATCAGTCTTACCCACCTATCATAGCCTGTTGAGGCTGCTGCAACAAAATACCTTAGGCTGAGTAATTTACAAACAACAGACATTTATTGCTCACAGTTCTGGAGGCTGGGAAGTCCAAAATCAAGACACCAACTGATTTGGTGTCTGGTGAGGGCTCGTTCCTCATAGGTGGTGCCTTCTGTGTGTCCTCACATGAACAAGCTCCGTCAGCTCTCTTTTATAAGGGCACTAATCCCATTCACAAAGACTCCACCTTCATGACCCAGTCACCTCTCAAAGGCCCCACCTCTTAATACAAGCACACTGGGAATTAGATTTCAACATAGGAATTTTGCAGGGACACAAAGACTCAGACCACGGAACCCTCCTATGTAAAGTGCAAGGGGAATTGTCTGTTCTGCCCTGTCTGTTGTGGGTAGGGGTCAGGGGACCCAGGGAATCTAAGAAGTGGAGCCATCCAGATGAGAGGGGCACAAGGGCTTCTCAACTGGATGATGGGCATTTGGGGCAGAAAGGAAAGCAAAGGCTGAATCTCAGAACTGGGAAAATGCAGGTGATTTTGGGACCAGTGAATAAGCAGGGTGTCACGGGACACAGGGCTTGGGGGTGCTGCTTGTGAAGAAGAGGAAAAGTCAAGGGTTTCCCTTGTGGAGCATCTGTCTCAGGGAGAATGGGACCAATGGAGACAGACACATGGGAACATCAGACCCAGAGAGACAGGAATCCAGCGAGAGAGAGTGACAGGGGCTGCAAAGGGTTAACAGAGAAGGTCAAGGTACAAGCCTGGAAGCAGGAAGGGTGCCCTTAGGTGCGATGATTGCTCCTGGAGACACACTGCAATGTGTTGGGGGTAAATCTCTCACCATTTTCCTTTTATTTAAAATTCTTACCAAGACAGATTTTGATTTTTACACTCACTGATGGAAACAGAACCATGATTTAGGGATCACATACTCCCATGTCCCTTGTCCTAACATTTCTTATCTCTGACAGTTACATTTTTCCCTCTGGGACATCAGACCACTGTGTCAGTGTGTTGTGGGGAGGTGCTTGTGGCCTTTGCTTTGGTGGGGACAGCACATGGAGATGTAACTGTGTCCCCCTTCCATACGTCACTGCCATTACAGTTTGCATCAAGCAGCTGAGCAGAGCAGGGAAAAGAACCAGTGGGTGACCTGGGACACCACGATCTGACTATGGGGCGGGCCCAGAGTCTACCTCGCTGGGCTGGGGCACAATCCTACAGGGGCCAAGAGAGACAACCTATGATGCAACTGTGTCCCCCTTCCATACATCACTGCCATTATGGCTGGCATCAAGCAGCTGGGTAAAGCAGGGAAGAGAACCAGTGGGTGACCTGGGACACCACCACAGGGTAGGTCTGGCTGTGGGGCAGGCCCAAAGTCTACCTCCCTGGGCTGGAGCATGATCTTACAGGGGCCAAGAGAGACAACCTACCAAGGCTCGTAGGTCCCTGATTGTGACCAAGCTCATATGCCAGGTTGAGGCATTGAGACTTGATTCTGTAGCTCAGGGAGAACCATCCAAGTTCTCAAGGAGAGGGTGAGGTGGTCAGATGTCTTCCTAGTTGGAGAGGCCCCTACTGGCAGTGTGTGGCCAGGGAAAGGTGAGAGGCAGGGAAGCCAGACAGGAGGCTGATGCAGTTGCCCAGGTGAGAAACGATCACTCCTAACTCAGGGCAGAGACCCTGGAGAGGAAGAGGAAGCTGGAGGGGAGAGTGTCATTGTAAGGTCAGGTAACAGGAATCGGCGCCTAATTGGAGGTGGCGAATGATCCAGGATGTCTGCCAGGTGTCTGACCAGGGCAACCGAACTGCTGCTGCTGCTCTCAGCATCCGGACGGAAAGCAGTGAGATGGTCTTGTATCATCTTCATGTTTGCAGCTTATCTTGACTGACCCACATTCTTCATGTTTGCAGATTATCTTGACTGACCCACATTCTTCATATTTGCAGATTATCTTGACTGACCCACATTCTTGAGGCAGAGGGTTTTTTTGGGGGACTTTGGGTGACAAGCCTGAAATATTTTAACAATGGCCGCGATTCTCCACTTCTCTTCATTCTATTGGCAGCCTGACACCCATCGCTATGGTGGTGGAGCACAGAGAAATCTTAAATAGAAGATCATTATGTGTAGGTATGAATATGCCATCCCCCCCACCCCCACCCACACACACACACTGGATTTCCTCTGCCAGAGCCTTGAACCGAGCGAATAGAAGACCAGCCTGTCCCTGAACTTGACGGCATCAGGAGTAGCTCCACTAAGGTCACCGCAGAAGGCTGTGCCGAGGGTTAGCACCCAGCACAGAAGCCGGCACCTTGTTCCCTATTGTCTCTGGAATGCCATTGTTTTAATTAAGCCGACTTTGTAGCCAGGGTTCATTCACTACAGACAAAGCCTCTGTTAGAAAAAATTAGACCTCAGAAACTTCTAGAGAGCGAGGGGTGGAGGGTGGAATCACAAGCCACTGGCGGTAGAAGTTTCTGTTCTAAATCCCCGGGAAAAAAAACAGCAAATGGGTTTCTCCTTTTGTTAATTGTAACAAAAAAATAATAAATATGAAGTAAATCTGCATGGTGGGGTGGGGGAAGGGGTATAGGTTGCAAGAATGATTCTTTCTTTCTGCCTAAGAAATACAGTTTAAACAATCCAGATGATTCCAGCAAACTGTAGATTTCATGTTTCCACATTCGACAGCATAGTTGATACATAAGAAGGAAGAACGATTTGAATCGTGATGTCATGACTGGAGCTGCTGATTGTTTTAACACAGCTCAAGGATTGATTTCCCCACCAGAAAAATAAACTTAGCCTCAATCCAATACTGAGCAAAGGTGTTGTTGGAAGCGTTTTGTAACCCAGAGCATAAAAAGTCATCTTTTAAACCATAGTACCAGAAACTGGCGAGGGCTCCAGGCAATTTTAACCCTCTGGTATTTCTCATTAGGAAGACTTTTGTCACCCTGAAAAGAAGGAAAAACCCCATTTAAAAAAATCATGAGTGGCAGATTTTCAGGGAGACCACGCAGCTGCAACCATCGGAATTGGATGTCGGGGCTGTTTTACGTGAGCAGGACGGCGCCGGTTAAGCTTTCAGGAGCTGTGTGTCTCACCAGCTTAAGGTTAGGAAGTCAGGTGCGTGAGCCACATGGCGCCTTCTCTGCTCGCTCCTTCAGTGACATGATTTGGGTGCTGTGAAGTTTGGAGTTAGAGCTGCTAAAAACTCCAGGCCTCGGAGAAAAGGTGAAGAGTGCATTGATCAAACTGTAATTTGGAACATCATTGCCTGGCACATGGCCAACATTCTCTGCCCCGTATGCGGGGTGCCAGAGACCAGGCCAGGTGTCCTCTGCCTCTGGGGATGGCAGCTGAGCAGGAAGAACAATGGTTTCGGGAATGTTTTATATAGTCACTCGTCTGTCAGGGGCAAGATGATATGAATGTGGCAGAAAGAATGGCTTATTTGGAGCTGGAAGGTCAGCGATTGCTGAGTAATCAGGCTGAGTAAGCCAGTGGTCTTTGCGTGAGGGCTGAGACTCCAGTTCTGGTATGCCACTCACTCCTCTCTGCGGCCAGCATGCGAGTTCCTTTCCTTCTCCAAGCCTCAGTTTCCTCTCCCATAAGATGAGGAAGTAGCACCCACCAGAGAGGATGCGTGGGCTTTGATGGAGGTAATGCACCTGCACAGCTCAGCACAGAGTCTGGCCCAGTCAGTGCTCAGTGAGGATTTGTTCCAATCCACAGCCCGGCTCCTTCCTCTTAGGGCCGCGGGGGCCGAGAGGGAGAGCAGAAACACGAATTCCCTGGAGATACACATTTTGTCTTACAGATGCACTGCTTGGGAATACAGCCCTTCCAACAACAAGCTTTCTGTTTTTGAGCCTTGTCAACAGCACATGCCGAGCAGCAGGCAGAGTGCACTGAAAAGAAGGATTTGTGGCTGGCAGCGTTTGGTGGGGGAGTTGGAGGGAGTGGCCCGAGGGAAAATGACAGAGTCAGGGCCCTGCCATGTTATCCTAGAGAATCTACTTACCTGTATAAAACGGGGTAGCAGTTTCCTAGTTCCTTCCTGGGTTTTTTGCTTATTTGTTTATTTTACTTATTTATTTTTTTGAGACAGGGTCTCACTCTTCTGCCCAGGCTGGAGTGCAGTGACGTGATCTCGGCTCACTGCCATCTCCGTGTCCTGAGTTCAAGCAATTCTCCTGCCTCAGCCTCCTGAGTAGCTGGGGCTACGGGCACGCACCACCACACCTGGCTAATTTTTGTATTCAGAAAATTACATGTGGAAATGGGGTCTTGCCATGTTGGCCAGGCTGGTCTCAAACTCCTGGCCTCAAGTGATCTGCCTGTCTTGGCCTCCCAAAGTGTGGGATTGCAGGCATGAGTCCCTGGGCCTGGCCCTCTGTCTATTTTTTTTTTTTTTTTTTTTTTTTTTTGTCTTTTGGATCTGAGGCAGAGGATATCCACCACTCTGGGCAGATTTATAGGTGACCCAAAGTTGGAAGAGGCTGGCTGATTGATCAGCTGCTGATTTCAAAGATATCTCAGAAATAAGAAAAGAGCTGGTGCTAATTAAAAAAAAAAATGGGTAGGGATAAATGTAAAGTCGTGTACTTAGGTTCAAAAGTCAACTGTAAATAAACTGCATAACTGCAAGAAGAGGGGATGGTGTAAAAAGAGTGTAGGGTTTATCCCAGTTTACTGAAAAGATCAGACTGCCCCTTTGCTGTCTGCTCTCCATCTGATGGGTTTTAGGAAACTAAGTCTTAGCTCTGGTTGAAGGGAACTTATTCCCCCCTTTATAACGTAGGCTGTATTTTTAGAAAACAAATTTGCAACCCAATCACCCTCTCATACAGAACAGGAGAGGTATGTAACTTCCCAGCAAGGTGATGGTGGTGAAAGATGATCCCAATCTCGCAATGGTCCGTGGTACTCATTCCCAGATGTCCTTACCTGGTGGTGATTCAGCAGGTCCCAGAAATGTCCTTTCTCTTTTGGCTCTGAGCTGTCTAGTCTGGCCCAAGTCCTGGTCTGGCCTTTCCACTAGGACACAGCTGGATGAGGGGTCATCAGGAATACTGGGGAGGGAGGGTGGAGAGTGACTGCCAGCAGAGAAACTCCAGTTTTTACAGTTTAGCAAAAATGTTCAAACCCATTATTGGCTGGAGTTGAGTGCAAAGTCCCATGGGGGAAAAAGTTCATCTTTGGTGCAGGTGGGTGTAGGTAGCAGATGTGGCTTTTCACTTGCTGAGATATGTCACAGGTGAGCAAAGATAAGGGAAAGGCTAGGAGGCAAAAAGGGGGTTCCTGTATGGATCCTCACCAACAGCTGGCCGCCCTCTGCCTTGGGAACTCCACTTATATGTCAGACCTTCCATGTGTGACTTTATGTCTCTTAGAATCTTTTCTGGCTTCTCCTCTGTGCTTCTGTCTGAGTATTTTCTATTGATTCAGTGATCTTTTCTGCTCTAATTGCCCTTTAAACCATCTACTGACTTAATTTTAGTTATTCTAGTTTTCAGTTCTAGAATTTTCATTTAATTCTTTTTTAAAAAATAGATTCTAATTCTTTGCTGAAATTCTCTGTCTTTTAATACTTCCTCCATCTTTTCCTCTGTTTTCTTGAACATTCCTATGATAGCTTTTGAAAAGTCCTTCTTGGCTAATTCCAGCATCTGGATTATCTGAGGGTCTGTTCCTATTGTCTTTTTTTCTTTTGGATTCTGGTCATTTGGTTCTGTTTGTCTGTCTGTTATTCTATTACTAGACATTTCTATAATTTCTTTTTTTCTTAGCAACAAGGTCCCTCTCACTTTGTTGCCCAGGCTGGAGTGCAGTGGTGGGATCACAGCTCACTGCAGCCTTAATCTCCTGGGGTCAAGTGATTCCCTTACCTCAGCCTCCCAAGTAGCTGGGACTACAGGTGCTCATCACCATGCCCAGCTATTAAAAACATTTTTTTTTGTAGAGAGGGAGGGTCTTGCTATGTTGCCCAGGCTGGTCTTGAACTCCCAGGCTCAAGCAATCCTCCCGCCTTGGCCTCCCAAAGTGTTGGGATTACAGATGTGAGCAACTGTGCCTGGCTTAGAGTTTTTAATTGAATGCCAGACATTATGTATAAAAATGTGAGAAAGCAGCTGGGCACAGTGGCTCACACCTGTAATCCCAGCACTTTGGGAGGCTGAGGCGGGTGGATCACGAGGTCAGGAGATCAAGACCATCCTGGCTAACACGGTGAAACCCTGTCTCTACGAAAAATACAAAAAAATTAGCCGGGCGTGGTGGTGGGTGCCTGTAGTCCCCAGCTACTTGGGAGGCTGAGGCAGGAGAATGGCATGAACCCGGGAGGCGGAGCTTGCAGTGAGCCGAGATCGCGCCACTGCACTCCAGCATGGGCAACAGAGCAAGACTCCATCTCAAAAAAAAAAAAAAAATAGAGCTCTGGATGGCCTCTTTCTTTAACGGCAGATAAAGTAGGAGCTGGTGGCTGCATTCCTCAGGACCTTAGCTCTTGCCTGCCTTTGGCTTACCCCGTCCAAAGGTTGTAGCCTTCCAGGTCCTCCACTCGAACCCAGAGAGTTCATCAGGGCATCTCCCCTGTGGCAGGTCCTGGACTTTAATCCTCATCACCGTGGCTTCTCAGGATGGCTGGAAACTCCTAACTGCTTTTCAAAAGTTTCCTGCTTAACGTCTTAGCTTCCTCCCTCCCTACACAGTTTCAGAACTTGGCAGATGTCTCATGGTGGAAAGTGGGAGTGTGTTGTTCCGTCTTTTCTGTCCTTCCTTTTTAGAGGAATCCCAGCCCTGCAAATCCCTCATTTTGGTCCCTCCATTCCTGTGAGGCTGCCCAAAGCTCATCTGTGTCTGCGCCTCTTTGACGTCGACCCTGGCCTGGGTCCTTCGCCAGATCATCAGCCTCTTGGGTCAACACCTGGAATGAGCAGATTCCCTGAAGGAAAGAGTGGCAGCAGAATGTCGGCTCACCTTGCCATCCAGGGGCCCCTGCTGTGAGGTTTTTGTCCTTGTGGGTCCTGGTCATCTCCACAGCTCTCCAGTGCTGTACAGGAGGCTTTTGAATTTGGTCTCTGCTTTCCTTGCTGGTCTCAGTGGTTGCAGTGGTCAGCCACAAGCCACTTCAACTGACAGGAAAGTCAAGATCAGTTTTCCTGATGGTTGTGGGGGTTCCCTGATTTTATTTTATTTTATTTATTTTATTTTATTTTATTTTTGAGATGGAGTCTCACTCGATCGCCTAGGCTGGAGTGCAATGCTGCAATTTCGACTCGCTGCATCCTCTGCCTCCTGGGTTCAAGCGATTCTCCTGCCTCAGCCTCCTGAGTAGCTGGGATTACAGGCACGCACCACCATACCCAGCTAATTTTTGTATTTTTAATACAGATGGGGTTTTACCATGTTGGCCAGGCTGGTCTCAAACTCCTGACCTCAGGTGATCTGCCTGCCTCAGCCTCCCAAAGTGCTGGGATTACAGACATGAGCCAGCGTGCCCAGCCAGTGTCATGATTTTAGTAAGGCAGGGGGCAAATATACAAAGTGTGTCTTTGTAATAGGTACAGGGCCCAAGGTAAAGGGCCACTTTTCCCAGATGAATACAATGACAAGCCTCTCCGTCTCCCACTCAGCCTCTGGTTTTGTTCCAGAAGACGAGTGGCCAGACTGGGAGGAAACAACAGTCCCTCTGCACTCTGGCCTGGCCTGGCCACATCGGGGTGACTGCTGCTCACCGCCGCCATTGAGGGAGGGCTACTAGGATGCTGGAGTAATGGAGGCCCGCCCTGGAATCCCTGCGGTGGCACTTGACCCTCACTGAATCCCTTCCCATGTTTTAAGACATGTAAACACCACAACAAACCTACCGGGTAGGGGTTATTGCTATTACAACCAGTTGACATATGGGAAAACCCGGGTGCAGAGGTCATGGGCAGAGCCCTACGGAGCGCAGGCAGTTTGATTCCAGCACTCACCTTCTTCACCATGCCGTCTCACTGCCTCTTAATAGATGTGAAGATGTTTAGCCTGACAAAGAGGAGACAGGGGATGGGGACGGCAAGGCCAATCTTTTTTTTTTTTTTTTTTTTTTTTTTAACAAAAGCAAAGAGGAATCCAAGTTAGGCCCAATATGAAGGAAGATCAGTGAGAAATGCCTGGAGCAGGACCAGCTGCCTTGCCTTTGGTGTGAGGGAGAAAGGGAGCTCCCGGGTCCTGGAAGATCTAAGAGGCTTGACAAGGTGATTGGCGCAAGGAGGGTCTGAGTGTAGATGGCACAAGAGCCTTGCGGAGGTGGCCTGGGGGCCAGGAATCTTAGCCTGACTCTTATGGGAATGGGAATTGGATGTGAAGCCCTTGAGGCTCTGCATAGTCTCAGCCTCAGTCTCTCTCAGCTCCCTCTGATTCTGCATTGGCCACTCTTCTCCTTGCTTACCAAGCTCCAGCCACACCAGTGTTTCTGTTTCTGGAAGAGGCCATGTGTTTTCTTGCTCTTAAGCCTTTGCCCAAGTGGTGGCCTCTGTCTTCCATTGCTATCATGGCCAGCTGTTGCTCACCCATTAGTTCCAGCTGAAATGTTGCCTCCTCCAGGAAGCCTTCCCTGACCACCTCATCCCAGGTAGCTCCTTCCCAGTTAATCTTATCCCTATGGTTTGTTTCCCTTGTGGCACTAACTACAGCCGGTGATTATCTTTGTTTTGTTGTTTTTTGGTTTATAGAAAGTGAATTCCGTGGGGCAGGACCACATTTTTCTTTTTCATGAATGTGTCTTAAATCCCTAGCATGGTGTTGCACACTTGTTGAACAAATGAATGGCCTTGGCTAAATTACCGTGGGTCTCAGTTTTCTAATCTGTTCAACGGAGAGGAGCTGTAGGGGAAATTTGATTAGCGCACTGGTTCTCAAACTTGAGCCTACATCAGAATCACCTGGAAAACTTGTAAAACCAGATTGCTGGCCCACCCTCAGAGTTTCTGATTCAATAGTTTTGGAGGAGGGGGCCAGAATTTTTGCATGTCTAACAAGTCTCCAGATCATTTTGATGGTGCTGGTCCAGGGATCACACTTTGAGAACCACTGGGTTAGACCATCTGCAGAGACCCTCAGGCTCGCATCTTTAATTTTTCTGATAAGTGACATGGTGAATATGAAAGTGCCGTGCTTATACGAACTGTATATATAAGTGCAAGAGATGTTTTGAAACATAACTTTACCTTCAAAAGGAAAAGGGCAGGGGAGGTGGTAGAGAGGAAAGAAAAAACCCTCGTCTAAATCAGGAGGGATTAACACCTACTGATGGGGTTTACAATGGCCAAAGGTCAGTTAAATGGAAGTGCCTGTGGACCAGGACCAGGGCGTGGGGCTGAGCTGGTCTCTGGGAACAATGCTTGAAAATGAAACGGTGGCTGCAGCCGGGAGGTTTCAAGAGCGCTTCCCGCCGGCTCCGCATTTAATCTTCACCTTGGAGGGTAAAACCAGAGAATCGAAATTAATAAGGGAAGTACAGAGGCTAAACCAGGGGGAAAACAAAACAAAAGAAGAAACACCTTGCGACCCCAGCACCCCCCATGGCTTGGAGCGCTGCCTTCACCTGGCTGGGTGTTTTATTTGTTAAGCGCTGCTCAGAGTTCACATTCTTCAGTTCTCCTTCGGTGGGCTTCGGTTGTTTTCCACCTCTCTGGTCCACATAGCCTTGCATAAACCAACCCGTGTCTTCCCCGGGTCCCTCCCCAGGGATCCTGTGCGACTGGAAGAACCAGCCATGACAGGTTTTAGGTAGCTGCCCTCTTTCTCTCCGAAAGTCTCGCCTTTTCCAGTGCTCTGCCAGTTCTGTATACCCAAGAGGAAGCTGCAGTTATGGCGGTGAGCAACATCTGTCTTTTTGAATCCTCTTTTTAGGAAAGGGTCCTTTGGAGCAGATGCAGTAGTGGGGACAGGCCTGGAGAGGCGCCAGAGAGCAAGAAGCTGTCCAGGCGCTGGCACAGCAAATATTGGAACCGCCAATTTTCCTGAATCCCAGGAGTGAGTGGGTTTCCCCCGCAGACAGTCCCCGGCGTCGCTGAAATGTGTTGATGAAACAGCAGCAGCGGCAGTATTGCTGACGTCAGTTGAGCACTTCCTGTGTGCCAGGCCATGGGCTACTCATTCTACTGGGCTCTCCCGTGGAATCCTCACCTTGCACAGAGAGCACAAATGCTATTTTCAGCCCTCTTTTTAGAAACAAGGAAACTAAGGCTTTGAGAAATTTAGAAATTTGGTCAAACTCAAGCTAGAAAGAGGCAGATCTGGCTTTGAATCCAGGTGTGTCTGACTCCGGAGCTTTTGCCTTCATGAGGGTTCAGGGTGCTTTCCTCTTTGTGCAAAGGTGGGTAATGGAGCCCCATCACCAGAGGGCTTCAGTCATGAGTAGCCTCAGTGGTGGCTTGTGCTGGTGATGCTGGTGACTTTACCTGCAAGTAACTGTGCCTCATCAACATGTAAAATGTCAGGAAAAGCCTCTGCCCCTGAGCCAGGTGCCGGGAAGTGGCTCCCCTGAGTCCCCACTTAAGCCCTTTGATGTGCCTCATCCTCCCCCTTCCCTGCCTCTAGAGATCGGCAGGTGTCCCAGGAAGCATGTGCCCAGGCCGGATGCTGCTGGAGCCATAGGACAGCCCTCTAGGAAGAGGAAGGAGCGGAGGAAGAGAAGTCTGTGGAAGGAGGCCCCTCCCGACTTGCCTCCCACTCCCCGCTAGCCACTGGGGGCGTGATACTGAATTGTTGCCTGGTCAGTGGCACCGCCATGTCGTGACCCTACGGTAGCCTACTGTAGGAAAGTCTGAACATAGGAACGGCGGTGCGGGGCCCTCTGTAAATACACCCTGTACAGGAATGTGAGCTGTGGAGCATCAGATGTGCAAAAGTCGGAGACCAACTGGATCTGAAAGGCTCTCTGTCCCTCAAAGGAGGGACTCTTCAACTGTGATTTGAATAAAGATGGCAGCACAATCATGGATCTGGCCATAATTACGCCAGACCATTGTGGGGAACAGGATGCACGCTGGGCATTATTAAGCTGCACCATGAAAATCAGGTTCTGGAAATGAACAGGTTTAAGGAAACGCTGTGTTGAGGTCCCGCAGTTCTCTAAACTACAGGACTCCTTAGGGCCTCCAGTGTGCTTGTGGGGCGATTGAAATGCCCACCATGGAAATCAGCCTCATACCATGTTAATCCACAGACGCACAAACCACACTGCAAAACAGTCGTGGTCATGTGGATTTTTACTGAGGATTTCTTGGGGCGACCAACAGAGGAGGAAGTGATGTCACCCAGCTTGCATCTAAACTTCCTAAATCCTCTGAAGTTTCCTGGCTGCCCCCCAGCCCCCGTCCCCCTTTCCCCACCAGAGTTCTTCTCCCAGTGGCAACTGAGACATCTGTTCTCATAGCCAAGCTCCTTCTCCACTGTCTACCTCCAGGATGGGCCTCAGCATTCATCCCTCATCAGAAAAACTCAAGGCCCCTTCGCCAAACTCTTCTATATTCCTCCAAAAGCCCTGGGGACTTTCAGATAACCCTGAAACCTTCAGTCTTTCCAAAGAAAAAGCTGGCATTGTCTTGGAACCCAGGGGACCAGCGTCCTCAGAAACTACCTTGGGAAATTATACCCTGGAGACATTGTAGGAGGAGATGGCCAGAGGCTAAAGCCTGTTAGACTGTAGCAGGCAGGACACACTTGCCCAGCAGTGCTGACTGATCCTCCTGCCTTCTAGAGAGCTGGGTTGAGGAAGATCCCAGGATGAAGTCTGGGCGCAGTCTGCATGTCCTGATTGAAGAATGATGTCAGCCAGGCTGTGAATGAGGAGGCGTTGGTAGCCAGAGGGCCAGGAATCTGCCATGCCTGGTCTACAGCTTAGTCTAGGAAACAGCCCAGAATTGGGGCTGAACGGCTGCAGTGTGATCCTTGCTCTGCTCCAGACTCACGGTGTATTGTCCTAATGACAGTTCACCTCTGTGAGCCTCACTTACTTCCAAGTGGCGCAGACACCCCAGAACCCTTATCTCATAGAGAAATGGGGACGACCCGCTGACCTAGTAGCTAATGGCCTGAAGGAGTAGACTTGCCTTCACATAGATCAAATGTGCCATAAGATAGAAGCATTGCTACATCAACAGAGCATGCTCATCAGGCTCTTGGCAGGGTATGTGTGGCACACTCAATCCAGTTAACTCGAGGATGTTTGGATACGGGGACTGTTTACAAAGGTATGAGCAGGGTATCAGGAAGACCAGGGCTGATATGAGCTCTAAGCCTGCAGGGGTAAGAGGGGAAAGCAGGTCCAGGGACCCAGAAACAGAGAGTCCCTTGGAGAGGGCTGCTTCGAAAGGAGCTATGGCCGTTAGGTTGAGGAACACAGCCAGCTCACAGTGACCCCGTGGAAGGGAGCCAGAGATTTCATGTCTGGCCTCTCTCCTCCCTCCCTCTAGGCCCTGCACTGGCTGAGCCCACCGAGAAGTCAAAGAGCCCCTGGTTGTAGCTCCCTTGGCAGAGAGCAGGGTAGAAATGTACTCTCTTCCAGTTCTGGTGGCCAGAAGTTCAAAATCAAGGTGTTGGCAGGGCCACAGTCCCTCTGGATGCTCCAGGCATTCCTTGGCTGACGTCTGCATCACTCCAGTCTCCACCTCTGTCTTCACATCACCCTCTCCTCTCCTCTACCTGTGTGTCTCTCCTATCTGTGTCTCCTGCAAAGACGCTTGCCACTGGATTTATAACTGGGTAACCCAGGACGATCTCCTCATCTCCAAATCCTTAATTACATCTGCAGAGATTCTTTTCCCACATAACATTCACAGGCTCCAGGGATTTGACATGGATATATCTTTTGGGGGGCCACGGGTCAATCCCCTGCACCAGCCTTCCACATCTAACCTCTGTCCCTGATGTGTTGAGATGGGAGGGAACCTTCTGTCTCCCAATGGCCTCTCGGAACGAGGGCCCCTTAGCACTGTGAGCCAGGGCACCTTTGCATATCTGCTTTAAGTAGATACTGATCCTTCAGTAGGGGTGGCGTGGGGCTGCACATTTTACCTTGTGTCAAAAAATGATTCATATCATGGCCTGTGGCAAACACTGTGTCTTCTGAGAGCTCTGTTTCACATCTTTAAGATGAAATAGATCAAATGTCTGCAATAGGCCAGGTGAGGTGGCTCATGCCTGTAATCCCAGCACTTTGGGAGGCCGAGGTGGGTAGACTGCTTGAGCTCAGGAGTTTCAGACCAGCCTGGGCAACATAATGAAACCCTGTCTCTACAAAAAAATACAAAAATTAGCTGGGCATGGTGGCTCAAGCCTGTATAGTCCCAGCCACTGAGGAGGAGGCTGAGGTGAGAGGATGGCTTGAGCTGGGGAGGTGGAGGTTGCAGTGAGCTGAGATCGTGCCATTGCACTCCATCCCGGGCAAGAGTGAAACCCAGTCTCAAAAATGTATATATATATATCTACAGCAGTGTCTTCCTGTAGAATTCCACTGTGCTGTCACTCATGCTAGGGAAAGATGGCCATCTCTCTGGTAACTTTGTGCCCACCACTTCTGGCCCATGACACACTTGTCAGCACCTGGAGGTCAAGCTGAGAGCCACACTGGGTTTTCATCTCTGCCTTCAGTCCATCACAGAGGTGGCCCAAGGATGACAGTATGCATCTCTCACGTTGGACCAAAGGCCCACTGCCTAGGTGCCCTCCTGGGTGGTCTGAGGTGGCATTTACGCTCAGGCATCCTGGGTTAGCTCCGATTTCCAGCCAGGTGATTCTTGAATCCTTTTACGCAGCAAAATGTAACAGTGACAACCTGACACCTTTTCTAATTGTGTTTTAATTGAAAAGACTTGATTTGATTACAGAAGCCTACACTGTAGTTGAAGGGCTTCTTAAAACATGTATTAAATTGGAAAGATTGCAATGTTTCGCTGTGCAATTATGTAAACAGTCACATAAATGGGGCCGTTTACAGTCAGCAGGAATGCTTTTTCAGTAGCATGGTGGCAAACTGGCATCGTTGATCAGTGACAGGTGAATTTGTTTTTTTCAAGGACAAACACAAGTCAGTACCCCCCCGCCCAACATCAACGGAAACAGCTTTTTCATTTTCTCCTTTTGTGTACATTTTCCCTTGAAATCTGTTGTGATTTTAAGTAGTGTTTCTGTGTCCTCAGGTGTGTGTGAATTTCCCATCATTGTTAAGGAAAATAAAATGTGCCACATGGCTAAAATGTTTAGTTTTCTCAGCAGTAAAAAATGATCTAGGAATTCAAAAAAAAACCTTCAACTCCAGCTTTAAAATGGAATAGAACTACCTGAAAATTCCCTGCAGTTTTTGTTTTTTTGCGATGGAGTCTCTCTCTGTCGCCCAGGCTGGAGTGCAGTGGCGCGATCTCGGCTCACTGCAAGCTCCGCCTCCCGGGTTCACGCCATTCTCCTGCCTCAGCCTCCCAAGTAGCTGGGACTACAGGCGCCCACCACCACGCCCAGCTAATTTTTTGTATTTTTAGTAGAGACAGGGTTTCATAGTGTTAGCCAGGATGGTCTGGATCTCCTGACCTCGTGATCCACCAGCCTCGGCCTCCCAAAGTGCTGGGGTTACAGGCGTGAGCCACCGCGCCCGTCCAACATTCCCTGCGGTTTTAATGGAAGTGTCCATTAAATTTACTGGGGATAAAAGATAATTTACCTCCATCCCCACTATCCGTGCCTTCCCACAGGACGTGCAAGGCTCGCCTATCTTTTTTGAACTTCAAAATAAAAGAAACATTGATCAGAGCTGTCATTGAAACATTACTTCTGTTGTCCATCACTTGTTCAACCCTGGCCTCTTAGAAGGAAACAGGTCCCACAATCATTATTTTTCTCCCAGCCCCAAGAAAATAGGAGCTGCAAATGGGCTGGGAGATTATGTGCCTCCAGTGGTTTTGAAGGGAAGCATTTACTGAGGGGGAAAATTGTTTTAATCTTATAACAACCAGGGAGGAGAGTTTGTAAAAACACAGAACACCTACACATGCACTTGATTTTGTTGCGTAGGAACACGCAGGAACATTTCCTCCCACTAATGTTCCTGATGCCTCAGCGGAGGGATCTCGCTGTGGCTGGGGCTGGGGGCTGGGGGTAAAGGGAGAGGAAGGGGAGGTAGAGACCTGGAGTGGAGTTGGCCGAGAATCTCAGGGACTCGGGGAGGGTATACCCGCTACAGGATGAAGGTTCTCCGACCCCTTCTGGAAATGTGAGCCCCATAGGACGCTGCAAGCTTTGCTTTCCGAAGGCCCAACCCCTCAAATCGGGGAGCCTGGTGCCACCGCTGTTACAACTTCACGGCGGACCCAGCCTCAGTTCCCCTAACCATGGGTTCCCCTGGTTAACTGAACACGTTGGGGTGTTTGATGAATTTCGCATTTGCTGAACCAAACAGCCCACAAGCGAGCAGATTCGTCCCGTCGTCAGGTGAAAATAAGAATAATGAGTGGCTTAAGAAAATGCGTGCATCGTTTTTTTGGAGGGAGGAGGGAGGAAGGACAAGAGGGAGGGAGGGAAGCAAAGGCTATAAATGCGTATGTGCCTGTCGACCGTAGGGAGCTGCACAGAGGGGCCGTTGCAAGACAGTGCGTGATTTGTGAGTGGGGATGAGGAGGGGCTAAGGGGAGATTCTCACATTTTGCTTCTCCGTGTACTTAGGAGTTTGAATCTTTTACTGGGGGACCTAATAATGGCTTAATTGTGTTATTTTCAAAAGGGGGTGGTGGTAAGGGAGTGGACTTTAAACAGAAATGTCCAGATTTAGAGGAGAAAGTGACAAGTGGCCTATTTGTATGAAACATTATGAATGAACCGTGGTCACGCAGTCAGAGAAGACGGGAAGGGAGACTTGGTATTTACACCCTTCGTCAAGCTCACATCCCTTTGTCGTCTTTAAGAGAGTGTGCCTTGCACAAAGATGTGCCTCATTCAGAAGAGAAACAGCTGGTTTCTGGAAATACAGTTCACGCTCCGATCATTCCCAAGAGACACAGAACATATCATCCAAGAAGGGCCTTCTCTGGTGGAAGAGCGCATCTCCCAGGAACAAAAGGCCCACACAGAAGCCCCAGGCGGTGGGTGTTTTCCTGGAACCTTTGATTTAAAGGGGAGGGCGATTACACTGGGAGTGATTGTTTTTGTGCTTTATTAGAATGCCTGGATTCAGCTCAGGGGGTGCCTGCGGGGTTAGATACCGAAGCAGAAAGGCAGTACCTGGGTCCTTGCCCATGGGATCTTCCTCTTCCCCACAGTGTCTCTTGCCAGCCCCACTGTCTGGCTTTTCTCACCACTCTGCGTGGCCCCTGTGAGCTCCATGCCAGCGTGTTTGGGTACGTGTATATCTGCGTGTACGCATGTTGGCTCCCCAAGGAGTCGGCAGGCATCTTCCCGAATTCTCTCCGCACACCCTCTCGTCCCCTGCCTCGAGTGTACCTATGTTTTGCACACAGCATACCCTCAGAAAATACCAACTACCTGTCAGTTCCCTAATACGTGCGTGTGTGTGCACGCGTGCGCATGCCTCGTGGCGCCTGCGTCAGCTTTCATAAGGTAAGGCTGCAGTAACGAACAATCCTCATCTCCCGGTGGCTTACTCCAAACATGCTTTATTTCTTGCCCTGTTCTGTGGTCGTTGCCAGCTGGCTTGGGCCCTGTTCCACGGGTCTCCTTCGTTCGGGAACCCAGACTGAAAGGGTAACACCTGTCAGAGACATACAAAGGGAGAAGAGACACAGATCTGGCTGACCCAGGCCATGGCTCTTCAAACTTCTGTTCAGACTTGGCAGACCTCATCTGCTCATGTTCTGTGGCCCATGATACGGCCAAGCCCAACAGTGGGCAGGGAAGGATGTCCCTCCTGTGGGAAGGCCCTGCCAGGGAGAGGTAGGCAAGCCGTGATCGGGGCAGCCTGCCTCTGCTCAGTGGCCTTCTGGGATAAGCTGCCCCCTTCCTGTGGCCCCGGTGACTTTCCTGGTCAGTCTTTGCACTCACCCTGGCGTCTCCCACCATGCCTCCATTGTCTTTTTTTGTTCCTGTTGTTGTTCTAATTATAAAAGTAACACATTCTCATTGTAATGTATTTTAAACAAAGTGAAAGTGACCCTTTGTTACCTCTGCTAAGAACCTTCCATCCGGGAAGCAATCACTGTGACCCCTTGAAGGTGCATCCTCTCAAGTGTTCCCCTGCTCACAGAATCACATATGGTGCACGTGTATATAGATAAGATTTTAGGGAAATGGGATCTTCCTAGACATATGCACGCAGATACATGTTATTTTGTGGCCACATTTTGTGCTTAGCAGTGCATCACCAATATCTTCCTGCAGGGCTGCTTTCCTTATGGTGAGTGCACAGGAGTCCACGGGCCTGGGCAGCTCATGTTCACTGATTATTGTCCTACTCTGGGAGATTCAGTTTATTTCTAGATTTTTCAATGACAACCATGCCATAAAGAACACCCCATATACACTTGGTCGGGTCATTTTGTAAGCTGGACTCCCAGGATTGAATTGCTGGGTGAGCATGTTTTACATTTTGGTGGATGCTGCCATCTTGTTCTCCCAAAGGCCCGTGCCAGAGCTTATGCCCTCCCCAGGGTGGCTAGCAGGCCTGTTTCCATTCTACCCAGCCCACACATTTTTTTAAACTTTCATTTTGAAATGATTTTAGACTCACACAGAAGTTGCAAACATAGTACAGCCATTGGTTGTACACTTTCTGGACACAAAAAAGGGTATACTTGGTGTACCCTTCACCCAGCGTCCCCCAGAGATGGCTTCCCACCTAACCACAGGACAAAGATCAAAGCCAGGAGATTGCCTTTGGTACAATACTATTAAGTAAGCTTTATTTGGATTTTGCCAGATTTTACATGCGCTTTTTTTTTTCTTTTGGTGAATAGTTCTATGATATTTTATGACGTGTATAAATTTGCCACAAAGCTATTAAACTTACCACGTATTAGGTTTGAGTATAATAAATATGCTTTTTTTCTTTCTCTGTGCAATTTATTTTTGTGGTTGTTGGGTCCTTCTGAGCTATTGCGCTCGTGGGAATGCTTGAATTTAGATCCAGTGCAAGGCAGCTGTTCGTTTTTTCAGTGTGAGGTGACCAGATGCTAGGAACTCCCTTTCTCCAACTTCCCTGTGAACCCCCTCGGGATGGGGGCTCTTAACACTCAGGACAATCTCCTGCCCTTGGCAAGCATCAGGTTTCTGTTGCTGATTAAAATGAAAACCCAAAGGTGAGCTTTCAGTTTGCAGCGTGATTGGTTGTTTACACCTGAAAACCTCCGATGGATGTGCCATGAAAACTTTATGGGAAATTAATCATTGAGAAGTAAAACACACCATCTCTTTTCATTTAAAAAAGGAAGAAAATTAATGTGAGTGCCTGTGCTGCCTATGTATTTTTACCGAGTCCATTCCCTTAGAATCCAGCCATTATGCACATGTTTGTTCTGGATGAAAGGCCCAGCATTAGACCGGAAATAGGATGTGTTGAAATCAATTTAGTGTCAACCACATCAAGCCTTTCTAAAATTGTAGGTTTTACAGAACTTTAACACATAGCTCATTTATTTGGTAGAATTTAACTGTGATTCACATCCCTCTGCAGCAGACAAAAAGACAGAGAATCAGAGCAAATTGCAGGCGGACAGAGTTCTGAGCAAGGAAATGTGATTTTCGAAGCCCTTCTGCTCTGTCGCCCCTGCCCCCAGCACCCCCGGCTGCAGTTCTGTGCATCAGGAGAGAAATGAGAATTTTTCAAGGCTTCAAGGCTGCAACTTTAGATGACTTTCTTGCTGTTTGCATTCCGATGAGTCTTCCTCAGAGTTTGCATTTGAATGGAGAAGGGGTTAGTATAGACTTGAGACCTGTCAGGTGACAGACATTACTGCTGGGCTCAGGCTACCCTGGACTGTGGGACAAGGTACCAAGCACTCTGTAAAGGACCCCATTTTTTCCAGCCAAGAATCCATCGCGGAGATGGAGTGCAAGGGATTTTTGAGTTTCGTGGTATCTACTGGCATCTGAATGAAAAACAGAGACTCCCAGTGAGCGCAGCAGGGGTTGTGGCAAAGCTTGCCGGGTAGCTCCTGGCTCCCTCTCCCCACAAAGGCTCAGTTCCCACTGGTGGGTGCCCAGGTTTCGGGGAGAGCTGAGACCCCTGCTCTCAGGACACAGTGGGGTCTAGGAGCAGGGGATGACTGAAGAATCCACCCAGTCTAACCCTTTCATGGTAGGCACCTGTGACTTGCTGGCACCCCCACCCCCTCACCAAGCCTCTGTGAGCTTCCCCATGATGGAGCCAGCCAGGGGTGAGGGTCATCAGCTCTCAGAACTGGGGGTAAGTTGGGGGAGAGGCTGGGGCCACCACAGAAGGCTTTTATTTCTCACTAAGGCCAACTTGGTGCTAAGGGAATGAACTTGGCTGGTACCGAAGCTAGAGCCATCCATAGCTTTCACCTGAACCCTGTATTGGCAAGAAGCCAGTTGCCCATGGTATCAGCTTGTTCATCTCTCATTTTCTGGGAGAAGCGGGTTTCTAGTTCATCCTTTTCCATGCTGGGTATTAGGAAGGAGAGATGGAATGAGTGTTGGAGGAAATGGGTTTCTTCATTGATACCCTGGAAAAAAACAAACCATGGCGACGAAAATCCTTCACCCACCCACTTTTTCATTCACCTGCTAGAATGTAAATGGCACATAGGGAGAGGTTTTTGTCTGTTCTGTTCACTGCTGTATTATTACCAGCATCTGGAACAGGGCCTGGCCTATGAGTTCTCACTAAATCTTTCTGAATGAAGGGGAGTGGGTTGCTCACTAAGCACGCGCTGAGCACCTACCTGGTGTGAAGCACTTGGAGACAGCCCTGCACCCTCCTTCATGGAGTCTTGAGGAGAGATAGACCAGCAAGTGGCTGTCACTGCAGGTGAGGCACAGGGCCGGTGTGGGCTTAGCAGGCCACCTCTGGAGGCCAGGGCAGCATGCTTTGAGATTTCCAAAAGCTAGGAGGTTTAATAACGTTCTCTATTAGGAGCTTGTAGTTCCCTTTCCATGGCACCAGGCCTTGTAAGAACAGAGGAATAACCCCATTGTGTCTGTGCGCATGAGTGTGCGTGTGCGTGTGTGTGCACATTTGTGTATGCATATATGTGTGTGCGTGTGTGTGTTTGTTCAGGTCACCCAGCAGTATGTGGGAAGCTGGAATGTGAACCCACGTCTCCTGCCTCCAAATGCAGTATTGACACGCTGTTCAGTAGAAGAAACAAAATAAGCTGTTGAGTAGAAGAAACCAAAGAAGCTGTTTAGTAGATGAAGGAACAGAAGGCCCTGTTTTCAGGGAAAAGCCCTGAACAGGGTGGAAGGTGACCAGAGGAAACTGTCAACTGCTGAGAGCTGTGTACGTGGCTCTGTGAGGGGTAGTGAAGATGGGCCAAGGCTCAGGGCTGGCCAGTTGCCTGAGGATCAGGGCAAAGCCAGTCACATCCATGTCCAGGAGTGGGAGATTCCTTTAATCCTCCGTCAGTGACACAGGTTTCCTGACCAGGCTGTGGGAGTGGTAGTCAGGCCCCCAAGGGTGGCAGGGGGCCCAGTAAGAGTCAGCAGAGCCCTGGGCATCTCGCCAGTGGGCCCTGTCGGCCACTCCCTGACCATGGCCCAGGCTGCGGAGGATGTCTGTGGATGGGTCTGGCTGTGCGGTGCCTTGTCAAGAACTCAAGCAGAAGAAAATGACCATTGGTTCAAGGTCAGTTCACAGGGGGATTAGATTTTATTCCAAGACAATAATTGGAGAAACCGTATGGATTTAGTTCCAGTTCAAAGAGGTGGGCCAATTTGGGAGTGGATTTATTATTTTATTCTTTAGCATAGTCTGCAGTTGAACCAGATCATTGATTTTAATTCAGTTGGGTTTTCAGTTCAACAAATGAATGTAGTCATGAGACCCTCTGACCATCTAGGCCAATGGCTGTCAAACGCTGTGGTTTTGCAGAGGTGGGTCAGGGCCTGAGGGTGTGAGCATGTCGGTCCTTCACCCCCCACCCCATCCCATCCTCTACTTCCTCCTGGGGGCTCCAGTTTTGGGTGCTTTCTCTACCAACTTTTCCGTGTAAGATTTTGTCTGAAGGTGCTATGCTACTGAAACTCACTTGAACATTGCTAATGTGGGCTGTGATCCCAAATGAGAAAAGTGAAGTTATGCGAGGTTAAGTGGCAGACATGTCTGTCTTAGTGGCCAGCAGGGGGGCCAACTTGTCCCTGTTTGCCCAGGGTTCTCCTGGTTTTAAAGCTAAAAGTCTTAAGTCCTGGGAGCTCCCTCCACCCTGGGCAAACCAAGACAGTTGGTTACCTTGGTGGCCGTCTCATCTTAGACGGCTTCCAGAAGGTTGCAGTGGCTGCCTGACTGGGCTCCCTCCTGCCACCCCTGCTCCCTGCCCCACCCCGCCCCACCGCCCCGCCCCTCTACCGTCCACATTGAGGGAAGTCCAGTTCGGGGCCTGATCATGTCATTCCCCTGACAAAAGCCAGCCTGGCTTGGGAGACCCCACGTGATCTGGTCCCAGCCCCTGCCTCTCTCCAGAAATAGTTCTTGTAAGAGCTTCTCTTACATTGAAACTCAGAAGTTCCCATGGCTGTGTTCCCATAGCTGTGTCTTTACCCAAACTGTGCCCTCTGCTGGATATGTCCTTCTGCCTGGCTTCTGGCTAAAGCTGGCTGTCCCCTCTGGTCCTCTGGGAAGCCTTCCCCACCATCAGTCCTTACAGGGGACTGATGGACACCCCTTCCTCAGTGCTTCCGTTTTGTGGCCTGTGTGTTCCTGTTGCACTGCCAAATGCAAGTGGTGTGTTCATGTGTTCATCCCTGCCCCTCACAGAGCCACGTACACAGCTCTCAGCAGTTGACGCCATCCTCTGGTCACCTTCCACCCTGTTGAGGGCTTTTCCCTGGAAACAGGGGCTTCTGTCCCTTCATCTACTAAACAGCTTCTTTGGTTTCTTCTACTCAACAGCTTATTTTGTTTCTTCTACTGAACAGCGTGTCAATACTGCATTTGGAGGCAGGAGACGTGGGTTCACATTCCAGCCTCCCACATACTGCTGGGTGACCTGAGCCAACACACACACTCAAACACATATGCATATACACACATGCACACACATCCACACGAACAGCCCTGTGAGGCTCCTGGAGTAAGCGGGAGCACACATTTGACAAACAATTGTAAGGAACCCAAACATCTGACTGCTGGTCCACAGGTCCTTCTGCCACCCCCTAGTCAGACTGTAAGCCCCCTGGGGTCAAGGACGATGACCCACAACCTAAGAGTCTCAAATGAGGAAGCAGCCTTCAGTGGCAGCCTGTCAGCCCCGTGCACCAGCCAATGAAGTACATAGGATCTACACAGATATGTCCCATATCTATTAGTGTCTCAGGAGCCCCTCTGTTTAGCAAATGACAAGGAACTCAGGCCACTGAGTTCTGGGGCTCCAAAGAGAAACCTGTAGCTCCCCCTGGTGGCTGCAGCAAGTGCGTGCTCTCAGCCAGCTCCTGCGGATGGGAAATGCATCACATCCTGGTGGGGTTCACTTCTGTGGGATTTCTTTGGAGGACCTCAAGAAGAGTTCCCGGGGGCAGCAATAATCATGCAGGGAAAATAAAAACGTTGCAATGGAGGGGGCCCCAAGTAACCCTGCTATACATCTTTGAAGTGGGCGGAAAAATGATATAGTGAGGGTTTGGAAATGACAGATTGCAAATTTTTCTGATGTGAAGAACCTGAAGATATCACTCTTGTCAAATCAGAAAGGTCAGTCACCCTCAGCCTGGGGCTGTCCTTGGGTTGCTTCAGAACCATGTTCCCCATCCAAGGGTGGGGCTGGGCAGAGGGGCTCAGGCTCTGGGAGGCACCCAGAGCTTTGCTCTCAAATCTCTGCCCCGGGGCTCAGCTAGGATGCTGCAGCGGCTACAGCTGGGGGTTTCCCTTTCAGTGTTAAACGCTTTTGCTGTCTTAAACGAAACTTTTGGAGAAGGGACAACTTTCTAACCTCATCAGCCCTGCACTCTGCTCCATGGTCTGGAGGAGTTTGCATTTTGTAGTTTGAGTGGGGATGGGGAGGCAGGAGCAGGCCTGGGGCAGGGACAGCGTGGGGTCCAGAGACCCAGAGCAGCAAGACCCACAGGGCAGGACAGGAAGGCTGTGGAAAGGGAGAGGGGAGCTGCAAAGACCCGAAGACCCGTTGTCTTTACTTTCCTCTTGCCTGCAGGGATTGTCACTGGTCTAGAGTTCATTTTTGGAGTCTTGGATTAGTGTTTCCCAAATTTTGATCATTCAACTATTATTATTATTATAACAGCTAACGTGAACTGAGTTCTTGGTAAGTACCAGATGCTATACAAGTAATATATTCATGAAGTATTATTTTATATTGTGTATAACTTATTTAATTTTCTTCTTTCTTTCTTTTTTTTTTTTTTTTTTTTTGATGGAGTCTTGCTCAGTCACCCAGGCTGGAGTGCAGTGGCGGGATCTTGGCTCACTGTAAGCTCCGCCTCCTGGGTTCACGTCATTCTCCTGCCTCAGCCTCCTGAGTAGCTGGGACTACAGGCACCCACCACCACGCCCGGCTAATTTTTTTTGTATTTTTAGTAGAGGCGAGGTTTCACCATGTTAGCCCGGATGATCTCGATCTCCTGACCTTGTGATCCACCCGCCTCGGCCTCCCAAAGTGCTAGGATTACAGGCATGAGCCACCGCGCCCGGCCTTTAATTTTCATAACAATGCTATGAAGCAGGAAATATTATTTCCATTTTGGAAATGAGAATTTATGTATATAATAATTTATAAATAATAATATATGATATACTTATTTAATATTTTCCTTTGAATTTCATCCTCTTACCAAGTAATTTTATTTACTATAATTTTTTTTTTTTTTTTTTTTTGAGACAGAATCTCACTGTTGCCCATGCTGGAGTGCAGTGGCACGATCTCGGCTCATTGCAACCTCTGCCTCCCGAGTTCAAGCAATTCTCCTGCCCCAGCCTCCTGAGTAGCTGGGATTACAGGCACGTTCCACCACGCCTGGCTAATTTTTGTATTTTTTTTTTTTTAGTAGCGGCAGGTTTCGCTATGTTGGCCAAGCTGGTCTCAAACTTCTAGCCTCAAGTGATCCACCCACCTTGGCCTCCCAAAGAGCTGGGATTACAGGCATGAGCCACCATGCCTGGCCTCTTACTAAGTAATTTTAAAAGGAAATTTTATTTTACTACTATAAATGTAAAACTACATTACCTGTCAAATGTAGGAAAAAGCTATTATTTAAAATCTAGTAAAATAAATATGTGCCCAAGTACACTGAAAATCATCCTCTGTACTATTGGAAGACAGCCTAGCATGTTTGGAGAAATATTGCCTTGGGAATGGAAGGGACCTTTCCTTGCAGGGTGGAAGAAGGCCATGTTGCATTTGGGGGTATGAAGGTGAACTGAGCTCTGTAGAGACCTGGTTACAGAATGTTTGGGTTTATTTTGCTTTTATTTATCCCCCTTCTAAGATGAATACTTACCTCATTAATCTTCAGCCTTTCTATTTTTATTTTTAAAATATATTCACAATTAAGGCTATAAGTTTGTCTCTGCTGCTCAAGTTACATCTTATAAGTTTTGATATAGTATATTTTCTTTTTTGATCAATTCTAATTATTTTTTAAATTCTGATTTTGATTTCTTCTTTGACCAAAGGGTTATTTAAAAATGTATTTCTTAATTCTAAATGTGAACTTAAAAAAACTATTATCTTTTTTTTCTTTTCTTTGGGATGGAATCTTGCTCTGTCACCCAGGCTGGAGTGCAGTGGTGTGATCTCGGCTCACTGCAATCTCCATCTCTGGAGTTCAAGCAATTCTCCTGCCTCAGCCTCCCAAGTAGCTGGGATTACAGGTGCATGGCACCATGCCTAGCTAATTTTTGTATTTTTAATAAAAATGGGGTTTCAGTATGTTGGCCAGGCTGGTCTCGAACTTCTGACCTCAAGTTATCCACCCACCTTGCCTCCCAAAGTGCTGGGATTATAGGTATGATTACACCTCGCCTGGCCAAAACTATTATCTTTTTACTATTGCGTTCTGATGTATGAATTGTGATCAAAGAATGTGATCTGCATGTGTTCAGTCCTTTGAAATTTGTTGGGAGTTGCTTTATGGTCCAATATATAGTCATGTTTGTTAATATTCTGCTTGCTTGCCTTGTAGCCCTTTTCCCACTCTTACTTCCAACCTTTCTATGTCCTTAAGTTTTTGTTGGGATTCTTGTTAATAGCAAAAAGTTGGATTTAAAATAAATCTTATGTGATACTCTTTATCTTTTACCAGGAGCATTTGGTCCCTTTATATTTTTATTTTTATTTATTTATTTTTTTGAGACGGAGTCTTGCTCAGTCACCCAGGAGTCACTGGAGTGCAGTGGCGCGATCTCGGCTCACTGCAAGCTCCACCTCCCGGGTTCACGCCATTCTCCTGCCTCAGCCACCCGAGTATAGCTGGGACTACAGGCGCCCACCACCACGCCTGGCTAATTTTTCTTTAGTATTTTTTAGTAGAGACAGGGTTTCACCATATTAGCCAGGATGATCTTGATCTCCTGACCTTGTGATCCACCCACGTCAGCCTTCCAAAGTGCTGGGATTACAGGCGTGAGCCACCGTGCCCGGCCTGGTCCCTTTATGTTTATTGTAATTATTGATATGTTAGGACTTTATGTGCCATCTCATTTTATGCTTTCTGTTTTTCTTTTTCTCTCCTTTTCTTATTATATTTTCGATTTTTTTTCTCATTTTATATTCCCCCTCTAAGTAGGTTGGAAGTTACATATTCTGTTTCCATTATTTTAGTGATTGTCCTAGAAATTATGATATGAATGTAACGCTTTTACCTTCCTTCTATATAGTACAAGGATCTCAGAACAATTTTATTTCATTCTCCCTCTCTTGATTTGCATGCCATTGTTGTGATGTCTTTTAATTCTGTGGGTTTTTTTTGTTTGTTTGTTGTTTTCAGTGGGGACAGGGTCTTGCTCTGTCACCCAGGTTAGAGAACAGTGGTGTGATCGTGGCTTACTGCAACCTCAAGCTCCCAGGTTCAAGCAGTCCTCCCACCCCACCTTCCTGAATAGCTGGTACTACAGGTGCATACCACTATACCTGGCTAATTCTTGTATCTTTTGTAGAGACAGGGTTTTGTCATGTTGCCTAGGCTGGTCTTAAATTCCTGGGCTCAAGACATTCACCTGCCTCAGCCTCCCAACATGTTGGGATTACAGGCGTGAGCCACTGTGCCCAGTCTGTTTTGTTTTTCTTTAACTCCATAAGGCATTATCATTGTTGTTTTATGCAGTTAATGTTTATTTAGTGTTTTTTATTCCTTTTGCATTTTAGATCTTTAAACTTGGATCCATCCTTTAGAGTTTCCTTTATTGTAGTTTGCTAGTGGAGAATTCTCGTAGTTTTTGTTGTTTTGAAAATGTCTGTATTTCACCTTGTTCTTGAAATGAATTTTCACTGGGCATAGAATTCTAGGTTGACAGTTATTTTTTCTCACAGCACATCAAATGAATCATCCATTCTTCTAACTTCCATTCCTGCCAATAAAAAGTCAGCTGTCAAACTGTTGCTCTGTTGGAGGTTATCTATATTTTCTTTCTGAGTGCATTTAAAATCTTCCCTTTGTCTTTTTAGTCATCAGTTTCAGTATGATGTTTCAGGAATAGATTTTCTTTTTCTTTTCTTTTCTCTTTTCTTTTTCTTTCTTTCTTTCTTTTTCTTTCTTTTCTTTTCTTTTTTGAGACAGGGTCTTACTCTGTCACCCAGGCTGGAGTGCAGTTAGTGGCACGATCTTGGCTCACTGTAGCTTTGACTTCCTGGGTTCAAGCGATCCTTCCACCTCAGCCTCCTGAGTAGCTGGGACCACAGGTGCACACTACCATGCCTGGCTAATTTTTTTTTTTTTTTTTTTTTTTTGTAGATGCAAGGTTTTGCAAAGTTGCCCAGGCTGGTCTTGAACTCCTGAGCTCAAGCAGTCTGCCTGCCTCGGCCTCCCAAAGTGCTGGGATTACGGGCATGTGCTACTGCGCCCAGCTGATTTATTTTTATTTTTTCTTGCTTTGGATTTATTTTGTTTTGAATCCAGGGGTTGATAGTTATCATTAGTTCTGGAAGGTTCTCACCCCCATATATCTTCTTATATTACCTCTGCTTCATCTACTTTCATTTCCTTCTAGAACCTCTCACTCCGAACTCTTTGTCTCTTAACCTCCTTTCACATTTCCCAATTCTTGTTCCTTGATGGATAATTTTTTTTTTTTTTTTTTTTTTGAGACCGAGTTTCATTCTTGTTGCCCATGCTGAACTGGGGCTGGGTTTGGGGTTGTCCCACTCACATGCTTACGTGATCAACGTACATGCATGTACGTGGCTTCCCATGGATTAAAATCATGCATGTAAAGTTCATGAGCATGGTGTCTGAGACCTGAAAGTGTTCAAGAAGTATTTATGGCCATCATTATTATTATATTATTATTATTAATGATATCATTATTACATTCCCAGGAAATTCTGATCTGTTGGGTTAACATTTCCAAGGTGCCAAGCTGTGGGTCTCTTCAAGAGAACAGAGACACCTGGGCAGGATGAATTGGCATCTTTTTGCCCAGCTAATCGATAAGCTTGGAACTTTGTCTGGGACATAGTAGATGCTTGAGAACACCCAAGGCAGGAGTGAAGCCTGTTTACCGAGATGGAAGATTCTGCAGGCAGGGAAACCACATGCCCGTGGAAGAGGAGAGGTGAACTCGGGGGTGCTGGCAGGGGCTGGAGGTGGGAGGTAGTGAATAGGAGATGCCAACCTTTTCTCAACAATTTAGTTGCATCTTAGGGAAAATGGGGGCTGAGGAGGGCCCTATGATGACAACTTGAATTGGGTAAAATTTAAGGATAAGGAATTACTAATTAGTAATAAGGTAGAATTCTTAAGTGTATGAAATGAATAATATGTAGCTAAAAAATAATGATATAGCATTAGGCATTTGAGACATGTGGACTCCAAGCAATTAACCTCTATTCTTCTTCTGAATTGCAATTGCACTAATTGGCTGCTTTACTCTGACGGGGCGATATTAACCTTTCTGCTTTTCTCTAAAGGAGCCAGTATGTTGGGTGGATGTGCTGCTCTGGTTTGGAGGAAAGGTATTTTTCCTGAATAATAACCTATTTGCAATTTTTCTCCCAAATGGTTGCATTGAAAAGGTTCTGTCAGATTTTCTTGATAAAGCTTCATCTATGGAAAAGATGCTTTAAACACATCTGACCTCCTTTGGGAGCAGTTGGGAGAAATGGCCTATCTAGGCTCTTCAAGCTTCAGACATCCTTGTGTTAATAGCTTCTCCTTCATCCAAGCAGCACACACTTGTGGAGGGAGGGCCTGCACATTCCAGGCCTGTCCTGGGTGTTGGGGACACAGCACTAGCCAGACAGTCTCCTGCTCCTGTGCAGCTTGTAACTCAGTGAAAGCAGAATATCAAAGGCAAATAAACACGTAGATTTAGAATGCAATCCCAGGGCTATGAATACAAAGATAACTGGACGGGCCAGGTGCAGTGGCTCATGCCTCTAATCCCAGCACATTGGGAGGCCAAGGCGGGCGGATCACTTGAGGTCAGGAGTTCGAGACCAGCATGGCTAACATGGTGAAACCCTGTCTCTACTAAAAATACAAAAATTAGGTGTGTGTGGTGGTGCGCTCCTGTAGTTCCAGCTACTTGGGAGGCTGAGACAGGAGAATCGCTTGAACCTGGGAGGCAAAGGTTGCAGTGAGCCAAGATCATGCCACTGCACTCCAGCCTGGGCGACGGAGTGAGACTCTGTCTCAATAAAAAAATAAAAAATGATAACTAGACAATGAGATGGGGTCTGGGAATGGAGAGTGTCCTTTAAGGCAGGGTGGGCCAGAAGGCTTCTCTAAGGAGGAAATATTTGAGCTGGGCTGTGAATGAAGCCAGGGAAAGAGGCTTGTGAGTAGAGGATCAGTATTCCAGGCAAAGGGAACAGCAAGTGCAAAGGCCCTGGGGCTGGATGTTCGGGGAGCGTCAGGAACAGCAAGGTGGCCAGTGTGCAGCATGAGTGGGCTGAGGGCAGGAAGAGGAGGGAGACGTGAGGTTAGAAAGGTCATCAGGGGGCTGGGCGTGGTGGCTTACACCTGTAATCCCAGCACTTTGGGAGGCTGAGGCAGGCGGATCACGAGGTCAGGAGATAGAGACCATCCTGGCTAACACGGTGAAACCCCGTCTTTACTAAAAATACAAAAAATTAGCCGGGTGAGGTGGCGGGCGCCTGTAGTCCCAGTTACTTGGGAGGCTGAGGCAGGAGAATGGCGTGAACCCCCAGGGCGCGGAGCCTGCAGTGAGCCGAGATCCCGCCACTGCAGTCCGGCCTGGGCGACAGAGCGAGACTCTGTCTCAAAAAAAAAAAAAAAAAAAAAAAAAAAGAAAGATTATCAGGGTCCATACCATGCAGGGATTCCTGGGCCATGGGAGGACCTTGGATTGATTTCCAGTGTGCAGCAAAGCTACTGATGGAGCGTGGGCAGGGTCTGGTGAAGGCTCTCACTGGCTGCTGTGGAGGGAATAGACAGAGGTGGGTGAGGATGACAGTGGGTGTGGAGGTGCAGCCATAAATGGAAGCAAGACCTTAAGAGGGACGTCTGGGCATCCGGTGAACCTGACCCGTAGTCTGGAGAGAGCTTCCAGGGATATGAAGCATGGCCAGAGATAATGCCCTCCTCACCTAGAAGCAGACATTAGGCCCTTCAGAAATGCAAACGGGCACTGAACAGTCACGTCAGCTTCACTCTACGACGTGTTGATAGTCAATATCCTGGATGATGCACCTTAAAAACGAACCCTCAATTCCATGCCTAGGAATTTACTCAGCAGGAATAATCAGACAAGTGCACAGTGACTACATCCAAGGTACCACTGTAGCTTTGTTCCTGGCAGAAAAAGTATAAGCAGCTTGAGTGTTCACCAACAGGGCATTATTCAGCTAAGTCATAGCACATTCAGGATTCAGAATTCTATCATCGAGAGGATAATATTTTTAAAAAATCTTATAAGGGGAGAGAAAGTAAAAGCTACAACTTATACTCATCCTTCATTTCCCAGTCTTATTTCCTAAGAGAGTTTCTGGAGTATCCTTCAAGAAACATTTTCTTCTCAGACACAGGCATATACATATATATCTATATATGTCTATATATCAATACATATATAATGGTATATGTATATAAATATATTTTTGTAAGCTAAAATAGGATACTTCTATACGTATTATTTTGTAATGTAATTTTATTTTGCGATGTGATATATCTTTGACATATTGCAGCACCAGTGCATTAGATTAATAGCTGCATAGTGGCTGGGTGCGGTGGCTCACACCTGTAATCCCAGCACTTTGTGAGGCCAAGGTGGGTGGATCACCTGAAGTCAGGAGTTCGAGAGCAGCCTGGCCAACATGGTGAAACCTTGTCTCCACTAAAAATACAAAAATCAGCTGGGCGTTGTGGCAGGTGCCTATAGACCCAGCTACTAGGAGGCCGAGGCAGGGAGAACTGCTTGAACCCGGGAGGTAGAGGTTGCAGTGAGCTGAGATCTTGCCACTGCACTCCAGCCTGGGTGACAGAGCAAAACTCTGTCTCAAAAAAAAAAAAAAAAATAGCTGCGTAGAATTCTACCAGATGGATATATCATAATTGACTCAGCAAGTTTGCTATTAATAGATAGTTTCTCTCATTTATGTGAGTTTATCTGTGGGTATATTTTCACACGTATAACTTTTTCAATTGAAAATATTAAAAATGATGATGTAGCATGTATTATTGTGCAGATACCCACAATATATAATTAAGAGAAAAAAATCAGGCTACAAAATTGGGTGTGTTGCACAGTCCCATTGCTATCCATTTGCATGTATCTCTGTGTATGTGTTGATAGAGTCTGGAAGGATACTCACCAAAATGCTAGCAAGAGCTACAGATCACAGCCTGGTGACTGTAGGTGTCTCTTTTTCCTAGTGCTTTTCATTATTGTTTTTTTAGAATGAGAATATGTATTTTGCAAGGGGAGAAACAAGCTATTGTATTTTGGGAGAAGAGTTAGTTGGGAACCAGTTTGCGAACTATATTTAAAATATGAATTTTGCGTTTGCATCTGTGCTTTTCTTACTGAGTACTTGTTTTCGCTTCGGTATTAAATGGTACTTTTTTCTTCTCCCGTTTGGAACACTCAAGCGTGGGCCCGCCTATGGACCTGGGCGCAGTTCACCAGCTCCACCACCAGAGGGCGGCGTTTGCAGGATGTTGTGCGCACGGCCGCCTCCCGCCGTTTGCGGGGGTCTAGAATTTTGCAGGATGTGCTTTGGTCGGCTCGGCCAGAGTAGAGACAGGATGTACGCGCGTTGGTTTCCAGTTGGTGCTGTGACACAGATATTTTTCCTTCCTCTGCTTTTAGCGTAGCATCTGAATTTAACGGCGTTGCGTGGAGGTGGCACGAGGGAGGGATTGGCTTGCAGAGCTCCCGCCCTGCCGTCCTGGAAGCCCTCCTATCCCCGACCCTCAGGCCAAGTCACTGTCCCCAACTTCCACCATAGACCAAGCAGACTCCTACCTTCAGAGTCTGACCTGATTCCAGGGGATTTAGGGTGCCCCCACGCTGAAGCCAGTTTGGAGGCTTCACTCGCACCCCTCCATGACCAGGCACTCCACTTCTTAGTCCTTGTGCCAAGCGGCTGCCAGGCACTCTCTTCCCTTCTTTCCTCTTCTTTTCACCTTCTGAAGTTTTTGGAAAAAGCAGTGCATATTAATAATAACAATTCAAACAACACAAAAGGGGGAAGCAAGTGAAAACTAAGCTCCCCGCCTCCCACCCTAGCCCCACTTCTTCCCCAAAGGCCATAATTGTTAAGAGGTTTTGGAAAAGTATATCCTTCCAGAAATTCTAGATGCATATAAAAATACAGACGCCTGTACGTTCAAAACCACACCCTCCACTCAGTTTCTCGTTTGCATTTAGCAATGACGCTGAAAGCCTCCCACATCACTTCACAGAAGGCGCCTGTGGTTTTTTTTTTTTTTTTTTTTTTTGCTGGCTAGAGAGTATTCTAGTATGTGGATGTGACATGCTTGATTTGACATTTGGGCACTTTCCAATCTTGTGCTTATTAGGAGCAGTGGGCAGTAAATATCCTCTATACACAGCTTTAAGCACCAATGCAAGAGCTGCTGTTGACTAAATTATTAAGAGTGGAATTGCTGGTCAGAGGGTAGAGGCCCTTCTAGCTTTGGTATTTCCAGATTGCTCTGCAAAGGACTTTTAAACCAGGCCGCACTCCCACCCAGAATGCATGAGATCCCATGGACGTTTTTGCCCTTGGTTGATCTGACAGGTTGCTGGTTCTCAATCTTGACTGCAGTCAGAATGACCTGGGGAGCTTTCTAAATATGCCAACACGACAGTATCCCAGACCAATTAAAGCAGAATCTGACCGTGTGTGTGTGAGTGCGTGCGTGTGTGTATGTGTGTGTGTGTGTGTGTGTGTGTCCGGGAGGTGATTGGGCATTGGCACTTAAAACATGTCCCCAGGAGGCTGGGTGCAGTGGCTCCTACCTGTAATCCCAGCACTATGAGAGGCTGACGCAGGTGGATCACCTGAGGTCAGGAGTTCGAGACCAGTCTGGCCAACATGGCAAAACTCTGTCTCTACTAAAAATACAAAAATTAGCTGGACGTGGTGGTGGGCACCTGTAATCCCAGCTACTCAGGAGGCTGAGGCATGAGAATTGCTTGAACCTGGGAGGCAGAGGTTGCAGCGAGCCAAGATTGAGCCACTGCACTTCAGCCTGGGTGACAGAGCCAGACTCTGTCTCAATAAATAAATAAATAAATAATTCCCCAGGAGATTCTAATAGGCAGCTACAGATGAACGCCACTGAGACAGATGAGAAAAATATACCATTTAAATGTACATTTCTTGAATTATAAATGAGAACGAACATTTTTCTGTGAGAACAATGCTTTAGACATTTCTTAGATCATGGATCCCTTTGAGATTCTGACAAAAGCACTAGATCTTTTTTTTCTTTTTTTTTCAGGAAAATGTGCACACACGCACCTGTGCCTCTACCTGAGGGGCCATAGGCCCTGGAGCTGCTCCCTAGACCTCCCTAGAGTCCTGAGCCCAGGCTAGGGGCAAGGCGGAGTTGTTCTGCGCAGCCTGTTTCCCCACCAAATTACCAAAAATATAGTTAAACTTAGGAATTCAGTTTGATCCATAACATAAACAGTCTATTTTAAGAAGTATTTACCACTGTGTCTCAGCCCCTGGGAGCCCTGCCTTCCATGCAACCCCACTGCTGAGATTTGCTGAGAGTCTCTTCTGCAGAACCCGCTCCATCTCCTGCGTAATTACCCGAGAGGCTCCACGTGGGGCTTCTCTGGCGCTAACCTCATAGGTGAACCTCATGAAGCTACAAAGATTCCCAGTGCACAGGTGGGCGTTAGATCAGCAAAGGCCTCATGACGGGT
Organism: Homo sapiens; assembly: GCF_000001405.40. Taxonomy (NCBI): domain Eukaryota; kingdom Metazoa; phylum Chordata; class Mammalia; order Primates; family Hominidae; genus Homo; species Homo sapiens. Next base: position 116,785,999 of record NC_000010.11, on the reverse strand, counting down.
GCAGGAGTCGGGATGTCTCCCAGGGCCACAAAGAGATGTAAGCAGGGGAGGATGCTAGACCACTCAGGCAGAGTCTGAGTAGGCCATGGGGTGGGCCTGCAGTCTAAGGTGAGGGGAGGGGGGGAAATAGGAGGAATCTTGCGGTATTAGGGCAGTGGGGCAGGAGGGCTCAGCGGGGAAAGGCAGAGTCAAGTGGGTGCCTGGCTTCTGGCTGGGATAACCGGTGGATGGCTGAGACCATTCCCTGGGAGGGAGGGGGTGACAGCAGATGCCAGTGCTCAGAGGGCAGGTGGATATTTGGGGTAGTGTGTGTGTGTCTGTCCGAGAGGAAGAGAGAGGGATCATGAACAGCAGCATGCGGTGGGCAGCAGAGCCCGAGTGTGCGTTCCCCCAAGGCTGGGGAGTGAGCTGGGCTTTATGAGTGGGCACCTGCTGACCCCTGCATTGAGGTGGAGGCTTAGAGGGAGAACCAGGGAGGCAGGCGGGGATCTGGGTGGGGGACAGCCGTCCTGGGGCTGGGGTCAGGCAAGAACATTTCTGTCACAATGCCCTGATGCCATGCTCTGCTGGTGGCCAGGACTGCTCTCAGCTCCCACATCTTGATCTCTGTCCCCGGGCTGCCATGTCCACTGGCAGGCCTGGGTCGGGGCCGTTCCTCCTTCCTCCACAGCAGCACTAGGCTGTGGTGGCCAGAACGTTCCCGAACAAGACATCAGTCCTTGCCTGTGTTCCAGAATTCATACTCCTCCTTCCCACTACCTGAGGCTTTGGACATTTGAATGATGGTGGCGGTGGGTGGGAGGGGGAGGAAAGGAATCTGAGAGTGGACATGCAGGGGTCAAGCCCCAAAGCCATCTCAGAGCAGGGCACAATGAGGGTTTCCAGGACGCCCCTCCCAAAGGCTGGGAAATGTCTCCTCTGGAATCCAAGCTCCAGAGCCTCTTGTTGGTCCTCAACTTGTTATTAGGGCCTGAGGTGCTTCATGATGCCAAGAAAAGAGGAACACAGCAGGGCCTAGAACCAGCAGGACTGGGGCCTCTCTGGTTTCTCCTGTTGGCTCCTGCCTAGGAGCAGCTGCCTCCCTGTCTGCTGTTGTAGACACGTGCCCTCAGCATCTCCAGCCCAGACTGACAGCTCCGAGGTTAGCGTTACAGGCTCAACCCCAGACGGAGAGGCTCTGTCTATGTTGATTTCTATTTATCCCATCTAGTCCAAAGATCCCAGGGAAGGGATTCATTGACCCAGCTCAGCCAGGGACTCATTCCTCAGCCAGTCAGCTGGGGCCGGAAGCACAAGTCCCCAACTGCAAGGGCAACACGTGGAGGGAACGGGAAGGAGCAACTCTTGCTAAAGGGACGCTAGGCAGACAACTTCATAAATGTCAATCATAAGCCAATCTTAAAGGCATTCACTCATTCCTGCACTCATCCATTCATTCATTCATTCATTCCCTCAACAAACCTTTATTGAGCACCTACAGAGTCCAGGTACCACTCTAAGTGCTAGGCTTACTGAAATGAACAGGACAGATGAACTTCTTGCTCTAGTGGAGCTTACACGCTAATAGGAAGATAAACCAATAAACGAGAAAGTGACCAGGATGTGAAAAATGCTCTGCAGAACAGAGAAATCAGGCAATGGACTTTGGAAAGTGCTCAAAGACCCTGCGCTGCCACTTGCAGGGCAAGGGGCCACCTAGGTCAGGAGCGGCCTGCCTTGGAGAGACATGCATCACCCCAGCCACTGCCCATTGGCCAGAGCAAGTCACAAGGCCCCAGCCTAGCCACAAGGGAAGCTGGGAAATGTGACTTTTGTGTGTCCAGGAAGAGGAAATGGGATTGGCAAGCACATGGCCAGTCATGGCTGTCCCACTTAGCCATCTGGTTCCCTAAGAGGTCAACACTGCAACCAGGTCCTGATGTGTCCTTCCAGTGAGATCTTTTGGATACATAAGAAAAAAATAGATGTAATTATGTAATTTTAAAAACCATAAATGGGCTGGGCATGGTGGCTCATACCTGTAATCCTAGCACTTTGGGAAGCTGAGGTGGGTGGATCACTGGAGGTCAAGAGTTCAAGACCGTACTGGCCAACATGGTGAAACCCTGTCTCTACTAAAAATACAAAAAAGTAGCTGGGCGTGGTGGCACATGCCTGTAGTCCCAGCTACTCGGGAAGCTGAGGCAGGAGAATCGCTTGAACCTGGGAGGCAGAGGTTGCAGTGAGCCATTGCACTCCAGCCTGGGCAAGAGAGTGAGACTCTGTCTCAAAAAATACCCATAAATGGTGGTATACTAACACACCATTCTGTTCCTTGCTCTTTTTTCCCCCCACTTAAGACTATATCACAGACAACATTGGAGGATTTGGATCTGGGCAAGAATGTGCCCCAGTTTATGTGTTACAAAACTCACCCTGGCTAGCGGGAGAGAGTGGACTGGGGTGGGGACGGTGGGTCAGGACTGTTGCAGCTGCTGCAGTTGACGGCTGTAGCTCTTTGTCCGTGTGCAGCCTGTGCTCCAGCCAAGTCCACCCACACGCTCATTCATTCAGTGCTTGACAGTCAATAATCGTGGGCAGACCCTGGGCCACATGAGTCAGGCTCTGTCCCTCTTCCCACTCACTGTGCCCCGAGCCATACTGCTGCACACTTTGCCAGGGCACAGGCCACCTTCTGCCATCCAGGCTCCTCTGCCACTGACTCCTCCAAATTCTTCCAGACATGTCTCCAACGTCACCTCCTCATCAAAGCCTCTCCTGATCCCCACAGCACCACGTCGATGGTGTGGAAAGAGGGACCTGGACTGGAGGTGTCTCAGCCCCAGCCCTTCCCATTGGCACTTCCTGGAGAAACAGCTTAGTCTTTCAGAGCCTCAGTTTGCCCATCTGTGCGCTGGACGTGATTGGTATCTGTTTAACACATTGCCTGTGTGGATTACGTGGGAAAGGCTGTGGAGAGACCTGGCATCTGAGTGGCAGGAGACATTTGTCATTTCCCTTCTTTCGCCTTGGGGCCCACCATGTTCTCTGCCTCTCTGAGGTTACTTCTAAGGCTTCCAGTACCCTCCGTGAGGGTGACCCTGTGTCCTGGGCTTGGTATGTTGCCAGGCATCAGGCCTGGGAGTCAGTCTCAGTGTCTACTCAGCGATTTTGTTGAAACTGAGAGTCCACCACCCAGCTTAAGACGTAGAACATTGTTGGCACCTGTGAATCTACTTGCACAAGCCTTGGTGATCCTGTCCTCTTCCCTGACCAGGCAGCCCCTACCCTGAATAGCATCTCATTTATTCCCTTGTTTTTAAAAAGCAGTTGATAGCATGTCTATGAGCCCTACCTGAATAGTCTGTTTAGTTTTGCTTGGTTTTTATGACAATAGTGTCACACAGGAGGCATTTTTTTGTGACTTGCTTTTTCTTTTGCTCCACATTACAACTCTAAGCATCATCCTTGTTGCTGGGTGTACCTGTAGTTCATTCCTTTGCAATGTTAGGTAATGTTCCACCCGGGACTATGCCACAATTTATTTATCCATTCTTCAGTCAAAGGACAACTCCCTCTCCCGATTTTGGTTGTTACAAAAAGCGCTGCTATCAGCCTTGTCATATACGCAGGCTTGGGCACAGGCACTAGGCTATGCTAGTGGGGTTGCTGTGTCAAAGCTCACGTATCTTCAGCTTTTCAGAGATTGCCAAATTTCCAAAACAGTCGAATAAGCCTCTTTCTAGCTTTGTGTAAAGATCCCCGGTGCTCACCCACTTCCTCACCAACCCTTGGGATAGTCACATTTCTGAGTTTTGTCCATCTAGTGAGCACAAAATCTCATCTTATGGTCTCACTTTGTGTTTTCTTGGTCACAGCTGAGGTTGAGCATCTCTGCGAACGTCTCTTTGCCCTTCTTGTGGGCCTCTTTTGTGACATGCCTGACCATTGTTCTCCCTCATTTTTGTATTGGGTTGTTTTTTGAAATTGACTTGTAGGAGTTTTTATGCATCCTGGATACTAGCCCTTTGTCACTCACAGGTGTAAGGAATATTATCTCCCAGTTTGAGACTTCCTTTTTACTGTCTTTTGATGAATGTTATGATCTTAATTTTAACCTGGTAGAATGAATCAGTCTTCTCCTTTACTGTTTGCATGTTTGAAGACTTGTTTTAAGAAATGCTTTGTTTGTTGAGTCAGATTGAATAGCTGGACCCAAGGAGGACACCCCCTACCCAACCTCAGAAAAGGCAGAGCCCACAGCAGACCCTCAGGCACTCGGTGTAGCTGACAGCTGAGAGATTGATTAAAAACTGGAGTGAGGCAAGAGAATGAAGGAGAGAGGCCGAGTGCTTTGAATTTGATCCTTTTAGCGACAATTAAGCAATCACCACACCACGGATGGGCAGAGAAAAAGGCTTCCTGAGAAACCGACACAGGCTGTGGCAGAGGCTGCCCTTGGCCTCACCTTGGACCCAGGGCTGTGGGGCTCCTGCACCACCCCTCCCCACTCCTCCCCTTCAGTTTTTATTGCAACATTTCATTGAGACAAGTGCTTCCCCCAGGGGTAAACTAGAGAGCCAGAGGACCATCTGAGAATGTACAGGGTGAAATCACTGAGGCCTGACCGAGCGGCATTCATCATCATCATCATCATCATCATTGGCACTGATTGGGGAGTAGAGAGAGTGAATCCAGAGGAAATCCATTTTTTTTTTTCTGTTTTCTTTTAAGAGGCAGGGTCTCACTCTATTGCCCAGGCTGCAGTGCAAGTTTCACTGCACCCTCGGCCTCCTGGGCTCAAGAGATCTTCCTGGCTCAACCTCCCAAGTAGCTGGGACTACAGGCATGTGCCACCATGCCAGGCTAATTTTAAAAAGTTTCTTTTTTGTAGAGACAGGGGTCTCACTAGGTAACACTTAGTCTCAAAATGGATGCCAAGGCAACATAAAATTTTTGAACTCCTGGCCTCAAGCGACCCTCTCACCTTGGCCTCCCAAAGTGCTGAGATTACAGGCATGAATCACTGCACCCAGCCAGGATGGGGCTAGGAGTGAAAGGGTCAGTGAACTTGAATAGGCAAAAGTTTATGTCCTTATTTTCATTAATCTCTGGCTGAAATGTAGCATTACTTTCAGTTATAAATGTAGAGGACAAACCAAACAATGTTAGCAATGCCTGTGACTCGTCACCCATAGAAATCACAGAGAGTTTTACATCCTATTACTTTGCTTGTAGATATTTTGAAATATCCACTTAAAAATTATGATTGTTATATAATTCTACTAGATCCTTGTTATTCAATGTTTTAATGAAGAAGCACGCATCATAATTTTTAAAAGGATTTGATAATCGTATTAACAAATAATTAGGTTCCCTGGTAATCCTACCTGGTTTATTTTATGCATTTAAAAACATTATTTTCCAGTCTGGGTAACATAGGTAGACACCATATCTACGAAAAATAAAATAAAATAAAATAAAATAAAATAAATCAAAAAATTAGCTGGGTGTGGTGGTGCGTACCTGTGCTCCCAGCCACTCAGGAGGCTGAGGTGGGAGGATCACTCGAGTGTGGGAGGTGGAGGCTGCAGTGAGTGGTGACTGCACCTCTGCACTCCAGCCTGGGTGACAGAGAGAGACCTTGTCTCAAAATAATAATAATTATTATATAATAAAATAAAAATAAATAAAAATATTGTTCTGAGGAGGGCTCTATAGATTTCCTCAGGTGACCGAAGAGTCCATGAAACAGGAAGGTTAAGAATTGGACTCAAGGGAGAGCCCTCTTCCTACAGGGAAGACACACCAACTCTTGTGATCTTAGACTAGCTCCAGGTATGGTGGAGGATGGAGGAGATGGTCTGCGACAGTGCCCTGCAGCTATGCAGGGAGTGACTGCTGTTCCTTGTTGCTGGGCAGTCCCTGTGGATGAACGGGATCTTTGCCCTTCGCGTGAGAAGGACGCAGTGCCCAAACAGCTTGCTCTGGCGGAATTAGTGGTCTCTGACTCGTGGCTGGCCTGGGTGCCTGCCTCCTCTAGGTAGGTCGAAGCTCCTTCAGGGCCGGCCAGCCCTTGTCCATGTTCTAGGGGAAGGGTGGCTGCAGTCCCCTAGGGAGTGGTGCCATGGGCCCACATGGAGTCGGGGTGCGGGGACGGAGTGCACTCAGAGCTCCAAGCCCTTAGGAATCCCGTCCCCCCTGCTAGCTCCTCTTTACACACACCCACCCTGTTTTCCCTTCACATTGGGCTTCGTGCCATTCCCCAACATGCCCAGCGTTATTCGGTTTCTGGAACTTCCTTCACCTCTCCCACCTGCCTGGGTGTCAATCAGGATAGACATAGCAAAGCTTGGGAGCAAATGACCCCCAGATTCCATCGCGGGCTGGCAGCAACACTGTTCCTGTTGTCTTTGTTCGGGCCTGGGGCTGACAGAGTAGCCTCCACCTGCAACCTTCCCTGTCTCCTGGCAAAGGGACAGAATATACTGACCAGGCAGAGTGTCACTGCCCTCATGTCTCATCAGGCAGAGTCACGTGGCCACACCCGAGTCCAGCAGAGCAGGAGTGCGATGTGGTTCTCTCTGAGGGAGGGGCCACAGCCCTGAGGTGCCCCACCCTCATCTCCCCAACCGTGTCAGGGTGATTCTGTCCCCATTGAAGATTCACCCAGGCCCCACTGGCCCTGGTCTCCTCAGTAGGTGCTTGTCTCCCCTCCCTGCTACTCTTGTGTTTGGGGTGGGCACCCGGATCAGCTTCGATCTAGCTTGCACTGGACCTTCCGTGTTGGCAGTGACTCATTACACCCACATGTCCCCCTTGGAGTTCAGCCACGATGTGTCGCTCACGATGTTGCGAAGGGAAGCAACTGCCGATGAAGGCCCTGGAGGGCTTGGAAACCACGTGCCTTGAGTGATGGCACTTGGTTGGAGAATCAAAGAAGGATGTTTTGTTGCCTAACTTGAAAGGAGCTAACTGACCTATATCAGGCATCAGGATTAAAGACCTGTGTGACCCAAGGGCAGACAGACCCTTCCACTCTGCCATGGACTTCTTTCTGTTTCTGGGTTTGTTGTTGTTGTTGTTTTGAGACAGGGTCGTTCCATCTCCCCACTGCGAGTGCAATGGTGCAGTCACAGCTCACTGCAGCCTCAGCGTCCTGGGCTCTAGCGATCCTCCTGCCTCAGCCTTCTGAGTAGCTAGGACCATAGGCACATGCTACCATGCCCAGCTAATTTATTTTATTTTGTTTTATTTTTCATAGCGGGTCCCATCATGCCATCCAAGCTGGTCTCACCATGTTGCCCACCACACTGTTCTCAAAGTTTTGGGCTCAAGCGATCCTCCTGCCTTGGCCTCCCAACATGCTGGGATTTATAGGCTTGAGCCTCCATGCCCAGCCTGGACTTTCTGATGAAGCCAGGCTTGGGTTGTGGGAATTATGGGGAATGTGCTGACAGGAATGACTACACAAAGCTTCAGCCAAAGTGCAGCTCCTTTTGAAGGAGCCTGAGCTCCTTCAGGAGCAATGTGGTTCTCTCTGAGGGAGGGACCACAGCCCTGAGGTGTGCCACCCTCATCTCCCCATCCGTGTCAGGGCGATTCTGCCTGCTTTGAAGAACTGCTTCCTTCTCTGACCTTTCTGTGTAAGGTCGGCTGTTAGAGCACCAGCTGGAGGTTTTGGGGGGAATAGTCAGTGCCCAGTCATCCTTTGGTGAATTAACTGCATTGGGCAAAATTAAGTGCATTCATGAAAGAAAAAACCTACTAGCAATCAGCAAAAACATATGCATATTTAAATAATATATTGCTTGGAAATGTCAAGTAACCATCTTGGGACTAGTGTCAGGGCATGTACCTCCCCTTTCCCAAGCTGCTGTGGCCAACCAAGGCCCCCCCAATGATGTGCGGCTCCTCCTGAGAACCAGTTGTTAAATTTGCAGGGATTTTGTGGGCCAGTTGTTAAGCACAGCCATTATTAAGAGTTAAATAACAGGCTGGGTGCAGTGGCTCGTGTCTGTAATCCCAGCACTTTGGGAGGTTGAGGCGGGCGGATCATGAGGTCAGGAGTTTGAGACCAGCCCAGCCAACATGGTGAAACTCCGTCTCTACTAAAAATACAAAAATTAGCTGGGCATGTTGGCACATGCCTGTAATCCCAGCTCCTTGGGAGGCTGACACAGGAGAATCGCTTGAACCCAGGAGGTGGAGATTGCAGTGAGCTGAGATTGCGCCACTGTACTCCAGCCTGGGTGACAGAGTGAGACTCCGTCTCAAAACAAAACAAACTCAGCATTTTCTAATTGTTTTTGTGCATCTGATCTGACTATTGTCGATGCACTTAAGCTTATTTGTGTCTGTTGCAGCTCTGGGATGGAAACGTAGTGGCGTGCGTCTCTTTACAACTCCGTATTCGGTGACATCATGTGGGTAGCTGAAAATCAGCCATGGTGGGGATATGTACACCTGGGAAGTCCACACATGTCCCTGTCTGGTCTGGGCACGAGGAGGCCTGAGTGGCAGGCTCTTGGGAACTGGGTGTGAGGGTGGAGGCACCAGGTGGGGCAGGAAGGAGGAGGAAGAGGCCAGCAGCAGCTGCTCTGTGGCTCCGTCCACCTGAGGACTAATGTTTGAAAACTGCAGAATTTGCAAAGAAACTCATAGCAATAATTATTCTAAAAGATACTGTTTTAAGTCATTTCTTTTATTATTTAGATTATTTTGGTTGCTTGTCAGTGTGACAGGCCATGCCTGAGCTGTCCATGTAAAGTTCCCAAGGGGCATAAATGGGAGACTGCAGTGCAGCCTCAGATGTGGGGGGACCACCCAGTGCCACGCGGCAAGAACTTAACACCCGGGTGTTGACGAGGCAGGGAAGAAAAGGGGCGCATCTGCAGCTCAGCGCCCCTCCAGCCTGGCTGGCGTCTCACACTACTCATGTCAGAGAACAATTCAGCGGGCTACACAGGAGCCATGGTCCACCCAGGAGCTTTCTTACAACCTCCTTCCCCTGTGCATTGCTTCCTTGATGCTTCTGCAGTAAATCAAATTAAAAGCAAACTTGAACCAAGTCCAGGTTGTCAATATCTCCCATTCTCGAACCTAGTCCAGATTCCTGGTACAGACATTAAGCATCTTATATGATGCCTCACATCCCTAAATTATCATATTTGCATCAAACTTTTAAGGATATACATCTAAAATACATTCTGAAATAGTGTTTATGATTCTAATTAAGATTACATTAAGCCCAGTTTTTAGAGTTTTAAGCATTGTATATGGAGTTAACAATTAAGAAAATAAAACTCATGTATTTTTAATTGCTCTTATATTTTGATGCTCTGTGGCATCCACTGAATCAATGGCTTGAGTACTTCAGGGAAGCGGTGGATTCTGCTACAATAATAAATTCGTTGTTCACTTTGACGATCAAATTAGGCTTTCCATTTTGTTTTGTCTTCTAGGCAAAACAATAGTCTTGAATGCCGGGTTTTGTTAAGAAAAAAAAAATTTTCTGAATTCCAAAGCTTCTTTCTAAATATAAGGAATCAATCCCGGCTGATTTTGAGCGTAGAGTTTTACTGTAAGCCATAAATAGAAGGAATTCTGGATACAATGGAAGTGAGTTCCTGGGAGACAGGAAGGCAGAGGAGAAAGCACTATGCTTTGCCTGGGAGAGGTTTGTTGGGGGTGAGACCAGCGGGAGGAAGCGGCCAAGAGCTGGAGGCTGCTTTGAGCGAAATCCCGAGGCAGAGGGGGGCGTCCAGGCGGACGGACCTGAGATGCTCCTTGTTGTCCACCCATGACACCTGCCTGTGTCCCACAGGAGTCCCAGGGGTGGGCCACAGAGGTGCTGAGGCAGGGAGGGGGTGAGGTGGTCACCCAAAACAGGGACCTGGGAACCAGGAGCAGTGGCACTTGTCTTGGGTACTGGGGGGCAGTCAGCTCAGTGGACAGAGACCAATGGGATGGGTCACTTAACTGGAGGCCAGAGGGGACGCAGAGGATGGCAGGTAGACCCAAAGCCCCTCACTCACCACCAACGTGAGGCCACATTAACTTCTTTTATGGCACTCAGCTGCCCCCAGTCTAGTCCCTGGTGGAGTCACATAAGAGAGTCTGTGCCAGGCTGGGGACCACAGTAGAAGGCATAGCTCCCCAGCTGCAGGAGCCCTCACAAGACCCCAGGGACAGAGAGGTCATAGGGGCTGCAGGATTAGGCCAGGTCACTGTCTCGGGGAGGAGTTGGGAAAGGGCTTGAAAGCCCCCTGTTACTTCTGTGCCCTGATGTCCCCAAATCCTCTGGCCCCCTGGCCTGAGTGTTTCCTTTAGCAAGCAAATGAAATGGCCCCAGCACCTTCCCAGCATCCGAGCACTGAGGAAAGTCAGGGCTCACCCAGCACTCCTGTGGGGAGAGGCGGGAGGTCCTTCTTCCATCCCCTCTCATCGGGTGCCCTGAAAGTCAGTATCACGAGGCTGTCAGTGGGAACAGACAGAACTGACCAGGAAACAAACTTCACGGTCAATGTTAGATTTCCTGTTTCTAGAAAATACATTGGCCATTTCCAGCTACAGAGACTCCCTTCCCAGGCTGCCCACTGGCTGGCCCCCGTCCTCCCCAGGGCTCTCTAGAAGAGACAGTGTGGGGTGACAGAGAGAGCTGGCTTTGCAACCGGACAGGCAGGAGTTCAAATCCCAGGCTCCCGTCTCACTGGCTATGTGGCCCTGTGTGACCCTGGGATCTTTCCTTCCTGAGTCTCAATTCATCCATCTGTAAAATGGGAGTCCTGAGGCCCTATCCATAGGTTTGTGAGTGGTGGGATAACTGATATAAGGAACTCGCACGTTCTTAGTACAGAATCAGCACTTGGTAAATGGCAGCAATTGCTGCTATTGGCTTCTGGCCCAATCCCTTGGGGGCACCTGTGCCAGGTGTCTGGGAGGACACTAATAAAGAGTGACTCAGCAGAGACAGCCACAGGATGGGCGGGAGGGAGCAAAGGAATGCTGGAGTCCCCCAAAGCAGCACAGTTGGGAGCAGTGGCGGTGGGTGTGTAGCAGTCGACCTGGGGCCCTTGGGGAGGGAGTGGAGTGACAGGATGCCAGCTGGACCTATGCCATGGCAGTATAGCCAACACGAGGGGCTGGTGCAGGAGCCGGCAGGACTGGGGCCTGCAGGGGCCAGGGTGGAGGGCTCCAGGCTTGTGCAGCCTGCAGGGTCAGGGTGGAGTCAGGCCAGGGCCACGTGGGCAGGCATGGGACTGGGGGAGGAGCTTATTCAATGGTGGACCTGGGTTTTCTGGTGGGTGAATGAAGGGGTGCACAGAAGGCCTCCCTCTCAATGTCCCACTCTCCAATCCTTTCTCCTAAGAGATGGATCTGGGCCATGAACTCCTGCTCCAAAAGGCCAGTCCTCTAGCAGAGCCACGTCTGTGAAGAGACCCAAGAGCACCATTGACATTTCTTTATTCCAGGGGTTCTCACACTTTGGCAAGAGTGTGAGATGTGCAGTTGCTGGGCCCTACCCAGAGTCTCTGGGTCAGTAGATCTGCCTTGGGGCCTGAGAATTTGCATTTCTATTAAGTGCCCAAGAGTTGTTAATGCTGCTGGTCAGGGACCACACTGGTCAGGGACTGAACTAGGCATTGGTGCAGTATCACCTGGGACCCTCGCAGAGTGCTCTATGGCAAATATTTCAAAAAAGCCCTTGCCGGCCGGGCGCGGTGGCTCACGCCTGTAATCCCAGCACTTTGGGAGGCCGAGGCGGGCGGATCACGAGGTCAGGAGATCGAGACCATCCCGGCTAAAACGGTGAAACCCCGTCTCTACTAAAAATACAAAAAATTAGCCGGGCGTAGTGGCGGGCGCCTGTAGTCCCAGCTACTTGGGAGGCTGAGGCAGGAGAATGGCGTGAACCCGGGAGGCGGAGCTTGCAGTGAGCAGAGATCCCGCCACTGCACTCCAGCCTGGGGGACAGAGCGAGACTCCGTCTCAAAAAAAAAAAAAGCCCTTGCCACAGAGCAGGTTCCCCCACCCCATGTCATAGTGAATGCCACTCAAGACCAAAGAGGGTAAGTAACCTACCCAAGGTCATTCAGCTGAATGGTGGCATAGTTATCATTTGTAATTAGGTCTCCTGGCTCCAAGTCCTCCACCCCGTCACCATGATAATGACCATTGTCAGCATCATCACCATCATCGTCATCATCATTACCACAGGCACTGTGAGCTCCCTGTGGGCTGTTTTGCAGCTTTGCCCCTGCCCAGGACCAGGGACCAGCCAGAGCTTCATAATTGTCAGCTGAGTGGAATCCCTTCTTGGGGCAAGTCAGTGAGAAAGACTTTCTCAGGCTGCAGTTGACAACCCTTGGCTGAGGCCCCCACTGTGAGCTGGGCAGGTTGGCCAGGGAATAAGGAGGAGGAGACTGCTTACTTAGCATCAGTCAAGGTTGAGGGGCCATGGGCCAAGGTGAGGTTCAGAGGTGACAGAAGGGAGGCAGAACTGCTCCCTGGTCATGTTACCTTCTCGAAACCCGCTGGGAGCTGCGAAGGCAATTGTCACTCTCCAGTCTGGCTTTGAGTGACGCACAGCTCCCAGGCCTCCTGTCCTGTCTGCCCGCTAGGCTGTTGTTGCCTGGGGGTACCAGACCAGAGCTGAGGGTTCTGAGAAGGAAATGCAATTTGCTGTTGGTGTACCAGGCCTTCTTCTGTGCTACCATGTACTGCTCAGTGGACTGAAGCCTTTGCTCATTAGCAGGGCCTCATCCCAGGCCAGTTCATCCTGGGCCTCTGGAGGGGCTGGGGAAATGCCTGGGCCCACCTGGGCCTGCTCTTGCCTCCCTGGGACCTTGCCTGCTGTGCAGAGGAAAAGGAGTGGGAGGAAGGAGGGCCCAGGGGGAGTCAACGGGAGCAGCTGGGGCTGCAGTTGTTTGGAAGTCCCCTGGCTCACCCAGACTTTTAGTCTAGCTAGGGTCCCCGGTCCTGACTGAATGAGCCCCTTCTCAGAAGAACCACAGGTGGCCAGGTGCAGTGGCTCATGCCTGTTAATACCAGCACTTTGGGAGGCCAAGGTGGGAGAATTGCTTGAGACTAGGAGTTCAAGACCAGCCTAGGCAGCATAGTGAGACTCTGTCTTTACAAATAATAATAATAATAATAATCAGCCAGATGTGGTGGTGTGTGCCTGCAGTCCCAGCTACTTAGGAGCCTAAGTTGGGAGGATCGCTTGAGCCCAGGAGGTTGAGGCTGCAGTGAGCCGTGATCACACCACTGCACTCCAGCCTAGGCAATAGAGAGGGAGACCCTGTCTCCAAATAAATAAATAAATAAATAAACAAATAAATAAAATAAAGATAGAAAGGAAAAGAAAAAGAAGAACCACAGGCTTTCCTAGAGCAGAGATAGGGCCCAGGGATAAAACTTGGAACTTTGGAGCCAGACAGCTTCGGGCCTCATTTGCTCTCGTGCCTTCAAGTTGTGATTTAACTTCTCTGGGTCTCAGTTTCAGCATCTGCAAAAGGGCTGTTACAAATATTCCCTGAAAGCATCTTCCTGGAGACAGAGCTCTGAGTTTGGGCCTGGCATGCAGCTCCACAGAGTCTGCTCAGCATTTTCTGCCAGCAGAGCCAGCCCTGCTGGTCCCAGGAGCAAGTGGGGTAGAGTCTGAGATCCTCTTCTTCTGCCAAGTGTTGGGGCTCTGGGGCTCTGGGGGTCTGTCCTGGGATCTCCTCTCTTCACCTGTACACAGGATCCAAGATCAGCTCCTCCACTCAATGGCTTCACAGTACCCCCTGCCCCAGCACTGATGATCCCTGAACCCACGTGATCCAGCCTTATCTGGACATCTCCACTTGCATGTCCCAGAGACACCCAGGTCATTTAGTGTCCCAAGGCGGGAACACCATCATCCTCGCCACTACCCCCGCTCCCGTCCTGTGCTGTCATCTCAGGGAATGGCCTGGCATCCAGCCTCGTCCTGCCTCTGCCCTCTCCCATGTTAAGCTTATTGAGTGTAGCTCACCTGGAAATGTGGAGATGGGAAATACGGTGGGGACTGTTCAGGTGTGGCCGTGGCTGAGACAGCACAGCTGCTGGAGCAGCCTGCCTGGACTGGAGTTGGCATCAATATAGGCCCCAGAGGATGCCACCTCCCCACCGCCCCCAGCAGTTCTCCCAACTCCATGCTTCTGGAACCCAAGGCACCTTGGGGGTGCACTCTCACCATTGTCCCCTTTTCTGCCTTTCTATCTGGGCCCCTTGTAGGTTGACAAGCAAGCGCCCCTTGTTTGGGAGAGAAACCTCCATCCACTGCAGAGAGAAACTGCAGGGACTGCCTCTCATCCACCCCGTCCCTGGGCTCCTGGTAAACATGCTGGCAGGCAGGGATTTCCCATGATGGAATTTCGCAATTGCCGTCCCATCCTTTTGGATGTATTCATTCCGGAAACATCCTCCCGGGGGCCCTCTGTCTAGGCCCTGGAAATGATTCAGACCCAGGCTCTGCCCTGGCCTCTTTCGTTGCTTAAAATATTCCAGTGGCTTCTCTTCCTTCCTCAGTTCCCATTTCAGCTCCCGGAGGAGGGTGACCCTTCACCCAGGCCTGTCACTGGCTTTGCTGGTGGGCTCACCCCTAGGTTTTCAGTTTTGGCCTCTGGCCCCAGTATCTCGTCAGGGCCCCTGTCCTCCCCTCCCCTCTGTGTGGCCTCCACAGCCAGCGGCTGCTGATGGCCCCAGCTCCCAGCGAGTGTCCTTGTTTTATCTCGCCTGTGAATGTGCCTCTTCAGAGCGTGTCACTGGGGCAGCCCAGTCAGGCCCTATGTTGGAGGCAAAATGGGCAGGGCCTTTGAACCGTGGACTTGGGGCATCTCTGGGTTGCTCTGAGCCTGCGCCCACCTCTGTCTCCATCTACAGACTCGGGAGCCACAGTCCAGGGTTTGCAAACTGAGGCCCCTTGAGCACACTTGAGAATGCCCCACCCCAACCCTGCAGTCCACTGCCCCCTCCCCCAGCACACACAGCCCACAGCCCCACTCCAACCCTGCAGTCCACTGCCCCCTCCCCCAGCACACACAGCCCGCAGCAGCCAAAAGAAGTCATTCTTCCTTTTAAAAGTAAAAATCTCCCCCAAGAGAGGCTTGTTAAGTGACCCGAAGGCATCCTTAGAAAAGGCTTTCAGGCATTTGAGGCTTCCATGTTTAAAGCAAATTCACAGAAAGTTGAGGTTGGTGAGGGGAGGCTGGGCCCCTTGTTTCCAAGAGCAGAGGGCTGTCCCGAGCACCTGGGGAGGGGCTTATGGGAACAGTGCACAGGAGGTTGGAGGAGAGATGGTGGGGACAACCCGGCAGCCATGGACCTTTATGAAGAGCAGACTCTAGCACTCCAGCTGGAGCTCGGCGTCTCTGCCACTGGCCTCCTACCACCTTGCCTCAGTCCTCCCTCACCCCCACCCCACCTTGCTGCCTCATGGGTCCATTTCCTGCCGCCCCCTGTGCCACCTGGCTTTGAGCTATCATCCTGAAACATGCTGCATCCTTCCCTGAGCATCTCACACATTCCCAGACCCAAGGAGGGCATCGGACTGGCCCCACCAGGTGCTGGGTGTCCGCTGAGCCTCTGATCCGCCCCTTCACAAGCACACAGCGTGGCCTCTGCGGGACCTCCCCACATCTGCCCCTTCGGTCTGTACTGGCGGGTCTGCAGGAAGCCTTTCATCTGAGGGCTTCCTTTGAACTTCACCAGCAGCTCTCACAGGGGCCGCATAAGCCAAACTCTTGGTAATCATTCAAGAGCCAGAGACCCCTGCCCTGTTTTTGGTGTCTGTGTGACCATGGCAAGTCACCGCCCTCTCTGAGTCTTGGTTTTTGCATCCACCACAAGGGCTCACATAAGACCTCCTCCATCAGGCTCTTCTGAGGATCAATGGAACTATGACGGCATGTTCAGCACCCTGCCCCAAGGACAAACTCTCTCCTTACTTGCCTCATTCTGCTCTGAGTCAGAGGAATGGCCCAAATGACCTTGGAGCTCTGTGGCGTCATCGCTTCTTGCAGCCTTCCCTGGAGAGCTGACTCTCAAGCGAGCATACCCAGCTGGAAGGCGGAAAGAATTTTAAGCACAAGGAGCCGAGGCCTGCACTTGAGCAAATGTCTTCTTCAGCCTACATTTTCTTCCGAACACCCCAAGCAACTATGGAAACCCAACCTGTGGAGAGTAAAGGGGCTTCAGAAGGGTTTTGTGTGTTTCTCTCCCTGTTGTCTTTGGAGCGCTGCTTCGTGCATCTCCAGGAGAGTTGATAACTGAATCAATAGCTGTTTTGCTCTAATTTATTGAGCTCTATTGCCTAAACCTAATTAGCATGTTTCTGAGCCATGAAGTGCTCTAAGTCCTGCACTTAGACGGGGAATCGATCCTGCAGCTGCCCTGGGCCGAGCCAATGTCAGGGAAAGGGATGGGGGTGGTGGCATCATTCCAGTAAAATTGAGAGCCAGACAGGAAGACACAGCCCAGGAGAGCAACATCCTGGTGCTTTCGCCACCCCGGGCCCCAGCCCTCAAGGTGGGGACCTTTCACCCCAAGTCCTGGCCCTCAAAATGGGAGACCATAGGGGTCTACATTGGAGAGCCAACCCCACTGCTTGGCAGCTGGGTGCTTGACTTTCTCTAAGCCTTTGTTTCCTTGGCTGGAATGAGGGTCTGGTGATGACACCATAGCAAGGGGTGGGGAAAGCATTCCTTAAGAAGACCCCACCAAGCCCACACCTTAGTCTTGTCTGATTGCTAAGAGGGGGCTCTCTAGGTCCAGCATAGAGTCCAAGTGACCTCACAGGAAGGTTTGTGGCTGGAGGAAGGGGAGGTCAAGTGATGATTGGTCAGTCAGAAGATCCTAGTGGTGGCTGGGCCAGGGGACTTCTAAGGACAGAGGTATTGAATGGTCCGATGTTTGTGTCTCACTGTGCTGTGCTGGATGTCACTTTCCACACCTGCTTTGAAAGTCTGCAGCGGGCAAGAATCACAACGTCCAGTCCTACAGGTCAGGCCAGTGTGGATGAGAGAGTGTGCTCACAGGAAGCAGAGGGTGACACACAGCAGGGCAGTCCCAGGAAGCAGAGACTTGGAGTTAAAGATAACTCAGAGGAACAAGCTGGCCCTGCAATAGGGGGCTGTGCTAAGGCCAAAGTCAGGGTGATGTCAGCAGGCTGCTTTAAAAAAAAATAATTGAGCCGGGCTAAGTGGCTCACACCTGTAATCCCAGCACTTAGGGAGGCTGAGGTGGGAGGATGACTTGAGGCCAGCAGTTCAAGACCAGTCTCTGCAACATAGTGAGACTGCCCCCAACTCTACAAAAATAAAAGAATTAGCCAGGCTCCTGTAGTCCCAGCTACTCAAGAAGCTGAGACAGGAGGTTCACTTGAGCCCAGGAGTTCGAGGTTGCAGTGAGCCATGATTGCACCACTCCTCTCCAGCCGGGAGTGGAGGCTATATATTTATTCTGAGACAGGGTCAAATAAATTGAGACATTTACATAACATAAAATTTACCATTTTAAAGTGTACAAGTCAGTGGGTTTTGGATATTCACTGTGTTGTGCAAGCATCACCATTGTCTAATTCAGAACATTTTCATCACCCCAAAGAGAAACCCTGTACCTATTAGCAGTTGCTCCTATTCCCCCTCCCCACAGCCCCTGGCAAGCACTAATCTGCTTTCTGTCTCTATGGATTTGCCTACTCCAGGCATTTCATATAAATGGAATCAAACAGTATGTGGTCTTTTGCATCTGGCTTCTTTCACTTAGCGTAATGTTTTCAAGGTTCATTCATGTCGTAGCATATATCAGTACTCTATTCTTTTTTATGGCTGAATAATGTTCTACTGTATGGAGAGAACACATTTGATCCATTCACCCGTGGATGGATGCTTGGGTTGTTTCTACTTTTTGGCTGTTGTGAACAGTGCTGCTGTGAACACTTGTGTCCACGTTACTGTGTAAACTTAGATTTTTGGTTCTCTTGGATATATACCTAGGAGTGGACTTGGGGGGCCATTTGATAATTCTATGTTTAACTTTTTGAGGAACTGCCAAACTTTTTAAGGCTGTTTTTGTAGCCCTGCCTCTGAGATACTGGGGGTACACGTGATTAGAAGAGGTAGTTACTCCCTTTTGAAAGAGGCTGCAATTAGGGAACATAGTGCCGAGAGACAGAGTTCACAGAGCCCTTGGTAAATTAGCCCAGATGGCATCATGCTGTCATGAAGCCACACACGGCATCAGAAGCAAAGGGGTCTCTTGCCTGGGATTTTGGTTAAAGCCCCCTTGTGGCCTGGACTTCTGAGTCTGGGTTCTGAGCCAAAGAGGCTTAAAGCACTGGTGATGGTGCAGAGTTAACCAACAACCTCCCCTCCCTTGTTTTGGATTTCTGTGGACAAATTAAAAACTCACTGTGCCCCACCCAGTCTGTTTGCAGCAGGAATGTGGGGCTGGCCTTGCTGGCTGAGGCTAGTGGGAGCAGAGAAGGGAGGGGCCGGGAGATAATGTTGGGGAGGCTCCCGAGGCCCCAGGGCCAAGCCTCCACCCAGCAGCTGGGGTGGATGACCCTCTCCTGTCTGCTCTGCCTTAGCTCTGCAGGGACAGTGCTGCTTGTCTGCACCGTCACTGGTGGGGGAGGGGTGCAGGATGGGAGGAAGGGGGATGAACACAGTGCCTGAGCCAAGGAGAATAAATCAGTGGATGAGCCTTCTTCCAGGCAGCCCTCTGGCCTCTTCCAGTCTCCGTGGCCCAGGCTCTTGTCCTCTGGTTGCCTCTTTGCTGCCTCTTTTCAGGACCTCGTTCCCCAGGGCCACTGTTTCCTCCAGGCCAATGAGGAGAGGAGACACTGTGAAGCAGACTCATCAGGAACCTGCTAGAACCAGATCAGGTGCCCCCGCTCTAGCCCCCAGAGGCCTGCAGCCCTCCACTCCCCACCCTAGCCCATCTCAGGGTCATGAACTGCAGGGGCAGACCCCAGCAGGCGTTCCCTCCTCAGTTCCCTGGGGACTGCGTCTCCACTTCCCCTCCGCGATGGGCTTGGCTGTCAGCCTGATGGATCTTTTTGGGGTCGACTGGTGGACGCAAACCCAGCAGTTCCCTGGGGGCCCTACGGGTGCCAGTGTGAGCTTTTTCTTTTTAAGTTCCTAGCATTTTATTTAAAGGAAATGTCTCAACAAAATTGTTAGTTATTAAATGATGCGGCCAGAGTAGGTAAAAGATTATTTGAACCAAAGATGAGTGAATGGCATTCCTTACTCCTAGCAAGAGTGAGTTTGAAGAGAAACATGATTAAAAGAATGGGATTCCCATGAGCCATGCCAAGCTGATTGAATTGTGGGGAGGAAATGACAATCTGGGTTAATTTTTAATGTCATTTCCAGGCAGTTAAAACCACTGAGGGAGCAATGAACTTTCTTCTGAATGCCTCCAAGAAGGGGACCAGGCAGTCTCTGTGAGGGCTGTGGGGCAGCTTTGTCTGAAGATGCAGATGGGCAGAAGTGTCCCTTTCTTACAGGACGTTAAGTTGGAGGTGGGAGCTGGGTAGGGGCATCCAGAGGAGCTTTTGAAAGTGAGTAAAGTCCTCCAGGAACACATTTTGGCTCCTCTCCAAGCCAGTAGCCACTTTGCTCCCAGGTAGGGCGACCACCTGTCCCTGTTGGCCCAGGACTGAGGGAGTTCTCGGGTTGCAAGAATTTCAGTTTTTCAACCAGGGCAGTCCTGGACAAACCGGGATGAATTGGTCATCCTAACCAGCAGCCTAGGACCCAGGACTTTCAGTGTCCAAAGTGAAAAAGTCTCAGGGAAAACTGGATGAATTGTTCATGCCCCAGTGTCAGGGCAGCTACTCATGATCACACTCAGCACTGAAGGTGGACAAGGGAGGAGAGGGGGCAGAGGAGGTGGAGAGCAGGAAAGGTGGGAAGGTGAATGTGGCCGAATGGTGAGAGGGAGTGTGTGCCGTCAAACAGGACCTGGTTGCATGAAGGGTGGCTCATCCGTGCGTTGGAGCCACAAGCGGCTGCAGAGAGGAATGCAGCAGTTCCACAGCTATGAAGCAATGTCCAAGTACCAGGTTGCAAAGAGGAAAAACCAAGGTGCAGAACAGCATATGGTATGTTCCTGTTGGGCAAAAAGTGGAAAGAATATGTTTGTCTGTGTTTGTCTACGCTAAGGCAAGACTGGGAACACTGGGTGAAGAACTGAGAGGCATTTCATTGTAAACCCTCCCTAGGGGGCGCCATCACCACCCTCGAGAACAGCAGGCTATGGCAGGTTTCTCAGCATCTAACGGGTGTGTCCTGCCCCACACGTGTGTGTCTTCTTTCCTTCAACTTTTAATCCTGAAAGTTCTCAAACCTACAGAGGAATTATAAGAATAGTGCAATCAACACTCATGTACCTCTAAAAATCTTCCTTTCTGCCCTCTTTCTGTAAATATCTTTTATTTTTAATATGATTATGGACTTCTAGGTCTATTTTAAAAATTCAGTTTATTGTAATAAATTACTACCATTATTCCTTTTTCCCCCTCCTATGGTCCCGGATTTGGCCAGTGGGAGCTCCTTCTTGCTGGCCTTTCTGTGTTTTTAGTATTGCCTCCTTGGTCTTTCAGCCCTTCTGCCACTATATGATGTTTCAGGTTTTATTTTACTTATTTAATTTAAATTTTTTTTGATGTTTCAGGTTTAATTTGGACTTTTCCTACCCTAGTCCTGGAATCAGCTATATCACCAAGGAGCCCATGTGCTTTTGGGTGGGGAATGGTATTTAGAAACCAAAACCTGGGCACTAGGTGTGCTCATTGTCACTGGAGTGTCATTGCTTCTAGGTCTTTCCAGAGAACAGAACTAAGCTGTTCTCAAAACCATGAGTACATACAGATGTACCCAGTAGCATGCATTTACCTCACCTTTCCCCATTCTATGTTTGCATCTCTCCTCTCCAAAGTCAAAACACTGGTCCCCACATCACATCTTTACTCATTTATTCAATCCTTCACTACACAAAAGAATAGTTTCAGAATTACAGCACCAATACTTCTATCCCCAACAAGCCTGCTAAATGAAGTTCAAGATTTCTTTGTGTTCTTTTTATCATTAGAAAATGTATATTAAAGATACACAGTTAGAGTACTACATCCAAAATTACTTGAATTAATGATTTTTTTGTGTGGCTATATTGTATCTCTACTACTCATATGATGGATAGTAAGGTTTATTTGTTTCTATTTATGTCAAATATAGGGTTTGCTCTTTAAAAACCCTTTGGATTTAAATTGATTTTCGGGTATATAAAGCACTCCAAGTCAAAACTGTATAAAAAGATATAAAAACTATAAAAAGACATCATAAGATGTCTCACCATCATCCCCATCCCTTTCACTCTGCCCCCTCCATTTTGTTAGTTTCTAGTGTATGGCTGTTGTGTTTGTTTTTGCAAAACTAAACATAAATATATATGTATATTTCCCCACTCCTTTTTAACACAAAACATAGAATACTCTCTTTATGTAGTCTTTTGTATTTTGCTTGTTTTTCTTAACATGTCCTAGAAATTGCTCCATGTCTATTGATAGGGCTTTTCTTCATTTATTTCTATGACTGCATAGAATTTCATTGAGTGAATCTACCATATTGTATTTTCAACTTGTCTATGAATGATCATTTATGTTGTTTCCACTATTTTGCAATCACAATTCAGCCTACGATAATAACCTTTCACATTGTTGGTTTGTATTTGTAGGTAGATTCCTAGATATGGGGTTGCTGGATCAAAGTATAAATCTATAATACATGCAGCTATGGCTTCCATAAAAGTAGTGCCAGTGGAAAGACTTTTTCCATAGTGAGTTAGAAGGAAATTCACCACTGCCTTGGGAGCTGTAATAGAGGGTCCCATGAGGAGGCAGGGGAGGTCCCATGAGACTCAGCCCTGGCACTGGATAAATCCTGACATTAACTCATTTGTAGCCTCCAGTCATAGACTTCCTGGAACACCCCCCCAAAGGTTGCAGGGAAGTGAGAGAGGCTCATTGCCGACCGCCCCCCCAATAACGCCATGGTCCTATCAGTGTCTACATTTTACTCATGCTTTTTCTTTCTCCACAAAAGCCTGCTGTGCCCCAGCTTCCAACCAGTGGCTTTCATAATTTATGATTATTTTGGACAAAAATAAAGCTTCAGTCTATGCTGTCCTTAAATCTGACTTTCTTAGAAACCTCAGATGATCTTTTCCAATTCAGTTGAATCTTGTAACCCAAAAAAACCTCCTAGTCCAGAGCACATTTTGTTCATGAGGGAGAGAAAAATGACCCCTTTGTGTCTGCCTGGAGATGGCCCCAAGTTGGGACTGGAGCCAGCTATGTCTTTGCCCAGGGCCAAGGCCTCAAATAGAGGGTCCCCTGGCCCCACCCTGCTGGGGGCAGTTCCACCCAGATTCTGGGAAGCTGGGGACCTGCCCTGTATGCATGGAGAGACTGGATCATATCGCACTATACAAACAGAAGCGATGTATGCAGAAGAAAGAGGTCTGCAGAGGCTACTATCAGAATGTGAGCAGTATTATCTGGGGGTAGGGGTTTTTCACAAGAGATTTTTCTTTACATTTCTTGTCAGTTATTATTGCTTGAAAATGATCGTGTTTCACCGGTGTCATTTGAAAACATTTTATTTTAAAATATTAGCTAAAAGATCATTTGGCTTCTCCTAGCCCATATGTACATTGAGATAGAAAAGCAAAGCCAGATCCATTCAGAAGCAGCAAGTTTCCACCATGCCTGAGTTCAAGTTGAATACTAAGTTGGGCTGCCTCCTACCAACACCAGGGTATATCTTTTCATACCCTGTCAGCTCTGTCACCATCAGCAACAAAACTTCTTTATGCATTTACCATGTGTCTGGAGCTGTGCTAGAGGTGACCATGATGTAGCTACTGTCCTTAAGATGGTGGCAGCTGAGTGTCAGGTACAGACATACCCAAGTCATTGCTGAGTGTAAAGAGAGAACTGCCTTAGAGGAGGAAAAGAGAGTTTTGTTCAAGATAAGGATGAGGGCAAATGATTACCAGGGAAGACTTCCCAGAGGAGGGATGCCCTACTGAATTTTGAAAGAGTAAGAGGAAGGCCAGGCATGGTGGCTCATGCCTGTAATCCCAGCACTCTGGAAGGCTAAGGCAGGTGGATCATTTGAGCTCGAGACCAGCCTGGCCAACATGGCGAAACTCCATCTCTACTAAAAATACAAAAATCAGCCAGACGTAGTGGCATGTGCCTGTAGTCCCAGCTAGCGGGGAGACTGAGGCAGAAGAATCGCTTGAACCCAGGAGGTGAAGGTTGTAGTGAGCCGAGACTGTGCCACTGCACTCCAGTCTGGGTGACAGAGCGAAACTCTGTCTCAAAAAAATAAAAAAAGAAAGAGTAAGGGGAGTTTCTAAGGCGAGAAAGAGGACCAGAGTGGGTTTTCCAGGCAGTGTGGAAATGCAGGCATGTGAGATGCAGAGGATGTGGAGTAGGAGGGTCATGGGTCATGCTGGACCCACAGCATGGCCATTGTGACTTCATCCTGTAAGGGATGAAGAGGAAGTCAAGATTTAAAATAGAGGCAAGCCATGATCAGGTATGTATTTTACAAAAAAAGAAAAACATACACACCTTTGCAGCAGGGTAGAAATGGATTAGGGGTGAGGGATTGGGACCAGAGGCAGGGAGATGAACTGACAGTCATCCAGGTGGGAAGTGACAAGGTCTTCATCTGAGGAGGTGCCCACAGGGCTGATGAGGAGCCATTCTGGAAGTCTGTATGGTCTGGTGACCAACAGGATAGGAGAGTGAGGCAGGGGACAGGCCAGGCGGCTTATGCTACGCCAAAGGTCCGTGAGGACAAGGGCCACGCTGTATTTGGAGCCTAGCACAGTGCCTAGCATGTGAAAGGAACTCAGTGAATATTGGTATATAAGCTGCAAAAAACTGGGCTGTCGTCCAGGCCAGCCTTAGCACAATGTTGCATTCAAAGACTAGCACAACATCCAAAAATAATTGAAAGCAAATTGAAACTTTCCTGTAGTCTCTCAAGAAAATGTAAAGGGGAACATTCTTAACATCCAGCAAAACCTGAAAAATCCTTTTTTTTTTGTTATCACTGCCTGCTTCTCCCTCCCCTACCTCTCATTTTCTCATATTCCTGATAGCCACCTCTAGCATCTCTCTCCTCTCTAGGTTTGTGAACTTTCTTCTTAGGGTCTGTTCTGTTTTTCCTTCCACCTTCACGTTTTAGATCAAGGATTTTGTTTTGTTTTGAAACAGTCTGGCTGTGTCACCGAGGCTGGAGTCCAGTGGTACGATCTCTGCTCCTGGGCTCAAGCTATCCTCCAGCCAGACGTGCACTACCATGCTTGGCTAATTTCTTCGTTTTTTTTTTTATTTTTTTTACTTTTTTTAGATGAGTTCTTCACTACGTAGATGAGTTCCTCACTAGTTAGCCTGGCTAATTTTTGTTCTTTTTTTTTTTTTTGAGATGGAGTCTCTTGCTCTGTTGCCCAGGTGGGAGTGCAGTGGTGTGATCTCGGCTCACTGCAATCTCCGTCTCCCAGATTCAAGTGATTCTTCTACCTTAGCCTCCCAAGTAGCTGGGACTACAGGTGTGCGCCACTATGCCCAGCTAATTTTTGTATTTTTAGTAGAGACGGTGTTTCACCATGTTGCCCAGTCTGGCCTCGAACTCCTAACCTCAAGTGATCCACCTGCCTCGGCCTCCCAAAGCGCTGGGATTACAGGCATGAGCCACCGCTCCCAGCCTAATGTTTGTATTTTTAGTAGAGACAGAGTTTCACCATGTTGGCCAGGCTCATCTCGAACTTCCAGGCTGAAGTGACTCACCCACCTCTGCCTCCCAAAGTGCTAAATTACAGGCATGAGCCACCATACCCAGCTTAGATCAAGGATGTTTTTAAAAATTTATTTATTTTACTTTTTTCTTTTTTTTTAACCTCTATGAGAATTATAGTTCTTTTCCCCACGTACATCTAGCTAGCCTCTGGCTTCTCTAGTTGAGCGCATATTTGCATGTGTTTTATCCTTTATCTCCGTTGTTATCCTAGAAACCCAAACACCAAGAAAAAGCAGGGAGAGGGGACGACTGCCTACACTTATACTTTAATACCATTTGTTTTGTTATGTGAATAAATAAGCTAATGTTTCCAGCAGATATTGGGAATATCCGTCCCTTGCACTTTGTGGCATTAACAGAGTAGAAAGTACTTTCACAAATATCATTCTGTGTAATTACGCAAAAACCCTGGGTAATGCTATTAGTGTTCTCATTTTACAAAAAAAAGAAAACTGAGGTGTTGAGAAGTGATGTGATTTGGAATTTGATAATTCATTGAGCAAGTACATGGGGACTTGTGGCTTATGTCTAGGACCCCCGAGTTCAGTGGGATGTCTTGAGTTTGAGGGCACATTCATGTGTTTTCTTTCCAGTCCTGCTGGGAGCAAGGAGATTCCAGGGACTGACTGATCAGAGGTGTGGAGTGACTTATTTAAGGTCACACAGCTAGTCAGAGGATTGCTATGAATCCAGTTTCTGACTCTTGATCCTGGGTTCTAAACTCCAGGGCTCTGTGCACTGTTCTTAGGCTGCTACCAGCCTGGGAGAGTGAAACAGGGAGCTCTCGGTGCCCTTGAATCTGATGGGCTGGTTAGAGTTCTTTGGCTGCAAGTAATAGAGACTGGGTCTGGCTATTGAAGCTATAAAAAAGAATGTACTAGAAAGATATGGGGCAGCTCGTATAATTACCAAAGAAGCTGATTAACCATGACTTGAAGAGGACAGGTTCCTGGGCTGAGGGCCTCAAGGAAGAGCTCATCCTTCAGAGCAAAAATAGGTGCTGCTCTGGCAGAATGAGAATGAGTGGATCCTGGGTAAGCACTGTATTAGTCTGTTTTCATACTGCTGATAAAGATATACCCAAGACTGGGCAATTTACAAAAGAAGGAGGTTTAATGGGTTCATAGTTCCATGTGGCTGGGGAGGCCTTACCCTCATGGTGGAAGGTGAAAGGCACATCTCAC
This sequence comes from Homo sapiens, assembly GCF_000001405.40. Lineage (NCBI taxonomy): Eukaryota > Metazoa > Chordata > Mammalia > Primates > Hominidae > Homo > Homo sapiens. Next base: position 116,759,928 of record NC_000010.11, on the reverse strand, counting down.
ATGGCGGCAGACAAGAGAACAGAACTTGTTCAGGGAAACTCCTCTTTATTAAACCATCAGATCTCATGAGACTTATTCATTATCATGAGAATAACATGGGAAAGACCCAGCCCCATGATTCAATTACCTCCCACCAGGTCCCTCCCACAACATGTGGGAATTGTGGGAGCTACGATTTAAGATGAGATTTGGGTGGGGACACAGCCAAACCATATCAAGCAGAAACCACTGAATTCCACCTGAGGAGATGTCTTCTATCCCTCTGCAACCCCAGTACTGAATGCTGTCAAAGCCACTGTCATTTACTCAACATCCATTTCCCCCTTATTCCCTGATGGAAGAGCCCTGAATTTGTTCATCCTCATGGAAGGTGACCCTGTCCCCAGCTCAGAGGTAAGCCCAGATCCACTTAAACCAATTAAGGTAACTCCATTGTCCTTGCCTGTCATTGGTTTAGACTTCAGAGTGGTCATGAGATCTAGTTCTGTCCAATAAGAAGTGAGGAGAGGTTGGCTGAGGGGATTCTGAGAAGAAAGACCCACAAGAAGACATATTAACATCTTCCTCTTGACACTGAATGGCTCCAAAGCACACAGGGAGGGGCAGCTGCCATTTTGCTGACCTCCTGAGGTCAAGCTAACAGTGAAACTGGGCAGAGCCACAGAGATGGAGACAGAACTACCTCTGAAATGACTTGTTATTGAGTTAGGACTTTTGATTATTTGCAGCTGGATATACCTTAATGGATACAGAAACTTTCTTGGATAGAAGGGCAGATTTATTCTGCATTACTCCAGAGGGTGAAATTAAGACCAAAGAGAAAACAGCTATGAGAGGAAGAGCTGGCTGACATCTCTCTGAGACGAGGGAATGTGCTGTTTCTTCAGGTCCTGAGTTCCCATCAAAAGAGAATCTGAAACAAGCCGGCTGTCTGGGGTGCAGCAGAAGGGGTTTCTGCATCAACATCACCTTTAAAGTTCCTTCTGACCTTGAACTTCCAGGATTCTGTTGTCAGGAACCAGGATCTAGAATCAGCCGAGGCCTGCCTTCACCCCAGAGCATTCCACAGGATCAGGCTTTTCTATTTTCTACTCATCTGAGTCCACACTCTTTATTTCCTTGGTTTTAAATTCAGTTTCTCTAATTCTTCAAAAAACTTGAGCAAGCTCTGTGTGTTGCTATCTGTTCTTAGAGTCTTTGAGAAACATTTGATAAATATATATATATTATTTCTTTTTATCTCACTTCCTCTCTTTCCCTCTCTCTAAAATGCACACACAATCACACATGTATACACATGCACACAAACACAAATGATCCACAGGCAGGGATTCTAACTGGAAAACAGGAACCATCTCCGCTGGCCTCATATTCCTGTAACCCATGACTTCCCTGTATCATGGAGCTGTCCAGTAAGATGAGCTCTGGACTTGAAGTGATAAGTGATGTGGGTGTGAATTCCAGCCATGCCACCTCCTGGCCGGGTGGTCCTGGGCAACTCATTTGCTTTCTGGACCTCAGCTCAGAGTTCACCTAGTGAATTAGCCTCCCAGAGCTTGGCACATAGTAGGTGATTCATAAACGGCAATCAGAAGTCACAGGGCAATGCATTGAGGAGGCCTGGACATGGGCAGAGTGAAAGGGGAATGAGTGTGGGGCAAGGGTGAGCAGAGCTAGCGATGCTTCTCAGAAGGCAGGACATGGGTCTGAAAGAGACTGAAATCCATGTATCAAGGTACCTTCGCTGAAGGCTGTTAGGTACCTAGCATTAAGACATCCTTTCCAACCTCATCCTCTGCTTCTAAACCACCTATCCCACTTCTGTTGAGTGGATTTTAAATAATCATTTATTGATCCTGTTCTTGTTATAAAAGAAAAACATGTTACTTATTGAAAATGTTGTGGGGGTGGAGAAGTGGGAAGAAAAAAATAAGTCACTTGTCATCTTACTATGCAGAGGCTACTCCTATTGATATGTTAGTGCATTGCTTTCTAGTCTTTTAAATGCACAATTTTATATGCACATATCTCATAGGTAGAGAAGTAGATAGATGGGATTTGTATTTATCTGGATGTGGCCATTCTAATAGGTCGCTCAGTCTCTAATCAATAGCAGCTGACAATCCTTGGCTCTTTGGTGTTATCACTGTCCCTGCACATGTATGAACTCGTTTAATCTTCATCACATCCCTATGAAGTAGGTACAGTTATTATTCCCATTTTACAGGTGACCAAACCAAGGTACCAAGCAGTGCCCAAAGTCACAGAGCAAGAAATCAAACCCAGGCCAGTGCTCTTAACCCTGACCTCCGCTGCCTCTCTTTCTTCCTGGTTTCAGCCTGAAAGACATTCTGTCTCCAGGTGATTTTGCATTTGTCCAACCTCCTGCCGTGTGCGGATGATGAATGTAACTCTGGAGTGCCTCCCTCTCACTCTTTGCTGTTGAAGGGAAGGGCATTTGGAGGGAAGTCAGGTGACCTTGGGAGAGGGGCCTGGTTGTCTACACGGGTACACTCAGCGTCGCCCTACATGGACGGTTTCTGGTGTCTGGATTTTGATCATCAGCCCTGTCACTTGGACCTGGAGGGGTCAGCCCATGCGAGAGCTGCTTCTCCCTGGGAGACTCATGCTGTTAACCCAGCTCCTGGGACACAGGCAAAATCCGTAACACTAACGTGCCAATTCACAGAGAGAACTCCAGGAATCCTGAGGGGCCTCCTCCCATTTGCAGGTCATCCCCCATTTCCCCCAGCTAAGCCTACTGTGGCAGCGGTGGCTTGGTTACCAGTCTGAGCACCAGAGTGGTCAGAGTTCCAGGTCTCAAGCTTTTTTGCTGACCATCCTTAAACAAGTTATTGAACCTTTCCTGTGCCTCCATTTCCTAGCCTTTAACGTGAATATAATACTATTACCTGTCTCTAGGGTTGTTGGAAGATTAAGTGAATTAAACATAATCCACAATGAGTTACATACGCCATGGAGAAGGCCTAGAAGGATGCCTGGCATCTAGTAAGTGCTCAATATTAGCTTTTGATACTGATGCAACTTTACACCTGGACTGGCCCACCCTCAATTCATTGGAAGTTGTATTCTCTTGTTTTCCATCTCCCACTGAAGACCATCAACTGTGTTTTCCCACCTTTGTATTTATCCTTGTAATACATAACAGACCCTTAATCCATGCTTGTTTTAGTGCACAAATGAGTGAATGAATGAATGAACTCCCACTATGTAGATCTATAAACCTTTCAAAACGGTTTGCAAAGTCTGAGCACTTATCAGATTCTCAAAGGAGCACAAGATTCAGAACAGGCTGAGAGGCGGCTGCAGGCCTTGGGTTATGGGGGTAGAGTGAGCCCCACCCACATGGGCCGGTGCCCAGAGGGTGCCCGTGTGCCAAGGCGAGCAGGCTCAGGGAAGGGCAGCCATTCTGAGCTCACTCTTGGGGCCTCAGAAGGCCTTTTGTGGGGACTGACATTTCCTGTCCAAATGTGAAATTCCTTGGCCCCAGCACACAGTGTAATGTGTTTTCTCGAATCAAGTATTTGCTGGAGCTGTCTGTCTCTGATCTCACAAGCACACCAGCCAGTTTGTTTTGAGAGCTGCATTTTCGAGAAAGAGCAACACAATTTAGGAGCCAAATCAAATGGCGAGAGCCAGAGTGACAGTAGAGTTAGGATACAGCCCCCTACCCTTCCCTGGAAGTGAGAGGCATCAGTCTCCGGACAGAGTTCAGAGAAAGAGGGAGACAGAAAAAGATTATAAAGCCTTAAGGGAAACCTGGAAATGGCAAAGCCTCCCTCATTATCCCTCCACCTTAGCACAACTGTTTGATCTTTCTACAGGCTAGGAGGTGTTCGTATGCAGGCATACTTTTAGTGGTTATCATCATTATTTATGGGTGTTTTTCTGCTTGTAAAATTTTGTTTTCTTTTCTTTTTTGAGACAGAGTCTTGCTCTGTTGCCCAGGCTGCAGTGCAACAATCACAGCTCACTGCGGCCTCAACCTCCCCAGGCTCAGGTGATCCTCCCACTTCAGCCTCCCAAGTAGATGTGACTACAGATGTGCCCCACCACGCCTGGCTCTTTATTTTTGTATTTTTGTATTTTTTTTTTTTTTTTTGGTAGAGATGGGGTTTTGCCATGTTGCCCAGGCTGGTCCTGAATTCCTGGGCTCATGCCATTCGCCTGTCTTGGCCTCCCAAAGTGTTGGGATTACAGACGTGAGCCACTGCACTTAGCCTCCTCCCAATCCCCCGCTTAATAAGTGACATTTTCTCATGTTACTACACCACCTTTTTTTTTTTTTTTTTTTTTTTGAGACAGTCTCACTCTTTCACCCAGGCTGGAGTGCAGTGGCACGATCTTGGCTCACTGCAACCTCCGCCTGCTGGGTTTAAATGATTCTCGTGCTTCAGCCCCCTAAGTATCTGGGACTACAGGCATGCAGCACCATGCCTGGCTAGTTTTTGTATTTTTAGTAGAGACGGAGTTCCACCATGTTGGCCATGCTGGTCTCGAACTCCTGGCTTCAAGTGATCTGCTCATCTCAGCCTCCCAAAGTGCTGGGATTACAGATGTGAGCAACTGTGCCCAGCCGCCACCTTCATATTTATGTTTGTAATTTTATTCAGTTGTACTCCTCGCATCAATTAACATTTAAAAATACATGGATAGGCCAAGAGCAGTGGCTCACACCTGTAATCCCAGCACTTTGAGAGGCCAAGACGAGTGAATCACTTGAGGTTAGGAGTTTGAGACCAGCTGGCCAACATGGTGAAACCTCATCTCTATTAAATATACAAAAATTAGCTGGGCATGGTGGCAGGCGCCTGTAATCCCAGCTACTCTAGAGGCTGAGGTGTGAGAATCACTTGAACATGGGAGGCAAAGGCTGCAGGGAGCTAAGATCGTGCCACTGCACTCCAGCCTGGGCGACAGAGTGAGATTCTGTTTCAAAAAAAAAAATACATGGATAAATATAGTTGTTTTCTTTTGACATAATTTCTAAGAGAAAGACTAACTGGTCAGTGTTTTCTAAGTGTTGCCATAGGATTTCCCAAAGTATGCAAGTCCTTAGTTTACGATGACTCCATCCATGTATGTATGAAAGTATAGACTCTACTGTGATCTCATTATTAGATGTTATTGTTTTATTGTTTTATAACTTACCTGTGTTTAATAAGTGTTTAACCATATACACACAGAAATAAATTACTGACAAGATCGGTCATTCTGTTCATATTTTTATTTATCTGTATGTTTCTTCTTGAGCATATTTCTTTGTGACTTTTGAGTATTTAGTTCTTGGACTCTGAGAGATACAGATGCATTTACATGCACACACTTAGGCTCACATGCACGTTACACACCTGTTAGATCACATTGATGCAACCTATTTGCTCAGTGTCTATTTTTCTTCTTATCCCCAATTTTCTTAGTTTCTAAAAACCAGAAACTTAACTTTTAAAAAGTTTAATATTTTGATTTTTTTCTTTAATTCTTCTTTTGCTCTAAACTTAGAACTTTATCAGGATACTGGACAAAATAGGAAACGTAGAAAATAACAAATCTTTTGGGGGATGAAATACATAATTTTCTTTTATTTGGCCATTTTACCTTTATCCAGATCTTAGCACTTTCCATCCTCGCAGTGAGCTGAGGGGGGATGGGTCAAGACAGTGTGTTTTCCCCGTTATGAGTGAAGACTGTCCAGGTACAGGCTGGTTAGGGAAGAGCCCACTTCCTTCTCCTCCCTCCCACCACATTGCCAGCCTGGGAAGGACTTCGGTGGAGCAGTTTGAGGGCATTACCTGGCTGTGTAGCCAGTGGTGACTAAATTGCTCATAGCTGACCCCTGCCAGGGTGGGGAGAGGAAGGCCCGGCCCGTGTCTCTACTATGTTGCCTACGAGGGCTGCTCCTGCCCTGGCATGAGGCTGGCTCCCTTGGGAAGCTGAAATGAGGTAGCTGAGTGCTTGGCTTAGTGCCCAGCAGAAAATGAGCAAGCACTGGAGTGAAGCGAGTGTTCATATGATTAGACTTGTAGTGATGTAGCCCTTCTCTACCGAGGAGCTCCTTTCTCTATCCTGGAGTGGGTACCACGTGCCAGACTCCAGACCAAGCACTCCACACGCACCACCTCACTTACTCTTCACAAAAGAAAGAGGACGTAGACCCATTTCCTTGAATTCTTTTAGAACACTTACTTTACTTTCAGACTCTTTGCAGGGGTTTGCCCTACAGGATCATGGAATTTGTGCTCTGGGAGGTGGGTGCCATAATTATTCCCATTCACAGATGAGGAAAATAAGGCTTACAGTAACTAAGATCACAAACTAAGAAGCAGCAAAGTTGGGATTCCACTCCAGGTCTATGACAGGCAGGATGAGGCAGGAAGAATAAGTATGATTTTTGTCCTCATTCTACAGATGGGGAGACTGGGCATCAGAGAGGTTAGGTGACCTGTGCAAAGCCACACAGCAAAAGACAGAACCTGGTCTTGGAGCCAGGGATCCTGAGCCCAGGCTGGGTGTTATCTCACCACTGATCATAGTGATAACTGCAGCTAGTGAAGTGCTCAGTGTGCCAGGTGTCTTTTCAGGGTCCTCTTGGTCCTTACCCAGGAAGAGGGATGTCCTGGAAAGAGGCTGAATGGGACACAGGCCTGTCTGAGCCCGCAGGCCTTGCCCTGACCATCCTGGCCCCACTGCCATGGGTTTGCCCTGCAGGATCATGGAATTTGTGCCAGCATACCAGCATGCCAGCGCCAGGCTGTGAAACAACAGGGCATCTTTGTCCCTGCTCCGCTGACCACCAGATTGTACTTCCCACACGTGGCCAACATCCCTTGGCCAGCTGAGTAGGGAAGGCTGAGGACTTTTATTTTTTGTGTCATTTATTTTCTTGATTTACAGACTTTCTGAGAAAATTCTGTTAAGGAAAATATCCTAGCTGGCTTGCAAATGCATACATTCTCTTACAAAGCTCCTGCCTCACTCAGGCAGGTCAGGAGTCATTACTGAGAGTGGGCTATAGGTAATGGCCAGTTATAATGGCTAACATTGATGGAGAGATTCCTTTGTTGCAGAAACTGGGTTAAGCATTATCTAAGGAAATGTTCCAATGGCCCTAGTATAAAAGGGTTCATGTCAATCTTCTTTTACAAGTGAATCAGAGAGGGTAGATGAGTCACTCAAGGCCACACAGCTAGGCGGGGATGGAGCAAGTATAATCTAACTCCCTAACCCACATCCTTAACTACTGCACTCCTTGCACCCTGCTCTTTTGCTCCCTGAAGCAGAAGATAGGTGAAATTTTCTTGTAAATTTCATACATGAGGGTACTGGTTGAAGTCTGCCTTGAATTTTGGTTGTGTTTGTTTCTCTCTTTTTCACAAGGTCTGGGTGCTACTTGAGGGCTGGGCCTGTGTCTGGTTAGATTTTATGTTGCAGCACATGTCTGATGGAAGGAGAGAATGATTGACGGATAGGATGAATAAGTGAGAGAGAGGCTGAATGAGAATAAATGAGGGGAGGATGAAGGAAAGACCAGGTGTCTTGGCTGACTTGCTATGGGATAATTCAGAAACCATGTGACTTTAATGCAAACTTTAGACTTCAAAGAAAGAGGGCATAGCCCCATTTCCTTGAATTGTTTTAAAGCACTTACTTGACCTCCAGGCTCTTGGCAGGGCTACTTGGTGGTTAAGCAGACCGGCTCTGGGTGACTCCTGGCTCTGCCCCTTCTAGCCCCAAGACTTCCAGCAGGTGACTTGACCTCACCACCCCCAACGTCCCCATCTGAAATAGAGGCCAACATAAGTGTGGACTTCTTAGAGGGAGAACTGTGAAAACTAAGTGAGCATACGTGTCGGTCCATTTTTGTGTTGCTATAAAGAAATAGCTGAGACTAGGTGATTCATAAAGAAAAGAAGTGTAAATGGCTCACGGTGCTGCAGGCTGAACAGAAAGCAAGGCATTGGCATCTGCTTGGCTTCTGGTGAGGCTCAAGAAGCTTACAATTATGGTGAAGGCAAATGGGAAGCGGGCACAACACATGGTAGGACCAAGAGCAGGAGAGAGCAGAGGAGGAGTCAGTGAACTGAGAACTCACTCATCACCAAGGGGATGGTACTAAGCCAAGCCATTTATGAGGGACCTGTCCCCTTGACCCAAACACCTCCCACCAGGTCCCACCTCCAACATTGGGAGTCACATTTCAACATGAGATTTGGAGGGGACAAACATCCAAACCGTGTCAGCATATTTACACATGAACTGTAAATGATAGCAACTGTTACTGTTTTTCCTGGGAAAGCAATTTTACTTAGAGTTGATTTTTACAAATTAATTTGGGTGATGGGTACCTGAGGGGTCCTTATAGCATTCTCTCTGCTTTTCTGGATCCTTGAAATTTTTCACAATAAAACATTTTAGAAACAAGTAATGGAAATCTAAGATGTTAGTTTTGTTGAGAAAACAGATATATTGTGGAGTGCACAACGCATATGCATTCCACAATAATGCAAAATGTACATTGCATTATGTACATGCAAAATGTACATGCAACTTTAATTTTTACTTATTTATTTATTTTTTGCTGGTTGGTCCATAAGTTCATTGTCTTTATTTGAAAAATCCTCATGGAAAATTGTTGTTTGGTTTAGCTCTCAGCAGCCTGATCCTGAACTCTGAGGAAGCACACCTTCCTTTGAGCTACCTGATCTTTCTTCTGAGCAAGGGACATTTTGGGACAGTTTTGCCATTGTCACCCACTACTAGTTCTTCTTTCTTCTTCCTTCTCTCTTCCTTTTCTTCATCTCCTTCTCCTCCTTTCCCTCCTCCTCCTCCTTCTTCCTATTCCTCTTCCTCTTCCTCTCATTTTTCTTCTCCTCCTTCTTCTTCTTCTTCTTCTTCTTCATGTTCTTCCTCTTCCTCCTCGTCCTTCTTCCTTCCTCTTTCTTCATCTTGCTCTGTCACTCAAGTTGGAGTGCAGTGGTACGATCTCAGCTCACTGCAACCTCGACCTCCGAGGCTAAAGCGATCCTCCCACCTCAGCCTCTCAAGTAGCTGGGATGACAGGCACACACCACCATGCTTAGCTAATTTTTAGTTTCTGTAGAGACGAGGTCTCCCTATGTTGCCCAGCCTGGTCTCAAACTCCTGGGCTCAAGCAATCCTCCCGCTTGGCCTCCCAGAGTGCTGGGATTACAGGTGTGAGCCACGGAGCCCGGCCCCTCTCTTTATTTAAACTTCTTTCTTGGGTTTCTTCCCATAGACTGTATTCTGTTGCATAGCAGCGTTACTCTCTTCTACACCTCCTCCATGCCTGGAGTTATGCTGTTTTTTTATGTATTGAGAGGACTGTTTTTTGTAAGCATCTTCATCTTCTTCTGTTAGGAAATGCGTATAATCCACGACATTCTGACTGATGATGTGCTTTCGATGCACTTCTGCATTAAATTCCTTGTTTTCAAAATCATAACCAGGGAATCATTGGGTACCATGAGGGGTAGACAAGCCTCCATCTGTGCTCCCTTCAAGGCCCCCCAAGACTTTATTGCCAGAAGTAGTTTTGGCAAGGCCTGCATCCAAATAGCAGGTGAAGGCACCAGGCTGACCATAAGTGCTTTCTACATTGTATTCATCACCAGTCACCTCCACTTGGCCTTCATAGATCTTGCCCATGCCAGACCTATTGAGAAGCCTGCAGGCCAGCAGCAGGCCAGGACAATGTGCCGCAGCATAATTTGTCAGGCCAACCTTCACACCATGTTTTGGTAGCTCATGAGCATAAGGTACACACATTATCATATCCCCTTCCATACAGGCATAAGCAATGTGACAAACACTCTCTGTGTTAGTTATGTGAGCGATCATCCTGTATTTGGGCATGTTGTACTTATTTTTATCCTGTATTGCCAAGCATTTCCAAGCACAGTAATCCATTTTACCCTCTTGTCTTCTAAATTTCACTTTGTATCTCTTAAAGCAGGCCTTATTCTTGACAACTTTAACAAACCCTGTCCTGCAGAACAGAGACCTGCATCCTTCGCTAGACATAGAGCCCACAACTTTTAAATAAAGCACAAGATCTGAAAGAAACAAAATAGCCTAAAGCAGCCCATGGAGAATCCACCTCCAGGCAAGGTTGCTCCTGGTCTCACTGGACCTTTGGTTTTCTCATCTTAAAAAACTCGGGAATAGTGATGTTTCCCCCTCAGTGCCGCTACATGAGTCAAGCGAGAGGAGAGATATAAGGGTGCTTTGTGAACTGTAATTCTGTCTTCTAATTTGATAATTTGTTCATTCATTCAACACGTTTCTTGAGGCCCTGCCATGTGCCAGGTGCTGCGCTAGGAGCTGGGGACATTGCTGCACACAGATGAAGGCATGACAGACAAACGTGTTCTTGAGCTCAGAATGCCGTGGGGCAAATTCTTCCTCTGCCACTTTCTTCTTAGGTCACAACAGCTGAGTACCTGATCTCCGGGCCTCAGTTTCCTTACCTGTAAAATGGGGGACATTAACAATATAGTTCTCTCATCTACACGGTCATGAAGATAAATGGGGCAATGGATGTGAGGTTCCCAGAGCAATGCCCAGCACATAGCAGGTGCTTGATAAATGTTCATTCTCACCACTGCTGGTAGGAAGAGCCCAGCAAGTGAGGAAGGCTCACCATAAACAGATTTGCAAAATGACTTTAAAGCCATTTAAAGTCATTCGGCACTGGGCTATGGGCTGGAGAAGGGGAAAGTCATTTTTCTCTATAACGTGAAACCCTTGGCTCTTATAAAAGTGCCGTGGAGAAATGGGGTGGCATAATATATGGAACCATAGGTTGGGTGGGGAGGGTCCTTCTCAGGAGCTGCCCTTCAAGGTGAATCAGTGGGATGACACAAGGTAGGAAAGCAGACAGCAGGGGGTGAGGAAGGGAGAGGAGCTGGGTCTGCTCTGCAGATGAGGAGACTGAGGCCCAGGGACAAGTGACTGGTCCCAGCTCCCACAGGGCTGCCACCAGGAACCCAGTGATATGGTTTGGCTGTGTCCCCGCCCAAATCTCATCTTGAATTATAGCTCCCACAATTCCCACATGTCTTGGGAGGGACCTAGTGGGAGGTAATTGGATCAGGAGGGCAGCTCTTTCCCATGCTGTTCTTGTGTAGTGAATATGTCTCATGAAATCTGATGGTTTTATAAAGAGGAGTTCCCTTGCACAAGCTCTCTCTCTTTGCCCACCGCCATCCATGTAAGATGTGACTTGCTCCTTCTTACTGTCTGCCATGATTGTGAAGCCTCCCCAGCCATGTGGAACTGTGAGTCCATCAAACCTCTTTTTCTTCCCAGTCTCAGGCATGTCTTTGTCAGCAGTGTGAAAATGGACTAACACATCCAGTGACCCAAAGATAGACAATATTTGGGCTCACTCTTGCAGAAGTCACTGAGAAAAGTGCTGGTTTCCCTGAGAAGAGTAGCAATGAGGATGGTGACTTAGTGTGCATTCCTAACTCTGGGGTTTTTGGAGACTTGTGCAAGCATTGCTCTTGGACACTGCTGTTGAAGCTCTCAGCCCTCTGGCTCAGATAACACCCTTATTCTAGGTCATTGGTCTCCTTCTCCTCAGCTGTATGCTGCCTGTACCTCTCCTCCAGGCAAATACTGTGACCATGGGCTTGCTACCAGGAAGAACACAACTGTGCAGACATGCCCCAGTGAGTCATCACCAAGTAATCACAGCTAGCACAAGCTATCTTCCACTTTGTATTTTGCAGAAGAGGCCAACAAGGGTCAAGGGTTAAGCTGGGCTGGGAGTCAGGGGGCTGAGTTTGACCGTAGCTCTGTCACTGATTGTGTGACTTTGAACAAGAGGTTTAGTATCTCTGAGCCCATGTTTCTACTTCATTATTTATTTATTTTTTATTTTTTTGAGATGGAGTTTTGCTCTCGTTGCCCAGGCTGGAGTGCAGTGGTGCAAACTTGGCTTACTACAACCTCCACTTCCCAGGTTCAAGCAATTCTCCTGCCTCAGCCTCCCAAGTAGCTGAGATTACAGGCACGCACCACCATGCCCAGCTAATTTTTGTATTTTTAGTAGAGACGGGGTTTCACCATGTTGGCCAGGCTGGTCTCAAACTCCTGACCTCAAGTGATCCACCCGTCTCGGCCTCCCCAAATGCTGCGATTACAGGCATGAGCCACCATGCCCAGCCTCCATTATTTATTTACTGGACCATTTATTCATTCCATCCACAAACATTTACTGAGTACCTACTGCAAGCCAGGCACTGGGCTGTGGGCTGGAGAAGAGGAAAGTTGTTTTTCTCCATAACATGAAACCCTTGGCTCTCATAGTGTCTGGTGAGTTGCAGCCCTTGTGAAAACTCTCCTGGTCACGTGATCATGCCAGTTTCTCTTCTCTGAACCTTTGTCTCAGTTTGCATTGTCCTCCTTGAGATGTGGCTTCCGGGATGTCCCGTCTTATTAATGAACCGGCAGCTTTGCAGGGCCAGGGTTTGAGCAGTTCTGAGAATGTGGCTGCGAGACTAACCATAGACGAGCCATTGCTATTTGAAATACTTACGAAAAATATTTGGATAACCTTCCATTACCTGAGAAGGCATTTCTAAAGTTTACATTGCAGTCCTGAGTGATGGTGATATTTGGAGCAATAATTTCCTCTGGCCCTTGAATTTTTGCCTGAAAGAGTGGCTCAGCAGCTCACATTGTACATGTGAAGGTTGTTTTGGAATGTTAATGGAGAGACCGATTCACACCAGATGGACTGGAAGACCAGTGAGGTGGGGAGGATGTATACACTGGCCACCATGATTCAGCTGTAAGGCTGGCTTTTTAAAATGCACTGACAGTTGGAGGTCAAGGCGGCTGACATTTGCCCAGGTTTTCTCTGCAAGTTTTTATGTTGCTTTAGCAAATCTGAATCTTGGTCCTGTTATGAATTAGTCTCTTTTATGATATTCAGTTCATGGACAACGTTCCGCTGGCATATCCTAAAGTCCAAAGCAGCTTTGACGGGCAGTGTCCTATGTCAAAGTTCAGATATGAACTCATATCAGTGTTTCTTAAGCTTAACAAAAACATAAAAGAAAAATTAAAATGGAAAAAGCTACTCATATCTTCTGTGTGTCTTTATCAGCCAAGAAAATCTTGCCTGGATCCATTCTGTAATTTATAATATACAAGGAAATGGCATTTTTGTGTTCAAATATATAAATTAAATAAGTCATATTAACAGTGGCATATATAGGCTGACTCTAAATGGAATGTTTTACATATATGATCTCTTATAATTATGATACCTATCATTACTGGGCCCTTTTGACAGGTGAGGAAACAGACCCAGAGAGGTATGTCCCAGGTCCCCTGAGGTGGGCAGGGAGCAGCTGAGCCCACTTGAGCCCTGGTCCAGCTGACCCCATGCTCTCTGCTTCCTCCTGTTGTACTTTTCTCATTCTTGGTCCTGATGCATCCCCCAGGGCTCACTGCCCTTAGCATCTGGTCCATCAACAATTATCCTCAGTTTCTTCTGAGCTGGGGGCCAGAGGACTCAGCTGCCTCCCCTACCCATGCTGTGCATCATGTCCAGCCCTTTCCACAGTTGGTAGTTATAGCAGGTGACAGAGTGCCCTGGCTGTCTGGTGCAGTTAGCTGGGCCTGCCTCTGGACTCTGACTTCTATTTGCATGAATGGATGTGGTGGGGGTTTGTTTGGGGGCTGAAGAGCAGAGAGGGAGTCTGTTGGCAGGGAAGCGTGTGTGGGGCTGTGGGTGAACGGGATCCCGGAGAGGATGAGAAAGGCCTGAAGCTGAGGAGGCTGTTTTCCATCAATGTTTTGCTCTCTGCGCCAGGCACCATCCTAGGGTCTGGGGGCTCTAAATGTGGACATGGCTGGTCCCACTTTGGAGAGCTGGCAGCTAGAGGGGGAGGTGGGTGACCTGAAGCTGGAGAGACCTGAGTTCTGGTCTCAGAGGTCTAGTCTCAGCACTGCAGCTTCTGAGCTCAGTGACCTTTCTGTATCTCAGTTTGGTCATCTGTACAATGGGGTTAACAATACTACTGACCTTGGAGTTGTTGTGATAAGTGCTAAGATAGGAGTGATGGGGGGTTGGGCACAGAGGAGAGAGGAGGGGCCTCATGTGATCTTGGAGGGCTAGGTGGTGTCCTGGAGGAAGTGCCATCCAAGCTGAGGCCTGTAGGAAGAGACAGGGTTGGTTACCTGGCAAAACTAGAGGAGAATCGGCTTCCAGTGGAGGCACTGGCTCTTTGGGGACCTGAGGGCAGGCCCTTGAAGCTGGAGTGACCAGCAGGAAGGGAACTAGAAGGTGGTCACTTGGCTCTGGGCTGGGCCACTTTTTAGGACTTGAGTATCCAACCGAGATGTGTAACATTCTCTCCACCAGCTACCACAGTCTACAGCCTGTGGAGGGTGTGGAGGGTGGAGAAGAGATGGTATAGAGGGTGCTGCAGTGTACCCACAGAGAGCACTGTGAGGAGGAGTCTTTGGAGGGGAGCTTGAGGGAACTTGGTACAGAGCAACCTCCCAGGAGTCTGGGCGTGCCCTGAGACAGCTGGGGCTGTGGAAAGGCATGAGCCCTGGGGGTCAGCAGAATGTCTGTGTGCTGGGCTGTGTTCCCGCTTCACTTACTGATTCAGCCAGTCAAGCATCAAGGATTTATTAAGTGCCTGCCATGTACCAGGCGCTGTTCTAGACACAGAGATGCAGAACTGGCAACACAGTCCACGATCTTGCTCTCCTGGGACTTACTTCCCAGTGGGGGCGAGGCAGCAGTTTTAGATAGAGTGTTCTGGGAGGAGCAAGCCACGTGATTGATTCTCTTGAAGGATGTGTCCGGGGGAGTGACCCCCCAGGTGGGGCCTGTGTGTGTTTGGGCTTTGGGGGGAATGGGAGAGTGGAAGGAGCTGAGGTCACTGAGGCATCAGGAGGCCAATTTGTGTAGGACCTGGTAGCAGGAGAATGACATGCTCTCTCTCTGGCTGCTATTGGGGAAGAAGACTCCAGGGAGGAAGGTGGGAACCCTTCCTTGATGTGGCGTGCTGAGCCTTGAACCCCAGCCTTGCTGCTGATGGCCAGAGGATGCCTGAACAGGTGCCTCAGCCTTTGAATGCTTCCTTTTCCTCTCCTGCAAAACCGCAAGGGCCACCATGAGAACTAGGTGAGACCACAACAGCCCCTCGCTGGCGGGCTGGATGGTGTGCTCAGCAGGGCGCGTTGTAATTAGTGTGATGAGCATGAAGGCCGTGAGGGCAAATCCCAGGCAGAGTGTGCGCTGCCTTTCATGCTCCCCTGCAAATCAAAAGTGTTCTGCTCTCTGCCCCCAGCACTGGGGCCTGCATGTCACCTCCCATCCTTCTCACGCACCCTCATGTCACTGTGGCTGGGAGTCCCATGAGGGCACGTGGCGCCCAAGGCCCTTCCACAGCAGGAGGCAGATGTGCAGGGGCTACGGGTTTCTGCTGCTTCTGACAGGCTGTCAAGGCCAATGTCCTGATGCCCTGGTCTGATGGGGAGGAACGAGTGCCTTGAGGACACTGAGGAGGGCCCCCCTGGCCAGCATGGGTATGCAGGGGAGCCTTCCTGGAGTTGGGCAGTCCATGATGAGAAGGAGAAGTTCTTAGGTTGCTGGTGGTGGTGAAATGAGAGGACGGGTGATCCAGGCATCAAGCACATTTTCATGTCTTTGAAATACCAGCATAAGAGAAGCAGGGGTGGGTGAGAGGGATTGAAGAATCAGAGCGGCTGTAGCTGGAGCTGGAGTAGGGTGGGGACAGACCAGATCACAAAGCATGGACTGAAGGGGTGAGACAGGAGGGCGGGGGAGCTGTGGGCAGGCTGTCGCAGGCACGTAGGCAGGAAGGGCCCTCGGGGGCCATCAGTGACTTAATGATTTTTACCATGTGCTAGATCCCAAGCTAAGCATGTTACATGCATAGTCTATCTAATCTTCAGTTTTATGAAGTGGGTTCTCCTGTTATACCCATTTCGCAGATGAGAATATTGAGGCTCAGATAGGTTAAATAACTTGACTGTGGTTTCATGCACAGCCAGGAACTGTCCATTTGGGATTTTTAATGCAGGCAGACAGAAGACAAGTTTTGTGTTTTGAACTTGTCACTCTGCCATCACCTTCTGGTCTCCAGGCTCTCGCAGCAGCTCTCTGCCCATTCCGTCATCCATAACGCTCTCGCAGCAGCTCTCTGCCCACTCCGTCATCCAGAACGGGATTGTACGATGAAGCCTCCCCTAGGTGATCTTTGGGAAATGCCACCCATCTCTGGAAGTGAGGGATGCTGGTGGTTACAGCTGGGTGGGAATCCCAGCTCCGCGACTCACCTGCTGGGTGTGATATTGTAACCCTGCCGATCCTCAGCTTCCTTATCTGCAAAATGTTAGTTATGGGGAGGAAAGGAGATAGAGGTAAAGCACCAGGCAGGTAGCACAGTGCCAGGCACCCGGAAACGACCCAGTGACGGTGCTCCTCGGATTCCTATTACTGCCCTCGTTTGCCAAGGCAGGGTGGTGACACCGCGGACCCAGGGGGTGCCTGGCCAGGCCCAAACAGGTGCCAGCGGCGCGTGTGTGTGGAGGAGCTGGGGACAGGGAGTATGAATCATTCACAACTGAAGCCTTGCATTATTAATATCGTTATTCTCAGACTTCTAAGGAGGGCCCAGCTGGATCCCATATATGGAAGGCGCGACTCAGCCTCCGGGGCAAGCACCTCCCTGGGTCCGGAGTTGCCATGGAGTCCCGCAGGCGGCCTGGAGGCGGTGCCCCGGGCTCGGCCCCCGCGCAGGTCCTTGGTCTGCGGCCTGGGTCCTGCCCGCGCCGGGGTCCACCCAGCCCGCCTTTGCGCCGGCCCAGGGCCGCTCCCCTGGGACCCTGGGGGACAGACAGAAGCTGGTGGGGACTGGCGCGGGCGTCCTCGGGAGAGCGCCGGGCGCGCTGGGCTTGCTGAAGGGCTCCAGGCCTGGCCATTCGGTGACTTCCAAAGAGGGGACGCGCCGCGGGGCCCCGAGGGCCTGAAATCCGCTCCCGCAGCGCAGCCCCGGGCGCGCCACTACCCCCGCCGCGGTCGACTGCGGGGCGACCGCTCGGTCCCGAAGCCGGGAGAGGAGAGGCCGGGCCTCGGCGGGCCGCTCTGGGCGGGCGGGGAGCGCAGCTCCGGAGCCAGGCAGTTCCCCGCGCCCGCCTTCCCCGACCTTTCCCGGCCGGCCCGAGCTCGGAGGGGCGGGGCGCCGGGCGGGCCGGGGCGGGGCCCGGGGAGGAGCCGTGGCTGCGGCGGCTGCCGCGTCAGAGCAGCGCTCCCGCTGCCCGGCGGCTCAGACACGGCCCGAGCGCCGCCGCGGACGCGGACAGAGACCCGCACGGGCACGGGCGCTGCGCTGGAGGCTCCCCTCGCGGTCCGGGGCTGCGCGACCATGGCGGACAAGGAGGCCGGCGGCAGCGACGGGCCCCGAGGTGAGCGCAGGCTGCGGGTCCTGCGGCCGCGGCTGGCGGGGCAGGGAGGGAGGAGGCGCGCTTGGCCCAACGCTCCGCACCCCCTCGCGCGCCGTGGAAAAGTGGGGACGCCCGCGCTGCATCCAGTTCTGGCGGGCGGGGCCGGGGTCAGCAGCAGCGGGGCCGGGGGCCGGGGTCCGGTGGACCGGAGACGGCCCGCGGGTCACATGTTCTGCGCCCCGCCAGGGTGCGGACTCCGCGGCGGGGACTGCAGCCCCCGCTGAGGCGCCTGGTTGGTCCCTGCCTCGGGTGGCGCCTCCTGCGGGGCTGGTCGCGCGTGCGGGTGAGGACCGCCCCGCGTGTGCAGCCCCCGCGCGATGGGCTGCGGAGGCCGGCGCTGGCTGGGTAAAGGGCCCGCCGCCGGGTGGCCGGGTGGCCCCAGCGGGTAATTTTCGTGACTCAGCGAGGCAGGAGTGGGAGCCTGGGGGAAATCGGAGATTTGGACCTGTTCCCTCGCCCCATCCCACCCCGGCCGGACGCTCGAGCCAGGAGTGGGGGCTGCAGCTGCGGCCGAAGGGCTTCTCACCCACCTCCCCGCCCATCCCCAGGGACTCACTGGGCTGGGGAAGGGTGAAGCGGCGGGGGTTCGATGGTCCCTTCCTTGCGGGGGGCAGGGGGAGGCACCCAGTGCGGAGGACAGACGCTCGCATTTTGCAGATGTGCTAGGGCCGCTTTCTTTGGGGAGCGTGATTAGGGCTCCGAAGGGTGGGGGAGCCGGAGAGGACGGGGAAGGGGGTTGCGGGAAGAGGACGAGCAGGTTTCGGAGCCCAGGGCTGTAAATCAAGGCTTCTCCCACGGAGGGCCCGGCTGGCCAGGATTCCAGTCTTCCTGTGGGTCCCAAGTGGGGAAAGTTGGGCGCATGGAGGCGCCGCGCGTCCCTGACCTGCAGGGCCTCGGCGAGAGCGGCCGCCGGGGAGAGGAGCGCGGCCCAGGCATCTTTCCCGGGAGCGACAGGCAAGCCGCCTGCGAGGATGATATTAAAATGCCGGGACGCAAGGGAGATTCAGCCACGAAACGAGCGCTTGGCTCTGCGGGGCCCCAAAAGCTGGAGAAACTGAGTCCAGTGGCAGCACAGCCACCATCTGCGCTGGGTTCCCTGTCTTGCTGTCGGGCCTGCGGCCCCCACCCTCTGCTGCACTCCAAGCCGCACCTGCCCCCACCCCAGCCCATTGTTCCTGCGGATCAGGGAGGTGCCTCCCCACGCGGCACTGCAGTGGTGGGGGAGTGCAGGGTGGCGGGTGGGGGATCCTGACAGGGCTCACTCCAGGGAGAGGCAGCGGAGAGCCCAGGCCGTCCCCAAACACACACCCAGTCCCCGCCTGTACTCTTCCTCAGCTGGTGAACGCAGGCAATGGACTGGCAGCTGTCTTTGTCTGAACATCACTCAGCAACTGGATTGACTCTTTTTTTTTTTTTTTTTTTTTTTTTTACTTTTTTCCTTTAAGTCAGAAAATAAAAAAATTTTTAGGACGATAAGTAGGGGCGTTGAATTGCTAAAGCCTGAGAATTACTGAGCCAGTTTCTTGCCTCTCATGCTGGGATAGGGTGGGCGATGATACCAAATACAAGGTTGGGCATAGGATTTGTCAAATCAGAAGTGGGCAGGAATGTGTACCCACTCCCCACACCTTTCCCAACACTGTTTTGTCTTGTAAATCAAATTCAGCACCCCTATCCTAACACACACACACACGCACACACACACACACACACAGACACACACACACACACACACACACACACACACACACACGGTGCTGGGAGAAATCCTGTCCAGGATGGGGACACCCATACCTGGTGTGCCGAGCCACCTGCCACCGCTCTTCTGCGTTTGTTCTGGAGTATTTGTTTCTTCACTTCCAGTCATCTCCAGCTCAAGGTGGCCAGTGAGAATTCCAGGTGCATGGACTTAGGACAGAGACCAACCTGAAGAGCGGGCTGTCCCTGGCAGCTCACTGTGCCTCTGGGCACCTCTCCCTTTATCTGTAAAATGGAGGATGTGAATAGTATTGCATAGGAGCAGAGTTGGCTTGCCCCTGGCCCCTACACTTATTTCTAAGGTTTCCTCATTGCTGGGAAAAGAGCGTGCATTATTTTATTGTTTTAAAGGCTCACAACAAACCTGTTACCAGCATTCTCCCCTTCCTGGGTGGGAAATCCAAACACAGGTTGAGTGACCTATCCAAGGTCACACATCTGGGAAGTGTTGTTTGGGACCCAGGCCATCTGATTCCAGGGCACCAACCTGTGCATACAGCCCTTATGCATGTGTGCAGTGGTTACCACTCTATTAAGGACATAAAAAAATGGTTGTGCTTCCTGGGAAGGATTTCCAGAATGTTTTTGGTACAAAAGGATGGGTGCCACAAATATCACACTGTTGGAATTTGTGAGCAGTGGCAGTCCTGGGTTGGGGAGGGGTTTGCTGGTGGGTAGGTGGTGTTGGGGGGTGGTGTCAGAAAGGCTGGCCATGAAATCTTCTCCAACAAGTGCAGTTGGGGTGGGGTGGGGAGTGGGCAGAGGTGCGTGCCAATGAAACAAGAATGGCAAAATGTGGTAGTTGGGTGATGGGGAGCGGCGGTTCATTACTATTCTGCTTACTTTGTGTATGTTTGCAAATTTTCTTAATAAGATGTTTAAATTACTTAATTTACAAAATCTGAAGGGCCACACTTGAGGGTCTGGGTGTTGGACAGCAAAATTTGAGATGACCTTCAATCCTGCCCCCTCCCGCATGACCTGAGTGGGTTGACACATGGAGCCCTAGAAGGGTGAGATGAATTGGGGGTGGACAGAGTGGTTCGGACAGGGATGGCTCCTATGGTGACCAAGTCAGGGCTAGACATGAAGAGTGGAAACCAAGTCATTTTTTCCAGGGCACGGGCTTGAGGAGAGGGATGGTGGGCAGGCAGTTTTGCCTGGGTTGAGGGTATCTCTCGAGGCCTGGCATTGGGCTTTGGAGATGCCATCCTGGAGGTTCATCTTAATAAAAATAAACATTTTAAACGTTCACTTTTATTGAGGACTTAGTGTGTGCTGAAACCTGGGAATATTGAGTTATCTCATTTAGCCCTGACCACGTTTGTTGTTGAATGAATGACTATGAAGGACGCCCTGTGATCCCCATTTCACAGAGGAAAAAGCTGACAGTCCTAGCAGCGCACAGCTGGAAGGGGGCCTAGGTAAGGACCTAGGCCATGGGATGCAGGCCCCAGGTGGTCAAGCTGAACAGCCTCTCCTGGCATGTGCCTGGCATGTCATAGGCCCTCAGGGACTTGTGTTGAGTAGGCCTGCGGCTAATAGAGAGTGGCTGCCCTACTTCCTTCAGCCACCAAGCTGTAGATGGTAGTGACAGGGCGCTGGTTATAGCCCCCAAAGGAAGTAAGCAAAGGTCAGGGTGATGCTCTGGGCATTGCAGGTTAGGGTTCTGGCTATGGGATCCACTTCCGTGTCAACATCTGCTGCTGCAACTTGTCTGCCGCCTTGGTGGTCCTCCCATGCCTTCTGTGTATGTCCCTACACAGTGTCTTGTGTTTCCCAGAGCCTTGTGATCGCCTTTGGCCCTGGACACATGCAGTCCTCCCTGCTTGGGACATCCTCTCTTTGTTTAGCAAGGTCCTACTCATCCTTCAAAACTCAGTTAAGGTATCACCTCTCAGGAAGCCTTCCTGGGCTCATCCATCGGGATGAGATCTGCCTGTGTGGTCCCAAAGCCTTCGGTACTTAATGGTTGATAATTCCAACTAGTGTTTGTTGAGGCCCTACGATATGCCAGCTTTGTATGCCTGTATCTCATTGACTCCTCCAGCAACCCTGTGAGGCTGGCATTATTATTACCCCATTTTGCTGATAAGGCAATTGAGGGCTTTGAAAAACTTGCTAACTTGCCCAACCAGTGAATGCTGGAGTTGGGATATGAGTCAGCCATGGAGCCTAAAATCTTGTGCTGTTTCTCTCAATGCTCTTTCTTCCGAGAAAGGCGTGGACTATGTCTTTCATTTCCATTTTTTTTTACTAAGGACACTAGTAGGTGTTCAATAAATGTCTTACTTTTTGTTGAGTGTCAGTCAGCAAGACATGAGGGAACACAGCAGAGGGCAATGGCGTCTACATCTTGCCCACTCCGCAGTGGTGCTCCTGGAAATGTGGATGCTCAGGAGTGGGCCAAGCTGGAGGGGAGTCAGGCAGGGCTTGGACAATCTCAGAAGAGAAGCTGCTTTGATTCCAATAAGGCCTGGAGTGACGACTCAATCTTGTGGGGGCGAAATGCTCTCTTTTCATATAAATAGGCCTCTTTGGTAAGGGAGAAAGCATCTTTATTACTGCTGTGCATAATTAGAACAGCGGGGAGGAATCAGGGGCTTTTAATGAATGAGCAGCGTGTGGCAGGGAATGAGTGAGCGCCTGCCACTGCGGGCACCCCCAGGCCTGGGCATCCCCAGGAGTGAGCGGGGCCAGCGAGGAGACGACCAAGGAAGCACAGGCAGTGCTCAGAATTGAAACCTGCCCCACTGAAGCGGGCCCTGCTGATCCTTGCTGCGTTCCTGTCATTGCAAATGACTCCCAGGCTGCAGCTTTGCAGATGCTGCTCTGAGCTCTGCCAGGACCACCCCTCTTCTTCCAGCCTTGACCGTGACCTGGCAGCCGCAGATGTCCTGCGGGGCTGGCAGCTGCTCCATGGCACCCCTTCTGGGCAATCCTGAGCTGCAGAGTTTTTGCCTTGATTTTAGTCCCCTTATTTTTAGGGTGGCCATATGTCCTGGTTTGCTGGAATAGTTCTAGTTTATGCCTCTTTTCCTAGTGAAATTAGTAATAATGATATCTTTCACCTTCTAAGTATCTCAGTTTGGAAGGTGAATTATGTGGTTGCGCTCCTTATCTTTGTCTTCTCAGCCATCCGGGCCTCAAGACGGATGAGGGAGGCAGTAGGGTGTGCAGGTAAACCTGGGCTTTGGTCTCAGATGCTTGTAACATCTGGGTTTAACGTTGCTGCATCTGTTTTTTCTGCTGTAGACAAGGACGATTAATAATCTCTGCTCTACTGGGGTGCTGTGAGAATGAAATGAGAGAGTATTTGTAATGAGCTTAGGTATGAGCCTGGTACACAGAGGGCTCTCAGTAACTTCCAGTCATTTTATTATCATTGTTAGGTTGATTTGGGAAGCGTAGTGGTTAAATGTGAGATCTGGGGCCAGACT
Organism: Homo sapiens; assembly: GCF_000001405.40. Lineage (NCBI taxonomy): Eukaryota > Metazoa > Chordata > Mammalia > Primates > Hominidae > Homo > Homo sapiens. The sequence continues at coordinate 116,737,192 of NC_000010.11, read as the reverse complement.
GCCTGGGTTCAAATCTGTGCTGTGTCATTGACCTGCTCTGTGACCCTGGCAAGTTACTTAACCCCATAAAGCCTCAGTTTTTCTCATCTGTAAAGTATGGATTATAACAGTCTCTTCTTCATATGGCCTTTATGAGAATTAAATGAGTTTTTATATGAAAAGCACTCAGAGTAGAGCCGGGCATGAAGTAGACATTGAATTAATATGAGCAATTATTATTGGCTGTTATTGTTATTATGAATAAATGTCCCAACTTACATTCTTGTAGGCAGGAGGAATTATCCAGTACATTTGTTTCCTATTGCTGTTGTAAAACTTACCACAAATTTAATGGCTGAAAACCATACAAATTTATTATCTTACATTTCTGGAAGTCAGGAATAAGTCCAAAATGGGTCTCCCTGGGCTAAAACCAAGGTGTTGGCAGAACTGTATTCCTTCTGGAGGCTCTAGGGGATAATCCATTTCATTGCCTTTTCAAACTTCTCGAGGTGACCTGCATTCCTTGGATCGTGGCCCCTTCCTCCATCTTCCAAGCCCATCACTCCAGCCCCTGCTTTCATTGCCACATCCCTTCTCTGACTCTGCCCCTCCTCCTCCCATTCCCTTTCTAAGGACACTTGTATGAGGACCTCTTATTAGGCCTACTTGTGTAATCATTTCCCCATCTCAAGATCCTTAATTTAATCACATCTGCTGACTCCCTTTTCCCATAGGAGATAACATAGTCATCGGTACCAGGGGGCTATTATCGAGCCTCTCATAGCCAGAAAGATTGGAGTCTTGCCTAGGTTTGGGGTGTTGGAGAGTCTTCTGTGTCCCTCAGGAGCTGTCTGAAGTTTGGAAATGACTCCTCCTCCGTGTTGTACATTAGGTCAGGTTCCTCGTGCACCTGCTGCGGGTTGCCCTCCCTGGAGTTTGGATTGTGGATCAACCCTTGACTTCTATTCAATCTCAGTAGGGTCCTTAGAGACATTGTTACTTTTAGGGCTGATTTAGCCCCTTCTGAGGGGCCCATGACTCATTGAGATCTGAATAAAAAGGTTTATTGGCTCCCAAGCAGGGAAAACAATCAATGCATTAAACAAGTTATTGAAATGTCTATAAAATGTCACATTATATTTGCTTTTACTATGTAGCAAACCACCCCAAAGTTTAATGGGTTAAAACAATAGTCTTTTTAAAAAAATTTATTTTAAGACAAGGTCTTCCTCTGTGACCCAGGCTGGAGAGCAGTGGCGTGATCTTGGCTTATGTAAGCTCTGCTTCCTGGGCTGAAACGATCCTCCCACCTCAGTTTTGTGGGTAGCTGGGACTAAAGGTGCACATCTCCATGCCTGGCTTTTTTTTTTTTTTTAAATAGGGACAAGGTCTCACTATGTTGCCCAGGCTGGTCTCAAACTCCTGGGCTCAAGCAACCCTCCTGCCTCAGCCTCCCAGAGTGCTGAGATTACAGGCATGAGCCACCGTGCCTGGCAACAATAGTCATTTTATGGCTTATGATTCTCTGGGCAGGTCTCTGTTGGGTGGTTGTTTTGGTGGTCTTCCCTGTGGTCACTTATGTGACTGCAACACTCTGATGGCTCAACTAGTCTGGGTAGTCCAAGATGACCTCGCTCACAGGTCTGGGGGTTGGTGCTGGCTGTCGGCTGGGCTTCGTTCTCCACATGGTCTTTTATCCTCTAAGAGGCAAGCTCAGGCTTCTTTATGTGGTGGCCTCAGGACAGCAAGAGGATGAGAGGGGAAGCTGCAAGGCCTCTTGAGGCGTTCCTGGGAAGTCCAATAAAATCACGTCTGCTGTATTCCTGGTGGTCACAGCAAGTCTTGAAGCCAGCTCAGATAGAGGGATGGAGAAATTGCCTTCACCTCTTAGTGAGAGGACCTGCAAAGAATGTGTGGCTATTTTTAATCTAACAGAGTTGGCTTGGCAAAAATGTTGAAACTACAAACTTTAGAAAACTATATTATGCTTTAAAGCAACTTGTAGGTTAGATCTCACTTCTTAAGACGTTCTGCAAGTGCCCAGTGATTGTCTGACACTTACAATTATTTGTTTGTTGTGCTAGAACATGTGTTTCTATAAGTGATAAATGAAGAATGATGGTGGTATTCAGAAAAGTTGTGTTGGCACATTCTCAATTTTTCCCAGTATGTTTGCACTTTGACAGATCAGGATGAACTTTTTTCTTTTTTTTCTTTTCGAGACGGAGTCTCGCTCTGTCGCTCAGGCTGGAGTGCAGCGGCTCGATCTCGGCTCACTGCAAGCTCCGCCTCCCGGGTTCATGCCAGTCTCCTGCCTCAGCCTCCCGAGTAGCTGGGACTACACTCGCCCACCACCACGCCTGGCTAATTTTTGTATTTTTAGTAGAGGCAGGGTTTCACCGTGTTAGCTAGGATGGTCTCGATCTCCTGACCTTGTGATCTGCCCTCCTCGGCCTCCCAAAGTGCTGGGATTACAGGCATGAGCCACCGTGCTCAGCCCAGAATGCACTTTTTTCATGATTGAAGGCTAATATATGAAAAAAGCAAAAAAAAAAAAAAAGCTGAAAATCTGTAGATGCAACTACCTTTAGTGTAAGTCAGGGCTGTTTTAGTATTGTTCCATTCCCCATTCCCTTAAGCTCTGTTGGCAGCTGAGAGGGCAGATGAAGGAGCTGCAAAGACATTGTCCCTATAAGAAAATGATGGGTATGGGTGTGTGGGTGACACCCTGGATGGGTTTTGCTTTTTTTTTTTTTTTTTTTAGACAGAGTCTCGCTCTATTGCCCAAGCTGGAGTATAGTGGTGTGATCTCGGCTCACTGCAGCCTCCACCACCTGGGTTCAAGTGATTCTTCTGCCTCAGCTTCCCGAGTAGCTGGGACTACAGGTGTGTGCCACCATGTCCAGCTAATTTTTGTATTTTTAGTAGAGGCAGAGTTTCACCATGTTGGCCAGGCGGGTCTCAAACTGCCTGTCTTGGTGATCTGCCTGTCTTGGTTTCCCAAAGCTCTGGGATTACAGGTGTGATCTGCCTGTCTTGGTTTCCCAAAGCTCTGGGATTACAGGTGTGAACCACTGTGCCCTGTTGGGTTTTGCATTTTGATGAGAATGGCCCCCTAAGAAGTGAGTGCTCCGTTACTGTTTTTGGAAAGGTTCCGGTAGCAAGGTTCCGCAGGTGTGGAGTGATGTACACCGACCTTGTTTTCCTCATGAATCCTGTTATTTTTAGTGTATGGGTTTGTAGAATGTGAAGATTTGTAGGAAAATATGCTGCATTACAGTGGAAGTGCTTGAACAGATGCTCCTTGACTTACAATAGGGTTACGTCCCTATAAACCCATAAAAACGTTGAAAATATCATAAGTTGAGTCATCCTAAGTTGAGGACTGAGTGTATTTATATTTGATGTGGGATAAGTGTTCATTTAAAAAATATTTGCTCCGATATGGGGTGGAGCCTCAAATAACAGCCAATAGGAAGAGCCTACAGTCACTTCCTATTCAGTCATTTGAAATTTTGAGACTGCTTTGCTTCCCAGATGTTTGCATACTTAGTGGGTAGTTTTGTCAGTTATGTTCAGAATTTTAATGTCAGAAAACAGAGACTCCAGGAGTAAGTTCTGTAGGATGGAGCTCCTGTTTCATCGACCCACTTAGCACCCAAGATCTCAGAGGGAAATGGATTACGCCAGTGCCCTTTGCTTCCTATAAACTGACAATTAAATGATGTCCCTTGGGGCTTCCTATGTTTTGTAAATCAGACCTCGTGATCTTATTGGTTTCTCTGTGATGAGGAACAGTGGTTCCTGTACCCAGGCGGCTGGTTCTGTTTGGGACAGGGAAGCTGTAGGTATTCGGGCTCCAGCCTGCTGCCTCTGAGGCCTCAGGCTGGCCTCTCTTTGCTTGTCTCCCATGTTTCCTTGGGCTGAAGGCTAAACTCCTCTGGCCACTTACTTCCTTTTCTTTCCTTTAGTCATTGTCCCTTAGTGACCATCTCCGCTGGCTGGGATAAGAAACTGTTTACAGCACAACCATCAGGCAGGAGTCTGTGCCCAAAGGACAGATGAAAGTTTCAGAAAACAACTGCTTGTAGTCAGTCCACATGGCTGCTGGACCGATTTGAAGGGATGATGGTTATCAGTTTGGGTGGTGGTTTCCCTGGGCCAGCAGTTAGAAAACAGAGCTCATGGATACATCCACAGCTAGATGGGACCAGGTTGTCTAATGTCTGGACTGGGCCCACCCTCTCATTTTACAGATGGGGAAACTGAAGTCAGGGAGGGGAAGAGACTGCCCCAGGACACTAGGCAAAGCCAGGCTCAGAATCGAGGTCTGCCGACTCCCTCTGCATGCTTTCCAGCTGAACTCCGCAATGGCTACAGAATCCTCCAGCAGTCCCGCCAGCCACTCCCGGTCACTCAGAGACGGCACAAGGATCCAAACCTCCTTGCCGTTAACAAATTCATGACTTGTCCCTCCAGCAGGAGTTACATTTTAAAAAAGTATTTGAAGAATGCTTAACTCAAAGGAATGAAGTGCCAAGTCAAATTGCTGTGAATAAAACACTCTGCAATGGTGGAGCCGCAGGCCCAGCTTTTCTTTTCTAGTCTCTTGTGTGTTCCCTCACTTGACAGTAGTGGTTGCCCATCTTTTTGTGCCTTGGCTCTTGGCAGAATGTCTGTTTTGAAAGGGTTTTGATTAGGGATTTTGGTTGCAGGTAAGTAAACCTTCTCTGGCTAGAGGAAGCCAAAAAGGTAACTTTACAGTGAGGATCCAGGGCTGGTTCCTGGAACTTAAACCTGCTGCTAGGTCTAGGAGGGGAAAGTGTTGGGAACATGGCAGTTTTCTTTCCCTCTGTCTCTTTCTTTCTTTCTTTCTTTCTTTGTTTTTTTTGAGACGGAGTCACCCAGGCTGGAGTGCAGTAGGGTGATCTTGGCTCACTGCAGCCTCCGCCTCCCGGGTTCAAACGATTCTCCTGTCTCAGCCTCTGGAATAGCTGCAATTACAGGCATGCACCACCACACCCAGCTAATTTTGTAGTTTTAGTAGAGACGGCGTTTCATCACGTTGGCCAGGCTGGTCTCGAACTCCTGACCTCAAATGATCTGCCTACCTTGGCCTCCCAAAGTGCTGGGATTACAGGCATGAGCCACCACCCCTGGCCCTGTCTCTTACTTCTGCTTTGCTCTGCATGTCACCCACCCCTCCTCTCTGCAGGACCACTTTAGGATTGCTTCCCATCTTTAGGGCAAATGTGGCCCCCAACAGTGACCCCCATGTTGAAATGAAAAGTTCTGATACACAGGAGGTCTGATGTCTGTCTGTTTTTCTTTCTTTTCCAAGTCCAGATTCCCAGACGAGGCCGCAAGATTCAGGTATGATCAGGACTTGACCCAGAAACAGTCAACCCTGGCCAGAAGAAGGGTTACCTTGCTGAGAGAGGGGGAGTTAGGGGGCACGATATCTGGTGGTCAGAGAGTAATTATCTCCCACAAATAGTTAACAGTACAGGTGTCTGAAGTAAGCCCTGTGTAGTAAAGAATTTCTAGGTGAGGGCTGTACAAGAATGGAGAAGAAAGAGACTACCTGTTAGAAATTTTGCTCTTTTGTTCTTTCTTAGAGAAAATTACTTTCTCCCATGTAAAAGTTTCATGCTACATGGGGTAACTGACCACTGGGTCCCTTGCATGACAATAATGCACAGACTCTTGGTGTGTTCTTCTGGTGTGTGATGGGCTGTAGTCAGTCCACATGGCCGCTGGCCCCATTTGAAGGGACCGTGGTCATCCGGTCTGGCAGTGGTTTCCCTGGGGCCGGCAGTTAGAGAGCAGCAGAAGGGGTGCATCATTCATCTGAGTCACTTGCTTCACTTTCCCCTCCTAGACCTGGCAGCTGGTTTAAGTTCTGGGCACCATCCCTGGATCCTCACTGTAAAGGTACCTTTTTGGCTTCCTCTGGCCAGAGAAGGTTTACTTACTCACAAGCAAAATTCGTTTTAAAACAGACATTCTGCCAAGAGCCAAGGCACAGAAAGATGGGCAACCAACATGGTCAGGGGCCCGTTCTGCCTAAGCACAAGGACCAACTCCGGGGCCCTCCAGGGGAGGCCAACTGGCCAGCCATGGAGGATGTAGCATTGACTGAGTCCACAAGGGCCCATGCAGCAGGACCCTGGGACAGACCATGGGAACGGGCTGCGCAGAGAAGCTGGCCCACGCCTGGGAGCACACTGATTCCTGCCTGTCCAAGCTCCTCGGCTTCTCCCCCAGGAAACGTTGGGAGGGTGGGAACCATGTTGGACCTGGTCTGGGAAAGCCAGGAGGGCCCGGTTCCTTCATAGCCAGGTTCCTAGGCTGTACAGAGGCCCTTGGAAGGCCCTTATCCCACAGCCTCAGTCTGTCTGTGTCAGACCAGCTATGGCGAGATGCTTTCCAAGATATTTTTGAGCGTCCATCCTTTGGCGTCAGCCTCTGGTAGTCTTGGCCAGCAAAGCTGCTAGAACAGGTTGGGGGTGGGCATGGCTGGGGAAGGAGTCACCCAGGGCCAGGCAGTCCCAGAGAAGAGAGCCCAGCAGATGGAATGGGGCATGAGGGACCCCAGGCCTCCTTTGTGGGCAGTAAGACAGAGTGGGCTTTAGAATAAGACAATACTTGGTTCAGATCGTGGTGCCACCTCTGACTAGCCGAGTGGCCTCAGCCAAGTCATTTAGCCTCTCTGGGCCTCAGTTAAGTATAAAATAGCACTCAACACCCCATGCCTGGGAGCTAGTGTTGGATGGGCACTTGGTAGAGTGAAACGGGCTTAGCTCAGTTAGAAAGTCCTGGTTTGGGTCCTGGCTCCCATACCTGGCCTTGACCTCACCAAGGTATTCAACCTCTCTAGATCCCCGTGACCTTATCTCAAAAGTATGGGTCACAGCACTTCACGGGTTGGTTCTGAGAATTAGATGAGGTCATGTATATAAAGAATTTGTCCTACACATAAAACATGTGCAGTCAATGTTAGGCATCATCATCATCATTATTATTTTGAGATGGAGTCTCGCTTTGTCACCCGGGCTGGAGTGCAGTGGCACCATCTCAGCTTACTGCAACCTCTGCCTCCAGGGTTCAAGCGATTCTTCTGCCTCACCCTCCCAAGTAGCTGGGATTATAGGTGCCTGCTATCATGCCCAGCTAATTTTTGTATATTTAGTAGAGATGAGGTTTCACCATGTTGGCCTGCTTTGGCCTCCCAAAGTGCTGGGATTACAGGCGTAAGCCACCACGCCTGGCCATCTTTATTATTCAAAACACCCACTGGGCACACACGAGGTACTCAGAAAGGTTGATATTAGGGAGTGGAGCTGGCTGGGAGATTTCGTTAAAGTTTAGTCTATTGAGGTCTAAGTTACATAAGGTAAGACTCACACTTTTTGGGTGTACAGTTCCATGAGTTTTGACAAATGTAGATACAGTTGGCCCTTGAACAACATGGCCTTGAATTGCACAGGTCCACTTATCCATGGATTTTTTTCAATACATATATTGGAACATTTTCTGGAGATTTGTGACAATTTACTGCATAGCCTAGAAATATTGAAAAAAATCAAGAATTTAGGTATTTCGTGAATGCATAAAATAATGTGTTAATTGACTGTTTATGTTATTGTTAAGGCTTCTGATCAACAGTAGGCTATTTGTAGTTAAGTTTTGGGGGGGTCAAAAGTTATATGTGGACTTTTAACTGTGCAGGGGGTGGGTGCCCCTAACCCTCATGTCGTTCAAAGGTCAACTGTAGTCATGTAACCACCATGTCAGTGCAGAGTATTTCCAACTCGGGAGGATTTTGTCATTCAGGATCCTCTGGTTTGCAGAAAGCCCCACCTCCGATGGTGGGGGATCTCAAGGCCTGGACCGTGCCCCAAAGGGAGGGACTTTCAGGGTCGACCCAATGATAGCATCCCAGCCTGTACGCTGGGGCTCTTACCAGTCAGGGGTTGGGGGTGGGCTCCTGTGACCTTCCCGGCGTGCTCCTCATTGGCTCTGGAGAAGGGAGAGATGGAGTCTGCAGGGTGCCCTTTGTCAGTCCTTGGGCTGGGCAATGCTGCCAGACAGAGGCTGAGAACCCACTAGAACTGAGAGCTGAGACACAACTCACATTTGTGTGAGGTACCCAGAGAGCCAGGACTAGTGAGGTTTGGCCTAAAATGAGGGTCCCATGTCTCTGCTTGCCATAGGCCGCCTGCAGGGATGTGTGAGGGCCCTTGCCCCGGGAGGCTTATTGCCTGGCACATAAGGAGCATTAAGATGGGCCCCTGGAGGGGGTGGTTTGAGGATCCTGGAAGGCTCCCCGCACCTGCCCCTGGTCACAGAGCCTGGAGTTCCACCATCAGGGAGTCTTACTCATGCAGGCTTGATTTGATGCCACATTCCTTTGGGTTAAACATTATTTCTTTAGTGTTCTCTTTTAAAAGAAAACTCCTGCTCTGCATATAAAACCCTTAGATAAGCAGTGGCACATAGACTTGAATTGTGTCTACCTCTCTGACCAATAGGGAAGAAGCTATCTAGAGAGCTGTGTTAAGAAGGATTCTGAGGTCACCTCTGGCTCAGTTGGAAAGAATGCGATAATCAGTGCTGTGTTTCCCAAATGCCCCACTTTGGACTAGTTCATGATGGCTTCTGATGCTTGAAGCCTACATTCGTCACTGAGGAAGTTACCCAGGTGACTGTGTACCAGGTTTGCACGAAGCTAAATTTTTCCATCTGAAAAACAATTTCTGATATTGTGCCCTTGTGGTAGCTTATTGAATTAATAACCTACAATAAATCCTGTCTCCAGGTACAGATGCTCCTTGACTTACGATGGAGTTACACCCTGATAAACCCATTGTAAGTTAAGAATATCATTAGTAGAAAATGCATTTAATCCACCTAACCTACAGACCATCCATGCCTAGCCTACCTTAAATATGCTCAGAACACTTACAAGGCTGGGCATAGTGGCTCACATCTGTAATCCCAGCACTTTAGGAGGCCCAGGTGGGTGGATCATGAGGTTAGGAGTTTGAGACCAGCCTGGCCAACATGGTGAAGTCCTGTCTCTACTAAAAATACAAAAATTGGCCAAGCGCGGTGGCTCATGCCTGTAATCCCAGTACTTTGGGAGGCCAAGGTGGGCAGATCATGAGGTCAGGAGTTCGAGACCAGCCTGGCCAACATGGTGAAACCCTGTCTCTACTAAAAATAGAAAAATTAGCTGGGTGCAGTGGCGACAGAGTGAGACTCTGTCCCCCCCCCAAAAAAATTAGTCGGGCATGGTGGTGCACACCTGTAATCCCAGCTACTCAGGAGGCTAAGATGGGAGAATCACTTAAACCCAGGAGGCCTAGGTTGCAGTGAGCTGAGATTGTGCCATTGCACCCCAGCCTGGGTGACATAGTAAGACTCTTTCCAAAAAACCAAAAAAAAAAAAAAAACCCACTTACATTAGCCTACCCTTGGACAAAATCATCTAACACAAAGCCTATTTTATAATAAAGTATCTCATGTAGTTTATTGAATACTGTACTGAAAGTAAAAAAACAAATGGTTGTTTGGCTACTCAAAGTATGGTTTCTACTAAATGTCTATCGCCTTTACACCATCATGAAGTTAAGTAATCATAAGTCAAATCATCCTCAGTTGGGGACGCCTGTACTCACACCCTTGTGTCATCTCCTCCTACCTGGACTCGGTGTAGCTACATGATTTGTTTTGGCCAATAGGACCTTGGCAAACAGGAAGCCAGCAGAGGCTTGAAAATTCCTGCCAGTGCATTGGAGCTTGCTCACTTGTCCTTTGCTATTTAGGAAGTCCAGGTCGTCCTGCTGGAGAGGCCACCTAGAGGGGAACTGAGGCCCCCGACCGACAGCCTAGGTGAACATGGACATGAATGAGCCTGTCTTGGCCCATCTAGTGCCAGATGAGCCTTGAGATGACTTTAGCTGTATGAGTTGACCCCAGGTGAGAAAAGCCCAAGTTGCGGAATTCTGTGCAAATTATTGTTATTTTAACCCACTAAATTTTGGAGTTAGAAATATTTGGATTACAATAGATAACTGATATAGTCCTATTTTTCTTTCTTTTATGAATTGAATATAGTAGCAGATGATAGGTTTAATAAAAGTGTTAATGTCTGTTCTTGGCAAAATCAAAATGTGATAACACTTTGTTAGATCCACAGTTTTTTGACGGGGGCAGATTTTACTTCTTAGAAAACATAAGTGTCTTGGAACCACTGAATTATGGAGATCTGAGGGAGGTGTTGCTGTGCAGTCTGGGGTCTTCATCCGTCATCGGCACGTTAGTTAGTGTGACTTAGATTATCACAGTGAGAAATAGTTAAGGCTGGAGGGTGGAGGTGTGGGAGCTCTCAGTGTTCTGTGAGCCAACTTCATTTTCCACATGAAGAAACAGAAACCTAGAAAGTGACAGTGAGCCCGACAGCACACCTGGAGGCAGTAGGGCCATGCCGTTCATCGGAGCAAGCCAAGACTGGCTGTCTGGATGGGATATTGGGGACGGGTAGAGGCTAAGGGTAGGAGTGTTGAGGGGCAGCCCCCTCTTGGGCCTGGTGGTTTGACAGGCACCCCCAGAAGGAACTGTGGGAAATTGGGGATGGTCTACCCAAGGACACCAACCCTTTGGGGAGCACTCACAAGGGGGGTGGTAGGTAGTGATATCAGAGACCCAGCAAGGACCTTTTACTGCTGGAGCTGGTGGGGTCCTGCCAGGCCTGTCTCGGGGGAGGCTGCTGGGAATGTGCGTATATAACTCTGAATGTGCATGCATGCGTGGGGAGAGAGGTAGAGTGAGCAGCTGAGATGGAGGAGGGAGACAGAGACAGAGGAAGGAATGGGCTGAGAGATGTTAGAAGCTTCTGGTAGGTCTTCCTTTGGGGTTCTTGCAGTTTATTCAAACTTGAACCCACAAAGTCATGGCTGGTCATGGGTGCAGATTCTGCCCCAACACCACACTCCTTGGGCCTTTGGTAAATATTCGGTAGTGAGATTGCAAAGTGCCACATGCCAGGGGACAGAGCCTGAGGCTCTTGGGAGGGAAGACCAGCCAGCAGGATAGGATTGGGTAGAGAACCATGGGAATGTCAGAATTCACCTTGTCCTGCTTGGCCTGTTGTGTGTGTGTGTGTGTGTGTGTGTGTGCGTGTGTGTGTGTGTCTAAACCTTGTATGTTGAATGAATATTCAGATAGAAAACTTGACTTCCTCACTGAGTTGCATTCTGTAAACGGAGTCCTATGCCGGTAGAGGCAGGCCTTAAGATAGCACGCAAGCATGCTGAATGCAGCTGGGGTCTTTTTAAGATTTCCTCCCAAAAATATTAGTGTGGCAGGGGTTGGGGGAGGGAAGAGCCACTTTCTAATGAAATATTAGCGATGAGGCAGAAATAAACTGCAAAACATAAACACAGAAGCCAAAAATACAGTCACCCTGGCAGTGGGATATCCCTCTCACCCTGTGACTCGCTGGGAGTAGTTCTGGGTTTTGTGTCCCAAGATAGCGCCCCTTCTGCCACCCCCACTCCTTCTGCCAGCAAAGCTCCTCAGTCCTCACATCTCTCCCCAGTCCCATACTCATAACTGATGTCTTCCTTGGAGAGAATTTGTGACCCCTTTCTATCTGTGAATATGCATACAATTCCTGGTGCCCCTCCCCTGCTCGCCTGCCCCTTCTCTCAGGGCCCCCAGCCTGTTGGGGGCCACGCAGTCCTCCCTTGCACACTGCCATGCCAGCTTCAGGCTTCTTTTCAAATCTGGCGACTGAACAACACTGGGATGCTGACCTGATGTTAACGATGGAAGCTCAGAGGTGGAGCTGGGTCCATGGAGGCCCAGCGTGAGGCCTGGGACCCTAGCAGAGTGCTCCCCACCCTACAGGGTGGCAGGATTTCTGTCTCAACACAGGCTGGCTCACTTCAGGCAGGGGACATTTGGGGAATTAAGTGTTGAAGCCAGAAGCAATTCCCATCAAGTGGAGCTCCTGGGCCCTGGAGGAGGCTAACAGGATGAGGCAGTTTGAGAGCCCCCTTCCAGGTGGGATCCCTGCACTGTGTTTTCTCTGTAAGGCAAAGTGGTATTGTGGGAACAGCTCAAGTCCTGGGTTCAAGTCTCAGCTCTGCTGTTCCTCGCTGTGAGGCTTTGGGCAGGTCTCAACACCTCCAGAGCTTCTGGTTCCTCCTCTGGGGGACGGAGCTGAGAAAAAGAGCCTGCACCACGGTGTTGCTGGGAGATTGCCAGGCAGAGAGTTGGCCTTCAGGGTCTGGGGGCCAGGTGGTCACTGGGAGCTGTTAGAGACTGGGGGTCCTGATTCAGGAGACTGAGGAGCAGGCAAAGACCTGGGGCAGGACCAGGGCTATGGCTGGGAGCAGCTGGAGTCTTGGGCTCTGGGCCGCAGGGCACCCAGTGAGGCCACAGGAAGGGACAGGAGGCGTCACTCACTTGTCTCCTCTGCCCCACACTGTCCTGGGAAGGTTTTGGGTAAAACCTGAGACAGCTTTGGTTCTCATGACAGAAGACTTACGTGTTTACTATAGGAAATATTATCCAAAGCAAGAAAGGAGGAAACAGCCAGGACCCCACACTCAGAGGCAGCCCCTGTTAACCCCTTGGTGGGGAGCCTTCCAGACTGGCCAGGCATATTGAGACAAAGCTCACAGAGGGGCTGTCACAAAATCCAGCACCATGGGGAAGGGGGTCTTCTCTTTTAGAAGAGGAGATGGAGACTCAAAAGGTCGTGAATCTTGGTGAAGACCCCATGGCCCTTAAGTGCCCTGACTTAGTCATTACACATTCTACACATGTAACAATGTTTCACAGGCACCTATAAATAGGTACAAATATAATATATCAGAAACATTTAAAAAACTAAAAATTTTTTTATAAAGTTTTAAAAAAAGATCCCATGGGGAGAGAGTGGTGGTGGCCTTCTGGTCTCTGAACCCAAAGTGCGTGTTCTCTCTTCATCTCTGCCCTGGAAATATCTGTGACACTCCCTTGTGGCCCTGCCTCCAGCCACAAGAAAGCCACTTTCAAGATCCAGTGGTTTCCTGACATCAAACAGCCAGGAAGCAAGATAGGCTGGGCCCTCCCCAGGTGCAGGGCTCTGTACAAGGTGCAGAAGGGCTGCTTGAAAAGTAGCCCAAACTCTGTCTTTCTAAAGTTCCGGCCAGTGCTGCCCGATACGCCTCTGTTGGGGCCATGCAGCCATGGATGGCTCAGCAGAGTGCTGTCTATGCCTGGGTACAGGTGACCCGCTGGCCTCAGCTACTGGGGTATGGTCAGGGGCCCTCAGGTGGGCATCGGGCAAGATGGTAGATGGGCCTGGAAGCACAGCCCTTCTCTTTGGAGGTGGCTCGGTACTGGAAGCAGCCGGGATCTAAGGAACGGGTGGAGAGGCTGACTGCAGGAGCAGGGCTGCTGGTCCCACCTGAGGCTTAGTGGTCCTCATGGTCCTCAGGCTGGAGATTCAGTTTTAAAACCTCAGCACGTGTGCGCAGTGGGTCTCAGGAATGAATGTCAGGGGAGGCCCCATGCTTCCTGAGCACCTAACCTCACCCAGCTCGGTGCTGGAGTTTCCTTATGGGTCACCCCTTGTGGTCTCCACAGCAGCCCTGTGAGAGAGACAGTTGTTAGCCTGGTACGTACTTGTGGAAACTGAGACCTGAGACAGAGTCCCGTCTGTGACAGAGCTGGTGAGGGTGGAACTGGGTGTTGCCCCAGAACCCAGCTCATTCGGGGTCCTCAGCCCCGTCCCCTGCCCCTGGAAGAACAGCTTGGGGCTGTGCCTATTTGGAGGGCAGCATGAGGGTCAAATCCTCCCACGTGAAGGTCAGCGGGCCCCTCTCTCCCTGCAGACAGCCAGTGCACAAGCCAGGCCTGAGGGATGGCAGATGGCTTTCCCAGATGGCAGAGGACACAGCCCAGCTGTGCAGGGGGTTGTATGAGGACAGGAATGATGGGGGGGCAATGGTTAGGGGGTAATGGAGGTATCTGATTGGTTAAACAGCTGCATCTGATATGAAGGGGATAGAGAGCTACAGTAGGTGCTTGAGGCTGGGAGTGACATGATGATGGTGGTGGTTGTGATGTGATCCAGTGGGACAGCCTGGAGGCAGTGACACCAGCTGGGAGAGTATAAGGCTCTCTGGGAAGCCCTTCATACCGCTCTGCTTTTGCCCTTGCTGTTCCTTTGGCCTGCTGTTTACTCCCTACCTTGTTCATTCAGCAAACTTGCCCTCCCGGGAGCCAGCCAAGCGTCACCTTCCTGGAGCTACCTTCCCCCACCCCCTTCAGGGATGTCAGTCTGTCCTAACACCCCTGTGGCACTTACCATGGTGTCTCATGAAGAGTCCATGTGCAAAATAGATTTTTACAGGGCTTTTAATTACAGTGTTTTTAATATTCAATTTAATATTTAAATTGAAATCATCCCACTATGTTTTGGCCTGAGATCTCATAGTTGGATTCTCATAAATTAAATACCCATGTGATGCATGTCCACAAGATAAGACTGATGACAGCTGGGTAGGGATGGGCAGAGGAGGGCTCAGGACAGGCACACCGAGTGTGGGGTGCAGGGGATGTTTCACATCGGCCCTGGTTGGTCCCACTGATGAACTTCTGGGTCATACCACCCGTCTTCCTGTTGCAGGGTCAGCTCCTGGAACTCTTCTTGTTCATTAACCCAGAATGTCCTCAGTGTGGTGTCTATGCCATTCAGGACCCTCCCAGACTAGGTCTGTGGAGAGAGAGCGAGAGGCAGGGAGACAAGGGTTGGTTGGAGCCGTGGGCTCGTGTGGGTGTCCCTAGCACGAGCTCCCACTTCTCCAAGTCCAAGGCATTCCTGTGGCCACCTCCCAGCAGTCAGCACCGTGGGCACAGACATCTTGGGCTCTGTGGGGGAGGATTGTGCGCCTGCTGGAAGTCAGGCTAGTCACCCTGCGCCTGACCCGTCTGGAGCATTCCTCTCTGCAGAGGAGATGGCCGCTGATTGATTGAGGTCCAGATGGAGCTGTTAAAGATAACAATGAAGTCAGAGAAGCTGCCCTGCCTAATGAAGCAGGCAGGCCTGCGCCTGGGAGGGACAGGTCTGTGGGGCAGCAGTAATGAAAAGCCGGAGACAGACCACCCTGGGTGCCCAAGACCTCCTCCCTTGCCTGAACTTGGGCGGTTGTCCATCTGAGCATGGTAACAAGGTATAAAGTCTCATTCCCCAGACCCAAGGACTGCAGAGACTGATGTGTCGGGGCTGGAACAAGGGGTCCTGGAAGGCCACGTGTGTTCACTCATTCTTTCATAACATGTACACACCAACGTGGGTGAGCAGCCATGATGATGAGTGTGAATATTATGGCAGCTGGGGCCATCTGCACGGCCTCCCAGGGCCCCTAAACACAGCATGTACATTATTTCCTGGAGTGTATATGTTTCTGAGGCCTGCTGTCCCCACCGCAGCTCAGTAAAGGGTTTGGAGAGACTCATATTTGCATTTCAGTGCCGGGGAGGGGAGGGATGGGGATTAGGATGGGTTTGTAGTTTGTTTGCTCTTACCCTGCTATAGTCACGCACACCCGGGTTTTCGTTTTGTTTTGTTTTGTTTTGTTTTTAGTGAGATTGACTTACTTTAAGTTCAAATTCAAAAGCTCATCAAAATTTAATGGTCAGTATTTTGCCTTCTCTGGGCCAGGAGCTGGCTTGGTACAATATAAAAAGGTGGGATAGAGGGGGCACCCTGCTGGCCTCATCACAGCTGCTTGGCCTCAGGTGGGACGCTCTGGGTGACCTCTGGATCCTGTGCTCTGTGGAGGAGACCTGGGAGATGCCTTTCTGTGACCTATGGATTCCTTGGGAAAAGACTTTGAGCAAATTCGGTCCCCAGGAGGAATTGTTCATTCAGTGTCTTGTGTATTTATCTCTCTTTACTGCTCTGAAGTTAGGGATTCAATTTCAACTGCTTTCAAGATTAGTTACCCTTGAAATTTTGCCATGCATACTTAACTTAGCAAAGTCTAAAGTTAATCAATAACTTAACCCAGTTTACTAATTCTTTTTGTACAAATGTAAGTCTGTCATTGAAGATTTTGTACTTACAAAGTAAGAAGTAATTAGGGATTTTAGACTTCAAAGGTCTTAAAAAGTCTCTGGAAGGACTTTGTCTCCTCTCTTCTGACATGGAAGTCTGCTGTCTGTGCTGCGGCTGCCTGTTCTGAGCAGAACATTTAGCCTCTGGGGGTGTCCCTGCATCCTGGGCAGTTCCCATCGTGCCTCCCCTCCAGGCTGCAGTGGGTGGTCCTGTCTCGTCCTCTCTCAGAGCTCCTTGGAGCCCCTTTTAGCATTGGCCTTCTCTTTTCCTTTATTTCCTGGAAGGAGCATTTTCTTAGGCAGGTTCCTGCACACCTCCCTGCCCAGGACCTGGCTAGCTGCAGCTGGCACGTGCAGACGGTCACACAGCAGAATGTTTTAATGCTGTGCAGTTTGCCCTCCTGTCAAAGGTGGGTCTGCAGAAGACTAGTTACAGCTGCAGGTTTTGAGGCTTTCACTAGCATTTATTCTGGCATAGCTTGAAACAGCTGATCTGTCAGGGGAAGCACCAGCAAGTCAGCCTGCAGCACCCCAGCAGGATGGCACGTCTGGCCTTGGGGAGGAGTGGGGCCATTCTACTCTGACTAGCCAGCTTCCCAGCATCTAGGGGAAGAGTGAAACTGCAGCTGTCTGACTAGGGCGCTGCCCCGGCCCTGTGCCTGCATTCTTACGTTGCCAAAGAGCAGGGTGTCTGGGAGAGGCCAGTGCCAGCTCTTGCCCCAGCCCCAGTTGGAGAGTCTGGAGTCCGCAGCTAGATTAACCACTGGATGGGTCCTGGGAGAAAGTTGTGGCCAACTCTACCAGGCACAGAGGTTGGAGGAGGGAGGGGGCGGTGCCCAGGGTGGGTGGCGGTGACTGAGTCCATTCCCAGAGACGAGGCTGGGCTCCTGAAGGCAGGGGGACAGGGGCACTTCTCCTTACAAGGCTGATTCTAGCAGCTCTTTGATTTGTTTTTAATTGAGATATAATTCACATATAAAACTCACCACATAAAATTCAGTGGTTTATAGTATTCACAAGATTGTGCAACCGTCACCACTATTAAATTCCCAAACATTTTTATCACCCTGGGAAGAAACTCCTATTCATTAGCACTTACTCCCTAGGTCCACTCCCAGTAAAGCCCTTTACTTTTTCACTGCTCTTTGCTGCAAGCTGCCAGCAGTACAGACTTGAGTGGGAGTCACAGAGTCCAGGAACCTCAGGGCTGGAATGTGGTAGAGACAAGGAGCTCAGGCACTGGTGACAGGGACTTGCTGGCTGTGTGGTTTTGGGAAGATGCTTAACCTCTCTGTGTTTTGGTTTTCTCTGCTGTTAAATATTTCCCACCTCATTGGGTTGTTTAATAAGATAATATGAGATGCCATCTAAGTAATAATAGGTACACTTGTTAAGACTTTTGCCTGCATTATTCTTATTTAATCCTCATTAATCCTGGGAAGTATGAGCTATTATTATCCCTATCTAATACATAAGGAAAACCAAGCACCAGAGAAGTTCAGTAATTTGTTCAAGATTGCATAACTAGGAATCAGTTTTTAGTTGCAAAGCATGGAAAACCTGATCCTGTCTTGTTTACAGAGAAGGGAAATTATGACCAGAATGGGAAGTCCAGGGGCCCAGCAGGCTGATTTGGCAGCTCATGGACCCCCTCAAGGACGGAGGGAGGTTCCTTTGGTGGTGGCTGCATCTGTGTGCTGGTGGCAAGGTGGCAGCTGCAGGTGTGGCCTCACGCCCCTGTGCGTCCACCCTCTTCTCAGGGTACTCACTTAAAAGGCGGGGTGTTTCCTCCCAGAAGCCCCAGGCCGACTTCCTCTCATGTCCCATCAGTCAGGACTGTGGGTCACAAACCCACTCCCACGTTCCTCATTGGCAGCGGGAGGAGGCTTGCCATGACTGGCTTAGATTACTTGGGATCTACCCCAAGTTATCAGGAGGGATCACACCCCAAATGTAAAAATTGGGGTTTAGTTAAGAAGCAGGAAATGGATTTTGAGTGGACACAGCAGTATCTTGGCAGCATCTATCAAGACCAGCAGGGACCTGAGCCGAGGTCTGAACCAGCCCTCTGAGGTCCATGGCCACTGCACTTCGGCACAGCTACTCAGCCTCTACAACACCCGGCATGTAGCAAGTATTCAGTGAATCTCGTGTCGATTCATAAATTCTAGTTCTCACCCCACACCCCTGAGTTTTTCTGACCTTCTGTTCCTCTTCTAGAACTCAGTTAAGTGGTTGCCTGGCCTCTGCTTGAGCTTTACTTGCGGGAAACTTAGTACCTTACCCAGCATTTTCTTCCCTTCTTTGACCATTAAGTGCCATGGCTACTTTTTGGGTGAATTAGAAAAAATCTGCTTTAGATGCAAAAATTCAAAAAAAGGGGCCCACTCTAGGCAGTGCAGCCCTTCAAGGCTTGGAAAGATGCCTTTGTGGTAAGAAAATAGCACACTTACCTCTGGGTAAGTGCAGCCCTGCTTGGGAGGTGTCCCTCAAGGTTGGTGCCTTTGTGCAGTGCACAAGCCGTACAACTGTTTTGGGATGTCTCTTCCATTAAGGAATGCTGCAGAGGGGTTTTTAAATGTGCTCAAGCCTCTGCCCTCCTGGGCACTGGCAGAGAGTGGAAGGTTTGTGCCCGAGTTACCCAGGTTTGGAGGGCATGGTGGCCAAGGGTTCCCCTTCCTGCCTGGAGATGGTGTATCTCTCTCTCATGAGAGGGTTCAGCTGAAGAAGGATGAACCTTCACCTTCCCTACCCTTACCTCCTCTTCCCTCTCCCCTCCCCAGGGACAGGTGGTGAGTGTTTGGGAGGTGAAAGATTCTGCTCAAGGGGAAACCAACTGGCCTGGAATGGCCTCGGCCCTTTCTTTAGCCTCAGTCCAGGCAGCACTAGCTGTGCCGTGGCCTCTGAAGACTGACCTGTCACAAGGCTGTTCATGATGAAATTGGGGAAGTCTAAACCCAGGGCTTCCAGAGGCCCAGGCAGGTGGAATCTTGTCCTTGAAGCTGAAGAGAGTCTTGACAGTGACCCAGTGAGTTTTAGAATGGAGACTGAGCTTCCCTGTAGAATACAGGAAGGCTCAAGCTGTGGTCATATGGCCTCTCAAGTTCTTCTAGGTTATTCTGAAAGTTCCCTGGGGTGAGCAGACAGCTTGGGGGGCAAACTGGGGCCAGAGGGTCTCCTTTACCCCTGGCAGCACCGGCCCTCACGTTTCCTATCACTAAATTTTCCTGAAGGTTCCCTTTGCCAAGTTCCTGTCTGGTGGGAATTTTTAGCTTTGATTAACAAGCCTAGAGAAGCAAAACGTAAAGGAAATGTATTTGCTGACATTATGCAAAGGTGGGGGCTCTGCTTGTGTCATTGTGTAAGCACACGGTCGTTTTTTCAGCAGCAGTTGGAACGATTTTATAATGATGATGGTAACAATAATAATAAACAAAATAACATCCATAATGTATCGGGTGCTTGCCATGAGCCAGATTTTACAGATATAGATGCCCACCCAGTGGCATGCATCTAGGACGTGGTCATGGTGGGATTTGAGCTCAGGCTTTCCCGACTTTGAACTAGTACCTCTAACATCTCTCTTACCAATATGTGCCTCTCCTACCTGGATCTTCGGATTTGAGAGAGAATTATGGTTTTCGAAATAGAGCTTTGCAGACCAAAGAATACGCCACACAGTCTCATGAGCCTGCAGACAGAGACAGCCAGGAGCTGCCCTGTGATGGTGACTCCTGACTTCCTCCAGCTATTTGCTCGTCTGTGAAATGGGGATTTACATTCACACCTGTCTCGTAGTTAGAGATGATGCCTTAGTGGCACTGGGAACGTGCAGGTGTGCAGGCTTGGAGTCAGAGAGCTCTGAGTCTGCCTGGGTGGCATCCTGACTAAGGATGCGGGCTTCTTTCTTACCCTTCTAGGCTTCATTTTGTCACCTACAGAATGGGAATAATGATAGTAATTCACAGCAACCTTCCTTACAGGGCAGGTCCCCATGAGATACACCTGTAAGGCTCTTAGCTTGCATGAAATACACATGCAGTGAGTGCTGACTATGATAGGTTTCCCAATAGAGTGCTGGGTTTGTATATTTCTAGTGGTTTTGAATTAATAATTTGAGTTTGAATAAGCTTGCAAAAGAGCCTAAAAGTAAACAAAAAAACGCATGAATATCTGACCCCATGAAGGAATTTGGAAAATGGTGGGTGGAGGGTGGTGTTTATTTCAGAGTTTCACTGGTCCTGTGTTCATTGATAACAGAGTGACGGGGGCCCTGAGAATACCAATTCTCACTTCATGGAGGGAGAAGGGGGCACAGAGGGAGGTGAGGCAGTGTCCCCAGGCTCACAAACATCCACACCTCCACTCTCTTCATCCTCCTCAGGAGCTGTTTTGTTTTTCTTCTGTTCCTCTAAGAGCAGCAGCCGAAGAGCCAACTCTGGCTTTGCTCCTATTCCAAAGCCGTCCTGATTCTAGGAGACATGCCCCTTGGCCTGCAGCCCACGTATGACTGCTTGGCCTGCCACCTCCACTCATCCCAATGCTAAGGCCAACCTGGGGCCTGAGCAGAAAACCCAGTGCCCTTGTCCCCAACAGGAGCACATGCATGCACACACACACATACACACCCCCCACCCCACCCCCCAACACACACCTGCCTTTCGGGAGGACTCAGAGCTTGTACAAAGGGTCACAGGGTGGCATCTAACATCAGCATTTCAGCTCACCATTCCTGTCTGGGGTGAGAACCACAGGAAGATGCCAAGGCTGTTACATCTTGCCCCTCCCATATGGCATTGGGATCTCAGCAAGTCTGAAGGACAAAGCAAAATGGGCATGTCAGGGTCCTTTAAGTGATCCTGCCTCTCTGCAGGGGCATACCCTACTGTTTCTCAGACATGGAGGGGCCCAGCAGGGGATGGAGGATACCCCCCACCCCCACCTCCTCTGAGGCCCTGGGTTCACAGAGCGGCTACAAAGTCTAGGAGCTGTCAGCTGATGACCAGAGGGCCCTGTACCTGAGATCTGGCTGGCGCCCATCCCAGAGTGGGAGCTGCTCAGCTGGTGGCTGGACATCTGTTTTGTCATCTGCGAGGGGGCCAGTGGGTGCCTGCTGAAATTCTGACTGCTCTAAGGGCTATTTGGTCTACTGGGCCGACCAGCCTCAGCCCCAGAGAAGCCTGATGTTTGGGAGCCCTTCACCCACCCTGAGACCCAGGTCCAAAACCTTCCCAAGCTTTCAGAGTCCACATTTGTAGGTTTCAGTGAACTCGTATCCTTATTGGTTTGTTCATTCATTTGCCAAATATGTGTGGAGCACCTACCATGTATGGGCCAGGTGCTCTGATGGACAGCGGAAGAAAAACATTGACCTGCCGTCCGGGAGCTTCCATGTAACTGGCACATTCAAATCACAATTATTTTATTATGGAAAGTTTTAAACATACAAAAGCAGAGCAAATATTATACTGAAGCCTCATGAATCTGTCACCAGTTTTAGTCATTATCAACTTGTGGCCAACCTTGTTTAATCCCTGCCCCTTCCCTCTCCTGCTATTCTGGTACAAATCCCAGAAATGCTATTGTTTTGTCTGTACATTTGAGAATGTATCCCTAGAGGACAAGGGCTCTTTTAAAAATTATGTAACTGTACTATTAATAATAATCCCTTAGCATTACCAATGTCTGGTCAGCATTTACGTTTCTAATTGGCTCATAAATGTAACATTTTTGGATTGTTTGAGTTAGGATCCACTAAAGGTCCATCCACTGCATTTACTGGAGTTGATGTGTGTTTTAAGTCTCTTCTAAGCTGTCGCAGTTGGTCTCCGGGGCAGTCAGGATAGCCTGGGAAATTATCAGTGCAAATTGTCAGCCAGCCTCAGACCTACTGGATGAGAAACTCTGGGGGTGAGACCATTAATCTGTGTTTTAACAAGCCTCGGGGGTTCTGATGCACAGCAGAGCTGAGACCTTCTAGTCCATAGGTTTGCCCTCCTTTCCTGTAGATTTTCCTTGTGATTATCTTTAGGAGAAACCTGTCTCTCTTGTCGAGTTTCCCCCATCTGGGTTTTCCAGTTGATCACCAGGAACTGATGCACAAGTTCTTCTCTCATCTGCACCGGGGGAGCTGAGAAGGCTCTTCTCTCTTAAAAGAGGAGGCTGACTTTTAGAGGTGGAGGTCCCTGAAGGGTGATGCAGAATTTGCCTGCTGTAGAAGCAGGATGCACGCTAGGCAGGGGAACAGCATGTGCAGTGCCCAGAGGCTGAATCAAGCACAGATGTTCCAAGGCCTGTGGATAGGTTTGGTATGGCCAGGGATGTGGGGCAGTAGAGAGAGAAGAGACTGCAGAGGAAGGTGGGGTGGACTTAGAAGAGCCTGGGGTCAGTAGTGTGCTGGACTTTATTGCATGGGAAATGGGCATCAGGGGAAGACCCTGACAAGGTTGAGTTAGGTGAGCAGACCTTGATTTTGACCAGATGGCTTTCTCTGTATCTGCAGTCATGGCTTTAACTGCAGGGTGAGTGTGTCTGGGGGAGGGGGCAGGCCCAGGACAGGGAGACTGAAAGTTCAGGAGGATCTGGACCAAGGCTGTAGTGGTGACTTAGCAGAGGAGCCAGCGAATGCAAGAGATGCTAATTAGAAGGAGTGATAGGGCTTGGGGGTAGAATGAGAAAGGAGGAAGTCTAGGGACTCTTCCATCTGGGAGCAGTGGTGGTTTTACTGGCAAAAGGGGTATCTGAGGAGAGAGGCAGACCTGGGTGGTTTGAGAGCTGATCCCACATTGTTGGAGGTCACTCAGCATAGCATGTATGTTACTAATATCCAACTCAAGAGAGTTGATGCCTCAGTTGGGAAAGAACTCCCTGACACTCTTAGTCTGTGGATAGTCACTGAGTCCACTTTTGGGTACACATAAAAAGTCCATCCATTCATCCATCCATCCACTCATCTATCCATCCATCCATCTATCCACTTACCAACCCATCCATCCGTCCATCCATCCACTCACCCACCCACCCACCTATCCATCCATCCACCCACCATCCACCCACCCATCCATCCATCCATCCATCTATCCATCCATCCATCCATCCAACATTGAGTGCTTGTGACATGTCAAGAGCTAAGGAATTAGAGATGAAGTAAGACTTGGCCCTACCCCAACAAGCAGAGTCCATGGGAGAGAAGCCAGGAGGACAGAAACATCTTAGTACCATGTGTAGGGTGATCTGGTAGAGCCTCTTCAAATGCTGGATGCTGGAGGGAAGGGCTGTAAGGTTGAGGAGTGTAATTCATGAAAATTAGTAGTAAAACTGTTGGTCAAGCAAGTGTGTCTTCACCTCTCCCAGCAGTTGCCTGGACATGTATAGACACAATTGGAGGCCCACGGACCAATGCATGAACCTGCAGTTAGGAGAGAGACTGTGAACCACCCCTGTTGACAGTTTGGGATTGCAGGGACTCGGGGCTTTTCCTGTCTTGGGAAACTCAGCTGCCCCAGTTCGCTCTCCCTGCGACATTTCATCTCTTGGACTATTCAGGGAGGTAGGAGGGGTAACAAGAAGTTGCTACCCCGTGTCAGGATGGGCCTGATGCTGCCCCCAACTTGGCCTGGGCTTGATGCTACTGTCTCTGCCATGGTAAATGCTCATTTCCATAATTATTATTTAGCATTTGCAGAGTGGTTATTTTACACTCAGTGTTCTTTGTAGTGAGAGGGTCTCCTGGTTCATGCCAATAAAATTTCCATTTACTCTGGACATCCACCATAGTGATTAAAAACAGCCCATAAATTATTTACTGAAATGGAAGTTCAGCTTACAGTAATAATGCATTAGTTCAGCTAGCCATGAAGCCTGTTATAGGGTAATAAAAGATTTTTTATTTTCCTTCTGAAAAGATGTTTGCCAGTAACCTACATATGACCTTGAGCTGATCAGTTTTCAAAGATGACACTGCAGGCAGGCATATAAGGAGAGAAAGAGAGAGAGGTTTTTTTTTTTTAAATAGCCTGATTTTAGGCAATCGTTAGCAAAGGCCTGACATCTGACAGCCAGCAGGGAAAAAGAAATGCAAATATATATATATATATATATATATATATATATATTGCATTTTTTAAAATCATAAGTACCAGACCTTAAAACTCCTTTTCAAATTGGGCATTTATTTGATGGATACGTAAATCTGAAAGCTAACAAGAAGGACTGTTTAGAGAAACTAGAATGTCACTATTGTTGAGACCACCTGTCACATTTCCTCGGAGCCTAGAACCTTGTAGAATAAAGTCAGCCCTATGGTTCTGTCTTCATCTTTAAACATGTATTTATGGAGCAGAATTGATTTTATGTATCTCAGAGAGTCTGTGATTCTGCTCACGGCCATTTGCTGACTAATGACTTTGGCAGAGGAGAACAGCAAGCAAGTTCATGAATTATGGCTCTCTTTGAGGTTCTCTTATCAAGACTATTTTTTATTTTAAGAACATCTGCTTTGATTAAAGCCATTAGAGCTGGGACCACATAAAATTGTGTCTGAATTTTATATGTGTTGCATTTTACAGCAGGAACCCAGATGAAGCCTGCATTTTAATCCTTAAACCAATAAGACCAGCGATGAGGATTAACCTAACAAACTAAACTAGTTCCTCCTCAATTGCCTGGTTTGGGGTTGTAAGAAATCCTGGGGCAGGAGACTTGTTGGCCAGGATTTGATACTTTTATTTATTTGTCCTCTACATTGCTGCAAAAATATTTTCATTTCTTTATATACCCCTCTTTCTGGCAAAAATTGTTTAATGTGTTGGGGTGGGGTGTTCCAGGATTGTGAGTTAATCTATAACCACCCTCATCACCTTATTTTTATGTTCACTAAAGTTAAAAAAGATTTTCTGCTCACTAGCTCTGCAAGACTGAAGTGATGTTAAATTATCTAACACGTAGCTAATAGCAAAGGAGACATGATGATTAATTTTTGTTTGTTCCCCAGAAAGCTCTTCTGTTTGTTTCCCAGAAAGGTCTGTTCCCCAGAAAGGTCTCTTCCCCTTCCGCTTAACCATAGTTTTGTGGCTAGTAGTTTGCATTCTTGAAAGGGTCAGTGTTGGCCGGGCACAGTGGCTCACGCCTGTAATCCCAGCA
This sequence comes from Homo sapiens, assembly GCF_000001405.40. Classification (NCBI taxonomy): domain Eukaryota; kingdom Metazoa; phylum Chordata; class Mammalia; order Primates; family Hominidae; genus Homo; species Homo sapiens. The sequence continues at coordinate 116,711,950 of NC_000010.11, read as the reverse complement.
GTTTGGGAGGCCGAGGCCAGCGGATCACAAGGTCAGGAGATCGAGACCATCCTGGCTAACACAGTGAAATCCTGTCTCTACTAAAAATAAAAAAATTTAAAAATTTAAAAAAAAAAAACATTAGCTGGGCGCGTTGGCAGGCGCCTGTAGTCCCAGCTACTCGGGAGGCTGAGGCAGGAGAATGTCGTGAACCTGGGAGGTGGAGCTTGCAGTGAGCCGAGATCGCACCACTGCACTCAGCCTGGGCGACAGAGCGAGACTCAGTCTCGAAAAAAAAAAAAAAGAAAAAAAAAGAAAGAGTCAGTGTTTCTCTGATTCCTTGATGTGAAAACATTGACTCTCTCTGTATTATGGGATTTCAGGGTAACTTAGTGCTTGAAGTGGAAGATGCTTTGAGTAGGCCTTTATTTAATCTACTTGGAACGGTGCTGTAGGTATTTCTTAAAACTCCTAGTTCCTTTAGCTCTGTCCTTGATCACATTTCTTGATAGAGCATTTTCTTTAACCTGTCTTTTAGCAATCTTCCTTCTCTACCTCCACAGAAGGGTCTGGATTTTCTTTTCTTCAGCTTCCTTTCTTTCTCTCAAGCCTCGACTATAGGAAACTCTATTTGTGTCGAGGTGTTGACTTAGCCTTTCTCTTCTGTTCCTAGTGTGTCCAAGTCAACCTGTGGGGACTGAACTGGACTATCCCCTGGGTGAGAGTAGTCCCGAGGGAGATGTTGTTGTATTAGCTTTATAGAAGCAGTGGAGGCAGGGCCACACTTAATGGCATTTGGGATTCCTTACTATAGATAATGGCCTCTGTATAATTGACAGCCAGGACACACAGCCTACACTTGGTATGTATAGGGCATTCCATACATCAATTCTCTCCTGTTGTCCATTAGCTTATATCTGTCAGATATTCATAGATTAATAGATAATATTCTGTATTTTATTTCTGATCATTTACCTACTGAATGAAAGATCTCAAGCCTTGTTGGGACACATCAGAATTAAACTCCCCATTCTCCTCAGGGGGTGAGATAGGCTTTTCCGTTTTTTTTCCCCTGAGAATTTTTGAGCATCATTTTGACATCCTAAGTAGTGAAGTAGAGAAACAGTAGCATGTCTCTACTGGCTGTGTATATTTCTGTGCTGTACTGATGGACATTCGCTGGTGAATTATCTTTGATTTGGAATATACAGATATATAGATGTGGGTGTGCACCATGTGCAGGTATCTCTGAAAATGTTACCCCTCCATACCTTCTGTGCAGATCAGTTTTCAATCATTGCACAGTGTAGCTGAATTTTAACTTCTGATGGAAAAAGTCCATGAAGTTCGGCTGCCTCTAGGCCTGGCTGAGTGATCAGCAAGTCAAATGATTTGTTTAATATTGGCCCAGTTGCCGTGGGGTTGAAGGGAGGTACAGCAGAACCAAAAAATCCTTGCTTCTTGCCCTCAAAGTATCCTAGAGTCCCCTGGGGACCCAAGACATGTGTTCCATGTGTGGCTCAACCTTGGCTATTTTGCAAATCAGTGAGAAGACCCAGGGCTCTGAGAAGGGCTGAGTGATGGGATAATTAGGACCAAGCAGCAGCGGGGTGGATAGTTTGTCTGCAGATAATAGCTTGTTTGCTAATTGCCAACACCAGATTTTCTGGGCAATTAGACATTTGGTTTCTTTCAGGACCGTCTGTGCAAATGTGGACACATGGCGCAGGCCTTCCAGGTAGCAGGTGGAGAGGGTGGCTTCTGGTGCTGATGGCATTTCTCCGCAGGCTGCCCAAGGGCTGTGGGCAGGGAGGACCTCTCACCAACAGGTGGAAGGACCATCTGGCTGGAACCCCTAGTGGGGAGGCAGAGTTCCCCCTGCATTCATGGAAGGGGTTCCCTTGTGCTGGGAGATTAGCAAAGATGGTGGAGATCAGCAGGCTGGTCTAGGAACTGAGCTGACTTCTCCATTCTCTTTTCAAGAGCAATTAGCGCCCACGGCTAATAGCAATTCTGTTAGTCGTGGGTGCTAATAGAAATCAGAAATAGCTTCCCCTCCCAGATGAGCAAGTTGATTTAAACTTTTCAATAAAGTTTTTTTAAAAAGTATGTATAACATAAAATTTGCCACTTAAACCATTTTAAGTGTATGATTCAGTGGCATGAATTATATTCACAATGTTGTGCAACCATCACCACTATCTATTTCCAAAATTTTTCACTACCCCAAAGAGAAATTCTGTACTCATTAAGCAAGAACTCTCCATTTCTCCCTTCCTCTTACCCCTGGTCACCTCTCATCTACTTTCTGTCTCTGTGAATTTGCCTATTCTGGAGATTTCCTATAAGTGGAATGATACAATATTTGTCCTTTTGCATCCATGTATTTTACTTAGCATATTTTCTAGGTTCACCTATGTTATAGCATGTATAAGAATGTTCTTCCTTTTTACAATGAAATACTATTCTGTTGTATGGATATACCACATTTGGTTTATCCCTTCATCTTTTTTTTTTTTTTTTTTGAGATGGAGTCTTGCTCTGTCACCAGGCTGGAGTGCAGTGGCACAATCTCGGCTCACTGCACCCTCCGCCTCCTGGGTTCAAATGATTCTCCTGTCTCAGCCTCCCGAGTAGCTGGGACTACAGGCATGTGCCACCACGCCTGGCTAATTTTTGTATTTTTAAGTAGAGATGGAGTTTCACCATGTTGGCAAGGCTGGTCTTCAGCTCCTGACCTCAAGTGATCTGCCCACCTTGGCCTCCCAAAGTGCTGGGATTATAGGCGTGAGCCACCGCGCCCAGCCTATCCCTTCATCTGTTGTTGGACACTGGAAGTGTTTCCACCTTTCTGTTATTGTGAATAATGCTGCATGAACATTTGCATATAAGTATCTCCTTGAGTCCCTGTTTTCAGTTTTTTGGGTAGATACCTAGGAGTGGAATTGCTGGTCATATGGTAATTCTGTACTTGACTTTTTGAGGAACTGCCAAACTCTTTTCCACAGCAGTTGTCCCGTTTTATATTCCCACTAGCAATGCTCAAGGATTCCAATTTCTTCACATCCTTGACACACTTGTTATTTTCCTTTCTTAAAAAACTGTAGCCATCCTAGTCAGTGTGAAGCCATATCTCACTGGTTTTGATTAGCATTTCTCTACAGACTAATGATGTTGAACATCTTTTCATATACTTGTTGATATATCTTTTGTGTATTTTCTTTGGAGAAATGTCTATTCAAGTCCTTTACCCAGCGAGTTGGATTTTTGCCTCTGTAATTACTGGACTGTGCCTCTCCCTCCCCAAGATAGGAACTGAGCCTCATCAGGCGGAGAGAGGCTGTGAGCTTGCAGAGAGTGGGAGGTGGCTGTGCAGATTTGAGGCTTCACATTCCCTCTTGCATGATTCATTTCATTCCTACAGCCTGTTTGGTGCCCACTGTAATGATGCTGCCTGAGTCCTCATCAAGTAGAAAAAGTAATCAGCAAGAGCCTGGGATTAACCCAAAGTGATTTAGCAGAAGAGGCAGATGGAACCATTCCACCTGCTCCCCTAGAAGCAGACAGGCTTTTCTCAGACACCTCAAACCTTCTGGTTTCCTTGACCACAAGTATTGCCTTGGAAAATTACCCACTTCTTCCTAGCAGGTTTCAGTACGTATGTACTAAACGGAGCAGGATGTGCAGAGCACCGAGGGTGGTGCTGGGTCGTTGCACGTGCCCAGTGCCCGGCCTTCGTCTCTGCGGTGGGAGCACGCAGTCTTCACTCAGCTTCTCTGTGCCCTGCCAGCCCTAGGCAGCAGGCAGGGAGAGCACTGTAGCGCGTTCCAATGCCGGCCAGGGAGAGTGTTTTTTCTCCCGGGGGGCCCATTCCTGGGGCAGAGCCACTGGCTCTGGGAAGACTTCAGAAAAATGCTAGGCCTGAATGATGGTGAGTGCAGGGGAACAGACAAAATGGTGTTCCTGCTGCTTAGCTGCTGGCCCTTCGCCTGTTTGACCTCGTGGCTGTTGGGTCCCATCTGCAGGGGCTAGAAATGCTGATCTGTCTGCCTTTTTGCTGTGGTTTTTATGATTGAAAAAGGTCCCAAACCTTCAGTATCACTGAAGAGAGATGAATTCACATGCCCTGGCAGGGGGAGGGAGGAGCTGGTGCATCTGCTAGGCAAGGACGCTCTTTCTGAAGCTTCATCACATCCTACATTCCTAGGATAGGGGTTGCTCTTCCTTGGGGGAGGTACCCCTCACCCCTTTGGGAACCCGAGGGCTGTAGATGCTCTTCCAAGAAAATGCACACAAAAATTTGACATAATTTCAGGTGGCTACAGGTCCTGCTAGTCCATCATGGAGCCTGGCCTCTGGCTCCACAGACAACACAGCCAGGAGCGGAGCTTTCGGGGACTGACCAGCATCTCCAACTAAGCTGGGTTGAGTGGCACAGAGTGAGAGGCCTGGTGGCGACTGGGAGGAAAGGAGCATCTCATTTGGTCGAATTCTAAATACCAAATGCAAAGAGGTGCTGGAACGGATGTTCCTGCCTTCCTGGCTGGGGCTGGGCCTTGCCCATTTCGTGAGCTGGCTTTGCAGAGGCCGCAGTTCCTGGAGGAGTTAAGGCCATGCAGCCCTCATTTCTTCCCCCTGGGTCAGTCCATGCCACTTCTAAGGAGGCGGCTTTGTTTTTCCTTTCAGAAACGGCTCCCACATCTGCATATTCATCTCCAGCCCGGAGTCTTGGGGACACAGGAATAACGCCTCTGTCCCCCTCCCATATTGTGGTAAGAAGTGTGTGTGTGTGTGTGTGTGTGTGTGTGTGTGTGTGTGCGCGCATGGGTGCGCATGAGCACACGTGCGTACTGACTTCCTTTGCATTCTGGGTCTGATCTCACAGTTCAGGCTGCTGGACAGCCCCTCACATTCACTGGTTGGAGATTAAGTTGACCTGGTCCTGGCCAAAGGAGCCCTGCCAAGCCCCTTCCCCCACTCCGAGCCTGGGAAGGCTTTCTGTGCTGTGGCTAGTGCTTCTGGAGCAGGGGCCTGGGTGGGTCACAGAAGAAGGTGAGATGGGAGCAGCCCTTTAAAGATTCAGGGTCAGAGCCTGTGAGGTGTCCTCTTGAGAGGAAGCCGCTGACTCTGGGCTAGTGAATCGGTGAATACATGGACTCTGTTGACTGCGGTTGTCTGCAGTATCGAAAAGACCCTAGCAGTATAATCGCTTCTGGAACAGCTTGCCTGGTAGAGAAGCCCTGAGCAGGGCTTCATATGCATTGAGTGGGGCTAGAGATGGGGCTGTTGCTCCCACCCTGCCCTGTATGAGGAAAGATGGATGTTAGGGGGCGGCCGTTTAGAGGGGTGTGCACGTAGATGCACAGGCAGCCAACCTGAGTGAGTGCCCGGAAGACAGGGCAGCTTTGCATGAGCTGTGCAGACGCACAAAGAAGACCCAGGGAGAACTGCGGAGTCACTGCTAGGCAGGGATGCCAGCCTGTCTGGTTTCCTGGAACTGTCCGGCCTTTACACTGCAAGTCCTGCACCCTGGGGACTCCTTTATTCCTGGGCAAACTGGGAGGGTTGGTTCCCTAGGGCCAGGTTCTGTGGTTTTCAAGCTTTGCACCCTGAAGTTGTCCTGTAAGAGCTTCAGGGCTGTGAGGGAGGGGAGCGGTGTGAGGAGAGGCCAGGCGGGTGGCATTCTCACCCCTCCCCTCCAACATTTGTTGGTTTTATAATTTGGAGTTCTGTGGGAGTTAAAAAAAAAGTGTAAACTGCTTAAAAAAAAAAAAAGAGGCCAGGCGTGGTGGCTCACGCCTATGATCCCAGCACTTTGGGAGGCTGAGGTGGGCAGATCACGAGGTCAGGAGATCGAGACCATCCTGGCTAACACCGTGAAACCCAGTCTCTACTAAAAAATACAAGAAATTAGCCGGGTGTGGTGGCGGGTGCCTATAGTCCCAGCTACTCGGGAGGCTGAGGCGGAGAAGGGCGTGAACCCGGGAGGCAGAGCTTGCAGTGAGCCGAGATTGGGCCACTGCGCTCCAGCCTGGGCGACAGAGCGAGACTCCGTCTCAAAAAAAAAAAAAAAAAAAAGGAGAGAGAGAAAGGCTTGGAAACCTGAAATAGCCTGACCAAGTGATCTAGATGAGGCAAGGCCCTGGGCCCTGACAGTCACAGTGGGTCATGTGGCTGGCCTGGTGGGATTGGACACGGTCCTGGGATGCCCAGCCCTGCTCACATGCATGAAATGCCAGCACAGATGGAGCAGTCACCTGGGTGTACAGAGGGCACAGCTGGCGAAATGCTCCTGGCAGTGGCCAGAGGTCTGCACAGGGTCTTGCGGAAGGCAGCAGGGCTTGGAAGAAGATTGTATCTGCTCAGGAACTACTGGGCGACCAGCCCTGATGATAGAATTTCTGTAACTAGCCGTGTGCGGGCACGGTCTATAGAGAGGAGTGGGCAAGCTGCAGGCTTTGTCCAGTCAGCCTGGCCCTCCACTCAGGGATGCCCCCATTTCTCCCTGAGCCATTCAGGCGGGGGCCCAGGCTGGGCTGCCTTCTCCCCAGGTGGTAGACTTGAGCTGGAATATAGAATGTCTTTCTGTCTGCAGGGGGTTCACAGCTAGGCAAGGTGAGACCCCCCAGGGGTGTCTTCCTGAAAGCCAGGCCCACCCCTCCACACCCCCCATGCCTCACTGTATATCTGCAGAACGACACTGACTCCAACGTCTCAGAACAGCAGTCATTTCTCGTGGTGGTGGCCGTCGACTTTGGGACCACATCCAGTGGCTATGCCTACAGCTTCACCAAGGAGCCGGAATGCATCCATGTGATGAGGTGAGTGCTGTGGGTGGGAGGGCCACGTGGCTGGTGCCAACCACTGCACCTGTGGAGACTCCGGGCAATGAGCCAGTGATTGGCACTTACGAAGACGGCCCTGGATTCTGTTCCAGCTTGGCTCAAGCTCACCATGCCACTGGGGACAAGCCATTTCTGATCTCTGGGCTCTAGGCTCCTGGTTTGAAAAGACGTTGGTTTGATTCTGATTTAGTTGGTCTGGGGAGGGGCCTGGGCAGTATGTTTGAAGCCTGGCCCGGGTGAATCCAGCTTGTGGCCTGGGTGAGAGGCGCAGATCTGTAGTGTCTGTGATGGAGGGATCCAGGTGCCAGCTTGGCCACTTACTGTGTGACTTTAGGCAATTGCTGAACCTGCTAAACCCCAGTTTCCTCATCTGTGAAATGGGAATCCTGACAATACCTCCCTCACAATGTGTGTGTGCAAATGAAAGGAGATTGTCCATTAAGTGCTTACTGTGTAGTAAAATGAAAGCAGGGAAGGTGCTGGCCCTTTCTTTTATTTTTTTTAAATTTTGTTATTATTATACTTTAAGTTTTAGGGTACATGTGCACAACGTGCAGGTTTGTTACATATGTATACATGTGCCATGTTGGTGTGCTGCACCCATTAACTCGTCATTTAGCATTAGGTATATCTCCTAATGCTATCCCTCCCCACTCCCCCCACCCCACAACAGTCCCTGGTGTGTGATGTTCCCCTTCCTGTGTCCATGTGTTCTCATTGTTCAATTCCCACCTATGAGTGAGAACATGCGGTGTTTGGTTTTTTGTCCTTGCGATAGTTTGCTGAGAATGATGGTTTCCAGTTTCATCCATGTCCCTACAAAGGACATGAACTCATCATTTTTTATGGCTGCATAGTATTCCATGGTGTATATGTGCCACATTTTCTTAATCTAGTCTACCGTTGTTGGACATTTACATTGGTTCCAAGTCTTTGCTATTGTGAATAGTGCCGCTATAAACATACGTGTGCATGTGTCTTTACAGCAGCATGATTTATAATCCTTTGGGTATACCCAGTAATGGGATGGCTGGGTCAAATGGCATTTCTAGTTCTAGATCCCTGAGGAATCGCCACACTGACTTCCACAATGGTTGAACGAGTTTACAGTCCCACCAACAGTGTAAAAGTGTTCCTATTTCTCCACATCCTCTCCAGGTGCTGGCCCTTTCAAGTGAAGAGAAGTGCTGGGGTGTTGGTAGCCAGAGGCAAAAAGCACCTGCCAGAGAGAAGGCAGCATGAGGGGAATCTCAGCCAAGTGGCCCCATAGGCAAAGTTGCCCTGGGCCTCCTGGGATGCACTCTGTGCTGGGATGCCCCCTTCCCTTCCCCGCACACCCAGCACCCTGCAGGCCCCGGGTGCCACCCATCCATGGGATCCCAGTCTTGATCCATGATCTTCTTGCAGGGTATGACTCCTCGAATCTTTGGAAGCCCAGAATTTATCATCCCAATTTTCAATTCCAAGGGATGACTCTGAAGATACATTGTAATTGGCTTTGCAGTTTCTTCAACTGAGTAATTGTGGAATTTAGTATTGCTCCTAGATTAATATTTTTTAGTTTTGTTGTTGTTGTTATTTTTTTTTTTTTAAGAGACAGGCTCTTGTTCCTTTGCCCAGGCTGGAATGCAGTGGTGTGATCATGGCTCTCTGCAGCCTCAAACTCCTGGGCTGAAGTGATCCTCCTGCCTTAGCCTCCCAAGTGGCTGAGACTACAGGTGCATACCACCACACCCTGCTAATGTTTGTATTTTAGGAATTTTTATAAAGGGTTGTGTAAAGCACAAGTCATAATAAAAGTGACTCCCACCCCAATCTTGGTTTAAGTCTCACCTTTCCTCTTGAAAACCAGATGTGGCTCAGCCTGAAGCTCTTGTCCTAAGAGGGTACAGACACTCCTGGGTGTCATGTCATCAGGAAATGATGAAAAGCCGGTTCTATAGCCAACTCTGTTGACAGCATCGCCCTTGGTGTTCAGTTGCCACCAGGAATCTCTTTCCATTTAGCCAGACAGATGCTGTGAGGGTCTGTGCTGCCACCACTGACCCCCAAGATGAAAAATCCCAGTGGAAAAGAATATGCCATTAAAGGCTAGAATCAATGTTTATCAGCTTCTATGTAGTTGTTCTAAGAAATGTTATTTCCACAGAATAGTCATGCAGTGAAAACAGAAAAGAAGGAGTGGAAATAACTTTGAACTTGCTTGGGGAGGGGTACTTATGAAGCACCACCATAGTTCAGGGCCTCTAGAGGAGATACCTTAGTAATGGTCGACATTTTGGAGGGAGGTTGGTTGGTTCTACCTGAATTTTATTTCAATCAGAACATATTAGCATAATGATGCTAATATGACAAGTTATAAGTGAGAAAGTTAACTTTTTTTTGTACTAAGTGGGAATGAAGGAATAAAAATTTGAAGGGAAAAAGCTCATGGGGTCATTCTCTACTGATAATGTCACTGTTAATGACAATTCCATTTGTGAAGGGCAGTGTGTGGAGCAGCTGCCTGGCATCGGGGCCATCCCTGTGTCTCAGTGCGGTCACCTCGGGGACTTTGGCTGCTGGGGTAGGAGCAGCATCCTGATGGAGCTTGACAAGGAAATTGACCAGGGATGATTCCAGACCCATTTGAGCAGCAAATATCAGTGGAGGCCGGAGCTCCATCTGGACTGAGATGGTCCTACTGATGCTTAATGTCATGGGGTCGGGAGCAGGTCCGGGATCAGCTGGGAGCGTGGCCACCTCTCCAGTGGGTGAGGAAAGTGGCTCATTTTCCCTCCTGCACTGCGTCCCCACCTGAGGGCGCACGGGCTGTGCATGGGGTCACATGGCCAGCGGCAGGCCAGGAGCCAGGACCTGGTTGGGCAGGGAACAGCTTGGCCTCTTGGTGGCCCTGGCCTCTCTGCAGTGGCCCCAAAGGTGAGCGAATACATTGAGTTTCCTGTCTTCCCCTTCCCCCTTCCCTTGCTCTCACTGCAGCCTCTCTCTCTCTCTCTCTCTCTCTGTCATTTCTTTTTAGAGATAGGGTCTTGCTGTGTTGCCCAGGCTGGAGTGCAGTGATGCGATCATAGCTCACTGCAATCCTCCCACCTTGGCCCCCCAGAGTGCTGAGATCTGTTTCTATGGTTCTTTCACCTCTGCTCCAGGATAGGTCTGAGGCTCCTGGCTTCCCTTTCCCTCCATTTAGCCCAGTTTGCCCTTATGAACAGCAGCTCTGATTCTGTCATACCCCTGCTCTAAGACCTTTAGTGGCTTCCCATTATTCACAGAGTAAATGTCTAAGTCCCCAGGGTTCTCCTCAGCCTGATTCCAGCTGCTTTCCCAATCGTGTTTCTCACCCTTCCCATTTTCACAGTCACTCTTCCCACTCACATACTCTCTCCAACCAACGCAGTCACTTCACATTCTCCACGAATGCCCCGGCTGGCCCACCTCTGAGCAGCCTGGAGTATCCTTCCCTCCTTTGAGATCCAGTTGTCTGTCTCTTCTTCAGTTCTCCCCCGAATCCTGCATTCTTTCCTCTGCCCTACCAGCTGGCACCTTGGGCATCTCATTTGCATCTCATAAGGCAGGTAATTATGCATTTGTCTATACCTACCTTGTTTCAGACAGGATTCAAGCTAGCAGTATATCTGCTATTGAGTGCTTGCAAATAAAAAATACATTGCCTAGCAGATTGTGAATTATTTGAAGACACAGACATAAAAGTTTCATGCCAGCACCTGGCAAACATGTAGATGCTTAGAGTAGATGCTCAGTAAACATGGAATGAAAGACTAAGGCAGAGCTTGTTATTGACCAAGAACTTTGCACTTGCCCAGTTCATCTCCTTTTTAACTGAAGTTGTGTCTCTAGTAGCTGCTCATCCAGCTGAAGCAGAGTGCCTCTGGGCACCCACATTACTGACACTCATGCATACAGTAGGTGTTCAAATCTGTGCTGCCTGAATTGGGATTTTGAAAGAAGGCCCCATAACTTCTGCTTCCCTTGGTGGCAGGCGATGGGAGGGAGGTGACCCTGGTGTGTCCAATCAGAAGACTCCAACCACCATCTTGCTGACTCCCGAGAGGAAGTTCCACAGCTTCGGGTATGCCGCCAGGGACTTTTACCATGACCTGGATCCCAATGAGGCCAAGCAGTGGCTGTACCTGGAGAAGTTCAAGATGAAGCTGCACACCACTGGGGTGAGCAAGCCTCTCCCCTGGGCCCAGGTCCCCCGCAATGGAGTGCCAAGCTTCCTCCAGCCTTGGGGTGGGGAAGGGATGTCCTCCCAACCCAGGGGGCCCTCTGGTCTCTTCCAAGCAGAAATCAGTGTCCATTTACCTTGATTTTAGACACAACCTGGAGCACACAGTGCTTTTGTGGAATATGCGATGCTTTCCAATGTGCATGTGGGCAGGGAGATATTCTGAATATTTAACAACTCGTTTGTCTTGGAAATGGACCTATCAGAGTAGACCCTGGTTATACCAGGGAAGTGGGGTGCTGGGGCCCTCCTGCTGTGCCAGGAGTTCTCCCTTTAGTTTCTGGATTATTGAGAGATCAGTGTATCATGAAGGATCCACTTGGGGGCTAGGGACACATGGCGAGCTCAGGGCAGTAGCTCTTAACTAACCAGTTTGGATGTAACAACCAGTAACAACTGGTACATCCAGCTCTTTATGTGGGGAGGGGGAGCTCAGGACATCAAGTGCCCAATAATTGGAGGTCCAACTCCCTGAGTGGTGTCCTCAGCTCCCAGCAAGCCAGTGTTCCATAAGACACCTACATCAAACAGGCACCCCCTGCCACCCCGAAGCTTCGTAGAAAAGGATAGGGCATAGGACAGAACTTTTTTGAGTTAAGCATTTTATTCCATAAAGTTTCCTTAACTGTCAGTGCTTAGAAAGGCAGGATGATGATGATGTTTAAGAACACGGACTCTGGGGCCAGATGGCCTGGGTTTCAATCTGGTCACTGGTACCTTTGAGAAATGTAATCCAAGTTATGTAACCCCTCCCTGCCTTGTTTTATCTTCTCTGTCAAATGGAGACAATAGCAGTGCCTTCCTCATGGGGATTTTGTAGGGATTAAAGGAATCAAAATACGTAAAGCTCTTAGAGCCATGCCTGGTGCAGATTAAGTTCTAGTCAAGTGCAAGCTCCTATTCTAATTGCTTTCATTTGTCTGCTGAGCACTTGCAGATGACAAAGCAAACATAAGTGGGAAACTCAGCAGCCAGCACCCTGCCTTTCAAGGCTCTGTGCCCATCGGCGTGGTTGTCCTTCTATGGTGCAGACCAAGTTCTGCTAGAAATGAACTGTTCCTATTTTGCCTAATGGGATTCAATGCTGAGTATCAGGATGGCAGGTGGAAGGAAGCACAGGGATTTTTTTCAATTCAGAGCCATGGTTTCCTGGCACTTGACCACCTTTCTGAGCCTGGGAGCTGCTGCCCTAAAGCTGGGGTATCTTTGTTGGGCACCAGGAGCAGAAGGCAGCTGGCTGGGAGGAGTGAGCAAGTGCAGATAGGTCAGGATGCCACAGACGGGCTCCACATGGCTAGCTTAGTAACTCAATGCCCGTTTTCACTCCCAAGGCAAAGCATAATTACCCAGCCTGGGACAATCTGGAGGCCCCAGTGATTTTTTTCCCCCTGGCAGTAATGAGTTTGTTGGTTCAGGAGACCTGGGGGCTTCCTCCTGATTTTTGCTCTCACTCCCTGCCCATCCCTACCCCACAGGGACTTTTCTCATCATTTTTTAATGATCTCCGTCCACCAGCATCTAGGCTCTGCAGAGCATCCTCTCTCTGGGACCACACTCAGCAGCTGCTTTCACTTTTGGTGGAGAGAGGAAAGCAGTGATGCTGGGCTCCTGGCGGATTAGATAGGGCAAGCCTTAAAATAGGAGCTCTTCTATTTTGGTGACTTGGTTGGCAGCGTAATGGGGAATGAAAGCTTCGTCTGTTTAGCATCGTGGATGGCAGTGGGTTGGTACGATTAGGCCTCCATCAGGGGGGATCCTGAGCGTGACCATGTGTGTTCGAATGTGGAAATTGTACGGAAATTGCATGGGGAGTGGCACCTGCTGCCTATTCTCTCTTCCTGACTTCTACTGTTGCCCCTGAAACCTTTGCTCCCAGAGGATCCAGGAGCTAGAGGGAGAGAAGGAGGGAGCAGTGAAGGTGGGGCCTGGAGGGGACAGCCAGAGCCTCCTACACAGTAAGGGGACACTGCTGCCAGCCCCCATTTTGGGGGATGCGCCATCCTAGTCTGCCTCTTTAAGCATGGGGGAACACAGACATGGCTCACCAGGATCCTCTAGGTCCCCTTGGAGCAGTCCCCAAAGCCAGGAGACATGTTTCTCCTGTGTCATCTTCTTACTATTGTTCCTCTTCCTCCTACCAGGACCTCACCATGGATACAGACCTGACGGCAGCAAATGGCAAGAAAGTCAAAGCCCTTGAAATCTTTGCTTATGCCCTGCAGTACTTTAAGGAGCAGGCGCTGAAGGTAGGACTGATAGTTGAGGCCAGCCAGCTGTGTGCTAGGCGGTGGCACCCGTGCCAGCTCCGTGTCTCGGGCTGCTGCACCTGCTGGCCAGGGTAGGAGGCACAGCCTGGAGGGAGAGTGTGGGCTTTGGAGTCAACACAACAGGATGAACCCTCACACGCTGCTGGTGGGAAAGTAAAATGGTGCGGCCTCTTTGGAAAACAGTTTGGCAATTCCTAAAAAAGTAAAGCACAGAGTTACCGTAGGACCCAGCAGCTCCACTCCTGGGTGGAGAAATGAAAGAAATCCCTAAGAGAAATGAAAGAAGAAATGAAATCCCTAAGAGAAATGAAATCCCTAAGAGAAATGAAAGAAGATGTCCACACACACGTATACATGAATGTGCATAGCAACATTATTCATAACTGTGAAAAGTAGAAACAGTCCACATGCTGTCCACACAAACACACGTATACATGAATGTGCATAGCAACATTATTCACAACGACGAAAATCGGAAAAAATCCACATGCCCATCCACTGATGAATGGAGAAACAAAATGTGATCTATCTTACAATGAATGTTATTCAGCCAGAAACAAAATGTGATCTATCTTACAATGAATGTTATTCATCAGTAGGATGAACTACTGATACATCCTACCACATGGAGAAACCTTGAAAACGCCATGTGAAGTGAAAGAAGCCAGATACAGATAGCCACATAGCATGTGATTCCAGTTCTATGAAATGTCCAGAACAGGCACCTTCACAGAAACAGAAAGCAGAGACTTTTTCTGCGCAGGGCTGCAGGGAGTGGGAATAGGAGCGACTGCTGAAGGATATGAGTTTCTTTGAGGAGTGATGAAATTAGGTAATGGGGTTGGGCGCACAACCTTGTGAATATACGAAAACCCACTGAACTACACACTTTATAACTGGGAATTTTATGGTATGGAAATTATATCTGAGTAAAACAAAAAGAGAGGCAGGAAACATACTTAGCAGCTGTGCCATTTTGGTCAAGGTACTTAATCTTTCCAAGATCCACTTTCCTAACTGGAGAGTGGGGTGGGTAACTGTACCTCATAGGCCATTTGATAGAAAATGGGACTGGACATGCAGTGCCCTCCTTGGAGCTTGGTCTATAGTAAGCACTGGGTAAATGGTGGCTGCTATTTCTCCCCCTCCTCCCCCTCCTCCTCTATCCCCCCAGACCCCATGGAAGAAGCTAATAGCGTGAGCCCCCTTGGGTCGCCCCCACAAAGGTCTGTGGTCATGGTGGCCTGAAATTCCAAAAGCATCTAATTTTGAAGTGGAATGTGGCTGTCCACTCGTGTCTCCTCCCACAGGCATGGAGACCAGTGGGTGGGGATCAGATGATTAAAGAGCACTGATGTTTTGAGCTTTATCCAAAAAGATTTGGGAACTTCAGAAGCATTTGGTATTGTGTGACCACTAAAGGAAATTTAGTGAATTCTAGAAATAGGGTCAGAGGGAGACAAAGAAGAAGTGAGAACATGGTATTACTTTCATCTATTCAAGTACCTGTTTTTTTGAGTACCTTTTATGTGTGAAATCCTATACAAGTTATGGCAGTGTAGAAATCAACTCAGTATACAGGAGTGTGTGGTCAGGGTCAGAGTGGTGAGGGGGTAACTGTGGGTGCTGGGGGAGGCAGAGATTCTGTCCATTGGGGAGCATCATGGAAGGCTCCCTGTAGGAGGTGGATTCGGGGCAGGGTGGGGTGTGGTTCACAGGCAGCAACTGGAAGGGTGGGTATTTCAAGCTGGTGGAATGGCACAGGCTCAGCTCAGAAGGAAGAAAGCAGCAGACAAACAGCTGTGGGAAGAAAGCAGTTGAGGTGGAAGGAGGGTAAGGCTGTGGGATAAAGCCAGGATGCCGTGAGCTCAGGATAAGGTAGTGCAGAGCTGCGGATGCCAAGCCAAGGAACTTTTTCTTGGTTAATGGGGAGTCCTCAAAGGATTTCTAGTGGGGGAATGAGTGACGTGGCCACCGGGATAGTAGTAGAGTGTTGTATTAGTCTGTTCTAATGCTGCTAATAAAGACGTACCTGAGATTGGGTAATTTATAAAGGAAGAGGTTTAATGGACTTACAGTTCCACATGGCTGGGGAGGCCTCACAATCATGGTGCAAGACGAAGGAAGAATAAAGGAACGTCTTACATGGTTGCAGGCAAGAGAGCTTGTGCAGGGGAACTTCCCTTTGTAAAACCATCAGATCTCGTGAGACTTATTCACTACCACGAGAACAGTATGGGGGAAACTGCCCCCATGATTCAGTTATCTCCACCTGGCCCCACCCTTGACACGTGGGGATTATTACAATTCAAGGTGAGATTTGGGTGGGGACCATACAGCCACACCATATCAAGTGTCTTAGTCTATTTTGTGCCACTGTGACGGAATATCACAAACTGGGGAATTTATGAAAAACAGAAATTTATTTCTCATAGTCTGGAGGCTGGGAAGTCCAAGATCAATGTGCTAGTGGGTTTGGTGTCTGGTGAGGACCCAGTCTCTGCTTCTAAGATGGAGCCTTCAATGCAGCATCCTCTTGCCAAGGGGATGTGGATTGAAAGAGCCCACGCACTCCTGAAACCTGCAAGCCTTTTTTTTTTTTTTTTTTTTTGAGATGGAGTCTCTCTCTGTTGCCCAGGCTGGAGTGCAGTAGTGCGATCTCGGCTCACCACAACCTCTGCCTCCCAGGTTCAAGCAATTCCCTTGCCTCAGCCTCCCAAGTAGCTGGGACTACAGGTGTGTGCCACCATGCCCAGCTAATTTTTGTTTTTTCTTTTTTCTTTGTTTTTGTTTTGAGACGGAGTCTCGCTCTGTTGCCCAGCCAGGCTGGAGTGCAGTGGCGTGATCTTGGCTCACTGCAAGCTCTGCCTCCCAGGTTCACGCCATTCTCCTGCCTCAGCCTCCCGAGTAGCTGGGACTACAGGCGCCCGCCACCATGCCTGGCTAATTTTTTGTATTTTTAGTAGAGACGGGGTTTCACCATGTTAGCCAGGATGGTCTGGATCTCCTGACCTCATGATCCGCCCGCCTCGGCCTCCCAAAGTGCTGGGATTACAGGTGTGAGCCACCGCGCCCGGCCAATTTTTGTATTTTTAGTAGAGATGGGATTTCACTATGTTGGCCAGGATGGTCTCGAACTCCTGACCTCATGATCCGCCCACCTTGGCCACTCAAAGTGCTGGGATTACAGGTGTGAGCCACCACACCTGGCCGCAAGCCCTTTTTATGGCAGCAAAAATCCGTTCCTGAGACCGGAGCTCTCATGACATAAACATCTCCCATTAGGCCCCACCTCCCACTCAACACAGTTGCACTGGGGAGTACATTTCCAACACATGAGTTTTCGGGGACACATTCAGAACACAGCATAGAGTGAGAGACCCCAGTAATCCCGAGAGCCTGCAGGGTGGAGGTCGGTGGTGTGGAGGCAGTTGACTCAGATTCTGCAGGTTTGTCTGCAGGGAGAGAGGGAGGCTCTGAGACTGAGAGCCACAGGGTCATTTGGGGAGCAAGAAGGAGGATCTGACAACCAAGAAGAAAGAGGGCCCGTGGGCTGGGAAGGAGTGGGTTCTGGGCAAACAGTATTCCACCAGTAAGGGGACAAGGGGACAGGGGAGGCCTGGCAGCAAGGTCACTGTGGGGTGGGGGTTGAGGCATGGGAGAGGGAAGGGAGGGGACTGGGTGGTGTTCGGGAAGGTGACCACAGTCAGAGACAAGCGTTGTGAAGCCTGCTTGGAACTGGAGAAGGGGTCAGCCCCTTTGTTCCAGGCGGCAAAAGGGCAGAAGGGGAGGGGCACAACGAGGTGGACCCAGGTCTGCTGGAAGAGCAAAGGTTGCAGAGGGACAGGCTCAGCGCCTGGTGGCCCAGGAGGCCACGTGAGGATGTGTCTGTGGGCACCGAGGCAGGTGAAGGAGCAGAGAGTGCAGAGCGCACAGGGGCTCCTGAGTTAGGAGGAGGAGCCGTAGGGGCTCGGGGGCAAAATTTAGGACTCAGAAAGCCCAGGATGTTGGTGCGTTTCAAATTTGCCAACAGGAAAGGAGTGAGCAGCCCATCTCAGAAGGGGAGGGAGGAGGTGGAGGGAACGGCCCCAGAAGGTCAAGTGGCCATGTGGGTGGTTGTTTGTGAATTCCTCAGCTCAGCCAGAGAGACTCCAGGGAACTTGCTGGCACCTTTCTTTCAAAGGTAGCTCCTCCCAGCAGGGAATATGCCGTGAATAAATTCCAGGAGAAAAAGCTGTTTGATGTATAGGAGGAGCTAGACCTTGCCAGGGGCTGGCTGGAGTTGGAGGGAGGGGGTTATGGCTTGCTTGGCTGGAATAAGCAAAGGCAGGATACCTACTCAAGTGGGACGTCCAAGAGTCACAGAAATGAAGCCACCCAGTGGGTCATGAAGGAAAGCCCGTGACAGTGCCTGACACATGAGATGGTCAATTAATTAATGCTGGCGCCTTTCCCTTCCAAGCTGTTCCCTACCCGCTGGGGAACTGACAGCTCCTCTAAACTCTCCAGACAGCTCAAGGAAGCCCCTCATGTGTATTTTGAACCCTTTTCCTTTTAAAGAGTTTAAAATCACCTGCCTGGTAATGGGTGCCATGCTTAGAATCTTCCCAACACACATCATACCCTCACCTGCTTTTTCAAACCCAATGCAGACCTGCAAGGAAACAAAATATGATGATAAAAAAATGGCTGCTTTGTGTTGGTCCACAGCAGAGATGTTTTTAGAAAGATGTTTTAAAATAGTTTACTGAATGTACTTAACTGTGCACTTAAAAATGGTTAAGGTGATGAATTTTAGGGTGTGTACATTTTTACCATGAAACATTTTTATTAAAAATTTTTAGAAAAAGGCAAAAAAAAATCATTTGCTGATCAAAGAGGAAGTTAGTTCAGAGAGAGAGAGGGTGGGCCAGACCCAAGATAACTGTTTGAAACAATAGGAAAAATGAGACAGTGTCAGCAATTTTGTTTGTTTGTTTTTTCATCAGTCTATTAATCTTTCTTGTCTCTCCAGAGCTGATTTAGACACAGAAGTGCCTTGGTGTGTGTTTCGGTTTGATTACAGATTTGTCTGGTGAACGTGGCAAGGGGAAGAGAAAGGAAGGAAAGAACTGGCATTTATCAGAGGTCTTTGGGCCAGCATTCCCTCATGTGTTTTCATTTAATCTCGCCAGCAATGCTGTGAGTTAGTTTTATGATCTCCATTGCGCAGATGGGAATACTGAGTCTAAGAAGTCCTCCAGCGACATATTTTGTCCCCGTGAACCAGGTGGAAACCTCTGATGCTTCTGCCCAGCCCCTTTATCAACATGGGCCTCAGTGATGTCGTTTAACCTTAACCAAAAGTTAAGGGCCGCATGGTTCTTGATGAGGTCATATCATTCATAGCCTTCCCTTCCTGTTGGGAAAATGCCCCTGATAATGCTGGCCTTGCATAAGGTAGATGACAATGATGACAGCTGCCACCGGCTGGTAAGCATCACTGTGGGCCAGGCACTGTTTACCTATGGGACCACGTGTAACAACTCAGACCTTTGCTGAGTCAAGATAGACTAGGCTTTGGGTCTAAATTTTGGCTCTGCTACTTTCTAACTGCACAGTGGTCAAAAAGGTACTGAGCATATCAAAGTCTCAGTATTCCCATTTGTAGGAAAGGGGCGCAGTGAGACTCCCTTCCTAACAGGATTCTTGACTGGATGAATAGAGACAAGGTATGCAAAGTGCTTAATAAGGTGGCAGATACGTGATAAGCACTCAGTAAATGTAGCTCTCCATAAATCATCAATCCTCTCAACAATCGTTGGAGCTTGGCATTATAATCCCCACTGCACAGATATGGAAACTGAGGCCTAAGAGGTTGTCAGTTGTCCAAAGTCACATGATTAGGAAGTGGCCAAAGGGATTTCCTCTGATCCTCCTTTCTCCAGCCCACGGTCCCATTCAGTGAGGGAAAGGGGCTAGAGCTCCCGGCTTGCAGAATATTCAGGAAACAGATCTTTGCTCTCTGATGCTGGTAAGTTTGGGGGACCCTGAAACTGGCTCCTGAAGAGCTCATGGCAGGAAGCCTGGGTTCAGTGAAGCCACAGGAGGCTGCTCCAGGAACCAGCTGCCACTTGACCTGTTGCATTTCTTTCCCTTGGCTTCAGGAGCTGAGTGACCAGGCGGGTTCGGAGTTCGAGAACTCTGATGTCAGATGGGTCATCACGGTGCCTGCCATCTGGAAGCAGCCGGCCAAGCAGTTCATGAGACAAGCTGCCTACCAGGTGAGGGTAGAGTCAGGGCGGGTGGAAGCCGGAGGAGAAGGACTCAAGATGTCCAGGGTGGTGACTGTAGCCCCGCCCAGGTACCTCCCACATTCACTGGCCTCCATGGGAGGCAGCAAGGAGGCTCCCCTAGCCAGGGTGGGAGCTGGGAGACAAGGAGCCATCCCTTTCCTCAGCTTCCTCCTGGGGGAGCCATGGGGGTCAGTCCCACAACAAGAGCTGGGTTCGGTTTCCTTCCTGGCTTTCTACATTTCCAGGTCATGTTTCTACTGCGGAGTCTCCAGGGCTAGGATTTCAAAGCTGTGGTTCAGAGACATTTCTCTGTGGGTGAAATGAAGTGAGAACCTTAAGGGAAAGGCTTGGGAAACAGGAATATTTGAACAAGAAAGCAAGCAAGCCAAGGCCATTGGCCACGAACCAGGCATTTTCAGCTTGGTGTGGAGGCTGAAAACTGCATGTCTGCCGCAGAAAAGAAGGGAAGTGTGATTGTTCCCTGCACACTTCACTCAGCGGGGGGGTGTTGGAGGTGGCAGACCCCTGCAGAGGGCAGTGGCATGGCCAAGGGGCATACCAGGCACAGGCGCTTGTTGGCCAGGGAGACAGATGCTCCAGTGCCAGTGGCCAGCCCATCCCTGTGGGCACTAGGGGCGGCTGCTGTGAGGATCTGGCTTCCAGGCAGGAATGGCGAGCCATGCTCACCTGTTGTTATGGTCCCAGGGACAGGACAGAGCTGGCTCCTGTTGCACTTAAGCCCCTGGGCGTATGAACACCCACGCCTGGGGCCTGGGTCAGCTCTCTGTGTATTGAGAGTCAGTTTTGTGAGTCTTCAGCTGAGGCTGGGTTGTGTGGCAAGTCACCAGAGTCATTAGATGTCCCCTCCCCACTGTCATGACTCTCAGGAAGCATCCTGCCCACCTTTCCCAGGAGACGTACCTCTGATTTTGTTTGTGACACTTTCTTTACAAAAAACCCACAGAGTCAACCCTGAGCCCCAGCATAGTTGAATGGCCATGGGAACCTCAGCACCATGAATTGTTTTCAGCGCTCACTCGGAAGGCTTGACTCCAAGTAGCACACAGTTCAACTTGCGTGCAGTCAAGGGCGAGTCGTCTCCTCCCTGCACTCTCTCCCCTTCCCCAGGCTGCTTCCCCTGCACTCCCCTGCCTCCTTGCAGTGTGAGAATCTGGCTCAGTGTATGTACCTGCCAAAAATAGATCTGTTTTTATAGGGATGAAGGAAGAGGGTGGAAGCTCCAGAAAGAGGCAAGCTCTTTAAAAAGAGAATTACAAAATGCAGTTTAGCCATTCACAGAAGCCCTGGGCATCACGGAGCACAAGCTCCATAGTGTCAGCCTTCCGGCAGGGCCCAGAAATGGGGCATCGGGACACAGCTGTCTGCAGAGACGCCACCTGGCGTTCTGAGTTTTTCCCAGGAAGAATATTCAAGATTCATGGTTTTGACTCTTTTCCCAGCCCCACAGGAAGACTTCAGCAACAAATGTGTGACCCACGAAAAGGTCAATTCTTATTTATAGCCTGAAAAAAAAAAAGAGAGGTGCAGTGGCTGGTGAATCTGTCAGGGGAGTTTGAGCCCTGGGCTGGCTCTTCTAGGAGGTGGGACAAGAGGTGTGGGGCCCTCACACTGGGGAGTCACAGTGGAGGGCACCAAATCCCTGGGGGTTGTTGGAATCAAATAGGTACCCCAGAGAGAAAAAGGCCTGCAGCTCTTGGGTGAGGACAGATGTGAGCTGTGTTTATGAATGTGGGGAATTTGCTTTCGGAAGTCCAGAGACATGCTGTTTCCTCGATGCTGGCTAACTTTGGTACAGTGTTTTTGCAGCTTCGTTTTTGATCCTTTGCAGTTCTGATTTGATACTTGCTTTGTTCCATTGACAGCCGCTGAGTGGATTTAAAGAGGGCGGCGATCATTCAATTGCTTTTTTTGTTCATGCATTTATTTATTCATTAAACAAACCTAAACTAGAGGCCTATCTCTCTGTCAGGACCGTGGTAGGCACTGGATTCTATACCCAACCAAGGCAGGGATCTGGCCCCTGGGTTGCTCCCAGCCAAATGGTTCACTGAAGCCTTGCATACTTTTGGGTTAGGGAGAGGGGTGTATTGGGAGGCACAGTTGCTCTGCAGACTTTGCTGTAGTCTCTTTAGCCTGTCTTCTGGAGAGTCTTAGGACAAAGTGGAAGTGAAATTTGCAACTCTATGAGCAAAATTAACATCTTTCTACTCTCTCTCCATCCCCCATTATTATACAGAATAAGAAAGATATGTACCTGTGATGATTAATTTTATATGTCAACTTGACTAGGCCACAGGATGCCAGATATTTAGTCAGTCATTATCCTGAGTGTTCCTGTGATAAAGTTCAACATTTAAATCAATAAACTGAGCAAAGCAATGGCCCTCCTTGAGGAAGGTGGGCCTCATCTAATCAGTTGAAGGCCTGAATAGAGCAAAACGCTGACCCTCCCGAGTAAGCGGGAGTTCCTCCTGCATGACTGCCTTTGAGCTGGGTCATTGTTTTTTTTTTTTTTTTTCCCCTGCCTTTGGACTCAAACTTAAACATTGACTGTCCCAGGGTCTCGAGCCTGCCAACCTGTACCGTGGGTTCTCCTGGGTCTCCAGCTTGCTGGCTGCAGATCTTGGAACTTCTCAGCCTCTATAACTGCATAAGCCAAATCCTTATAATTATCTATCTGTCTGTCTGTCTGTCTGTCTGTCTGTGTGTCTGTATGCCCTACTGCTTCTGTTTCTCTGGAGAACCCTGACTAATACAGTGTCTGAGCACAGAACATAGTTCTCAGCCTAGCAGCTTCTGCGAGTGCTCACCAGGCACCCATGTATGTGAAAGGTATTAAATCAGGTGGTCATCTGTCTCCTTCTGCAAGGCGGTGGCTGCCCACTGACCCTTCTACCCAAAGTGCATCCCATCCCATGGGCCCAACTTCAGGCAGGAGAGCTGGAAGGATGAGGTAGAGTGGCTACTCCAGTAGGACAGTTGGAGAACTGGTCACGTCTACTCTGCTTGTGTGGGGAAAATGGAGCCCCTCCTTTCAGGCTTATCAAAGGCCTCCTGAGCACAGGTTTCTGGGCAGTGGTGGGGGCTGAACTTGAACCTCCCACCTGCCAGGTGGAGGAGAAAGCAGCCTGGAAGCAGAGCTGGGAGATGATGTTGTGAGGAGCAGGTCTGGAGTTCTGGAGCCTCTGCTGGGGCAGGCTATGGCTCACTGCCCGTAAAGGCTGCAGAGAGGGTGCACAGATGCAGTTTCATCGGTGAAACTCCAGAAACTCGCCTTGAGTTGAGTGCTTGTTGAAAAGATGGGTTAAACCTTTATCTTTTGTAATTCACAGACTCAAGCCATCTTTAGACCCTTTAAGAGCATTCAGTGAAAAGATGATAACAGAAAGAACAGCTGATCCCTCTTCTGAGGCCTTTAGAAAAGACTTAGAACTGGAGACTGTTCTGAAGCTGTGGGGATTGTGGATAGGAAATAGTCCAGTTTATATCAAAGGGCATTTTGCCTAAAATGTGTAACTCTAGTAGGCTCCGGAAACGTGTTAAATAAATGCTGCTCCCATATGTATGATCCTCTCATCTAACATGGAGACGCAGCTTCTTCTGCCTCCCTTTCTGAACAAGCTGCAGTGAGAAATGATCATCAGGAAAACAAAACAGCATAACACCCCGAACTGGTGCAGCTGTAGCCTTTCTGTAGCCTGACCGCAGACCAGCAGCGCTCTTAACTGATCTGGCTATTTTTTCTCAGCTGTGGACACAGTCCCTTGGCAGATTCTCCTGGCTGACTGCAAGGCAGAGGAGCAGAGTAGTTGGTGTAAACACCACCTCCTCAGCTTCTCAGTCTCCCTGGAGTGTGGTTTTCTCACCTGCTTCTCCTGAGTGAAACTCGTGATCACAGAGGAAGGCTCTAAAAAGCTACTACGATGTCGCTCCTGCTGCCCCGAATTCTTGGAGGAGGCAAATGGGGAAGCATGCTCTTGGTTCAGATACTTCCTGTATGTAGAATCCCCAGGTCATGTCTGTGGAATGCAGGGATGAGGGCCAGGAAACTGCAGGAAAAAAGGCTGGCTGGAGGGCTGGTGGGTCCATTCGTTCAGCAGCTACCTCCTGAACACCTACTGTGTGCTTTGGGGCAAGAAGAACTGAGCGTTGCTGTTAGAAAATCCACCATCCTGCAGGAGAGGCTACACATGTCTGCACCGTTAATAACAGGGGTGTCCAATCTTTTGGCTTCCGTGGGCCACATTGGAAGAAGAAGGATTGTCCTGGGTCACACATTAAATACACTAACACTAATGATAGCTGATGAGCTAAAAAAAAAATCGCAAAAAAAAACTCATCATGTTTTAAGAAAGTTTACAAATTTGTGTTGGGCTGCATCCAAAGTCGTCCTGGGCCACAATGTGGCCTGTGGGCCATGGGTTGGACAAGCTTGGCGTATAGGACTGGAGACGGAATATGTTAAGTGCTTGGCAGGGGCCCCAGTGGAGGGAGGGCTCACGTGGGAGTAGTAACCATGAGGCACCTTCTCTGAAGGCAGAATTAGCAAAGACGGAGAGTGTTCTGTGGTTGCAGTTGACCCTGGCCTGATCCCAGGCAAACAGACCCATAGGTTTGCTGAGGGCTGCCAAGTGGAGGGCTTCTGTTGAGGGTGGCTGCAAGTGTTAATGCAGAAACAAAGCTTGCACTTGAAAGCATTGAGTCCTCCTGCCCAGAGAGAAAGACAGCTGGGTTTTTGAGAGCCTGGGCGATACTTTAGCATTTCCTCCTTTTCTCGGAGTCCACAGCAGTTCTGGGACTCCTGGGGAGGTTGAATTTGTGCAGAGTCCGCTGCCTCTTCTCACCTCTCCTCAGCTCTCTACTGTGGCTTCCATGGGAGTTTGCAGGTAGGACACGGCCCCTCACTGGACAGGAGCTGGTTCAAGCAAAGAAGTGTGGTTACTTTGTCCGAGGCCTCCCAGACACTGCCTGGGCCCATGACCTTGCCTTTTCCTCTGCTCAGGAGTGGGGTCCTCTTCACCTTCGCTTCCCACCTGCATCCTCATCTTGGTACAGTGGGGAACCCCCTATGGAAACAGGCCAAAGCTTTTGCTGTGGAGCTGAGGCCAGCCCAGCTGGAGAGGGACAGATGAAAGGTCTCCCCTGAGTGGCCAGCCCAAGCTGTTTTCCACAGACTTGGGGCAGCCTCAGTGTCTTCAGGATGTGAGAGTGTCCTGGGCGGGGGACAGTTCTGCTGGATTTTCAGTTGCACACCAGGCACACTCGGATGCCCTCGAGTTGTAGAATTTTACCCAGGGCTCTTCACCCCTCTAGACTGCTGGATCTGAATTTCCATATAAAGATTTCCCATCTAAGTCAGAGTTCCTGCTCAGAATTTCAGGGGTAGTGTGGGTAGAGAGATGGGGGCAGAGCTTACAGTGTGGGAAGAGGGATGAGGGGCGGAGCTTATGGTGTGGGAAGAGGGATGAGGGGTGGAGCTTATGGTTTGGGAAGGGGTGGGGGTGGAGCTTATGGTGTGGGAAGAGGGATGAGGGGTGGAACTTATGGTGTGGGAAGAGGGATGAGGAGTGGGACTTACAGTGTGGGAAGAGGGGACAAGGGGCGGAGCTTATGCCACCCTTTCTCCCTTCCCATCCCTGTCCCTGCTGCCGTGGCCCAGGCCCACCTTGCTTTTTCTGGCCCTGTGGGGGCCTCACTGCCACAAGTCCCACCTGGCAGGCTGACATCCCAGTGGGACATGGTAACCGTAATGTAGCGTCTGGGTCTTTGCCTTTCTTCCTTCACACCAACTCCTTGGGCTCCACTCATGGGTCTACTGCCATCCCCAGTTTATTTTCAAGTTTGAACTTTGGAGGAGAATTGTATACATACAGGCCTGGCAGTTTCTTTGCAGCAAGTTGTCCCTTCTTCCTCACCCCGTTTTGTGGAAGCTTCCCCCTTGGACCTTCTATGCTCCTGGGAGGTCCTTGACTCCACAACCTCAAGGATGGAAGAATCAGCACAGGAGCTGTCCCTCGGAAGGGGCCCCTCTTGGTCTTATTTGGGATTTCTTCCTCCCGACCCCTTGGGATCCAGGCTCAGAGGTTTCACCTTTCCCGAGGGCACCATACGTGTGAGAGCCACATCCTCTTTCACTTTAACCTCCAGCCATGTTTGTGCTAAGGATGTCTAATGTGACCCTGTGAGAGTGAAGCTGGGGAGGGGGGACTTTTACTTGCTTGAATAGGGGGCAGTGGGAAATCCTGTCATGCACCTGAGTCAGGGCCCTGTTGACCGATGTCACCTAAGGGCAGACCCAGCTTCTCTGACCCATGGGCTGAGCTGACAGGCATTGATGCTGCCCGGGTGGTTGGCCGTAGCTGAGGGTACTAGGTGATGGGAAGAGGGTTCGCCACGGACAGTGCAGGACACGAGAGTGGTGGTTCTTATCTGGTTTTATAAAGTCAGCCTTCCAGATGTGGTTCTGCCATTTTGAGGCATTTGGTATTTACAGAGTGAAGATGTTCAGTCACCTGCCTGCTGGTAGTATCAGTTTTAGCACTGAAAGTCTCACATCCCAGGAAATCTCTCTATCCTGAGCAAACTGGGACAGTGGGCCACCCTCCCTCTCTTTCTACATAAAGTGAAGGAGTTGATAAATAGCTCTGAAGGTCCTTTGCATTCTTTTTTTTTTTTTTTTCTTGAGATGGAGTTTCACTCTTGTCACCCAGGCTGGGGTACAATGGCACCATCTCGGCTCACTGCAACCTCCACCTCCCAAGTTCAAGCATTTCTCCTGCCTCAGCCTCCCGAGTAGCTGGGATTACAGGCACTGCCCCCACCATGCCCAGCTATTTTTTTTTTTTAGTAGAGACGGGGTTTCACCATCTTGGCCAGGCTGGTCTCGAACTCCAGACCTCAGGTGATCTGCCCGCCTCAGCCTCCCAAAGTGCTGGGATTATAGGTGTGAGCCACCACGCCTGGCCACTTTGCATTCTTAATACCTGAAAATCCCCTTCCCTCCTTGCCCAGTAATTGGACCTCCCAAGCCCCTCTGCCCATGATGAGGCCGACTTCGCCTGATGAGAAGTTATTTGTGAGTGTGTGACATTAGGAGACCTTCTGAACCTGGTCTGCAAGAAGAATGCACTAAACCCCAGGGGTCTGATACAGAACTTGAGGCCTTCCTCCCAGTAGGCATGGTATGAAGGCAGCATCCCAAGGTTCCTAAGAAATGGCAAAAAGTCAGCACCACGGCAGTGGCAGGGATGAAGTGTTCTTCCGTGGTCCATCGGGCTGGCAACTGAGGACACCCGTGTACCTGAATGGTTTCCAGAAGCAAGTGGGGCCTCCCGCTGCAGCTCAAGGCCATGAGAGGTGCCAGGGACCTGGTTAGAGGCCCAGCCATGCTGTTTCTCTGAGCATCCTCAGAAGGGTTGTCCCAGGGCCTCTTGAGCTGGCCCTTCTGAAGGCCCACAGGAGTGGTGACTGGGACTGGTCAGATGTCACAGAGCAGAAGCACTTCTGCCTACTACAGGCCAAGGCCCCAAATGTTTGCAGATGGAAGCCACAGATGAGAACTTGGGGATCAGATTGTTAAAGGAATATTTATTACTATATGTGATATATGTCTATAATAAAACTATTAAAGGGTGGAGGCTTTGAATAAGATATCTTCTTGCTGACTCAACCGCACTCTAGAAAATGAGGGACTATATGGGATTCCAGGAGGGGCTTCCTCCTGGAGCCACTGCTTATCTGTCACCCCCAGTAGGCAAATCTCAGGAACCCTCCTAGCGCTCTGGAGATAACAGGTCGGTTACCCAGATAGCAAAGTCAAATGCTTGTGTTGCTGAGGCCCAGCCATGGTCTGTTTCCAAGGCCACCAAAGATAGGGGTTTGCTCCGATTTGGTCAGACCGTGTGGTATATTACAACTGAGAACAGATCACCTGCCTTCCACCCTGTGATGGTTTGGAAAGTTTCAGGGTCTCTGCAACTCCATGCCTTCACCACTGGAGCATGGAAGCCCGTGTGCCTCCTGCAGTCCGGAATCCCCCCGCTCCTCCCCATGGTGCTGCTCAGCTCTGAGCCAAGGAGGCCCCAAGTGCAAGAGGCCCCACAGCCAGAGCACCTGGTGTTTTCCCCAGGGTGCCTATACATTTTCTTTGGCCACCCTGGGGTGTTTGGGTATCTGGCTTGGGGCCCAGTACCGAGGCACCCTGACATTATGCTCTGCAGAGGACTGTGTAGAGAATGTCCCACAGATGCAGAGCACGAGTGCGCCCTCCTTAGGGATGTCAGTCCAGGCACGGGTGTCCTAGGAGCAGGCCGGCCCAGGGGGCCCTGGGTCCCAGCCTCTGTTTCTGTCTTCCAGGCAGGCCTGGCCTCCCCCGAGAACTCGGAGCAGCTCATCATTGCCTTGGAGCCTGAGGCAGCCTCTATCTACTGCCGAAAGCTGCGGCTACACCAGATGATTGAGCTGAGCAGCAAGGCAGCCGTCAATGGGTACAGCGGCAGTGACACAGTAGGAGCTGGGTTTACACAGGGTACCTCTGCTCTCTCTCTCCCCCTCCTGCTCTCCTTCCTTCCCAAGCCCTGGATGTCTCTCTCCCTCTGATGATTTTAAAGGCACTTAGTGCCATAATGAAGAATCAGGATACTCCGGGAGGAGGTGGGCTTTAAGCACCTCTCTGCTCAGCCCCCCTACCTGGCCCCTCCAAGGACCCCCATAAATGGAGGCATGGTTACCCTGGTTCATCACCCACCAAGTGTCTGGGGGCGGGGAGCTTCTCTCTAAGAATCTGAGGGTAGCCTGAGAGCGGTTATTGGCCTCACATTGTACTAGGCTCTTAATCTTTCTTGTGTATTAACAGATTCTTAATCTAATTCCATTGCCTGTTATTAATTCTCCATTAAGACTGTTGATTTATTGCTGAGTCACTCATTGGGTCTGCTTCATGTGCGATGAGTTTAAAATGCAGATGAAACCGGCTGACTTTTCCTGACCTAGGTGACGCTCGCTTAGCTGTGGGAAGGAGCACCGCCTTAGGGAGACTGAGGATGGCGATTTTAAAAAGCTTTTCCTCTTTAATAATTACCTGAATGCAAGTAGGTCATAGCCTTGGTCACAGAACTTGGTTCCCTGGTATCCAGGGCTCTGTGGGTGTGTCGAGGGCTATAGGGTTTGCAGACACGCCCTGTCAGGGTCAAGGCACCAATATGAGCGCTAAGTGAGAGCACTATGGGGGTGGCGCCGGGCACTGTTGTTAAATCTCAAAGGCACGAGGGCCTAAGGTCTAAGGGTTAATTTCAGGCTGCAAGAAAAGAATTGTGGGGCCGGGCGTGGTGGCTTACACCTGTAATCCCAGCACTTTGGGAGGCCGAGGCAGGCGGATCACGAGGTCAGGAAATCCAGACCACGGTGAAACCCCGTCTCTACTAAAAATACAAAAAAAAAAAAAAAAAAAAATTAGCCGGGCGAGGTGGCGGGTGCCTGTAGTCCCAGCTACTTGGGAGGCTGAGGCAGGAGAATGGCGTGAACCCGGGAGGCGGAGCTTGCAGTGAGCCGAGATCGCACCACTGCACTCCAGCCTGGGAGACAGAGCGAGACTCCGTCTCAAAGAAAAAAAAATTGTGGGAACTGCAAGCCCCTTAACCTTTCCTGACCTGATTTCCTTCTCCGAACATAGGGACAATGATTTGTGCCCTCTCATAGCCACATAGGCGTCTCCGCCACTCAGCACCTCAAGCCACAGCAGGAGCGGAGGTTGTCCCTGTGTTCATGGAAAAGGCAGCACAGGGGTTTGCCAGGCCCAGACGCGCCACCTTGTGGCCGCAATGCATATTGGCTTCAGCTGGGTCAGGAAATGGCCCCCCCCCCCAGTCTATTTACCCAGGGTGCATGTTAGGAAAACACACCCCAAATTCCTTGTATCAGACAAAATTCCTTGATTTGGAATTGTTTAACTGAGCGCACTGCAGGCTGTTTGGCAGATAGCTTCCTCCCTGGGGCAGCAAAGCCGGGAAACTAGGCGATTTCATTAACCCATTCTCCAAAAAATGTGACCAGGGTAGGTCTCATTTGAGAGTCTCGCTCTGTCACCCAAGTTGGAGTGCAGTGGCGCACATTTGACCACATTCTCTTCTTTCAGTTTTTTTCACGTGGAAAATGGGGATAATAATTCCACCTAATTCCAAGGGTTGTTGTGAGAATCTCATCAGGGTGGGCTTTTCAGCTGGGCACAGGCTAAGCCGAGGAATAGAGGAAGGCCGGTGGAAATCACTTTCTCTGGGAAGAGCTGGCTTTGTGATTCCCGACATCGTATTGACTTATTTTGGTCAAATGTCACTAATGTTCCATCCCTAAATCTCCTCATGCTATTGCCTTCACTGACTGCAAATGATCTCTGCTTTTTCATGCTTTCTTACCCGTCATCATTTTCTTTCTGTCGGCCACTAGCTAAGGAACACATACGGCGTAATCGGCAGAGTCGGACCTTTTTGGTGGAGAATGTCATAGGAGAAATCTGGTCCGAGCTGGAGGAAGGTAGCGTCCTTCAATGTCCTTTGCTCTTGCTGGATTTTCCTGTGCTGCTCGTGAAAAGCCATTCCCATTTGTCCCTTTTGCACTTTTGGAAAATGTTCAAACTCAGTGGGTTCTAAAGACCACTCATGCAGGGAGAGCTCTTTTGGGAGCTGTAATTTTGCATGTTGTAAAACCAGGTAGGGATTGGAATTGATCAGTTCCAGAGTAAGTCTTTGGTGAAACGCAGATGATTTTAGGGCACTCACTATTCACGTGGCAGGAAACTGCCCACTAAGTACGTGCCAGGTATGCAGCAATGTGTGAATCTTAGATTCACTCACCTGGGTTCTCCATCGTCCATGTCTAACCATCCTCCTGGGCAGATTGCATTCTCTTTGGTCATGGTTAACTCCTAGAGCTGCTAATTAGCAAAACCATTGTGCTAATGAGAAGTTTTGAGGGCACTTAGCTGGGTCTACCTAGTTACCACCCACAAGCTTGTTTCAGATGGGGTTGGCAAACAGTCTGTGTAAAAGATGGCTGTTTTTGTGCCAGGTGATAAGTATGTGGTTGTGGACAGTGGCGGTGGCACCGTAGACCTGACAGTCCATCAGATCCGGTTACCGGAGGGACACCTTAAGGAACTGTATAAAGCAACAGGTGAGGCCCTGCAGGGCTAATTTTCTTATTCCTGAGCCAATTCCAGGCAGTTCTGTTTTCACTTGTTTCAGATAACTCTCAGTTTTATTCTCTTGAATGCCACTAACATGTGGGATCGTAGGCGGTGGAGGATACTAATGTCTGCTTGAAATTGGAAAGCAAAATGCAATTAAACATTCTTTAAAACACAAACCACCACAACTTGGGTTTTGGCCTAAAGCGAGCCTGTTTCAGATCCTGGCCAAGGGCGCTGGTTTCTGAAAATTCCGAAAGGATGAGATTGCAACTTGATGTTGCCCATGACCGTGCTAAGGTGAACTTTCTAGGGAGGCCTCACCTTGTCTTGGATCAAGATTGCCAAACCATTGGCCAAGTGCGGTGGCTCACGCCTGTAATCCCAGCACTTTGGGAGGCCAAGCAGGCAGATCACTTGAGGTCAGGAGTTGGAGACCAGCATGGCCAACATGATGAAACCCTGTCTCTACTAAAAATACAAAAATTAGCTGGGCGTGGTGGTGCACACCTGTAGCCCCAGCTACTCAGGTGGCTGAGGCAGGAGAATTGCTTGAACCCAGGAGGCAGAGGTTGCAGTGAGCAGACATTGCGCCACTGCACTCCAACTTGGGTGACAGAGCGAGACTCTCAAAAAAAGATTGCTAAACCAAAGAACATGCTGTTTCCCTTTTGGGAGGTTGGAGGGGAAAGGATAATAAGTAATTAGAGGATCACACAGGGACTAGACCAGGCCTGCTGATTTTCCAGCCCCCGCCCTTGGATGTCTTGGATTGGAATACCATAATGGTCCTAGTTAGATAAAATTATTGATTTTTTAAAAAATGTAATTGATTTAAAATAGATTGTTGGCTGGGAGTGGTGGCTCATGCCTGTAATCCCAGAACTTTGAGAGGCCAAGGCAGGTGGATCACCTGAGGTCAGGAGTTTGAGACCAGCCTGGCCAACATGGCAAAATCCCATCTCTACTAAAAATACAAAAATTAGCCGGGCATGGTGGTGCGTGCCTGTATCTCAGCTACTCGGGAGGCTGAAGCAGGAGAATCACTTCAACCCAGGAGGCGGAGATTGCAGTGAGCCAAGATTGTGCCACTGCACTCCAGCCTGGGCAACAAGGGTGAAAACTTTGTCTCAAAAAAAAGAAAACACAAAAATAAAATAATAAAGTAAAGATTGTTGACAAGAGATTTCTGTAGGGAAAAGCTTCTCCACATGGAATGAGAAGCAGCGCAGGGTTCTGAAGTGTAAGTAAACACTTATAGCTGCCGTCCCATTGCTAAGTGGCTCAGAGATGAACAGGTGGGCCTGTTTCTCAGAGTCTGGATTGGGTTTCTAATGGTTTTTAACACCATGGCCTCCCTTTTTGTTCTCAATTCAGGCGGACCCTATGGATCTTTAGGAGTAGATTATGAGTTCGAAAAACTTCTGTATAAAATATTTGGAGAGGATTTTATTGAACAATTCAAAATCAAACGCCCTGCAGCCTGGGTTGACTTAATGATTGCGTTTGAGTCTCGCAAAAGGGCGGCTGCCCCAGACAGAACTAACCCGCTGAACATCACCCTGCCCTTCTCCTTCATTGACTACTACAAGAAGTTCCGCGGGCACAGTGTGGAGCACGCCTTGCGGAAAAGCAAGTGAGTTGGGCTCATCACCTCGGGCTCTGGACATTCTAGCGGGTGGATCGTGCTGATGGGAGAGAGGAGCGAAGTGTGGACTTCGGGTTCCAATCCTACACACTTGCTGTATGACCTTGGGCAAGGGACTCAACTTCTCTTCCCTCAGTTTTTTTCACATGGAAAATGGGGATAATAATTCTATGTAACTCCAAGGGTTGTTGTGAGAATGCAATGAATTCATACATGTTGGGTGCTTAGAACAATGCCTGGGACCTGGCAAGTATTATCTATGTGTTTGCTAAAAACAGAGGAACTATGAAAGCAGCGAAGTTTAGTTTTGGCCCCTGCCATATCCCCAGTGTCTAGAAGAGAACCTGGTATGCAGTAGGTGCTCAATAAATATTTGTGGAATTAATCCAATGGGAATGTAGGTTTCTTGCCACTCTGAGTCCCTTGACTGATTTTGTGTCTCAGCTTGTTGCAAAATGAATATATTTAGAAGACGGTTTAAAGCCGAATTTAAAAAAAAAGATAAAAATAATAGATTTCTAATATTCTTAAACATTTTAAATTTATATATATAATATCCATCATGAAATGATGACTACAGACAGATTTACCTATCTATCATATTTCATAATTACCTTTTTCTAATAATCCTTTTGTAAGGGAACATGTCAAACATTTATCCTGTAAAATACCCCATTGTCCAGCTTCAACAACTGTCAGGTCCTGGCTAGTCTAAATCCAATTATTTTAAAGCAAATCTTAGAAATTAGCATCTCATCTATTTCAGTATGTACCTCTAAAGGAGACAAGTTTTAAATCACAACCACAATACCACGATAACACTTAACAATTAATAATTCCTCAATATTATCAAGTATCTAATTAACATTAACATTTTTCCATTTGTCTTTTTTTTTTTTTTTTTCACTTTGTACCAACATCCAAATGAGGGCTCTACATAGCAGCTATCTGATACGCCCCTCGAGTCCCACTAATGTACAGGTTCCCCTCCTGGTTTTTCCTTCACAATTTATTAGATGGCAAAACTAGTAGTTTGTCCTTAGATTGGAGTTTCCTATCATCTGGGCTTTGCTCATCTCACGTCCGTGGTGTTACACAGCAGGTTCTATCCCATAGCCTTTTTTTTTTTTTTTTTTTTTTTTGCAAGTTGGCAGATGGACTTAGAGGTTTAATCAGATTCAAGTTTGAATCTTTGGCATATCTGCCTTACGGGTGGTGGTTCCTCCTACTGCATCCCATCAGGGGACACGAAATGTCTGCCTGTCTCTCCTTTTGTGATATTAGCAGCCATTGATGATTATTGCCTGGTCCACTAATGCATTAGGGGTGGCTCCATGGCCACCATCTTGGTCCATCACTCCTTCCTCATTTATTTAGCTAGAATACTCCTAGAGAGAGAAACTTGGCTCCTCAGTGGTTTGGTTGCCCTGAACTACAGCTCACTTAGGGAAGACAGGATAAATAGGTTGGGTTTCAACCTCCATTTATGAGTTAAAAAAAAAAAAAGAATCAATTTCCTAGTATCCGCCAAAGTAGCTAATGAATTTTTCCTTTTGTGAGGGCATGAGGGGGAGTATCATTAGGAATTTGAGGATTTAAGCATATTTGATGTATTTTAAACAATGGCAATTCTATCCTTATTGACACCCACACTGTCCCATCTCGGCCAGTAGGAGCCTTCTCACGTTGGCTCTGAATCCCTTTGACATGACATTTGTGGTGGTTGACAGTGTCTTTGCCTCCTTGTATGTGAAGACACTCTTGGCTCATCTTGTACATTCCCTACCCCAGGCCTGGAATTGGCCATTTCCCTAAGAAGCCCTGGTTCCTTTTAGTGGAAGTGAAAGCAGATTTCATGTCAGGTCTTCTTGCCCTTGGAGCAGGGCCAGTCTGGACCCTCTTACTGGGCTGATGTTCTCTGCCCCGTTAGTCCCCCACAGAGGGCACCTGTCCTCTGTTTGGAATCCCAAGACCTACCTGCACAGTTCTGGGGCCTGTCAACCCTCCCACTAAGAAACAGGCTGCAGCCAGCCATGGGGTCATTCCATACCACACCACATTGTCCTTTGGCCTACGCCATGGAAAGGATTCCTTACCAACATGTTCTAGATTCCCGTCCAGCATCTAGAACATGTTCCTGGGAAGCTGCTGGTGTGCACTTTGCATCAGGGACAGAGGCGCCATTTGCTTGGCCTCTGAGAACAGGAGGGGCACGCCCTGTGGGTTTGGGGAATACACAGTCCCTGGCATTTGCTTAGTGCCAGAAAGTTTCCAGAGCGCTTTCACAGACATGGTATTTAACTTCGTCTTTACAACAACCCCCGTGAAGGAGGTAAGGCAAGCGCAGTTATCCCTGACTTCCAGACGTGGAGACTGGGCTTGAAGAAAATGGAGTCTAATCTGCCCAAAGTCCCAGAGCTCCGCAGTGGTGGTGGCCAGGCTAGAGCCCCACAATCCTGGATTCCCGTCCAGGACTCTCTGCTCCACACTGCTGCTTCTGGACAGAGACCGTGAGGGCCACCTAGTAGAATTAGGCTTACTCTGTCACCTGACAGGTGCCTGGAAGGCTGAGGACATGCACCTGAGCGCACACATGTGTAGCCGTAAGTAGCAGTACAATAAACTCGCCAGGGAGCTTTTAACGTGCTTGAATCCAAATATTGTTGGGTTCAAAGTGTGGTCCTGCGAAAGAGACAGTGAGCCCTTTATCTCCTTGTCTTTGCACTAGACTTTGGCCTCCACTATCCCAGGGGAAGGTCGGTCACAGCCAAACTTAAGATACAGAGAAGAGATTATGTCTTAGCTTTTGAGCTTCTAAGGGTCCAGGTCCTGGCAGTTTAGGGTTTCCAAAGGTGCTTTTGGCTTTCAACCCCCTTTCTGCCTGCTAAGAAGTGACAGATGTTCTGCCAGGGCAGGTGTCTATGCAGATAAGCCTGGGTATCGTGTAGACCCTCACTGCCTGCTCTTCTCCATGCTATGCTCCTGCAGTGTGGATTTTGTGAAGTGGTCCTCGCAGGGGATGCTGCGGATGAGTCCAGATGCCATGAACGCCCTTTTTAAGCCGACCATCGATAGCATCATTGAGCATCTCCGTAAGTATCAGCCAGGCTCGGCCACTCGGCGAGGCAGAGCTGAGAAAGGGGATGGGCTTTCCCAGCATCACCAGCTGGTGCCTGTGGAGTCAGGTTGGCCTGGATCTGGGAGCCACAGGCAAGGGCCCTGCAGGACTGGGCAGGGCTTGGGCATGTATGGGAGAGGTTACTGGGCATAGGCTCTGGATCCCTCTCCTCGTACTGCAAAGCTGCTGAGAGCTTGTCTCACCCAAGCTTTCCGTTTGGCCTCAAAAGTCAGAGAGCTGGTAATGACAAAGAGGAAGAATTAAATAAACAAACAAAACTTTAAAACAACAAAAAAGATCAGAGAGCTGGAAGCTCTGAGGCAATGTTACCTGAGAGTGGCAGGCCCTAGGAAATGCATATTCTTTGCTTTACTGGGACATGTTAGACATCCTCACCCTGCTAGGGGAGAAGGAACTGTTGTGTGAATCAAAGGAAGTTCTGCAAGCAAATGGAATCTGGCTATGTCATTTTCCTGCTACATTGGTGGCAGTACCCAGGGACACATAGCAAACTCACCAGGACCTCTTTCAGTATCCTGTCCCCCGCCTACCAAATCAGACTCTCTAGGAGTGGAATGGGATTTTTATGAAAATCAGAGAATTCTATTTATAACAACCTGCCTTGACTTACCCAACAGAACCACAGGTTTGGAGAGCTTTAGGAGTATTCATTTATGCAAACCAAATTCTACTTAAAATTATCACCATGTATCTGTTAAAATGCATTTCTACTTAGCAGCAGCTCTGGCTTTTATTCCGGAACATATTGGTGTGCAAACTCCCTTTCTTTAAAAGACCAGTTCTGCAAAGATTCTGTTCAAGGAGCTCAGAGTAAGCCTGCCCTCCCAGTGGCCCAAGTGGCTTTATCCGTTCCCCACAGATGCAGGCAGCCCAGTTCCCCCTTCCTTGCTGGCTTTTGGTGACAGGACATTCTCCCTGCCTCTTCCCTTCCAGGGGACCTGTTTCAGAAGCCCGAGGTGTCCACCGTCAAGTTCCTCTTTCTGGTGGGCGGCTTTGCCGAGGCGCCCCTGCTGCAGCAGGCGGTGCAGGCTGCTTTTGGGGACCAGTGCCGGATCATCATCCCCCAGGACGTGGGCCTCACCATCCTCAAGGGTGCCGTCCTCTTTGGCCTGGACCCCGCGGTCATCAAGGTGCGCCGGTCGCCGCTCACCTACGGGGTAGGCGTGCTGAACCGCTACGTGGAGGGCAAGCACCCGCCTGAGAAGCTGCTGGTGAAGGATGGCACTCGGTGGTGCACCGACGTCTTTGACAAGTTCATCTCTGCCGACCAGTCTGTGGCTCTGGGTGAGCTGGTCAAGCGTAGCTACACCCCGGCCAAGCCCTCCCAGCTGGTCATTGTCATCAACATCTACAGCTCTGAGCACGACAACGTCAGCTTCATCACTGATCCCGGGGTGAAGAAGTGTGGCACGCTCCGCCTGGATCTCACAGGGACCAGTGGCACTGCGGTGCCCGCCCGGAGGGAGATCCAGACCCTTATGCAGTTCGGGGACACCGAGATCAAAGCCACAGCCATTGATATAGCCACTTCGAAGAGTGTCAAAGTTGGGATCGACTTCTTAAATTACTAACCCTCCCGCCCCGCTGCCTGTCCCCTTGGACTCAACTTATCTGCATCTGCTGACCTCAACCTTGACTGTTCTTTCCCTAACCTTGACCCTCACCATTGCCCATGTGAATTTCAGCAGGGAAGATGAGAACAATCAGGGCTAGAAATAATTAGTGACTTTTGAGGGCACACTGGAGTCAGAAAAACAGAAATTAAGATTAAGGTTTAGGCATAGAAAATTAAAGGATCCTGGAGGAGCAGCTAGTTTTCATAGGTACAAAAGTGGT
Source organism: Homo sapiens (assembly GCF_000001405.40). Classification (NCBI taxonomy): domain Eukaryota; kingdom Metazoa; phylum Chordata; class Mammalia; order Primates; family Hominidae; genus Homo; species Homo sapiens. The sequence continues at coordinate 116,674,515 of NC_000010.11, read as the reverse complement.
GAAATGGCCACGGAGAAGGGAATCAGTACATTTCTGCAGCAGTGGTTGCGCTGCTTTGAACAGATCTCCGTTATGTAGAATTTAGGATGCCCTATTGCTGTCTTTCTAGATTTAAAATGAGATCTTTGAACCAGGAGGAGATCTTCATCTGAGACTTGTCTTTCTAAATTTTTTGGATGGCCATCAATATAAAATGCCACCCATCTGCAGTTAATTTCTTTTCCTCATCATGTGATTAAAAGTGGTGATTCAGTGGGAACTGGGAATGTTTTTAGCTGGTGGTAGAAGGCTGCCTACACTGGGCACTGTTTTAGATTCTCATATCATTTAAACAGCAAGGAGGTTCAGGGAAGAATAACCGTAGCCTTGGGTAATCCACTAGGGCTTTTGTGAGTAGGAGAGCTGATACCTCACATTCTTAGCAGGTGAAAACTTGCCATGATGGAAACAGATAGTGAAGAGTTACTGACGTATCCCAAATTATATGCTGTGACATAAATTCCCAGCATGCCCAGCCCTGATTTCTGAGTTCATAAGTAATTCTAGTGAACCTTAGTAGGAATTCTGGGTAAGAAAATGAGGTTGCCATTGGTCTTGTTTGCATCACCAAGACCAGACATCCAGAAGAGCCCCTCACCTTGAAAAGCAGACAGATTTTAAATTAACCCCCTCCTTCCCACTCACCTTCATCTCCCTAAGAGTTTTGGCCATTTAATTCCACATTTTGAAAGGAATACATTGGTGAAATTTGGGAAGAGAATCTGTGCTATGCAATGTTTCATTAAAATCTTCAGTTTTTCAAGTCTCTCTAAAAATAATTTGTAGATCTATACTTGATGTATTAAGTCAGTTTTTTTTCACAGCGGGCCTGTGGCTCGCCTGCATCAGAATTGCCTGGGTGCGTGTTCAGAACAGGTTCCTGGATCTGAGCCCTTTTTAACTGAGGCCGACTCTTGGAGAGGGGCACCAGAATCTGCATTTGTAGTGTATACCACATCGTGGTTCAACTGAAATTGGAGAAATACTAACCTGAGATTTTGTTGAAGTTCACACACAGATCACAGCCCGCCCTCTGCAGGTGTCCCCTTTGGGCTCCTTTAGGAAGAGGGCTTCCATGAGAAGGTGACCCCATACCTTGCCCTCTTGGTCAATGGGATTGGGGCTCCACCTGGCTTGGAGATGGCCCTTTTAACCCTCACAGGAAGGGCCAGGGGAGGAAAAAAATTGCAAGAAAGCGACACCAAGAACGGAGCTGACTGAGGAACCAACTGGAGGGTCTTCACTCTCTCCTTCCCCAGTGTACAAAACCAGTTTTCTGCAACATTCAGGAGCCAAATGAGGAAAAAGAATCAAGAATCTGACTCACAGCCCATCTGATCTGTTCAAAGCTGTCTTTTCCACCTGCTGAAATTCATTAAATCACTGGAGGCATGCATAATGAATGGAGAATGAGTGAACTTCCAATGCAACTTGGATTCACAAACCCATTATCATAGCCAATATGCAGATTTTAAACAGCATTTCACATTTCATTTGACCATGTCTTCTTTTTCGCATCGCCTGCTGCAGAATTCCCTACTAGAATGTGAAACAACGAACAAACCACAGAACTTAGAGTGTGCTGGTTAGTCACATAACTTAGTAGCAGGATTGTGTATCCAGGCACAAAGGTGTCTTTGCTAATGTTCTCTTGCTACCTGCCCTGCTTCAAACGCTAAATGGTATGGGTCTTTCTTTGTTGCCAGCCATATTCTACAAATAAGACTTTTCAATATAGTTATGAGTAATATAATTTTATGTACATATAATGTTAGAATATTGTACAGAATCTTGGTTTCTACGATGCGCTTTTCTTGTTTCAAAAAGAGGAAAATGCTTGATTTTTGTTGATGATACTTTTGTTACTGTCCTTAATTTTCCATAGTTTGGTTTCTTAATTGTGCTCACTAAGCATCGATCTGTGCTGATGCCAAGCTATGGACTATGTACGCAAGACCGAGCAATAGACAGAGGTGCCTAGGGTCCAAACACACTGAACGCACGTGGACCGCCTGGATCAGGAGCCTCATCAGACCCTTCTCCATGCACATCCTTCCCAAACAGTCACAGATTCCATTGAAAGGAGCAGATTCTATCAGTTCTTCTGTGCAGACTTTAAGAGCTGAACGTTCTGGTTCTGGAAGCCATGTGACTGCGCAGAACAACCTAAGAAACCCTTTGTGTCCTGAGGGGTCGTTGACCTCTCCTTCCGGGTCGGAGCAGTCACTCTGAGGGCAAAGCGTGGTCCACTGTGTGTGATGTTTTCAGGATGCTAGGGTCAAAGAAAGAAACCAAGTGGTACATAAGCCCAGCTTTTCTGCTGGGCTAAGTGTAAGTGTGAGTAACATGGTCAAGCCCCTCTTTTTTGGGCTAATGTAAAGCCTTTCCTGCCTTGCATTAATGCTATCTCCCTGTGTACTGTTTCTCTTAAATGAGCAGATAGAAATCTGCAGTGTTGGCAGATAGGTGATGGAGAGGATGATAATTTTATCTTCTGGCCACAGAGCTGCAGCCCCAGTTGTCAGAGTCCTTAAATGAAACCCCCAAATCCATCCCTCCTTCCCTACCCCCACTGGAATATTCTAGAATAAGAGCACTGGATAAGTACACTTGAACACATTTTTCTAACCTTAGAAAATACCTACAAGGCCTGTTGTCTTGACCCATTACTCAATTGTCCCTGGCATATTATCTGATCTTCACGTTTCTTGGAAGCAGAATCATCAAGGCTTTCCTTTGTAACTGCCCTTTCCGTACACAGCAGGCATGAATAAATGCTGAGTAACAGACAAGTTACAGACAGGAGGGGAAAGAGGAGGAACCATACAACTGTTTTTGCAAAATGATGGCTGAGTCCAGATTATAGAGGTTGCCTTACCCTTAGAATGTTATTTAGACCAAGTTTAGCTTTTAGAGTCCAGGTCTGGTTAATTGCCAGGGTAGCAAAGAATCGCATGCACCAATGTAAACAGGAGTCAGAATGCATTATTAGTCAAAGATCGAATTTCACATTGTAGAGATGTATAGCTGTGATTAAGCTGCATATGTATGCTGGGAAACGGCTTGAGTGGATGGCTAATATAAAAGTTGTTGGCCATAATGCCACACCTCTCATCTGCTTGAAATATGGACCAGTATTCTAAAATATCAGCTACTGGGGTCTCATTCACTACAAGATAAATTCAAACTTCACAGAACTTTGCAGCAGTTCACCACCAGACGGGACTGTGTCTGCAAACTCTCTTGTCTTCACAGACGCCTAATAAAGCAAAACTCTGAATCTCATGTGGCCCAGATTTTTTTTCCCCCCATCCTGGGTTTGCAAACTGCATGATGGACACGTCAGTACTGATCTCCCTCTCTACCCCATCTCAGGTGGTGGAGAGAGAGTTTCAGTTTTTTCCAGGTGCTGTAAGTTTTCTTAAGTTATTCTAACAAGACTAGGCCCTTTGTTTGCTGGGAACCAAGGCCCCATCGATGGGCACAGAGCCCCTTTTCTCTGGAAGAAAGTGGTCTAGCCAGAGGGAGGGCAGGTAAGCAGAGTGACCACTGCCAATGCCACTGCACCCCAGTGTAAGTCATTAAAACATGCAGAAGGCCTGGCTGGGCTCTTGCCCCTGGGCATCCCAGCCGTCACGTGAAACTGGCTGTGTCCAGAGCCTACACCTGAGTCGCCCTCCACAGTTGGCTCTGAAAGCTTCCTGATGGCCCGAGGTATGTTCTAAATGGGGTGATAAAAGAGAGGTATAAATGGTGGTCGGCTCCACCAGCCTTCATTTGCAGTTCAATTTTCAGAAAAGTAGAGGTAGGGAAGGCCGGGAGGTGCAGCAAACAAGCGTGTCCTGGAAGTAGCGCAGCTTCAGCGTCATTTTCTGTAAAGGGAGCAGCCAGCACATGCTGGTTCATAGGGCGGACATCTTGGTGGGTTTCAATTCAATGAGAGGAAGTCTGGGTGTCCCTCCAAGAGTGATTAGAAAGAAGGATGACTCACCTTCCCCAGGTGGACAGCCACTCCTCTCTGCCTTCACCTGTCCCGGCCACCTGAAAATCTGCCCCTCCTAACAGGAGACAGGGAGGGAGGGGCTGCCAGGCCCAGGAAGCTCCTGTATTGGAGGCGCCAGGGCCCCCAGGCCTCGCCTCCTCCCGCCCACTGCCGGCCCCGCCCCCTGTTCCCGCCCACCCGCTTCCCCGGCCAGACCTGCAGACCCAGGCGCCGCAGTGTCTACACCCGCAAAAACGCCCGCTTTGACTTAGAGCCCTCCGCATATCCTTCCCCTGGCTGGGGCAGCCAAGGCGCGGAGGACAGCTCCGAGGCCAGATGTTTACTGCGCAGATGCCCGACTTTACACCGGGGTCCGGGCTGTGCCGGGCGCTGGGGGAAGCGCCCACCTTCCAGGTGGGACCGCGGGAAGGGTGGGGGAGGGGCAGGCTGGCGGTGGTGGGGCCTTTGTGCTCCACCGGGTGAGCGCACAAAGGCCTGGTGGAAGGCAGGGATCCTGGGCGGCCGGGCAGAGGCCAAGTGGGCACCGGATAGCGCCAGCCCCGCCCAGGTGAGCGCTGAGGTGGGATTGGAAGAGGGTGGCTAGGAGGGGCCCTACTTTCTACCCACTCCTAGCCCCCTTTCTCAGGACACCGCCTTTCTTCCCACCCTCCTCCCTGCCCACCTCCTCCAGGCAGGCTTATACCCCAGCTGATGCTTTTGGGCAACATATCCTGTCCCTGAGAGTTTAGAGGTCATCTGTTCGCACCCCCTTTCACTCTGGAACCCTGAAACCAGTTACCTAACCTCTCTGTGCCTTATTTTTCACATTTATAAAATGGGGGTTCCAACAGGAACTCATTCTTAGGGAAGCTGTGGGGATTAAAGGAGAATGCGGTTCTGCTGCAACCACATGGGGATAGCCAGTGTTCCCTGTCTGTTGCCTTTTTAAATTGGGGAATGGGTATAATATAGCATTTATATCATGGGGCTGTTGAGAGGATTAAACAAGCGTGGAAAGCTTTCAGAAAAGTAAGCAGGTGGTCAGTATGGGTGGGACATGGTCTCACAGCCAGGTCTGTCTGACTCCAGGCCCAGTGCTTCCTCCCAGGAGTCAGGTACGTGATGCCAGGGGTTAGAGTGGCCTAGACGCGGCACAGTCCTCACTGCTGTCAGCCTGGCGGGGGCTGAACTGTCTTAACAATCCCCATCATTGCTGACTAAGCCATGACTGTGGCCCTCTCCTCCACCCTGAATCCTCTTCTTCCAGCCTCAAAGGCATTTCTTTAAAGAGATGAACTGGCTCAGCAGGGCAGGACTTGGCAAGGCCTCAGCCCACTTGGGGGGAATGACCAGCGATACCCAAAGAGGGAAGGTGTCTTATTGCAGAAACAGCATCCACATAAACTGATGTTTCAGTGGAGCCCCCTGAAGCAGAGGGTGGCCTCTGCTTACCCTCCTTGGACTCCATGTCTGCCTTTTGGGACTTCCTGATTCCTTCAAGCCAGAATTTCTTCTCCCTTGTTTGTGTGTGTGTGTGTGTGTGTGTGTGTGTGTGTGTGTGCATGTGTGTGCCGGCGGGTGGGGGGAGGCTTCTGAGCATTGCAGGATGTTCAGTAGCATCCCATCCCCCACTTCTGACAGCCAAATATGCCTCTGGACATTGCCAGATGTTCCAGGGGTAATGGTGGGGGCTGGCAAAAATCACCACTGCAACCTGATTTCACCTGGATCAAGAAGGAGGTCTGGGGGTGTGCGGGCCTCATCTCTCTCCTCACCTGAGGCTCATGAACCTAACACAGGGGCTTCTGGGCTTGCTCAGAAGCTTTGCATTCCCAGCCTCTATCATGTTTCACAGCCATAGTATGAGTACAGTTCACAATTGTTGGATGGCTGGAGGTCGGATGGAGGGGAGAGGAGACCCTGGTAGGTGTGATCTACACACTGTTATCCAAGTTAACATAAAAGGTGATGGGCCCTTGGTAATAGGTCATTGGTTTGTGACTGAAGCCAGCTGTGTCTCTGGCTTTGGGTAAGGTGGTAGTGCTGCCTCTCAGCCCCAACTCCTGGCAGTCATTCTTCCACTCCCAAGAGCTTGTGCACACTCAATAGTAATTCCTTAAGGCAGTGACTTTTGATGAGACCGTTTCATTCCCTCTTCCCTCCACTAACAGAGAGCGAAATCATGGAGCCTTCCAAGACCTTCATGAGAAACCTGCCAATCACACCAGGCTATAGCGGTAAGTGTGGACGTACCCTGCAGCTGTGCCTGGCAGGGGAACCCGGGTCCTGGTCACTGTCCCTGCCTTGACCCACTGTCTGTGTCTGTGCAGCCAACTGGACCAGTCTAGGCGCTCTAGCTTCTCAGACATGCATTGAGAGCATTCCATCGCTGAAGATGGCTGATGGCCGGGTTCTGAGGGGCAGAACTTAGACCACACGTCCCAGAACATGGCCTGGTATGCAGAGGAAGCACTTAATGCCTGTTGAATGAATTTGGACCAGGATAGACACAATGTGATGAGGATAGACACAATGTGATGAGGATAGACACATGAATAAGTAGAGGCCCTGTTCTCCCCAAGTTGGTTTTCTCAAGTCCTCCACAAAGGTTATTCTTGTGCTCCCATCCTTTCCTGCATCCCCTAAAGGAAGGCTGGCCAACTGCCCTGGTCTACCTGGGACTGCCTTTGTCCTGGGACTGCCTGGGACTTTCCTTAACACTGAAAATCTTGCATTTGGGAAACTCCTCAGTCCTTGGCAAACCAGGACGATTGGTTGCCCTACCTAGAGGCTATTCCTCCTCAGGCTTCTGGGCTACTGAGAACTTACTAAGTCATATCCCTGTGGGTGACAAACCCAGTGGTCCCCACAGACCCTTGGCTCTCCCATACAGCCGTTCTCAGGAGGAATAGTACTTGGGTGATATTCCAGGGTTGCCCAACCTCACTCTGGTCCTAATGGCTGGTTGAGAATAGGCTTTGGGTTCTGACAAGCTGAGGTTCGAATCTCTGTTTGGTCACTGTCGATGAGACTGTAAGTAACTTGCCTCTCTGTGGTAAGTACAACATTCTATAAAATGGATGTATTTGTTTTCTAGGACCACTGCAACAAATTACCACAAACTATGTGGTTTAAAGTGATGGAAATGCATTCCCTCACAGTTCTGAGGCCAGACGTCTGAAATCGAGGTGCCCGCAGGGCCATGCTCTTTCTGAAGGCGCTAGGGAAGGATCCCACCTTTGCTTCTTCCAGCTTCTGGTGGCCCCAGTGTTCTTGGCTTGTGGCAGCATCTCTCCAGTCACTCTCTTCATCCTCACACGGCATTTCCCCCTTTGTCTCTGTGTCACAAGTCTCTCTCTTCTTTCCTCTATAAGGACATCAGTCATCAGATTTAGGACCCACCCTAAATCCGGGATGATCTCATTTTTAGGCCCTTAACTTAATTACATCTGAGAAGTCCCTATTTGTAGATAAATGCACATTCACAGGTACCAGGGGTTAGGACTTGCATATATCTATTTGGAGGATACAGTTCAACCCACTACATGGGATACCATAAGATTGTTGTGAGGATTAAAGGAGCCAGCATACATAACCTATTTTAAATGTCTTGGTCCTTAGCGAGACTCGATAAAGGTAGTTCGTATGCTTATGTCTGTGCATATATGCACTAATATAAAACCTAGGCAGACCAAAGTCGGCCCTGATGGCAGGGAAACCACTGTGGCAAAGCCCCTAGGGTCTTCATAATGTTAGGATATCTTTTAATCATCCAAGGGTTGGGGAGTCTGGGCGATGCATGGAAGGCTTCCAACACTGTCAAGATTAGTTTAGTAATTAGGTTCTTCCAGAGGGGGTTATTGTAGGGCTCTGGGGGTGAGGATTGCTACTTTCAACTCTGAAGCCAGGTTTTGTTTTCCTGGAGACCATGGCAAAAATGTTGGGTTTCCATAAGGAGAGAGATTTATTTATTTATTTTGCAGTTTGAAACTAAGTTCTTAACCAGTTTTCCTCATTTGTTCTTCAAAAAAAAAAAAAATGGTTTTATTGTGACAATATTATAGTACTTAGGATTCAGCCTCCAGTTTAAGTAAATAGTTGTGTTTTACCCATACTAATTGTAATGATTATATGTTACTTGGTGGGAAATGGTGAAAAATTGTGCTAGGGGTGGGTCTTGCAGATAATGAATTTACCTTTTTGTGTAACAGGGCTCTACTTTTAATAAGCCTGCAATTTCCTGATGGTCCGGCAAGAAAGATCCCAAATTGCATTTGGGAAGTGTCGAGGAAAATAAGCTTTCTCTTTAAAAAGATGAATAATTTCAATTACTCCTTAGACTATCATTTTGGCCCATTAAATGCTTTCCCCATTTTCCGTCAGGCTGACATCAGGGGCTTTGCTATTCAAAGAGTATTACTGTCATCGCCTTTGTTGAAATGGGCCTTCCCTCCCCAGCTCCAAGGTCATTTTTTGTGGCCTTGGGAGGGCCCAGCCGCAGTGGAAACAACAGCACTGCTTGTATTAATGGCCTTTGGAAAAACGTAGTGCTGTTGGCTGAGGAAGAAATGCCAAAGGGTGGGCTGAAATGCTGGGGAGTTTAGGCGGGCTCTGAATTCCTTGCTGGCCAGTCTTGCTGAAGGCTGTGATTCCATTCGGCTCTTGCAGGCTTTGTGCCATTCCTCAGCTGCCAAGGAATGTCCAAGGAGGATGACATGAACCACTGTGTGAAAACCTTCCAGGAGAAAACACAGCGCTATAAAGAACAGCTGCGGGAATTGTGCTGCGCAGTGGCCACTGCCCCGAAACTGAAACCTGTCAACTCCGAGGAGACGGTCCTGCAGGCCCTGCACCAGTACAATCTGCAGTACCACCCCCTGATCCTGGGTAGCAGCGCCCTGAAACCATTTCCCCTCACCCCTGGTCACCCCTGCAGATTCTCATAGGCCAGCTGAGCTGCCCCATAGCACCCAGAATCCCGCACCGTTCCAAATCCCAGGGGTCAGCACCAAATGCAAAGGCTCCATTTCTTAAAATGAGAAAGACACATTTCTTTTTCTTTCTTTCTTTTTCTTTTTTTTTTTTTTTTTGAGACGGAGTCTCACTCTGTTGCCTAGGCTGGAGTGCAGTGGTGTGATCTCGGCTCACTGCAACCTCTGCCTCCTGGGTTCAAGCGATTCTCCTGCCTCAGCCTCAGCCTCAGCCAAGTAGCTGAGACTACAGGTGCATGCCACCATGCCTGGCTAATTTTTGTATTTTTAGTAGAGACGGGGTTTCACCATGTTGCCGAGGGTGGTCTCAAATTCCTGACCTCAGGTGATCTGCCTGCCTCAGCCTCCCAAAGTGCTGGGATTACAGGCATGAGCCACAGAGGCTGGCCAGAAAGAAACATTTCTAGGGGAGGGGGCACAGTCCTGGTTAGGGAAGAGGGTGCTGGTCTGAGAACTAGGAGACCCTAGGCAAGTCACAAGTTTTCAGGCCTCAGCTTCTGGGTCAGTGGAAAACATTTTTTAGTTGCTTTCTCTGTGCCATGGTGTCTTTTTACAGAATGCAAATATGTAAAGAAACCTCTCCAGGAGCCCCCGATCCCTGGCTGGGCAGGCTACCTGCCGAGAGCCAAGGTCACTGAATTTGGCTGTGGCACGAGATACACTGTCATGGCCAAAAACTGCTACAAGGACTTCCTGGAGATCACGGAGAGGGCCAAGAAGGCACATCTGAAACCATATGAAGAGTGAGTCTGGCTTGGGTCCGTACCCCAGGCACAAGGTCAAAGGGAGAAGTGCAAACCCAGGATGGGGGTTTACCAGATGTCCCCATCCCAGCACTAGGACTATTTGTGTGTGATTTGTCTTAGAGAAGGTGCCTCATTTGTAGTTTCAGGGCTTCCCCAGTAGGCAGGTGCCCTCTGCTCCCAACCTGTGCTCAGCATTCCCCAGCAGCTCTACCTGTGGTCTTTGCTGGTTTGCAGGGAGGGGATGGGAGTAAAAACCAGCAGGGCTACCATCCTGGCAGTGGCTTAAGGCCCAAGGGTGCTGAGTGGCCTCAGCTTTCTCTTCTGCGAAATGAGGAGGGTGATCTTTACCTTTAGAATAAATTGTAAAGAAATAACATACCATGTTCATATATTTACTCATATTTATGTATTGTATTTTATTCTATTTATTATTATTCTATTCTTAATAAAAGGTCCATAACTTTGTGACTTCTATTCTTGTTTTAGAATATATGGAGTTAGCTCCACAAAAACTTCTGCTCCGTCTCCAAAAGTTTTGCAGCATGAAGAGCTGCTGCCAAAATATCCCGATTTTTCTATTCCAGGTGAGGAGAAATGTCTCTTTCCTTCCTACTACCGTTTTAAAAAGGGGATGAAATGTTTGCAGTGGCCTTTCTGCTTAGCTGGGCCAGCTCCCTGCAACTCACACGGACGGTTCCTCTCCTAGATGGAAGCTGCCCTGCCCTTGGAAGGCCCCTGAGAGAGGACCCCAAAACTCCGCTGACATGTGGCTGTGCTCAGAGGCCAAGTATACCATGCAGTGGGAAGATGTATCTAGAGCCACTGTCCTCCGCAAAGTATGCAGAAGGCTAGAAGCGCAGAGTCTCCCAAGGAGGTGAACTTTAAGTGGGGCTTCCAAAACCTGCCATTCTCATGTTGGAATCACGCCCAGTGAGCAATAAAGAAATTTAGTAACAAGAATTTTTTAACTGCCGCCTGCATCCTGAGTGGTTGACGGTTGCATGTCATTAATGATAAAGACCGTTTTTTGTCATGTGGGAATAAAGAGGCTGCTTCTCCGCATGCTAAAGTTTCTTGTGCGGGTTTTCTCCAGGTTATGTTGACCATGAGCTAGGGTTCCTAACCCCCGAGGTAACACTGCAGCCAGGCCAGGATCTTCACTGAAGACCTAGCCCAACCCTCTAACCAAACAGTCCCTGGGTCCTGGCATGTTCCTGACAGCGGCGCAGACACCACGCCCACCCCAGCCCTGGTTTTCCAGAATCCCAGTCCCCAGGAGGGTCCAGTTGGCAGATACCAGCTATATTGGTGTGATAGGGCTGCCTCCACAAAGTCCCACAAACTGGGTGGCTTAAGACAACAGAAATTTATTGTCTCACAGTTCTGGAGGCTGGAAGTCCAAAACTGGGGTGTTAGCAGGGCCAGCTCCCTCTGAAACCCGTGGGGAATCCTTACTCATCTATTCTTAGCTTGCTGTGTTTTGCAGCCACGTTGGCATTTCTTGCTACTAACTCCAGGCCCCCTGGGTGCCTCTCTGCCTTCACACGGCCATCTTCTTTTTTTTTTTTTTTTTTTTGAGACAGAATCTAGCTCTGTCACCCAGGCTGGAGTGCAGTGGCGTGATCTTGGCTTACTGCAAGCTCTGCTTCCTGGGTTCACGCCATTCTCCTGCCTCAGCCTCCCAAGTAGCTGGGACTACAGGCGCCCACCACCACGCCCGGCTGATTTTTTGTATTTTTAGTAGAGATGGGGTTTCACTGTGTTGGCCAGGATGGCCTTGATCTCCTGACCTCGTGATCCGCCTGCCTCGGCCTCCCAAAGTGCTGGGATTACAGGTGTGAGCCACTGTGCCCAGCCACACGGCCGTCTTCTTACAAGGACACCAGTCGCACTGGATCAGGAGCATGCCCTACTTCACTGTGACCTCATTGTAACTCATTATACCTGCAATGACTCTAGTTCCAAATAAGTCACATAAAGTACGGGGACTAGGACTTTCATGTTTTTTTTGAGGGACATAGTTCAAGCCGTAACACTGGATAACATCATCTTGCCACCAGCAGGCACCCTGACCTCCCTCAGCAACCACCCGTATGCAGAAGAAATAACAGCTCCTGGGACAATGAGACCGTTGTCATCCACTCAGAAATGTGCAGAGCCACACGAGGCAGCAAGCTGGGCCTCGGAGGTTTTTTCCAAGGCAAGAATTTTCACCTGGACATGCTGGGCTCCCATGATTCCATGGGTAGAAGTCAGAAGGTCAGAGAACTTTGATGAGAAAAAAAGTTACATCATTGTTTTCACTAACCTCCAGGCGAAATTTAGTATTTCCTTCCTTGATGAATGCAGGCAACAAACCACTGCAGGACCTGTCACCTTGGCCTGAGAGCAGTCACAGATGTTTTTGTATCACGTGGCTCTGGCTGCAAACAGCTGGAATGATGTTAAAGCTCATCTCTGTAATCATGGTGGTTATTACAGTGACTATATCTACTCTCTCACATAGTGTTATTCAATATAAGAATAAAGAAATGGCTGTTTTATAAATTTGTTCTTTTTAATATTTTGATAATATTTCAATATTGTTTCCATTGTAATCTTATGTATTTTGCTTTAAACATTTGGAAATACTGTTCTGACAAGAGGCCCACAGGTTTCACTAGACAGCAGTGGGTCCCCACCACAAGAATGGTTAAGAACCTTTGTCCAGGAAAACAGCCACGAATGTGTGTAAAGGGAGATTGTCACACAAAACCAGATAACAACACCTTCCCCACAGGGTTCAGGATTATGGTACATCTCATTATTTTTAAATGATATGATGGAAAAATGGTGTTGTATAAAAATACTGAGGATCCCATACATGAAATAGGCAGGTCATAAAACTGTACAGTAACACCAGACCTGTGTGTGTGTGTCCCTCATACACACAAACTCATACACACTATAATCCTGCTTTCTGTTTTTAAAAAAGGGTGGGGGGGGGCACTAACCTATAATGCTAGCAGTGGTCATTTGGATGATGGTCCTGTTGGTTATTTTTGTTTATTTATGCTTTTTTCAATTTTCCATAGCCAATAGGTATTGTTTTTATAATCAAGAAAAAAAAGTCATTAAAAAATCGCTATTTGAATTAAAAGATATTTTAATATTTTAGAGATTAAATGTTTAAAGAAAGGTCAGGTGCAGTGGTTCACACCTGTAATCCCAGCACTTTGGGAGGCTGAGGCAGGTGGATCACCTGAGGTCAGGAGTTTGAGACCAGCCCGGCCAACATGGTGAAACCCCCGTCTCTACTAAAAATACAAAAATTAGCCGGGCGTTGTGGCTCATGCCTGTAGTCCCAGCAACTCAGGAGGCTGAGGTGGGAGGAGCTCTTGAACCCGGGAGGCAGAGGTTGCAGTAAGCCAAGATCACACCACGGCACTCCAGTCTGAGCACAAGAGTGAGACTCCGTCTCAAAAAAAAAAAAAATGTTCAAAGAAAAAAGCCACATCTCAATAGAAGGTAGCTGGATTCCCTTCCAAGGGCTGAGGCAAAGCTCAGTGAACTGTCAGGATTTTTTCCCAGTGTTCTGAAAACCTGAAAGAGTTAAAACCCACGATCTTGGAAAGGAAACGTGGAGCTAGATCTCCCCACTGCCGGGATTGGGGGGTGGCCCAGCCTGCTGCGTCTGTGCTGGCCTCTCAGGGATGAGAGACAGGAATGGATGTCTGCCTGGGCCCAAACAATTTGCAGATAGCTCCTAGGGGCTCAAGGTTACTGGGGGTCTTTGCCCATGAAATTAACGGGGTGTGAGGACTGAAATGACCCCTTGTGACTGCCCTTATCTTACTCCCATCCAGGGGATCCTATGGTGCATCAATATTTAAGTCATTGACTAATTCATTTTGCACCAACTTTTAAAAAATGGTTTGAGCTGTAAAACTGAAACAAAACCAGAAAAAACAACAACCCAGTGATAGAGGTAACAAAATTGAATAAAGGCAATTTAAACAATTCTTTAACAGTATCTAATTATTCTACAACTTCATGATTAAGATCACCGAGTTCAACGTGCGAATCTGTAACTCCCTTTGTTTAAGCAGTTCCACATTGCAAGTCTTTTCCTTAATCTTTATCCTTTCTGTTTCTCCCTAGCCTATAATTTCTGGAGTGTCGTCTGTTGGCGGGGGAGGTAGAGAGGTGATTTTACTGCTCAGCAAGTTATCATTATTAGCACAAGCTGCATCTGTAATGAGCTCATTCTTGCCACTAAAAACAATTTCCATTACCTGATAAGAAAATTCCTTGGGCCAACTTGGGCCTTTTGTTGGGATAGTTTGACCTCCATGGCAATCAAATGCTCCTTTGGGGTCACCTCTTCCTTTTTCTGTGCAAGAATTGACAGTTCTCTTTTTTTTTTTTTTTTTTGAGATGGAGTCTCGCTCTGTCACCCAGGCTGGAGTGCAGTGGCACAATCTCGGCTCACTGCAAGCTTTGCCTCTCGGGTTCACACCATTCTCCTGCCTCAGCCTCCCGAGTAGCTGGGACCACAGGTGCCCACCACCACGCCCGGCTAATTTTTTGTATTTTTGGTAGAGACAGGGTTCACCGTGTTAGCCAGGATGGTCTCAATCTCCTGACCTCGTGATCCGCCTGCCTCGGCCTCCCAAAGTGCTGGGATTACAGGCGTGAGCCACCGTGCCCGGCCAAGAATTGACAGTTCTCTTCACAACACGTGTGGAGAGGGGATGCCACGGTTCTCCGTCCCCACTCCCCATCCTGCAGAGTGGTGGCCAGCTGGCTATAAGTGGGACCTTAATCATGGCTCTAACACAACTTTGCTCAAGCACAGCTGTGAAATCTGTGGACAGCAGTCAGACTCCCTGAGTTCATATCCCAATTCAGCCTTTTTTTTTTTTTCCTGGCTTTGTGACTCTGAACACCTTCCTTAGCATCAAATTCCTCTTCAGCATCACCTGTTTAGCATCAAATTCCTAGTTTGTAAAATGAAGATAACAAAAGAGTCTACCCAGTAGTGTAGGCATAAAGAGTGAGAGATTAGGCAGGTGGTCAGTCTGGCCCACACATGCTCAGTAAATATTGTTATATAAATTACATTTACCATTCGGGTAAAAGGACCTGGAAAAATTGCTGTAGCTGACATGCACTGAGAGTATTAGGAGTGACGTCTCGGAGCCCACATAGTGAGTTATTGGCAGAACAGGGTTCAGAATCCAGAGCTCCTGGCTCTTAAAGAAGTGCCCTCCGCACCACAGCAGTTTTCTTCCTGGGATTCTCCCGTGAGGCAAGCAGCACAGGTGTGATTAGCCAACAAGGAAAACAGCAATAGCAGCAGCCAGTGAGTACAGTGCTTGCTTTTCTGCTCAAGCTCTTTATCTGGAATAGCTTATTGAATCAGGATAAATCACTTTCATTTCATAGGTGGGGACACTGAGGCACAAAGGGGTTAAGCAATTTGCTCAGAGCCACACAGACAGTAAGCGGCAGAGCCAGGAATCGAACTCAGGCAGTCTGAGGCCAGGGTCTCACACTTAACTTTCATGCCTGGACTGCTACGTCCTGTGGATCTCTTCAGTAGCCATTGTCACAGTAACATGAACTACTACTAAATGGCTCACGGTTTCAACATTGAATCAACTTAGAAAAGAGATGAAAGGATAAGCAAGGAACACAAAAGTATAATAAACATGCCGGAGTCAGTATACTGGGGTTAAAGATGCCGAGAGCTGGGCTTTGGGGGTCCTCATACCGGTCTGTGCTTTGTAACTGCTGAGTAATCTGGAGCAAGAAACTTAACTTCTCCAAGCTTCAGTCTTCGCAGTTATAAAATGACGATAATACCTTCCTCATGAGGCCATTTTGGAGGATTTAATGAAATAACTCACACAAAGGGCTTACGGCATTTTGCAGGCATAAAACTTGCAGGCCTTCCGTTTCCTGTTGACCACAGTGAAAAGCACTAGAAGACAGCAATAGCGACAAAGGGGAAGTCTGAAAGGTTCACTAGGGATGAAGACCCTTGCTCCTCCGCCCTGCTCTTAGGCCTTGCTCATCTGACCCCTGTCTCACCCCAAGAATTTCAAGAGCCAGGGTCTTGAGTCCTTTCCCAGATGGCCTCTGGTTCCTTAAGCATATTACCTTTCCCCAAACAATCCAAAGTTTCCCTTGGTTCCAGGTCTAGAGTGAGCAACCCGTGAGTGTGAGCTATCATTAGGCGAGGTTGCCCAGGCAGGCAGACCCCATCCATCTGCCCTCTCCTTGGCAGCCTCTTATTTTCAGCTGATGGGGCATGTGGAGGTGGGGAAGAAGAGTGTGGAGATACACCAGCTTCCATCTATATTTAGATTCAAACCAGATTTGTCTGGATTCTCCAAAGACTAAGCCTGCCCTCACTTCTCTTGACCAGTCTGTGGCACCACGAGGAAGGGGCACCAGGCACTCCATGGTCTAGGGGAGCTAGGCACCCAGCCCAGTGTCCTTTACACCTCATTTCTGATGGGTGCTATCCTGAAGTACACACAGAGGCCGCTCTCCCTGGTCTTTCTGTCTGGCTGCGGGAGCCTCTACCCTCCACAATCCTAGACCCTAACTCTAGGGTCTGGGGTCTGTCTGCTGTAACCCCTTGCCCAGTACCAGTTTGTCTGAAACCACTTCCATGTGCTTAAACTCAACCCAATTGCTCTGACCATAAAATATTTCTCAAGCTTTTTGCCTAAGGGCACTTCTGACAATTCATGCATATTTCTCACATCTGCAGCTTTGTAAAGGTTGGGGTTGTTTGGTTTTCCTTGGTTGTTCTTTTTTCCCCCCATTTTATCTACTTATGAACACTTTGAGGAACTTTTAACCAGCGTGTCCAAGAAACTTTTCTATTAGATTCATTGTCATGAATGCAGCATTTTTTCTGGGTGCCACCTCAGCCTCCTGCCCTGAAGGTGCCAACCCTTTTAATAGGACGTAAATCACTAAGACTCTGTCTTCTAAGCCAGAGTTTGAAAACTTTTTCTATAAAGGGCCAGATAGTAAATATTTTAGGCTTCATGGGCCATATGGTCTCTGTCACAACTACTCAATTCTACCACTTTTGCAGGAAAGTAGCTACACACACACACACACACACACACACAAATATATATAGACATATGGCATACTTATATAGATAAATGAATAGGTGGCTGTGTTACAACAAAAATTTAGGGGAACTGAAGTTTTAGTTTCATATAGTTTTCTTGTATCCTGAAATATTATTTATCTCTTGAATTTTTAAAGAACATTTAAAAATGTGAAAACCACCGCTTAGCTGGAGAGTCATACAAAAACAGGTGGCCATGGGCTTTAATTCAAGGACCCCTCCTTTAAACGAAAAATTAATCCAAGAGGATGACACTAGCCAGTATCTAGTTGTACGTGATTTATTTATTTATTTATTTATTTATTTATTTATTTATTTATTTATTTTGAGACAGCGTTTCGGTCTTGTTGCCCAGGCTGGAGTACAATGGCGCAATCTCGTCTCATTGCAACTTCCACCTCCCAGGTTCAAGTGCTTCTCCTGCCTCAGCCTCCCAAGTAGCTGGGATTACAGGCGCCTGCCACCACGCCCAGCTAATTTTTTTATTTTTAGCAGAGATGGGGGTTTCACCATGTTAGCCAGGCTGGTCTCGAACTCCCGACCTCAGGTGATCCACATGCCTTGGCCTCCCAAAGTGCTGGGATTATAGGAATGAGCCACCGCAGCGGACTGTGTGATTTATTTTGTAAGCAATATGGGTGAAGCAGGCACTCCTTGAGAGACGCCCCCTCGGAGAAGCTCAGAAACAGAGATCCTCTGTATCCAGAACACAGAGAAGGTAGCCCAGACCAACTGGCAAGAGGGAGGGGGACAAAGAATGATGTGTAGCTTGTATTCACCGGGAGAAAGCCTGCAATTGCTTGAGACAAAAAAGGTAGAAACAAAGGCCTTGTAGAGGCTTTTCATACCCTGCATTAAAGTTAAAATCTAATTTAGATGAAAATGGATGCATAGAAATTAAACGTGCGTGCGTGGCTTTCGTCGTTAAGTTGTGGGCCCCGTAACGAGAGCTTTACCAAATTTATTCCCTTGGCTTGAAAATAAAAATGCTTTTTGAAATTTGATTTTGTTGTGTTACAAATTGTTTTAGCTTTGTGAATAGTACAAACCCCATTTCTGATCTACCTCAAACAAAAATAGAGCATTAAAGTGTTTAAGATTCAATCAAAGGCTTGCTGTGAGCGGCACAATATTAAAATAACAGAAAAATCAATTCAATTTTTATTTTGAACATGATTTGTCACAAACAGCCTTCTAATAGATAACACTGATTATACGGTAGCAAATGTAATTTATAACTACCAAGTGTTCTGCCTTTGTCAGAGTCAGCATTAAGGAATTTGACACGTATGCAGGAGAACAATAAATGTCAACTGAAATATATACCAGTTAGATATCAATGGGATGCTGAAATGAATGATGCCGGCACGTGCTATACTTATAAGTAATAATATGCAGTCTAAAGTAGCCTGGGTTTTCAAATAAGAACCCTTTTTATGTTGTCATTTAAAATATCTCATATTTCTGAAGGTCAGGAATAAATGGCACTATTAGCATTAAAAGCTAGTAAAAGAAAAAGTAATTTGTTGTTCATTTAACATAACATTTTATGAAACAGCTTTGTAAAGTATTCATTTTTTTTCTCCCTATGGAGGCTGGCAAGACAGGAAGAAGATGCCTGATTCTCAATGAAGGGCTTTTTATTGCACCTTTGTTACTGTTAACATCTTGATTCAGTTAAGATCTCTGTGGAATTATGTGGTTTGTGCCTGGGCAGGTTAATACTATGAAATAAAGATGTCTACACAAATGTAGTCTTGGCTGGCTCCCGCAGGATGCTGCCCGGGTCCTGGCTTTGGTCCTTATCAGTAGTGCCATTTGGTATAGGGATGACAGTATGACACTAGGGACAGGTGGCAAGACTGTCAGAAACTGAGAATGGAGGGTTTTGATGTGACAGACATAGGTCCTCAAGAGAAAGAGGAGGGAGGCACTTGCTATGTGTCTTGGGAGCAGTGGCAGCTAAATCAGGATATGAATCCAAATACAGATGGAGGGCCATCTTGGAAAGGCCCAGCCATGGAAACCCACTAAATCACCTTTCACCAGCCACAGGTCCCGAATCCCAAAATGCTGTAGACCTCATCCATCTAGGCTCGTGGGCAACCCTCTCAGCTCATCCTTTTCTTTATGTATTCTGAATTCTCAGCTTCCCTAGAATCAGTCAGTCAAAGTCTTTCTCTTTTTCTCTCTCTCCTCTTAAATGTGTATAAAAAATTAAAATAACACAAAATAACATTGCCAAACACCACGTAACCACCTGTAATTAGCAAAGTTGAATGCTTTATCATATTTCCTTCAAGCTCTTTTGTAAGAAGTAAATAAATATGGGACTTGGGACAACATGGCTATCTAGGTGCAGCCAGGAAGAGTTCAGAATATCAGGTAGACCAGCATACTCTGAACAGGTCTTCAGAGAGAATGCACTGAGGGTGGATAAAGAGACGATGCAGACACTGGGGCTGAAGGGGGAGGAAGCTGGGAACCCTGCATGGGGTTGTTGAGCACCAGGACTCATTCCTGGCTCTGAAGGGCTCC
This sequence comes from Homo sapiens, assembly GCF_000001405.40. Lineage (NCBI taxonomy): Eukaryota > Metazoa > Chordata > Mammalia > Primates > Hominidae > Homo > Homo sapiens. Next base: position 116,655,081 of record NC_000010.11, on the reverse strand, counting down.
TAAGGAAGGGGTGAGAGAAGGAAATGCAGAGCAGCCTACTCCCACCACGGACCTCCAGGACCCTAGTGGCAGAAAATATCATGACACCCACAGACAATTGAGTTGGCAGGGGGAACTGCCCAGAGAGTGGGTGGAGACAGAGCTTGAATCTGCAGGGAGCCCGGGTGGTTTTGTGCAGGGTCAGGTGCAATGGAACACGGCAATAGGCACCCATCTCCCAAAGCTCTCTATATTCCTTTGGTGGCTTTGACCTTTGTTAGCTGCCTGACCTGGAGAGAGCAAGGCTGTCTTTTCCAACAAAGTGGGGTGAGTCTGATCTGTGCTGGCTCACAGGGCAGCCTCAGCCATCCCACTGGAGCACTTTTGCCAGTGGCCACCACCATAATGCTTTCACCTGCAGCCCCTGTGCTACCTGACCAGAGTCCTTTTACCCACAGCCCCTCTGCTGCCCTCCTGGACCACTTTAGCCCACAGCATCCGACAGAGTGCTGTTGCCAGCAGTCTGGGAGCACCTTGGTTCCCTTAAAGCAGCTGGTGCTTCACCTCAAGGGGCCAGAAGAAAAAGCTATGGGCCCAGTCCCAGCTCCCCAGGGTTAAAGCATGCAGCCTAGGAGTGTCAAGCTGAGTCTTGGCCCTCTGAAAGCATCCAGAAACAAACATTCAACTATACCCAACCTGTACGACAGTCAAACCCTCGAGGGCAATAAAGAACATGTAAACAAAAAGCCTCATCCAAAAGACAGCAACTTCAAAGGATAAAGGAACATTAGCCCTCACAGAAAGAACCAGTGCAAGAACTTTGGCAACTCTAAAAACCAGAGTATCTTCTTACCTCCAGATGATCACACTAGCTCCCCAGCAATGGTTCTTAACCAGATTGAAATGGCTGAAATGTCAGACATAGAATTCAGAATCTGGATGGCAAGGAAGCTCAATGAGACACAAGAGAAGGTTGAAACCCAATCCAAGGAAAACAATAAAATGATCCAAGGGTTGAAAGATGACATCACCATTTTAAGAAAGAACCAAAATGAACTTCTGGAAATAGAAAATTTACAGGAATTTCATAATACAATTGGAAGCATTAACAACAATTGGAATAGACCAACCTGAAGAAAGAATCTAAGAACTTGAAGACCACTCCTTCAAAGCAACGCAGGCAGACAAAAATGAGGAAAAAAGAATTTTAGAAAATGAATGAAATCTCCAAGAAATATGGGATTGTGTAAAGAGAGCAAACCTATGACTCATTGGCATTTCTGAAAGAGAGCAAACAACTTAAAAAATATATTTGAGGATATAGTCCATGAAAAATTTCCTAATATTTTACATGTGAATTTAAGAAATTCAGAGAATCCCTGTGAGATACTATATAAGATGACCATCCCCAAAACATACTGTAATCAGATTCTCCAAGGTCAATATGAAAGAAGAAGTCCTAAAGGCAGCTAGAGAGAAGGGGCAGGTCATTTATAAAGGGAATCCCATCAGGCTAACAGTGGGGCTTTTAGCAGAAACCTTACACTCCAGAAGAGATTGGGGGCCAATTTTCAGCATTCTTAAAGAAAAGAAATTCCAACCAAGAATTTCATATCCTTCCAAATTAAGCTTCATAAGAAAAGGAGAAATAAAATCCTTTTCAGAGAAACAAATTCTAAGGGAATTCGTTACCACTACCTGCCTTATAAGAGGTTCTAAATGGAGTGCTAAACATGGAAATGAAAGAACAATACCTGCCACCACAAAAACACATTTCAGTACAAAGTCCATTGACACTACAAAGCAACTATACAATCAAATCTACCTAACCACCTGCTAACAACACAATGACAGGATCAAATCCTCACATAGCAATATTGGTTTTAAATATAAATGGGTTAGATGCCCCACTTAAAAGGTATAGAGTTGGTAGCTCATGCCTGTAATCCCAGCACTTAGGGAGGCCGAGGCGGGCAGATCACAAGATCAGGAGATCGAGATCATCCTGGCTAACACGGTGAAACCCCATCTCTACTAAAAATACAAAAATTTAGCCGGGAGTGGTGGCACATGCCTGTAATCCCAGCTACTCGGGAGGCTAAGGCAGGAGAATCCATCCCTTGAACCCAGGAGGTGGAGGTTGCAGTGAGCTGAGATCGCACCACTGCACTCCAGCCTGGGCGACAGAGCGAGACTCTGTCTCAAAAAAAAAAAAAAAAAAAAAAAAAAATAGAATGTCAAATTGGATAAAGAAGCAAGACCCAACAACTGTCTTCAAGAAACCCATCTTACAAGTAATGACACCAATGACACCCACAGGCTCAAAGGAAAGGGATAGAGAAGGATCTATCAGGCAAATGGAAAACAAAAAAGAGAAGGGAGTTGCTATTCTTATATCAGATAAAATAGGTTTTAAACCAACAATGATCAAAAAGGACAAAGAAGGGCATTACATAATGATAAATGGCTCAATTCAATAAGACTTAACTATCCTAAATATATACGCATCCAACATTGAAGCACCCAGATTCATTTTTAAAAAAGTTCTTAGAGGTCTACAAAGAGATTTGGAGAACCACACAAGTTAAGCGGGAGACTTCAACATCCCACTGACAACGTTAGAAGGATCATCAAGGCAGAAATCTAATAAAGATATTCTGGACTTAAACTCAACACTTGACCAAATAAACCTAAAAGACATCTATAGAACACCCTACCTGACAACAGGATATGCATTCTTCTTATCAGCACATGGCACATATTCTAAGATTGCGCACATGCTCAACCATAAAGCAAGTCTCAACAAATTAAAAAAAAATCATAACAACCACACTCTCAGACCACAGTGCAATAAAAATATAAATCAATACCAAGAAGATCCCTTAGAACTATACAATTACATGGAAGTTAAACTGCAACTAAATGATTTCTGGGTAAAAAATTAAACTAAGGCAGAAAAAAAATCATTTGAAACTAATGAAAACAGAGGCATAGCACACCAGAATTTTTGGGACCTAGCTAAAGCAGTGTTAAGAAGAAAGTTTATAGCACTAAATGACTACATCAAGAAGTTAGAACTCAAATTAACAAACTAATGCCATACATAGAAGAACTAAAAAACAAAAGCAAAACAACTCCAAAGCTCCCAGAGGAAAAGAAATAACCAAAATCAGAGCTGAACTAAACAAAACTGAGATGCAAAAATCTACACAACAGATCAACAAAACCAAAAGTTTGTTCTTTGAAAGAATGAACAAGATCAATAGACTGCTAACTAGATTAATAAAGAAAAAAGGGGAAAGATCCAAATAAACACAATCAGAAGTGACAAAAGTAACATTACAAATGGCCTTACAGAAATACAAAAAAATCCTCAGAGACTATTATGAACATCTCTGTGCATACAAAGTAGAAAACGTAGAAGAATGGATAAATTTCTGGACACACACAGCCTCCCAAGATTGAAACAGGAAGAGATTGAAATCTTGAATAGACCAATAACAAGTTCTGCAATTGAATCATTAATAAAAAACCTACCAACCAATAAAAGCCCAGGACCATATGAATTCACAGACAAATTCTACCAGATGTACAAAGAAGAGTTAATATCAATCCTTCTGAAATTATTCCAAAAAATAAAGGAGGAGAGACTTCCCTAACTCATTCTATAAAGCCAGCATCATTATGATACAAAATCTGGTAGATCACAGTGAAAAAAGAAAACATCAGGCCAATATCCCTGATGAACATACACACAAAAATCTTCAACAAAATATTACCAAACTGAATCCAGCAGCACATCAAAAAGTTAAGTCACCATGACCGAGTAGGCTTTATTCCTGGCATGCAAGGTTAGCTCAACACATGTAAACCAATAAATGTGATTCATCCACATAAACAGAATTAAAAACAAAAACCACCTGATCATCTCAATAGACAGAGAAAAAGTCTTTTGATACAATTCAACATCCCTTCATGTTAAAAACTCTCAACAAATTAGGCATCAAACGAACATACCTCAAAATAATAAGAGCCACCTATGACAAACCCACAGCCAACATCATACTGAATGGGCAAAAAACTGGAAGCATTTCTTTTGAGAACTGGAAAAAGCCAAGGATGCCCTCTCTCACCACTCCTATTCAATTATTACGGGAAGTCCTAGTCAGAGCCATCAGGCAAGAGAAAGAAGTAAAGGGCATACAAATAAGAAGAGAAGTCAATCTCTTTTCACAGACAATATGATTCTATACCTAGAAAATCCCATAAACCCTGCCAAAAGGCTCCTACAACTGATAAACAACTTCAGTGAAGTTTCAGGTTACAAAATCAATGTATGAAAATCAGTAGCATTTATATACTCCAATAACACCCATGTTGACAGCCAAATCAAGACCACAATCTCATTTACAGTAGCCAGAAAAAGAATAAAGTTATTAGGAATACAGCTAACTAACAAGGTGAAAGATAGCTACAACAAGAATTACAAAACATTGCTGAAAGAAATAAGAGATGACACAAACAGAAAAACATTCCATGCTCATGGATAGGATGAATTGATATTGTTAAAATGGTTATACTGTCCAAAGCAATTTACAATTCAATGCTATTCCTATCAAACTATCAGTGTCATTTTTCAAAGAATTAGAAAAAATGATTCTAAAATTTATATGGAACCGAAAAAGGGCCTAAAGAGCCAAAGCAATCTTAGGCAAAAAGAAAAAAGCTGGAGGCATTACACTACCTGACTTCAAACCATACTACAAGGCTACAGTAACCCAAACAGCATGGTACTGGTACAAAAACATACATATAGACCAATGGAACAAGATGGAGAACCCAGAAATAAAGCCACACACCTACAACCACCTGATCTTCAACAATTGACAACAACAAGAAGTAGGGAAAGAACTCCCTACTCAATAAATGGTGCTGGGATAACTGGCTAGCCACAGGCAGAAGATTGAAACTGGACACCCTTTTTTCAGCATACACAAAAATTAGCTCAAGATGGATTAAAGACTTAAATGCAAGATCTAAAACTTAAAAAAAAAACTCTAGAAGAAATCCTAGGAAATCCATTCTGGGCATTGGCCTTGGCAAATAATTTATGACTAAGTCCCTAAAAGCATTTTTGACAAAAACAGAAACTGACAAGTGGGTAACTTAAAGAGCTTCTGTACAGTAAAAGAAACTGTCATGAGAGTAAACAGACAACCTATGGAATGGAGAAAATATTCACAAACTATGTATCTGACAAAGGTCTAATATTCAGAATCTATAAGTAACCTAAACAATTCAACAAACAAAAACCAAATAACCCCATTTTAAAAAATGGGCAAAGGACATGAACAGACACTTCTCCAAAGAAGATATATATGTGGCCAACAAAAATATGAGAAAATGCTCACCATCACTAATCATTACAGAAATGCAAATAAAAACCACAGTCAAATACCATCTCACACCAGTCAGAATCGCTATTACTAAAAAGTCAAAAAACAACAGATATTGGTGAGGTTGTGGAGAAAAGGGAACACTTATACACTGCTGGTAGGAATGTAAGTTAGTTCAGCCACTGTGGAAAGCAGTGTGTAGCTTCCTCTAGGAACTTAAAACAGAATTACCATTTGACCCAGTATTTGGTATATATCCCCCCCAAAATAAATCATTTTACCAAAAAGACACATGCACTCATATGTTCATTGCTGCACTATTCACAATAGCAAAGACATGGAATCAACCTAGATGTCCATCAGTGGTGGACTGGATAAAGAAAATGTGGTACCTATACACCATGGAATACTATGCAGCCATAAAAAGGAATGAAATCATGTCCTTTGAAGCAACATGAATGCAATGCACCTGGGGGCCATTATCCTAACGAATAACGAATAAGATAACGAATACAGAAACAGAAAACCAAATACTGTGTGTTCTCACTTATAAGCAGGAGCTAAATGCTGAATACGCATGGACACAAAAATGGAAACAATAGACGCTGGGGACTACTTGAGGGAGAAGAGTGGGGAGGGTTGAAAAACTATCTATCAGGTACTATGCTCGCTCCCAGGATGACGAAGGATTCTAAATGGCCTTGTAGGTCATGTTTTGATATCTTGTAGCACATAGGTGGTGAGTAATAGTATTTTGTAAATAGAAATGTACGTAAGTCATAATTTCTGTATCTAAATGATATATCTTCCTGACACTTGCTTTTGTCCTCAACAGGACATTTTGGGGATCTACACATGTTGATACATATGGATCCTAGTTCATTCTTTTTCATTGATGAAGGCATATTTTGGATAATCTGACAAGTGTGAATGTTATTTTGTTGGTTTCATTTGTATTCCCCTGATTACTAGTGAGGTTAAATCTCAAGCTTTTTAAATTCAGTTTTCCTGTGTGTGAATTGCATGTTTGTGACCTCTGTCCATTTTTCTGTTGGGTTGTCCTTTTATGTATTCTGAATACGAATCTTTAGTTGCATCCACTTAAAATTGCTTCTCTGAGGCTACGACCTGTCTTAGCTCTTTGTCATTGGTATCTGTTACTCTTAAAGAATAACTCATGCCAGCCAGCCCTTCCTTCTTTTTCTTCTTCTTTTTTTTTTTTTAGACCGAGTCTCCCTCTGCTGCCCAAGCTGGAGTGCAGTAGCTTGACCTCGGCTCACTGCAGCCTCCGCCTTCCAGGTTCAAGTGATTCTCCTGCCTCAGCCTCCCGAGTAGCTGGGATTATAGGTGTGCACCACCATGCTCCGCTAATTTTTTCTTTGTATTCTTAGTAGAGACAGGGTTTCACCGTCTTGGCCAGGTCTCGAACTCCTGACCTCAGATGATCCAGCCGCTTCAGCCTCCCAACCTTCCTCATTTAATGACAGTTTATTATGTGCCAAGCACTGTCCTAAGCGCTTTGCGTTTCTTATCTTATGTAATTCTACTAGCCACCCTGTATGGCAGGGCTACTATTATTCTCCAGTAAGTGTTGAGGTCAGAGAAGTTAAGCAGCCAGCCCAGGGAGTCCAGGTAGAAGGAAATGAAGCCGCAATGAATGCAAGGCCAGCTCAGCTTTACTGCAGAGCTGAGCAATTAGGCCCTATATCACACTATGGGGATTTATATGAGTAAAGATAGAAAGTGTCATTACCACCTCTTAGATGGGATCATACCTGGTGGTTCTGAACTGTGGCTGTAAATCGTCCAGGGAGCTTTAAGAATACCGGTGACCCACCCCAAAATTGTGGTTGGTCTAGGATATATCCTGGACATGGGATTGTCTTTTGCTTTTGTTTTCTTTCTTTCTTTTGAAGAGATGGGGCCTCACTCTGTTGCCCAGGCTGGTCTCAAATTCCTGGCTTCAGGTGATCCTCTCGTCTCAGCCTCCTGAGTAGCTGGGATTACAGGTTTCTTTTAAAGCTCCACAGTAATTCTAATACACGGCCAGGGCTGATAACTTCTACAGTTTGTAGTTTTATTGAGATCTAAAACATCTGGTAGGTCTCAGACAAGGACCTATTTCATTGCACCAGGCTAAGATTTTAAATGCTGTATAGGGGCCGGGCACAGTGGCTCACACCTGTAATCCCAGGAGTTTGGGAGGCCGAGGTGGGTGGATCACTTGAGGTCAGGAGTTCAAGACCAGCCTGGCCAACATGGTGAAATCTGTCTCTACTAAAAATAAAAAAATTAGCTGGGCATGGTGGTGGATGCCTACTCGGGAAGCTGACAGGCAGGAGAATCGCGTGAAGCCAGGAGGCGGAGGTTGCATGCAGTGAGCCGAGATCGCGCCACTGCACTCCAGCCTGGGTGACAGAGCGAGACTCCATCCCCAAAAAAATAAAAAATAAAAACAAATAAATGCTGTATAGGGTTTTAAGAAAAAGAATTTAGAAAATACAAAGAAAATAAAAGCAAAAAGGACGAAGGAAACAAAAAAATCCCAAGACATTGAACTCAAGGACTTCAGTTCTGTTTGCATTAGAGGCCTCCCCTTAAAGGGAAGAGAGAGCTCCTTTACCCCTATTCTCCAAATCTCAGTGGAAGGAAGAATTACGTGCAATTCTCCTGAAGCAACAGCCACTGCTGTCATGATGCCATTTTCTCAATCTGCTAGATGAAGCCATTTCAGGATTCTAAGAATTGAACAGTGAATAACCCCACCCTGGCGCAACGGGTGCACCTACAGTACAACCCCCAGGCCCTGAAAGCAACACCCTCTACCTGGCACCAGCCCATTTACTCTCTGGGGTGCCCAGGCAGTTCTGCTGGGGGCAAATGGGAAGTGGTGCATGGTCAGGAGGCCAGGCTTCCACGGCTGCGCTCCACACGGGCCCCAGCAGCTTTGTTGAGGAGGTCCTTGGCCCCCCCAAATCTGGGCATAGCCTCAAAAAAAGACCACACAGGCTGGTGGCCAGTATCAGGCTCAGGAAGGAGATATGAAAACCCAGGCCTGGCTGCCTCATCTGCCTCTGACCAGTGTGAGTTCAGGTGGTTGGAGCCCTCCGGGAAGCCACTGGGGTGATGGGGACCTGCAGAACCCTTTAAGTATGAGCTGCGCACAGGGCAGACAGGTACAGGCCCTGTGAGCAGCTGCCCCAGGCCCTCCTGCTGCCGTTCTTTTTCCTCCCTGGGTAGAGGATAGATTGAGCAAAATATTCGCATATGATGGAATATTCCAGTTTTCCTAATATTAAAGAGCTGTTTAAAGTGAAAACTGTATTAAAAAGATGCCTAAAATTGGCAAAGAATTTGGATAATTCACAGAGGAAGAAATACCAAGAGCCCATTAAATACTGAAACCTCACTCATAATAAAATAAAGCAAATTACAATGTAAGGAAACACACTTTCACCTATCAAATTGGCAAAAGATTTGACAATACCCATGTTGGTAAGAGTGTGAAACGCTCTCATATTAGAATGAATCACATGAAATTGTCAACATTTGGCTTTTCTGGCCTTTAAAACTGTAATTGCCTATGGTTCAACCTACTATGTTGTTCGTTGAATAAATTGATACAATCGCTATAGAGAGCAATTTGGCAATATTGGTCAAAATAAACATATTCCAAATATTTATTGATCAGCTATATAATGTAGAATATATCATGAAAGGATATTAATTGCATGAATATTTATAATAGAAAATAGTCCAACCATACATACCATGTACATCTCTCAGTGGAATCTATGAAGCTATATGAAGAATGGAGAAACTCTTCCTGTACCATTAGAGACGAATATGCAACTTATTGTTAGTGAAAAATGCAAGATGTGGAACAGTGTGTACAGTATTCTATCATCTGTGCTTAGACAAAAAGGGTGTGGCAGGGTTGAGTGTGTAAAATAGATATATCCATAAGGATATATGGACTATTTCTTGAAAAAACCCAGGTTGTCTCTAGGAAGAAGAACTGAGAGACTTGAAGGCAAGGGGGAAAGAGATTCTCCTTTCATAAGAATACTTTTCTGTATCATTTGAATTTTGTAACATGTGCATGCATTAACTTTTTTTTTTTTTTTAAAAAAAGCCCCGCTGTCTCCATGCCGCAGGTGGATTTTAATCAAAATCATCAGAGTTTGGAGTTACACCTGCCACAAAATGCGGCAATATCTCGGGATTTTTGTTTCATTCTCCTTTTTTGCTTTTCTTCTCTTTGTATTTTCTGAATGCTTATGTGGTGTCTACCTTGTGTCCCTAGGATGTTAAAAGCTGGTTGGGCAGCAAGCGAGAGCAACAATGACCTTTACAAATAGGACAGAAGTTCATTGTCTAAGGAAATAAAATCCGCTGGAATGGGCCACCTAAAGTGCCTGGAAAGAGAGAGATGGTGGCAGAGGTAAGTGGGTGAGAAGTTCCAGGCATCACCTGTGGCAAACTTGGCTCCAATCCCCCAAATCATTTCTGAAATGCGAACCCAGAAAGTAGAGAATGTCAAACTAACAGCTCACCCTCAAACCGAGTGCATTAAAGATTTTATTACCGCAATAGCTGCACCACGTTTTTAACAAGGGTAAAGAGATTGCAAGACGTTTTCTTCCACAGTGTCGCTGCTACAAAAATTATACCTGTGGAGGAAAAGATTGTCAGCATGAGGCTCTTTTGCTTGTGGAAATGTGACTTCAGGTGAGTAAACAGCATTTGGGCAACCCCCTGGATTCGGCTCCCCTTGACCGAAAAGTTCTGCTTTACCAGGCAGAGTCCAAGTAATTCTTACTAACAAAACCTGCTCAAAGAGCACTCCTCTCCCCATGTGGGCTCTGAATGGGTGGAAAGTGAATCAGCCATGTCAAACTGAAGCTTTGCAAACTGCAAAACTGAGGGGACTCTGATGGGACTGCCTCTTTGGGTCTAGCAATGAGTTCCAGGGACCAAGAGTGCCCCAGCCAGCACAGAGGGGACTTTCTCTGTCAAATTAAAATCAGAGAGGGCCCCTCATACACTGCTCTGGAAATGTAAAATGTGGCAGCCACTTTGGAAACAGTTTGGCAATTCCTCTAAAGGTTAAACAGAGTTATCATATGGCCAAGCAGTTCCACTCCTAGGTATATACCCAAGAGGATGAAAACAAAATCTTGTACATAATGTTCATAGCAGCATTATTCATAATAGCCCCCAAGTAGAGACAACCCAAATGACCAACTGATAAATGAATAAATAAAATGTGGCATAGTCGTATAATAGAATATTATTTGACAATAAAAAACAATGCAGTACTGATACATGCTACGTGGATGAACCTTGAAAACGTTATGCTAAATGAAAGAAGCCAGTCATGAAGGACTATATACTGTATGACTCCATTTACATGAAATATCCAGAATAAGAAAACCTACAGAGACGCAAAGTAGATTAGTGGATGCCTAGGGCTGAGAAAAAGGGATGTGCGGGTGGAGGGATGATGGCTAATGGGTCTGGGGTTTCTTTTTAAGGTGATGAAAAGATTTTAACATTGTAGTGATAGTTGCACAACTCTGTGAATATTCTAAAAGCCATTGAATTGCACACTTTAAATGGGTTAATTGTGTTTTATGGGAATTATGGTTCAATAAAATTGCTTAAAAATAAAAAAGATCCTGGAGGGTTATTAACCGTGACAAACTAACTAAGTCAGGTTGGAGCAAGCACCAAGCATGAGAAGCTGGCCACTTCTGGCCTCTTCCTTCCCTTGCAGGTGACTTTGATGCAAGGGGAACAGTGTGGCCAAGCTGGCCTTCCCTCCGGGTTAGCTTCAGAATGTAGCTTCTTGGTGAGAGAGCCCTCATGTGGGCTGGGGACTCTGGTGTTTGGATTATACAGTATGTGTTCTATATTGTACTTAAAACAGGAACTCCACCCCCACTTAAATACTGAGAAATCCAGACATTTTCACATTGCATTGCACTACCAGACCATATGGACTTCTCAGTTTCACATCCAGCTGGCTGAGTTGATGGGCACAGTGGAAAGAACACTGGAGGGGCTGTCAGAAGACCTGGGTCCCAGTCCTTGTTGTGCCTTACAACTGAGCATAGTAGCCCCCCATTATCTGCAGTTTTGCTTTCCATGGTTTCAGTTACCCATGGTCAACTGAGGTCCCAAAATAGGAAATGGGAAATTTTAGAAACAAACAATTCATAAGCTTAAATTACACATCATTCTGAGTAGCATGATAAAATCTTGCTCTGTTCAGCTCTGTCCCACCCAGGACATGAAGTGTCCCTTTGTCCAGCATATTTCCTATTCATATAGTATGTATGAATAGGAAAAAAAATCATAGTATATGTAGGATTGGTACTATTTGAGGTTTGAGGCATCCAACTGGGGTCTTGGATTATATCACCCATCCCCCCAGGTAAGGGGGTCTACTGTACACAAAGTGATGGCACGCTGACTGTGACATCTGATCCTTCCAATAATATACTGAGTAATTGGGATTATTGCCACTTTTACAGCCAGCAAAGTTGAGTCATGCAGCTGAGCTAAGTCTTGGTGTGTGTTTTGAAAACATTCTGAAGTTCAATATTTTTCCCTTTAGATTCCCTACATGACCTTAGACAAGTTACTTGACTTTCCAAATCTTACTTCCTCATCTTAAAACAAGATCAGTTGAGAGTCAACATTTATGTTTCCTTTATTCTCTAATATCCCATTGTTTTTGAATTATCCTCTTTTGAGGTGTCATTCTTTCCATATTTTAAAAACAGTTATATTCTCTCCCAATGCCTACTAAGTAGGATTCTATTCTCTCAGAATGGAAGAACTTGCCACTATGAGCCAGATTCCCAACACAGTGTGTATCCCTCTAATGCTATAGTCTCCAAACAAACCTGTTTACATTAATAACTGCACATCAACTGGAATTAACTCAGAGATTTCCACTATGTGCTTCCCAAGTGTTTTCCTTATTGTTTGAGATAAAATAGTCATTCATATTTGCCCGTTTCTTGAATCTGTGCCTACAATCATTGCCTTGCCCCTGCCAAGTTGAATTTTGCCTAAGGAAAACAACGTTTGGTTTTTCAAAGTAAATCAGATGGATGGATGGAGAGTTGAGATGAACAGCTGGGAAGATGAATGGATGGAGGGAAGATCAAATAATGGCCAGAGGGCCAGAAGAATGATAAGATAGGTGTCTGGGTGGATGGGTAGAGGAATAAGTGAATGGGTAAGTGGCTAAGTGGTTAAAAGGATAGAGAAATGGATAGATGGGTAGATGAATGGATGAGTAGATGGGTACATAGATGAGTAGGTGGGCAATTGGATGAATGAATGCCTAGACAGATAGATCAATATGTAAATATAAATAACCAAACTTAGATGCAATAAAAAATACATACTCAGTCCCATCTTCACCACTTTGCACTGTGATTTGGGAAGCCCCCAGTTTGGGCTCAGATAGATTTATCCCACGTTTGTTCCAGAGGAATTTAACTTTCTGTATTTTTCCAACATTAAAATCCACATCAATAGCACACGTGTGACTTGCATCTGGTTTGAGGGATCCTCTGAAAATATAGACATAAAATGTTATATCAGCTGGATATATGAATACATAACATGATTGCGATCTATCACTTCTCTAAACAATAGTTGCTGTTGTTGGTTTTCTGCAAACACCTTGGATGACTTCATACACATCCAGGGGCTGCCATAACATAAAAGTATTTGTGCAGAACACACCTTTTAAAAATACTGGACTCCAGATTTCCACTGTTTTAGTTTTTACCTACAGCTAAGTCGAATATTTGGGGTGGCATATGAATGCTCTAAGTTTGTTACAGGACTATTTGGGGCAATGTCTTATGTTTAAAGATGCATGTGGTTCAGCAGGTGCCATTTGTTAGCATCTCATGTGTATTACAGGAATTTGTCAAGGACATTTAATTCAACACAAACATTTTTATGTAAAAGTTAGTGCAAAAACAGAACCTAACTTTATTGTACAGGTTATGCATTCATCTAACACATATTTACCAAGCACCTCACATGCCCAGCAGAAGCCAGATGCTGAGGCCACACAGCATGGATGAGATGGCCACAGGCTTCATATGTGTACCTATGTGTGTGAGGATGGGGTGTGTGTTGGGTATGTGCCATACAGATGTGCCTTGCCTGAAGAGATTTTGATATTTACAAAATCCAAGTCAGAAAGAAAACTATAGGCAATATCCCTGATGAACACAGACACAAAAATCCCCAACAAAATGCAAGCAAACCAAATCCAACAGCACGTTAAAAAGATAATTCATCACAATGAAGTGGGTTTTATTCCAGGAATGCAAGGGTGGTTCTACATATGCAAATCAACAAATGTGATTCAACATATAAACAGAATCAAAAACAAAAAACATATAATAATCTCAATAGATGCAGAAAAAGCTTTTAATAAAATCTAATGTCCCTTCATGATAAAAAGCCCTCAACTAACTAGACATCAAAGAAACATACCTCAAAATAATAAAAGCCATATATGACAATCCCACAGCTAACCCTATGTCGAATGGAGAAAAGTTGAAAGCATTCACCCTAAGAACTGGGACTAGACAAGGATGTCCACTCTCATTACTCCTATTCAACACAGTACTGTAAGTTCTAGCCAGAGCAATCAGGCAAGAGAAAGAAATAAAAGGCATCCAATTGGAAAAGAAGAAGTCTACTTATCTCTGTTTACTGATGACATGATTTTATATCCAGAAAATCCTAACAATTCCCCTAAAAGTCTGCTAGGCCTGATAAATCACTTTAGTAAAGTTTCAGAATACAAATTATTGCACAAAAATCAATTGCATTTCTATACACCAAAAATGCTCAAGGTGAGAACCAAATCAAGAACTCAATCTCATATACAATGGCCATACACACAAAATATACCTAGAAATACATTTAGCCAAGGAGGCAAATGAACTCTACAGGGAGCACGATAAACACACTGATGAAAGAAATTGTAGATGACACAAACAAATGGAAAGACATCCCATGCTCATGGACAGGAAGAATCAATATCATTAAAGTGATCTACAGATTCAACACAATTCCTATCAGATTAACAATGTCATTTTTTACAGAATTAGAAAAAACAATTCTAAAATTCATGTTTTAGAATATGAATAAGAAAGAGCCCCAATAACCAAAGCAATCTAAGCAAAAAGAACAAAGCCAGTGGTATAACATTACCTGACTTCAAACTATACTACAAGGCTACACTAACCCAAACAGCATGGTACTGGTACAAAAATAGACACATATATCATTGGAACAGAATAGAAAGCCCAGAAATAAAGCCATACATCTACAGCTAGCTGATCTTTGACAAAGTCAACAAGAATAAACAACGAGGAAAGGGTTATTGAATAAACCTATTCAATAAATGGTGCTAGGATAACTGGTTAGCCATAGGCAGAAGAATAAAACTGGACCCCTATTCTTCACCATATGCAAAAATTAACTCAAGATGGATGAAAGACTTAAATGTGAGACCTGAAACTATAAAAATTCTAGAAGAAAACATAGGATAAAACTCTCCTGTACATTAGCTTAGGTGAGGTGGGTGGATCACCTGAGGAAAGGAGTTTGAGACCAGCCTGGCCAACATGGTGAAACCCCATCTCTGCTAAAAATACAAAAAAATTAGCCAGGCATGGTGGCAGGTGCCTGTAATCCCAGCTACGTGGGAGGCTGAGGCAGGAGAATTGCTTGTACCCAGGAGGCGGAAGTTGCAGTGAGCCGAGATCTTGCCATTGCACTCCAGCCTGGGCAACAAGAGTGAAACTCCATCTCAAAAAAAAAAAAGAAAGAAAGAAAGAAAGAAAGAAGTTATGACTAAGACCTCAAAGCAAATGCAGCAAAAACAAGAATAGACAAATGGGACTGAATTGAACTAAAGATCTTCTGCACATTAAAAGAAGCAATCAACGGAGTATACAGACAACCTACAGAGTGGGAGAAAATATTACAAACTATGCATCTGACAAAAGATTAATATCTAGAATCTATAAGGAACTTAAATCAACAAGAAAAAAACTAACAACCCCATTAAAAAGTGGGCAAAGAACTTCTCAAAAGACATACAAACATCAAGCAAACATATAAAAAAATTCTCAACATCACTAATTATTAGAGAAATGCAAATTAAAACCACAGTGAGATACAATCTCATACCAGTCAGAATGACTATTATTAAAAAGTCAAAAAAAAAATAACAGATGTTGGCAAGGATATGGAGAAAAGGGAATGCTTATACACTGTTGGTAGGGATGTCAGTTAGCTCAACCCCTATGGAAAACAGTATGAAGATTTCTCAAATACCTTGATAGAAAAATAGAACTTCATTTTGACCCAGCAATTGCACTACTGGGTATCTACCCAAATGAAAAGGAATAGTTTATCAGAAAAATACCTGCACTTGTATGTTGATCACAGCAATATTCACAATAGCAAAGTCATGGAATCAACCTAAGTGTCCATCAGTGGTTGATTGGATAAATAAAATTTGGCATATAGACAACATAAAATACTATGCAGCCATAAAAAAGAATGAAATCATGTCTTTTGTAGCTACATGGATGAAGCTGAAGGCCATTATCTTCAGCGAAATAACTCATAAACAGAAAATCAAATACTGCATGTTCTCACTTATAAACAATGGGTACATATGGACATAAAACTGGAAAGAATAGACACTGGGAACTCCAAAAGGAGAGAGGTTGGGATGGGGATAAGGGATAAAATTTATCCATTGGGTTCAATGTTCACCGTTTGGGTAATAGGTTCACTAGAAGTCCAAACCTCACCATTACACAATATACCCATGTAATGAATCTGCACATGCACCCCCTGAATCTAAAATAAAATAAAATAACAAAAAAAGAAAAAACAATCTAGTCAGGTGACTGACATTCCAAAAGGAGTTAGCACATGACTCATTTTAAATAGTGAGTTCCCTCTCTCTGGGCCTCACTCTTCTCATATGTAAAATGGGACAATTGAACTAGACATTGAGACTTTCTTCCAGCTCTGACATTCTAGGATTCAGTGGTTCTGTATAATAGATGCCTAGATTTATAAAGCACTTTATACTCAATCAAGTTTGAATAATCTATTATGGAAAGTATGATCATTTCACATTACCATTGAACTTACTTGAAAATCTCATATTGTTTTGAGTTTTCATTACTTCCATACAAAGCAATCCTGATGTACCCATTCACTTTCTCTTTTCCAGAAAGTGTGACTGATATCTTATATCTTCAACCTGTCCAAAGAAATACAACCCATTTAATGAACTCATCTTATTGAAAAAATGATCTATGAAAATATTATTGTTCCAAGCTCTGAATCCTCCAGGGGTGAGAGGCAATAGGACTGTGACTTAATTGAATTCCTGGGGCCCAGGAATTAAGGGTACATTAGGTTCTAGGTGGGAGCAAGGGACTCAGGGGTCAGTAAATATTATAGTTCAGCACAGTCCCTTATGAACACAGCAAGGTATGTGCTCTTGGATGAATGAAGGGCAGCTGATACTGCACATGTGTATTTTGACTGATACATGGTACAATGGACTGAATTCATGTGGGTAAGAGCCCACATGAATGGGATCAGTAACCTCATAAAAGAGACCACAGAGAGTGCTCTTTTCCTCTTTCCACCACGTGGGAGTATACAGCAAGAAGACAGCAATGTGCAGCAGAACCTGATCATGCTGGCACCCTGGTCTCAGATTTCCATCCTCCAGAACTGTGAGAAATACATTTCTACTATTTATAAGCCACCCAGTCTATGGTACTACATTACAGCAGTCTGAACCAATGAAGACAATGGGTGTGTTGCATGTTGTTTTGTCACTTGCCTTCTTACTTAATACACCTTAGAGGTTTTCTCTCTTCAGTACGCAGAGGTATAACCTTCTTTTTAATGGTTACATGTAGTATTTAATCTATAGTATTTAGTCATTTACAACTGGTGGACATTTAGGTTTTCCCCTCAATCTTTCGCTCTTAAAAATAAAGAGCGAGCATCCTTGATCACATCATCTTATGCACACACGCAAGTATTTCTCTATGGTACACTCTGAGAAGTGAAGTTACTGGGTTAAAGGAATGTGCATATAAGATTTTATAGATTCTGCCAAACTCTTATCTTTTATGATAAATATTTTGAGGATTACAGGAAATACTGTATGTGAAAAGTGTTTTGTAAAGTGCTGATATAAATTTTTAAATTTGAAACTCTCTTAGAAAATAACTGCTCTCCTTTCCAGCCATTATGTGCTATTATTCACAGTAAATGAGTCTTGATAATTTTACTATCTTGTACTTTTAAAATAAGAAGCAGGGCGAAATGACATCACCACAAAGTGTGTGTATGTAGGAGGACTAATATAATAGATAGTCATTACTGCACTGACTTCTTGACTTACAGTGACTTTCACGTTGCCCTCTTCTGTTAATAGATGCATCCTTCCAGCAACAGGGGTGGGTGAACATGTGACCCAGCCTGGGCCAATCATTGTACTTTTCTCTGCTGGTCAGGAGTATTGGTTAAAGGGGTGAGACCCAACACAAATTCCATTTCACTGTCCTTTCATTACAACTTAAGCTTGTTGTAGTTAAGTTTCTATCCATTGTTACCAAGGATACTGACTAATAAGGTTGGCACACTTTTGAAAATTATTCGCAAGAATTTGAAGTGAGTAAAATGGAAACTTACTAGTAAAGTTACCACTCTCTCCTGTGTTCAGGAAAAAGGTTTGTTCCACAGCACTTGTTTTCCCCTTAAATTGGTCAGCATAGTGCCCCATTTTGGGGCATCCTTCAGCTGGACAAGGGAAACACTTACTCTAGTGGAAAAAAAAAACCATAATTTGTCTGTTAGTCAATCAATTCAGCTTCCTTCCTATGTCTATCTACCTATCTACCCATCACCCACCCAACCATCCACCTTTCATTTACCTATGCAACCATCCATCTACTCATCCATCCCTTATCCATCCTTTCATCTACCCATCCATCCATTCTCATACCTATCCACTAATCCATCCATTCCTGCATCTATCTACCCATGCACCCATGCATCCATGTGTCCATCCATTCTCTCATCTACCCACTGACTCATGCACTCCTGCATCTATCTACCCATGCACCCATGCATCCATGCTTCCACCCTTGGAATTGTGCATAGAACTGTGCTAGGCCCTGCAGAGTATCCAAATAAGTGCCTCAAAAACTTGGAATATAGTTGGGAAAACAAGTCATATCCAGGAAGCAGTAAAATTAAAATATGAATGGGGTATGAAATATAATATATGTAGGGAGAAGTGGGAGAGATGGCAAGTTATTTCAAAAGAAGTGAGGAAGGGAAGGTCCAGGACCATTTTCACTTTAATGTGAATTATTTCTCCAGACTTGTTGATTCTTATTTGTTGCTTCTCAAATGATAGTTCTTTAATTAGGCGCAGAGGAGGCAACTTGCTGTCTTTGAATCAGGGATTTGATTGCTTTATGCCACAGTGTCATTGTCCTCTGCTTTTTGACCTCATGCCACATCCAAAATGCATGATGTGTAGAGCTGTTTTGTGATTTGGTAGGAATCAGACAAATACTGGAGGCCATGTTGTTATCCATGACCCAACAAGAACTAGCACAGTGAAGCCTTCTCACTGAACACTCACAGACCTTGGAGATCAAATACGATGTCCTTTTGACCTCAGTTCAACCCAAGAATGTCAAGGTTAAAATTAGTTTTGAAAGGACAAAATGTGAGTTTAAACATCTTAACCAAGTAATTAAAGTTTAAGTCATCAAATAATGAATGAATTTATGTCATCAAATAATAAGTGAACATTAAATGAATCTCTTTAGTTGTAATACACTGAGAAGGACCTGCTATTACTCACTGAAGCACCGCCTAAAAAATCAAACAATTTCAGAGAGTGAGATATCCTGCCAAATACCTGGTCTGAAAGCCTCATAACTGGCAAGTCTTCAAAGACCAAGAAAAAATGGGAAGCTGTTCTTGACTAAAGGTGACTAAAGAGACAACAAAATAATTGCAATGCGAAAAAAAAAAAAAAAAAAAAGAAGAAGAAGGGAAGGAAAGAAAGAAGGCAGGCAAACAGATACAGCTCTAGAGGGCATTATTTGGATAACTGGAGAAGCTTGAATATGTACTATATATTAGAAAATATTAGTGTATCAAAGATACATTTCTTGAATGTTATTCTATAGGAGAAGGATCTTGTTTTTAAGAGATGGAGGCTAAAGTTTTTATAAGTAACATGTCATAATGTCTTTAATTTACTTTCACATAATTTAGAAAAAGTATACATACACACACATATATAAAATATTAGCAACTGGTGCATCTAAGTGACAGGTGTACAGTATTCATCATTATTCTTCTTTCACCTTCTTTGCAAATTGGAAATTTTTCTAAATGAACAACTGGGGACCCTAGTAAGGGCCCAGCACAGTCAGGTCTGTGCCTTCCCCCTCCAGCCCACCCTGCTGCCTGGGGGAAGATGGCTTTGTGAGGTGCAGAATTTCCATTACCTCCCTGCATTAGTTGCAGAGTTACATCTCTTTCTTCTGTTCTAAGCCACAGGAACACAAAAACACCCCAAACAGGGCCAGCAACATCTTCCTCAGCCTCCTGGGGTAACCTACCTCCTGAAACTCATCGTAGGAGGCACAGGGATAGCCCAGGAAGCCATCAGGGTTGAGGACGCTGCTTGAGTAATACTCGAAGCTTCTTAGGTGATTGCAAGACACAAAGCCACCAATTCCTGAAAAAAACAAAGGTCCCGGGAGCTCAAAGGAGGCCTTTCACTTTTAAGTGTGAACAACTCATTCTGACTAAGGAAGAATCACCTGCACATTTCACCGATGGGTGTCGGCTCCTGAATATCTTGGGGCATTTGCTGAGCAGGGACCTACTCAGGGCTAGGTGACTGTGGAGGAGTGACATGTCCTGACAAGCACCTTTGTCCACTCTTCCAGGGGCCAGGCATGTAACACAAATGAATGAGGAGGGCTGGGGGCTGGGAATAGGGTGGGGTGGTGAGGGAGAGAGAGAGAGAGAGAAAGTGATAGAGAGAGGCAGACAGAGGCAGTTGGTCGGGGGAGAGAGAGAGAGTCAGAGAGAGACGAGAGAGTCGGTGGGGGAGAGAGAGACAGAGAGTTGGTAAGGGAAGAGAGAGAGACAGAGACAGAGAGTCAGAGAGAGATAGAGAGAGTTGAGGGGGAGAGAAAGAGAGAGCATCAGAGAGAGACAGAGAGTTGGTGGGGGGAGAGAGAGAGACAGAGAGTCAGAGAGGGACAGAGAGCCGGTGGAGGGGGAGACAGAGAGACAGAGACAGAGAGAGAAATGGAGAGAGAAAAAGAAACACAAAAAGAGATAGTGATGAGAAAGAGAGAGATTCAGAAAGACAGAGAGAGAGGATAGATAGACAGAGGAGAGATGCAGAGACAGAGGAGAGAGACATAGAGAGGGTATACGTGTGTGTGTATATATATAGTATATATACACACATACGCTATGATATATACAAGTGTGTGTATGTATATATATACACACACATATATATGTATATATGTATATATATACACACACATATATGTATATATGTATATATATACATACTATATATGTATATATGTATATACACATACTATATATGTGTATATACGTATATACACATACTATATATGTGTATATACGTATATACACATACATATATGTGTATATACGTATATATACACATACTATATATGTGTATATATGTATATATACACATACTATATATGTGTATATATGTATATATACACATACTATATATGTGTATATATGTATATATACACATACTATATATGTGTATATATGTATATATACACATACTATATATGTATATATGTATATATATGTGTGTATATATGTATATATACACATACATATATGTATATATGTATATATATGTATATATACACATACATACAGAGAGAGAGAGAGAGACTAAGAGAAGATAGCAATAGCTGTAAAAAGGGCCCCTCTAACCCTACACAGTCTAGCCAGGTGTCACATGTTCAAAGCCCCAAATCGCCTGGTCCTCTGATTTTTTCATAAGAAGCCAGGATCTCCACTTCTACCTGAAAACCTTCGCATGCGTGAGTGAAGGCAGCGCATCCCCATCTTAAAAACAGTTACCATGCCGGCCCATCCAATGCTGCTGCAGACCGCATCCTATCCCTGTGAGGATCCCTGTGAGGACATACCGGGCAGGCCTTCCCCATCAACCAGGCTTTTTGATTCTTCCTCTTTGCTATGCAGGGCACAAGGTAAAAGCGGTGATGGCAAGGTGGCCATGGCCTCTGGCCACTCTCTTACTGCATTTTATTTATCATCCTTTTCTTTAGAAAAAGTCCGGAAAGGTGTTTTTTCATTTCTCTGGCTACTTGGTAGAAAACTTCCCATGGAGAAATGCACAGTGACCCTGGCACACCTGCGGACCACTCCTGGGGGGTCTGCGGGGCTTTATTGCCACCCACTGAGAAAGGAACACTTCCCTTTGTGCCCAGGGTGGCTTCGTACTCCACGGCTCCCGGCCCTCGGCCCAGCGACTTCTAGCTGAAGCCACGTTCCCTGTGCCCACACTGGTGCTCATCACTGGACAACAGAACCTGTTTCAAACTTAATTGTTTCTTTCATCCAAAATTGCTGCCCTGGGACCCCATAATGGAGGAGAAAGTGGATTTAATTATTCCTCAGTGCCCACTGCCTGGATGACTCGGAGCTTGACACAATAGAAACACACTCCAGTGCTCATGGGCTTGTTCACTCGACATTGCTTCTCTAATTAAACCTGGACTCGTTCCTATTATGTGTGCCTTGCTCATCGTTTGTGGGAGGGGGCAGCTATTATTGTGACTCTGGTGTGCTTTCAGGGAGCCTGGAATGGTCACATCTCCCCAGGAGTTACCTGAGAGGGCAAAAGCTCCGTTTATTTGCCGGTGGATGCTGGCGATCGCTTTATCGACTCTGCTCTTTGACATTAAGCACATGGAATATTAAAATGCCACACAAGGCTACTCAACTCAATTTAAAAGTATATTTCGTGCCTGCTTTGGATGAGGCCCTGAGCAGGGTACTGGAGTGTCTGAAATGTGCAAAACATAGTCCTTGGCCTTGGGGAACTCCCAGCTCAGAAAAATAGACTAAAATTATCACAGGCCCAAAACCTCTCTTTTCAGGGAGGAGAGTGAAGCCTGGTGTCAGGGGAGGGGCAACAGGAATCAAAAAAGGCCAGAGCAAGGGGCAGCAAATCAGATGGGGCTATGAGGTCGCCTAATGGCAGGGCATGGGCCGTGCTCTCTCAGATGAACAGAAATGTACACAGCTGGCCAGCAGCCACCATGGGTCTCCCAGACCTCCAGGCCTCCCCCTCCTACACGTGTACCCCAAACCCACAGAGCACATCCCTCCTTTGTCTTCTTCTCAGCAAAGTCCCCTTCCATTTCTAGCACCCAACAACAGCAACCAGCAAGCAAGTCAAGGCCTTCAAATCTTGGCCTATGTCCTGCAGTTCTTCAAGGAGCAGGTGCTGCAGGTAGGATAGGTGGTCAAAGCCAGAGCCAACATGCCAGCCAAGCCGCTGTCCCAGGATGCCGACAACAGGGAGATACACAGGCTGGGGCATGAGCTCAGGGCTTTATAGTTAGAAATTGGGCTTAGATATAGAGCGGCCTTGAATGAGCTATGTAACTTTTTTTATATATATATTTCGAGACAGTCTCACTCCGTCACCCAGGCTGGTGCAGTGGTGCTATCTCGGCTCACCGCAACCTCCACCTCCTGGGTTCAAGTGACTCTCATATCTTAGCCTCCTGAGTAGCTAGGACTACAGGCGCATGCCATCACATTCAACTAATTTTTGTGTTTTTAGTAGAGATGGGGTTTCACTATGTTGGCCAGGCTGTCCTTGAACTCCTGACCTCAAGTGATCTGCCTACCTCAGCCTCCCAAAGTGCTGGGATTATAGGCATGAGCCACCACGCCCAATTGAGTTATGTAATTTTTCGGATCCTCAGTTTTTGGATCTGCAAACTGGAACTAATCAGAGTAACTATCTCATTGCATTGCTGTGAAAATGCCTGGCACATTTTCACAACACTCCATAAACGGTGGCAAATGTCAGCATTATGAAGGCCAGACCATGCATTCTGCTTTCTCCCCGAACAGAGCAATTGCTGTCTTACTTCTTTAATTTACATACCTTCCCATATTCCATCAATATCAGTAATGGTTGAAAGGACATTTTTCTTACATCCGGGCATTTCCTTTCCTCCATTTGGAAAGAAATCCAGATGGCCCACCTTTTGGCTCATTCCGAAACCTAAAATATTTGAAGCAGAGATGAGCGGCGAGGTGACTGGTGCCAAAGTTAGGGTGTGGCCACAGCAAGACCCTTTTTGGCAAATTCTCCCTTTATCACAGCTACCACTGCCTCTAGCTCTGCAGAAAGTTCTCAAAGATGGGTGCTTGGCAAGATGAGGACGGAGGAGAGGGCAGAGGAAGTGAGATGAGGGGGAGGCTGAGCTTTGGGTGAGTGAGACACATACATTTGGATGTGCATCTGTGTGTCTCGGAGAGTCTTGGACCATATTGATATGCCCTGCTACCATTATGCACCAGTAGACCTATCAAGACTGGTGCAATTTGTATTACTTTACTCATTTTAAAATTTTGATGTCTACATTATATTGTTATGTGGAGACTACATAACATTATATTGTTATATTGTGAGCCGTAGCATATGGCTAGGCTCTTTGGCTTTCAAAGCATATGAACCCGTGATCAAATCCTGGTTTTACTTACAGATTTTGTGATCTGGGTCAATTACTTAACCTAATTGAGCCTCAGTTCCTCAGCCATGAAATGGTGGTAATAAAGCCCACTTTTTAGAGTGTTACAGAATTGACAAGCTAATGTATGCAAAATGTTCAGTGTAGCACATGGTAAACACTAAGTAAGTGATAACATCATCATCATCATCATCAAAAACATACCCTTTATTGGCAAGTTTCATGAGTGGCTATATAAGAAAATATTGAAAAAAAAACACTGATTTTAGAAGAATTAAAGAATGGGATAAAGTTGCCAACAAAACAAAGTGTAACCAAAGCTTTGACTGAAGAAGTAAGAAAAATATTCAAAAATTAACTTCGTATTTTGCAAGTACAGGTCAAGTTTTAAGAATGAATACATCTGCCCCACTAGTTACTGGTAGATTGGGGAAGGATGCAGAGTTTGAAGATTGATTGACAACCTTTCATAGACTACAGAAGGGTTTTTGTTTAACCCAGGGCTGCACGCTGATTCCACTGGCATTGAACTAGCTATTTATTTGGGACTGGTACCCATTTTGACTGGTTGGTGCCCAAGCCATTCCTGTAGCTATTTCAAATGGCCTCCCCTGCTGTGTGTGTATGTATGTGTGAGAGGGGATATCTGGACCCAATGTCATTAGCTGTAGCACAGGTCAGCAGGAGATGGGATTGAGGAACTCACCTAGGGAAGGAACTATGGGAGAAGAATCTGTGTGAATCACATCCACAAACACGGCGTCAGATGGATCCAACCGAACCTCCTCAGGTTCATCCTGGAAGCACGGCCCTGCTGGATCCAGCCCTGAAAGGGAGAAGGTAGGCAGGCTGGACTCTTAAGAACTGGGATTTAAAGCCAGTACTGGCAGACTAAGCATGAGGATTCCTCCTACCCCAGCAGCTATGGTTCTGGGGATTGGGTCTGCAGTTCTTGGTCTGCCTGGGAGAGAGAGTCTGGGACAGAAAGGCTGGGAATGGGGTCATTGCCTGTGGATGAACATTCAGAAATACCCAGTGCCTGGCTCCGTGGAGGATCTGGGTAGCCTCCGTACACCCCTTCTTTCCCTTTTTCTTTTTGTCCTCACACATTACCATTTGGCCACTGCTCTCAGAGACTGCAAGACCCCAGGCCTTACCCAGCTGCTAGCATCTACTCCTTTGTTTGGCTCACGCCATTCTCCAGCCTGCTGTGCTCTTTCCCACATTCTTCCTTTATCTAAATCTTTCTCCTCCAAACCCAGCTCACACACCACCTCCTCATGGTTAAATGGAAAATCTAACCCCTCTCCTTTCTCAGCCCATTCCATCCACTTTGTATTATGCTGTCCCCAGGTCATCTTCAGAGAGAAACAGAGCGTGGGAGGAGGGGGCACACAGTGGCCTGTATTCTTGCCCTAGTTCTACTCCAGGTCAAATGTCTGCCCTCTCTGAGCTTCTGTATCCTTATCGGGAAAGCAGGAATAATGACAACCCCTACCTTACAGAGTCGTTGTGAAACCCTCATGAAGAGATGTAAGAGAAGGGACTTTGCAAACTGCAAAATTCTACATAAACACAAACCAATACCCCCTCATCCTTCACCCAGTGCCTTGGGCAAAGGGACGCTCATTAAATGTTGATGTGAACTGTTTGGTGAAGTTACAAACTGATTTGGCTGCACAAAATTAAGTTATTTGTGTCTTTGCCTTATATGCATTCAGTTTAGTGCTTCATTCATTCATTCAGTATTTACTGAGCGCCTTCTATATGGCAGGTCTCAGTGTGCATTTGCATTTTCTGTCTTTGCCTGGCGCAGTAGAGACATTCAAACAATTACGTGGAACTGACGAATTTTTAAAACCATCTCACATTTTTTCTTTTACTTTGCCATACTCTGAAAATAATAGCTCTTAAGTCATGGATTTAATGTGCTAGTTAAATCTTTCTCCTTTTCTTTTCTTTCTTTCTTTTTTTTTTTTTTTTTTTTTTTTTTTGTTTTTTGAGGTGGAGTCTCGCTCTGTCGCCCAGGCTGGAGTGCAGTGGCACGGTCTCCGCTCACTGCAAGCTCCGCCTTCCGGGTTCATGCCATTCTCCTGCCTCAGCCTCTCGAGTAGCTGGGACTACAGGTGCCCCCCACCACACCCGGCTAATTTTTTGTATTTTTAGTAGAGACAGGGTTTCACCTTGTTAGCCAGGATGGTCTGGATCTCCTGACCTCGTGATCCACCCACCTCGGCCTCCCAAAGTGCTGGGATTACAGGCGTGAGCCACTGCGCCCGGCCTCACTTTTCTCCTTCCCTCCCCTCCCTCCCTCTCTCTCTCTCTCTCTCTTTCTTTCTTTCTTTCCTTGCCTCCTTTCCTTCTTTTCTTTCCTCCTTTCTCTTTTTTTTTTTTTGAGATACAGTCTCCCTTTATTACCCAGGGTGGAGTGCAGTGGAGCTATCACAGCTCCCTGCAGCCTGGAACACCTAGGCTCAAGCAGTCCTCCCACCTGGGCCTTTCGAGTAGCTGGGACTACAGGCAGAGCCATCACCCCTGGCCAACTTTAAAAATTTTTTATAGAGACAAGGTTTCACCATGTTGCCAAACTGGTCTTGAACTCCTGGCCTCAAGCGATTCTCTCGCCTCAGCCTACAAAAGTGCTGGGATTACAGGTGTGAGCCAGTGGCCCAGCCTTTGTTTTAAAAAATGAATGCATTTTTATTTTTAATTATCTATTTTCTAATACACATTATGGAAAATTATTTTTAAATTTAAGGCCGGTCATCACAAAAAATCGGGTCCCCAGGAGGACCATCAGGGGCGCCCTTCGCCGTCGGAAAGGCGCTGGCCGAGGCTTCCGAGGTGCGCACCCGGGGGCCTGGGACTCCGGCCCGGGGCCCCGCGACCCCTACCTGTGATCCTGCCCACGCGGCCCCCCAGCCTCCTGCCCGCCTCCGCGGCCGTGTGCGCGCCCAGGCTGTGGCCGATGACATGCACGTCCTCAAGGCTGTACCCTAGCTGCGTCTGCGGAGGGATAGCGTGTCAGGTCCCACAGCACCGCGTGGGGACCCGCTGGTCTGAGAGCGGGGCGCCGGGCCCTGCCAGGGATGGGGGCAGGACCCGGGCTCGAGCACGCCGCCTGGGGCAGGGCGACCCCGCTTCCTATTTGCAGCCTGCGAGTCCCGCAGGCCGGCTCGTGCGCGGGGCAACAGTGCTGACCAGCGGCCACCACGCCAACTGCAGGCCACCTGGGCGGGCGTGGCACACGGCCTGCCGCCCGGGACTGCCCCACCCCCAGCTCCCTTTCCTCGTCCCTGCCAGGGGTATGGCCTGTCTGGGCAAGCACGGGTAGAGTGGGCCCTATCTCTGGCTCCCCCCGCCCCCTCCCGATAGATCCTGCAGAAAGGTCCAGGGCCTTCCCTCGTGGGCTGGCGAAGGATGAAAACTCATCTTCTGCACTGGGAGCTGCGGGGCAGCCCAGCCTGCTCTCTGACCCTTGCAGAACAGCCTGCAAGGAAGGTCTATTTCAAAAGGGGAAACCAAGGCTTAGTTTGCCTCAGGCCCCACAGCTAGACAGTGATAGGGCAAGGTGTCTTCAGGACAGCAGGCAAAGAGGAAGGTTGCAGAGCTTCATCTTGGGAATTGCCCTTCTTGATTGCAATCTGGGCTACTAGCTGCCGGCCCCTACCCATGCCCACGGGTCCCCAGGCTGCCTCTCCATGCCACGTGGTACCTCCCTGCCCCTCTCTGACCCCTACCCACAGGACAGGGCCCAGGCAGGGTTTTACCGACAGTGCTTGTATTAAGAAAGCTGTCTCCGCCCCAACAACCCGAATGTTTTGCACGGCTTGGGTGTACATTGCCCGGGACCCGTGCCTCCAGTCCACACAGATGCAGTTCACCTTCTCCACTTCAAACATTTTCTGGGGAAGACAAACAAGGGAGAGAAATCAATTTATAAACAGCCCCCAGGTGCACACCCCAGAGATAGGCATTCACGTCTGTCAAACACCTAGCCCATGCCAGAGCTTTGATGTTCTTATACCTGCCATAACGTCACCCTCACTGCAGTGCTATGGACTGGACATGCTAGTACCCGCTTAACAGATATGGAAACTGAACCCTGGAATGGGTGAGTGACGTGTCTGAGGTCTCACACATCGTTAGGAACACAACCAGGTTAAAAAGACCACTTACTAAATCAGGTGTGAGCAGACTACTACTACTCAATAACATGTCAAATTCAGCTCCTCGTTTGCACCAGCCACATTTCAAGTGCTGAATAACTTATGTGGCCAGTGGCTTCTGATTTGGACAGTGCATATATAGAACACCTTCATCACTGCAGAACATTCTATTGGATAGCGGTGCTTTAGAGGGTAAAATTTAAGTGTTTTTAACATCACAAAGGGGTTTTACATAAGTCCTCAGGGATAAATGCCCAGCAGTTTGCTGCAGTCTCCACCTCGAGACTTTTTGACTGAACTCTGGGTGTCTTCAGCCTCATAGGAGATTGTTGGCTAGAAATTGGTAGGTAGAGAGAGCTTGGTAATGGATGCCCTTTGGAACTGGGCTTTCCTCGGTGGTTTTAAAAAGGACCCATCTCTCTCTGAAGTATTTCTTTTCCCAGTCTAAGGGAAACTGGGGGTACAGTGTTTGAATCTGTGTGTTGGGTGCTGGTCTCACCAGGGAGTGGCCAAGTGGTAGGGCCCTACCTTGCACATGTCCGATGGCCAGCTGTCCTCCGCCTTGTCTAAGAAGCCATGGATGATGAAGCGTGTCTTGCGGTCCAGTTGGAAGTTTGAAGCCTCAATGGTGTCTGGTTCCGTGCCAGTGATTAGCTGGTTTAATTTAAAAAGATTAATTTGAATGTTGCCCTTTCCAAGCCACGAGTCTATTAGAGCCAGTTTCAGAATTGATATCACAGCTTCAATGCCCACAAAGCTGGGTCAGACTAGAAGGAGCTCCTGACCTGGGGTTGTGGATAGATTTCAGAAAGTCCAAATTCACAGACTTTCTATTTTAGTTAATCCTTAATCCATATCTAGCATTTCAGTTAATCACAAAACTAGACAATAAACCACAGTGGTATTAGCAACACCTGTGACTCTGTCCCCGGTAGAAGTCACAGGTATTTTCAGGTCATAATGTAATTATTGCAGATATCTAAAAATATCATTTATACTCATTAATATTTTAAATTATAGTAGTTATTAGACCAACCCCTAGATCTTGTTATTTAATGATATATAAAAAGCACATATATGACTATATCACATATTTATATATTTAAATGTTTTGGTAATTATTTTTCAATATAATTCGTTTCTTTTGTAATCCAATATATTTTATTTCTGCATTTAAAAACATTGACCTGGCCGGGCACGGTGGCTCACGCCTGTAATACCAGCACTTTGGGAGGCTGAGGCAGGCGGATCACAAGGTCAGGAGATCGAAACCATCCTGGCTAACACGGTGAAACCCCGTCTCTACTAAAATTAGCTGGGTGTGGTGGTAGACACCTGTAGTCCCAGCTACTCAGGAGGCTGAGGCGGGAGAATGGCATGAACCCAGAAGGCAGAGCTTGCAGTGAGCCGAGATCGCGCCACTGCACTCCAGCCTGGGTGACAGAGCAAGACTCTGTCTCAAAAAAAACAAACAAACCAACAAAAAACAACAACAACAAAAAATTGACCTAAGAAGGGGCCTTTAGGCTTCTTCCAGGTGGCCAGAGAGGTTCCTGGCACAGAAAAGGTGAGGAACCCCTGGACCAGAAGCTTAAGTGTGGGAGCAAATTCAGTTCAGTGGAGCTGTGAGACTTTGGAATGCACTTCTAAATTGCCACAGGCTGCTCGACCCCCTTCTACCAACCCCTACAGATGAGACGCCAGAAGATGCCACCAACCTCTACAGATGAGATGCCAGAAGATGCCACCAACCCCTACAGATGAGACGCACCG
The DNA here is from genome assembly GCF_000001405.40 of Homo sapiens. NCBI lineage: Eukaryota > Metazoa > Chordata > Mammalia > Primates > Hominidae > Homo > Homo sapiens. The sequence goes on along the minus strand of NC_000010.11, from coordinate 116,624,826 downwards.
TAACCATGTCCAAGCCGACTCTGGGCTGGGGGCACTAAGAAGGCTGGTCTGTCAGATAGAGTCCCACAGTGGGTGACCTCAGAAACCTATTGACAGCACCTGGCTCCCTAAACTCTGTCAGGGACCAGAGCTGTGAGCTGCTGGATTCTCAGCAATGTCTTTCTTGAAACTGTCTCCTGGTCACTTCTGACACTCTGGAGCAAGTCTGATCTGCTTCTGATGGGCAGACCTGCTGAAAACTGGAGGTTGCTCCAGAGGACCTCATCTTTTATCTATTGTGGCTACATGTCCCCTCTCCCCTACCTGTCTCCTAGCTCTTCAGGAAGAATTTACACCCACCCCCACCCCCAATGCCCAAGAGGCTTCTCCCCCTCCACTCTCCTGTGTAGAAACGAGGCAGACTTTCCGGTGGCTACACCAGGCCTGGGCTTCTCCATAAATGCTGCTCATAGTCCCTTCCTCCCAGGGAACAAGGCATTTACGCTGGGGTAGCCCCTGAAGTTCTCTGCACCAGTGTGTGTGAATGTGTAAGTTTCTGGGTTAGGCATCAGTAGATTTCATCAGATACTCAGGTGTTTATGATCCTGAGAGCTACGCCTTGGATTCTATGCCTTGGAGTTTCTGGAAAATTCCAGGGCAGTGACTTATGCCCTAGACAGCCATGCAAAGACTCCACTGTGGCGGCCCAAATACACCCACCATGCAGCGCTTACATGCCTGCTCTTACTTGGAAGTTGTTTGGATTTTCATTTGTGTACAGAAGAAAGCGGGTGTCAATGTCCTCGGGGGACCAGGGAAGTAATTTTACAGGTCGCTGAAGGGTTCCTGCCCATGGTTTTTCATCAGAAAAGCAGCCAAGTTGTCCGTAGCAGACCTCTTTTCCTAGGGTGAGCCACAAACAGGACATGTGTGAACTTCTGGAAAGAAGCAACGTCATATCCATACAGGAAAACTCTGCAGGACAGAGCCCAGGTTTGGCTAAGGCCAGTGCTGGTCTTTATCTTTGCCATCATTTTCCAAACCTCTGGGATGATAAGAATCACCTGGGGGCTGCGGCGTCGCGGGGTGGGAAGGGCGGGTGGGGGCAGGCGGCAGTATGGGGAACAGGTGTATTGTACATACACATTCATAGGTCCCTCCCTCAGAGATTCTGGTTCAGAGGGTCTGGGGTGGGGTCCTAGAAACACATATTCAGTAAGTGCCCCTTACCATTAGGCAAATTGGGGAATTGCTGATGCATAGGTTGGTGCAAAATAATTGCGGTTTTTGCCATTACTTTCAATGGTAAAAACCACAGTTACTTTTGCACCAACCTAATACAAACTGCTGCCTTAAAACCACCTCTTTCAGGAAACTTGCAGCTGACTCTTTACATGTAAGCATCAAATAGTGAGTATTTATCGAGTGCCTACAAACTCTGTAGCACAGAGTTGCTACTTTGTCTTGACATCTCTATTACACACAGCATAGGCCGTGCCCACACCAATTCACATGTCTTCATGTCATCCTTTTATGCACATTTTTTTGAAAGGGTGATTCTCTGCCGTTTCATATTTTCTCTTTTGCTCTTTGAAAAAGTAAGTTTCTTAAGAACAGGAATGACTTGTGTATCACACTACGTGTAGTAGAGACTCAATACATGTAATCCATGATCCAAGTAACCACATCTAAGTCTGAGAGTACTTTCTGTGTCCATGACATAAACATGATCACAGGATATGGTCACTACGGGTGACATAATTCCAACCCAAAGGATTATAATGGGTCCTTTCTCTTATGCTTCCTCAACTCCTGTACTGATGATGCCAAATATTGGTGAATCATTAAAAAAATGCATAATAGTTTATATTTGTTTACTATGTGCCAGATACCATGTTAGTACTTTACTGGTATAGTATCATTTAAGCCTGAAAACACAAATATGGAATTAGTATTATCTCCATTTTACTGCTGAGGAAACCAAGGCACAGAGAGACAAGGTAAGCTACCTGAGGTCACAGCTAGTGGTGGAGGCAGGATTTGAACCCAAGAAGTTTAACTGGGAATAAAGCTAGAACTTGAGGGGACACAAAGATAAATGAGATATGAACCCTGTCCTGAAAGGGAGGAGCTCTAATAGGGAAGCAATACTGATGGCGTTGAATTCATTCCAGGAAGAGGGTGCACCCTTGGAGGTGGACTCTAGGAGGCTTAAGCAATGTTTGCCCCAGGGGAAAGGTAGCTGGTTAAATGAAGGGGCTCGAATGCAAGACACCTGGGCTCTCTTAAGTGGAGAGCAGGAAAGTGTTGGAAGGTGTGAGTTGGTGAGGTTGAGGGGAGGTGGTGGTGGCAGTGGCAATGCTGTGCTTCCACAGGCAGTCCTGTGTTTTTGGGACTCGAGTACAGGGGGCTGAAAAGCAGAAAAGCCTGAGAAGGCTGGGGGCAGGGAAGTGAGAGTGAGGCTTGAGGCTTGAGGCTTGGCCCTGATAGGGCTTCTTGCAACTCGGGAAGACCAGGAAGCTGGGCAAGAAGGAAGGCCCTAGGAGGAGAGAGATGAGGAGAGAGCCTGGCGTGAGCCTTGGGGAATGTCCACATTTGGGGCAGGAGGAGGCTGCAGGTCAGCAAAGGAGATGAAGAGGGGTTGTATGGCCGGAGGAGCAGTCGCACCCACCCCGGTCTCTGCCGTCAGGAGCCTGGCCTTAATTCATGGCCAGGATGGAAGGAGAGGCCAAGAGTGGGCTGGCGGGGTTGAGAAGACAAGGGGGAAGAGTCACAAGGCAGAAGAAAGCCCCCACAGGGACCCAAGGAGACCATGTCTCCTACAGCAGGACTTGGGGGACCAAATTGGGCAGTGAGGTATTCTGGCAGGAGAGGAGGTGAGGCAGCCCCCACGGAGAGGGAAAGACTCCCGGAGGAAGCACGCCTGTGAAGGCGTAGGCAGATGGGAAGTCAGCAGGCTGGGGCTCAGGGGGCTCCAAAAGAAACGGAGGTGATTTGTGTTTTAGGATAAGTAGAACTTGAATATCTGTATCTCCTCTGGACAGAACCAGGTCGGGGGAACAAACTGGAGAGACAGAAACGGTGACTCTGAGAAGAGGACACGTGGGCTTGATGGCAGAAAGGCAGGCTTGCCTGGCAGGACTGGGCTTTCTTGGGAGAGGGCACATCCACATGACTTTGGTCTGCAGGCAAGGACAAGGGCATTGGGATCAGGTGGGAACACCACACCCTCCACTTGTCTCCCAGCCGTGAGAGTCTTTGCAGGAAGAAGGTGGCCAAGTAGGAGGGTTACGGGAGATACTCTGTGTCCGGCACGTTGCCCTGTGTCTGCCTGAGAGTCAACACTCTCTGAGTGGCACAATTGTTTTCTCCAAGTAACGATAATGCTCTTCATAATCATTATAATAATTATTAATATACCTCTAGCTGCCTCACCAAAGGCCAGCCCAGGCATGTCACTTTCTCCCTAAAGGAATGGTGACAGCATCCTCACCTCTGACTGTGGCCAGCAGGAGAAGGCCGAGGGTCCAAGGGGGCAGCATCTACATGGATGGAAACACAGACACACACAGACCCATGCGCACAGTGAGGCTGGCAGGGGCAGGACCCAGCTGGGTCAGGAGCCCGGGTCACAAGGACAGTGAGTAGAACAGACGCCCCGCAACCCGGGCCCCACAGGGCTCTCCCTTGAGGTGGGGACCCTGAGGCTGAGTCCTCCCAGTGCACAGGGAGTTAGACAGCAGCACACTAGGACCCTGGACTCAGGGGCTCCACTGTGGTGGCTTCCCCGCCTCTGGGCCACGTCCCTCTTGTAGCCTGGGCTGCCCCCGCCCTGCCAAATCCCCTGCTCACATGGGGCCCTGACTTACCATGCTGCACCAGAGCTTCCACTCACAGCCCAGCAGGTTGGCTGTGGCCTTTTATAACCAGGCTTTATCCTTTGGACTCCTTAGAGGAAAGGCCGGGGCAGGATAGATAAGGCACTGCACGTGGGCGCTTTGAACCTAACTTATCGTAAACACATAAAACCAACTCAACCCTGGGAGCAGCAATGTTTATTAAGTAAGATTCAAGGAAAGGAAAACCAACTTTGGGAAGGGAAAGAGCTCTGTTAATCTGAGTTTACAGGTTTAGTTGCCAAGAGATTGTGTTCCCAAAGTGGTAACAGGGAAACATCATGCCGCGCATAGCATCTCTGGAACAAAATCCCTTTGGACACATGATCCCCCAAACCCATCGTGTCGTCCTGTTGCTCTTGACAGATTGTGCGGGCCTAGGAAGTCAGGAGACTTGTTGCTCAGTGGAACTGACTGTTTTTGAAGACAGACACCTTACTTACTTTGGGGGTGGGGTAGGTGGAGGGCTACCTTCCCTATTAGAGAGTCTAGACAGAGGACAAAAATGAACGCAACCTCACAGACGAAGCTCCAAAGAATAAAATGAGGCCAGGCGCGGTGGCTCACGCCTGTAATCCCAGCA